>NC_000003.12:15010000-16260000 GCF_000001405.40 Homo sapiens
ATCTTATCCTAATTACATTTGCAAAGGCCCTACTTCCAAGTAAGGTACATTAATAGATACTGGGAATTATGGCTGGAATGTATCTTTTCAGGGGGTACAGTTCTATGCACAATACCTCTCCTCCACAGCCGACTTAAATTTTAATGAGCTTGGATATATCCTTGCAATTTGATGTGTCCTCTAGGTCATTAAATAGGAATCTATCTGTGTTTGTTAACAAGGTCTTGCCTAATGGTCACCCTTGTGTTCCAATAGGGTATTTGGGAGATTTTTTTTTCTGCCTGCATTTTTAGTTTTTTCATGGGCGTGATCTCTCTAAATGGAGGATACGGATGTCTTAGGAGGGTGAAGATAAAAAAAAAAAACCCAAAATTATAAGTAATTCATTGAATTTTTATAAGCGTGAGTCTTTGAGAAAAAAAGAAAAGAATAATCTAGCCAGGTGCATTGGTTCTCACCTGTAAACTCCTTGGGAGGCGAAGGCACGAGGATCACTTGAGCCTAGATGTTCAAGACCAGCTTGGGCAAAATAGTAAGACCCCATCTCTAGAGAAAAAAAAAAATTGCCAGGCATGGTGGTGCTTACCTGTAGTCCCAGCTACTCTGGAGGCTGAGATGGGAGGATTGCTTGAGCCTAGGAGGTCGAGGCTGCAGTGAGCCAGGATCGTGCTACTGCACTCCAATGTGGGTAACAGAACAAGACCCTGTCTCAAAAAAAAAAAAAAAAATTCTGAGCCTTGAGGTATGTTATATACTGCCACTAAGAGCTGCTGTCCTTGTCTGGAACCAGTAACTTCTACTTCCCAACATACCCTGACCTCATACTTGCCATACCTCAACCACAATGACTGGAGAAGAGCATACAAGAAATGACATGCTGGTTATCTGTGTGTGCTCTGGTACAGCATGTGTCATCCCTGAACACAAAAGGGCAAAGGAATTACTAGTGTTGCCTTGGTTTTAGTTGGTAATTGAAGACCCCTCTCAATCACATAACTGTCATTTCTTAACAGGGAAAACAGTTTAGGAAGGAAACAAAAATTGATAGACATGAGCTGGGCTTGGTGGCTCATGCCTGAATCCTAGCACTTTGGGAGGCCAAGGCGGCAGGATCACTTGAGCCCAGGAATTTGAGGTCACCTGGGCAACAAAATGATACTCCATCTCCACAAAAAAATTTTCTAAAAAATTAGCTGGGTGTGGTGGCACGCGCCTGTGGTCTCAGCTACACAGAAGGCCAAAGCAGAAGGATTGCTTGGGCCCAGGAGGTTGAGACTGCGGTGAGCCATGCTCATGCCACTGCACGCCAGCCTGGGTGACAAAGCGAGACTCTTGTCTCAAAAAAAAGAAAAAGAATTGATAGACATATGACTCACAGAGCTCAGGTTATGAGGGCTTCCAAAGGCCATCTTCTTTATCTAAGGCAAGAATCCCTTCTGTGGCAGCTGAGAGAAGTATGTGTCAACCAGCCTGTGTCTGCAATCTTTCAGTTGAGCTGTGGGTAGGAAAGTTTTTTTTAAAGATAATTCTTTTCACAAGGTTTTCTGTCTCATGTTTTATGTTTCTGGGGGACTCCGGGCATGCCACAGATTGTAATGATGAAAGTTTCTTCCTTTCATTCCCTCCAAATCCATTCTCCTTGAGCCTTAAACATCTTTTGCCCCTTTAGTTGGAAATGATGATATACTGGGGTTTGTCCCATAATCAGCTGAGTATTCATTCTTGGATCTGTCATCCTATTCTGCTGCCTCTCTGGTCTTGCACTTGGCTGTGCCGTGTAGCACACTTTGCCGCATTTTTGCAGTTTACTGTTGTGTTTGATTCAAGTCTTTGTTCAGTGTCACATACTCAGAGATGTCTTTCCTCCTAAAGTTGCATCCCTGTCTCCTTCCCAATGTCATGCTTTCTCTGTTTATTCTGCTTTTTGTTTTCTCCAGGGCATTTACACTGACTGATATTATTTATTCAGAGTTCATGGTCTGCTTCCCCCAATAGAAGTTTAGTTCTATGATGGTGGGACCTTTTTTTGTTCACGTCCCTATTCCTAGTACCTAGAACAGTGTTTGACTCGTAGTGGGTGCTCAGTAAACATTTAAGTGATTGAATCTTTTCTTGCCTATGTCATTTTATTTTGAGCCAGCCAACATTGTCTTATTTTCCGTATTGCAGTTAGCCAAGCTGTTGTGTTAGACTGTGTGAGTTTGTTGTCTCAACCTTGAAGTTCCATTTCTTTTTTTTTTTTGGAGACGGAGTTTCCCTTTTGTCGCTCAGGCTGGAGTGCAGTGGCGCAATCTCAGCTCACTGCAAACTCTGCCTCTGAGTTCAAGCGATTCTCGTGTCTTGGCATTCCAAGTAGCTGGGACTACAGGCGCCCATCACCACGCCCAGCTAATTTTTGTATTTTTAGTAGAGACAGGGTTTCGCCATGTTGACCAGGCTGGTCTTGAACTCCTGACATCAGGTGATCCTCCCACCTCGGCCTCCCAGAGTGTTGGGATTACAGACATGAGCCACTGCGTCCGGCTGGAGTTCCATTTCAAAAGTGTGGTACAGATGCTAGACCTGCCCATAAGTGTACTGTGCTGTAGGAAACTGAGTTCCAGCCAGAGACATAGCATGTTTCCCCTCACCCAACACAGCAGCAGCAGCTCAAGAGTCTTCTTTGCAGTAAGGGTCTGCTGGTGCCTGGAGGGAGAGGTGGCAGTGCTGCTAGCCAGGAACATCTGGTCTAGAAGAGAGGCAGGACGGGGATTAGAACAACTTCAGAGAACTTCATGAGCAAGAATAAGAGAGTTCATTCTTGTCATAGCAGCTGTTTTTGTTGTGACTGATGCAATTAGACAAGGACTGTGTGAAGAAGTGGAGTCTTGACAGCGAGACTCCTGAAGAGTGAGAACTCCCAGAGGAATAAGGGTCAAGACTTCTCCAGAGTCAGTGCCCACTTCCTTCGGTGCATCCTAGGATCTTTTATTGTCGTCTCTCTATGTGGCAGGCCTTGTGCTGGCCCTGGGGATATAGCAGTGAATCAGATGTAGTCTCTATCCTTAAAGACCTCAGAGTCAGGAAGTGGGAGTGAAGGAGGTGGGTGGTCAATTAGTGGTAAGTTGAGTGTGTGTCAGCAGGGGTCTCCCTGTATTCTCTCAACCTAAGGCAATATTATTTACAGGACCTTTTAGAAAGAGGCTGTCTTTGAAACAGTCATTCCCAAGTTTTTGGCTTTTGTGGATCAGTAGCATTTCAAAAGAGTTAGGATTGCCTACATTTGTTATTAGGTGAGGACAAGGACTTTTCAAAAAGTTAAACCTACTATTTATTATTGCCTTCATTTCATAAAAGAAAGGGCATTTTAATTCTAAAAACAGTAGGAAAGATATAGTCCTAGACTAAAATTAGCTTTATGAAAATTTGTTTCTGAAAAGCTCACTATTGTGTTTTATTTTTCTCAGTTCACCGTGGACTGGTGAAAATGCATGTTAGACAGCATTAATTCAAGGACTGGTTTTTGGCAGTCACCACTTTGAGCACCACCTGCAAATGCATGGGTCTTGTGACACTCCATGAGAGCAGCCTCCATGTTGTGTCTTATAGATTGTCACAGACCAGCAGACAGGACAGAAAATCCAGATAGTCACCGCAGTGGACGCCTCCGGATCCCCCAAACAGCAGTTCATCCTGACCAGCCCAGATGGAGCTGGAACTGGGAAGGTGATCCTGGCTTCCCCAGAGACATCCAGCGCCAAGCAACTCATATTCACCACCTCAGACAACCTCGTCCCTGGCAGGATCCAGGTAAGGCCTTTGGACAGGTATTTGTTTCAGCACTTCTGCTATTGAACTTGTTCCTGACTTGTTCTTACATCTGCCTTCGAGGCCAAATCCATCCCTGGAAGGTTCCTTGGGGACCTGCAAACATGGCAGGTTGCTGCTTTGGCCAAAGTAATAAACCAGCAATCCAGTGGCAAGGCCCAGAAGACAGTCAACTATAACACTCAGAGAGGATGGAAGTAGAACCTGGAAGTCAGTGGCCACAGGAGACTGACATGAGCAAGCCGGCACTGAGGCTACTGGAGAATTGTTCTTACCTAAGGCCATCAAGTGGCAGCCCTTGATATTTTAAAGGTACCACCTAGGGCTGACTACAGCCAGGCGAGAACCGACTTGTCCAGATCATCAGGTCTGTGGCCCCAGCTTTTCATTCTGTCTTTACTTGCCACTGTGTACTACTCGCCCTGGGCCCCTCAATTCTTGTCTCTATCTCTGCCCTGGTTCTTCCTGCTCTGTTAAGGCAGGATGGGGTTGAGGACAGTCCACAGCAAGGAAAAGAGCAGACATTGAAGGAAAGCAGGGTTGTTGCTAGCATGAGTCTGGGAAGTATAGAATCTCCAAACCCAACAATTAGAGAACAGAAACTCAAGGTCAGTATCCCATGATGGCTGAGCATGGAGCATGCTTCGTCAGGGTTGTGTTTCATTTTTTTTTTTAATTTTTGATAAAATACACATAATATAAAACTTAACATCTTAACCAGCTTTAGGTATACAGTTTAGTGGCATTAAGTAGATTTACATTGTTGTACCACTATCTAGCTCTGTGTAACTCTTTTCCTCTTCCTAAGCTGAAACTCTGTACTCATTGAATAGTAACTCTCCTCTCCCCCTCCCCCAGCCCCTGGTGACCACCATTCTACTTTCTGTCTCCATGAATTTGACTACTCTAGGTACCTCATATAAGTGAAATCAGCCTTTGTGTGACTGGCTTATTTCACCCATCCATGTTGTAGCATGTGTCAGAATTCCATTCCTTTTAAAGGCTGAGTAGTATTCCACTCTGTATATAGACCACATTTTATCTCTTCATCTGTTGGTGGACATGTAGGTTGCTTCCACCTTTTGGCTGTTGAATTAATGCTGCTTAGAATCTCTGTTTTGGGTGGGGAGGTTCTACTATGAAGAAACTTAAAGAAGGGAAGACTTTTTTTGTCTTCTGATTGAGCTGGGATCAGAACGCCAACATGTTCAGCTTTCAGAACTGTTCTTTTAGACACCTTACGCTACACTTACTAAATGCTGTCTCATCCTTCCTTTCCCGGAGTACATTGTGATCATCTGAAATCAGAATTCCTTCCTCCTCCTTTAGAGTACTCCTTGTCTGTGAAAGAATGGCTGTTGATTTTGTTGCATGTTTCACAAGAGGTGATTCTACTTAATGATTTCTGTATGTGTTCCCACCATGTATAAATCATTTTAAGGCTTATTGTTGGCTCAAGTTCAAGTACATTTTAAAATAACAGCTATTTTTCACTTTCTTATATTGATATCAGTTATAGTATTCTCCCAGATGAATTGCTGTCGCCTAGAAAATCACCACAAATGAGGGGAAGATAGCAGGTTTCAAAGGTCATTTGTTCTCGTCATCAGCTCACCACCAGCTGCCTCAGTCGGAGTCCTAGTTATTTAATTAATAAAGTTTGGTTATTTCTCTGCCAATACACCTCTTTGCGTACATTCAAGTTGTTACGGGAAGAATCTTAAATATCTTCATTTTGAAGCCTCTGTGTGTGATTCCCCACATGGGCCACAATTTTGGGTGGTTGTAGTAGCCAGATAGAGTAGATCAGTGGAAACCAGCGCCTGACCCTGGGAAACCAGCCAGCTGATGAGCAGTCCGGATGAGTGGCAGAGCCATTCTGGGTGTCAGATTAAGTTGTCTTCTGGAATTTTGCCAGTTCTGTCCAGAGTTCTGCTTAAAAACCCAACATTGAGAATTTGTAATTAAACATTACTTTGCTTAGTGATCTGGGTTTTTGCTTGTTTGTTTTTGAGATGGGGTCTCACTCTGTCACCCAGCCTGGAGTGCAGTGGTGCGATCTCGGCTCACTACAACCTCTGCCTCCCGGGTTGAAGCAATTCTCCTGCCTCAGCCTCCAGAGTAGCTGGGGATTACAGGCACCCACCACCACATTTGACTAATTTTGTATTTTTAGTAGAGACAGGGTTTCACCATGTTAGTCAGGCTGGTCTCGAACTCCCGACCTCAAGTGATCCACCCACCTCAGCCTCCCAAAGTGCTGGGATTATAGACGTGAGCCACCGTGCCCGGCAGTGATTTGATTTTTAATTGGCACCCCTGTTCGTTTCCTGATTTCTCTCAGATTGTCACGGATTCTGCCTCTGTGGAGCGTTTACTGGGGAAGACGGACGTCCAGCGGCCCCAGGTGGTAGAGTACTGTGTGGTCTGTGGCGACAAAGCCTCCGGTATGTAGTTCCAGGTTATGCTGGCACTTATAATGGGCCAACAGCATGAAGTAACTGTTGTGAGGTGGGGTGGTAGTTAATTTAGAAGGACCATTTTATGTACGTTTGTAGGTTTCACATGTGAATTCTACTTTTCTTATTGGGGTAATGATGTAAATAAGTAAGGTAGTTTGTCAGAAATTAGACATCAAAAGGAAAAGTCAAGAAATTATTTCTGTGATTTGTAAATCTTGGTTGAGTGTGTAGTATTTATGTGCTGCTAAGAAAGTACTCATTGTCTAATCTTGTTAACATTTGTACAGCACTTGGCTATTTTACAAGGTGTATAATTTGTATAATCCCCCTTCATCCTAACTGTAACTATCTCTTAACATCCCCTCACTATAACCCACTGTAAATAACTGCTGTAATGAAGCAGGAGGAGGCATGTGATTCCAGCTAGTGTCCCAGGGTCAGGAAAGGCCCCACAGAGGCAGTCGCACCTGGGAGCCTTGGTAATTGTGTACATGTTGGTTGGAGCAGGAGGAGGGCATTCCAGCAAGTGGAGCCAGGGCCTAGAGTTTAAGATCAATACCCATGGTATCCTTGAGAGAGAGCTCATAGGCTTCTGTGATTACGATTGGGTAAAGTGAGACTGAAGAAGATGTCTGGCCCAAAAATTCAAGTGCTGGCCTGCTTGTACTGGGGATCCATAGAAGGTTAGTGAGGCAGACAGGAAGGAATGGAGAAGTATTTTACAAGAACACAGTACCAGGAATGCCAGGGGCACAGGCCTGTGTTCTGTGATGGCTGCTTGGTTCCACTTTCTTCTGTGGTCACAAAATTCACAGGAACTTTGGGCACTGTAGTCCTGGTTTTTGTTTGTTTTGTTTTTTAAAAAGGAGGTTGGACCAAGCCTCTTAGGAAGACAGCCCCAAGCAAGCATCTACAGAAGATCAGAAGCTCCAGTTTCCCTTCCATGCTGGTGACACCATTTATCTGCCAATGGTGCCTGCCTCTGCTCCCGCCCTTTGTCCTGGTAAACCCAACCCATCCTATCCCTTCTCTGAAGCCCTCACCTACCCCAGTAGGCAGATAGACAGTGCTGCTTGTGATTCTGATTGCCCTTTCCTACAGATTAATCACTTGTTGCATACTCATATAATTCACTCTTTACAGGCCTGTCTTCCCCATCAGAATGTCAGAGCAAAAACCATGTCTTACCATCTATCTCTGTATTCCTGTCTTCTTGCTCAGCAAGGAAAGGCTCTCTACAAACTTCTGAACAAATGAGTGAAGCATGAACGTAACAAAAGGGCCATAGAATCTGCTTGGCTTCCCCATTTGTCAGTCTTCTTCTGAGCTTAAAGGAAAGGCCTAGTCACAGGCTCTTGGTGCCATTGTCTCCTGATATTAGTGTCACTCAAAGGGATAGAGAACTCAAGGAAATATACTGCAAAGAAAGGAAAAACAATATTATAGAAGGCACTTTACCACAACTATTCTTAAAAGAAAAAGACTGAGTTATTCCAGATGCACACTTGGGAAATGGTTTTGCATACTAGAGCTTAGAACAGTGGGATTCTCTGTAGCCACCATAAATGGTAATCCTGTGAAATGTATCCTCCTTGGCAATGTAGCTATGAAATTGGATTATACAAACAAGACAGAATCAGAAGAGCATGTCCATGGTCAGTCTCAGCTGGAAACAAGTGGGCATAATGTATGTGAAAGTACTTTGTGAATAAGAAAGCTAAACTGAAGGAGGGGCCGCTTTTTTTTTGAGATGGAGTCTCACTCTGTCCCTCAGGTTGGAGTGCAGTGGTGTGATCTTGGCTCACTGCAACCTTTGCCTCCCAGATTCAAGCAATTCTCTTGCCTCAGCCTCCCAAGTAGCTGGGACTATAGGTGTCTGCCACCACGCCTGGCTAATTTTTGTATTTTTAGTAGAGACTGGGTTTCACCATATTGGCCAGGCTGGTCTCGAACTCCTAACCTTGTGATCTGCCTGCCTTGGCCTCCCAAAGTGCTGGGATTACAGGCATGAGCCACCTTGCCCAGCCAGGGGCACTTTTTAATGTCATTGATAATTAAAAGTTGGAGATACCATGCAAACTGTACACCTGACAAAGGGTTACTACCCAGAACATATAGCGAACTTAAACAACTCGACAGCAAAAAAAACAAGTAACCCAATTTTAAAATGGGCAAAATACCTTAATAGACATTTCGCAAAAGAAGACATTCAAATGGCCGAGTTATATGAAAAAATGCTCAACATCACTAATCTTCAGGGAAATGCAAATCACCACATGAGGTATCACCTCCAGTTAGGATGTCTATAATCAGGCTGGGTGCAGTGGCTCATGCCTATAATCCCAGCACTTTGGCAGGCCGAGGTGGGCAGATCACATGAGGCCGGGAGTTCAAGACCAGCCTGACCAACGTGGCAAAACCTCATCTCTACTGATTTTTGTATTTTTATGAGATATATATTTTTTGGCAGGGTGCGGTGTCTCACATCTGTAATCCCAGCACTTTGGGAGACCAAGGCAGGTGGATCACCTGAGGTCAGGAGTTCGAGACTAGCCTGGCCAACATGGTAAAACCGTCTCTACTAAAAATACAAAAATTAGCTGGGTGTGGTAGCGGGTTCCTGTAATCCCAGCTACTTGGGAGGCTCAGGCAGGAGAATTGCTTGAACCTGGGAGGCAGAGGTTGCAGTAAGCCAAGATCGCACCACTGCACTCCAGCCTGGGTGACAAAAGCAAGACTCTTGTCTTAAAAAAAAAAAAAAAAAAAAAAAGATTTTATTTTTATAAAATCTTATAAAAATAAAAAAATTAGCCTAGTGTGGTGGTGCACACCTATAATTCCAGCTACTCGGGAGGCTGAGGCACAAGAATCACTTGAACCCAGGAGGTGGAGGTTGCAGTGAGCCGAAATCATGGCCACTGCACTCCAGTCTGAGTGACTAAGACTCTTGTCTCAAAAAAAAAGAAAAGAAAAAATGTCTACAATTAAAAAGACGAAAAGAAGTGCTAGGGAGGATGTGGAGAAAAGGGAACACTTACACATTGTTGGTGGGATTGTAAACTAGTACAGCCACTATAGAAAACTGTATGGAGGTTCTTCAAAAAATTAAAAATAGAACTACCACATGATCCAGCAATCTCAGTACTGGATCCATATCCAAAGGAAATAAAATCATTATGTTGAAGAAATATCTGCACTCCCACGCTTACTGCATGACTATTTACAATGGCCAAGATGTGGAATCAGCTTAAGTATCCAACAGCGGATGAATGGATAAAGAAAATGTGGTATGTAACACAGTGGAATACATAAAACTGAATGAAATCCTGCACTTTGTGACAACATAGATGAACATGGAGGACATCATGTTACATGAAATAAGCCAGACACAGAAAGACAAATACGATCTCACTCATGTGGAATCCTTAAAAAAAAAAATTGATATCATAGAAACAGAGAGTAGAATAATGGCACCAAGACTCAGGAGGGGAAAAGTGAGAGATAGTTGGGAAAGACTGACCAACTGGTACAAAGTTACAGTTAAGTAGTAGGAACAAGTTCTGGTGTTCTATTGCACTGTAGCCATAGCTAACAATAAGGTATTATATATTATAAAATACCTAGAAGAAAGGGTTTTGAATGTCCTTATTAACAAAGAAATGATAAATGCATAAGGTGATGGTCACTCTATCTGATTTGATCATTATACAACGTGGATATATTGAAATATCAAATTATGCCTCATAAATATGGACATGGACAATTACAATGTATCAGAAATAAAAAGAGACACCAAAGTAAAACAAGATTAGAAAAATGGACTGTGTTTAATAAATGCATTCCTAGAACTGTGTTTCTAGAAGGCTTTGAGTGGCTAGCCCAGGTGGAACCATATGGTAATCCTCTTTTGCTGTGGGCTTCGGCAGTGACAGTCCCCATGCTTCTCCCTGTGACTATCCCGCTTCCCCAGGGGAGGTTTCGGGCCCAGGACGTGAATCAGAGAGGGGCTAAATGCAGGAGTGAGACCCTCTGTGCCAAAGCCACACATGCACGTGTTTGCTATGTGCCACTCGTGGCAGGACAGGGGCCCTGAGCCGCATCACAAGCCCAGATCTCCAGGAATAGGACCCAGGTGTGTTCAAGTGGACAGTAGAGTTCAGCCGTCACCTGTGAGCTCCTACTGTATGTTAGACCATTTGTATACTAAGAGCACTAAGGTCATGCCATCTGCCAGCTGTCATATAACCTGTCTGAGTTTCAGTATTTCCATCATGAATTCATAAGGCTACTTGAAAGATGGTAGAGAAATTACGTGAAGGGTGTGGCCAGTATGCTTAATGCTCAGGCCACGTGGCTGTTGGCATCTAACAGTGTATGGCACCCATCACTTCAATGAGACTTGCACAGGAACTGACAGATCACCTCTTTGGTGAATCCACAAATATAGTCACAAAATATTTGTGTATTCTTTCTCCTGTTTCAGGCCGTCACTATGGGGCTGTCAGTTGTGAAGGTTGCAAAGGTTTCTTCAAAAGGAGTGTGAGGAAAAATTTGACCTACAGCTGCCGGAGCAACCAAGACTGCATCATCAATAAACATCACCGGAACCGCTGTCAGTTTTGCCGGCTGAAAAAATGCTTAGAGATGGGCATGAAAATGGAATGTGAGTAACAATATTTAAAAACCACATGAGTTAATGTGGAGGGAGACAGTAAATGAGTCCATTAAATAAGGTTTCTATACCTGGCCTTAAAATACTTTAAGAAAAAAATATGCACTCAGGCTTCATTTTGGTTTACCTCATGGGTCAGCCAGGTGATTGAGAGCCAACGCTGCAGGGGTTGGTCTCTTCCTGCTGTGTGTGTGGAAAGCCTTATTACAGATGCATCAGGAGGCAGCTTAGTGGAGTGGGTTGAACACAGGCTTTGGAGGAAAGCTGATACCAAATCTACCTCCAGGTGTGCCACTAAGAGAGAGCTATGATGCCTGAGGATACACGTAGCCTCTCAGCCACAGGGTCCTCATCTGTGATCTACTTAATCACCTTACTTATATATTGCTCCTGAGGATTACATGAGCCTACTCCCTGTCTTCTTAGCCCCTCTACTTTCTTTTGGGATAAGGTCCTTTGCCAAGCCTCTGTGTAGCTGGGATTCTAAAGAGAAAGCTATTGCTCCTGGATGTGTGGGGCAGCCAGGGAAGGTCTCAGGCCCCTCCTTTCCACTCCCATAGACAGAATTTTGGGGGTTTTCAGGGACCAGTCAGCATGGAGGTCACTTCCCTAGCTAGTGGTGAAAACATGAAGACCAGGACTCAAGATGGGCAGCACAAAGAAATCCAAGGAGAGTGGAGTTAGGCTTAAGCCACAGTAGGAAAATGGAGCTTAGCAGAGCAAGGCATGCAACTTGCATGCAACTTGCATGGCAAGGCTGGTGGCCGAGGACCCAGGACTGCAGGCTTCCGCTGAGTATGCTGCATGGTTCTGTCATCTTTTGCATAGTTTTCTAGGAACTCTGAAAACCAATATATTTCAGTATTGCTGTTGACGTTTCTGGGAACAGGAATCCACAAAATTCACTGGAGAATAAATGGAAATGTATTTTTTGAGAAATTAGAAATATCAACCTAATTTCTGCCTGGTGTGATGTTTTTATTTTATCTAATGATACTGCTCTTTGCCCAAAGTGAATAAATAAATCACTGACTTGGTGTGGGACTGGCCCACATTGCCAAGCTGTCCTTTTTCTCAATGATGAATATTTTTACTCAGAGCAATGACTGAAATCAGTTTTCTTGTGAACACAGCTGTAGCTGCAAACACAATATTCAACTGGATAGCAGTTTGATTAGTAGCATATCTGAATATTAGTCCCTGACCTTCATCAGTTTTGTCTTTAAAAAGCTTTCATTTTCTTCAGTTGCTTCTAACATGCATATCTGCTCTTACATTAGACTGCTAAAAGGAGAGTTTGCTAGCATAATATAAAATTGACACCCATTAAACAGTTTGCAGAAGCTATTCAGACTTGAGTTGGAAATTAGAAGGGTTCCTCTACAAATTGTGGCATAGGAAATGCATTCTATTAAGGGCCCACTTGAAGGTGGGCATTTCTTTTTTCTTTTTCTTTCTTTTTTTTTTTTTTTTTTTTTTGAGGCAGAGTCTTGCTCTGTTGCCCAGGTTGGAGTGCAGTGGTGCCGCGTCTTGGCTCACTGCAGCCTCCGCCTCCCAGGTTCAAGCAATTCTCCCTGCCTCAGCCTCCCAAGTAGCTGGGATTACAGGTGCCTGCCACCACACCTGGCTAATTTTTGTGTTTTTAATAGAGGCCGGGTTTTGCCATGTTGGGCAAGTGATCCACCCATCTCGGCTTCCCAAAGTGCTGGGATTACAGACGTGAGCCACCACCCCCGGCCCAAAGATGGGCATTTTTTTATCCTTGAAAGAGTCTATTTTGTTAGCAGCATGAAGTAAAAACCAGCTGGGCACGGTGGCTTATGCCTGTAATTCCAGCACTTTGGCAGGCTGGGGCGAGTGGTTTGCTTGAGCCCAGGATGAGTCCAGACTGGGCAACATAATGAGGCTTCATCTCTACAAAAAATAATAAAATAATAACATAAAATAATAGCATAAAATTAATAAAATGGCCCAGAAGGCTCATGGGTGCTTCCATAGGCCACATAGGTGCTGTGCTGCAGTTTTTTTTAGCAGGGAATACCACCCATCGTGAGGTCTTTTTTATGCCTCTAGATTTGACATGGCATGGTTTGGCTTTATTCCTTCTCTCTGGCCGAAAAGTCCACTGTGAAAGCTGAGCTAGATGAACCTAGCACCAGAGTCATCCTCCCTGCAGTAATGGATTTGGGGTTTTCCCTTGTGGTTTTTATTGATTGGAATTGTTTCTCTAAACACAAATATTTATGTTGTGATTTAAGCTGTGCAGAGTGAACGGAAGCCCTTCGATGTGCAACGGGAGAAACCAAGCAATTGTGCTGCTTCAACTGAGAAAATCTATATCCGGAAAGACCTGAGAAGTCCCCTGATAGCTACTCCCACGTTTGTGGCAGACAAAGATGGAGCAAGGTCAGTCCCTTGTTCTCACTGCAATCAGCCTTTGCAGCTGATGGAGGAGGCACAGACGTGTCCCACAGCAGGCACTGTTGTGGCTTCCCACCCATCTGCCATAGCCTCCAGCGTTGTGTTGCCTAATTCTGCCCCTTCTGGAGCTGCTCAGTCACACCTCTGGACAGGCCTGAGGATGCCTGATTTATGAAGGGGTCAGAAATTCTCCTAGCCTTGAATTCAGATTATGTCCTGCAATTTAGGCATCATTCATACGGAAGACAATTATTTTATGATTCAAGATTGGGGCATTTCTGCAGTACACACAAAAGGCCCAAGGTGAGATAAGGTCTCAGTGCTACAGTTAATTTGTATATTCTTTTTAATATAATCTATTGAACTTACTTTAAAAGGAACGGAAAGAGGGGAAAACAAGCAATCCAAAATGTATCAGAGAGAGAGCTGGAGTTGAGGATGCCTTGCTGATTTTCTGAAAATCAAGTTAACTTTTCTAGGCAGAATGGCCACAGTCTGCAGTCATCCTGGAAAGCCCTGGGGGATGCATCTGCATTTCATCCTGTCTCAAGCTGTAAACCTGACTTTATGTATATCTCATTGCAGAGAGACAGGGGTGGGGGTTCTGCTTAGTCACTAAGCGGCTGAGTCTACTTAGAGCTTTTCTACTATTCAGACAGCTTCACAAATGTGGAAGGACAGGTAAATGCAGCATGATCATACTGTGCATAAAATGTTGGAAGCTACTCTGAGTTTCTTTATGTCTTAAATAGACAAACAGGTCTTCTTGATCCAGGGATGCTTGTGAACATCCAGCAGCCTTTGATACGTGAGGATGGTACAGTTCTCCTGGCCACGGATTCTAAGGTGACGTTCTCTACTCATGCTCTCTCTCATCCTTTATGTTGACATTGCAGGCTGCTTCTCTAACTGTGTGCACCACTTTCTTCCTGGCCTTCAGAGACCACATCAAAAGCATGACCTATGTCTCGGTCTCCTTATTGTTGTGATAGCTATCTTGTGATTTGTTTTAGAGATGCTGATGGCTTCTCAGATCAGAGCTGGCTGGTCATAATCACTGTAACATGTCAGTCTAGATGTCAATTTGGTGGACATTCAGTGGTTCTCTTTTCTGTTATAGTTTTCTTTTTCTCTTATACACATTGGCAAACTACTAGCCAAGGAAAGAAATACTTATCAGATGGCCTTTTTGCAAAAGCCCCGGGTTCCTTTTTATTAGATGATCTTCAGGAGGAAGCTCAGCCAGGAATCTATCAGTTCCAAAACTTTGCTAGAGCAGATCAGTCATAGGGATTTAACTTGTGGACAGAGATGTTCGTCAGTCCAAAAGGGGGAGACTTGCTGGCTCCTGTGAAGATAACCAAGGAGGGGGATTTTTTCCAGGCCAGGGAACTCACTGTTTGTCTCATCCTGGTGCTCCTGATGTAAACCAAGTAATGAGGAAGTAGTAGCAGCAAGCCACAACTCTAAGAGGGTGACTTGGTAATTGAGAACACTGGCATTGCTGCAACCATTAGAACCAGAGCAAGGCCTGCAGGCTTCCTCCTCATCTGTTCACAGTCTCATTCATGGGTGTACTCAGGGCATTACAGGGCATCCTCTTTTGGGAAAGAGAAGACAAAATTTAGAGCCCTTGCCTGTCATGGAGAGCTGCCCTGCATGCCTTGGTCCTCAGGCTGGGCCTTGCACCTTCTGTCTTTGGGCAGGGGCCACATGCATGATGGGAGCTGATGGATCACGCATCGTGGGCTTAGCTTATCAGCAGCACACATTCTAGAACAGTGGCTCTGACTGCATGGTCAAATGCAGAGAAAGCGTAAGCCTGAAAGTAAGGCCCAGATAACCTTAAAAACAGATTACCAAGGGATTCACAGCAACCATTCTATTGGGCCATCCACACACAGACTGGGAATGAGAACCAAGACTCCAGAACTGGCTAGAACTGGGTTCAGAGTCTGACAGTGCTCTTCGTAGCCACATGCTTCTTTCCTGCACTTGTAAATTTCTTGGTACACAGTGAGCATTCAATAAATGTTAATGGTTAGGAATTAGTTATTGTCACTTTGGAGGAGAATGACCACAAAGCTGTATGGTATTTCAGGAATCAAGAGAAAGAGCTTCAGAGGCAGACTGTGTCCTACCCCATTCCTTCCTGTGTACAATGGAAACAACAATACCCCCCACAGAAGTTTGATACGAATAATAAAACATATGCAAAGCACCCACAGGAAGCTACTTTCAGAAACTGTTTTCCAATTTTACTTTGAAGTAATTATACATTTAAAATAATTTACTATGAAGGAAGTACAGTGCTATTACAGAGCTCCCACATAGCCTTCGCCCAGGTCCTCCCAGTGGTTATGTCATACATACCTACGGTACAGTATCACAACGAGGACATTGGCTTTGGTACAAACCATATGTATTGTTCTGTCTTTTTTATATTTCACTCTTCTTCAACTTCATTTCCTTCAACATACCTTTCTGTTAATGAGGATCTTACAGTAGCTGCACAGTATTCTATGTGTCTGTTGTGATTTAATCATTTCTGTTTATGACCTTTTCTACTGATTCTAGTTTTTCATTTTGTAATCAAGACATAACCTTGTGTGTACATATCTTGGTTTGAGTATATCTCTGGCTTTCTTTTCTTTTTCTTTTTCTTTTTTTTTTTGAGACAGGGTCTTGCTCTGTTGCCCAGGCTGGAGTACAGTGGTATGATCTTGGCTCATTGCAACCTGCACCTCCCAGGCTCAAGCAATCTTCTTACCTCAGCCTTCCGAGTAGCTGGGACTGTAGGTGCACAGCACCACGCCTGGCTAATTTTTCGTATTTTTTTTGTAGAGACGGTGTTTCACCATGTTGCCCAGTCTGGTCTTGAACTCCTGGACTCAAGCAATTCACCCACCTTAGTCCCTGCAGAGTGCTGAGATTACAGGCGTGAGCCACTACCCCTGGCTTTCTTTTTTAATTGAAATATAATTCACATGCCATAAAACTCACCCTTTTAGTGTATAATGTAGTGGTTTTTGGTATATTTACAAGGTTGTACAAACCATCCCCACTATCTAGTTTTAGAATATTTTCGTCACCTCAGAATAAACCCCAAACCCTATTATGTAGTCACTCCTCCTTTCCCCCTCTTCTCAAACCCTACCAACCACTAATCTGCTTTCTGACTCTATGGTTTTGTCAACTCTGTACATTTCATATAAAGGAAATCATACAATATATGGTCTTTTGTGGCTGGCTTCTTTCACTTAGCATGATGTTTCTAAGGGTCATCATGATATAGCATGTATCAGTACTTCATTCCTTTTTATTGCCAAATAATGCACCTCTGTTTTTTTTTAAAGACAAGAGTTTCGCTCTTGTTTCCTTGGCTAGAGTGCAGTGGTGCCACCTCGGCTCACTGCAACTTCTGCCTGCTGAGTTCAAGCAATTCTCCTGCCTCAGCCTCCCGAGTAGCTGGGATTACAGGCATGTGCCACCATACCCAGCTAATTTTGTGTGTTTTGTTTTGAGATGGAGTCTCGCTCTGTCGCCCAGGCTGGAGTGCAATCGTGCGATCTCGGCTTACTGCAGCCTCCGCCTCCCGAGTTCAAGCGATTCTCCTGCCTCAGCCTCCTGAGTAGCTGGGATTGCAGGTGCGTGCCACCACACCCAGCTAATTTTTGTATTTTTAGTAGAGATAGGGTTTCACCATGTTGGTCAGGCTGGTCTTAAACTCCTGACCTCACGATCCGCCCGCCTCGGCCTCCCAAAGTGCTGGGATTACAGGCGTGAGCCACCGCTCCTGGCCAATTTTGTGTTTTTAGTAGAGATGAGGTTTCACCATGTTGGGCAGGCTGGTCTCGAACTCCTGACCTTAGGTGATCTGCCTGCCTCGGCCTCCCAAAGTGCTGGGATTATAGGCGTGAGCCACCACGCCCAGCCTAATAATACACCTTTGTATGGCTATACCACATTTTATTTATCCATTAGTCAATTGATGGACATTTGTGTTGTACCACTTTACATTCTCACCAACTGTGTAGGAAGGTTCTCATTTCTCCACATCCTTACCAACACTTGTTATTATCCATCTTTTTGATTGTAGCCATCCCAGTGGATGTGAAGTGGTATGTCATTGTGATTTTGATTTGCATTTCTCATGATGTTGAGCATCTCTTCATATGCTTATGGGCTGTTTATATATCTTCTTTGGAGAGAAGTCTATTATCTTTGGGGTTTTGTTGTTTCATTTTGTTATTGAGACAGGGTCTCACTCTGTCTGATAGGCTGGACTGCAGTGGCACAATCATGGCTCACTGCAGCCTTGACTTCCTGAGCTCAAGAGACCCTCCCACCTCAGCTTCCTAAGTAGCTGGGACCACAGGCACACACCACCACGCCTGGCTAATTTTTTTACTTTTTGTAGAGACAGGGCCTTGCCATGTTGCCCAGGCTTGTCTCAAACTCTTGGGCTCAAGGGATCCTTCTGCTTTGCCCTCCCAAAGTGCTCTTTTTCCTTTTTTTTTTTGACATGGAATCTTACTCTGTCACCCAGGCAGTGGCACAATCTCAGCTCACTGCAACCTCTGCCTCCTGGGTTCAAGTGATTCTCCTTCTTCAGCCTCCCAAGTACCTGGGGTTACAGGCACCTGCCACCATGCCTGGCTAATTTTTTGCATTTTTAGTAGAGACAGGGTTTCACCATGTTTGCCAGGCTGGTCTTGAACCCCTGACCTCAGGTGATCCACCTCCCTTGGCCTCCCAAAGTGCTGGGATTACAGGCATGAGCCACTGCATCCAGCCTCTTTTTCCATTTTTAAATTGGGTTGTCTTTTTATTATTGAGTTGTTAGCGTTCCTTAGACATTCTGGCTACTAAACCATTATCAGACATGATTCGCAAATATTTTCTCTCATTCTGTGAGTTGTCCTTTTGTTTTATGGGCTTTTACTTTCTTGACAATTTCTTTTGAAGCACAACAGTTTTAATGAAGTCTAGTTTATCTGTTTTTGTTCTGTCATTTTGTCACATATCTAGATTTGTGTAAATACCACCACACCAAGATACAGAACTGTTAAATCACTAAAAAGATCTTCCTCGTGTTGCCCCTTTGTAGTCACACTTCCCTCTCCTCGAAGCTGTTTTTGAACCAGCATTATAACTTCATTGGCCTGAGAGTCATTTGCGTATCTGTGTTCATTTTTAATGTCAGTATTTTTTGTTTAATAGGCTGAAACAAGCCAGGGAGCTCTGGGCACACTGGCAAATGTAGTGACCTCCCTTGCCAACCTAAGTGAATCTTTGAACAACGGTGACACTTCAGAAATCCAGCCAGAGGACCAGTCTGCAAGTGAGATAACTCGGTACGAGCCCATGAGGATGGAGTCTCCCCTCCTCGCCTGGACACCCTCCCTCTATTGTGAGGGTGGAAAACAGCATTTTGGTACCTGTGCTGTATTTAACTAAGGATGATAAAATTGTTACAATGACCCTGCTCATCTGTCTTCTTTGAAATTTTAACTGTGGGAACATAGACCCACCTATGTTATACAGTATAAAACAATCAAAACTTCTTTTCATTCCCAACCATGGAAAAGGAAATTGAGTAAATCAGTAGACATAGGAGGAAAACTCTAGTGGACAGCGGTTATTTGTATTAATTACTGTTTAATAATGCGTCTGCATATTAAGAGTTCATTCCCTTTCCTACTTCTATTTTAACCTATTTTTCTCATCTATATTTTTCTTTTTTCTTTTTTTTTTTTTTTAATAGAGATGGAGTCTCACCATGTTGCCTAGGCTGGTCTAGAACTCTTGGGCTCAAGTGATCTTCCCGCCTCAGCATCCCAAAGTGCTGGGTTTACAGGCGTGCGCCACCACCCCCACCCAGCCCTCATGTATATTTTTTCTGAGTAATGAATTCAGAGCTTAAATCCACCAGGGTAACTAGAGTGATAGTGGCTGATAGATAGTGATAGTATGAGCTAATGCCAGATGCCGATAACTGCTACTAAGGATGTTTCTTCTCTGCAGTTTGGCTCTTGTGCTCTGCTCCTAACATGCCAGACCAGCCAGATACAAAGCTGGAGACTATACAAGTGTTCCAGTCCTTTGTTCACTTGTGGTCTGATAACAAATAAGATCTAGGTACCGTGGAAAGTGGGTGGGATTTGAATTAGGTAGAATTCTGGTTCTACCACTTACTATATGGATGGTCTTGGAAAAGTTATTTAACAACTGTAAGCTCAGCATTCACATCTGTAAAATGGAAGATAATTTTTAACTTTGGAGGGTACTTGTGAAAAATAGAAATTGGGCCTAGGTGCAGTGGCTCACAGCTATAATCCCAGCACTTAGAGAAGCTGAGACAAGAGGATCACTTGATCCCAGGGGTTTGAGACCAGCTGAGACCCATCTCTGAAAAAGTAAATAAATAATAGATAGATAGATAGATAGATAGATAGATAGATAGATAGATAGATAGATATAGATAGACCCCATCTCTGAAAGAGAGAAAGAAAAAGAGAAAGAGACAAAGAGAAAAGGAAGGAAGGAAGGAAGGAAAGAGAGAAAAGGAAGGAAAAGAGAGAAAGAAAAGAAAAGAAAGAAATTGTCCATGAAGTTAGATAATACATAGCTCAGTGCCTAAGATGATGTGTAGATAATACATACAAGTTTTCATTGTTTGCCGGATGCAGTGGCTCACGTGTGTAATCCCAGCACTTTGAGAGGCCAAGGCAGGTAGATCACCTGCAGTCAATAGTTTGAGACCAGCCTGGCCAACATAGTGAAACCCCATCTCTACGGTAGAATTTAATTATCTTTTCCCACTGTAGTTTTTCTAAATCATAGCTAGAATTCTGTTCCCCCTAAAAGCTGTAGATTCACAACAATTACATGCTTCATTTTTGCTCACAGGGCATTTGATACCTTAGCTAAAGCACTTAATACCACAGACAGCTCCTCTTCTCCAAGCTTGGCAGATGGGATAGACACCAGTGGAGGAGGGAGCATCCACGTCATCAGCAGAGACCAGTCGACACCCATCATTGAGGTTGAAGGCCCCCTCCTTTCAGACACACACGTCACATTTAAGGTGAGTGAATTCAGCCTAACCATGTGCCCCCAACCTGCTGGGGGATAGGTTCTGTACCAAAGCCGATCTGCAGTTTTAAAAATCAAACCTTGGGGCCAGGCATAGTGGCTCATGCCTGTAATCTTAGCACTTCGGGAGGCCAAGGCACGTGGATCACTTCAGCTCAGGAGTTCAAGACCAGCCTGGCCAACATGGTGAAATCCCATCTCTCCTAAAAATACAAAAATTAGTCGGGCATGGAGGCGCATGCCTGTAGTCTCACCTACTCAGGAGGCTGAGGCATGAGAATCACTTGAACCTGGGAGGCAGAGGTTGCAGTGAGCCAAGATCATGCCACTGCACTCCAGCCTGGGCAACGAGTGAAACTCCACCTCAAAAATAAATAAATAAATAAAAATTAAACCTTGGAGTGAGCTCATCTTCAATCTGGTATTTAACATTATGACTTCAAACTGGATCTTGTATTCCAGAATGATAGTCCCATTATGAAGCATCTTCACTTGTCTTTTGCTCACAGTGCCATTTGGTTCTGAAGGTAACCATGAAGCAGGCGTGGCCCATCATTACTAAGACAGGCTGACATAGTGGTAACTGCTGAGGGCTGAATGCTCTGCCTCTGCCTCTCTGTGACTGCCTGGCTGCCCCATGGGCTCAGGCAGGCACTTTTGTCTCTTCTCTGTGTCATAGAAACCCTCATATAAAATCTACAACAAGCAGGCAGCCAGCCATTGATCCTGACTGCTCTGCCCTCTAGAGCCACAGAAAGTAGATCCCTTGAAGAGTGCTGTTAAGGCCTCATGGGTGTTCCCCGTGCTGTCATTCACTGGTCTCACTTTTTCTACAGGACACTCAGAGGGTACCTGAAGCCCTCTCAGTCTCTAGGTCTCCAGACTGCTGAGTCCTCCTTTTCCCCCAGTATTTTTTTTTTTTTTAAACAAATACATAGGCTGAAGCGTAGTGATGTGATTGTGGCTCACTGTAACCTCAAACTCCTGGTCTTGAACTCCTGGGCTCAGGTGATCCTCCTGCCTCAGCCTCCCAAGTAGCTAGGACTATAGGCATGCACCACCATGCCCATCTAATTTTTATTTTTATTTTTTGTAGAGATGGTGTCCTTGATATGTTGCCCAAGCTGGTCTCAAACACTTGGCCTCAAGCAATCCTCCCACCTCAGCCTCCCAAAGTGCTCCTGTCACATGAGCTGCTTAGCTCTTACTTACTGCTACCTTAAGACCATCTCCCAAAATGCCTGCTAGTCCATGAAGTTGGCCCCTGTTACCCAGATTTTTTTTTTTTGAGACTGAGTCTCACTGTCACCCATACTGGAGTGCAGTGGTACAATCTTGGTTCACCACAACCTCCACCTCCTGGGTTCAAGCAATTCTCCTGCCTCAGCCTCCGAAGTAGCTGGAACTACAGGTGCATGCCACCACACCTGGCTAATTTTTGTATTTTTAATAGAGACAGGGTTTCATTATGTTGCCCAGGCTGGTCTCGAACTCCTGACATCAGGTGATCTGCCTGCCTCAGCCTCCCAAAGTGCTGGGATTACAGGCATGAGCCACCCGCACCTGGCCCCTGTTCCCCAGATTTAATTTAGACCTTAACCTATGGCTCAAAATGGAATTGCCATAGAACAAATAACAGTTTAGCTGAGGCAAGACTTGAGGAGTATGTTTTTGTGGGGGTGGGCTGGGAAGATCCCCTTAGGCTTATGGACCACATTCCAAGGCCCATTAGACCCTAGTTCACTGAGCAAGAAAACATGGGGAGTCCGTGCAAGCCCCCCGACTGCATGGGACTTCAGAATCAGACAGCAACTCTAGATGCCACTGCTATTGAAGCATGACAGGGATACATGTTGACAGACAAAGCCATCCCCTGTCCTTCCTTCACCTCCTGTGCCATGTGCCTCCTCTTTTCCAGCTAACAATGCCCAGTCCAATGCCAGAGTACCTCAACGTGCACTACATCTGTGAGTCTGCATCCCGTCTGCTTTTCCTCTCAATGCACTGGGCTCGGTCAATCCCAGCCTTTCAGGCACTTGGGTAAGTGGCCTCTTGCTGTGCATGTATCCTCGGGCAGGAGCCTTCCTCTCCCTAGGAATGACCTGGAAGAACTCTGAGGGCCTGTCTAGTTTGACTGTTTCTATGACCTCATTCAAAGGACCCTGAGTTTTTTATTAAATATAGTTAGTGGACTGGTAGCAGGATTACCAGTTGCCAGTTCTGCAATGTTCCTCTAAACTTTATGGAGCCTCCTAGATACACCAAGGATTTGGTGCTAGGAGCTGGGGATGGAGAAGAATGTAGAAGGCAAGGGTAGTCCCCAGCACTGTGCTATGCACAGTGTGACTCAACAAACTGAAGCCAGGCCGGGAACTGTGCCTAGGCCTTAATAAGGTGAATGTGAATCAGCTGTTTCCTCAAACATGGATTTACAATCTCACACAAGCCACAGTGCCAATTGGCACATTGAGTAGTACAGAACCTGGTGTCATCTCTACAGGAAACCCCCCCCCCTTTTCTTGCTTTCTTGAGTACCACTTGTGTATGTTTCTCCTCTAAATACCAGCATCGGCTCTGCCAGTGTGCCAAGTGCTGTGCAGCTGGTGCAGCTGCCACCGTGCCATCAGGTGGCTGGCAGTCTGGTTGAAAGATAAGTAACCATATAAAAATGGAAATACAATGAGAGTCATTGCATATTGCAGAGTAACCATCCTTAGGTAATATGTGGAAAACACTAGAATGGAGGGCAGGGTTGTCTAGTAGTTGACACTATTGTCTTTGGGGCAAACAGACCTGGTTGTCGGGCCATAAGAATAGTGCTTGTCAGCTGTGTGGCCTTGTGCAAGTCACTTTACCTCTCTGAGCCTCCAGTTTCTCATTGTAGAATCCTCGCGTGGGTTTCAGATCTATAAAGCTCTTAACCCAGTGCCTGGCATGCAAGGGACTCAGCAGAAGGCAGTGTGGTTCTGTGGGTCAGGTGGTGTGGGATGTGTCCTGAGTAGTTGTTAGAATGGTCACCTCCCTCCATGATTAAAGGAAAGGCAGTCAGAATTGTCCCATTCTCCAGGGAGAATTAGACAGGTAGTGACTGCTAAACAAGTATTAGGAGTTTCATTGTTAGCTCTTTGGGAGAATGGCCTACCCCTTGCTACTATCTGGTAGGTGGTGTAACCTCAGGCTTTTTTTTTTTTTTTTTTTTTTTTTAAATAACACCACAGTCCACAGTTAATAGTACTGATAGGTACCTGAGATTTTTTAAATGAGGTTAAAACATTGTTACCCACTGCCCTGAGTGTACTTTTTCTAGTTGGGTAATTTGGAACCTCCTCCACAGAGTTTCTCAGTCCGGGCTAGATAAAATGTGCTACCACATTTAAAGTGGTTTCATTTACATTTCATGTACTGTTTTTCATAAGTTAGTGTTCAGGGCAGTGATCATAGTAAAATACTAGATGTGCATCTGGGGCATTTGGGAATGACCCAGTGCAGTAGCCCTGGTTCTCACTGCCTTCCTGTGGCTGGGCCACACTTAAGGCAACTGGAAGAAACAGCTTTGTCAAGACAGCCCAGTTTCTCCGGCCTCCTGAAATCTTGAGACAGGTGAGGGAATGCAATTTAGGGGTTTCTGAGAATAAGGATGTATTGTTTTGTGATGTGCCAACTTTGCTGACTAACTGAGTAGAAGTTAGCCAGGGCAAGGCTGGAAGCGGCCTTAGCTGGACCCTCATCCTCCCTGCTTCAGTCTCGGATCCAGCACAAAGCCTGCCTCCTGCCCTGCAGGGTTGCAGGGCATGTTTCTGCCCTTCAGAATCTGTACTCATCTCCGTCTTTTGGTCCCCGTAGCCTCTCATGACCTTGGCTGCAGGACCTAAGTAACTGATACCATCTCTTGGGACAGTCAGTCCAGGATGCTGAGGCTTTTGAAGGCTGTAGGTAATGATGGTTTGGCCATACCTATTAACATTTTTTTATTATTTAAAGAATGTTTTTTAAGAGAATAGTTGATCATTAGAAGGATTTTAGTTAAAACATTCATAGACTTATTCATAGACTTCATCCTTTTCTTGAAGAATGATCCTGGATAGCACTTCAATAAACACTTGCTGAATTCACCTGTTTGGGAAATGCTGGGACTTAGTGCCTGGATGCCCCACAACCTTGGAGAAATGCCAACACACACCACACTCAGACTCCTTTCTATATTCCTAGGCAGGACTGCAACACCAGCCTTGTGCGGGCCTGCTGGAATGAGCTCTTCACCCTCGGCCTGGCCCAGTGTGCCCAGGTCATGAGTCTCTCCACCATCCTGGCTGCCATTGTCAACCACCTGCAGAACAGCATCCAGGAAGGTAGGGCACAGGGACTTGGGGCTGGGGTGTGTCTTGGTTCAGCCTGGTGGCCATGGAGCAGAGCCCAGCCCCCTGGTTGGAGGCTCATGTCAAAGACACCTTTGTTGACCCAGGCTGGCAACATAGCAAATTGGATAGCCTCAGTTTCCCACAGCATCCATAGGCTGAGAGAAGTTTGACTGTTAAGGTATGGAGCCTTTGGGCTGGGCATGGTGGCTCACGCCTGTAATCCTAACACTTTGTTAGGCCAGGCAGGAGGATCACTTGAGCCCAGGAGTTTGAGACCAGTCTGGGCAACATAACGAGACCTTGTCTTTACAAAAAGTACAAGAAATTAGCCAGGCCTGGTGGCATCTGCCTGTAGTCCCAGATACTCAGGAGGCTGAGGCAGGAGGATTGCTTGAGCCCAGAGTTTGAGGCTGCAGTGAGCTGTGATCATTCCAGGTACTCCATCCTGGGTAATAGAGCAAGATCCCATCTCAATGAATGAATGAATGTTAGGAGGCTTATCAGTCAGAATATGTAAATTTCTGCCAGACTGCCCTCTTCATACGATTAATATGAAGAAAAAAATGGAAAAGGTCAACTTCTTGATAGGCATTTAGTGATGTTTTCAGAATAATCACAGCTGATATTTTCATCTTCATTGACAGGTTACTTTTCTCATGTATAATAGTTCACAGATCCTCACAACCCTATAAAGTAGGGACTATTACCTCATTTTTCCCTATGGAGGAACTGAGGCCCTGATAAGGTCCCTGGCTTGCCCCAGATGAAACAGTAAGTACAAAAACTAGGGCACAGGCTGGGTGCAGTGGCTCACTCCTGTAATCCCAGCACTTTGGGAGGCCAAGACGGGGGATCACTGGAGGTCAGGACAGTCCAGCTTGGCCAACATGGTGAAACCCCTTCTCTACTAAAAATACAAAACAGGAGGCTGGGTGCAGTGGCTCACGCCTATAATCCCAGCACTTTGGGAGGCCAAGGCGGGTGGACTGCCTGAGCTTGGGCGTTCGAAACCAGCCTGGGCAACATGGCGAAACCTCGTCTCTACTAAAAATACAAAAAATTAGCCAGGCGTGATGGTGGGCATCTGTAATCCCAGCTACTTGGGAAGCTGAGGCGGGAGAACCACTTGAACCTGGGAGGCGGAGGTTGCAGTGAGCCGAGATCACGCCACTGCACTGCAGCCTGGGCAACAGAGCGAGACTCTGTCTCCAAAAAACAAAAATTAGCCGGGCATGGTGGCGCATGCCTGTAATTCCAGCTACTCGGGAGGCTGAGGCATGAGAATCACTTGAACCCAGGAGGCAGAGGTTGCAGTGAGCCGAGACTGTGCCACTGCACTGCAGCCTGGGTGACAGAGCGAAACTATTTCAAAACAAAAACAAAAAAAAAACTAGGGCACAAACCTGCACCATGCTGACCCCCTAGTCCAGGACATACGTACCTCACCCAGGCTGCTCCTTAAGAGTGAACAAACAACTTTTCTAGTGAGATCTGTGGCAACTATCTAGTATTTGGTGTTCAAAACACCAGCAGTGTCAGGAATAGGAGGCAGCCATTGTAGTCTCTCCATGTGTAGCATGTCTGCAACACTCTGAAGACCACTGTCATGCCCAGGATTCGAAGTAACACTGAAAATCTACACTTGTAGCTGAAGTGGAAGTTTTTGTTGTTGTTGTTTTGTTTGTTTGTTTTTTGATACAGTCTCTCTGTGTTGCCAGGCTGGAGTGCAGTAGCAATCATAGCTCACTACAGCCTTGAACCCCTGGGCTCAAGTGATCCTCCTGCCTCAGCCTCCCAAGTAGCTGGGACTTACAGGCATGTGCCATCACACCCAGATAATTTTTATATTTTTTAATAGAGATGAGGTTTCGCTGTGCTGCCTAGGCTTGGAATTTCACTTTTAATTGGGCATTCCAGGTGTTTGATATCTAGGAATGTGAGTGACATAGTCATACATTTGTTTTTCTAGTTATTTCCTTGGAATAGTTACATAAGGGTGAAGTTTAAAAGACCCTATAACAGGCTGGGTGTGGTGGCTTACGCCTGTAATCCCAGCACTTTGGGAGGCCGAGGCAGGTGGATAACTTGAGGTCAGGAGTTCAAGATCAGCCTAGCCAACATGGTGAAACCCTGTCTCTACTAAAAATACAAAAATTAGCCTGACATGGTGGTGAGTGCCTGTAATCCCAGTTACTTGCTAGGCTGAGGTAGGAAAATCGCTTGAACCTGGGAGGCGGAGGCTGCAGTGAGCCAAGATTGTGTCACTGCACTCCAGCCTGGGACAGAGTGAGACTCAAAAAAAAAAAAACCCCTTACAACATTTTATTGAAGTTAAGATTTGTTCACAAATGAGCTTTAGTTTTGTTTTTTGTTGTGTTATTGTTTTTTGTTTGTGTGTGTGTGTGTGTGTGTGTGTGTGTGTTTTTGTTTTTTGTAGAGACAGAGTCTCATGATGTTGCTCAAGCTGGTCTCAAACTCCTGGCCTCAAGCAGGCCTCCTGCCTTGGCCTCCCGAAATATTGGGACTAGAGAGGCACGAGCCACCACAACTGGCCAGTTTTATTTTTAACTGAGTATAATACTAATACTGCCAGTAAAATATTGTCATGAGGATTAAATGAAATAACATATAAAATTGTTCTGAAGCCAGGCATGGTGATGCACACTTGTAGTCCCAGCTCCTCAGGATGCTAAGGTGGGAGGATCACTTGAGCTTATGAATTCAAGTTCAGCCTGGGCAACATAGTAAGACACCCAACTCAAAAAAAATTGTTTTGACAACTAAAAATTACCAGCATTTAATGTTCAGGTGCCTGCAGAGACTTAAAAAACCTAACCAAGTATATAAGCTGTGAGTCTTCAGAATAAAGGAATTATTACTCAGGTACACAATAAAAGAAATTCACAATGTACACCTACAGGCCAGCTGCCTGGCAGCAGGGTCAGGGAGAATCACTGGTCTAGGGATTTGTTATTGAGGCAGAACCCATATTGGAGCAGAATTTGGGTACCTCTTGTCACTTCATCTGCAGCTGGAAAATGAAGCTCTTGTTCACCTTGAGATTACTGATTTTTCATTAAAAAGTGAAATGGTCCCATTTCTTTCCATATGTGGCCCCTCAAATAAGCTGGTTTTATTGTTCTTACCAGCCTTTCTCAGGATCTGTGATGTTGGTTTCTAGATAAACTTTCTGGTGACCGGATAAAGCAAGTCATGGAGCACATCTGGAAGCTGCAGGAGTTCTGTAACAGCATGGCGAAGCTGGATATAGATGGCTATGAGTATGCATACCTTAAAGCTATAGTTCTCTTTAGCCCCGGTAAGATATGCGGTGGGGATGCATGACCCCTTTCCACCTGTATCTACTGATGTTTCTGAACGTGAACATGTTGTCATCATTGGTGTAGAAAGAGCCCTGCAGATTGTATGTGACCTAGTGTTCTTATGATAGGTGTTTTGCTAGATAAATACATAAACGCTTTTAAATTCTTGCCTTTACAGCCCCAAAGAAATATGCTGCAGTGCCTGATGATGTCACGCACTGAATAGATTTAATCTGTGTCCTAATTAAACCATTGGCCAAACAAGACTACACCATACAAAAGTGTGCTGCCACCCGATGTCCTTTCTTTTTTTTCCGGCCCTTTGCCAGTTTCCAAGTTTTGTTAGCGCATATAATCCAGTACACATTGAAGTTCCACTTGTTTGCCCACAGACTGTGTATAGCACTGCAGAGCATGCTAAAAGGTATGTTCGCAGGAGATGAAGAGGCAGCAATCACGATGCCTGGGCTGGCCTCACTCCCCTTATTAACTGTTCTCTCAAGTCCTCTGGAAAAGTCACTTAGGCTAATTGTTCACCTCACAGTAAGGGGTTGGACACAGCTTAACCTTTTTGTCTTCCTTCCCAGCCCTTCACTCACAAACAACAAAATAGCTAATAAAATTGGGACAAATTATATAATTATTTAGAAAGTAAATGACAATTTGTAATTTTATGTGATAGTTTTTAAAACTATGTGTTTTCTAGGGTAGTAGGAAGCCAGATGTCCAGAACCAATCATGTGGGGCTGTTCAGACTGGGATCCACTCAGGGTCCCCGACCCGCTCCCAGGAACTTCAGGCCTGGGCAGAAAACAGAGGAAAAGCCAGTGTTCTAATAATACCCAAACTAGATCAGTCTTTGAGTTCAATTTGTTGTACTTAAGAAGTTTGCAGAAGTTTGACTAAAAGTACTAAGAAGTCTACAAGTGAGACTTTTCAAATACAGAGGGAACTGGGGGGGGGTACTTTTCTGTTTTCAGATCATCCAGGTTTGACCAGCACAAGCCAGATTGAAAAATTCCAAGAAAAGGCACAGATGGAGTTGCAGGACTATGTTCAGAAAACCTACTCAGAAGACACCTACCGGTGAGGCATTCAGGCATATGCGCTCTTGCTTGGGGCTGCAAGGAGTGTGGCTGAGTCTGCAGTTTCTAATATAAATTATGTTAACCTTTCCATTTTTAGCAGCCTGATAGAGCCTCCATTGGATCACACTCTAATTCTTGAGTTTTCTTTGTTTTTTCCAAGCTCCCAAGAGCTAGAGATAATTCTTGAATGCTAGAGGTGGTGTAGAGTGTAGACAGTGCCAGCAGGAGGGCCAGGACTGTGGCTGATTCCAGTTTTGCTGTGTGACTGTGAGCGAGGCCTCAGATTGCTACTCTTTAATTGGAGGAGTTGGAACAGATGCTGTGTGGCCTGTTCTGGGGCTAACACTGTACATGAGGCTTGAGTTCTCATGGAGATTCCTTTGTCCAGAATAGTTTGAAAGGTCTGCTCCTCTGGTCAGCATCCATTGAAGAGGCAGTGCTAGAGTACTTGACAGAAAAGTGCTTATTGACAGAAAATTCTTATTGACAGAAATCAAATCTGACCCCTATAAAGGAGTGGATGAGTTATATAAAGTCATTTTACCCTCAGATAAACTAATGGAAAAAAGTTTGTTTGGGTGCAAATTAGTGGTATTATTTGTAATTAATGTGCAGTAAAAATATGTGTATAAAAATTAGGACCGGGCACGGTGGCTCACGCCTGTAATCCCAGCACTTTGGGAGGCTGAGGCGGGTGGATCAGGAGGTCACGAGTTCAAGACCAGCCTGGCCAAGATGGTGAAACCCCGTCTCTACTAAAAATATTTAAAAAAAAATTAGCCAGGCACGGTGGTAGGCGCCTGTAATCCCAGCTACTGGGGAGGCTGAGGCAGGAGAATCTCTTGAACCTGGTAGGGTGGGCAGAGGTTGCAGTGAGCTGAGATCACGCCACTGCACTCCAGCCTGGGTGACAGAGTGAGACTCCTTCTCAAAAAACAAAAAAAAAAACAACAAAAAAAAACCCTTTCTCGTGCAGCTTTAGGCAGGAAAATTGTTCAGATCTGCCAAAGGTCAGAATGCATTGGCAGGCTTTCCAGCCAAGGATGGAAGAGTGCTGCTTTCCTATGACAACTTCTGACCTACCAGAAGCTACATGAATTTCTGAGACCCTTTCAAGTAAAGTATTTCCTGTTTCCCTCCCCACCATGTCCCCCTAAAATAAACATTGGAACAAAATTGACAGCCTGGGAAGACACACAGGCCCACCTTCCCGACATGTGTCCTCTGCACAGACCTCAGTCTCCAGGAGCCCCATGGAACACAGATGCCCCTGGGGGCTACCCCTTCTGGCCCAGTGCTTCTCAAATGATTTTGCCCCCCAGCAGGGTAACCAGCTCTTAGTCTTTCAGCACTAAAACCAGGACAGTCCCAGTCATTTCTCTGGTGTGACTGGGGGTGTCTTATGGCTGGCTGGTCCTGCTGGTAGACAAGAGCCTGCTTCTCCTTTTGGCGCACTTCTGTTGCCCAGATGTGGCTTTTACAAAAGCAAGATCCATTTTCTACTGGAATCATTGAAGACTTCATCATGAATCTAGAATAACTTCAGCCTCAATACATAGAGAATGGGACTGTCAGGGAATGCATCCACACCCAGAATTTATACATCCAGCCAGGTATACAGTCAGGTTGTCCTCCTAGGAGGCCACAGGCCTGCTCCCCCACAGTTCCCATGGCCAAAAGATGGCTGGAAATGGCCCTCTGGGGCTACTGGCAGAGCCACAGCACACTCGAGAATCACTTTGACAGCAGTGATTCTGTGGCCTTGGAAAGTAGATACAATGTGTCTGAAAACATCATGAGTCACTCCTGTCCAGTCAGGGACCCAGGGTTGGGTAGGGTGACGACAGGTTACTTGGAGCCCAAAATGATAAGGGAGGCTTTCTTATAGGGCTCAGAAATTCACTCGAGATAGTTCTCAAAGAAAAGGGCCTAGAGTGTTTTACATCCTGTTTGCATATTCATTTTTTCTTTATCTTGATATTTACTGTCTGGAATATCCATTTTTTACTCTTCCCCATCCTTGTGCCTTTTCTCATATTGATTATTCCTCCTGAAATGCCTCCCATCCCTCCCCATTCTTTGTATCTCTGCTGATAGAAATCTTAGCCAGCCCCTAAGGCCCAGCTGAGATGGCAGGTCCCTTACACCTTCGTGTGCCCTGCAAGATTGGAGCACAGCGACTCATTGTGGCTGAGTGAATGGATGCTGGTGCTGGAATGCTACCTGCATAGTATGAATACATTTTCCCATTTTAAAAATAAGCAGTATTCACTCTAGAAAAATTTAGAATGTTCTAGAAAGGAAAAAGGAAAAAGAAAACTTTTTAAAAAGCACTATCCAGGGGCAGGGCGTGGTGACTCACACCTGTAATTCCAACACTTTGGGACACTGAGGCAGCAGGATTGTTTGAGCCCAGGAGTTTGAAACCACCCTGGGCAACATAGTGAGACCCCATCTCTATGACAAAAAAATGAAAAATTAGTCAGGTGCGGTGGTGTGCACCTGTAGTCCCAGTTACTCAGAAGTCTGAGGTGGGAGACTCACTTGAGCCTGGGAGGTTGCGGTTGCAGTGAGCTGTGATCACATCACTCCACTGCAGCCTGGATGACAGAGCAAGACACTATCTCAAAAAAACAAAAACAAAAAAGCACTGTCCAGATACCTACTATTAACATTTTGCGTATTCACTTCCAGAAATTTTTTATGTATTGTAATTGGGATCATAAAATACCAAAGGTTTTGTAACCTTTTTTCATGTAATATACAATAACAATACGTACTCTTCTTCATTTTCTATGGTTCCTATTTCCCTGCTAATGAAAAGGTAGGGTGTTTCCGGTTTGGGCTGTCACACATGGCACTGCAGTAGAGTCCTGGCACATGCTCCACTTGCTCACCTGAGATCCAGTCCTGGCTGGGGAATGGCCTGGTCACGTGGGACACTTGAGATACACAGTGTTCAGTGGCCCTCCAGGGCAGCATTGTGGTGCACCCTCCACCCCAAGTTTCTTCAAAATGAAAGCTATTTTACTGCTTTATTTATAATGCTAAATGAACACTGGAAATTAGAGCAGTACAAAAAATAAGAAAAAATCACCTCAAATCCCAATACCCAGAGCCCAACTGTTAGCGTGGTGAACATTTTCCCAATACTTTATATACACATCTATACTTGCTGTTTTATAATCTCCTTTTAAACTTTTATTGAGCAATATGTCATGGATGTCTTTCCTGGTCAGTAAATACAGGTTTGTATTATCGTTTTTTAAATGAGTCTCTAGCAGTTCATCATATGAAGACTCCTACTTTAGTCTGTCCTCTGTTGATGAATTTCCAGGTTTTCTCTTGGTGGTGGGGGTGAGGAGAGTTGGAATAAACAAGAGTGAAGGGAACACATCTGTACATACATTTTGTACTCATTTGGTTTTTTCTCATGATAAATTTCTATAAGAGGAACTGTTGAAATCAGAAAAGAGAGGTGGGTGGATGGTGGATCCGTTTGGTTTGATTCTGTGCAATACAGACGGGACCCCAGGAGCCTTTGCTGAGCTGTGGTTGAAGGGCATCAAACAGTCTCCTTTTCTAATGACACTCCCTTTTATAGATTGGCCCGGATCCTCGTTCGCCTGCCGGCACTCAGGCTGATGAGCTCCAACATAACAGAAGAACTTTTTTTTACTGGTCTCATTGGCAATGTTTCGATAGACAGCATAATCCCCTACATCCTCAAGATGGAGACAGCAGAGTATAATGGCCAGATCACCGGAGCCAGTCTATAGCGCAAACCACACACCTGCCAAGGAGCAACAGAATCCTTCCAGGACCGTTCACATACAAAGAAAAGTAGTGGTATTTTGGTATGTGCAAATATTTCCATATGTTAGCCATTTCCTGTCTGGTTTCTCCTTATCTGTTAATCCCAGACAATAGCAATTAAAAGACTAGTAGGATCCTTTCCTGACATAAGAAATGTTTTAATGCCTTTTGATGAAGCAGCAGATTTTGGAACAATCTTTTAACTCAATTTGTATTTAGAAATTCTCAAAGGGCAAAAAACAAAAAAAAAGGTTTTATAATGTCAGAGACTAGTATTAAAGAAAACTGAAAGAACCTGAGAGAATAGTATGTGTGTATATATATATATAAAAAAGTCCTTGGAATTATAGATACTAATTACCAGGGTAATAATATTAGCACTTTCTAAGCACTTATCAATGTGTAACGTTAGCAACATCTTGCCTGTGGGCAGGGCAAATGGAAAACTGTGTATGTCTTTTGCCGAAATGCTAATGATTTCTGTGAAAACTCACTAGGGTACAGGAGACAATCATTTATGTTTAAGAAAAGAAGGCATCATTCCTAATTGTGTGCACATGTTGTGGAGTTGAGCTGAATTCTGTGAATGGAAACGTGGCTCATTTGCATCATGCAGTAAGTGGGAGTGTGGTAGCACAGTCGGTGGTGACCCAGTTCAGAAGCTTCTAGCCATAGAGCAGACACTTGTCAGGTTCCCTGACTACTTGGTCCTGGTCTCTGATGGGCATCTGCAGACTCCTCTAGAACCTGGGGTTCTCCTTTGATGACTGGTTATCTGAATTGGATTGCAACTAGTCAGACATTAACTGCCAAATGAGATGTACAGTTCCTCCAGCAAGTGAAAACATCCCCAAGTCACATCCGCCGCTCGTGGCAGATGGAGCCTTGTGACCAAAAAGTGCAAGGTGGGCATTTTGAGCTCTTGACAGTACTTCCAATACAATTGGGGGTGCTTGTGTGTTTGTCCAGATGGAGGAGTGTGGCCTTGGAGTGTGAGCGTTACCTTCCCAGGGCTTTCCACTCCAAATGCCCCCTTGAAAAGGGCTCGTGTTTCTGCAGCTCCATCATAACTGTGAGGCTGGATTGGGGCTGGGCAGGAGCCTGCTGCCGCCTGGCGAGAGTGGTTAGGGCCTGGTAAAGCTGGATGGAAGGTTTCAGGACAATTTCTTCCTGTTGACCTTAAATACCAGAGATTTTAAAAATGTGTATAGACTCAGCATCTCTGTTGGCAAGTCTGTTAATGTTACCAGCACACTGTGCACTTTGGTTCCCCCAGGTGTGTGCCAGCCGACCACCCCGGAGCATTTTAAATGCAGGCTGCTTGCTCCTTAAAAACAACCCTCAATTTCCAGGGTGATAGTCTTTCTCCTCATAAATTGTAGCAACCAGAGTTTACAGCAAGAACAGTATGCGCTTAAAAGGAAGTTATGTCTAACTTCAAACACCCGTAAATTCCCACGGATGTGAATATATAGCAAGCTTTTCCTGTTTGAGAACAGTGGCATGTGGAAGACCCGGTCAATTGCTTTGTCTTTTGCTTTTTAAATAGTCCAGATTAAGAAAATACACCCTGTTGGGTTAAATTTGCCTCTCTTGATTTGTTAATCAGATGATATCCAAAAAGATCCCTGGACACTCCCCTGACTCACAGGTGCTCTGATCTGGCTCAGGCTGGCGCCACATGTGCTCCACAGGGGTGCAGTCTGGCCAGCTACAGACGCCCCTGTGGTGCCACATTGGACAGAATGGAAGCTGCTGCAGGCTCAAGGCAGAACAGGATGCTTGATCCTGAAGGGTTAGCAGCACTTTACGCAAGTCAGTGTTAGTAGGGTAAGTGGGAACAGTGTTTCCAACTTCTAAATTCTTGTTTGGATTTAATTATATCATTTTATAATTCTTGCCTTGGCAGCAAATTTTGGAGAGTAGTGGGAGTGGCCATTATAAAATGATGGAAAGGATTTAATTTTGCCAGCTTAAAGTAATTTTTACTTTTCTAACCCTGATGTGTTTTCAGTTTCAAAATTAAGACAAAAAACCAGCTGAGACAATGGAATTAGGGCAGGTTTGTTTCATTTCTGCTTGTGAAGGCTTTTAGTAGCAGGCATCCTGCAGCTCAGTGGTGCCTCTAACACAGATTGTTGCCTGCCTTCCGTCGTTTTGATCCTTGAGAGTGACCATGAGGGCCATGTTGCAGTTCCCTGGGAATACAAGCATAACAGCTTTCAGATCCCAGTTCTTGGTGTTGGTGAAAAGGTCTCCACCAGCCCCTCCTCTCATTCCCAGGTCATTCAGTGGCAGCCAGTAGGCTGCTTAGACTCAGGCTGGATAAGGAAGTGTTGGGCTGTGGTGAAACAACCTTGCAGAAAACGTGATTTTGCTTGGAAAGGTGCTGATTCTAACCTGGTCCTGCTCTTTAAGTCCCCTTGCTGGTGATGGCTGATTCCAGGGACTGTTTTGGGCTTTGAACACCTCTTGGTTGGTTTCTGAGATCCTCTTGGCCTTACTTTGAAGTGGCCTTTTCTTTAAGGATCATGTCCACGTAACCTGTATTCTTGCTGCTTTAACTCATTTCAAGCCTCTGACTGCAGGTCCATTTCATCTCCTGTCAGGTTGGTTAAGTAAAGTCAGCCCAAAGTCAAGAATTACTTAAAGAGATGCAAACCAAATATTTGGGCTCCAACTTTCACAGGGCTTATAGCCCTTATTAGCAGTTTGTGAAACTTTGGGTTTCATGAAGTGAGACCTGTCCTCTGGCTACTGAACTCCATGGAGCCACGTTCATGCTCCCTCTTCTACTGGCCTGGCTGCTCCTCCCTCAATGAGGAGAGGCAGCTGGCTCAGAGAGGTGGGACAGACACATGCTGTCATCAGTTAAGTGAGCTCTTTTCCAGAAGTATCTCAGATAATGTTGGGTTAAGACAGATAGATGTTGAAAATGGTGGAGATCATTACACATTAGCATAAAACAGGACAGGAAGAGATTTTTTGAAAGACCAAATTAGTTGAGCAAGTAATACTTTTCAAGTTACTCCTGGAAGGTGTTTTTAAGGAAGTGTGTTACCTACCATACTCTCCTAATTTGACATTTCTGTGTCCTGAGGAGTTACATTTATTGTCTAACCCTTGCCATAAGGCTGTGGTTTGAGGTTCTTTTGCTGTTCTGGGCTTTATATTTAATTTCAGGTGTAGTCACTTCTAAGATGTGTAATTGCCCTCAAGAGGGACTGATTTTTAGCTTGTCATTGTCAGTATTGAATGTGGACTCTTCTGAGGCAGTTAGGACACCAGCCATGGTGTTAACAGTGGATGCGTTAGGCTCCTTAATCTCAAGGCAATATCCACGCTACACACATACTTATTAGCTGTCTTACTTGTTTGGGGGATAGTTACGGCAAGGAGCAAAAAATTCTAAGGACTCTAGCTGTTTCTAGTGCTTTTACTTTCATAGTCCTTTGAGGACATTTCCTGCAGAGCACTCTTGCTCACAGCCCGCCCTCTGCAGGGCTTCCAGCCCCTGGCCGCAATCAGCAGTTCATGCCACATGTGTACATCCATGTTCTGGGACCTGATCTCATTGGAGTCCAGAAGCTTGTTGCCCACTTTCCAGTGTAAATGACTTTATGTGCAATGGGGTCATAGGTAACATTTTAACTCTTTTCTTAGTCCAGGTCATAGGAAGTCTCATCATCTGACAGCCACTTTTCTCCCAGGGAAGGCGGTGCCCACTGGGCCCTGGGAATGCCTGAGCCAGCAGAGCAGATGCCCCACGTGCTTCCTTTATCCAGCTTCCATTCTCTCAGTTATGAGGCTCTTTGAAAATGTCTTAACTTTGATGTAAATTTTTAAAGCCAACCCCTCATCAAGACAGGGTTGGTTTGGGTCTTTTGTACACAGGGTCTGGACCTTCTCATTGTGTGCCTCCCACCAGCGTGCACTTCGTATGTCCAGCCCTGGGTCCCTTCAGCAGCATTGTGCGTGTACAGGTTTCTAGGCTGTAAGACTGAATGAATGTACATGTGTTTATATCCTCTCCATATGTACAGTGTATATAGTGTGTGTATGTGTACATAGATGTATATTATGTATACAGACATGTATCCAAACTTTCCTTTAAAGAGAGTTTTTCATAAAGTTGCTAATGTAAACTGATATGGGTGTTCCAAGGTCCCTCGGCAGGGAAGATTTGCTGGTGATTTTCTTCACTCCATTTTCCTTTGGGTGAGCCTGCCTGGGAAGGGCCATGAAGTCAGAATCTCCACTCTGCAAAAGGAAGAATTCCAGGCAGAAGAGGTTCTGACAGGGTGACATTTCCGTATATTCTCTAGGTTCGGACAAGAGCCAGGAAGCTGGAAGACAGTTTATCTTAATATCCAAAACTAAGTGGGAATTTTTAACCTTTTCATGCACCTATTCATGGCCCTACCTGGAAGGAACTTGGCAGTTGGGTTGAGCCATCAGCCTTCCCAGCTATTCAGCTCTGTTGAGTAGCCCAGAGACAGGCGTCACGGTCAGAGATTCAGAACGGTCTGTGTCAGTGAGGCCTGACTCCCAAAGATGGTAGCAATTTCCCAGGCTTGCGCTGTGCTCAGTCAGCAAGATGTGGGGCACTGTCCTATGACTGAATAAATAGTAATTCCCATCTTTCTATCGCCAGTTAAAAATAAACAACCTACCAAGTATTATTCTTTAAAACTAAGCATGGATGTTGATGGCTAACTTCTGCGGCATATAAGCTACAGATCTCAAGTTACTTCTCTAACTGTAAGCATGTAAATGACTTTAACTCCTTTCTATAAGTTATGATTTTAAATTTTCAGATAAGAATTGCATTTTAATATGGATATGTGTGCCCTTAAAAGCTACAGATACCAAATTTTCCTCGTCCAGGTCTACTCGGACGAATTTTCCCCCTTAATCTGGCCTTAAACTGAGACTCGGCCCTTGAGAGCCAGGGCCTGGCCCAGCAGTAGTTGCTCATAGACCTGGGAAGCAGGGGCCTGCTGGAAGGAATCACTAGATTGCTGCAAAAACTCACATAATCCACAGTTTCCTCTTTTTCTTTTTAAAATAAGTTATCAAAATGTTTTAAAAACACTTTATGAGACCATAGTACTCAGTGCCTTTTGTGAGACAGTGGGTCATTTAGCCTTCAGCTTCCCTGTTTTTGATGTAGAGAAAGCTTCTATTTCACTGGCCTCATCCCACAAGATTGTGCGACCTTTCCCCGTCATAGCCTGTCGTGACAATCACGCTATTGAAAGTGGCTTTCTAGTTAAAATGCAATTGGAAACTTGACAGTCTCTAAATGAATTAAAAGTTTCCTTTGGGGCTATTTAGCTTAACAGCAGTCTACAAATAATTAAAGTGTGAGCTTAAGAAAAGTATCTTTGCGGGGAGAAAAATGTCAGATATTTTTAATGCCCAGCTATAAATAATTTTGGTGTCTTGATATTTATACATGCAAAATAGAAAAAAAATGTTCAACATTTATTGATTGATAGACTGTTAAAATTTAATGTTTGGAATAACATTTGGAAGTAGTAGACTTTGCATTAAAAAATGGCTTTTCTTTAGGAAAGTATAATCAATTATTTTAATGACCATAGCATTCATGGACTCAAATGCTGCTGCCACACACAACTCAAGTGCTGGAATATTTTTCTACAGTCTCTCTGTTCTACGGATTATCTTGTAAACCAGTGTTCAACTAGTTTTATAACTGAAAAGCTGCACATTTTTCACAGTACAAGCCGTAGTTTTTACCTGTAGTTTGGACTTCTCTGTTAGAATGTAACTGCATTACCAGCCCTTTTAAAGGCATCTATCTATCAAAGGAAAATTTGGGTGTTAGATTTTCTTGGGACCGTTTCTGTAACCTTTGCCCTTCACAATATAGAAAATATTGGTTTTGCCATTACATTTTAATGCCAGGTTTAAAACCTGTTGAAAGCTGCAGCTTTATACAGCTTTCTTCTCCCTGTGAAATCACTTTGTTTATGTGATGGCATTTAAAAAATAGCATGTTCTTTTTAAACTGAATTTTATATCTAATCAATGTCTTCAGTCTTGAAGAAGAATTTGCATTGTTGTGTTTGTATATAGAGTATTGCAGTGCATGAATTAGCTTTATGCATTTTATTAAATGCTGTTTCAATGTGGCATTATTGTTGTGGCTTAATACTACTACCTAAATGAGGTTTATACTATTAAAAGTGAATTAAAGACTAACATGCATCCTGCTCTTCATTTTTCTTCATGATAGTAGTAATGCCTGGCCCCCAAACAATGCAGCGCTCTCTTGTGTTATGGACATGAAGCATCCTGGTGGTCCTGTCTCTACAGCTCTCTGGCTCCTACCTTAGCCTTAGCGGCCAAGAGGGATTGGGCCCTCTGTGGTCCACTGGACTTATTAATACCTTTAGTGGGAAACCCTGGCAGGACAGTCTTTACATCCACCCAGCAAGGCAGCTCCTTGGTGTGGAGGTAGGGAAGCCACACACATGTTTCTGGAGCAGAGCACAGTTAGGCTGCTGGAACATTCAGATGCCATTACAGACAGGCCTTAAATTGGCAAGCTTATTCTCTAAGGATACGTGCTATCAAGGGCAAAAACAAGCTCCAAAAGTTTCAGAAGTTAGAACATATTCATTATGTCATCTGACCTCTCATGTTCCAGGTGAAAATTCTGAGGTCCAAAGTCTGATGCATGACAGAACTCACTGGCAGGCAGATAGGGCCTCACTCCGTCACCCAGGCTGGAATGCAGTGGTACAGTCATGGCTCACTCCAGCCTCAACCTCCTGGGCTCAAGTGATCCTCCTGCCTCAGCCTCCTGAGTAACTGGGACCACAGCAGATGATACAGGTTTAGATGGTGCTGCCAGGTAGTGCCTCAAAGAGAAGAAAAGTGGTCACTTCAGAATAAGGCTGTGAACACTGCTTGTGCAAGTAAAATTAAGAACATGTTATCAATTATAAAATCCTCACATTTTCTCTAATTAATTTTCTCCCATTTCTGTATATTTTAAACCCATCTTTCATCACTACTAAACAAAATAGGGAAAGACAAAGGTTTAAAGAGAAACTATCCAGGATCAAGTAGCCTACAGGGAACAAAAAAAGAAAATAATGTTTATTTCCACAAATTATCTGCTGCCTGTGAAGCTGGCCACACAGGCAGTAACTGCACCACAGGACTGCTGCTGTCTCCACACGTCCTTTCAGGGTCTGGGCTGTCCACCTCACTGCCCATTGCTCCTGTGTCAAGCCTGAACTCAAACCCTAGTTATCTGTCCCATTAGGGACCAGACATTTATTCTGTCTAGAGAATGGTCACCACTCCTTTTGGTTCAGGACATTCCTGCTGGTTAGCAGCCTCTTTGGGCCCTAGAGGGAAGGAATACTCTCATAAGGCTTTGTGTGTCACTAGCTATGGAGACCTACACTGCAGATGAAAGCCAAAAGGAACTAGGTGCTTTCTGAAGAGCCCTTGCAGCCAAGTAGAACGCCCAGGCAGGTGGTATCAAGGTCAAGACTTCAGTCAGTTGGGTGGGGAACTGAAACCAGCAGACATGGGAGGGCTCTCTGTGGAGGAGAGCTTTTTCCACCCAGCCAAAATGCTGATAGCAGAGAGACAAGATGCTAGATTTCAATTAAACACTCCCTTTGTAAGTCTGTCACTCAAGGAACACCTGTCCATTATACATCAGTCTCTGCCCACCTTCCCCTCCCACCCCCGACAAGCCATCACCCCAAACCCAGATCTGGTACAGAATCAAACTTGAGCATCAAATGTAAAAGATCCAAATCTGCTCAATTTAATGTGATAATCTCCAACAGTTAATGAAACACATCGTAGTATGACATCATTTCACCAGCCAGCTACTTCATGTGGCAGAAAAGGTAACCTTTTCCCCATTTTACAGACAAAACCAGTTACAGACCTGGAAAGCTTTTAGGACTTGACCAAGGCCCCAGCAGGTAGAGGAATGAAAACTTCAGTCCTGCTCTGTCAAGCACCACTGTCCTTTTTTAATTCTTTTAACCACTGCCTTCCTGTCTCAGATAAAGTCAGGTCTCCTTGGCTGAGTTTCTAGGGGTCCGTGGTCCAACTGGTCCTTCACTTTATAATTAAACTTATTTAAAAAATTTTTTTTCTTGAGACAGTCTTGCTCTGTGGCCCAGGCTGGAGTGCAGTAGCGCACGATCATGATTCACTGCAGCCTTGATCTCGCAGGCTCGAGATCCTCCCACCTCAGCTTCCCAAATAGCTGGGACTACAGACGCGAAACACCACACCCATCTAATTTTTGTACTTTTTGTAGAGACAAGGTCTTGCCATGTTGCCCAGGCTGGTCTCGAACTCCTGGGCTCAACTATCCGCCCACATCAGCCTCCCAAAGTGCTGGGATTACAGGCATGAGCCACCACACCCAGCCTAGCTAAACCTATTCTTAAGGTGACCCTAGAAGGCTCTGCTGTCTTCTGGAGGCTGAAACCTCCACTTTAGCATAACTAAAGTGACAGTAACATCAGTGTCCTATGAGGAAAGAACAAGGAAGGTGCTCAGTAATGCAGCACTCCCTCCTCCAGAGCTTGGTAAGCAGGGCCTGAGGGAGCCAGCAGAGCCAGCTATAGACACCATCCCCCCAGCAGGGCCCCAATGTCTCCACTAGGTGGTGTCTCCTCATTTCCTCCATGGCCTACAAACCTCCCTGCTAATGCACACAGTGGCTGGGCCATGGGTTGGCAGTGGCTGACTGGTCAGCAGGTACGTGCCTGAGTGAGGCTGGCCTGTCAGCCACTGGGGCTCCTCCATCTCTGGCCCATGGCTAGGCCCCCCAGCAGGCAAGGGTAATCAACTGTACTTAAAAAAGTGAGCACTGCACGAAGGGTTGCCTTTGGATTTCTGAAAAATACCCCCAAGGAACTGAACGGAGGGGTGTACACACTGCCAACCACAGACAGTGCTAGCCAGACTCAACCACAGCAGCCCTTATGTTCTCCAGAGTAGAGCCCAGAGGAAGATTCAAAGCCAGCGGAGACCAGTAAAGGGTCGCAGGACCAAAACAGGTGTCAACAGGCTGTGGCCTTAACCTCTCAGGCCCAAAGCCTTTCTGCTACACAGGCCTTCCTCTTCACTAGGACCAGATACACGCCAAGCTGCTATTAGGAAGCGTTTTATTGACCAGCAGAGCAGGGATATTCATTTAGCAGCTCAGCTTCAGACCCTCCTCTCCCACATCCTTTTACACAGGTGTGTAAAGTCCTTTTAATGCAAAAGGATTTCCAGAGTCTCCAGGGACAGAACCAGGGGCTTCCCTGGGCCAAAGTAATCCCATTCCAATCTCCCCACTGGTCAGACACCATCACCCCAGCCCACAGTGACCGTGGGCCTTAGTCCTGGGCATCGGCTTTCAGAGCGGCTTTGTACTTCCCCCTCATCTCCTTGGGTAATGGCACCAGGCTGGGGCAGGGCACCTGCCCTTCCACTTCACAGATGCACTCCCGCAGGCAGTACTTTCGAGGGCCGAAGTTGGCTGGGTGAGAAAGCTGCTTTTTCTCCTCCTCCTCTTCCCTGAGGGTTTCCCTGCCAAAGAGCACAGACGGCAACCAAGCATTGGCAACTTTGAGTGGCAGGCACAGGGCAGTTTCTCAGCCGAGACAACCCCACCATCCACCAGGGACACCTGGATCTCCTGCCTTCTAACCTGATCCTCACTGTCAAAGCCTATCGCTGTCTCCCTGCTGGCCCCTGAGGAGAGCGCTGAAAGAAGGCCTGCTGTTGTCCCCTCACACCACAGCAGCAAGCCTACACAGTGCGGTCAGCCTATCTGCTGCCACAGGTGGAGCCCACAGCTCTCACATGCAATCACAAGATAAAGGAGCCTGAAAAGGCCTCTGTGTGGTTTCTCAAAGACAGACTTTTTCAGCTTCCGTCCCTTTCTGTCTCCTCTCATTCATGGAAAGAAAGACCTGTCACCAGGAGCCCTAGGGCTAGATGTCTGCTAGCTCCAAGCTGAGATTCCCAGGAGAGATGGGTTAGCAGCTGCACAGGGCCACAAGTCAGCTGCATTTCAGCTTCCCGTCCCCCGCAAGAGGGAGAGAGGTACTTCTCACACTGTACAGCCAAGGGAGATAAAGCTTACAGAGGTTTAATGATTTGGTAAAGAGCAACATCAGAAAGAACTGATTCTACAGCCCCAGCTCTTATTAGTGTCTGGCGTTCACTGTCAGAGAATCTTACCTCTCAACACCCTTCCCACACACCCCTTTCTTCCTCAAATTCTCTGGGCTGAGAAGTTTGTTCCTTCCAGGTCAAACCAAACAACTCACTCATTCTTCCCCAAGATTTTTCTGATGTGCTCCATGATCTCCTTATTGCTCTTGGTCTCCACATCCACCAGGACCTGCTCCCCAGAATCTGGAAACGGAAAGCACGGGGCAGAAGAGAAACAGAACTCACAGCGCACTCAGCCTCAAAAAGTTGTAATTTGGGACTTGCTTTTAGTGGCAGAAACATTTTAATAATAAAATAGATATACTTGTTTACATAATCTGTAATACTACCCTTCCTTTTTCCATTTTTCTTTAGACCTGAGCAAGCATAAACTTTAGATATGTAAAAAAACATGCCATTTTAATAGAAAGACATTCCATGTTCATGGATAGAAAGACCCAATATTCTTAAGACGGCAATTCTCCCCAGACTGATCTACAGATTAAATCAATCCCTATCAAAATCCCAAGCGGTGTTTCTGTAGAAACTTAGAAATTAAGCCTAAAATTCATATGGAAATGCAAAGGACCCAAAAGAGCCAAAACAATTCTAAAAAACGAGAAAATGGGAGAACGTTTACTTTCCAATTTCAAATTTACAATAAATTGAAATTACTATAATCAAGACAGTGTGGTACTAGTATAAGAATATGGCCGGGCGCGGTGGCTCAAACCTGTAATTCCAGCACTTTGGGAGGCTGAGGCAGGTGGATCATGAGGTCAGGAGTTCAAGACCAGCCTGGCCAACATAGTGAAACCCCATCTCTACTAAAAATACAAAAAATTAGCTGGGAGGCAGAACTGCTTGAACCCAGGAGGCAGAGGTTGCAGTGAGTGGAGATAGCACCACTGCACTCCAGTCTGGGCAACAGTGTGAGACTTTGTCTCGAAAAAAAAAAAGAATAGACACACACTGTAATGGAACAAAACTGAGTCCAGAAATAAACCCTTATTTGTAAGGTCAATTGCTTTTCAGCAAAGATACCAAGATAATTCAATGAAGAAAGATAATCGTTTCAACAAATGGCGCTGGGATAACTGGCTATCTATATGCTAAATAGGTGAATTTAGACTTTTACCCACAACATTAAAATTTTAAAAATTAAAACTCCAGGAGGCTGAGGCAGGAGAACAGCTTGAACCCTGGAGGCAGAGGTTGCAGTGAGCTGAGATCGTGCTACTGCACTCTAGCCTGGGCAACAGAGCGAGACTCAACCTCAAAAAAAAAATTAAAACTCAAAATGGATTTGAGACCTAAATGTAAGCACTCAAACTTAAAACTTCTAGAGGAGAACACAGGAGAAAATTGTCATGACCTTACCTAGGCAAGTATATTTTGGAGATGACATTAAAAAACATAATCCATAAAAGAAAAAAAACTCTATAAATTGAAAAATCAAAATTAAAAACTTTTACAGTTCAGGAGTCACCATAACCCACAGTCTGGGAGAAAATATTTATAATGCATATATCTGATAAAGGACTTATATCCAGAATATATAAAAAACTCACAACTCAATAAGACAATCCAACTAATAAAATGGGCAAAATATCTGAATATATTAGTTCATTCTCTCACATTGCTATAAAGAAATACCTGAGACTGAGTAATTTATAGAGAAAAGAGGCTTAATTGGCTCATAGTTCTGCAGGATGTACAGGAAGCACAGCAGCTTCTGCTTCTGGGGAGGCCTCAGGAAGCTTCCAATCATGGCAGAAGGCAAAGGGGGAGCAAGGAGTCTCACATGGTGGAAGCAGGAGCAAGAAAGAGAAGGGGGAGGTGCCACACACTTTTAAACAGCCAGATCGCAAGAGAACTCACTACCACAGACCACAGTACCAAAGCGGATGGTGCTAAACCATTCATGAGAAACCGCCCCCACGGTGACTAGGACTCGTACTCCCATGGAGCAGGCCCATCACACCCTACCTCAATATTGGGAATTATAACTGAACATGAGATTTGGGTGGGGACACAGACCCAAACCACATCAATGAATAAACATTTAACTAAATTTTTGTAAAGAGCTAATAATAAGCATACGAAATGATGAGATCTCAATGAGTCACTAGGAAAATGCAACTTAAACCACAACAAGATATGCAAATGGCTAAAATTTTAAAAGCACAGACAATACCAAGTGCTAGTGAGGATGCGGAGTAACAGGAACTCTCATAGGTCGCTAGTAGAAATGCAAAATATTACTGCCACATTAGCCAGTGAGTTAAGACAAAACACAAAAGATTGGAAAAGAAGTATAACTGTCTTTATTTGCAGATGACATTATTACAGTGCGTGTAGAAAATCCTAAGGAATCTAGAAAATAAAAACTACTGGAAATAAGTGAATTTAGGATAGAAAGCACCTGCACTCAACCTCGGCAACAGTGAGACTCCGTCTTTTAAAAAAAAATTTTTTAAATGATAAACTGAATTAATCAAAATTGAAATTTCTGCTCTTCAAAAGACACCACTAAGAAAATGAAAAGCAGGCCACAGAGAAAACAGTCACAAGACATTATCTCCAACAAAGGAAATGCACCCAGAACACATAAAGAACTCGACAAGAAAGCAGCCCGTTTTTTTTTTTTTTTAATGGAAAAGCTTCAGGCCGGACGCAGTGGCTCATGCCTGTAATCCCAGCACTTTGGGAGGCCGAGGCGGGCGGATCACGAGGTCAGGAGATCGAGACCATCCTGGCTAACACCGTGAAACCCCGTCTCTACTAAAAATACAAAAAATTAGCCAGGCGTGGTGTGGCGGGTGCCTGTAGTCCCAGCTACTCGGGAGGCTGAGGCAGGAGAATGGCGTGAACCCAGGAGGTGGAGCTTGCAGTGAGCCGAGATCACGCCACTGCACTCCAGCCTGGGCGACAGAGCGAGACTCTGTCTCAAAAAAAAAAAAGATTCAAACAGACTGTTTACAAAATAAATATCTGAGTGGCCAATAAGCACAGGAAAAGATACTTGGGGGAAATGCATATTACAACTCCAATGAGATATACACCCAATGGGATGGCCAAAATTTAAAAGACAATTTGGTGGGCAGAATAATGGTCCCCAGAGATGTCCACATCCTAACCCCCAGAACCTTACACAGCAAAAGGGACTCTGCAGATGTGATTCGAGTTAAGGGCCTTGAGTTGGGGAGAGGATCCTGGATCATCCAGTGGGCCCAGGTTAACCCCATGGGTCCTTACAACTGCAGCACCTGACCAGGCTGTGGTCAGAGGGAGGTGGAAGGATGGAGGGACAGCCGCATATGCAAGGTTGCTGGCTTTGAAGATGGTAGAATAAGGCCACAAGCCAAAAAATGTGGACAGGCCCTAGAGTCTAGGAAATGCAAGGACATGGGTTCACCTCAAGCCTCCAGAAAGGAGGGCTCTGCTGACACTGGTTCCAGCCCATGCTGGACTTCTAACCCACAGATCTGCAAGACAATACATTTGTGTGAAGCCACCAAGTTTGTGGTCAATTGTTACAGCAGCCCTGGGACATTAATACAACAATATCAGCATGAGCGAGGACGCGCAGCTGCTGGAACTCCACCCTGTGACTGGAGTGCAACACGGCACAATCGCTTTGGAAAGGCGGTGCCTGAGAACCTTAAATACATAACTGCTCTGTGACCTGGCAGTTGCACTCAGGTATACCCCCAGGAGGCCTGAATGCCTCTGTCCACAGATAGAGACCTGCGCAGCCTACACACACGTTTACTGTAGCTTTCTTCTTGGCAGCCAGGAGGCCCACCACTCAAACCTCCCTTCAAGCAAGGACCTCCCAGGAGTTGCCGCTGAGCTGACAGCCCTGTGGAGTACTGCTGGGATCTGCGCAGCACTTGGGCAGCCCGTGCTCTCCCTGGCCGGGGCCTAGGGTCTGGCCTTCACAACCCAACACAAGGCTAGAATGTCCCGCTGCGCTGGCCAACGCTCCCAGAGCTGCGTCGTCCTCACCTGTAGTTCTGGCAACCTTCCCTGCCCGGCCTCCTCACTCTCCTGGTTTCTTTCAAGGTCTTCTCTCTCATAAATCTCATACTTCTAACTCTCTCGGCATCTTACAAAAATCTAAAGGGTCATCAACAGGTAAGTGGACACACTGTGGTACATTCACAGAATGGAATACTACCCAGCCAGAAGCAGCAAAAACCACGAAACATGTAACCTGGGTGAATCTCAAAACATGAGTAAAAGACACCAGGCTCAAGGGAACACATACTGTGAGATTCTAGTTACATGACATTCTAAAACAAAATGCATCTATAGTGAAAGAAGGGATAACGGGTTGCCTCTGGTGGAAGGGAAATTAACCAGAAAGTGGCACTAAGGAACTTCCTGCAGTGCTGGGGCATTCTGCATCTTGGGGCATGTACGTAAGTGTACAGGTATATAACAACGGCCAGTACCCATCCAGTTGCACGTGCTACTTGGGTGTGCCATTACCAGCAAACTGAAGTAAATTGCACCTCAATAGTTGGTTTTAAAAACACAAGCAAAGCTCACATGCACAAACTGCCACAGGGCCACCCTTCCAACCTTGCCTGTTGTCCTGTTTCTCACAGTACTAATCTTCTCTTTTTTTTATTAGACAGTGTCTCACTCTGTTGCCCAGGCTGGCGTGCAGTGGTGCGATCTTGGCTCACTGCAACCTCTGCCTCCCAGGCTCAAGCAATCCTGCCTCAGCCCCCCAAGTAGCTGGGACCACAGGCATATGCCACCACACTGGCTAAATGTTTTTTGTAGAGATGGGGTTTTATCATGTTGCCCATGTTGGTCTCGAACTCCTGAGCTCAAGAGATCCACCATCTTCAGCCTCCCAAAGTACTGGGATTACAGGTGTGAGCCACTGTGCCACCAGGCCCACAGCACTAATCTTTTTTCTTTTTTTTTGAGACGGAGTCTTGCTCTGCCGCCCAGGCTGGAGTGCAGTGGCGCGATCTCGGCTCACTGCAAGCTCCGCCTCCCAGGTTCACACCATTCTCCTGCCTCAGCCTCCCGAGTAGCTGGGACTACAGGCGCCCACCACCACGCCCGGCTAATTTTTTATATTTTTAGTAGAGACAGGGTTTCACCATGTTAGCCAGGATGGACTCGATCTCCTGACCTCGTGATCCACCCTCCTCGGCCTCCCAAAGTTCTGGGATTACAGGCGCAAGCCACTGTGCTTGGCCCTAATCTTTTGTTAAAATTTCTTGTTCATTCTGTCTCCCTCTGCTGGATATAATCTCCACGAGGGCAGCAGAAATCTTTGTGTGGCTTCCTGACATCCCAGCCTCCGGACCAGCACCTGGTCCTAGGGAACATGTGTTACATATTGGTGGAATGAATGAAAAAACATGGTCATTTTGTTTCCTGAAGCATTTCCCAACCTACACTTCATTTGATTCTCATAGCCATGTAAGGCAGACATTTTGCCTTCAGGTGACAAATTTTAAAATGGGTCTGTTACTTGCTCAGGATCAAAGTGTCTGAGAGCTGGGCCAGAACAGCTGCCCTCCTCGTTTTCCAGCGTGGAGCCAAACTTAATGGAATAAACATCACTTAGCGCCTGGTCCAAACATGAACAGCATCGTGTAAGTGCACGCAGTCCTCAGAGGACACACACAGCACCGAGACAGAGGGGTTCTGGGGGCATGTGGGAGGTCACTCTAGGATGCAGGGAAGGCTTCCTAGAAGTGGTGCCCATACTGAGCCCTGAAGAATTTTTTTTTTTTTTTTTTCAGTTAAATAAGCAAACGCAGGTAGAAATGGGATTCCAGGCCAGGAACAATCTTGAGCAAAGGCATCACAGCCTGGTGTGACAAGGGACTTTGGAAAAATTACCCCCATGGTGTGAGGCAGAGGGTAAGAAGAGGTGAGGCTGGAGAGGGAAAGAGTCCAGACCTCAGTGGCTGCTGAGTGCCTCGGTATGGGGAAGCCAAAGGTGCCAGGAGTCACAGACACACCATGACAGCGCACACTGCAGCTCATCCTGACGCTCCCATAGGAAGGACGCAGTCTCTCCAGGCATGTCTGGGACAGCCCCTGGACCATGGCGAGGGCCCCACTCACCTAAGTAGAATCGCAGGAAGGGTGACGGCGTCATGTTCTTAAACATCATGATCTGCACCCAAGGGTTTTTGTATTGAATCTGAGGTATGTTGAAAAACACAAACTTCCTGCAAAAGGGAAGAAATGAAGCCTATGAAACAGAGTTTTTAGCCTGAAATTTTATGCGTGGGTATTTTTCTAGGGAGAAAGCCCAGCATTTTCATCAGATTCTCAGAGGACCCAAAAAGGCTGAGAAAAAACTCGCAGGGATCCTCTTAGAAGATTCCCTGAATGGCGTGGGGACCCCTGGGCAGGCATCTGAGGGGAAAGAAATCTGTATCCCAACCTGTACTGCAAGCTAACCTAACACCAATGCCAAAGCACCACTGAAAATGAAACCATGAAAGGTACTACGTCGTGATTTGTGTCGTGAAGACAAGGTGTAAACATGAGTGGCAGTTCATGGAGCTGTATACTTACAGGTGTGCACCGTATCTAGGTTATACCACAATTTTAAAATAATGAGACCAATGTATTCACACATGGGGGAACAGTTTTACAATTGAGGAGTGGAGGAACACCTTTAAACTTAGAAGATTTAAACAGATTTATACTCCAGAGGAAAAAAAAAGGCCTTGCAAAAAAAAAAAAAATGCATAATCATAGTATTCTATTTGGCTCAATTGTGTACAGCATTTACAAAGTAATATTAATCTGAACGCTGAATATCGTCCTGTACAAAATTTGGAATAATGATACTGGGAGGAGTGGGTGGAAGAGTATGGAGGTTTGGGGGGTGAGAAGTAACAATGGTGGTGAGAGACATTCCATAGTGACAAGTCCACAGATAACACCTAAAGCTAAAAATCAACAAGTAGCTCTCAGCTGGGTGCAGTGGCTCACACCTGTAATCCCAGCACTTTGGGAAGCCCAGGCAGGAAGACTGCTTGAGCTCAGGAGTTTGAGACCAGCCTGGGCAATATAGGGAGACCCTGTCTCTATAAAAAAATTAAAAATTAGCTGGGCATAGTGGTACATGCTGGTGGTCCCAGCTACTTGGGAGGCTGAGGCAAGAGGATCGCTTAAGCCCGGGAGTTTGAGGTTGCAGTGAGCCAGAGCTGTGATTGCACCACATTCCAGTCTAGGCGACAGAGCAAGGTCCTCTCTCAAAAAAAAAAAAAAAAAAAGAAAAGTGGCTCTCTGAGGATGTTATTTAACTATATGGGTATAAGACTCAAATTAAATAGTTAAGCCGCCGGGCGCGGTGGCTCATGCCTGTAATCCCAGCACTTTGGGAGGCCGAGGCGGGTGGATCACGAGGTCAGGAGATCGAGACCATCCTGGCTAACACGGTGAAATGCCGTCTCTACTAAAAATACAAAAAATTAGCCGGCGTGGTGGCGGGCACTTGTAGTCCCAGCTACTCAGGAGGCTGAGGCAGGAGAATGGTGTGAATCCAGGAGGCAGAGCTTGCAGTGAGCCGAGATCGCGCCACTGCACTCTAGCCTGGGTGACAGAGCAAGACTCCATCTCAAAAAATAAATAAATAAATAGTTAAGCCTTGAAAACTGCTGCCTCTAGGGGAGGAATAGAGGCCTTGGAGACCCTCACAGCACACAGACCTGGGAGCTCAAAGGCTGAATTTACCTTCCAGGGCGTAGCAGGCCTCTGATCAGTTCCCACCCCACTGCAGAGTATCCCAGTGTCACAGAACTTTTTACAAATAAACTAGGACATAGCCAGGTGAGACGTTCCCATACTTTAAACTACTAGGACAGAAATGCAACAGAGATCTTAAAATGGTTCTTGCTGAAACACAAGATGAAAGTTAAGTCCCTCTCTCTCTCCCTCTGCCTCTCCGTCTCCCTCTCCCCACGGTCTCCCTCTCCCTCTTTCCACGGTCTCCCTCTGATGCCGAGCCGAAGCTGGACTGTACTGCTGCCATCTCGGCTCACTGCAACCTCCCTGCCTGATTCTCCTGCCTCAGCCTGCCCAGCGCCTGCGATTGCAGGCGCGCGCTGCCACGCCTGACTGGTTTTCGTATTTTTTTGGTGGAGACGGGGTTTCGCTGTGTTGGCCGGGCTGGTCTCCAGCTCCTAACCGCGAGTGATCCGCCAGCCTCGGCCTCCAGAGGTGCCGGGATTGCAGACGGTGTCTGGTTCACTCAGTGCTCAATGGTGCCCAGGCTGGAGTGCAGTGGCATGATCTCGGCTCGCTATAGCCTCCACCTCCCAGCCGCCTGCCTTGGCCTCCCAAAGTGTCCAGAGTGCAGCCTCTGCCCGGCCACCACCCCGTCTGGGAAGTGAGGAGCGTCTCTGCCTGGCCGCCCATCATCTGGGATGTGAGGAGCCCCTCTGCCTGGCTGCCCAGCCTGGAAAGTGAGGAGCGTCTCTGCCCGGCCGCCCATCGTCTGAGATGTGGGGAGCGCCTTTGCCCCGCCGCCCCATCTGGGATGTGAGGAGCGCCTCTGCCCGGCCGCGACCCCGTCTGGGAGGTGAGGAGCATCTCTGCCCAGCCACCCCGTCTGAGAAGGGAGGAGACCCTCCGCCCGGCAGCCGCCCTGTCTGAGAAGTGAGGAGCCCCTCCGCCCGGCAGCCGCCCCGTCTGAGAAGTGAGGAGCCCCTCCGCCCGGCAGCCGCCCCGTCTGGGAAGTGAGGAGCGTCTCCGCCCGGCAGCCGCCCCGTCCGGGAGGGAGTTGGGGGTCAGCCCCCGCCAGGCCAGCCGCCCCGTCTGGGAGGGAGGTAGGGGGCTCAGCCGCCCGGCCAGCCGCCCCATCCGGGAGGGAGTGCGGCGGGTCAGCCCCCCGCCCGGCCAGCCGCCCCGTACTGGGAGGTGAGGGGCACCTCTGCCTGCCGCCCCTAATGCGAAGTGAGGAGCCCCTCTGGCCCGGGCCAGCCGCCCGGTCCGGGAGGGGAGGTCAGGGGGTCAGCCCCCCGCCCGGCCAGCCGCCCCGTCCAGGAGGTGAGGGGGCGCCTCTGCCCGGGCCGCCCCTACTGGGAAGTGAGGAGCCCCTCTGCCCGGCCAGGCCGCCCCGTCCGGGAGGGAGGTGGGGGGTCAGCCCCCCGCCCGGCCAGCCGCCCCATCCGGGAGGGAGGTGGGGGGGGTCAGCCCCCTGCCCGGCCAGCCGCCCCGTCCAGGAGGTGAGGGGCGCCTCTGCCCGGCCGCCCCTACTGGGAAGTGAGGAGCCCCTCTGCCCGGCCACCACCCCATCTGGGAGGTGTGCCCAACAGCTCATTGAGAACGGGCCATGATGACAATGGCAGTTTTGTGGAATAGAAAGGGGGGAAAGGTGGGGAAAAGATTGAGAAATCGGATGGTTGCCGTGTCTGTGTGGAAAGAGGTAGACATGGGAGACTTTTCATTTTGTTCTGTACTAAGAAAAATTCTTCTGCCTTGGGATCCTGTTGATCTGTGACCTTACCCCCAACCCTGTGCTCTCTGAAACATGTGCTGTGTCCACTCAGGGTTAAATGGATTAAGGGCGGTACAAGATGTGCTTTGTTAAACAGATGCTTGAAAGCAGCATGCTCGTTAAGAGTCATCACCACTCCCTAATCTCAAGTACCCAGGGACACAAACACTCTGCCTAGGAAAACCAGAGACCTTTGTTCACTTGTTTATCTGCTGACCTTCCCTCCACTATTGTCCTATGACCCTGCCAAATCCCCCTCTGCGAGAAACACCCAAGAATGATCAATTGAAAAAAAAAAAAAAAGAAAGTTAATAATGGCAGGAACCTTGAGTTGAGCAACTGCTGTATATGCCAGACACTTTGCTAGGCACCTGACTCTCCAACCCCAGAAGGTGGGGTTTTACAATTTAAGGAAACTAAGGTCAGAAGTTAAGTAAACTGCCCCAGGTCTAACTGGGCTGATTAGTCTGGCCTTCGATCACACTGTTCTGTCACCATCAAATTCACCCTGAGGCTTGGGGACCACTTGTTCAGGGTAGAACACCTGGCAGAGGTGAGTAAGGACTTGGCCCTCAAATACTAAATAAGGCACCTTCCCATTGCCCCCAGCAGGTACCCAAAGACTGGCTGGACCGGTCGCAGGCACTTGGGATGGAGGTAGGTCCCAGTGGGGCAGCTGAAGGGCTGAGGGCACATGAACAAACAAGGGCTGGGGATTGGGGGAGGACTGCGGCTAGCCAGAGCAAGGCAGACAGACTCCAACCCACGGGTACAAGATCACAGAGGGCACAGGTGGCACAGGCCAGCCCCTACCACCAGGAACAAAGAAACAGTGAATGGCTGTTTGTATCCCATTTACCTAGAGGACATTAAAATATCTGAGAATGTAAGTAAGAGGCTCACAGGCTTATTTTGATTGGCTGGCCATTTAAAAGCCAGAGATTTACATAAAAACCTAGATTTCAGCTTCTTGACAAATGAGAAATTCTCCACGGAGCCCACAATGCCAAACAGTGAAGGGCCCTCTGGATAGGGCATGTGCTCTCCAGCTCGCTGCGGGCCGCACCGAGACCCCCACCCCTTCCCATTATCTGCCTGGCAGTTGCCCGGGGACAAAGGTGTGCACAGTTGTGCAGTAGGTTATGAAGGAGTATCTGGGTGCCCATACACCCTAAGACCAAGACCAAGTCTTCCAGGAAGCCATCAAGCCAGCTGATTCCAGGCAAGCAGGTCCAAGTTATCAGATTCACCTGCGCAGAGCAAATGGCTAGGAAGCGGCTTCCGGATCTCTTGAAGGGCCATGCAGTGAAGGTCCGTCACCAAGGGGACCATGCCCCACAAGAAGTTGCTCCCCGCCCCCACGCCTCATTTTGATCCAACATACACCCAAGTCCCAAAGTTTCTGCGGGCTAAGGCTGCCTCCTCCATCACTGCTGAACTCCCAGCACACAGCACACAGCCTAGCACTCAGAGTGTACTCAATAAATGTAGACTTCATACCTGCAGAGCCTAAGGCACTGCTTAGGGCTGCCTCAGGGTCAATCCAAACCTTTCACTTGCCAACTGCCATTCAATGAGTCCCTACTCTGCTCCAAGCTGAAAGACATCCTAGGCGTTCCCTACAGTTCCTTCTAGTCGGGGTAGGGTCTGCCGCTGCACAGCTGACATAATTAATCACTTCCTTCCAAACCTTGAGTCCCGAAGGAAGCGGCCACACTGCCCGGCTCACCGCTCACCGGCTGGCATGGTGTCTCGTGGAGCTGCAAGTTACTTAACCTCTCTGTGCGCTTCCCCAGCCTTAGAGTGGGGATAAGCTGGGGTTTCTCTAGGCATCAGAAAAAAGAAAGCGCGAGAAGCATTCAGAACTGTGCGAGATATGATCAGTGTTCGCCGCTGTTATTTCTCTCATTTTATCCTCAGATTCGTCCTGGGGTGTCACCCCCGTCACCCCGAAAGGATCTGCGGCTGCCCCTCCCCAGCGCTTGCCTTGCTGGCCAGAGGGGCCAAGGGAACTGGTGGCCTCCCTCGGGTCAGCCTCGCCCACCGCGCCGGAGGAAGGAGATCCAGGAGTGGGGTTCTTGTCCTCCGCCCCCCAAACCTCGTCACGACTGCAGCCGGCCCGGCGGGGGCCCCGCCGTCCGCCTCAGTCTGGACCTCTGTAAAATGGGGGTAACAGCGCCGACCTGGGGGGCCCGCCCCGGGGATGAACGGCCGCCCAGAGCGACTCGGGACCTCACGTTACCAGCAGGCTGGCACGACTAGCAGGTTACGGCTCGCCAGGCGGCCGGGGCTGCGACTGACCTGGCGCCCTCGCCCAGCTCCCCATGCGTGTTGTAATTCACTGTCATGACCTTCACGGAGTCCTTGAACACCACGTTCCCCTGGCTCAGATATTGCAGGGTGCGGCGGATGGGGAAGCGGCCCTTCATGGGCATGGCGGCAACGGTGGCGGGGCCGACCCCACGGGCCGCGAGCCGAGCAGCGACGAGAAAGGACTAGCTAGCACCCGCGCGGATCTCACGCGGCTTCTCCCCAGAGCCAGGTTCCACTTCCCGCGCAGACGCACAGGAGACGCTTCCCGGCGGGCAGCGCACGCCGCGGAGCACTCTGGGACTTGTAGGCGGCCTTCGACCCGGCGCGGCGAGAACCGGTGTGTGCAGCTTCGCTTTAGGACGCCTTCCCCTTGGAAGGTTTAGGTTGTCGCGTCCTGTAAATTAGTCATTTCCCCATCCACCCACGGGAAAATATTTTTACATAGGCTAAAAGTCAGACATTGCAATAAGAAATAATCAGGAAAGCTCAGTTTGGATACCAAGTCAGCTGATAACGTCCTATTGAACGTATTGTCCATTTTTCTCCCCAAACATCTCCAGTTTTATCATGAAGAGTTCAAACTGCACTTTCTGACGTTGACTTAAACTTCTTAGCAAAAGAAAAAAAGATGGTTTGGGATCAATTCCTTCCTAAATTCAGCCACTTAACTCAGGACCTCAATTTTTTCGTAAACAAACTATGGGTGAGATGTATTTCTAGGGCCAGGCGCGGTGGCTCCCGCCTGTAAACCCAGCCTTTGGGGAAGCCGAGGCGGAAGGATCGCTTGAGGTCAGGAATTCGAGACCAGCCTGCCCAACATGGCGAAACCCCGTCTCTACTGAAAATACAAAAATTAGCCTGGTGTGGTGGCAGCACCTGTGGTCCCAGCTACTCAGAAGACTGAGGTGGGAGGATCGCTCGAACCCGGGAAGTTGCAGTGAGCCGAGATCGCGCCACTGCACTCCAGCCTGGGCGACAGAGCAAGACTCCCTCTCAAAAAAAAAAAAGATACATTTCTGAAGTACTCTTGATCTGAAAGGTATTTCTCCTTCTCTTTTGAAGAGTGATTTTGCCAGATTTAGAATTCTAGGTTAGTGTTTTTCCTTTCCCTCCCTCCCTTCTGGAGTGCAATGGTGCTATCTTGGCTCACCGCAACCTCCGCCTCCCAGGTTCAAGTGATTCTCCTGCCTCAGCCTCCCGAGTAGCCGGACTTACAGGCATGCGCCACTACACCCAGCTAATTTTGTATTGTCAGTAGAGACGGGGATTCTCCATGTTGGTCAGGCTGGTATCAAACTCCTGACCTCAGATGATCCGCCCGTCTCAGCTTCCCAAAGTGCTGGGATTACAGGCGTGAGCCACTGCGCCTGGCCCTGGTGTTTTTCTTTCAACAATTTAAATAGTTCACTCCACTCTTTTTTTGCTTGCATGGTTTCAAACAAGTAATTAAATGCAATTACATTTATAGGTATGATGGCTTTTTCCTTTAGCTTCTTTCAAATTTTCTCTTGGTGTTTGGTTTACGGGGTTAGAATAAGGTAATGCAGATCTGTAGATGTTTTGTATTTGTCCTGCTTGGAGTCCTCTGAGCCTCCTGGATCTGTGATTTCATGTCTGTCATTAATTTTGTAAAGTTCTTAGCCATTTATTAGTTCAGGTATTTATTCTTCACTCTTTTCTCTTTCTAGTATTCAAGTTAAATGCATTTTATGTCTTCTGGAATTGCCTCATAGTTCTCGAATGTTCTGGCGGGGTGATGGAGGTTCTCTTTGCATTTTAGTGGGGAAGTTTCTGTTGACCTATCTTCAAATTCATTTAATCTTTGGTTATGGACAGTCTACTGATAAGCCCATTAAGGCATTTTTCATTTAAGGTTTTAACTTCTAGCACTTCCTTTTGATTCTTAGGGTGTTTGTTTGTTTGTTTTGAGACAAAGTCTCTGTCACCCAGCCTGGAGTGCACTGGTGCAATCTCTGCTCACTGCAACCTCTACCTCCTGGGCTCAAGCAATTCTCCCACCTCTGCCACTTAGCTGGGACTACAGGTGCACACCACCATGCCTGGCTAATTTTTTTTTTTTTTTTTTTTGAGACGAAGTCTCGCTCTGTCACCCAGGCTGGAGTGCAATGGCACTATCTTGGCTCACTGCAACCTCTGCCTCCCAGGTTCAAATGATTCTCCTGCCTCAGCCTCCCAAGTGGCTGAGATTACAGGTGCCCACCACCACACCCAGCTAGTTTTTGTATTTTTAGTAGAGACAGGGTTTCACCATGTTGGCCAGGCTGGTCTTGAACTCCTGACCTCGTGATCCACCCGCATTGGCCTCCCAAAGTGCTGTGATTACAGTCATGAGCCACTGTGCCCAGTCTAATTTTTGTATTTTTAGTAGAGATGGGGTTTCACCTTGTTGGCCTGGCTGGTCTCAAACTCCTGACCTCAAGTGATCTGCCTGCCTCAGCCTCCCAAACTGCTGGGATTACAAGTGTGAACCACCACACCTCGCATGATTCTTAGTTTTCTTATGTCTGTTTACATTACCCATCTGTTCTTGTATGTTGTTTACTTTTACCATTAGACCCCTTAACAGACCACATTTTAAATTTCTTGTCTGATAATTCCAATATCTGAGTGTGATTCTGATGTTTGCTTTGTTTCATCTGATTGTTGGGTTTATTTTTTTCCTTGCCTTTTAGCATGCTTATAATTTTTTTGTTGAAGGTAGAATATCCACTCTATTGGGCCATAGGAACTGGGGTAAATAAGCCTCTAGAATGAGAACTTATGTTAATCTGGCTCAGAGTTGAGAGCTGTGTTTAATGTTTGCCATAGCTGTAGGTGTCAGAGGCTTCCAGTTCCTCTAGTGTCTTTGTGTTTATCTCCTCTTGCCTTTGGGCTTCCCTCGATATTCCTCCTGAGAGAGTCCGTGTCTTGCAGCTCTTCCAGGTATAATTCACTGTTACTATCCTGGAGTCCTGTTGATGTGGTGGAAAAACATGGGGGAGGTGAAGCATTCTATAATCTTACGATTAAATCTCAGCATTTTAGTGGGCTTGTGTCCTTGGGCTGTGACCTACACAAGTGTTCTTTCCTTTTTTTTTCTTTTTCTTTTTTTTTTTTTTTTTTGAGGCAGTGTCTTGCTCTATCACCCAGGCTAGAGCGCAGTACAGTGGCGCAATCACAGCTCACTGCAGCCTCTACTTCCCAGGCTCAAGCAATTCTCCCACCTCAGCCCCGAGTAGCTTGGACTATGGCATGTGCCACAATGCCTGGTTAATTTTTGTATTTTTTGTAAAGATGAGGTTTTGCTATATTGCCCAGACTGGTCTTGAACTCCCGGGCTCAAGCAATCTGCCCACCTTGGCCTCCCAAAGTGCTGGAATTACAGGCGTGAGCCACCGCACTGGCCCACAAGTGTTTCTTAGTTCCCCTTTGTACCCCCTTACATGACCCAGCCCTCCTCCAGATGGATAAGGCTCTGTGAAAAAGTGCTTTCCTCTGGGGAATAAGCTTTATTATGGAGAAGGCTCTGATTACAAAGATGATTCTCCCTTTCCCCTGCCAGAGTCACCAGAGGGTCTTCCTCAGCTCTTCACCAATAGAACCAAGTAGGGTAAAACCCAGGAAAGCGTTGGGGGTGAGGGGGAGTTGCTCCCTCCCATGCTAGTCCACACTCAACCTCCAGCAGTTCATCAAAATTACCATTTAAGTTTTCCTACTAGCTATGGCTCCCGTGGCTTCTGCTCCAGGCAATTAGATCTTGCTCACTCTCTGGACTCACCTCTCTCTAGATTTTGGGATGGCAGTTTGACCTGCACACTCAGCTCTCTAATGGGACCAAGAAAGGCCAATGCTTTTGAGTTTGCCCAGCTTTTTCTTGTGGTAAGGATAGGATAACTTTCAAACTCTACGTGTCTGAGCTAAAACCAGAAGTGCTTTCTGAAGTATTTTTACAACTACGCTAGGCTTCCTGAAGAGTTAGGCAGAAGTTTTTCATCTTAAAAGTCCACAGGAGGCACTTGCTAGGGATGAAACACCCCATTCCACATTAGAAACATGGGTGTCCACATACAACACAATCTAGGGCAGCTTGGGTTTTGCAGTCAGACAGACCTAGGCTGGAAACCCAGCAGTGCAACCCTAAGCAAGCTTAACTTCACCACTCACTCATTTCTGCATGTGTAAATGGGTTGTTGGGAAGACTGAGGTAAGCCATGCGTAATACTTAGCACTCAGTCTAGCCTACAGTGAGCACTAGATATTATACTCTCCTGGTTTAAGAATCTATATATTCTTAAGGCCCTAAGGAGGTCTCAGTTTCACAGACTCAGGCAGTCACTATCGGAAACCAGCTCAGCAGCACCCAACCTCATTCCCCATTGCCCTTTTCTGCCCTCTTTGAGCTTGACACAATGGTTGAGCACCCACCACCACCACACCACTACCTGACCCAGCTACTTATTACTGAGGGCAAATTAAGTCAGGCAGATCTGGATTTAAACCCTCATTCCACCACTGACTGGCTGTGTGGCCTAAGCCAGGCTAATCTCTCTTAACTTTTCTACGTCTGGGGTCAGATGAACAGCTGAGTAACTACCTCACAGGCATGCTGGTAGTGCTAATGGAGGGAAATGTGGTCATGCAGAGGTGGTGACTGGCACAGATGGCAGTCACAAGGTTCCTCAATCTCTGAGCCTCAGTTTCTTCCAGTGTGAAACTGGGATGATAGGATCATTAAGGGATCTGCACTATACTTCTGTAAAACTGTTCATTTAACCAGCACTGCAGGAATAACTGGGAATAAGGGCAGAACTGGAACCCGTATCTATCCCCTGTTCAGAACCCAGTGACCTTCATTTTTTCCAGAGGCCTTAACCAGACAAACAACACAGGTGCTGGAACTATTCTGATACTCAGATGGTTGTCATCAAGAAAGGAGAAGGGATGTCATCTGATGATTCTCACTTGTAACACATGTGCACACAGACACACACACCCCCAACCTCTATCTCAGATTTTATTTTTTTTAAAAAAGGCTCCAATACAAGGCCCCAGAGTAGTGCATGCAAATCAACGACCCTCAAAGTGACAGTCATTGTCAGATAACAAGCACAATCTGCTACAGTCTGTGACCTGGTAAAGAGACCACCTTTTCATTTTGAGTCCCATCACCAACTATGCCAATGTCCAACCTACCACACAGCTCACAATGACTCAGAGGTACATTTTAGTATCTGAACAGCAAAGACATATTGAGCTGCAAGTACAATGAGTAAGTATCCTTAGTGTATTAGACAGGGTAAATACAAACAAGGCATAAAAGGGAAAAGCCAACTTCATCTGATGCCTGAATCCCTAAGTCTCTTCCATCTTTTCTCATGATCTGTGTCTAGGGAGATCTGCTATGCCATATCAAGACCTTGCTCATCTGGTGATGAGACGGGGCTGTTTGCCTTGGAAGACTAAAGAAAGGGTGAATATTCACATGAGGTAAGAACTTGAAGTTGTGGTTATAATACATAGGCCAAGTTTGCCTGCTGTCAACCCATCTCTGTAACTCCAACTTTGTGCCTGCATGAATTCTGCGACATGGTACAGCTGATGGGTAGAGAATTCTAACTCCTGTGATGTATTTACAGGAGAAGATAATCGTGGAAGAATTAAATGGAAGAATTCATAGAAGAATACAGCCATGGATAAACTTAATCAAAAGAATATGATTTTAGTTTGGTTTAGTATATTCAATCAGTCAGTTTTGTTTGTTTTTTGTGAGACGGAGTCTTGCTCTTGTCACCCAGGTTGGAGTGCAGTGGCGCAATCTTGGCTCACTGCAACCTCCGCCTCCCAGGTTCAAGCGATTCTCGTGCCTCAGCCTCCCTGAGTAGCTGGGATTACAGGCGTCTGCCACCACGCCCAGCTAATTTTTGTATTTTTAGTAGACACGGGGTTTCACCATGTTGGCCATGCTAGTCTCAAATTCCTGACCTCAGGTGATCCACCCGTCTCGGCCTCCCAAAGTGCTGGGATTACAGGAGTGAGCCACTGCACCCGGCCAGGCCTTTAAAAATAGTTTTTAAAAATGTTTCTTGTGTGTTTTTCAATGCTTTTAGTTACTTACAGATTGCTACCTGAGGTGATTTGAGGGAAGGGTATGTTTAGTGAATTAGTCTTAATCAAAATCACTAGCTAATTAAAAGAGAAATGTTCTCACAAGAAAAATAATTATGATGGAAAGCAGCAATTAGCTTCTGGAACTACCTGCTTTTCAGTTCATCCTCTTTTCAGAGAAATGAGACCCTAAGCAGGGAGGAGCCTACTGGCCATCTGAGAAACCCTCTAGAGTAACAGAGAAATGTCATGGGCCTCAGGGAAGAAAAGAGGCCTGTACCAGGCAACATCTTAGATGCCTGGTTGCCAACTTCTCAAAACAACCCATAACAACCAGCAGGGTTGGTAACTGGCTGACATTCATTAACACACTCATATGGCTGTTTGTGAACAGATCCCAAATGCAAAGCGTCCTTCACACACTTCTACCCACTCCCCATCTCCACACCCCTATACAAGATCTTTTCATTCAACCAAAAGGATAAGAAATGTGCTACAGAAATGTGAACATCAACACAAATACAGATTATTTTTTCATCAAGAGAGTTAAAACATTCCCATTATCAAGAGGGGTCTTCACCAGAATGTAACAAAATGAATTTCAGCTTTCACACCAGTAACCAGTGAAAGTATGGCCTAGAGCTAGTTACACGGCATAAAGTGACTAGTGGTCAGTTATTGTTCATTAGTTCAGATGAGTAACTGCAGAAACTCTACCCAGAGCTGAGCACATATGGCTATCATGATGTCAGATGTCAGTTAAGAGTTATGTTCCTGTAAACCAAAGCACCAGAGCTAAATTAACAATTTCCCTTTCTGGCCTTAATTGACCAACAGTTTAAGTACTGTGGTGCTACCAGCACGATCCTGGGTTGTGCTTCTTCAAACATTTCAGTTTCTCAATACTAACATTGGTAATAAAATATCTCATCAGGGCGGGCACAGTGGCTCACGCCTGTATTCCCAGCACTTTGGGAGGCCAAGGTGGCAGATCACTTGAGGCCAGGAGTTCGAAACCAGCCTGGCCAAAATGGTGAAACTCTACCTCTACTAAAAATACAGAGATTAACCAGGCGTGGTGGCCCACGCCTGTAATCCTAGCTATTCAGGGGGCTGAGGCACAAATATCACTTGAACCAGGGAGGTGGAGGTTGCAGTGAGCTGAGATCATGCCACTACACTCCAGCCTGGGCAACAAAGTGAAACTCTGTCTCAAAAAAAATAAAAAATCTCATCAGTGCCCCAAGTCAGGACACAATGAACCAAAAAGGAAGAAGGCTGATCAAATAGCCTTGGAAATTATTTTAATTTAGCTTCTGACTCTGGGAAGCTTCCCTTCTTCTGGTGATGTTCTGCAAAAGCTTCCAAATCACCGATTCCTAAATTAGAGACCCGGCCTTTTAAACAGACCCAGATCAGAGTAACTTTGCCAAAGCTCTGGAGGGAGATTTCTCCAGTGACAGACAATTGTTCTATCAGAAGAAGGGTGGGGAAACTCTTCTCACAAATAATACTAATATCAACCAAAAAGTTAACCACTCTTATTTTTTTTTGAGACGGAGTCTCACTCTCACTGCCCAGGCTGGAGTGCAGTGGTGCGATCTCGGCTCACTGCAAGCTCTGCCTCCCGGGTTCACAGCATTCTCCTGCCTCAGCCTCCAAAGTAGCTGGGACTACAGGCACCCACCACCACGCCTGGCTAATTTTTTGTATTTTTAGTAGAGACGGGATTTCACTGTGTTAGCCAGGGTGGTCTCGATCTCCTGACCTTGTGATCTGCCTGCCTCGGCCTCCCAAAGTGTTGCGATTACAGGCGTGAGCCAGCGCGCCCGGCCACCACTCTTATTTTCTAAAAAGCTCAGGACCAGATTCACATTGATACCCTGCACTGGGAGCTTAACTTCCTGAAAGAGACAAAAAAGAACTTAAACTGAGAAAATAGACCCTGGTGAAATATTCCCATCACCCCACCTTAAAAAGAGGTGCTGGGCTCTCCTGGGTCTAAACTCTCCCCTTCATAGCAGCACCTCCCCCTTCTATTGTACAGACAGGAAGTGCAGAGCAGGGGAGAGGCGGCCCCAGGTGAAATGGAACTCACAGCCTACTAGGGATGGACTTCTGTCAGAGCAGAATAGAGCTCAGTGGAATCTATCTTCTCTGTCTTGGCTAAAGGAAGGGCTCTAAAAAGGCTGCCCTATAATACTGCATAAGGAACCAAGACTAGGCAGTAGCAAATGGACCCAAGAGGTACACAGCAGCCATTTCTGCCCTGGGCCCAACAGAGCTGCATTTAGTTATATCTCGGTAGTAAAAATGTAAAGTCCCTTCAAAAGGGGTAAACCTCCGATTACAAAAGATAGTAATAATAAACAGGAAAAGCAGCAACTGAATGCTGATTCTCCCTGTTCTAGTTTCTATTTTATTATTCAACTGTAGTGGAAATACCTCAAAGTGCGCAACACAAAACAGCAGATTCCTGCCCCTCACCTGTGTGCATCTGAGTTCTCACCCTGCCACCTTCCCCATCCATCCTGCCTGCCCTCTGTCCTGCTCCACTGGCTCCTGCCAGACCCCTGGGCCCAAAGGTGCCCTCTCCACTGCTGGTCAGTCAGTGCCCCCCTTCTGCTTGGCCAGGGTGTGCTTCAGCTCCCGCAGATTCTCTGTCAGCACCTCTACCTCATCCAGGCGGCCGCACTGCTTGGCATCAAAGATGTATGCCTTGATGTTATCGATCTGCTGCAGGAGGAGCTCTTCCTCTATGGGCTCCTCAGCCTCTGGCCCACTGTCACTGTCCATCTCAAAGGGGTTGATACAGGTGGGTTCCTCAAAGGGGTTACCAGGAACCAGAGGGCTTGAGAGCCTCTGCTGGGGATGTTCGTCTTCCTCACTGAAGGGGTTAGGAGCTGGGCTGTCTGGCTGAATGAATGGATTCCCTGCCACTGCTTCCTCCTCCTCGTCCTCTTCCTCGAAAGGATTGTACTCTTTCAGGATGCGGGCTGAAGGGTCTAAGGAAACCCCTGCAGCAGGAGGACCAGTAGTGGCCTCTTCCATGGGGCTGGAGAGGTCTTCCTCATCAAAGGGGTTTAAGGAGGGCCCCTCATGTTGCTGTGGCATGCTGCTCTGGGGTAAGCGCTCCTGGCCAACGGCTGGGGGCCCAGACCACACTCTGGTGGGTTGAGTTGAGCTAAGTGAAGGGGTCTTGGGAGCTGTGCTGCTTGGAACTGGGGAAGAGCCTAGATCCAAAGCATAAGCAAGGTGGGTGCGAGGCTCTCTGCTGGGCTCCAGCTGAAAAGGGCCGATTTCTCTGAAGTCCAGGGACCGAGTCCGTGTGTGCAGGGATGCCACCCGAAACTGCTCCCTTTCTCGTTCCAACTCCCGTTCACGCAACATCTGCAGCTGTTCCCGCTGCAGGTCCTCCTCCTCAGCCTGCCTCCGGGACAGCTCGATGGCCTTCTCTGTCTGCTGCTGGTCATACTCGTCCTGCAGCTGCCGCAGGTTCTCCTGCAGAGTGCGCACTTCATCCATGCGGCCCGCGGCCTTGGCCTGCCTGATGAATGATGTGATGTTGTGGATCTGCTGGAGGAGCGGGTCTGAGTCCTCACTCTGCCCCTGACCTCCTGACAGTGGGAGCCAGCCCTCAGCCTTTCTCAAGGGGGCAGGGCCCCTGCGGAGAGATGCCACCTCCCCGTTGGCCGCTCGAGAAGCCAGGCCACTCTGCCTTTCCTCAAGCCTTCGCTGGGACTCCAGGGCAGCCTGGGGAGAGAGCAAAGCAGAGAGAAGAAACAGTCACTATGCTGGCAGCAGCCCACACTGTCACCCACCCTCTGTTGTCCCTCTATCCCTGTGCCAGTGACACTCCAATTTCTCACCTCAGGACAAAGATATCCAACTGCTAAAATCAAGTCATGTTTTTGTGTATATGTGGGCGGAAGGGAGACCCTGATTTTCAAAAATAAAATATAATGAATAAGTTAGGGCATCAGATTTTCTCAATCTTAGATTCACAGGCCGTATACTTTTCTTAAACCTCTAAGGTCTGTTCCCCTCATCTACACTGGAATCTCACGCAGCGTTAAATACACATATAATTTTCTGTTTAATATTGCATATACCGATATGTTCTACAAGGAACTTCCTAATGTCTTGGTCCTCTGCAACTCCTGCCATAGGGAGAACTGTCAATCTCTGTGGTATTCTAGCCATGAGAGAATCAGCAGAAGCTCTGAAAGAAAAATAGGCCCTGGGGAGAAAAACAATTATTCTAGTTCCCATAGATGAAAGTGAGGCTGAAACACAACAGAAGAAATATGCACATTTGAGAGAGAGGTTCTGATTCACTACAACCGCACACAACCTGGGAGCCCATGGCAGCCTCTGTGCTTGAGAGCCACAGGAGGAAGCAGGCCCCATATCCCTGGCTTCACTCACTTGTCTCTCCACGGCCCTCTTCCTCTCCATTTCCTCCTTCCTTTTCTTTTTCAGTTCCTCAAACTGTTCTTTGGTTGGCAGTGACATCAAACCAAGCAACTTTTCCTGCAGGGAGTGACAGACAATTTTACACTTAAACCCTTTTAGAGAAAAAATGAACCTTAAGCCCCATGATGAGAGTCTGCTTAAGCTGAGCCACTCTGTTCTCAGAGAGTGACATCATTTGACAGCAGCTAGAAAGGAGAGAACTCATATTGGGTGAGACAGTCAACTCCAAATGGGCCTGCATTTTCCTTATGAAATGATCAACATCAGATATCCCAGTTATTCACCTGGCTCAGATGTTAGCTTCTCTATGAGGTCTTGTCCCTGCCCATCCTATTAACTTAGCAAACCTCAATCCCAGCCCTCTCTCCCACACTTCCCTGCTGTAAGTTTCTCCAGAGCACTTTTGCTATCTTACATACTAGATATTTTAGTTGTTTATGATCTCTCTCCTTCTCTAGAACATAAGCTTAATGAGAACAGGAACGTTGGTCTTTTTTGTTCACTATAGGACATCCAGCACCTAAAACACTACCTGGTACATAGGAGGCACTCAACAAATGATTGCTGAATAGAGTCACTAATCAAAGTGAGGAAGGGCCTACTTCTCTATACTACAGAGTTAGAAAACTAACCTGACAGGACTCTGTCTATTAGATCTCTTTGTTGGCTGGGTGCAGTGGCTCACGCCTATAATCCCAGCACTTTGGGAGGCCAAGGTGGGCAGACTGCTTGAGCTCAAAAGTTTGAGACCAGCCTGCGCAACATGGTAAGACCCTGTCTCTATTTAATAAAAGAAAAAAAAAACACTTTGTTTTAATTTAAAAAAAAAGAAAAAAACAGATCTCTTTATCAGGGAGCCCCAAGAGTGGTTAACTGTGACTCTCTCAGAAGGGGCCTTCAGGGATAGAAAGACACAATTCAGATCTAACCACTTAGGTTAGTCTGCCCTTAATCGGCTGTTTCCTCCCAGCTGATGGCTCAAGAAGAGTCTCTTAGGAGATTATCCTAAGGAAGAAATACTAAGTACCATTATTACTATCATGGCAACACTTAACAGCAGCAAAAAATTAGTCTATCAAATGTCCAACTAAAGGAAAACGGTTAAAGAATGGCATATACAGTCAATATGCAGTATCGTAACTACTGTATATAAAAAATACAAATGGGAAAAAAGAAAACATACCAGAATAATGAGTGATTGTAATGGGGACATAGGATTAAAAGTAGTTTTAGTTTTCTCTGAAATCCAGATTTTTCTCTAAGTGTGGCATCATGCATTCATAATTTCAAAAAATAATAAATGTATAAATAGGAAGTAAACAAGTCATTGGCATGGATCTGCCTCCTGGGAAGCAAAAGAGCAGGACAGGCCAAGTGCAACATTTATGCCAACCCAGGATGGCTTTACCTGCACAAAAAGTGTAGCTGAGTATCTGATCATTCTCTGCAGCCGCAAATTGCTTGGATGTGGTGGAGGGTCCTGGTTCAAGCCCAAGGTTAAGATCTTCTTACTGAATTGGAACAAACACATGAATATAATGAGCACTGCCAGCTTCAGAAACAAGGGTGAAAAGTATAACATCTGGAGTTGCCAGGCTTTCATGCCAGGAAGGTGTGTAAAGATGGACAAGTGACTCCATTGAAGTTTCTTTGAAGGCAAAGCCCATTTCTTACCCTTTGGCTGTACACAGGCCTTAGCAAAGGGCGCACAACACTGTTATGGAGTGACTGACTACACATGCAGAGCCAGCTTCACAGGTGAGCAACCTATGCAACTGGAAAGGACTGGCACTTAAAAGAGCCCTGTGCTTGGTTTAATGCTCTGCTGTTAGTGTCTTTATTCTTAATAACTTTTGAACAGGGGACATGCATTTTCATTTTGTACCAGGCCCTGCAACTACGAACTCCTGCTGTATGTCTGGATGGACAAAGGCACCTCATCTTATTCTCCCTCTGAGTCACTGGCTAATTTAACCCCAATGGCCAGTCCACAGTTAAAAAGCAGCTGTGGACTTGAGCACAGACACAAAGAAAGAACCTGAGTTTCTATCTTCACTCCACAATTTTTGCTATCTGTGACATGATTCCTCACCTTTGACACAGGATGTTAATCCCTACCTCACAGGGTAACTTCAGTAGAATAAATGAGCTATTCTAGAGAAAACAGCCAGTGACTGGCAGGTGATAGGTGTCAATAACCAGCTCCTCTTTCTTTAATAATAGCAAACATTAGAAATCCTTAACGAAACAAAAGTCACTGAGATGCATTAAGTGCCAGAGCTGGCCCCTTCCTTGCCCTCCTCCTCACCCACTGCCCCATCACCAGAAGTCTGAGTGAGTGCAGGTCTGCTTTCGCCATTTCATTAGAACAGCATCTTCTCCATTCCACCAGCGGGCAGGATACCACTTAATGGACCTTACCTTAAAGCGTCTATCAGCTCATACACTTTCTGCACTTCCACTCGAAGGTCACTGGCATGTTCCAGACTGTAGGTTGTCTCCCCAGCACTAAGGAGAAACCAGAGACACGTGACCTAAGTTTCATGGTGCAGATTGGACAGCATAGTGTAGAAGGACGCTAAAGGTGTAAGGCCTCACAAAGGCAGTTAATTCTCTAAAGGTGGCATTTCAGACTTTCAGATATAATGCAGTGTCCATCTCTTGGAATGAATGAATCAAGTGGAAGTGATGTTTCGATTTGCAGACGCAACAGGGACAGATTCATGCCAAGGCCTCCAAGGACTAGCCCTTATGCTCATCACCAAAACAAATGCGGCTGAATTTACTCTGGCCTACTTTTCCTAAACAATTCCACTATATCTAACAAGATGTAAGAAGTGGTTACACTACATTAAGAGCAGAAAGCTACTTGGCTTTTCTCGCTCAAAAGTACCCAAGGAGGTTCGAGACCAGCCTGGCCAACATGATGAAACCCCATCTCTACTGAAAATACAAAAATTAGCCAGGCATCGTGGTGGGTGCCTGTAATCCCAGCTACTCAGGAGGCTGAGGCAGAAGAATTGCTTGAACTGGGAGGCGGAGGTTGCAGTGGGCTAAGGTCGCACCACTGCATTCCAGCCTAGGCGACAGAGCAAAACTCGGTCTCAAAAAAAAAAAAAAAAATACATATATATATATATATATATATATATATATATATATATATATATACATGGTTTTGTTTTAAATATATATATACACATGGTTTTGTTTTTAAAAAAGGCACATCTACTACTACATGCATCGCTTTAAATGTGGCAGATAGGCAACACAGGTTTAAGACAAAGACAGAAAACTCTGAAATTAATAACACTAGATACCATAATTAATTCTTTTCCTACAGGTTGGGAAAACACTGCTGGGATCTGACTCTAGTAGTTAGCACTTTAACTTCTAGGTTACAAACACTAAGCTTCAGAAAAAGCAACGATCTTAAGCAGGGATCAGCAAATTTTTTCCATAAGGAGCCGAATCATAAATGTTTTCAGCTTTGCAGGCCACACAGTCTCTGTTGCTGCTATTCAACTCTGTCATGGTGGTGCAAAAGCAGCCACAAACAGTAATCAAACATGGGCATGGCTGTGTTCCAATAAAACTTTATGCAAACAGGTGGCAATAACTAGTGTTGGTAAGGCTATAAAGAAAGTGAAACCCTCATACACTGCTGGTGGGAATGCAAAATAGTGCAGTCATTCCACAAAACGATTTAGCAATTCCTCTATGGAATGTTACTCTATGGTAATATATAGTTACCATAAAACCCAGCAATTCCACTCCTAGGTACCTACCCGAGAGAAATGAAAACATGTCTACACAAAAAACATAAAAACTTGTACTCAAATATTACAGAAGCATTATTTATAACAGCCAAAAGTGGAAAAAACCCAAATGTTCATCAACTGATGGATAAACAAAATGTGACAAGTATCCATGCAATGCATTCATACAGATGGAATGAAGTACTGATACATGCAACAACATGGATGAATCTGAAAAACAGTACACTGTGTGAAAGAAGCCAGACAAGAGAGATTTTATATTTATGATTCTATTTATATGACATGTCAAAAGCAGACAAATCCATAGAGACAGGAAATAGATTAGTGGTGTCCAGGGAGATGGGGAAAGGGCAGTGGCTGCTAATGGGTATGGGGTTTCCTACTGGGGTGATAAAAATGTTTACAATGAAGACAGTGGTAATGTTCGCTAATTTTGTGAATACGCTAAAAACCACCAAACTGTACACTTTAAAAGGGTAAAGGTTAGGGTGTGTGAACTACATCTCAATTTTAAAAAAGAAGCAGATGTTGGCCAGACACGGTGGCTCACGCCTGTAATCCCAGCACTTTGGGAAGCCAAGGCGGGTGGATCACGAGGTCAAGAGATCAAGACCATCCTGGCCAACATGGTGAAACCCCGTCTCTACTAAAAATATAAAAAAATTAGCTGAGCGTGGTGGTGCGTGCCTGTAGTCCCAGCTACTTGGGAGGCTGAGGCAGGAGAATTGCTTGAACCTGGGAGGTGGAGGTCACAGTGAGCCGAGATCACGCCACTGCACTCCAGCCTGGCAACAGAGTGAGACTCCGTCTCGGAAAAAAAAAAAAAAAAAGCAGATGTCAGGATACATTTGGCCCACGGGCTGCAGTCTGCCAGCCCCTGCTCTAATGGTCATGCCTGCTTTAAGCCCTGACACCTCAATGTGACACTCAAGTGGCATCTACCCAGACATGAGCATGAGACCCACTGCCCTTCCTCTGCTCTGTCCAGATGCTGCACTCAGCAGCAGTACCTATTGTCTGAGGCCCTTCCCAAACCTGCTCAGTCAGAATAGCCAAGGTCAACTGAATGTGGCTGTCTTTCTACAAGCTCATGTGATGGTAGCCTGTACCCCACTAAAAGACAGACATGAAGATGATTCTCTTCATAATAGCCAAAAGTGGAAAAAAACCAACTTCAGCTGGTCTCAGAAAAAAAGCACGGTTGAAGTTAAGATTTTCATTTTTGGCTACTGGAGAATTGACCTAAAATGCCAGAAAACAGTCACCACTGGATTAGAAAAACATAGATGAATAGCTTACTTTAATGATGCTGCCATCCTGATGTATTCTGGAGCTTTCTGGTCAACTTTCTCCATGCAAAGTCGTAATTTCTAAGAACAAAAACAAAGAGGTAAGTGGTATGCTCAAGATATAGAAACACCTACCCAGAAGCTAGGCTCCATCAATGGAGCTATATTTAAAATGTTCACTTTTCTAACACATTAATTGTTGTTATCAATTTCCTGATTTATAGGCATACTTTCCAAGCAGAAAATTTTGTAGGAAGGAAAGAAAGTGAGAATGGAGCTTCTGATCAGATGTTTCGTTTTGTTTTTTTTTGAGAAGGAATTTTGTTCTGTCACCCAAGGTGGAGTACAATGGCGCGATCTCCACTCACTGCAACCTCTGCCTCCTGGGCTCAAGCGATTCTCATGCCTCGGCGTCCTGAGTAGCTGGAATTACAGGCACGCTGCCACCACGCCCGGCTAATTTTTATATTTTTAGTAGAGACGAGGTTTTGCCATGTTGGCCAGGCTGGTCTCGAACTCCTGGCCTCAAATGATCTGCCTGCCCCGGCCTCCCAAAGTGCCCGGCGAGATGTTTTTGAGAGGAGCAAGGCTTCCAGGGCACAAGCCAAGGTGTCTACCAAGACAAAAAGGAATTAGCTGCTACTTTCTTTCTCTGCCAAGTGATGCCAGGCAACAATGGGAAACCAGCACAAGGCATTGCCAGGGCTTACTTCAAAAGAGGAGGTGGCACAAGCACCGTGGGTATTCACAGAAATGAGATACCAGGTCGTGAACTCCACACAAAGGATGGAGAATGCTACATCTGCAACCCAACATGGGGCTTAATTGACACCATTTCTAGTAGCCTGAGTATTTACATAGGGATTCCAGAAACAGTGCCATTATGACCTGCAGAACTACTAACAATGACTATTCAGTGGTCATTAGGCAAAATTACACTCTTCCTCTGTTCAGAATGTTGCACAAGCTGCTTCCTCTGCCTGGGCTGATCTCTTCCCTGCATCTCTTACTGCCTCCCCACCCAGTCCACCTGGCTAGTCTTCCTCAGCTCACAGGTCTCACCTGGCCATTAAGGGACCAAGCCAGTCTCACTCCCAGATATTCTTTGCACACTATTTCCTCTCAGAGTATGCATCTAGTAGGGGGGCTGTGGGATCACTCAAGTAACGACAGCTGAGGCATTTGGACAAACTTAGAAGGGGACACTCAGTAAACTGGTGAAGCCTGAAAACTTGTAGAACTTTCTAAAACTTGTAAAGTCTAACACTCCCAAGTGAGTTTCCCAGGATTCTTCTGGCCCACTGTTTATGAACATCTCTAGCTTCTGCCCTTCCCACAGAACCTGTCTACACCACATGGCAACTGCCCTTCCTCCTATTGCCTCTGGGCCACCAAAGCTTCCACCCACCTGCTTTCAAGTGGCCAAGGAAGGCCACTTGAAACGAGTTTGTTGCAACACACCCAGGATGACTCTGACTCACACAGGGCCCTAGCTGGGAAATCATAACATGGGCCTTTAACAGGAACTACAAATAATTCAAACGAACAACTTCCCAAAGCATTCTCCAGAATCTGCAGGAGTGTACATAACAAACAGCCAAATCTGCCTAAGAAATTAGACCCAAGACCAGACAGCGCGAATCACCTCGTAGAGCTTCACGATGTCAGGTGTGTGCTCCTTCTCATCAATCTGCTGCTCTCTCTTGAGCAGCGTGTCCTTGCAGTGTGTACAGCAGCGGATCCGGTCATCGTCCTTCTCATCCAGGACCGAGCTGACACTGCTCATGCTGCTGATGCTGCCTCGGCGGGAGCCATGGACACTGTTGGGTGACTGGCTGGGGCTGGTGTGGGTGCTCAGGGACTCCTTGCTGGCACTGGTGAGCTTGTCTGTAACCACAACACCAACAGGCAGCAATGACCCCCACAGCATCCAATTACCATACCCACGACCTCAAGGTGTCAGTCCACAGGTGTTTGATTTGGAGAGTAATAAGATCAGGCTCCAGCTGTGGGCACGTACTGCCCCTCTGCCTTCCTGGTGTCAGACTCTGGTGAGAAAGGACTCCACTGCTGCCCCTCCAAATCCAAACAGCCTTCCCTTTCCACCTGCCACTCTCCTGCATTTGCCCTGTGCCTCCAACACAACAAACATTCTCCCAGGAGACTTTCCTCCACAGCCTTCTCCCTATTCCCAAACATCTGGCTCCTACCCTCTCTGAATGGCAGGTCCTCCAGGAAAGCCTTTTCCAATTCCCTGAGGCAAAAACTATCCATCCTTCCCATCAGTTCCCACCACATTGCCCATTTTGGAGCACTTTCCACTCTTCTCCCTGTGTACAGTTGCATGTACACCCCAGAGCTGCCCTAGGAACCTATGACTCTTTGTGGGTACGAACTGTGTCTTACTCACACTTGTACACTTAACATATCCAGCAGGGCCACCCCACAGCAGCTGCCCAGTAAATGCTGGCTAAAGAGCTCAAGAGAAGAAGGGTGAATAGTGTCCCAAAAAGGCAGCTTATAAAATCTCATGTGAGACAGGGAGTTGGTCTCAGGGAGAAAGTATCAAGGTACAGTGACCTGGTATATGTGAGAGTTGGAAAGAAGAAGCATCTGTTTTTGTCCCCACATTATCCAGACACCCCATGGCCAACAGTGTGCACAGTCAGCAGAACTCTCTAGTGTTGCAAATTTACCCCAAACTTCCCAGAAGCCAATGAGATCATCTTCAGCAACTTCTACTCAGCTTGGTTGCAAAGTCCTGGAGGATCGGGTTCCACCTAAACTTTGTCCTCCACACACCCCCAACTATTCTATTTGCTCATCTATTAACCTACCCTGGGCTTTCCAGAATTCCATGCCTTTGCTCCTACTCTTCACTCTACCTAAAATGTCCTCTTTCTCCATCTCTTTTGCAATCCTACTCATCTTTTAAGGCTCTTCTTGAACATCACCTCCCAGCCCTAAGCATGCATGCTCTCACTGTCCCTGAGCCCACAGCACTCAGCATCTCTCATATTATGATATTAGTCTTTTCTATATGGCAGTGAGTTGTCTGTGACTTATCCCACAGGAAGGGACTAGCCCACTGCTTATATTCAAGACCCTCTTCTCAAAGTCACACTTGCCACTTCCAAGCAGAGCAGACAAAGAGTTGGTCAGCCTCTCCTGAGTTCCTGACAGTCTCTTTCATTGTACATCTCTCTTTAGAAAGCAATTATTTATTTGTGAGTTTATATCCCCTGATAGATGCTAGACTCCTTGGAAGAATGGACAATGCCTTATAGGCTTATAGGCCAGAAATGGGCAAAAAATGACCTGTGAGCCAAGTCCAGCCTCCAGGCTGTTTCTATATGGCTCTCAAACTAAGTATAATTTTCACATTGCTATTTTATTTTATTTATTTATTTTTTTGAGATGGGAGTCTCGCTCGGTCACCCAGGCTGAAGTGCAGTGGCTCAATCTCAGCTCACTGCAGCCTTCACCTCCCAGGTTCAAGCAATTCTCCTGCCTCAGCCTCCTGAGTAGCTAGGACTACAGGCACATGCCACCACGCCAGGCTAATTTTTGTATTTTTATAGAGACAGGGTTTCAACATGTTGGCCACGCTGGTCTCAAACTCCTGACCTCAAGTGATCCGCCTGCCTTGGCCTCTCAAAGTGCTGTGATTACAGGCATGAGCCACTGTGCCCAGTCTAGTGTTCACATTTTTAAAAGGTTGTTTAAAGAAAGAAGAAATGTCACAGCAACCATATGTGGCCCACAAAGCCTAAATGTATTTACTATCTGATCCTTTACAAAGTTTGCCAATCCCTGTTATAGACCACTGTATCCCTGGCCCCTAGCATAGTACCTAGTCTGTAGTGGGTTTCACAGAAACAGCAACTCAATGAATGAAGATTCCCATGAGCCATTAATTTAACAAAAAGGTTCCACGATCCCAGTGGTAATTAGCAAATAAGCTAGGCCCAAAAGAAGATGAGGGTCCAGGGCCCCACCTCCAAGTCACCTACTTGCCAAGGGAAGGCTGATGAGCTCCATACACTTCTTGCACATAATAGACCCGCAGAGGCGGCAGTGGTGGCGGCGGTTCCGGATGCTGAACTTATTCCCACAGTCTGGACAGAAAGGGACATCCTGGTCGTTGACCCAAGGCACCACAGACTTTTCTATTGCTTTGGGAAGAGCAAACCAACAAGAAAGCAGGCCATTTTAAAGAGAGCTTTGGTCAGGGAAAAAAAGATAATAAGATGAATGTGAGCAAAGTTTTAAAGTTACCTCGAATCTTTGCAGACTCAGTATTTGTTCTGTCAAATGCAGTGAGCTGACCGGAAGAAAATAGTGCCAAATGAAATTAACCAGGTGATGTATACATGCTCCACACTTTCCAATACATCAAGTGGGAAATTAGCACATTTGCATTCCTCAAGTCTCATCTGTCATCCCCAACGCCACAAAATCACAAAAACAATTTCACATGGGACAGGGTATTAGTTTTGCATCTAGAACCCACCTCGCTTCCTATAACCCACTTCTAATCTCTTTATTGTCAGTTACCCATTTTAGCAATAACCAGGGGTAGGCAAGGATGGGTAAGGGCAACGACTGAAAGCAACAGAAAACTCTCCATTCTCCACGGTGCTCCTGGACCCTAAAACTGGCCACATATTTCTGCCTTACAAAGTACACATAAAGAACTGTACTTGTGCTTGCTACTATGCCCAGCACACAATCCAGGTTACACACAACAAGCACAACTAGGATGAAAATACACCCGTGAGACCTGGTGACCACTTCTTTGTTTGCCATCACACACTACACCTCACTGGATGATTGTGCCTGGGACACCCAAAAGAAGAATCTGAAGGAAGAAAGGTTTTCCAGCACCTGAGTGGGATTCATAGGTGGGAAAAGGGAAGCTAAGCATGTGGCAAGTTTGTCAACCTGGGCCATTCTCTTAAGGAATGCTGGCCCAGGCTAGAACTGTCCACCATGTCCTTTGCACCTCTCTAGAGAAGGTGTTTCTCTGCCACCATCAGATGTATATGATATATACAACACAGGCTATAGAAATGTGATTATTTTTCCCCAGAAAATGTGTATTTGTAGAAAAAAATGTTTTAAGACAACAAAATTTACCTTCTCTAACCTGATTATTAGTTTATTGACTTCCACAACATAGTGGTCAATTCTAGCAGCTCGGTGTTTTTTGAAGTCGGAAAGATGGCTTCTCACAGCACCTAGAGGGAAGGAAGGTAGGGAGACAAATGACTTATAGTTTCTCTGAGGGAGCCTAGTCTCTACCTTGCCTCTTATCCCAGTGAATTTCAAAAGCAGGTTGGTCAACATAGCGAGACCCCGTCTCTCTCCAAAAAAAAAAAAAAAAAAAAAAATAGTCAGGCATGGGTATGTACGCCTATAATCCCAGCTCCTTGGGAGGCCAAGGCGGGAAGATGGCTTGAGCTCAGGAGCTGGAGGCTTCAGTGAGCTATGATCCCACCACTGTACTCCAGCCTGGGTGACAGAGTGAGACCAACTTCAGAAAGAAAAAAAAATATATTTCAAAAGCAAGTAAAAACTCTAGGATTTTAGAGCCTTACCAAAAATTCAAAAACCAGGAAAGCAAATGGAAGAAAATCTGCTAAATTGTTAACCGCCTTTGGAGGCCACCAAGTACCATATGAGAGACCTGAGAGTAGAGCAGATAAGAGCATGGACTCTGGAGTCAGCCTGTGCTCAAGTTTCAATTCTGCCACACACTGTGTAACCTTGGACACATTACTTAACATCTCTGTAACTCTAAGAGTACTCAACTATCAAATGGAATAATAATGGTATCTACTTCACAGAGTTGTTAACGATGATTAAATAAGTTAAAATTTGTAAAGTCTTAACTGACTCTCATGCCAATGTTAAATAAACAGGGTGGGAACATTATGGGTGATTTAAACATTTTTGAATTATCTTATTGTTTTATACTTTATAAATTTGATACAATATGGTTTTTCCTCAGGATAAGGACAATTCTCAAAATGGCCAAAAAAATGTAAATGCTGGTAGATTCCCTTGTGGGAGATAGTTAAGCTGATACCTTCCTCAGTCCAGCAGCCAAAACCCAGGACAAATGTCTGCAACACAAATAGCTTACTGTCTGAGTAACCTGAAATATCCCCTGCTCAGTCTCACCTGTTCCAGAAACATATTGTCCTCAACCCTCCCGGCACTCAGTGCATGTCCTCTTCCCAATGATCATCTATTCATTTATAGACTATAATGTAACAGAATTTGTCACATGCCATGCTTTTAAAAAATTTTTTAATTGCCAAATAAAAATTGCATATATTCACCGTGTACAACATGATGTTTTGAAATATTTATACACTGGGAAATGGCTAAACAAGCTAATTACCATATGCATTACTTCATATACTTACCACTTTTTGTGGTGACAATACAAAGTCTACTCTCACTGATTTTCAAGAATACGAGATATTTTTATTAACTATAATCAGGCCAGGTGCGGTGGCTCATGCCTGTAATCCCAGCACTTTGGGAGGCTGAGGAGCATGGATCACTTGAGGCCAGGAGTTCAAGACCAGTCTGACCAACATGGTGAAACCCTGTCTCTACTAAAAATACAAAAATTAGCTGGGCATGGTGGTGCACGCCTGTGGTCCCAGCTACTCAGGTGGCTGAGGCACAAGAATTGAACCCAGAGGCAAAGGTTGCAGTGAGCCAAGATCACAGCAGCACACTTGAGCCTGGGTGACAGAGGAAGGCTGTCTCAGAAAAACAAACAAACAAAAAACTATAAATCACCACCTTATACAACAGATCTCTTGACTTATTCCTCCCGGCTGAAATTTTGTATCCTTCGATCAGCATCTCCACATGCTATACTCTTTATTTATTTTTGAGACAGAGTCTCGCTCTGTCGCCCAGACTGGAATGCAGTGGCGAAATCTCCAGGCTCACTGCAATCTCCACCTCCCAGGTTCAAGCAATTCCCATGCCTCAGCCTCCCAAGTAACTTGGATTACACACATGTGCCACCATGCCAGGCTAATTTTTGTATTTTTAGTAGAGACAGGGTCTCACCACATTGGCCAAACTGGTCTCAAATTCCTGGCCTCATGTGATCTACCTGCCTTGGCCTCCCAAAGTGCTGGGTTTACAGGTGAGCCACCGCACCTGGCCACACATGCTATACTCTTAACCATCCACATGTCTTTTCTTCCCTAATCATACTCTAACATCTAATTAAACTTTAATTTAGAATTCTTAGGGGTGACCATAAATATTAACTGCTAAAATTTGCCATTCATTTGACCTACAATTTGTGATTTCAGTTACTGCAACTGGCAACTTAATCAGAAAATCACCCTAGTAATCTCACATTGGCAATCATGAAACAAGGTATCACAAACAAGCTATCATAAATAAATATTAACTTCTAAAATTTGCCATTCACTTGACCTTCTACAATTTGTGACTGTCTTCAGTTGCTGCAACTGGCAACTTAATCAGAAAATCACCCCAGTAATCTCACATGGGCAATCATGAAACAAAGCTAATAAGAATTCATGTGTCCAAAATTTCTCCTTCATGTTTTGGATTGGCTTTCATATGTATCTCATAATTACATATGTATAGTATTATTATTATTTTTTTTTTTTGAGACAGAGTCTCGCTCTGTCACCCAGGCTGGAGTGCAGTGGTGCAATCTCGGCTCACTGTAACCTCTGCCTCCTGGATTCAAGCAATTCTCCTGCCTCAGCCTCCCGAGTAGCTGGAATTACAGGCATGTGCCACCACACCTGGCTAATTTTTTTGTATTTTTAGTAGAGACGGGGTTTCACCATATTGGCCAGGGTGGTCTCAAACTCCTGACCTTGTGATTCAGCTGCCTCGACCTCCCAAAGTGCTGGGATTACAGGCGTGAGCCACTGCGCCCGGCTGTATAGTATTATTTTTAAAGCAATTTTCTCCTGCAATAACAAAAATGTTTCCATTCTCCAATACAGTAGCAAATAGCCACAAGTGGACACAGAACACTTAAAATGTGGTTAGTGTGTGCTACAGGAAGTGACTTTTAATTTTATTTCATTTAAATTTATTTAAACTTAAATAGCCCATGACTGGTGGCTACTGAATGGACAGCACAGTTGTAGGACTTTCCTTATTCAAAGAGACACCTTCTATAACAGCACTAAAAAGATACAGTAGATGAGCCTGGGTAAATTTCGCTTTCCTTCTTGGAGCTCCAGTTTCCTCATCCATAAATGGGAAAAAGGACCACTACTCCACAAGGCTTTTGTGAAAGGTGAACAAGATCATAAACATGAAAATTGAATAAATCACAAGGGAATGATAAATAAATAAAGGAATAATTACCCATTTCATGGACAGAAAATATTTTATTATATTAATGACTGTTATCATTAGACGGTTAAAGGATATGTAGGCAGGCGTAGTGGCTCACACCTGTAATCCTGGCACTCTGGGAGGCTGAGATGGGAGGATCACTTGAGCCCAGGAGTTCAAGACCAGCCTGGCCAACATAGGACCCTGTTTCTACAAAAAATACAAAAATTAGCCAGGTGTGATGGATGGTGTGCACCAGTAGTCTTAGCTACTGAGGAGGCTGAAGTGAGAGATCACTTGAGCCTGGAATGCAGTGAGCCATGACGGAGCCCTGGACTCCAGCCTGGGTGACACAGTGAGACTCCATCTCCAAAAAAAAAAAAAAAAAAAAACAAAAAAAAAAAACAGATATGTAAGATTAGATAGTTCAACTAAGTGTGACTGGCATGATAAATAGCTTTATTGAGATATAATTCACATACATACACCATTTAAAGCAAATTCAGTGGTTTTTAGGATTTTCTTTTCTTTTTTTTTTTTCTTGAGACAGAGTCTCACTCTGTCACCCAGGCTGGAGTGCAGTGGCACGATCTCAGCTCACTGCAAGCTCTGCTTCCTGGGTTCACGCCATTCTCCTGCCTCAGCCTCCTGAGCAGCTGGGACTACAGGCGCCCGCCACCACGCCCGGCTAATTTTTTGTATTTTTAGTAGAGACGGGGTTTCACCGTGGTCTGGATCTCCTGACCTCGTGATCTGCCCGCCTCGGCCTCCCAAAGTGCTGGGATTACAGGTGTGAGCCACCGCGCCCAGCTTAGGATTTTCAGAGTTGTACAATCATCATAATAAATGTTAGAGAATTTTTATCATCCCAAAAACATGAAAGTAGGTAGATGTTACTATAATTATTCAAAAAAGTAAGCTGCATAAACCAGTGCCTGTCACTGGGCAGGTAATGTCCTATGTGAGAGGAAAGAATCATTAATGGACTCTATGCCTGGGCTGACGTCAGAGAGATATGGATTCATACCCTACTTCTGCAGTTTACTCACTGTTTGTCCCTGGGCAGGTTCTCATGAGGTGCAGTGAAGATCTAACAAGACCATGGGTATAAGGCACTTAATGTAGTGCCTAACACAAAGTGGATGCTCAGCTGGTTCTCTTCCATTTTCTTCCCCCAGCAAGGGCATAAGGTCCATGAGAAGCTTAGACCATTATGGTTTACTGATGCCTCCTCAGCCAACTCTTAAAACTTTACCTAGAACATAGCAGATGCTCAATAACCACTTGCTGAATGAATAAATGAATTTTCTTACCAAGCTCCTGGGGTTCCCACATGTAAGGATCAACCCCTCCATAGCTGAAAGACTCATATCCTTGGGTCCCTGACTCTGCTCGATCATCCCCTTCTCGTTTCAACAACCTGTCCTTTGCTTTTTTAGCCTTCTGGACAAGACCTTGAAAAATGGAACAAATAATACAAATGAGCCATGAAGAACACCCAGTAAACAGTCAAAAGAAATCTCAAAAAACAAGAGTTGACGAAATAATTATCGTTTGTTTAAAAATGCACCAGAAATATTTAGATCTCAAGTAAAATGCAGGAGCAAGCACACAAACACTATATTACAAATACCACAGAGCAATACACTAGTTAATCAATATTAGCATTAAATTGGTTTAGGCGGCCAACATATGGGCTAAATTACTGCTCATTGCCAAATTTAAGAGCACAATTAAATAAAAGTGCTAAAATCAAATTTGATGAGGAAAACAGGGTGATGGAAGTGTTTTCTTCTTTATCTTAATTGGAGTGGTGGTGAAGTGGGTATATACATTTTTGAAAACTTTTTGAATTGGGCCAGGCGCAGTGGCTCACACCTGTAATCCCACAAGGGAGGCAAATTGCTTGAGTCCAGGAATTCAAGCCAGCCTGGGCAACATGACAAAACCCCATCTCTACTAAAAATACAAAAAACTAGCTGGGTGTTGTGGCATGCACCTGTAGTCCCAGCTACTTGGGAGGCTGAGGTGGGAGAATCACCTGAGCCCAGGAGGTCGAGGCTGCAGTGAGCTGAGATTGTGCCACTGTACTCCAGCCTGGACAACCAGAATGAGACCCTGTCTCAAAAAAAAAAAAAAAAAAAAAAAAAAATTAAAACTATACCTCAGTTAAAATAATGTTTTTTAAAAAACAAGTTCTATAGTACTAATTCATTTACCCCAGAAACTCATGAGTAAATTCTTCTCATTTACCTCCAGGATGGGATTCAGCTAAACCTCCATCCGTGGACTGGTGTTCCCCATAGGCTTAACTGGACACAGAGTTCTTGCTTCCCCACTACTGCCCACGCACTTATTGAATGCATGTGAGAATACTTGCAAAAAGCTTCAAGAAACAGATATAACATCTACAACATAACACAAACAGAACCAGATTGGGTAAGAAGAGAAAATGAACATTTCCTGTATTTAGCCATCGTATGTACCAGGTACAACGCAAAGTGCTTGCAAATACATTATGCCAGTTCATGCTTACAATGTTATAAGGCAGGTGATAGCCCTACTTACAAATGAGGAAACGACATCAAAGACAGGGAAGAACTTGCTTCACCCAAGATCACAGAGCTTACAGGTAACAGCAGGGCTGGAAGTAGACACCTCATGTGCCTGAAATGAGAGCTCCAGCTCTCCCCCGCTAGTCCTGATTCACAAACTATGCCTCTGCAGAACATGGGTTCTGCCACCTGTGCTGGTGCAGAGAACCACCTGTTAAACTGAACAATCAGCTGGTGTGGGGCGGGAAGAATTCTCAGTTCTAAGACGCTCTCTCATGAATGTTCTTTAATCTTGGATGACTGCTATCCCTTTCTTCCACCAGAATCTAGTAGAAAATATCAGACTGAATATAAAATGGTATCATTACTTTTACTTTTTAATTATTTATTTTTTAGAGACAGGGTCTTGCTCTGTCACCCAGGCTGGAGTGCAGTGGCTGATCATAGCTCACTGCAGCCTTGATCTCTTGGGCTCAAGCGATCCTCTCGCCTCAGTCTCTCAAGTAGCTGGGACTATAGGTGTGCGCCACCATGACTAGGTAAATTATTTTATAAAACATTTTTTTGTAGAGATGTTGCCCAGGTTCGCAGGCTGAGGGTGAGATTGATAAGAATACACTTGTCTTTTTTTTTTTTTAAGACGGTCAAGCCAATAAGCAAACTTCCTGATTATTGGTCACTGTGGGACAGCTTTGTCCAAACTGGAAAAATACTAAAACAAAAGGACATCCTTTAAAATGCACTAAAGTGGGTTTTTTTTGTTTGTTTGTTTGTTTTTTTTTGAGACAGAGTTTCACTCTTGTTGCCCAAGCTGGAATGCAATGGCAGCAATCTCAGCTCACTGCAACCTCTGCCTTCCAGGGGTTCAAGGGATGCTCCTGCCTCAGCCTCCCGAGTAGCTGAAATTACAGGCACGTGCCAACACACCCAGCTAATTTTTGTATTTTTTTTAGTAGAGATGGGGTTTCACCACATTGGCCAGGCTGGTCTTAAACTCCTGGCCTCAGATGATCTGCCCACCTCGGCCTCCCAAAGTGCTGGGATTGCAGGCATGAGCCACTGTCCCTGGCCTAAAGCAGTCTTTTCTAGTAACAGGGGAGAGAAAACTGCCTGATGTGAACAAAGGGTCTAGCAAACAGGAATGTGAGTTAGCAAGTAACAATTCATTTTTGCAAACAAGACTAAAGTATCAGGTTAAACAGGCAATCTATACCATTTAACCACTTTTAGGAGATAGAAAAACTGCCTGGCAATGTTCCCAGAAAGGACATAGCCCTTCCAGAGAAGGCCAATTAAAAATAATCCCATATATTTTAAAAAACACTAACAAAGCAAGAAGCCACAGTCAATTTTCAGCTATCTTTTCTTCTACTTACTGAAAATGGGCTAGACTGGAGCTGAACCAGGACTGGGCCCCGAACCCACTAACTTTTTACTAATGACTAATCTATCTTTTCTTTTTTGAACTGCCCCCAAAACCTAATACTAAGGTTCACTCTTTTGGCTTTAACTTTTCACTTGCCCAAAACTAACCATGTCATAACATTTCTAAGAATCAAAAGACCAAATGGAGACGTAATCTGCTTTCTAAAGGGCTTTTCAAAAAACCTTTCATGTCAATCCTTAAAACTTTACTTTCCTGATTCTGAAATGCAGAAAACTGCAACATAATCAAGAATTCCTTTCTAACTAAAGACATGATCATTAATAGTACTAGAGGTAGAGATGTCGGGGGTAAGGCAGGGTGGGAAATAAAGGGAAAAACCAAGAGGATCTTTTCTTTCTTTTTTTTGAGACAGTTTCACTCTGTTGCTCAGGCTAGAATGTAACAGCCTTGATCTCCTGAGCTGAAGCGATCCTCCCACCTCAGCCTCCTGGGTAATTGGGACTACGAGTGCGTGCCACTATGACTGGCTAATTTTTTTAAATGATTTTTTTGTAGAAATGGTCTCGCTATGTTGCCCAGTCTGGTCTCCTGGGCTCAAGCAATCCTCCTGCCTTGGCCTCCCAAAGTACTAGAATTACAGGCATGAGCCACCGCACCCGGCTGAAGTAACTTTATTTTGTTTTTTTGTTTTTGAGTCAGAGTTTCACTCTGCTGCCCAGGCTGGAGTGCAGTGGCATAATCATGGCTCACTGCAGCTTCAACCTTCCGGGCTCAAGGGATCCTTCTGCCTCAGCCTTCCAAGTGGCTAGGACTACAAATGCATGTCATCATGCCCAGCTAATTAAAAAAAATTTTTTTTTATTTTTGGACAGGATCTATGTTGCCCAGGCTGGTATCAAACTCCTAAGCTGAAGCGATCCTCCCGCCATGGCCTCCCAAAGTGCTGGGATTACAGATGTGAGCCACTGTGCCCAGCCAAGGATCCTTTCAAGTTTCTTTCACAAGGCACAAAATTTCTATTCTATTTAGTATTCCTTAAATAGATTCCCATATCTGTATTCTCTAAATAACCTTAAACATTTTTCCTCTTAAAAAAGGGTCACTGTAGGAATCCGGGAACATTCTCTAACCTCTCTACCCACTGGTATCACCAGGTTGAGCAATGGCATTGTATAGGACTTAGTTCAGCTGACACCAAGACTGGAAGCTAGTTGAAAATGATGGAAGCTCTTCGGTTGTCCAAAGGAAACTTACATAATCAGGTTTTTTAGTTTTGTTTTTGCTTCATTTCCCCCAGGAAGCTGCAATGCATGTTGTGATTGGAACACGGGGCCTCTCACCCTCAGTGATGTCACGTGCAAAGGGCAGCACTGGATTTACAGATGACAGAAGACCTACGTTCCAGGCCTAGCTCTGCCAATTCCTGTGTGACCGTGGATAAGTAACTCAACATCTCTTGAGCCTCACTTCACTTACTATCTGTAAAATGAGACCAATCACCTTCTTGCAGAGTTGTTAGGAGAGTCAGATGAAACAATAATGTCTGTGAAAGAAACTCTAAAAACTATAAAGCACAGCATTTTTTTCCCTCCTAATAGTTTTGGCTCTGTTCTATAGCCTCTACAGCCAGAAGCCACCTCATCCACCAAAGCCCTCAGGATTTCAGAAATGTTTGCCTTTGTTGTTTTTGGATAGAAGTTATAACTGTTTATGCTTTTAGAAACTCTTTTTTACTGAACAGAAAAGTGAGATAGAGTGAGACTCTAGGGACAAATATCTGATTACAAAGTGCATATGATTCACCTGTCTGAAAGCTGAAGTCCACTTAGAAATACATGATCATTCCTTTCTTTCTCTCCCAATAAAGACTTTGAATACAACATCCAGAACTCTTTAATCTCAAGGCCTTCAGAAATGCTGCCAGCTGTGAGAAGCAAGTTAGCTGAATAACTACAAAATAAGTTCCAGAGGAGCAGCATCTTTGGCGTGTGTGTGTTTGTGTGTGTGTGTGTCTCTCTCTCTGTTGCCCAGGTGCGAGTGCAGTGGCATGATCATCGCTCACTACAGCCTTGACCTCCCTGGGCTCAAGTGATCCTCCTACCTCAGTCTCCTGAGTAGCTGGGACTACAGGCGTGCACCATCACGCCCGGCTAGTTGTTTTTTTTTTTAATTTTTTTTGTGAGACGGGGTTTCGCCATGTTGCCCAGGCTGGTCTTGAACTCCTGAGCTCAAGTGATCTGCCCACTCTGGCCTCCCAAAGTGCTGCGAATAGAGGCGTGAGCCACTGTGCCCGCCCAGAGGAGCAGCATCTTATCTGGAGGTTAGAATTTGATGTCCAGGAAATACAATAAACATATGTATAGTGAAAAGTACCTTTGAAAAATTCTTTCCACAACTCTCTCAAACCTGAGCTCTTGGAAGCTCAAAAACCAAGGTTTTTAGGTTGTTTTGTTCTTCGACTATGACCTTCCTTTTTCTGGGCTATAGAGGGCAAGATACCAATTGGGGAAGGAAGGATGGTGGGAAGTCTTAAATTTGTGACAGGTAAAATGGGTGCATAATGTGCCTCCATCATCATAGCAAAGGAAAGAAATTCCTCTCCAAACCCTGTTAGGCTGGTGGTTAAAGAACAGTCAAGCCAGATCACAGCAATTACATTTACTAGACTCAAAGTCAGATTGTTTCTCTGAGTGGCTTCAGACAAGTTATCTAATCTCTCTGTGTCTGGTTCGAAATGTGGCTTACAGCCACACAGTTATTGTGAGGATTAAATGAAATTAATAAACAGGGAAACTCTGAAAACGCCTGGCACATGACAAACACTAGTCATCTGTTTGCTACTACTATTATCATATTCCTGTGGCAACACCAAAGCTGATGAGAACTATCCCGTGAGTTAAAGCTCTCAACGACAGCAGGGGATAGGCAAGGTCCTCGCCTCTTACTTTTAATTTGCCCTTTGACATCACGGTCTTCCCCTGAGTGTTCTTCCTCGTAATGTGAGTGAAGCTGATAGAAAGACTGCAGATCCTTCAGGCACAGAGGGCAGAGGAAGCCCTCCCTCACTTCCCCTGGGTCGTCCAGAGAAGCCATGGCAGTGCCGCTCTCAACCCTAGGAAGGCAGGAATCTCATGCCAAGAGTCAGCTTGATTCCTCCCAAGGAACCATGGTTCCCGCAGCATTAGCTTAAGCAGCACACAGATGGTGAGGAAGTGGCTTCATGGCCCTGGATGAGGTTTCCTCTCTGGAGTAGGAGGAGCCCTAAGAAAGAAAAGAAGAAGGGAAAAAAGCCAATTCAGGCAAACTGGTAGCAATTGAGGATTTTCTTCATTCTTTTCACAGTTCAATGGGGTACTTAATGTTTATTCAGTGCAAGTTTGAGAAAACAAACTCTTTCTCAAATCCTTAGACCAAGCAAGCTGCAAAACCTAAAATGTGAAAACATCACTGGAGAACAAAAACTCAATGAAGTGGGAAGCACAGATTCTTGAAATAAGCAAACAATACCTTGGCAATTCTCTTACATTCATTCCAAATGATCCAACTTCATAATTCATATGCCACTTCAGCCACTGGGGGAATGTCTGAAGTACTTATCAACAAGCAGAAGTTTTTACTTGATGCTCTTTACCTTGATTGTTTATTCAACCACATATAGTAAGTTCTTGATACTTGTAAGACACCTGTGTTAGAAATGCAAAGATGAAAAAGATATAGTATCTGCCATAAAAACATACAAAAAATCAAAAATCCTAACATCAGTTAAAGAGAAACAATAGAAACCTACTAGTCAAAAAGAAAAAATCTATTTTATATTTGTAGAGCACTTATCTCTAATGGGCGTACTATATTTTCCTTTTTAAGAGACAGCATCTTGCTCTGTCACCCAGTGAGCTATAATTGCTCACAACAGCCTCGACCTTCTCGGTTCAAGTGATCCTCCTGCCTCAGCCTCCTAAGAAGCTGGGACTACAGGAGTATGCCACCACACCCAGCTAGTTTTTAAATTATTTATAGAGACAGGTTCTTGCTATGTTTCCCAGGCAGGTCTCTAACTCCTGGCCTCAGGCAATCCTCCTGCCTGAGCCCCCCCAAACTGCTGAGATTACAGATGTGAGCCACTGCACCCTGACAGATCTTATAAGCCATTAAGTGACAGTTAAGTAGCAAACCTGATGTTCTCACTGCTTCAAAAATAAAAGGCTGGCCAGGCATGGTGGCTCAAGCCTGTAATCCCAGCACTTTGGGAGGCCAAGGCAGGCGGATCACCTGAGGTCAGGAGTTCGAGACCAGCCTGGCCAATATGGTGAAACCCTATCTCTACTAAAAATACAAAAATTTGCCGGGTGTGGTGGTAGGCGCCTGTAATCCCAGCTAGTGGGGGTACTGAGGCAGGAGAACTGCTTGAACCCAGGAGGCGGAAGTTGCAGTGAGCCGAGATCATGCCATTGCACTCCAGCCTGGGCAACAAGAGCGAAACTCCATCTCAAAAAAGTAAATAAATAAATAAATAAATAAATAAATTGATTTGGGGCCTAAACACTTCAGGGCTTAATAAGTTACATTCTCTTTCTTACTGGCTCATGGCAAAGTCACTTCCAATGTCACCTCATCAAGACACCCAGTCACAAGAGAAATTGAGACAAAACCATTCCACAAAAGCAGAGAAATTTCTCCCCAAGAACCTGGGGATACAAGCCACAGTATATAGTGAGGGGAGATGTGTGACCCTCAGCTTTGGATGGACTGTAGAAGACCACCGAGGAGGGACTGCCTGGTCCTCAAAGCTGAAGGGTGGCAGCAACTCAGAAAATAAACAAATGAGACACCAGGTCCCTATTTTTTCCCTCTAGTTAAGAAACCCAGTGACTTCATAACTTTTCCACTGGAATATAGCAGCCCTAGGTCTGGCCTGTTCCCTCCCCAGCCAGTGGTTCATCTGATGCTGACTCTGACAGCTCCCTTTCTTCCCATGCACTCACCCCTAACGACCACAAATAACACAAAGCCCACCACATCCATGCCACACAACCACCCTTCACGCCTCAGCCCAAACCCAAACCTCACTTCCTCAAAAGAAATGCCTCTTACTCAGAGCATCAGAATGGACTTCTCCTTCACAGCACTCATCTCAATTTATAACCGCAGGTACATACGTGAAGTGACCAAGTAAGACTGTAAAATCTGGGAGGGCACAGACTCTATATGTTTTCCACTTCGCCGTCTCCCCAGGGTTTAGCACAGTACCTGGCACACACAATGAAGCAGCACAATAAAGCTCCATGAATGAACGAAGAAATGAATGAACTCCAAAATCATATAACTAAGCATACACCATAAAGAAATCTAACACAACCACCGAATTGGACCCCACAACCATAACTGAACACATAAGCAAGCCCCTCGCACTCTAAATCACGTAAAAAGTAAAAAAAATAAAAATAAAAAAAATAAATATAGCTACATGTTCTGCAGCCGTACATCCAGCATGAATGTCACCCCGCCACATGCCGCATCGACGACACATCCCACAGCCGCACTCAACCCGGCCTCACGATCGCAACCACAACCCACATAACTAACATGATTATACACACATCGCATGACCACACACAACACGAACGACTCAATCCCGTGAAGCAGACATGACAACGTCACACATCGCACAGACACCACACAAAACACTCCGAACATCTCCACACGAACTCAGAATACAAACGCTTCAGCTTTACACAACCAGAGAATCAAACACAACCGCTCGGGAGACAAGCACCCACCCACTCCACCCACAGCTGCACAACCAAACCCAAGTGTATACGCCCCGCGTAACCGCACAACCACACAGAGCCCAATCATCAAAGGCACACACAAGCGAAACGCACGGCCTGAAAGCCCCATCTCCCACCTCTCACGTCACACCCACCACAACCACACACGGCCCGCCCGTCTCCGTTCTGGAGGAGTCGTGTCCCCGCCCCCCAGACTGGGCCTGACCCTCTGTATGTACCCTGCCGGGCTCCTGCGGGCACCCAGGTTTGTCCCCCCCTTCAGGCCCGGGCTCTGGGCCTCCACCGTCCGTCACTCAGCCGCAGCCGCCATCTCCATCGGTCGCTCGGAACTCGGCAGGTGCGCCTGCGGCGGCGACGAAACCGGAAGACAAGCTGGTAGACGCCTGTCGAGCGCCGAGTCTTCGAGGGCGCGAAAAGGGCGGATACGGATTCGAATAGTGGAGGGCGGGCCGGCGGCTTCTGCGCAGGCGCTTTCCGAACGAGGGAGGGGATGGTGGGGAGCGGAGAGAAAGTGGGGCTCGGTAATTTTGTGCGGTTCTTACGTCCCGAATTCGAACTAATAGCGCGTCAAAGCCAGCCAATGGCTCTGCACCGCCTTGTACAGGTGGGAAAGCTGAGACCAGTAGATCTTTGGCTCTTGACCAAAGTGCACAAAGAATAAGGCAGCCAAGGAATCAAAGTTCCTGAGAGCTAGAGACAGAAAAAATATTCAGGGGACGTGGAGGCGATGGAAAGTCCAAGAATAGAACCACATGAGAGTGGAGACTTGGTATGAGAAGGTGTATCCCGGGGTGTACAGCATGGCCAAGCCTGTGGAAAAGATGGCATTTTCAAAAGGCAGGACGATTGATCAGCCAGGACCTACCCCGTGCCTACGCTGTGCTGGGTACCACGGGGTATAGAGAGGCAAAACCTCATCCCAGTCCCGGAGACCTATTTGCTTTGTGCCCTGCACACGTTCTGGACCTTAGCAATAGCCAGCCTCTAGGAGCAAGAGCTGCAGAGAACGATGGGACGATGGGACGATCCTGGGCCTCCGTTTACATCCCTGCAGTGTTACTGGCCCCCTTTTACAGAAGTAAAATGGGGATGATAATGATAGTCTCCGCTTCACAGTGTTGTGAAGATTGAGGTAATTGCACGGTAGGTAGGTAGGTAGGAGGGTGTCCTGCATATTGGCTTTGCCCATCTCACTTTCCCTGCCTCCAAAAAGTCTTCCCCACCTGGTCTCTGGACAGGAGCACTGAGCCTCCATCACCTTCCATTTAAGGACATGGGGCTCCGGACTTGGAGAGCATTGAGTTTTTGGAAAGCAATCACCAGTGAAAGGGCAGTGAACTAGGGGTCTAGAGATCTGGGTTCTAGCCCTGGCTGTACGTTACTTTGTGGCTTTGAGCAGGTCCTTTCCCCTTTCTTCGCCTGAGTTCTCTCATCTGTACAAAAGAAATTGGCTCCAGTGACTTAGCCTTTTCTCTCAATCTGATGGCCAATTTTTTTTTAACGTTACAACATCTGCAGGAGCGAATAATGACTTCCCTTTGTTTACTGATGGAGACAAGGAAGAGGCTTCCTAACCTGTCAGAAGCAAAGCAACATGCCAAGCTCCCCGTCTCCATCACTAGCTTCTGCCTTAGGTCCCAAAAGCCAGGACTTTGGGAGTAAAACCACCCTTTTGAAAGTCTGAAGCCACCGAGGTCCCAAAACGAGCCACACTTACAGGCAGGACTATGTTTTGGGTAGGGCAATGAACGTTTATTAAACCATCATGATTTTTGCTTGTCATTTTATCATTTACAAAAAACATATTTGGTCGGGCGCGGTGGCTCACGCCTGTAATCCCAGCACTTTGGGAGGCCGAGGTGGGCAGATAACTTGAGGTCAGGAGTTCAAGACCAGCCTGGCCAACATGGTGAAACTCTGTCTCTACCAAACATATAAAACATTAGTCGAGTGTGGTGTCGCTCGCCTGTAATCCCAGCTACTCAGGAGGTTGAGGCAGAAGAATTGCTTGAACCCAGGAGGCAGAGTTTGCAGGGAGCCAAGATTGTCCCACTGCACTCCAGCCTGGGCAACAAAGTGAAACTCCACCTCAAAAAAAAAAAAAAAAAAGAAAGAAAAGAAAAGAAAAAAATATCATATTCATCATTTCATTTGCTCAAAAAAGCAATAGCTATGTGGCCTCAACTTGTAAGTTAATTCTGGAAATCACAGTGGATTGGGCACTGCTCTTGATATTGTTTCTTTTTTTTCTTTTTTCTTTTTTTTTTTTTTTTTTTTTTGAGGCAGAGTCTCACTCTGTCCCCCAGGCTGGAGTGCAGTGGCGTGATCTCAGCTCACTGCAAGCTCCGCCTCCCAGGTTTATGCCATTCTCCTGCCTCAGCCTCCCGAGTAGCTGGGACTACAGGCACCCGCCACCACGCCCGGCTAATTTTTTGTATTTTTAGTAGGGACAGGGTTTCACTGTGTTAGCCAGGATGGTCTCAATCTCCTGACCTCGTGATCCATCCGCCTCGGCCTCCCAAAGTGCTCGGATTACAGGCGTGAGCCACCGCGCCTGGCCGATACTGTTAATGATAATGACAAAGACCTTCCTATATGCTTCACACTTCATCAAAAGTACTTTCTTTAATCCTTTAGGCAACTCTATGACTATTTCCAGTTTGATAATAATAAAAATGACTAATATTTACTGAGGGATTTGCACATGCCAGACACTGTTCTATGTGCTTTCCATATCTTAACTCATTTCATTCTCACACAACCCAATGATGTACAAACTATACAAAATGTAATAATATTCCCATTCTATAGAAGGGAAGCTGAGGCACAGAGAGGTTAGGTGACTTGCCCAGGGTCACCAGCTGGTGAGCCTTGAACCCAGAGTCACCTTGCCTTGAGGCTTTCACAATCCCCACTTTTCCTTCCTCTGTGAAGTGCTGATAGACTTCCTGTACCTCCTCAGCTTCCTCCAGGCACCACTCCTGTACTGGGCATAGAGAGGGGATGTAAGCCAATTAGTTCAAAACAGAAATGTGCACGTGCACACAGATGCTCTGGTGTGAGAGGAGAGACCAGCAGAGTCCCCTGCAGGAATTCACGAAAGGTTTCCCAGAAGCGGGCAGCACGTGAGCATGGTCCTTGGGTAGAAACGATTGGGAAGGGCCTTCCAGGCCAGGGGAACAGCATATGCAAAGGCATAGTTATGGAGAAGAACATGAGTCCTTTGAGAAACTCACAGAAAAGTTCATTCACACATAGAGGGATGATATCAAGCCACTCCTCCTTGTTCCCAAAACTGTAGGCAGCCACTTCTAGTGAGAGAATCGTGGACAGCTGGGTCTCTTCACCCTTGCCCCCTGCCTTAGGGTTCTCTATCTTTCTGTCTCTCTATCCCTCTCTCTATCTCACTCTCTCACTTTCTCTTGGCCCTTATTTGTCTAAGTTTATCCCAAGCAGCACAAGACATCTTGGCACCACATTAAAATCCTTGGGCAAGAAAATAAATTATGATATGGATAACATAAACGTCATTGGGGAAGGTCTGGGCACATCATGTAACTTCCCGAAGGGCCAACTGCCCTCCAGGCTGGCCTGGCCCCAGCTCCCAGGCCTCTGCCAGCTGCTGTGGTCTGAGCCAGCGGGTTGAGGGCATTGAGGTTGGCACACCCTGTCTGCTGGCACAGAGAAATGAGGGTGATGACAGACAGCCTGGCAGAGCCTTGCCTGGAGGATGGAGGGAGGGTGTGCTGGGCTGGGCAGTGTCTGAGGGAAGCAGGTGGCAGTTGCTGTGGCCCTGTCAGGAAGGAAGCAGGGAATGAAGAAGGAAGAGAAAACGAGGGGAGAAAGGAAGAGGAAGAGGGAGGGAAAGAATGACAAGAAAAAAGCGAAGATGGAGCAAAAGTCGACCTGGGTTTGAATCCCAGCCCTGCCACCTGTGGCCACGTGAACCTTGGGCGGGTCACTTAAATTCTCTGAGCTTCAGTTTCCTTATCTGTGAAATGAGATAATTATAGTACTCACCTCTTAGGTTGGAGGGTTAAATAGCTTAATATTTGGAAAGTGTTAGAACAGCGCCTGGCACAGGGGAAGGACTATGTAAATGTTTGTTAAATAAAGAAAAAGGAAGAGCAGTGTAATTCACATGCCTTGGCTGTTGTGTTGCGCTGAGTCAGACAATAGCATGAGGGTGTGAGGATCCAATCTGGTGTCATAGAAATAGCTTTGAGAGTCATGGCCTTGCCAGATGGGATGTCTCCAAAAAGAACTCAGAATAGAATCACATAGCAACTAGATTCATTAAATCCAATAGTGGGTGGGGGAACAGCCTCAGCAAACCTGAAAAGCAGGAAACATGGAATTGACTTGGGAGATGTGAGCTTCAAAGCCAATCAGTTTGCAGGTAGCGGGCTGGCATTGTCTTTGACAAAGCAGGACCACTCCAAGCCCATTGGGGCCTGTGGCAAATGGGAAAGAGGCACCACTCCCTTCTCTCCCATGGACAAAACCTTGTGCTGGCACTCAAGCCCTGCATTTGGCAAATGGGGCACATACTGGATTTCAGCATCCACTTACCCCCACCCCCACCCTACTCCCAACTATGCTGCATACAACCTGCACGGTGGCCCTAAGTGCAGGGAGGAGGAGAATCAAGAGCACAGCATGGTCCTCAGGTCACGAGAAAAAGTCACGCTGGTTGTCTGCAGCTTCAGATCTCATTCCCTGACTTACATCTTCAGAGATACGCACCTTCAGCCAGTTGAGAAGTTAACCTCAATTTTAACCCAGATTTGAAACAATCTGTGTGTATATGGTATTTTAAGTATTTGAGGGATTTAAGAGTGTTTGGCATATTAGAGCATCTAACACATTCATCTCATGACTCCAGTTTAAAATCTGTAACTCAACAAATGACTTAGGCTTGTGATTTTAAGTTCATTCAACAAACTATGTATTAAGCACCTACCTACATGAGTGCCTGAGATAAACAAAACAGACATTGATCCTTGCCCTCAGGGAGATGACATTCGCATGGAGAGACACAGATCCTAAACAATTAATATACTAAATAAGTATGTTATATAGCACATTAGAAAATGGTAAGTACTATAGAAAAAAAAAACAGAGTAAAGAGAACAAGGAGTGCCAGGTTGCAGAACTTATAGCGTGGTCAGGGTAGGCCTCATTGAGAAGGCAACATTTGAGAAAAGACTTGAAGAAAGTGAGCCATGTGGATCCCTTGGGGAAGAGCATTCCAGGCAGAGGGAACAGCCACTGAAAAGTCCTCATGTGGAAGTGTGCAGGGCAGTTTGCAGAAAAAGTAATGAGGCCAACACCCATGTCCATAGCAGTATTATTCACAATAGCCAAACGATAGAGACACCTCAAATGTCCATCAACATGTCAACATAGAATAATCAAAAGAGTCAGCATGCGGTCTTTTTGTTGTTGTTGTTGTTTTTGTTTGTTTGTTTTTAGAGACAGGGTCTCACTCTGTCACTCAGGCTGGAGTGCAGTGGTGCAATCGTCCCACCTTAGCTTCCTGAGTAGCTGGGACTACAGATATGCACCCCCACACCTAGCTAATGAAGAAAAAATTTTAGAGGTGAGGTCTTGCTATGTCACTAGCTCAGAATGTAGCTTAAAGAGAGTTTAGTCAAATGCAAAGGTTGAGGACTGCACCCTGGGACTGCACACTTCCAAGTTGCCTTGGCAAATGCTCTGGAGAACAAACAAGAGGCTCAAGTTTTTAATGAGAAAAAGGATGAGGCTGGGCACAGTGGCTCATGCCTGTAATCCCAACTACTTGGGAGGCTGAGGCAGAAGGATTGCTTGCGGCCAGGAGTTTGAGACCAGCCTTGGCAATATAATGAAACCCCATTTCTAAAAAAAAAAAAAAAAAAAAAAAAATTGAGTTAGAAAATTAGCTGCGGCTGGGCATGGTGGCTCACAGCTGTAATCCCAGGACTTTGGGAGGCTGAGATGGGTGGATCACCTGAGGTCAGGAGTTCGAGACCAGCCTGGCCAACATGGCAAAACCCCATCTCTACTAAGATACAAAAATTAGCCAGGCGTGGTGGCTCATGCCTGTAATCCCAGCTACTGGGGAGGCTGAGGCAGGAGACTCATTTGAACCTGGGAGGCAGAGGCTGCAGTGAGTCGAGATCATGCCACTGCACTCCAGCCTGGGCAACACAGCCGAGACTCTGTCTCAAAAAAAAAAATAGAAAATTAGCTGGGCATGGAGATGTGCACCTGTAGTCCCAGCTACTTGGGAGGCTGAGGCAGGAGGATCACTTGAGCCCAGGTGTTTATTATTATTATTATTATTATTTTTTGAGACAGAGTTTTCGCTCTTGTTGCCCAGGCTGGAATGCAATGGCATGATCTCGGCTCACTGCAACCTCCACCTCCCAGGTTCAAGCAATTCTCCTGCCTCAGCCTCCCAAGTAGCTGGGATTACATGCATGTGCCACCACACCCAGCTAATTTTTTAGTATTTTTAGTAGAGACGGGGTTTCACCATGTTGGTCAGGTTGGTCTTGAACTCCCGACCTCAGGTGATCCTCCCGTCTTGGCCTCCCAAACTGTTGGGATTACAGGTGTGAACCACTGTGCCCGGCCAAGCCCAGGTGTTTGAGGTTACAGTGAACTATGATCATGCTATTACAGTCCAACCTGGGCAACAGACTGAAACCCTGTCTCAAAAAAGAGAGAGAGAGAAAAAGGACAAATCCGGAGAGCTTACAATTACAGAAGTTGTTCATCAGGAATTCTCATTGGTTTACAGAAATAACATTGGCTAATGATTGGCTACATATTGTTGAACTATAGGGTGTATGGCATTTGATGGCTACTTGGTGTCAGAGCTGGCACAGCCAAGTGGGTTCAAGAGGTAATTATTTAGCTCAAGGAGGAGTGAGATGCGACTGCTGTTACATTTTATTTTTTAATTTTTATTTATTTATTTGAGACAGGGTCTCACTCTGTTGCCCATGCTGGAGTGCAGTGGCGTGATCATGGTTCACTGAAGCCTCGACATCCTGGGCTCAGGTGATCTTCCCACCTCAGCCTCCCGAGTAGCTGGGACTACAGGCGCCTACCACCATGCCTGGCTAATTTGTCCATTTTTTGTAGAGATAGGGTTTCACCACGTTGCCCGGTTGGTCTCGAACTCCTGAGCTCAAGCAATCTGCCCACCTCAGCCTCCCAAAGTGCTAGGATTACAGGCGTGAGCCACCGAACCCAGTCTGCTGTTCCATTTAATTTAATTTAATTTAATTTAATTTAATTTTTTTTTTTTTGAGACGGAATCTCACTCTGTCGCCCAGGCTGGAGTGCAGTGGCACGATCTCAGCTCACTGCAACCTCCACCTCCCAGGTTCAAGTGATTCTCATGCCTCAGCCTCCTGAGTAGCTGGGATCACAGGTGTGCATCACCATGCCTGGCTAATTTTCGTATTTTTAGTAGAGATGGGGTTTCACCATACTGGCCAGGCTGGTCTTGAGCTCCTGACCTCAAGTGATCCGCCCGCCTCGGCCTCCCAAAGTGCTGGGATTACAGGTGTGTGCCACCGTGCCCGGCCTGCTGTTACAGTTTAAATACCTTTCTGGGCCTGATAATTTAAAGTGGTTAGCATTTCTCAGAAAAAGGTTTTCTTTCTCAAACAGATGAATGAATAAACAAAGCATGGTCTATGCTTACAATAAAATATCATTCAACCATAAAAAGGAAATGAATTTTGATATCTGATACAACATGGATGGATCTTTTTCATTACATTTAGTGAAATAAGTCAGACACAGGAGGACAAATACTATATGAGTCCACTTATGGTGAGATATCCAGAATAGTCAAATTCATAGAGACAGACAATAAAATAAAGGCTACCGGGGTGAGGGGAGGGAGAGTTATTGTTTAAAGGGTACGGAGTTTTTATAAGGGATGATGAACAAGTTTTGAGTATAGATAGTGGAGCTGGTTACACAACATTGTGACTGTATTTAATGCCACTGAATTGTGCACTTACAAATGATTAAAATGATAAATACTGTGTTGTGTATGTTTTACCACAATAAGCAAAGTAATTTCTGGGCGAGATGTCAAAGCCCTGGCAATGGTAAGTGATTGGCTCGCAGGTAGTTAAGAAGAGTTTGCCCACAACAGTATAGGATTGAAAGGGAAAGTTTTATAAGATAGAAAGAACCCTGCATCAGAGTGTGGCCGGCGCCTCAGCAAGAGAGGACTGTGTGAACCACAGTGGATTTTCCTCAGGGGCATTTATGGACCTTAAAGCGGGAGCTTAAGGGTAATTTGGACCATGTTAGCCACATCGGTCATAATAAATGGAGGCCGAGGCAGGAGAATCACTTGAACCCGGGAGACGGAGTTTGCAGTGAGCCGAGGTCGTGCCATTGCACTCCAGCCTGGGCGACAGGAGCAAAACTCCGTCTCAAAAAAAAAAAAAAAAAAGTTACACTTGTAGATATTTTGGTGCTTTGATGTCAGCAAGGGTTGCACAATGAGTTTTGACATGCATGCATTCGGAGATGTATAGAAATTCTGGTTTCTTATACATTTTGGGGAAGGAAGCAGGGTACTAGATACCAGCTTTAGATCATAGGGAAATCGAATTACTTCTGAATTCCTCAGATGAGGAGTGTCGCCTCTAGATGGTCTGCTTTGTGGCCACCAGGTGATCTTTGCTCTCCTCAGTGATGAGGCCAGTGTGGCTGGAGCAGAGGAAGTGAGGGAGAGAGTTTTGGGAAATCAGGTGTGAGAGCCCAAGGGTGAGGGGAGGTCATAGCCATTGAAGGGACTTTGGCCTTTACTATGAGTGAGGTGGGAGCTGGGGGAAGTGCTGAGTAGGGGAGGGACAGGATGTGACCTCTGACTGCTGGATTGGGAAGAGACACGGAGGTCGGAAATGCCAAGTGTGCATGGCACATAGTAAACCCTTCAGAAATTCAGGTGACAGGATGCATGTAGAGTCCCTGGAAGGAAACACCAACTGTAACAGCGGGCACCTCTGGGGAGGGAAACTGGAATGGTGGGGAGACTGACTTTCCACAACGTAGGCTTTTTTCCTATGATTTGAATGGCTTTTTTCCTCTATATGTATTTTTCTTAAAAATATCTAAATCAAAAAAATTAAGGAAAAGGAAAATAGGAGAAGACTGAAAAATCAGCAGAAAGCAAAACTGCGGATGGGGTCCCCAAGCCACCCCTTTCTCCAAAGTTGTTTCCCCTTCATGCACCTGTTTGCTCTTCTGCGATAAGGGAGGCACTTGACAGGCTCAAAAGCCTCATGCCCAGGGAAGTCGTTTGCCCCAACTCGTAGCCTCAAATGAACCCCCACTTTGCTCACAGTTGGGGGTGGGCCCCCTCCAGTTCTAGCTTGTGGGCTGTCTAGCAGGTCAGTGAGGGTTGTAAGTAGCCTTGCCAGCCACCAGGGGGCGGCATCTGGCCACTTTAGAACCTTGCAGCGAACCCGGGTGTCCAAAGCCAACGTGGTTCTGCTGGTTTATCTCCAATGCCTTCCAAGGCTCCCTCCTGCTGACCACCGGAGGAGGCTGAGCATCCCAGCAGCCTGGGGTGGGAGACTCAGTCCCTCTACCACGCCTCTGCACTGCTGCCCCTTTCCTCTTTTAGGGGCTCGCCAAGTAGCTGATAACAGGGAGCCAGGATGCACAACACGCTGTCATGTTCTGGACCAGCCTTGGACCTTCCACAGAGCCCTGGGTTCTTTTATCTCTGGGGCCCCACCCCTAAACCTGCTCTTCCCACAGCTCTTCCATCCATGTGCTCTGGCCAAGAACCGTGGAGTCATCCTTGACTTCTTTCTCTCACATCCCACTTTTTTTTTTTTTTTGAGACAGGGTCTGACTCTGTCACCCAGGCTGGAGTGCAGTGGCGCGATCTCGGCTCACCACAACCTCTGCCTCCCAGGCTCAAGTCATCCTCCCACCTCAGCCTCCCGAGTAGCTGGGACCACAGGCACTCACCACCACGCCCGGCTAATTTTCGTATTTTTTTGGAGAGAGACAGGGTCTCACTTTGTTGGCTCAGGCTGGTATCAAACTCCTGAGCTTAAGCAATCCACCCACTTCGGCCTCCCAAAGGGCTGGGATTACACGTGTGAGCCACTGTGCCCGGCCTCACATCCCACTTCCAACCCATCAGCAAGTTCTGTCAGCTTTTACTTTGGAATGGATCTAGAATATGCGGAATCTAGAATACACTTCTCACCACCTCACTGCCTATATACAGTGCCCTTGACATAAGTAACTCCATGTTAGAAAGATTCCATCTTACATTTCAAAAGGCATCATGCCAACAGGGACCAGATGTCTGCCTCATCAACAGAAACTGCACCCAATCAGGCAAGGGTATGGCCACACACACTTTACTGTCAGCTTTCACCAGAAGACTCAAGGACCATTAAAAAAAAAAAAAAAGCAGGACTTCAGCAGTTCAACTCAGACATCTCACTAGACACTGTCTTGATGTCACTCATGGTCAGCACCCGGCATCTGCCACTGAAAGCTCCACCCAAATCAAGGACTCTTCCTTGCAAGACACTGATGACTGTCAGAATCAGCCCAGAACACTCTCCATGTTCACATCAATGAACCAGTCCAGCTCTCCTTGGAATGATTCATTAACCCCTTTTCCTATCCCCTTTCCCTTCGTGTTAAATGTTACTCTGTTTGATGTGAAATTTTTAATCTATAATATTTACATGTTAATTACGAATACTGCTATGACGGTTTGCAATATTGACTGACCTGTGGATCGGCTTGGACCTATGTGCCCGTGGCTCTGACTACTGAGTGAGCGGGTAATACTAAGAATTGCCTCCTTGGGAACTTCTTGTAGCTCATGGCTTTTATGATTGAATAAGCATCAATAAAAGTCTGACCTTGGGAAAGGCACAAACGTGTGTGGACCTGGTTATGTCTGACCTTGCACTGCTCACAACAATTGGCGTAGTTAGCAGCTGTCCTTCAGTCAGACAAATGTCCAAAACTAAAAGCAGCCATTTATAATCATATAACTGTGATAACCAAATTGGGAAAATTCCTAAAGCCAAATCCTCCACTAAAACTTAAATTAAAAATCAAGCCACTTGGCGAAACAAACGACCACCGTCTCTAAAAAGAGATAATCTCACTTCATGTTGAAAGTCTCGCTCCCTAAGGAAAACCTTGGGTAATGGGGTGGAACTAACCCATGTCGTGCACATCCAAAGGCCGATGAAGTCTGGGCTGACACCAAGCTAGGAAGCTGGTGGAGCCGGAAGGGCTCGTACCAAACAGGGTTTCAACTTACGAGACAGTGGTTGGCAAAACAACTTTAATCTGGCAGAAAGAAAGGAACGTCAATAACCTCCACTCATACTATTGGTTAAGGTGGGAAATGGAAATATTTATTATTAAGAAACCATATAAAGTAGCTATTAATATTGCATAATGTGGGCCCTAGGAAAGAAAATTAAGCAGGCATGCCAGAAGGCTTGTCACCCAAATACAGTACTTAGTGTTGAATACCAGACAGAGTTGGAAGTCAGGAAATGACTCCCTGTACTATCCCCTAAGGATGTACAGTCAGACTCGAGGCTCGCCCCTCCAAATGTTAAACCTTTGATTAGCAGAGCCGCAAAAGAAGAAATCTCTGCACTTTTAATGCAAAGCATCTTACAGACAGACAGGGATCACCAGAAAGGCAAAGAGGTCGTTCATAGAATTTTAAGCAAAAGTAAATCCTTTTCAGATGTAACTTTTGAAAAGGAATGTCTGGGACCAAACCCCCCATCCAGAGGACCCGGGAGATTATGATGACCCTGGGAGGCGGGCGCATGTGGCAAGACCTATAATAACTAGAAAAAGAGTTATAGATTATGACCGTGGACATGACAGCCCTCAGGACATCACTGAGATCACAGAATACATCAAAGCAGAATTACGACAACTAAGAACAAACTTTTGCTAAAGACGGACCACAGATGCAAACTGGCTCCTCTTTATCTGTGGGATAATGGAGCAAACACCATAGTGCTCCCAGCTACTCAGGAGGCTGAGACAGGAGAATCACTTGAACCGGAGAAGTGGAGGTTGCAATGAGTTGAGATCACACCACTGCTCTCCAGCCTGGGTGACAGAGCGAGACTCAGTCTCAAAAACAAACAAACAAACAAAAAACAAAGATTCTAGAATTCCTCAAGGAAGCAAGAAAGATGTGATTACAATTGGCATTTCAAATAACTTTAATAGGCCAGTATGGCCTGTCCTAAAACAAAACAGGAACTATAGACTTTGTTATGGAAATTTAAATATATTCTCACCCAAAATGTCTGAGGCATTTCCAGATGTAGAAGATGTCATTAATAAGATCACTAACTCCAGTGGGAAATACTATGTAACCATAGACGGTCAGACGTGTTCTTTGCCATACCAATAAACAAAAAAAGTCAGGAAAATAGCTCCTTTACTTGGGAAGGCAAAAAATACCCAATTTAAAAGATTACTGCAAAGATAATTAAATAATTCAGTAATAGCTCACTTCATTTCATCATCACACATAGATCAATTAAAATATGTATCACTAAAAATATCATACATAGATGACATTATAATGGTAAACGATGACCAGGAAAAACTTAAGCAAAAAAATTCCCAATTAATAAAACACTTAAGATCACTGGGATAGACCATTCATACAGATAAAACCATAGGCCCAGACACCGATTGCAAATTTTTAGTAGTACAATGGTCACTGGAAAGAAGAACAATCCTGATCACAGTGATAGATAAAATAAAAGTCCTTGGCTGGGTGCAATGGCTCACACCTGTATTCCTAACACTTTAGGAGGTCAAAGTGGGCAGGTCGCTTGGGCCTGGGAGTTTGAGACCAGCCTGTGCAACATGGCCAAATCCCATCTCCACAAAAAATACAAAAAAATTAGCCGGTTGTGGTGGTGCACATCTGTAATCTCAGCTACTTGGGATGCTGAGGTGGGAGAATCGCTTGAACCGGGAGGCGGAGGTTGAGGTGAACCAAGATCACGTCATTGCACTCTAGCCTGGGCGACAGAGCCAGGCTCTGTCTCAAGAATAAAATAAAATCCCTTAAGGTGCCAAACAACACACAGGAAGCACCAAGATGAACAGGTTTATTTGGGTCCTGGAGGCAGCGTACGCCTTACTTAAACATCATCCTGAAACCAATTATAAGATAACCAGGACATCCTGAGACTTCACATGGGGAAGTGAACAGACACAAGCACTTGAAACACTCAAAGACTACATCGCCACATTCCAAACACGGCATCACCCAACTCCAGATTCACTACTTAAGTCAGGAATTCTGATGAGTGATGAATATGGAACACAGTCATTATAGACAAGGAAACCAGATTCTACATCCTTCTTACTGGTCAGATTTGGACAACAAAATTCCCATACTCTAACAACAAATACAGACCATTTGAAAAATACATATGGCTTACATATGAAACCCTCAAAACACTGAGCCTCTGATTGGCAACAACAATGTTACAATTACATGCCATATGCTTCTCCTTTACAGGATAAAACTGAGCCCTGAGGAACTGACAGGTATCCAAATTGATCCAAAGCTGCTCACATGGAAATGGTACATCTAGGGTCAAGACACCGGCTTTAAGGGTAAACCAGGCCTCCTCACTGAGGACATTCACAAGACTGAAACAGACTTGCTGGAGTTTATTTTGAGGACAGGGACAATCCCTGCCAATATAGGTAAATGTGGCCCAGTCTGGTCTAATGTCTTGCCCAGCACCTGGTTTACAGAAGGATCAGCCTTTGTGATTCAAGGCCAGCAGAGCACTCAGATCCCAGGACCAAAGGATCCCAAAGGAGGCAGGTATATCACCCTCTGTACAGCATGCAGACTTGATTGCTTTTGTCCTAGTAGTAAGACAGTGTCAGAAAATAAAAAAAATATACATTTTTACAAACTCATGGACAGTTCCGTATGGCATAGCCCTATGTTCACACAAATGGAAACAAAATAAATTTTTTTTTTTGAGTTGGAGTCTCCCTCTTGTTGCTCAGGCTGAAGAGCAATGGTGCGATCTCAGCTCACTGCAACCTCCACCTCCTGGGTTCAAGCAATTCTCCTGCCTCAGCTTCCAAAGTAGCTGGGATTGCAGGCGCCCGCCACCACGCCCGGCTAATTTTTATATTTTTAGTAGAGATGGGGTTTCACCATGTTGGCCAGGCTGGTCTCGAACTCCTGACCTCCGGTAATCCACCCACCTCGGCCTCTCAAAGTGCTGGGATTACAGGCGTGAGCCACCGTGCCCAACACAAAATAACTTTTAAATTAATGGTAAGAACATGCGGTCCAAACCTTACTGGGAAGAACTATATAAATCATAAAACAAAATTAAGGTATTAATGTATGAGTACACCAAAAAGATAATTCAGTGACCACAAAATTTAGGGATCAAGTAGAGGCATTAACAGGAAACATAACCAGTGACACACAAAACATACCCAAGTTAAAGCAACACAGAAATCCAGAAAGCTCGTGGAGACATTCATTACCACCTCTACAACTCAGGAGGAAATCAGACAGGAGTGGGAGATACCAAGGGACCCTCAATAGCTACTAAAACCGGGAGATGGCTTTAAAATTAAACGGACACCGGAAGCAGCTTACACTCCACAAACACTCCTATAATTACATAAAGAAAAAGGACATTTAGGCACACACTCACTGTATAGGTGGCCATCAGATGGAAATCAAAGGATGGCATGACATCGAATGTAAAAGGCTATAGCTAACTGAGGAATGTGAAACCTGACACCTTTAACATCTGCTCACAGATGGATTTTATCGGACCATTAAGCCACTCCTACCTGCAAATATACGCAGTAACAATGGGGGCTATATACACAAGGACTAGCACAGCAATAGCACCTGGCCACCCATTGCCTAAATCTGTGCTGGCACATAATGGGCCCTCAACAAACATTTATTGAAGGCTCAATGAGTGAATGTGCAATCTCAGGCAAGTTGATTAATCTCTCAGCATCCATTTCCAGTTCTGTAAAATGGGGATGATAACAGCCCACACCTCACAGAGTAATGGCCAATGCTGGTGTCCCTGGCAGGGAGGGGGGTTCGAGGGGGAAGGCAGAGGAGACCTCTCTCCATGAAGTCATTCATTCACAATAAAGCCACTGTCATTTTCAATATGGAGCTTCCAAGGTCACGTGGGAGTTGGTGTCCAGCCAATAGATGGAAGAAGAGAGAATGGAGAAAGTACCTCCACTTCTCATCCATTTGAGCGGAAGCAACTCATCACTCTCTCTCACCTTCATTGGTAAGAACCAGTCACACAGTCCCTCCCAGATGCAGGGAGGGCTGGGAAGTGCAGCCCCTGGCTTGGCAGCCACATCCCTTTAACAGCCTACACCAGGAAGAGAAGCATACATCTCTGGTGGACAGCTGGCCATCCCTGCCTGAAATTCTTTCTCAGGTTGAAACCATCCTTACAGGGATAACAAGCATCACATGCTGGGTTCTGGGCAGAAATATAGTTTATAATTAAGTGTTAATCAGGCTGCGCTTTGGCCCACTTCTTTGGAACCAAAAGTCATGTTAACACTAGACACTGACCATTTGCAAACCCATTGTTCCTATAAGTAGGACCACTGAGGTTAGAATCATAAGGCTTTTATTTAAGAATTGCTTAAGATGTTCTTCAGTGCGCAAATTCCAGCAGAGTGGCAGAGGACAGCCAGCATGAAGACCCCCACAGAGGAACGGGATCAGCATGAGAATGCAGTTTCTTCATCTCCCTGTCCCAAGACTTCACCCTGCACTCTTCGACCAATCAACGACCTCCCCACTTTGGCCCACTCCAAACCCCTTAAAATCCCTAGTCCTAAATTCTTTGGGGAGGCAGATTTGAGGTTTCCTCCTGTCTCCTTGTTTGGTTACCCACAATTATTAAGCTCTTTCTCTGCTGCAATCCCTGGTCTTGGTATACTGACTTGCTGTATGTCAGGCAAATGATCCTATTACAAAGTGAGTTCCAAACTCCGTGAAAACCTCTGGCTGAGCCTTTGTCAGGCTGTCAGGTTACCAAGTTTAGCAAGCTGGTGTGAGAGGCTCCATCCAAATACCCACAGTGTGTAACCCAGTTGATACCTAGTGTCACCAGCCCAGGGAGAAGATCCCCCTGGATTAAAAAAGAAAATCTCATGGCCTCAGCTCCTCCCTTCCTCTCTCTCTCTCTCTCTCTCTCTCTCTTGCTCTCTTTCTCTGCTCCCTCCACACCTCTCTCTTTCTCTCAGTCATGAGAACACAAGCTGTCCTAGCGTATCTTTAGGGTTAGGTTTCTGCCTAGTACTTTCCTGCCCAACAGATCAACCCAGTATGGCTAAACACAGCGAACTTGCAAGGATCATAAGACGCTAAAAATGATGAAAGACGTGAAAAAGCATCTGGGAGAGGCCAGGGTTTTCCCTACACGTTAGGGCTCCTTTCCCACTGCCTTTGCGGGTAGTCAAATCCCACCTACTCTTCACTGGGTGCTCCTTCTCACGTCCCCAACATTCTTGGTGTTGTAGTGGACAGCTATTGCTTTTTTCTCAGTGGCATACAATTCTCTTTCTACATAACATCTCCGTGTCCTGGGGGACCCACCCTCCCTGGTCTCAGTCTATTTCAGGTAATTTTCTTTTTCTCTTTTCTTTTCTTTTCTTTTTTTTTTTTCCGAGATGGAGTTTCGCTCTTGTTGCCCAGGCTAGAGTGCAGTGGCGCGATCTCGGCTCACTGCAACCTCCGCCTCCCGGGTTCAAGCGATTCTCCTGCTCAGCCTCCCAAGTAGCTGGGATTACAGGCATGCGCCACTACGCCTGGCTAATTTTGTATTTTTTTAGTAGAAATGGAGATTCTCCATGTTGGTCAGACTGGTCTCGAACTCCCGACCTCAGGTGATCCACCCGCCTCAGCCTCCCATAGTGCTGGGATTACAGGTGTGAGCTACTGTGCCCAGCCTCAGATAATTGTCTTAATCCAAATGCTACAACATTTGCCATCTAATCCAGATTTAAAACCCAGCTAGGCCCTGTCTTTGTGCAGCCTCCCACACCCCCACTGGCCTCTCATCTCTGCAGAGCCTTCTTTCTTCTCTAAAGCTCCTGTGCCCATCTCTGATAAGCTCCTCAAAATCACTGTGCACAGGGTATCTTCTGGGAAGAGAGAGAGGCCTCCTGTGCTAGGCACTGGCCCACATGGGCTGAGAGTTAGGAGGCTGGTTTCAGGAGGGGAGTCACTTGTTACAGAGCTGCAGAGTTGGCTATTGCTGTGTAACAAACATCCCTAAACTTACTGACTTTCAACAATAAGCATTTACTTTTCTTAGTTCACAGATCAGCTGGGCAGTTCTTCTGGCCTTGGCTGGGCTTTCTCGTGCATCTGAGATTGGCTGTGGACTGAGGGCAGGGGCAGCCCTGCGGGTCTTAGCAAAGCTCTCTCACCTATTCTGGGGCTGACTGGTCTAGAATGGCCTGAACCAGGATAAATGAGTTCTCCTCCATGTGCTCTGTCAACTGCCAGCAGGCTGGCCCAGGCTTATTCACAAAAAGATAACAAGCAGAAGCACAAGAGGTCACTTGAGGCCTAAGCTCATACTGTCACATTATCACTTCTGCTGCATTCCAGCCTTTTACTGGCAACTCCCAAGTCCAGCCTAGATTCAAGGAGAAATAGACCCACCTCTTTCTGGAAGGAACTAAAAGAGGCAGAGGGTTTGCTAGGCTGCCATGACAATGTACCACAGACTGGGTGGCTTAAACAGCAGACATTTATTTCCTCACACTTCTGGAGGCTGAAAGTCCAAGATCAACGTGTTAGCAGGGTAGGTTTCTTCCAAGGCCTCTCTCCTTGGCGGTCTTTGCCTTGTGTCTTTACGTGTTTTTCCCTCTGTGTGTGTGTGTCCTAATTCCCTCTTCCTATAAGGATCAGGGCCCTCCCTAATGACTTTGTTTTAACTTAATCACCTGTTTAAAGACCCTGTCTCCAAATACAGTCACATTCTGAGGTACTGAGGGTTATGGCTTCACCATAGGAATGGGGGGTGGGGCACGACTCAGCCCATGATAGAGACTGGGCCATTTTTGTGCTCAGTATACCACCAATACCTAGCTCTATTCTAACTAAAATGATAACCCTGCAAGGTGGCTGTTAGTCACCAATTTACACATCAGGAAGCTGATGTTTGGAGAGTGTAAGGGACTTGTGGGGCCAGGATGGAAGCCTTGGTCCTCCTGACTGACAGGCTTTCACATTCTCTTTTCCCCACACTAGTGTGTAGCAGGAGCAGGCCCTAGGCTGGACATGGGTCATCTGGAAAGCTAGTTGTTCCTCTGGCACAAGCTGATAGGAGGAACAGGGCAGGAGCCAGCCACGTGGTGCCTCCAGGGTCCTCTTCCCCGCTGGACCCTGCCTCATGGCAAAGCAGACACAGAGAACACCCAGTTCTCCTTCCCTTTCCCTGAAAGCATGCTGTCATTTCTCAGAAGTGTGACCCTTGAGTTCGAGACCCTAGGCGCACTTCACAGAGCCTTGGGCTGAGTGCCATTCATGGTCAGTTCCAGACACAGGTTTCTAGCACTGATGGTGTCTTTCCCTCATTCTAATCAGACTGTGTTCTATTTATGGCAGAAGCTGTGCCACTTTTCTGCCACCCTACCTATGCACCTGCCATTCCTCTGCCTAGTGTGCCCTTCCCTCTTCTCCTATCTCCTCTGAGCCTGACAAATTCCCATTTCAAAGGGTCTGCTCTGCTCTAACCCTCCCAGACAGAGATGACACTTCATCCCTTGTGAGTCCTCAATTACATATATATATGTCCCAGGTCTGTCACCCCAATTAGACTGTGGGCTTCTCCAAGGACGGAGCCCTGTTTTAGTCATCCATGCATCAACCACATCCCAGCTGTGAGAACTTGAGTAAGTTATTTGCCTTCTCTGTGTATCAGTTTCCTCACCTACAAAATGGTAATAATAAGAACCTTCCTCTTATTGCATAAGGATTAAAAGAGTTAATAGGTGCAAAGCACATAGAACAGCGCTTGGCACTCAATAAATGTGTGAGCTATTAGTATTTTCTGTTCTTCTTTTTTTTTTTTTTTGGTTTATTTTTTGAGACAAAGTCTCTGTCACCCAGGCTGTAGCAGTGGTGCAATCATGGCTCACTGCAGCCTCGACCTCCTGGGCTCAAACGATCCCACCTCAGCCTTAGAGTAGTTGGGACCACAGGCGTGCACCATCATGCCCAGCTAAATTTTTTTCTAATTTTATTTTTTGTAGAGACGGTGTATCCTTATGTTGCCCAGGCTGATCACCAACTCCTAGGCCTAGGCAATCCACCCATCAGCCTCCCAAAGTGCTGGGATTATAGGCATGAGCTACCGCACCCAGCCTATTATTTTCTTCATTACTTTCTAGAGTGCTGCATAGGACCTTATAAATGTGAGCTATTACGCTTTTTGTTATTATCCCTCAGTGCCCTGCACGGGGTTGGGCCCAGGAATTATTTGCTGAATGAATTAATTACTGTGCTATGAATGACCTTCACCTTCATGAGCAGAAGACCATGTGTGGGGACCGTAAGACTTCAATCAGGGATAAAACAGGAATATCACCAAGTGCATTAGACATTTTAATAAGAGCCTTCTCCGCGCCCCCGTGGTGTCTGGCCGCTGTCTTCCGCTCCTATTTTTGTTTGGGCCTGGGTGGCACTTTGAGGATCAGAATTTGGGGCATCGTCTTCTGCCTGCGTCCTGAGCCTATGCTCCCAGCCGCCTGCTTTAAATAGCCTCTTCCTGTTCACTGTTCTTACTCAGCCTGGAGCAACCAACCTTTCCGGCACGTTGAGACCCCGAGTCCGGGAGCAAATCCCACCTGAGCGCGAGCGCGCGGCTCCTCCCGCCAGCAGGGGGCGCCCGACACTTGCCTTCCCCCACGAGAGGCCCGGGGCGCTCCGGGTGGAACTTGAAAGAATTCTGGGCCGGGCGCGGTGGTTCACGCCTGTAGTCCCAGCACTTTGGGAGGCCGAGGCGGGCGGATCACGAGGTCGGGAAATCGAGACCATCCCGGCTAACACGGTGAAACCCCGTCTCTACTAAAAATACAAAAAATTAGCCGGGCGCGGTGACGGGCGCCTGTAGTCCCAGCTACTCGGAAGGCTGAGGCGAGAGAATGGCGTGAACCCGGGAAGCGGAGCTTGCAGTGAGCCGAGATCGCGCCGCTGCACTCCAGCCTGGGCAACACAGCGAGACTCCGTCTCAAAAAAAAAAAAAAAAAAAATTAACCCCATTCGAGGCAGGTGTGAAATGATGGGTTGGAGGCACTAGTCTGTTTTCTTTAATAGGCTTTTAAATAAACACTGCATCGTTAAAGCTTAAACCTATGGACCGCTCAGAATCACTCTGTGCAGAACCAGGGGCCAACCTACCACAGCTGTGGCAGAGGGGGGCCACCCAGCAAAGGACCGTGCAGTCGGGGAATAAAAGCTGCCATCCAGGGTTGCGCATAAAGGGAGGTGAGGGATCTCTCCCAGGTCAAGAACGGCCCGGATCTGCTATAAATGCTTAGAGAAGCTCTAGCAGAACACTCGAGAAACTCGTCAAAGTAGCTACCTCTGGATCTTCTGGATTTTTTTACTTTAAAAAATAAGTCTCTCTTTATCTGTCTTTTTTAACAGACAGGACCTCACTCTGTTGCCTAGGCTGTAGTGCAGTGGTGTGATTATAGCTCACTGCAGCCTCAAACTTTCTGGGCTCAAGCAATCTGCCCACCCCTGCCCCTCGAGTAGCTGGGACTATGGGCATTTGCCACCACACTCGGGTAATATTTTAATTTTTTGTCGAGATAGGGTCTCACTCACTGTGTTGCTCAGGTTGGTCTCCAACTCCTGCCTTCAAGTGATCCTCCCAACCTCAGCTTCCTAAAGCACTAGGACTACAGGCTGAGCCACTACACCAAGCCAAAATAAGTCATTTCTAAAATTTGTCATGGGATTAGAGAAAATTAAATTAAATTAAAATATAAAAATAAGTAAGTCTTTAAAAAAAAAGAAACAAGAATAAGTTAACAGAAGGAGGTGTTCAAGTGGAGACACCAGTGCCACAGCTCTGACTTTGGCTAAGAGTACCCAGCCCTGTGCAGACTGGAGAGGTGCAGAATTGGGGGTGGGGCACCTGGGGTTCTGGTTACCTAAGACCATCTGACCTCTGCATGGGATACTTAGGCTTTCACAGGGCTCATCCAGGGGAGTTCCTGCAAACTATCATGCCCCTTTCTCGGAGTTCCAGCCCTGCCAGGGGCTTTCTGAAGACTTGTTGGCTGTCATCCCATTCCTAGGTGCCTCGTCCTGCAAGAGAACCAGGCTGAGCCTGCCCAGGGCAAGCAGGAGGCGAGGAAGGGCCCAGTCTCTGTAGAGTTGGAGAAGGCAGCCTGCGGGCTCCTCTGCAGTGAGCTCACAGGGCCTGGGAGCCCAGAGGGCAGAGCAAGGATCCACAGGGATGTCAGGGGGCAGTCAGAGGGTGCCAGGTCTCAGCTCAGAGAGAAAAACACTTTCTTCCCGGCAGAGCTGTGCTGGTTAGAACAGCTGTGCTGTGTCTGAGGGAATGAGGTCCCCATCCCTGGAGGCAGGCAAGCATGGACTGAGGAAATGTCGGGTGAGGGAGGTTAGGGAGAATTTTCCTACCTGCACTGACCTTTAGGCCTCTTTGAGTGCTGAGCTTTTGTGATCCAATTCCCTGACACAAGCCCTTCCTCCTCCTCGTTTGCTGGTGGGCAAAATGTGAGGGAAGGTGAAAGACGCCCTTTGCCTCCACGCCAGCTCCTTGCCTCCCAAAGAAGACCCTAGATGGACTGGGAGCACTGCCGTGTAATGATTAGGGAGATCCTCAGGGTCGTCTGACATCAAAGTGTTGTTTGGTGCAAGAACTTGGTCTTTCAAAAGTACTTTCGGGAGCAGCTGGGTGGAAAAAAAAAGCAACTTTAGGAACTTGTGGGAACACTTGCTACCTCCAACCAGTGCCTCTCAGAGCAAATGTGGGGCCTCCGTCTGTTCAATGGCTCTTAGTTGGGTCTCCTGCACGCCTTGAGCCTCCAGGATATAAAAACTGCAATGAATTTAGTTCAATTCAAAATAAGTTTAAATTTTAAGTTTTGTGATAGGTAATAACAATTGTATGGTTTCAATTCAAAAGGTGGGTAGGTGAGGTCATTTAGCCAAAAGTGAGTCTCACTTTCATACTTCTCCAGGCCAGCAGGCCCTCTCCAGGGCAACCACCAATGCTTGGCATCCTCCCAGAATTCATCTGTAAACGTGCAAACAAATACATACCTCTCTCATGAAATGTGTTTTGAGCACCTGCTAAGTATAGGGGTGAGGGGTGAGGGAGCCCAGACTAGGGAGTCAGCCAGCCTAGGTTCACACACCAGTTGGTAATATTTGGCTGTGCCTGCTGGCTAAGAGCAAACGATTACTTCCTGGGGACAGGCACTGCTCTGTGATCTTGCAGTGTGCTCTCTCATTCAATTCTCATCATGTGCTAGTTGGAGGCCTTTGCAAAACAGACACCAATGTGGGATCAGACGTGCAAGAGATTTATTGGGGAAAATACCTGTGAAGGAAAATGGGGAAGGAACTACTTGAAGGTGGCCAGGTTTAGCAAACAAAAATACAGGACATCCAGTTAAATTTGAATGTCAGATAAACAATGAATACATTTTACTATAACTACGTCCCATGCCATATGTCCCATGCATACTCATATTTAAAAGTATTCATCGATAATCTGGCATTCTAATTTGACTGAGCATTCTATATTTTGTCTGGAGGCAACTGGGAGAGTCATCAGACCATGAAGCAGGTCCGACCTCTGTGGGAAGGAGAGAAAAAGAAGGAAGGTGGGGAGGGTAGTGGGCTGATAATGGCCCCCAAATATGCCCGTGTCCCAATCCCCTGAACCAAGGAATGTGACCTTACATGACCAAAGGGACTTCGCAGATATAATTAAGCTAAAAATCTTGAGGAGATTATCTTGGATTATCCAGGTGGCCCTAAATGTAATCACAAGCATCCTTATAAAAGAGGGAAGCAAGAAGGTCAAAGAAGGAGGTGAAATATGTAGCGATGACAGCAAAAGTGACTCAAGCAGGGGCCATGATGACCACCAAGGAATGCAGGCAGCCTCCAGAAGCTGAAAAAGGCCAGCAAACGAATTTGCCCCAAAAGCCTCCAGAGGAACCAACCCTGCTAACACCATGGCTTTAGCCCAGTGAAACTGATTTCCACCATCTGGTGTCCAGAACTGCAAGATAATAAATGTGCATTGTTTTAAACCACTAACTTTGTGCTAGTTTGTTATACAGCAAAAGGAAACTCATACAGATAGGAAAAATCTCAAATTGCAACGCAGTTCTAAGTGTCAGCAAGGCCCATGGCAAGTCCTGTCTTACAGGGAGAGGCCTGCATTAGAATCCTTGACACTCAGTCACTGGCTGGGAAGAGCCCGTGGGAACCTGTTCTCAATGCAAATGTACTTCCTTCAGAGCAAAGCAGTTGAACCAATCAATTACACTCCCATCCTTGGAAATTTGAGAGATGGATTTTTATGGCTGCCATATACTGCAACCCTATTATTCTCATTCTACCACCAAGAAACCAGTGCCCAGAGAGGTTAAGAAACTTGACAAGGTCACACAGCCTTTAAGTGTGGGCCTCAGACCATTCATGGTGGTGGTGGTGGGGCCGTCCTGTGTATTGTAGGATGGTTAGCAGCATCTCTGGTCTCCATCCTGTAGGTGCCATTCTACCCTCCCATCTATGGCTACCCCAGATGTCTCCAGACGGTTTCAAATATCATGGAGCAAGGGAGTGGTACGTGAGCAAAACCACCCTAGTTGAGAGCCATTGGTCTACAATTGTGGAAATGTTTGAGGGTGAGAGTGTCGAGCTTGGGTCCCTGCTGTACCCTTTATGAGCAATGCGGTCTTGGAAAATTAATACTACTCCAGGGGCCTCAGTTTTCTCATCTATAAAATGGAGATAAATGAGATACACTTTCATAGGAAGGTTATATGGGATTTACTGAGATAATAAGACAGTACATGGAAAATGCTGGGCATAGAATTTATTTATTTTATTTTATTTTAAGACGGAGTCTTACTCTGTTGCCCAGGCTGGAGTGCACTGGCATGATCTCCGCTCACTGCAACCTCCACCTCCTGGGCTCAAGTGATTCTCCTGCCTCAGCCTCCCGAGTAGCTGGGATTACAGGTGCCTACCACCACACCCGGCTAATTTTTGTATTTTTAGTAGAGATGGGGTTTCACCACATTGGCCAGGCTGGTCTCAAACTCCTGACCTAAGGTGATCTGCCTGCCTCGGCCTCCCAAGGTGCTGAGATCATAGGTGTGAGCCAACACGCTGGGCTGGGCATAGCATTGTAACACAGACAAAGCACAAAATACTTGGGCAATATCTTTTTACATTTGGCTTGTCTAGACTCCATCCTCCATCCCCTCATGCGCTGGTACGGTGCAGACCAGAATATCACCCACCTAGACTGCAGAGTGGATTTGGGTGGCATCTTGGCTTTCTGCACAAGACTTGCCTGTTCCCCACCACATCCCCCTGGTTCTCAGGGTCCAGGATTCCAGGAGGCAGGGATGTGGGCAGGCAGGGCAGATGGCCCACCCAGTTCACTCCCACGCTGGGGACCTGCAGAGCCGGCTCTCCAAGACAGGGTGTTTTGACCAGCATCCAGGTTTCTGGATTTCCATTTGAGCACAGCTGGACTACACAGGCTGAAGCTGTCTCTGCTGAGATATAGGTATTTCCCTGGCGATGACCTTTCAAGCTGACATGAAGACATGGCCACCCGCTAGAACGTGGTGTGTCTGCCGTGGCGCTCTTGTAATTTGTGAGGCAGGCTCCTGACGAATGCAGTGCGTAAGTGGGAAATGGTGGGAAGTTCTCTCATCCCCCCCTGGCCAAAAGTGCTGCCTGCGCAGGTTGGTGGACGGTCCTTTGAGCAGGAAGAAGACACGGAGCACATTCCTGTTAGCTACGACAAAGAGGGGCAGGGTACATACTGGACATTTCAAGCCCCTGCAGAGAAGCAAGTCTTACTGTGCTGGGAGTACTTGTGGAGTGGGGGCTGTGTTGCCCTGGGCTTTAATTATTTCAGGAACATTTAACCGCAGGGCCGGCAGGCTGGATCTTGATATGTGTTTCTCAGTTGGAAAGACTTTGGACCATAGGGAAATGTCTTCTCAATTCTTTTAATTTCATTAAGGTGGTCAGTTTTCTTCTTGTGGCCTCTGGAATGTGACACAGAACTCAAGGGACAGGAAGGAGATGAGTTGGAGGCTGGGACAGGGGTCCCTGCCAGGGATGCTGGTGACTCACATGACGGTGTTGATGTGTGGAGTCCGGTGCCTGGTTTGGGGAATGTTTGTGGGATATGTTCCAAAGCACTGATGGACCTATCAGGTACTGGAGGTGAATGGTCAAGTCTGATCTCAGGGCTGGTAGTGTCAGGCAAGGACAGGAAGTCGACATTGGACTCATTGGCTGAGGTTGCTTGGGACCCAGGGGGCAATGTGTGCCAGGACAGATGGGTCTGGGGCTAGGAAGGCAGGTTTGGGCTGGAGACTCGGGCTTGGGAGGCATCCCAGGTAGACAATGGTTGAGGCTGTGGAAATGACTGTGATTGCCTGGGTTGAGAGTGGAGACAGACAAGATGGGGGTTTTGCTCTAAGCCTGGGGACCCCACCTCCCAGGTTCAAGGGATTCTCCTGCCTCAGCCTCCCAAGTAGCTGGGAATGCAGGTGTGTGCCACCATGCCTGACTAACTTTTGTACTTTTAGTAGAGATGAGGTTTGGCCAGGCTGGTCTCAAACTCCTGACCTCAAGTGATCGGCCCACCCTGGCCTCCAAAGTGCGGGATTATAGGCGTGAGCCACCATGCCTGACCATTTTTAAATATTAATTTTTATGAAATATTTTCAAACACATTTTACTGTACATTGGAAAAGTCAATCATGATTTGAAAACTTTATCAAAATCCAATCAAATGTCAATTAACCATTTAATTGTGGATGGGTAGGGAGACTATTTTGACCAAAACATGTTAGAACAATTACCACTTATAGAAATAATCTATGTTTTAATGTTTTAGTTGAATTAAAGAATCTTTTATATTCTATCCAGGCGCAGTGGACTCACACCTGTAATCCCAGCACTTTGGGAGGCCGAGGCTGGCGGATCACCTAAGGTCAGGAGTTCGAGACCAGCCTGGCCAACATGGCGAAACTGTCTCTACCAAAAATACAGAAATTAGCCAGGTGTGATTGCACACACCTGTAATCCCAGCTACTTGGGAGGCTGAGGCAGGAGAGTCCTGTATGAGGTCGGTGCTGTGATTATCCACATGTTCACTTGTTCTCTCTGGCCTCTTTCAGGCTCTTGCACTTCCTTTGCTCTTTTCCTGCCACAGGGCCTTTGCACATCCTGCTCTTTCTGCCTGGAAAGATTTTTCCCTCTCCCTGCCTCTTCACCTGGTCACGGTCTCATCTGACAGTGGAGTCACTACATCCTCAGGGATGTCTGGCCACACTGACTCAGTCACAGCAACCCCCTGTTATCTGCTTTCATGACACCAGGTGCCTCTCTGTGGTAGACACTAGCTCAGCTACGGCTTCCTGTTTCTGTGCGTGTCATCCTTCCCCTTCAAGACTGTGGTCACCGTGAGGGCCAGGGCCATGCCTGTTCCTGATTCTCATTTGTGTCTCTGGTGTTTAGTATATGCTTACCTAGAATTTGATTAATGAATGACGGCATATCCATTTTACAGATGAGAAAGTTGAGGCTCAAGAACATCGTGTAACTTGCTCGGTATTAGATAGTGATGGTTTGAAGCGATCTGGCTGGTCGCTGGGTGCACACTCTTAACCACTTCACTATGGTTCTTCTCTCATGGTAGCTCTCCAACAGCAGGAGTGAGAGACAACTTTAGGACAGGTGTAACCAGAATCCCAGGGGTTATCCTAGAAGGTGGTGTCAGGAACATGCTTGCCTATGGGCCTTCTTACTGTATTGCATAAAATACTCAGTTTTTCTGACTCGCCTTTAGTAAAGACCTTAGCAATATTTGAAGCACAGTTGTCAGTAGGAAAGGGTGGGTGTTTATACTTTTTTAAAAAGGAGTCTATATCATATTTATCTTGTGGTCTGCCATGCCCACCGCTCTTCTTCAGCTTCAGTTATGCAAAATTCACACTTCTCCTCTTGACTGCCTCTCTCTTACCTGTTCAGTTTCTTTTCTGTGTTCGAGATTGCTTAGAATTTTTCCCCATTACTACAGCCTGCTTCCCACCTGTATCCCCCAGCCAGCTTGTTCTGGATTTTGTCAACAACAGTTCCAGCGTTTAGTGAGGGCTGGACTGAAGGAAAGCCTTGGAAAAGGCTGCGTGATGAAAGGTGAAGATACCTAATGGGCAGGCAGTCATCAGGGTTAATTCAAAGGCTGGAAGAAGGGCTCACCTGGAGGACTGGAAATGTCTTTGAGCTGAAGGTCATGTGCAGGTGGAACGAAGAGGGTGAGCCTTTTGGGGTGAACTGCAAGTATTTGATAAGATCCCTGTCCCCATGGTTGGGGAAGTCTTGATAAGCATCCTCAATGTGATGGAAGGATCAAGGAACCCGTGGCTCTACCTGTCCAGCATGGCAGCAACATGACACAGCCAAGTTATTGATTATTGGTTGCCCAGCTGTCATCACTCAACATCTTCTGTTAGTTATAGCTGTAATTTGCACTAGTTGTCAATGCCAGTTTTGACTTTCCTAGTCAATAAAGTGTTCGGAGAGTGGTGACTAAGGCTGAGCACTACCCATAATCATGAGTATTACAGAGGCAAGCCCCCTTGCCCACCCACCTGCAGGTGATGACACACCCTAGGAAATCACTCAATTCTTTGGAGGACCCTGAATAAAAGCTCAAGTCCATCTGTTCATCTGTCCGTCCATCCATCCACCATTCCATCCATCCATCCATCCATCCATCCATCCAGACATGCATACATCCATCCACCCACCTACCCATCTATCCACCCACCACCCACCCATCTATCCATCCAACCCACTCTCTTATGCACCCAGCTATCATCCACCTAGCCACCCACCAACCCATTTATACATCCACTCACCCATGCATCTATCCACCCATTCACTCATCTACCCATCTATCCACCCACCCGTGGATCCATTTATCTATCCCTCCACCCCCTCACTCACTCATCCATTTCTCCACCCACTCAGCCATCCCTTCACCGACTCAACCATCCATTCATTCATCCACCTGCCCACCCACCCATCTTTCCATCCACCCATCTATCCACCCACCCACCTATGTATCCATCCACTGCTTGTCCTTCTGTTCATTTATTCCACAAAGACTCATTAACCACCTACTAGATTCTGGGGAGGTATCTGCTCTAGTAATTGAGAACATGGTTTCTGGAATCTGATTCCCTGGGCTCAAATTGAGCTGCCTCCTAGCTAGCTGCTTGGGTAAGTTATAGAAACTGTGCTTTGATTTTCTTATCTGAAAATTGGCTATTAATAGCTTCTACTCTTGCAGATATAGTGAGGATTAAATAAGATGTCACGTTAAAAGTGCATCATCGACACTCAATAGAGATTAGGTTTTACCATTCATTATTATTCTTTGCAGATGCTGCAGATAACGTGGAGAGCATATGAAAGGCACATGTTTTAACCAATAGTGACATACAGGTGCTAAGTTCTGCAGTAGGGGAAGGGCAGAAAGCCATGGAGAGGGCCTGGCCCAATCCTGGAGCCTCAGAAAAAAGTTCGCCTTTGAATTGCTGTTTTAGCTGAGACTTAGTAGTTGGAGATCCCAGACAGGAGGTGACAGAGTTAGCCAGGGAAAAATTGGGTCCTGGCACCCATGGCAGAGTTGAGTGATCCAGTCTTTCTCTCTCCTCTGGCTGGAAGTCCACCAGATCTGGGAATGTCCAGTTGGGGGAGGGGGCTGACAATGATCATGACCTTCACCTGTCCTCACATGTCCTCTGTGTATCTGCAAAGCCTCTGCCTCAGTCTCCTCTTCTGGAAAGTGGGATTGGAAACCACATCTGCTTCTCTCCCAGGACTTCTAGGAAGACAAGATTAGATGGCAGGTGAGAGCTCTTTGAAAATGAAAACATTCTGCTATTTGAATGCAAAGTGTTCTTCTTTGCCTGTGATGTTTCCTAATCTGTGAAATCATACTGGACCTCGAAGCTGTGTATTAAAAAAAAAAAAAATAGCAAAGTGGCTGGGCAGGGTGGCTCATGCCTGTAGTCCTAGCACTTTGAGAGGCTGAGGGGGTTGGATCACTTGAGGCCAGGAGTTCGATACCAGCCTGGCCAATATGTGAAACCCCATCTCTACTAAAAATACAAAAATTAGCCAGGTGTGGTGGCATCTGCCTGTAGTTCCAGCTACTCAGGAGGCTGAGGCACAAGAATCATTTGAGCTCAGGAGGCAGAGGTTGCAGTGAGCCGAGATGGCACCACTGCACTCCAGCCTGGGCGACAGAGCGAGGCTCTGTCTGAAAACAGAAAAAAAAAAAAAAAAAAAAAAAAAGCAAAGTTAACACTTCCTCCATCTCTCCCCTAGGGGAGGCAATTTGTCAAAGATTGTTGTTGGATTTTACACACAGGGAAATCTAAGGAAGGTGTGGAAACCAGACCAGGACTCTCGTCTCCCTGTTTACAGGGTCTTAAATGGGGGAGCCACTTTGGGTTCTTTCCACAAGATTGCTTTGTAAAAAAAACAAGAAACAAACAAAAAACTCAAAAAAACAGCCCTGACCTAAATATTCACAAGGGACCTTAGGCAATATCTGCAAACAAAAGTGAATGATGAGTGGAATCTGTCATCTTTACAACTAAGACAGCTCCAGAGTTGAAGCAAGTGGAAATATCTCTAGAGACAGAGACTTGGGCGGGTTTTGCCAGTTACAAGCTATGAGAACCTGGGCAGGTTTACCTCTCTGAGCTTCTGTGACCTTGTAAAATAGGCAGCTTTGCGCTAAACTTGCAGGAGGAATCCCAGCATCCTCCTGTGCACAAGGCTGGTTTCTTCCCATCCTTTTCCTTGTTCTGCCTCTCTCCTCCTCTCCAAGAAATGAATACATTTGGACCCAGTAGGGGCCTATGTTTGCAAAAGCTCGCAGGTGATTCTCATGCAGCCAGCCTGGCTCTGGCACTGAGGTCTTGGACACTTCTGGAGGCACATTTACTAATGAGGAAGGTCACTGTGTGCTGAAGGCATGATTCATCTTCCATTCCTTTCTTCCATGAAGCAAGGTGCATGGGTTGACTGAGCTGGGAGAGTCCACAGTGTCAGCCTCCCCCACGCTTCCCTCCCTCCTTATTCCTTGTGTGCTGTACTTTGTCTTGATTTCCTGTACTCTGCATCAAGCCAGGAGATGGTAAGATCTCAAAAAAATCATTTTTTTGGGAAATGGGACTAAGAGGGTTTTGGTTTGCCTGTTTGTTTGAGACAGGGTCTGTCACCCAGGCTGGAGTGCAGTGGCGTGACCTTGGCTCACTGCAGCCTTGACCTTCTGGGCTCAGGTGATCCTCCCACCTCAGCCTCCTGAGTAGCTGGGACTGCAGGTGCACACCGCCATGCCTGATTAATTTGTCTATTTTTTGTAGAGACGAGGATTCACCATGTTGCCTAGGCTGGTCTCAAACTCCTAGGCTCAAGCAGTCCTCCATCCACCTCGGCCTCCCAAAGTGCTGGGATTACAGGCATGAGCTGCTGTGCCTGGCCAAGGTTTTTTTTTATTATTATTATGAAAAATTTTCAATATACATAAAAGTAGAGAGACTAGTTTAATGAGCTATCATATACCCATCACATAGGTTTAAAAACTGTTAACGTTTGCAATATTTACTCCATTTGTTTTTCTGAAGTATTTAAAAATTAGTTTACAGTAGTTTTGTAATTGCATCATGATATTCACCCCTACGTAATTTACTTTCCCTTTAAAAACATGAGGGCATTTTTTATATGATCATTGTCATACCTAATCAAATTACCAGTAATTCCTTAATATCCTCTAAGATCAAGTTTACATTCAGATGTCTTCTCCTCAAAATGTCAATTGTGATTATTTTTTCTTTGAGCAAAGATAATAAGATCTCAAGATTTAATGACAGAGATTCCATGTTAGCCCTGATGTCTAAGCTCTGTGGTCCATTGTGGCTTTACTTGAAAGTCTCAGGCTAGGCGTGGTGGCTCACACCTGTAATCCCAGCACTTTGGGAAGCCAAGGTAGGTGGATCATGAGGTGAAGAGATCAAGACCATCCTGACCAACATGGTGAAACCCTGTCTCTATTAAAAATACAAAAATTAGCCAGGCGTGGTGGCGGTTGCCTATAGTCGCAGCTACTCAGGAGGCTGAGGCAGGAGAATCACTTGAACCTGGGAGGTGGAGGTTGCAGTGAGCTGAGGTTGCACCACTGCACTGCACTCCAGCCTGGGTGACAGAGCGTGACTCTGTCTCAAAAAAAAAAAAAAAAAGTGTATGTGAGGAAACTGGGATAGAGCTTGGGGATATTGGGGGATGGAGGTACTTCATCTACTGAACAAAAACCATGGGATACCAATGCTAGAGGAAGAAGCATCATCCTCAGTTTCTACTAACTCAACCATGCATGAGATGGGGACTTGGTGTCCAAGAGAAGAGCCTCTTTTTAGGTCTTCAGCCTTGGTCAAACCATTTCTGAATTCCTCATACACATATAATCAGGTGCTATGAGTGGTACTGATTGGATAATCTTTCTGTCGTTTCCTGTGCTAGGAAGGAAAATACATGTACAGCCAACTTCCTTGAGGGTTCGTTCTTTTGCATCAGGGTGTCTCAAACTCCTGCCCTTAAAACACCTGCAAGAGAATCATCCAGGCGGCTTGCTCACTCTGCATGCAGACCCTTTAGAATCAGAGTCAGAATCCCTGGGGCTGGAGCCACAAAATGAAATGACATTTCAACAAGTTTGTCATCACGTAAGAGAGAATAGGTGAGTATTTGGATACCTATAATACAAAGTAGATTCAAAAAGAATGACGATTATTTTAAATGTTGTGTTTTTAAAAATTTAATACAGAAAAGGCTGGGCACGGTGGCTCACGCCTGTAATCCTAGCACTTTGGGAGGCCAAGGTGGGTGGATCATTTGAGGTCAGGAGTTCAAGACCAGCCTGGCCAACAAGGTGAAACCCCACCTCTACTAAAAATATAAAAATTAGCCAGGCGGTAGTGGTGCGCGCCTGTAATCCCAGCTACAGGGGAAGCTGAGGCAGGAGAATTGCTTAAGCCTGGGAGGCGGAGGTTTGGTGAGCTGAGATCGTACCACTGCACTGCAATGTGGGTGACAATTGTTTAACCACCACCAAAATGGGTTCTGAGTCCAAATATTAATATGAAGGACATTGGTGACATTGTCTCAAAAAAATTAATACAGAAAAGTACAAAAAGGGAGAGAAATCACCCCAAATCTCACGACCCCAAGAAATAAACCTCCTAATATTAAGTGAACAGCATTCCTTGCTGTGCACAAAGATGGCTAGAGACATGAACAGACACTTCTGATCACACAAAATGAGATTTTAAAAACAAGAAGTAGCAAATTGAATGCTGTGTAAATTTATCAGAAGAAAAAGAAATGGAAGTGAAACAGAAGGAACTGGTCAACTCAGGTAAATGTAGTTTTTCCTCACTAAAAATCAGTTTCTAGAACATCTAAGAAATCAAAGATGATGAAAAATATTAAGATGTTTTATATATATGTAAAAGTCTTCACAGTTGATTGATCATCTCATGAAAAATTTGTACAGTCACTGCAAATAAAGTCATTGCAAAATCTTTACTCCTTTTGCTTTTTGCCAGCACTGACATTGGCCTTTGCAGTCTCTTGACTTCATTCTGCCCTCGCATTCCTTTTGCTGTTTTCTTGAGGTCATTTCTTCTCATGCCAGCTGTGTCTTGCAAGTCTATGTTCGAGTTCATTTTTCTTTGCATAATTCAAAGAACCAGATAGCATGCCAAAGCCCATTGTTTAACCACCACCAACACGGGTTCTGAGTCCAACTATTAATATGAAGATGACACCTATTGTGGTCTTGTACATTTTGTTGCCTTTCCGGGGTGAAGGACATTGGTGACCATTTGTTTCCTCTGGAGTGGTCGATTGGTCATGAACTTCCTGGTCCAGATAGTTACTGTGTCATTTATCATGGTGGTTGATCCTCAGGTAGTTAGGGAGGAAAATAAGCAAGAAGTTATATATTTAAAACCACGTTTCAATTTTAGACCTGATTAATTGACTTAATAAAGGGCATTAGCGCTTCTACTTCCTACAGTCCCTCCCTTTACCTCTGGAAACTAGTTATTTCTAGGTTATTTTATGTTGTTAAGGTTGACCACCTTCTCTTTCTGTTCTGCAATCATAGCCCTATTTTTAAATGGATTCACCTCTCATAATTAGCCTTTTGTCATGGTCATTCAATTCACAAGTTGCTTATTTTTTAATTTCTTGGCTGACTAAATTTCATTATGAAGACTTTTTTTTAAAAAAGAGCTCAGAAATACTGTACTCTTTAAGTTCTTCAACATGTGATCATGTCTTTTGCCTATTTTGATTGGGCAATAATTTAGCTGGCTATAAAATTCTTGGATTATACTCTATTTCCCTTAGAAATTATAGGCACCCATCCACTGACATTTCATTGTGCTTTCTTTTTTTTTTTTTTTTTTTTTTTTGTGAGATGGAGTCTTGCTCTGTCACCCAGGCTTGAGTGCAGTGGCGCGATCTCGGCTCACTGCAACCTCTGCCGCCCATGTTCACACCATTCTCCTTCTTCAGCCTCCCGAGTAGCTGGGACTACAGGTGCCCGCCTCTATGCCTGGCTAACTTTTTTGTATTTTTAGTAGGGACGGGGTTTCACCATGTTAGCCAGGATGGTCTCGATCTCCTGACCTCGTGATCCGCCGGCCTTGGCCTCCCAAAGTGCTGGGATTACAGGTGTGAGCCACTGTATGAGCCCAGCCTCATTGTGCTTTGTACTAACCCCCTTTCCCTGGTCTCTTCCAGCTTGTCTTCTTCTCTCCCAGTAGTTTCTTCATGAAGAGGCCATGTGCTATATTCCATGAGATATTTCACACTCAAAGAAGACTTCTTTTATACTCTTTTGATAATTTGTCTGGGAATCACTGTCTTGATTTATAAGGGAGTTTGTAATAAATACAGTAAAAGAGAAACACACAACGTATTTTGAGACATCAGAGAAGAGAGAAACCAATTCTATTAATATTTGGGGTTAGCAGGGAAGGCTTAGTTAAGAGGTAACATTTGAACTAAGCCTTGAAATAAGGGAAGGATTTGGACATGCAGTAATGGGGAGAGAGTAGAAGCAAGACATGATGGTTAGTGTTATGTATCAATTGGACTTGGTTGTGGGGTGCCCAGATATTTGGCTACACATTATTCTGGGTGTGTCTCTGAGATATTCTGGATGAGGATAACATTTAATTGGTAGACTGAATAAAGCAGATTGTCCTCCCCAATGTGGGTGAGCCTCATCCAATCCACTGAAGGCCTGAACAAAACAAAAAGGTAGAGTCACAGAGAATTTGCTCTTTTTACCTGATTATATTTGAGCTGGGACATCAATCTTGTCCTGACTTTAGATGTGGACTCGAGTTGGAACTATATCATTGGCTGTCCTGGGTCCCCAGCTTGCTGGCTGCAGACTTCAGGACTCCTTAGCCTCCATAACCATGTGAGCCATCCCTTACAACTAATCAATCTGTCTCTCTCTATGTGTATAGCTCTACCTCTATCTCTCTGCTCTTTCTCTGGAGAACCTAGAACAATACACAAGGTTATATTAGAGAAGAGGATGACCCAAGGAAAAGCATGGAGGCAGAAAAATGCAAAGAGGGTTTGGGAAGACTGGGGTCCTGACGGGGAGTTTGGATTTCACTGTGTGTAGCATGGAGAATCCTTGAAAATATTCAAGAGGTGAAAATTGTATTTGTGGAAGAACACCAGGAGTATGTGAAAAGAAAAACACTCACTCCATTTTAACTCCACTGAAGGAGGCATCAAAGGGATGCACTGGGGACATGGGGTGGAGGGTAGTTGAGGCCATATCTGGAGGATCTTTACTTCTAGGCTGAGTCTGAAGTTATCTTTCTGGGGAGTGGGAGATTACAAATCTTTGAGCTCCACTCAAGAGATGGTTTTGCTAACAATGGCAGGGTGACGGTGGTGGTGGTGGTGGTGGGAAACTGGTAGCATGAATTCTAATTGGGCTTCTGTTATTCTAGCCGAGAAAGTTGGGGAATGGACTTTCGGTAGAATAATACAGACCTGGGAATCAACTGCATGGAGGAGGTAGTTATAGGTGATGAGATGGCTCAGGGACAAAGTTTGGTAGAAGGAGAAAAGATACTAGGCTGGTACAAAAATAATTGCTGTTTTTGCCATTACTTTTAATGGCAAAATCCACAGTTACTTTTGCACCAACCTAATAGGATGCAAACTTCGGAGCCATCTGCATCAGAGGGATTGATGAAGATCAGCAAAGTTTGGGAACACAGGAAAGGAGCGGGGAGGGTAATGACTTGAGGGCATAGCAGGGATAATCAAGGTTTTTCTTGTTAGCATGTGGAGACTTAAGCATGATTATATGTTAAATGCCTGGCACATACATGGTGCAAAATATTTATGAGTGAAATGACAAGTGAAGGTGGTGAGTCACGGGAGTTCCAAGGGAACGGGTGATAAAGGGAGGTCTCAAATGAGGCACAAGTGGAGAAGGTAGCTTGGGAAAGGAGAAGGATGCTTCTCCTTATAACATGGGAAAGGCAGAGGAAGAGAGTCAAGGTACAGTGATCTAGGGGTGAGATGGAAGTGAGTTGAGAGAACTCAACTCTGGGCTCTGAAACCCCTAGGAATGGGTTTGGGGGGCTTTGAGATATGGAAGAGGTTTAAAGTTAATTGTTATAGCAAATATGGTTTGGAATTTATTTGTGATGCTTAAAAATATTGCTGAACAGAAGTGAAGTCTACCCTAGAGTTGGATGGTGAGATTATTTAGTGGAACTACCAGATCCATGTTGTGATTCTTTCTAGTATCATTCAGCAGCCCTTGGGCAATTGCGAGGCAAGTCATCAATGGGGTATGGAGATTTTCCAGGTGGGTGTGGTTGAAGGCAGGGAAGAACAAGTTTAGGAGCACATTACAAGAAGAAGGTGACTGTAAGGTCCAGGCTGAGCAGGAAGGTAAAGCAAGAAGGAAACATGAGGTTGTGAAGAGAAGTTTAGAGGGATGAGGAGGCAGGAGAGATGAGAGTTGCAGGATGTAGCTAGAGTGGCGATGTTAGATCTTGGGGCCAGAGAGCTTTACAATGAGTATGAAGATCAAAGGGCATTAGAATCAAGCTATAAAGAGCCACTGTTTGATGTTGGGATGTTAGGATGCTGCAGGTGGATGTCTGCACATTGATGGTGAGAACATGGTCACCCTGGCCCTGCTGGGTCTTTGCTAAAGAGACTGTGCTCTGTTCTTGGGGCCGTTTTCATCACCTGATTAGAGCAGTGGTTCCCAAATGGTGTTCTTTGGACCATCTTTATAAAATGTTCATAGGTCAAGGATAAAATGGAAAAACAGAGAAAATGTCACAGAAATGTGCCCATTGGTGAAAGACCACCAGCTGTCCTTTTTGGAGGACTGTTCTTTATTCTAAAAATGTATATATTCTATTCTATTAAAATATTTTTGTATTTGCATTTTTTTCTCTTTTATGAAATGCCATGGGGTAGAAATTTGTAATGTATCCAATTCTCCTGTCTTCATGCGTTGCCCTGTGGTGGGGGAGGGGATGTGGCTAGTACTGGCCAAGAGGCTGGGGGCAGAGGTGCAGTGTTAGACTTCTAGCCTGGAGCATTTAATTCTTAGTACAAGACTCTCTAGCATTCTTCTCCTTCTGTTCCCTGCTTGGTGATACTCGAGGTAATGCAGCCCCCATTAGCCTTAGTCTTAGGGCAAGTTTGATGGAAAACAGAGCACCCCACACCTCCCTGCAGATGTAGCATGAGTGAGAAAAACAACTACTGATGTTTGAAGTTACCAAGATTTAGGAGTTGTTTGTTATTGCAGCAAAACCTCACCTATTCTGACCAATCATGGTGGAATTTCTGTGTGTGTGTGTGTGTGTGTGTGTGTGTGTGTGTGTGTGTGAAACTGGTAGTTTAAAAAAGTTCCTTCTTACCAAAAAGAAAAAAAAGTAGCAACCTTATGTTGGTTCTCAAATTAATAAAATATTTTTACTGGTTTATAAAATAGAAAAATCTGAGAATCTGTAGCTTAGAGAACTACAGTGTGGGATGTCTATAAGGACCAGGTTATTTTATCAGCTCCTAACACCCCTTAATAGAAGCTTAGCCAAGACTTGGACTATTTCAGTCTTTCCCATTCCACATTCCATGGACTCTTGAAGAGACATTGATGAAACGGTGCAGCCATGAACCACCCTCACTCAATCCTAGTGGCAGAATCTCCCTTTTACTGCAGAATGAGCTTCTTGCTACAGTGATACTTGAACCCCTTAGATATATCCTGTACTAATTATATTAAAACACGACCAATGCTTTTGCTTTGTTGTCCCCCAAATTAAACACCTTAATCATGAGAACCCAGAGAATTGGATTTAGTGTGACTGATTCCAAACTGCCAGTAAGAACACAATTAGGTTATATTTTTCTCCAGTTCAAATAAAAGAAAATTGACAGTAAAATGCTGATCAATATGTGTAGCTCAGGAGGTAGAGCCTGCTTTGAGATGCAGAAGTGTTTGTTTTTTTTAGATCTATATTCTTGAGTAAAGAAAAAATCCATCTCTCTTTCCTAGAGGGGAAGACTTTCAGAGTTGGGCTTGGCAACAGCCTATCAGAGGCTGAATTAAACAAATAGGTACCTCCCTTGAGTGAATGGTGCGTTTCTCCTGTTCAGGGAACCGTGCTTTTATGGTGGAGTTTGCTTTCTGTCTTGGTCTCCGGATGTGTGTATCTGTGGGTGGATGTCTGCATGTAAATGGCAGTGTATACCTGTGTGGGTGTGTACAAAATTCCATGTGAATCTCAGCTTTGTGGGAATCTCCGGGTCTTGAGCCCAGCAGATGCCATTTGAAGAAAAATCACTTGAAAATGAGACAGAAAGAATGGAAACTAAATCCTAGCTCTAAAGGCACCAGACTGATTAAAAACAAAACTCTGGATCTTCTTTGTTTTGGACTCTACCTACCTCCAAATGACATTTCTCTTTCCTATGAAATGATTAGAATGAGAGATCCTGAGCATGAAAGAGCAGATACTGTGTGATTGTGTGTATGTGAGGGTGTCAGCTGTGACACTGCTGACATTTCGGCTCAGCAATTTCTCTGTTGTATGTGTGGGGGTTCCCTGTGCATTTTAGGATGTTGAGCGGCATCCCTGGATCCCTGGACTCACTGGATGCAGTAACACAACTCCCCCCAAGTACAGACAACCCCCAGTGTCTCCAGATATTGCCTAATGTCCCCAGGGGGCAAAATAGCCCCATCTGAGAACTGCTGCTTTCATAAAGTACAATGTCAGGTGAAATAGGTGGAGGCTGTTTGTAGTCAGCAGTTAGTAGAGATGGAAGAGACCCCAGGAATATCCTGGAAGGGGCTGTAATGTTCTGTTTCTTGAATTGGGTGTCGGTAATATGGAGATGTTCAGTTTTTTTGTTTTTTTTTTGTTTGTTTGTTTTGTTTTTTTGGCAGGATCTTGCTCTGTCACCCAGGCTGGATCACAGTGGCACCATCATGGCTCACTGCATCCTCTGCCTCCTGGGCTCAAGCAGCCCTCCCACCTCAGCCCTCCTGAGTATCTGGAACTACAGGCATGTGCCATCACTGTTGCCTAATTTTTGTATTTATTTATTTTTTGTAGAGAGGGGGGTCTCACTATGTTGCCCAGGCTGGTCTCGAGCTCCTGGGCTCAAGCAATCTGCTCACCTCGGCCTCCTAAAGTGCTGGGATGACAGGCATGAGCCACTGCACCTGGCCAGTATGTTCAGTTTGTAAGAAAAGTACTGTGTTGACCTCTTCTATGTGCACATTTCTTTAAGTAATAATTCAATAAAGCATTTAGAAAAATTGGTCATAATAGGAGTGATTTGTAGAGTGATTGGCATGAAAGCTGATCACCTTAATTTGAACTACTCTGAAATGAGCACCTGGGGCCACCAAGAGGAACCTTTCAAGGTGTCATAGCCAAGGATAGGAGTGTGTTGTGTACATCTCTGCATAAAGGATTTGCTGGTTACGTGGAAGGATGAAGCCTCCTTCTGAGGACACAGGCAGCAAGGCAAGTGGAAGCTCAAAGCATTGAGCTTTCTAAATGGACTTTGCTAAAATCTTGTGGATGACTCATGCTCTTAACATACACCTATGTACATATTGTCCATATAAACATTAATTCTGTAACAAGGCCCACACATAAGGGTATTTTTTTGTTTTGAGACAGTCTTGCTTTATTGCCCAGGCTAGAGTACAGTGACATAATCGTGACTCACTGCAACCTCCACCTCCTGGGTTCAAGCAATGCTTGTGCCTCAGCCCCCCGAGTAGCTGGGACTACAGGTGCACACCACCATGCCTGGCTAATTTTTGTATTTTTAGTAGAGACAGGGTTTCACCATGTTGGCCAGGCTGGTCTCAAACTCCTGGCCTCAAGTGATCTGCCCACCTCAGCCTCCCAAAGTGTTGGGATTACAGGTGTGAGCCACTGTGTCTGGGCCCACATGTAAGGTTTGAGTTGAGATAGAGAAACTCTGGCAGGACTGAGGAATTTGGCCACAGTCTCTGGGAAATATGCACAATTTCTGGAATCTTCTCTACTTCCAGAGTTCCCACTTTCTATCTGTCTCCTATTTATTCAACAAACTTGTATGGAACCACAGTGTGTCTAGAACTTGCCAGGCATGGAGGATAAAAGATGACTGAGGTCGGGCATGGTGGCTCACACCTGTACTCCCAGCACTTTGGGAGGCCAAGGCGGGTGGATCACTTGAGGTCAAGAGTTTGAGACCAGCCTGGCCAACATGGTGAAACCCTGTCTCTACTAAAAATACAAAAATTAGCCAGGCATGGTGGCACGCACATGTAGCCCCAGCTACTTGGGAAGCTGAGGCAGGAGAATCGCTTGAACCCAGGAGGCAGATGTTGCAGTGAGCTGAGATCACCCCACTGCATTCCAGCCTGGGAGACAGAGAGAGATTCCATGTCAAAAAAAAAAAAAGATGACTGAGATACAGACTCCATCAGAGTTGACTCTAACACAAATTTGGTAAGAGCCCAAGGTCTGGCTGGGCAAGCACCTTGATCGGCCTCATCCTGCAGCGTCTACTAGAATGAAGAGCACTTTTTTCTTTACTCATGAAAATGTTTTGTGCTTCGTACCTACAAGTACAATTTGAGTTAATTCTGCAAAATTTGCCGCATAACTCTGCCTGTATTCTTAGCATTTTTCCTTGGAGAGATTTCTCAGCACATCATCTTTGGACTATGTGGAATTGGAAATTTACTTAGAGTCAACAACAAGTACAGGAAAGTCAGTTCTTAGTCAAGAGTTAGGTTTTCAAAGACAGTGGATAAAATAAAAAATCTAGTACAGTCAAGATTATACGTGCAAATCCCCTCATCATTCATAAAGTTTAGCCGTCAGTCTTACCGTGGCTCACCAGGTCCAATCCATACTTCTTCCTCCACGATTGGAGCAGAGGGTGATTTTTTTTATGAGCAACTGATGAAGTCATTTAGAGACCATTTGCAGTAGGAGCCCTGTGTACTAGAGACCAATTAATGTGCCCTCATGGCACCATTTCTGCCTCTCTCCCTCTTTGTTCTTGCCAAGTACCCATAGTTCATTTTCCATAGATTAAAAGAGCCCAAGCTGGGCCTATACCTAGGAGTACAATTACTGGGTCATTTGGTAACTCTATGTAGAATTGTTTGGGAAGTTGTTAAACTGTTTCTCACAGTGGCTACACCATTTTAATTCCTACCAGCAGTGTATGAAAGTTCTAGTTTCTCTGCATCCTCACCAACACTTGTTATTTTCTGTATTTTTTTTTTTTTTTGAGACAAAGTCTTGCTCTGTCGCCCAGGCTGGAGTGCAGTGGCACAATCTCAGCTCACTGCAACCTCTACCTCCCAGATTCAAGTTACTCTCCTGCCTCAGCCTCCCGAGTAGCTGGTATTATAGTCACCTGCCACCATGCTTGGCTAATTTTTGTATTTTTTTAGTAGAGACAGGGTTTCACCATGTTGGCCAGGCTGGTCTCAAACTCCTGGCCTCAGGTGATCCACCTGCCTCGGTCTCCCAAAGTGCTGGGATTACAGGCATTAGCCACCACACCAGGCCAATTTTCTCTATCTTCGATTCTAGCCATCCTTATAGGTATGAAGTGGTATCACATTGTGGTTTTGATTTCTGTTTCCCTGATGATGAGTTTCATTGAACATCTTTTCATGTGCTTATTGGCCACTTGTATGTCTTCCTTGGAGATGTGCCATATTTTCATATTCAAAAATGAGAGCACAGGTCCACACAAAAATTTGTACGTGAATAATTACCACAGCATCACTGCTAATAACCCACAGAGGGAATTAATCCAAATGCCCATCACCAGATGAAGAGATACACCGATTGTTGTCTACCCACATGGTGGAATATTATTTGATCACAAAAAGGAGGAAAGTACATACGCTACAGCGTGGATGAACCTTCAAAACAGATGAAAGATCACATTCTACATGATTTCATTCAGATGGAAATCTATAGAAATAGGAAGTCGATTAGTGGTTGCTTAGAGCTGGTAGGGGCATGGGAGGATAGGGGGTGTTAGCTAAAGGGTATGAGGTTTCTTTTTGAAGTCATGAAATGTTCTAAACTTGACTGGTAATGTTTGCGTATATCTCCGAATATATTAAAAACCATTGAAATGTAAAAAGTGCAAAGAAAAAACAGCCCAAGTTGCAATTTTATTCAACACTTGATTGGCTTTAAAAATAGATTCCAGGCTGGGCATGGTGGCTCACACCTGAAATCCCAGTGCTTTGGGAGGCTGTGGTGGGAGGATTGCTTGAGGCCAGGAGTTCCAGGCCAGCCTTGGCAACATGGCAAGACCCTGTCTGTACAAAAAAAGAAAAAATAAATATCAGCTGGGTGCAGTGGCTCACACCTGTAATCCCAGCACTTTGGGAGGCTGAGGCTGGCAGATCACCTGACATCAGTTCAAGACCAGCTTGGCCAACATGGTGAAACCTCTTCTCTACCAAAAATATAAAATTTAGCCTTTTGGTACTCTGAGCAGCACCATGGCGGTTGTTAAGAACAAGTGCCTTATGGAAGGTGGCAAAAAGGGAGTTAAGAAGAAAGTAGTTGGTCCATTCTCTAAGAAAGATCAGTATGATGTGAAAGCACCTGCTATGTTCAATATAAGAAATATTGGAAAGACTTCGTCACCAGGACCCAAGGAACCCAAATTGCATCTGATGGTCTCAAGGGTCTTGTGTTTGAAATGAGTCTTGCTGATTTGCAGAATGATGAAGTTGCATTTAGAAAATTCAAGCTGATTACTGAAGATGTTCAGGGCAAAAACTGCCTGACTAACTTCTATGGCATGGGTCTTACCTGTGACAAAATATGTTCCAAGGTTGAAAAATGTTCAACAATGATTGAAGCTCATGTTGATGTCAGGACTACCGATGGTTACTTCTTTCTTCTGTTTTGTGTTGGTTTTACTAAAAAACACAACAATCTGATACCGAAGACCTCTTATGCTTAGCACCAACAGTCTGCCAAATCCAGAAGAGGATGATGGAAATCATGACCTGAGAGGTGCAGACAAATGACTTGAAAGAAATGGTTAATAAATTGATTCCAGACAACATTGGAAAAGATGTAGAAAAGGCTTGCCAATTTATCCTCTCCATGATGTCTTCATTAGAAAAGTAAAAATGCTGGAGAACCCTGGGTTTGACAGGCATGGAACTTCGTGGTGACGGCAGTAGTTCTGGAAAACCCACTAGGGACGAGACACATGCGAAAGTTGAATGAGCTGATGGATATGAACCACTAGTCCAAGAATCTGTTTAAAGTTCAGACTTAAAACATTGGCAAATAAGAAGTCCTATTTGTGAAAAACAAACAAGAAACAACAATGAAAAAAGCAAAATTAGCCTGGTGTGGTGGTGCATGCCTGTAATCCTAGCTACTTAGGAAGCTGAGGCATGAGAATCACTTGAACCCAGGAGACAGAGGTTGCAGTGAGCCAAGACTGCACCATTGCACTCCAGCCTGGGCAACAGAGTGAGACTCTCTCCAAAAAGAAAGAGGAAAAAAAAAGTATCCAGGCTTTGTGGCATGCGCCTGTAGTCTCAGCTACTCTGAAGGCTGAGGTGGGAGGATAGCTTGAGGCCAGGAGTAATTTGAGGCTGCAGTGAACTATGACTGTGACACTGCATTCCAGCCTGGACTGCAGAGCAAGACCTTGTCTCTTATACATACATACATACATACATACATGCATACATACACACACACACACACATGCACATACATACATACCCAGGCTCTACCTCCTGTGATTCTGACTCAGTAGGGTGGGGTATACCCTAGGGATCCTGCTGTTCAGCCTGGTCTGGGATCCACTTTTCACTGGGAACTGAGACACTGGCTGTGAGCCTTTCTGTCCTGTGATGTAGAGGTCATGGCGACACAGGCTGAAGCTTAAGGAGACCTGACTGTACGTTAGGTATTGTGCTGAACATCATCTCTTACTCTCACAGCAACATCCTTAGAAGGTTAATGGTGTGTCCCCGCTCTACAGATGAGGAACTGAGCTTTCAGAGGAGTTTAGCTTGTTCGAAACTTATTCTTCCTATTGGAAACTTTGTACCCTTTGAGCAGTGTCTCCTATCCCCTACGTTTCCTCCACCCCAGCCCCTGATAACCACTGTCCTACTCTCTATTTCTGTGAGTTCAACTTCTTTAGATTCCACATATAAGTAAAATCATGCAGTATCTGTCTTTCTGTGCCTGGCTTATATCACTTAACACAATGTCTTTCAAGTTCATCTATGTTGTTGAAAATGACAGGATTTCTTTCTTTTTTAAGAGTTAATAGTATTCCGTTGTGTGTATATAGTACATTTGTTTTATCCTTTCATCCACTGATGGACACTTAGGTTGATTCTATATCTTGGGTATTGTGAATAGAGCTGCAGTGAACATAGGAATGTAGGGATCCCTTCGAAATATTGATTTCGATTTTTTTTTTGTCTATACCCAGAAGTTGGGTTGCTGGATTATATGCTTTGAAATCTATAGCACAGCAGCGTGACTATAGTCAATAATAATGTATCTTTCAAAATAACTAAGAGGCTACATTTCAAATGTCTCATCATAAAAATTGTCAGTAAATTAGGGGATGGACATGTTAATTAGTTTGATCTAATCATCCCACATTGTATACACATATCAAAACATCACATAAATGTGTACAATTATGATTTGTCAATTAAAATAATGTTAGTTAAAAAAATAAGTAACTTGTTCAAAGCCCCAGTTGGGATTGATGGAGCCGGGACATGCACCAAGGCTTTTGCTCTCAGGCTCACAGAGTCCTTGGGCCACGAATGTTGAAGCCCTACCTGAGATTTCTACTGAGATCAGTGTAGGGATTCAATGTCTCAGAATCATCCCATCCTCCAGGGCCCACAAGTCCATGACCTTTGCCTCTACCCCCGACCCTGCTGACCTGAAATGTGGCCCCTGCTTTCATTTCTGGGAGCATACAACACTTACACCAAGCATTTATGGGTTTTATTGACTTCATTTGAGATGTGGGGCCATGGAGAGGGTCCCATGATCCTTGCTTGGTGTTGGCCAACTCATTGAATTCTCTCTTTGACTTCACCCTTCCCTTTTCTACTCACCTCCTCTGTCATGGATTGCTCTGGGAATTCTGAGCCCTAGTTCCTTTATTTTGCAGATAACCTTCACTCTTCTCTGCAACGAATCCCAAAAGTATGTAGTTGAGCTGACTGCAAGGTGCTTGAGATGCCAGAGACTCCACAAATGGGATTTGGCCTCTGGAAAGTGGTGGTAGTTCCAGATTTATGTGGATGTTACTTTGTTTTTCCCTATAAAATATATTCTTTAAATTATCAAGCTCTTGGCTCCTGGATGCAGTCCTTTGCTGGTGGCAGTGGGCTGGGTACTGTCACCGGGGAGAAATGCTGCCCACTTAGAGAAAGAGAAACTGGTTCTCTTTAAGAGGCAGAGGGAGGTTTCCAGTGCCAGTTTGTTTGGAGGCAAAATGGCTGTTGTATTAAAATTGCCCAAACTTGGGCTGGTGCCTTGTGTGTTTAGAGCTCAAAGCCATGATTGTTTTCATTTTCTTTTTCTTTTTTTTTTTTTTGGTGGTCGGTTTTCCAACCTTTTGCTTGGTAGGTTTCTGCTAATAGCTTCGACCTCAAGAGTCCCATTATACAGACACTAATAGTACCTACTATGTGTCAGTCTGTAGTGCCTACTATGTTCCAGGCATTGGAGATAATATAATGATGAACAAATAAACATGGCACTTGGAAAAGAGAGTCTAGTTCCCACTCTCAGCCCACCCCAAAGAGAGGCGAGAATTTGGCTTCCAAAGATCTCAGATGCCCTTGCATCGTCTCCATGAAGAGGGCGGGTGAAGCCTTGGTGTCTGAAGATAATTTGGCTGGACAATCCCCAAGGTTTGGAACGATGGGAAGGAGCTGCCATCTGTGTTTAAGGTGAGAAGCGGGGAGTGGCTGGATATCAGAGGAAGCCAAGATGAAGAGAAGGTTTTTGTGAGCTCCTATGCATAGTGGAGACCTGTTACAGTGAGGGTCCCTGGGGCTGAGCCTGTGGGTCAGTGGAATGATGCTGTGAGGAGGGTCTTGTTATAGCAGATGGCCCAAAAAAGGCTGATGGATCATGAGCAGCTGGAATAATGGAGAGTTTGGAGGAAGTAGTTCCTACCTGGCTTTCCAACAGTGTGTAAGCCCAGAATTCTTACATAAGCCCATGGAGAAGGGAAAGGAATGCTGGTAACGACAAGATTGAATTCTCCACCTGCCAGGCATCCAGGGACTCAGAGCAGATTTAACTGAAATTACAGAAATAGGAATGTGACATTTCCTACATCCGGGTGCGCTGGAGCAAATGTATTCCCTCTCTGGTTTGTGGGGAAGGAGAATGCTAACAGACAAGACTCCAGGTTTTCGCTCTTAAACCTGGTGCCTAGAAATGCATTTTCTACTGGATGCAGACAGAAGCTCCATATAGACATATCCATCGCTGCATCTCTCATGCCTTGTGTTCTCCCTAATTTTCCCTTTTTAAACCACAGAGGAAGAAAATTCCAGCATCACTTCTGGCCTCTCAAGAGTGAGTTAGGTGGCCAGGTGGGGTTATTCATGCCTGTAATCTCATAATGAAGGGATGGCCTGCCCCTCCACACCTGTGGGTATTTCTAGTCAGGTGGGATGAGAGACAAAAAAGAAATAAGACACAAAGTATAGAGAAACAACAGTGAGCCCAGGGGACCGGCGCTCAGCATACCAAGGACCTGCACTGGCACCGGTCTCTGAGTTCCCTCAGTTTTTATTGATTATTATCTTCATTACTTCAGCAAAAAGGAACGTAGTAAGAGGGCAGGGTGATAATAAGGAGAAGGTCAGCAACAAACATGTGACTAATAGAATCTATGTCATAATGAAGTTCAAGGGAAGGTACTATGACTGGACGTGCACGTAAGCCAGATTTATGTTTCTCTCCACTCAAACATCTCAGTGGAGTAAAGAATAACAAGGCAGCATTGCTGCAAACATGTCTCACCTCCCACCATAGGGCGGTTTTTCTCCCATCTCAGAATTGAACAAATGTACAATCGGGTTTTATACCGAGACATTCAGTTCCCAGGGGCAGGCAGGAGACAGTGGCCTTCCTCTAACTCAACTGCAAGAGGCTTTCCGCTTTGACTAGTCCACCTCAGCACAGACCCTTTATGGGTGTCGGGCTGGGGGACCGTCAGGTCTTTCTCATCCCACGAGGCCACTTTTCAGACTATCACATGGGGAGAAACCTTGGACAATACCCAGCTTTCAAGGACAGGACTCCCTGCGGCTTTCCACAGTGCATTGTGCCCCTGGTTTATTGAGACTAGAGAATGGGGATGACTTTTACCAAGTATATTGCTTGCAAACATTTTGTTAACAAGGCACGTCCTGCACAGCCCTACATCCCTTAAACCTTGATTTCATACAACACATGTTTTTTGAGCTCCAGGTTGGGTCAAAGTGGTTGGGGCAAAGTGGCTGGGGCAAAGCTACAGCCAATTCAAGCCAGCAATAAGGACCTTCAAAATGACCAAAATATGACTTGGTCCTTACCGTTGCTTTTACAACCTCAAAATCCTGCTCAGGTCACCTGCAAGGCACTCAGATTGTTAATCCATCAACTGCTCATAGAGATGACTCCAAACCACACAAACCCAAACTATCTGCATTTTTTAATCAATTCAGTTAAGCCTTATGGGCAAAACTTCAGAATTCAAGTAAAACAGAAGGTCTGTCTGAACATTTTCTTCAGTCAGCTGAAATTGGATGGAGGTTTCGTTGTGGTCCCTCAAGGAATAAACCATTATTTGACCCTTTCTCTTCCAGGTGAATTCTTACCCATTCCTAAGGTATAAGTCCTGTGTCACCTCCTCTCCTGAGAAGCTTTTTCTGTTGACCCCACCCAACTGTCCCTTCAGTCTCCTTGTAGTATTTGGAGGATACAAATCAGCACATATCATAGTGAAATGTGGTTTTACACATCAGAATCTCCTGCTATATTGTGAGGTTCATGGAGACAAAGACAATGTCTCATTTCTTTATTGCTGCATTTCTAGCCCCAAACACAGCATCTGATATCATACAATAGACATCCAACCAGGATTTGAAGAATGACTTACTGAATTATATTAATAAATATAACCTTTTCATCTAGGTGTTAGATTAGGAAGGGAATGGTAGATATCATGCCTTTTGCCAAGTTGATTAAATATTAATTGGAAAGTACTGCACGTCACATGAGCTTTAATCAAAAGACAATCTACATTTGTAACATCTAACTTTGACTTAATTAGGTTGATAACTACATATGCTATTCAGGACAGTAAAAAGACATGAGAAAATGAGAAGAACTATGGATCTAGAATGAAAGGGCGTGTATTTGAGTCCTAGTTCTGCTTCCAGCCTGTTGTGTGAGCTAAGACAAAAGCACAAGATCACAAGATGCCATGAATCACAATTTTCACCATTTATAAATGTGAATCTAGATAATACTGACTCTAGTCATCTCATAGGATTGTTGTATTGAATGTATAAGATGCTGTATTGGAAATAATTCACAAAGTATATGGATTGAACAAATGAGGTGTTTTATACTTAGCAATAGATAACAAGAAAAGCATAGGTTCTGGCATCAGATAGACAGTTTTGGACACATCTCCAACCCTCTCCAACCTTAACAAGTCACTTACTCTCTCTGAGTTTCTACTTTTGCATCTATAGAACGAAAGTATTAACACATACTAGCAGGGTTGTGATGAAGATTAAATGTGATAATACATACAAAATGCCTAATGCAGGGCTTCACACACAGTAGATGCTAAATAAATGTCTGTTTTCCTCCGTTCTTCCTAGTCTATTTGTATTTTTAGCTTCAATGTGTGGTGTTTAAGCTTCATCTGGAAAATGCGATCCTAAAATATCTACTGTACTATATTGCAATATATAGTGCTATCAGTTGTGAATAATTGGTTGTTGTGTTTATTAGAAAATAGTTGATATATACAAAACAAATGTTCTTGATAAAAGCAGAGACATCAAGGAAAATTTTATTTTTTAACAAAACTAAAAATAAACCCACTCGGCATGACTACTATTTAAAAAAAAAAAAAAGGAAAATAGCAAGTGTTGGCAAGGATGTGGAGAAATTGGAACCTTTGTCCACTGTTGGTGGGAATGTAAAATGGTGTAGCTGCTGTGGAAAACAGTATTTCTAATTCAAATATTAAGCTCTATAATGTTTAAAAATTGGTCTCTCATCTACTCACAGTATTTGCTTAAAGCTATAAATAATAGCTATGATTTAATGGAAAGACTAACACCACTAAAAGGTTTTCAAATGCTTGGCTATTTTATGACAAATGGGAATAATAATAATAACATATATACATATATACACATAATAATAATATGTATATATGTTATTATTATATTTATATATGTTATTACATATATATATATAGAGAGAGAGAGGAAACTAAGAATGTTTAGCCCTGTGTCTGGCATATATAAAACTGTCAACAAATGTTAGATGTTTTTGTTACTATAAAGTTATGTAAATATTTTTTGTGACCTTAGAAAATCTGACTTTGTTCCATAAGTAAGGTTTTGCTGTGTAACCAATGCGTAAGTTATTATTTAACCACACATTCATAACATATATATTTTTTAAATATCTAGAATTTGGGAGTCTGACAGATTGCATTTTCCAAAGCCAGAAAACAATATCTCCCATTCCACATGCTCTGTGACCATGCCCCTCCTCCATGCTGGGGAGGAGTCAAAGTCTCCTCCTCTTGAATCTGGTCTGGACTTAGTGACTGGCTTGCAACCAACAGCATGAGAAAGCCATGTTACAGCCTGACTTCTGAGGCTGGGTCATGAGCCTTGCAGCTTCAGCCTTGGCCTCTTGGAGCACTCACTCTCAGGACAGACCCTCCCTGCTGGAGTACTTCCTGTCGGTTCCAGCTCCACCTGTCCTTGTGCAGTTCCAGCTAAGACGCCAGAGCAGCAGACATGTGAGAAGGGGCAGTGGGTCCTCCAACTCCTGCTTCTAGAGCCCAGACGGTCTAGTCTGAGACTAGTCAACCCAGCTGAGACCCCAGGCATGGAAGAAAGAGGCCCCTCTTTTGCTTCTTTTTCAGTGTCCCTACCCACGGAGTCTGTGAACATAATAAAATGATTATTTTACACAACTAAGTTGTGAGAGCTGTGGGGGACAGTGGGACTGTAAGTTATGGGTAACTGGAACAATGATTTAGTTATTTGTTCTTGTACACTTTCAACTTGAACTTCCAAATTTATGGGCCCCATTCTGAAACTGGTCTACATCTGCACAGAGATGTCTCTGCTGTTGAGTAGACCAATCTGACCAGCTTTTCAAGCCAACAACATTAAAAGCCATTCAGAGGACAACACATTGTGAAGTCGCCTTCTCTTGTGAGAAATGCATTAAAAAGAAACTAAGACCTACTAGAGTTGTTCTGTCAAATACAGGGGCTATTGAGCACTTGAAATGTGTCTGGTCCAAACTGAGATGTGCCTTCAGTGTAAAGTAACATTTAGAAGATAGTGTATAGAAAGAGTAAGATGTCTTATTAATTTTTATATTAATTACTAATGAAATGATAATATTTTAGATATATTGAGATAAATAAAATATATTATTAAAATTAACTTCACCTGTTTCTTTTTACTTTCTTTAAGATAGCTGCTATAAAATTTAAAATTATAAATGTCACTTGCACTATATTTCTAGCCCTGTACTAAAGGGTCTTTACAAAATATCTTGGTTTTATAATGTTGGCACAGTAAAGAAGGGGGACAAAACCATCTTTCACTCCAGACAGACAAGAATTTGCTTTATCCTGTTTGTCTGAAATTGGAGTCAATGGTCCTAATGGGTGGGATAGACCTTATGTCATTCTCCTAACATTGACTGGGCTCATTGAACCACAGACCAGGCAGAAAAAATAAAATAACACTTAAAGGACATTTTAAAACATAATAAAAATGGGAAGGAATATTTTCATTATTTCTAAATAAAATAGCAAAAATCCATCAATCATGTTCCTGAATGAATTTCTAACACCTAAGACTGTGCTTACTGAGGAAAAATAAATAGAAAAGTTGAGCAATTATCTTGTAAACGTAAAGAAATGTGACTCCATCTCAAAACAAAAAACAAAAAAACAAGAAATAGATGAGCTTACATGGGTCTCAGCAGCTACATTTTCCTCTGATTTCTGCTTATTTTCCAACACCCTAAATGTTCAGAATAATAAAACAATGTGCCACTCTAAGTGGAGCAATGACAACATAGATACCAATGGTTCAGAAAGCATGGTCAAAGGGCCCCTCGTGTTTCCAAGATCCTTTTGGGAGGGTCACAAAGTTAAAGTTATTTTTCCAATTACACCAAAATGTCTTTTTTTTTTTTTTTCATTCTTATTCTCTCCCAAGTTGTGGTAAAGTTATCAAGAAGCCACATGGCAAGTGACATCACCACAGACTGAATACAGAGACAGATTGGAAATCCAGCTGCCTTCCAGTAAGCTAAATATGCTAAACAATGCTACTTTCTCACTAATATTTTTTGTTTGGGAAAATACAGTTATTTTTCATAAAGAAATATGTCATGAATGTTAACTTTAGTGAGTTTATTGTTGTTATTTTGAAATAAGATAAACAATTTTTAATATTCTTAGTTCTAATTTCTAATTTGGTAAATAATAATACATGGAAACCACATAAACAAAAGCTCTTCAAGGTTCCCAATAATCTTTTAAGAGTGTAAAGGTTGAGAGGTGCAGGAAATTGAGAGATTTTGGTTAAAAGGTACAATCTTTCAGTTATAAGTGAGTAAGTTCAGGAGTTCTAATGTACAAGATGGTAATTATAGTTAATAGCACTATATAATATACTAGAAATTTGCTAAAAGAGTAGATGTTAAATGTTCTCGCCACATACAAAAAAATGGTAACTATATGAGGTGATGGACATATTAACTGACTTGATTCTAGTATCATTTCACAATGTATACATATATATCAACTCATTATATTGTACATCTCAAATTATACAATTCTATTTGTCAATTATACCCCAATAAAGTTGGGGTGGGGGGAAGAATATAATGTTATCCTTAGGCCAAAATGTTTGAGAACCAGTGGTATATACATGAATCAACCTTAAAATAGGCACCAGTGGGGCAAAGTGGTTTTCCATAATTTAAAATTAACTAAAAACCATGGGATTTAAAAATCCTTCTGGCATTTGTATTATGTAATAAAGATGGTCCCTATCACATCCCAGTCCCCTAGCTCACAATTCTCTCTATAATATACATTTTCTCCACAGACAATGACATGACTAATAGATAACTTCTGTTTGCCCAGCATATCCCCAGGGGTGTGTCCAGAGTTATGTGCAAGCCATTGGTGGCTAACTATAACTCCCACATTCTCAGCCACATAGGGAAGCATCTGAATGACCTGTAGTAAGAATAGTCTTAGATTCTCTTCAGTTATTTTGTTAACCATTTACAAATATAGATAGCTTAGTAATAGTAACAAATTGTCTGCAATTTAGCTCATGATTAACAACTACTTTGACATCCCTGCACACTAGACACAGACCACATTTTCAGTTAGTTCAAATTCACTGATTAAAAAATAAAACAGCCATAATGAATCATTAATGCATTCCAGAAACTGTATCTTTAAAAAGCAGATCTGCCTGGCATTTATTATAATAAATGTCTATTTTATATATACATTTTTGACCTACTTTAAGTGGCATAGATGAGAAAAACTTTCATGACTTAGGTGCAATTAAATATTGCTAACATTTGATCCATTTTGCCATGTTCTTTTAAAGTAAAGAAATAACATTCAGTACTTACATATCTGCCTTCCTCACCAGGATGACCGGGTAACCCATCAAAACCCTTCTCTCCCTGAGAAGACAAGAAATCAAAATAAATAACTTGGCCTCTAAATTATTTATTTCTCAAATCTATATGAAATAAAAATTATTACTAATAGATACCCTTGTCTCACGGAGTTGTCATTTTATGGAGAATGTACTGAATATCAGGCACAATGTGCAGAGATGTACAGAAACAAATATTCTTGTCCAGTGTTACAGTGAAAACATGCATACCTGTTTGTCTTAATAGTATATCAAACTATTCTTATTTTCCAAAATACCTTCTTAAGTCATTCTCTTGTAAAAATCCAAATCAAGACTAGTTTCTAGTTAAAAGCTTAAGGAAAACTGTTACTCTTAAAGAAGCTTTCAACCTTGTTTTACAAAACATCAGTAAGCAAAGCTCTTCCTGCCTATCTTATTCATGAGAAATGGTTGTTTATTTCTGTATGACTCAACTGTCCAGTTTTGTTTTGTCCTTTTACTACTTCTTACACACCGAAACACACAAACCATTTCCTCTCAAGGAAGTTTGGCTTGCCATGTTATAGTCAGATGTGTTTATTTAGTCTAAAAGCTGGTCAGTAAGACTTGGAAGGCATATTTTATTTGTGATCAACAAAGATATAAAAGTCATTATGACCATCTACTGAATTCTTGCAAACAGAAACAGCAGAGAAGTCAAAAATTTAAAATACTCCCATCTTTGGCCTTAGAGGCACCGGCACAAGCTGCAAAGAAACGTATCAAGAAGCTCCTAAACCTGATTTTCTGATTCTCCAATCTGTTAATGAATAACAACATGACAGGGAAAAGTCTAATGCTAAGGCATGATTACAATTTATTTTTCAAACAGTAATTATAAACTTTATACTATTCTAAATTTAAAAGATTGATCTGCAAAGCCCTGAAGAGCTCATTCCAACAACCTCATGGAAAATCTTCCAAAGAGAACATGTAAAAAGATGACACAAAGCCAGCGGGTGTAATTTAACCTTACCTGTGTGTCTGTGATTATACCCTCATTATAAAGCTTCAATCCCTGTGATAATGGAACCTTGCCAGCCCTGAATATCTGAGGACCATTTCTAATGAGATACTCTCCCTTAGAAGTGTTAGGTAGTAATTTTCCTATTGGTTAACCTAGAATTAACAGAGATGCAACTCTTTTCTCAGAGTTTGATGCTGTAGAAAAGAATGTTAGATGGGAGAGAGGCATTTACTACTATAAAGAAAGCAGATGTTGGACAAGTGAAAATACGGTAGATAAGTGAAAACTTCTGTGCAGTGGCAGAATTTGTGACATTATTTGTCAAATGAGCACAAGAAGGTAGCATAATATGGTGGAAATCATGTGGGACTTAGAGTTAGGGAGACATAGGGGCTTAACTCCCAAATGCATCTTCATAATGATGCAATTTTGGGAAAGTGATGTCACCTCTCTGAGCCTCAATTTCACACATGTAAAATAACATCTACAGAAAGTGTTTGTTAGGGGGGTAAAATTAGAAAATGCTGTTAAATACATAACACAGTCTGGTATGTAGCGGGTACTGAAATATCGTCTCTCTCCTTCCCCCTATCCACACCTGACAAATTCTTACCTTCCTCCCAGAACTCCCATAATCACCTCTGTACCCATCTTCTCCAAAACACTTTGCATATATATTGCAGCATGTTCTTTCCACAATTGTATCCTGAAAAACAGATCCATATCACATACGATTTTCTCATCTGTGTTAGTCTATATCACATTACACACTAAGAAGACAAAATTCTCTCAATGTTTTTAAAATTATTATAATTAATAGAACTCAGCAAAGGATGGCATTTTTAAAAAGTACTTACAAGTTGCTTCAGTAAGACGCTTGGGAGGGATCGCAGTTTGATGCTCAGAGGTTGCTTATATGCAAACCCTCTGCCAAATTCCAGCTCCTGGAGCTCTTCTAATTTATGGACAACTTCCAGGCCAATGATTAGGAGTCCAGAGAATCCTTCACAATTTCAACAGGTGGGAGATTACTTTCATGTCTTTTGAATGGTCTTTGTCTCAGCCCCACATATTCATCCATCATTCCACCATTACCATAGCCTTCACCTGTCTTGTCTCAAACTGCATTTTGTTACAATTAAAACTAGTTTGTGGCATGCCTTCTTGAAGAATTTGTCTGATACCTTTCAATCCCACCAGCTGAAAGTTGAACAGAACCACAAAGGACTCTCATAGCTCTCTTATAGCCCCCATTTTGTCATTTCACAGACGGTTTTCAGCCCTCGTTGTATTAAATTAGATCCTTCTAAGCCTATCCCTGAAGTTGACTTTTGGTTTACACTTAGGAATTGTGGCAGTCACTGTGGCTGTTCACAGATGTTCTGGCTCCCCTTCTTAAGGGCACATGATAGGATCGCATGTCTTCAGTCAGGTTATAAACACTCATTGAGGCTCAATTCCTTACCTGTAAAGTATTATCTATCTCATGAAAGTTAGAAGTGACCATATGGCTTGCTCTAGCTAATTAAATGTGAGCAGAAGTGACATGTGTTAATCCCCAGGAGAAATTTTAAGAGTAGTGCACAATTTGCCCCATTTCCTTTCCCTTGCCACAGCAATTACAAAAACAGCTGTTGGGATAGACCCTCCTTCAGCCTGGGTTCTTGAATGGTGAGCAGGAGGCAAAGATGAATCACTTCTTGCTACTTTAAGTCACTGAGGTTTGGAGGTTGTTATTGCTGCATAATCTAGCCTATCCTACCAACGCAGGCATTAAGAGATCATCTGGATTTGTCCACAGAACAAAAATACAAATGAACAAGGGTATTTTGGTAATTCAACTAGAAATCACCTTGTTTGTCGAATTTCAAAACAAATATTACTGTTAATAGTTTGAACAGTAAATTCTTGGCACATACATGCCAATCAGCTTTTTGCTATGGTAAACAAGCTGCTTGAGAACTGTGTGGTTAAAAGTTGTGTACATATTCTTAATTATTCCTTAAAACTAAATTCTTTGAAATGGAATTTCTGATCTAGCATAGCATGTAAGCCAAGTTTAGTCTCTTGTTACATACTCTCAAATCCCCTCCAGAAAACATGCAAGAATTTAAACTTCCAGTGGCGATCTATGTAGTGAATTAAGATGGGAGTAAGGTGTCATAAAAAGATATTCTAGCACATGATTAACCAATGGAAAACATTGTCCCCAGCAAAATATGTTGAATAGACTCGACTGAAGAGGAAAAGAGGTGAAAGGAACTTGAGCAAGTCAAGTTGCTGGTTGTGCATCCTCAGGTTGCTTTTGAGCCTTTACATGGCACAAAGTGGGAATGGTGAGAGTCATAGTGTACAGTTGAACAAGTTGTGCTGCACAAGAACACCCATCTGAGAGAGCTAATGCACGGCCAAATCCAGCCAGCATACCCCTCACCACCCAGGAGCCCAATACACTTGCATCCATGCAGTGTATTGGATGTCCTTCTCTAATTGCACAAAGATGCCATATAGACTAGCAGCAGGAGCTTTTGAAGATGGAGAAGGAGGAAGAATTAAGAGCAAAGAGGGCAGAATTACAATGCAAAGAGCAGAGCCCAGCTTTAGACTGACTCCAGAGTTTAGGAGAAAACGACATATGGACCCCAGATTGGGCTAAAAGAACAAACAGCCCCTCTCACCATTTAAGTAGGAGTTGTACCTTCAACCTCCAACCCTCAAAAGCTAGTCCTGTCTGAGTCAGAAGACCCCGGTCAGTGTCAGGGACATTGTTGAAGAAGGCAGGGAGTTTCAGCCCCAAAACATCCTCTGGCTCATACAAAGAATGAGACTGGGCATCAGCCTCATGAGCACTGAGCCCCACGCACTGGGTGAACACACAGGAAGCTTCATAGAGTCCAGTGCCATCTGGAGAGCTGAGTGCCTCAGTTCCAGTGGGAGGAGGGAGGGAGGCCCACACTGGGCAACCCTATGCACTTACCTCTGCTGTGGAGAAACTCCGATGTTTTTTTCAGTCTTTTTAAATCATCATCCAGTCCATCTGTAAACACTAAAAGGACCTGTTGTTTATGAGAAAGGGGGTTGGCAGAACCAGACAGGGAGGGAGGGAGAAAAGAGAAGTAGGAAGGAGGGAGGGTGGGGAAGGAAGAGAAAAGGAAGGTGATAAGACAGTGAGAGCGGGGAGGAAAAGGGAAAGGAGGGAAGAGGAGGGAAGGGAAGGAGGAAAGGGAAGGAGGCAGGAAGAAGGGAGGGAACAGAGGGGAAGGGGAGAAGGAATGCATAAAATGGATATTATAAATTGTACATTTCCTTAAAATTCAAGAGTGAGTTTTTCTGGTTATGCCTAGCCTTTCACCCTGTTCCTTTTTACTTATTCTTTTATTACGCATTCATCTTTATTTCAACTTCCCCATCCCCCTGGGAAAAAAAAAGAGGATTTGAATCGGCTGAACTTATTTAAAAATACCTTCCAAAAATGCTTATAATATTTATCCTTATCAACAAAAAATACCAAAATATTAACAGAGAGGTGTGTGTGCATGTGTGGTGTATGCAGTGTGGGCAGGGATGGAGGGGAGGAGATGTGGGGGTGGTTGTTGCTAATTTCTGTTATACTTTGTAATGTATTTTCTACAATTGAAATGTGTTTATTTGCTCATAAGAAATTTTTAATTTAAAACAGGAATAAAAAATAAAACATGGATGATATTAGTCAAAAAATACATCCATTGGATGCATAACAACGTAAATGTAAGTTATGAAGTTTGGGGATGTCATTTCCTATTATGTGATGTGATAAACATCACTTAAAAGCTTTCCATCTCTGTGGGCTTTTGTGAGTATATAGTTCAGAGACAGCAGAAGGGAGGGAGAGGCTTGAGGGGTGAGCTGTACTAAATAGCTCTCACTAAAGACAGTTCAAGATGCTGACTGGAAAAATAGCAAGCCTACTCTAAATGGTAATGAGTGACCATAAAAAGCTAAGGAGTCTTAAAACACCTTCCAAGTTGTCTTGGAAATGAATTTATGTTATGGAAGAATATGAATCACTAAACTGTGGGCAATTTGAGAGCAGGGACTTTATTCTTATATTCCTACTAGCATTATTGAGCATAGAACATCTAGGGCTTAAAAAATATTTGTTGTTGAATGAAAACACATCTCTTGTTGGTTTTATTGTGTAACAGGATGGCTTTCCTCTGTGTAAGATCACCAATTAAGAACAATTTAGTTGGCCTCAGTCACAAAGCCTTATCCATTCTACCCTACCTGATGGCTCCATAGCAAGGGTTCTCAGCATTTATTACCTTTACATTAGCAGAAGAGAGATGAATAGCATTATCTCCCAAGGACTGCAAAAAGTTCACATCCATATTGTTATTCCTGGCAGCCTGATGAACCAAGAACTTCTGGATGATCTCATAACTGTATTTTTCAAAGCCTGAGTCAAAGGTAAGCTGGCCATTTGAGCCAGGCACCAAGTAGCGGAATCTTGGGTCGATCTGATCAGAAATGCCACGGCTGATGTTAGAAAGTAAAGCCAACTGTTGCATCAGCTCTGGCAGTAACCCTTGAAGCTTCTGCTGAATTTTCTTTGAAGGAGTTGAGATATCAATTCCTACAGACAAATCCAGGTTGCATCCTTTGAAGGTGAAGAAAATAAAATTAGTCATCTGCAGGTGCATAACTAAGCCCAGAAGATATCAGCCAATCCAGCCCTAAAAGACAAACCCCCAGCCAACCCACAGAAGCATAAGCTAAATAGTGGTAGTTTAAGTTTTGGGATTGTTTGTTACACAGCAAAAGCTAATTGATACAATACATCCTGTTTCATAGCTTTATGCCTCTGCAGATCCTACTCCCTTTGCCTAAAGTGTCTTTTCCCATCTTCCCACCCCAGTCTGGTCCTTCAAGTAGTAGTTCAAGTGCCTGCCCCACCCCACCCCACTCACCAAGCACTCTCTGGTTTTTGTCCTCACCTCCTCATGTTAAGTTATTAAATGCCCGTGCATGCTCATTGTTACTTTATTTGACCTTCTTCCTGACTAAACAAGGATTCCTTGATGGTAATGACTATGCCGTCTAATTTTCCAATTGCCTAATACAGATGTTCATTAAATGTTTGACAAATCAATGAAGAAAAGGATATAAATGAGCCTTAAGTCTCTTTCAACAATAACTGGAATTATTTCCTTCTTCCCTGATAGTGTTTTTCCTCATTCACCACCCATGCCTATACCTTGTTTCAGCAGCATGGGAGCATATTAGAAAATGTCAGGAAAAAATCACTCCCAATTATCTGTTTCTTATATCTAAAAATAGTTAAGCCCTCTTGGGTAGCTTTTCTCTGGAATTTGAAGGCCAATTAATATTTCAGGCTATACCTATACACTTACCAGTATATAATAAAATTTTGCACAAAATTCCACTAAGGATCAAAAGTTGATGGTCAGAGACACATCTGAGTTGGAATCTGGTTGGATGAATTAAAATGTAACAACCTTAAAAGGGCACCTATTAATTACTTCTGCACAACAAGCATAACTTAGGACTGTCCAAGGCAATCCAGGACATGCCAACATTTTCTCCTTAGATCATCACACACTAGAGTATATGATGATGTAAGGATCTGTGTCTATAACAGAATCTATATACCTGTATCAGAATCTGCAAGAACAGAACTGCAAATGGGGAGGAACAATTTGAGGGAAAATAAATATGTAGTAGACCATTCACCATGGACAGTAGCTTAAAGTTTCCCAAAAACCTGAGATCAGAGCTGAGCCATGAGCATTCAGTCCCCTAAATGTCATACTCCATGCTAGCTGGTAAGATATATTTCTGGAACTGCCAAGACAGAAAATGCCTTCATCTCCTCCTTTCACATAAAATATCTTAGTTTGGTTTGGTTTTTTAAATATGTAATTCAAATTTATAAAAATGAGCCTTCACAGATGTAAATCCCATTTCTATATTGGACCTAATTTCAGAAAAAAAGGAATTTCCTTTTTGTAGTATGGCATATTATTCCAACATTTCTAATTCACATTTTCACCAGGAACATTTCCAGCTGGCTCTGTTCTATAATTGACAAATGCAAGAAGCAATTTCTTTCCCTTTTAATGGAGAGGATTAAATCTTGCCAGGTAATCTCTAAGGTCTTTTTCAGGTTTATGATTCTAGAATTCTATAATTAATTAGAGTCTAGCCCTTATTAAAGTGTCTAGCTAATTTCATCAAAAAATTTAAAGACAAAGTTGAAGATAAACATAAATCCTAACTTACTATAAGGGGCAAAATAAACTGAAAAAAGAAGCTGAATCCTATATCTCCTCTTCTCCCCAGTGTAATACCTACCTGCGTATAAACAAAAAATAGGACTTTGGTGACTAAAAAACTCTGAACTACTTAATGTAGGACATGCCATAATTCATGCTTCTTTTAAAAATAATTGTACATGTGCATTCTTTTCAGATGATTTTCAAATTTGGCTAGACTACTGCAAAGTAGTTATATTTTTTTGTCAATATAAGCAAAGATATTAATTTAATGTCCTAGAAAATTGGACTTCAAAGTTTTGGTGGAATGCAGGGTTCTCATCCTAGTCCTCCAAAATTAAGTCTCTGTTTCCAAAATAAGACCTAGCCCAGGCCAGTCACAGTGGCTCAAACCTGTTATCCCAACACTTTGAGAGGACAAAGAGGAAGGATTGTTTGAGTCTAGGAGTTCAAGACCAGCCTGGATAACACTGGGAGACTCTGTGTCTACATAAACTTAAAAAAAAAAAAAAAACGAGCCGATGTCCACTCGCCTGTGGTCCCAGCTAGAGGTGAAAGGATCGCTTGAGCCTGGGAGTTTGAGGCTGCAGTGAGCTGTGATCATACCACTGCACTCCAGCCTGGGTGACAGAGTGAAATCCTGTCTAAAAATTTAAAAACAAAACAAAACAAACAAACAAAAATCTTGACCCAAGTATGGCCCTAGTTTCTCATAGAGAGGCTTCATAGGCATACATAATGCTTAGTGGTTGGACTTTTGACACCAAACTGCTGGGGAATTCAAACTCAGCCTCTATTACTTCCTGTCTATGTTTCTTAACCTCTCCCTTCTTGTTTTTTTTTTTTCAGTCTGGAAATTGAGTATCATAATGATAGCACGTGCTTCACATGGGTTTGATGTGAATGTTAGATGAATGTATACCATCTAACACATTAGAAATAGTGCTTTGCATTCAACCTTGAGTTTTAAAAAAAAGGAAAAAAATAGTGCTACATACATAATGGAAAAAAACAAGTAAGAATCTAGACTGTGCCCCACCTGGAGCCTGCCCTGCCTTTAGAATGCCAGTTAGATGGAATAAAATGTGTCCTTCTTACTTGAGTTTTCTATTACTTGTAGGCAAAAACATCCTACCTGATAAGAGGATTTTTCTTAATACTGCTTGTTATCTCAGACTTGTTGTGAGAAATCAAGTAAAATAAAGGATGAGAAAGTGCTCTATAAATGTCAAGAGCCCATATTCTGCCTCCCAGCAGAAGGCTGAAGGTGGCAGGACCTCATCAAGAGGCACACAGTTAAGTAAGAACATAGAGGTGAGTAGCCTCTTCTTTTCAGCCTAAAACTACAAAAAAAAAAAAAAAAACCTTCTAGATCCAATTAAATGCACATCTATTTAGGGACATAATAACAAAATGATTTCCTGTATTCACATGATCACTTGAAGGAATTTTGAGTTTTATGGGTTCCATTATATATCCTTTGACATAATTCCTTGCTATGCTCGAAGTTATACCATTCTATCACATTCTGTGCTATCCTGTACTATACCATACCATACATATTGTATTTCACTATACTATGCTTTATTGTGCTTCATTGTACTGTACTATACTATACCACACTACACTATCCTATCCTATCCTACCCTACCCTACCCTACCCTACCCTACCCTACCCTATCCTATCCTATCCTATCCTTTCCTATCCTATCCTACTACTCAATGTATGATGAGGCCTGCAAAATCTGCGTCACCTGGGAGCTTGTTAGAAATCCAGAATGCCGATCTGCTGAATTCAGAATCTGCATTTTAACAAGATCCCTAGATGATTCAAATGTATGCTTAAGTTTGGGAGCCCTTCAATCACCCACTGAAAGGCAAGTCTTGGGGAAGAAAAGCGGACCCCAACTGTCAAAAGGAACAACCCCTGTCTTTGCGCCTTGCAGCTTTGGATAAAAACTTGAGGAGACGGAATGGGATTAAGGATGACCTTGGCCATATGGAAGAAGATTGGCAACAAAGTAGGCAGACCCCTGTACAGAGCCTCATGGAGAAGACACTGTATTCTATTTCATAAGAGAGACTGTCTAACTGACATTATTCTCTGCTTCTATTTCCCTCTTGACATGGCCAAACCTTCAGCACGTTGTGTTTACACATTCCAATCTGGTTTTGCCTATGCTATAAGGAATTAAAGGAGGAGTTGTGAGGACTTCCTAGAGACAGAGTTCTAAGAAGCTTCAGGCCTTCAGAAACCAAAGTGATGACAACCATGGGAATGATTAAAAGAATCCCCAGGGGAGGGTGAACAACAGTGTCAGGAGTTCAGGCCCTACAGGGTGATCTCCTGCTCCCCTTCTTGCCTAGTTAGAAGGATCAGAGTTTTACTTTATTAAGAGAACCAACAGGATCTCTAACACCTATGATGAGCTTGTGGATCAAATAACAATTCTCTGTCACTCACCTTGTGGATCACAGACCTTAGAAAGAATTTCCTTCTCCAGGTTCTGCAGGGCCTCAAAATTTACATCATGGTACACTTTGTCCTCATCATTAGTTATCTCCAAAAGCTGCGATTTTTTGGCTTCTCCCACCCCAATGGCAAAAATAATTGTGTTTTTGTCCCTGAGGGCTTTGGCTGGTATGATTACATTATCTTGGGCCACCCCATCGGTGATCACAATCAAATATTGTTGAACACTGGGTCTCCCTCCTTTTGAACTGTCAAAAAAAGGCAGAGTGAAATTCAGAGCTTTCCCAGTGCGGGTGCCATCCCTCATCTGCTGAACATCAAAGATGGCCCTGTAAATGTCCACCTTTGAGGATTATTGGTTGAGCCTGAATTCTTCCTGGGGGATTGAGCTGAACTGCAAAAGGCCAATTTGTTTTTTTTTTGTTTTTTTTTTTTTTAATTTTTATTTTTTTTATTGATCATTCTTGGGTGTTTCTCGCAGAGGGGGATTTGGCAGGGTCATAGGACAATAGTGGAGGGAAGGTCGGCAGATAAACAAGTGAACAAAAGTCTCTGGTTTTCCTAGGCAGAGGACCCTGCGGCCTTCCGCAGTGTTTGTGTCCCTGGGTACTTGAGATTAGGGAGTGGTGATGACTCTTAACGAGCATGCTGCCTTCAAGCATCTGTTTAACAAAGCACAACTTGCACCGCCCTTAATCCATTTAACCCTGAGTGGACACAGCACATGTTTCAGAGAGCACAGGGTTGGGGGTAAGGTCACCGATCAACAGGATCCCAAGGCAGAAGAATTTATCTTAGTACAGAACAAAATGAAAAGTCTCCCATGTCTACCTCTTTCTACACAGACACGGCAACCATCCGATTTCTCAATCTTTTCCCCAACTTTCCCCCCTTTCTATTCCACAAAACCGCCATTGTCATCATGGCCCATTCTCAATGAGCTGTTGGGTACACCTCCCAGACGGGGTGGTGGCCGGGCAGAGGGGCTCCTCACTTCCCAGTAGGGGCGGCCGGGCAGAGGCGCCCCTCACCTCCCGGACGGGGCGGCTGGCCGGGCAGGGGGCTGACCCCCCCACCTCCCTCCCGGACAGGGCGACTGGCCAGGCGGGGGGCTGACCCCCCCACCTCCCTCCCGGACGGGGCGGCTGGCCGGGCGGGGGGCTGACCCCCCCACCTCCCTGCCCGGGCGGGGGGCTGACCCCCCACCTCCCTCCCAGATGGGGCGGCTGGCCGGGCGGGGGGCTGACCCCCCCACCTCCCTCCTGGACGGGGCGGCTGGCCGGGCAGAGGGGCTCCTCACTTCCCAGTAGGGGCGGCCGGGCAGAGGCGCCCCTCACCTCCCGGACGGGGTGGCTGGCCGGGTGGGGGGCTGACCCCCCCACCTCTCTCCAGGACGGGGCGGCTGGCCGGGCGGGGGGCTGACCCCCCCACCTCCCTCCCGGACGGGGCGGCTGGCCGGGCGGGGTGCTGACCCCCCAACCTCTCTCCAGGACGGGGCGGCTGGCCGGGCGGCGGGCTGAGCCCCCCACCTCCCTCCTGGACGGGGTGGCTGGCCCGGCAGAGGGGCTCCTCACTTCCCAGTAGGGGCGGCTGGGCAGAGGCGCCCCTCACCTCCGGACGGGGCGGCTGGCCGTAGTGGGGCTGACCCCCCCACCTCCCTCCCGGACGGGGCGGCTGCCGGGCGGAGACGCTCCTCACTTCCCAGACGGGGTGGCTGCCGGGCAGAGGGGCTCCTCACTTCTCAGACGGGGTGGTTGCTGGGTGGAGGGGCTCCTCACTTCTCAGACGGGGCGGTTGCTGGGCGGAGGGTCTCCTCACTTCTCAGACGGGGCGGCTGGGCAGAGACGCTCCTCACCTCCCAGACGGGGTCGCAGCCGGGCAGAGGCGCTCCTCACATCCCAGACGGGGCGGCGGGGCAGAGGCGCTCCCCACATCTCAGACGATGGGCGGCCGGGCAGAGACGCTCCTCACTTCCCAGATGGGATGGCTGCCGGGAAGAGGCGCTCCTCACTTCCTAGATGGGATGGCGGCCGGGCAGAGACGCTCCTCACTTTCCAGACTGGGCAGCCAGGCAGAGGGGCTCCTCACGTCCCAGACGATGGGCGGCCAGGCAGAGACGCTCCTCACTTCCTAGACGGGGTGGCGGCCGGGCAGAGGCTGCAATCTCGGCACTTCGGGAGGCCAAGGCAGGCGGCTGGGAGATGGAGGTTGTAGCGAGCTGAGATCACACCATTGCACTCCAGCCTGGGCACCATTGAGCACTGAGTGAACCAGACTCTGTCTGCAATCCCGGCACCTCGGGAGGCCGAGGCTGGCGGATCACTAGCGGTTAGGAGCTGGAGACCAGCCCTGCCAACACAGCGAAACCCCGTCTCCACCAAAAAAGTACGAAAACCAGTCAGGCGTGGTGGCGTGCGCCTGCAACCGCAGGCACTCGGCAGGCTGAGGCAGGAGAATCAGGCAGGGAGGTTGCAGTGAGCCGAGATGGCAGCAGTACAGTCCAGCTTCGGCTCGGCATCAGAGGGAGACCGTGGAAAGAGAGGGAGAGGGAGACCGAGAGGGAGAGGGGAGAGGGGAGAAGGGAGAGGGAAGAGGGAAGAGGGGAGAGGGGAGAGGGGAGAGGGGAGAGGGGAGAGGGAGAGGGAGAGGCAGGGCTGGTCTTAAAGGGAGAAGAGCATGCTCCCAAAAGGCCAATTTGAATTCCATCAGTACCAATATTAGATTGGTTCACCATGCTCTCCACAAATCTTTTCATCTTTTCAAAGTCTTTTGGGGAGATAGATTCTGAACCATCTATCAGGAAGATAATGTCAGCTTTACTATTCTTACAGGCTGGGGAAAAAGGAAACAGAACAGAACATTCATTAGAAATCTGAAACCAAAAAAAAACAAAAAACAAAAAAAGAATCTGAAGCCAATTAATTACAAGTCCCCAGGGACAGTCTGGAATGGCATATATACAACATGAAAATATTTTAGAAGGGAGTGGAAGAGGAATTCAATGAAACAAATATTCTGCAACCCAGCAGAGTTGCTCTGCAATTCAGAGTAGTCTCAAAATAAGATACAGCTGTATGATAAATATATAAAACTTGACCATCTTGCTTCATTCTAGGTTGTGGTCACTTTGAGTGTCCGATACTAAGCTGCCAACCAGTGAATCCATGATTAAAGAATGAAGCTGGCTAGGTGTGGTGGCCCACACCTATAATCCTAGCACTTTGGGAGGCTGAGGCAGAAGGATTGCTTGAGCCCAGGAGTTCAAGACCAGCCTGGACAACACAGCAAGATCCAGTCTTGGGGAAAAAATGCGTAAAAGAATGAAGCTTACTTAAATAAATCAGGTACATATTCTTGGAGAGGTGGGAAAGGAGATTGAAAAAGAAAAAGTCTTACCCTCTGAGGAGCAGATGTCCTGTACCACTTCTTTTTGGATGTCCTTCAGTAAATCAAACTCATACACAAAAAATATCTTGTCTTTAGCTATTTCCTTAAGCTCATCAATGTTAGCTTCTCTTATTCCAATGGCATAAATGTTAACTCCATTTGCCCTCAATCCCTCTGCAGCCTCAGCCACCGAGTCTGAAGATTTACCATCAGTGATGACTATAACATATCGAGCAACATTGATTCGGCCGGTGTCTGCAAAAACCTGAGTCATGTTGTTCAAGGCCTCACCGGTTTTGGTGCCACCTCCCCCCTGCTGGATGTTATCAATGGCTACCTTCAGCTCTGTCACACTGGGATACTGGCTGAGGATAAATTTACTTTTAATTTTGTCTGAGTACTGAATGATTCCAAACTGTACTCTGTTGGGCCCGATCTGGAACATCTTTATCACTTCATTCATGAACACCTTCATCTCAAGAAAATCTTCTGGATAGATGCTGCCAGACCCATCAATAAGGAAGTAAATATCTGCCTTTTCGATGTGCACACAACCTAGGCAATAAAAAGAAGCAAGAACCCATCATAACAGAGTCTGAGATGGTGAAGAACCAGAGCGATTGATCCCAATCTCCAACCGTATTCTCTCAGTACTCTTTGTTCCCTTGACAGCACCTGTGACTCTGCCTACAGGCACTCTTTGGCCAAGAGCATGATCAGCTGGCACACTAGGAAGACCAGAATGCCTGGGAGTGAGTCCAGAAGCAGCCACCACCCAATAACTGGCAGAGGTTGGTGGATAAAGACCCCAGCTCCCTTGTTCATTGCATAGAACCACTCTAAGGTAAGTCCTGCATGGTTTCCCTGAGTCCCCAGTTGCCTGTAGCAGTAACCTGTAGATTACTCCTCATCCCGAATTGGTTCTTAAATCTCCACTCTCCTATAAGCATCCCCTGGCATCACCACCCAGATAAATAATTTGCATCCAAATCATTGTCTCAGAGTCTGTTTCTGATCAACCCCACTTAAGACACGAAGGAAATGTAACTTGACATTTCTCAAATGGGGAAGTTAAGGAAATGAAAGTAAAATCAGAGCACATTTGAAGCTATGAATTGTTTCATATTCCATTATCCCTGCCTCCCATCCAAGTTGTGCTTTTTAAGTACATGGGCAAAAGTGTGTACATCCTAAAATTTAATTTAATTTAATAATTTGACAAGTTAATTTAAAACATTCTCTATTAAATGAGCCTGAATTAGGAAACAACAGATGCTAGTGAGGCTGTGGAGAAATAGGAACGCTTTTATACTGTTGGTGGGAATGTAAATAAGTTCAATAACTGTGGAAGACGGTATGGCAATTCCTCAAGGATCTAGAACCAGAAATGCCATTTGACCCAGCAATCCCATTACTGAGTATATACCCAAAGGAATGTAAATTATTCTACTATAAAGACACATGCACATATCTGTTTATTGCCATATTATTTACAATAGCAATGACATGGAACCAACCAAAATGCCCATCAATGATAGACTGGATAAAGAAAATGTGGTACATATATACCGTGGAATACTATGCAGCCATAAAAAGGAATGAGATAATGTCCTTTGCAGGGACATGGATGAAGCTGGAAGCCATCATTCTCAGCAAACTAACACAGTAGCAGAAAACCAAACACCGCATGTTCTCATTCATAAGTGGGAGTTGAACATTGAGAATAGATGGACACTGAGAGGGAAACAGCACACACCAGGGCCTGTCGGGGGGTGGTGGGTTGAGGGGAGGGAACTTAGAGGACAAGTCAATAGGTGCAGCAAACCACCATGGCACACGTATACCTACGTAACAAACCTGCACGTTCTGCACATGTATCCCATTTTTTTTTAGAAGAAATTGTTTTAAAAAAGAGTCTGAATTAAATCAGTCACCTTGTGTTAAAGCCCAGCCTCCAGGGCAAGTGGCTCTAAATTTAATCCTGTCTCCTCGGTTACTAGCAAGCTTGGCCCCCTTGCATCTCAGTTTCCTGATCTATAAAATGAGGATGTTGACACCTACTCAGTAAGCTTATTGTGAGAAGACAGTAATATCATGTAAACAGAGCAGAGCTCAGTATTAAAGATGTAGAGTTAAAAGTAGCTGGTGTTTTATTATTTTTGTCATCTAGCAGATTCCTCTAAAAAATATATGTATATATTTTCTCCACTCCCTCTCAATAAGGGCAGCCCAGCCTTGAGTTGTTAATCTCTGGATTCCCTTGGCCCCAGGAAGAGCCTTTTCATTTCTCGGCTGAAAGGGAAGTTGTCTAAGGTGGGAATTGGGCTCCCTGCTCAGGTCTTCATGTGGGAGGACCTAGGTCCATGCAATATGTGTGGCATACTTAAAAAACCCTTGTTGTTTATATGAATGAAATTCAAATGTAATTGGGTGTCCTATATTTCATCTGGCAATGCTATCCTAAAGGGGCATTCATTGGAAAGGAATGTAGCTTAAAGCGGGTAGAGAAAGGAGTCATTTACCCCATGGTAAGTGTTTGCTGAATTCTGGAGAGTAGGGGCGAAATTATGGAAAAATAAGGCAAAAACCCAAACTTTGCTGGACTCCAGCATCCACTGGTGACACATACATGGCTACCCAGCGTCAGAGAAAAGGACCACCGTGCAGGAAAGGGCATCTCTGCAGCTAGCCCCTATAGGAGCAGCCCAAGGAGGCTTCACTATAATCCAGGGCCCTTGGATTGTCAAGAGGAGCCGAGGACCCTAAATATTGCCTGCACTGTACATTCTTGTCAGTCTTAGCAGATTGGGGGAAAAGAGAAAGAGAATATTTCTTACAGTCTGGAGGTTGCCGAGCATTCACATCAATCATACACATAAAGTGCTTAGCAGAGTATCTGACACATGGCAAATGGCCAGTAAATAGTAGATATTATGATCATTGTGATCATCCAAGACAAAATTCTGGTAAAATCATCATAGCTTCTATTTACCTCTAGGCTACTCCCTTCCCCAACCCATCTAGACTTTGGGCTACTTTTTCTGATTGCAAGTTTCTTTTTAGCTTCTCTGCAGTATCAAAAAACAACAACAACAACAACTCTCAGCTCTTCATATTGTGAACTAGTAGTGCTCGTCTTCTGTCCTTCTCATCCACAGAATATAGGCAGATAGGCACACGGAAATGAAATTCACATTATAACAATTTTGTATCTCATTCCTAGAACTGAGAAAGGAACTAAAAATATAGGTCAAAGAGAAAGATAGAAATTTATTTAGATATTTCAGATTTCTAGACCTCAGCACAAGTAATCAAGAAATTACCAGATCACTCAGTGTTTAACAAGAAAAAAAGCTCAGTGATTTTCCCTTGAAAACATAATTACAGCCTTGAATTTTTACCTCAATTATGTACATTTCAACGATTCTAATTTAAATCTATGATTCTAATTTGAATCTAAGAAATACTAGCATGGGTAGACAAAAATAGATTAGAAGACAGACAGACACAAAGATTTTCATAACAGCCAGTAAGTGCCAAATCTAGGATTTAAAATTTGGGCATTCATATGCCAAAGTGCACACACTTAACCACTATGTTTTTTCTGGTGTGTGTGTTTTTTTGTTTAACTGGGTATGTAGTAGGAACTCTCCTGACCAACCTCCACTTTAGTGACTCCCAGATAAATCAATGTTCTCCCTTCCCTCTGTAAAGCATGAGTGATGCTCCCATAAAACAATGAGTGCCTGAAGTTCCGCTTCAACCAGTGAAAGAACAAGCTTACCAAGATGAAGGCGGGTTTGTCCCCAGCTTGTTTATGGCAGTTTTGTTGTTATAATTACATAATTAATCAAATATTGTGCAAATCAGCAGGATTTGAGTGTGAGTAAAAGAGATTTATTGCATCTATGAAAACCAGCTTAACTGCTTTAAAGACTCAATAAAAGAGTTATTTTTTAAAAAATTGCCAGTGTACTAGATAGCATTACAAAAGATTGCATTTTTAAGATTATAAAAATCAATAGCTATTTCTGTTTCTGTTTTGAATTGTTTCAAAAGTCACTCTCCTTTAAAGAAACTGAAACTGGAAATTATTGATAACATAACATTGGATGGTTTATAAAGAAAATACATGAAATCCAATCAGCAGGGCTCATACTCAAAGAAGCCTTGGCCCTATACCAAAAGATTGGCAAATTAACATTCATTTATATGTATTAAGTTAATTTTTTAAATTTCATGTGAGAAACAATAGTTTCTGAGAAGAAAATAAATAAATAAGAAAATAACATTTTAAAAATTCAAGTATGTTTGTATCCTTTTTAAAGTAGTTGCCTGCTTCAGTGACTTAAGATTTGATCAGTCCACACTCGGTTCCTTAGGGCTTCTACTGTAAATATACACAACTCTTCATCAAACTGTTAAAACAGAAGGGGGCCAGACATGGTGGCTCACACCTGTAATCCCAGAGCTTTGGGAGGCCAAGTATCAAGGATCACTTCAGGCCAGAAATTCGAGACCTGCCTGGGCAACATAATGAGACCCTGTCTCTGCAAAAAAGATTATAAAATTAGCTGGGCATGGGAGTGCATGCCTGTAGTCTCAGCTACTTAGGACGGTGAGGCTGGAGGATCACTTAACCCCAGAAGTTCAAGGTTACAGTGAGCTATGATTGTGCCACTGCACTCCAGTCTGAGTGACAGTGCAAGATCAAAATTTACATAATTTTTAAAAGGGATGAAGGATAAGATGGGAGGTGCTAGAAATGTTGCCTTTTTACTTCATATTCTCCTGCATTGTTTGGCATCAAGATAAACAAAGTTTCAGTTTCTGGTTTTTTAATGAATTGACTTCAAAATCTTTTCTTTGTTGGAGGATAGACGAGATGGGTACATGGAGCAATTAAAAAAACTAAGAAAAGTTTTTTGTTTAAAAACATCAAATTTGGAAAAGACCCTCCTACCTTCTTGTAGGGGATAGCTCGTCCCACTAATGGAAACTTTACTGTCCACCATCTCAGAGCAGAGCTGGTGTGTAAGCTTGCTTCCTACTATGGAGAGCTGCAAAAAGGATTCCAGGGGGACTGAATTCTTCCAAGGAGGATATGATGCTATCTTCTCCAGGTCCTTACTCTCTGAGACATTGTGGGTGCCCACTGCATAGATGGTGACGCCTGCCCTTCGGAGGTGGGAAGCGGGTCTAGATACTCTGTCTTGGGAGAAGCCTTCCGTGATGACTACAGCTATCTGCTGCACACCGTGGTTGGACCGGCTACCCTTCTCCTGAATGAAAACCTCGTTCCTCAGGAAATCTAATGCAGCACCAGTCTTCGTCCTTCCTTTTCTTTCCCGGTAGGTTAATTTGTCCAAATGCTCCAAGATTTTGGCTGGATTCTGAAATGCATCCAGTGAAAATTCAAGTCGTGGTTCCTCACTGTAGAAGACCAAGCCAAGTCTCACAGTATCAGGACGAATGTTTAGAGAACTGACAATGGTCTTTAGGAAATTGACAACTTGTTGGAAATTGGGTTGCCTAACCCTGCTAAATTCCTCAATGAGGAATATTAAGTCAGCCGGGACAGCAGTTGCGCACGCTGCAAACAGACAAAATCAGGAAGAACGGCTTTAGCATAACAGCATTAATATAACATAAAGACAACATTAATATATAAAAGCTGTACTATGATGTATTTTATATGTTACATAATATATTTATTATTACAATTATAATAATATATATCATATGAACTTATATTTCTACATTTTATAATTTAAAAGAAGCCTTTATTTGGCATGATCGTCAAAGAACATCACAGGGTTCATACCTATTTCAGAAATTCTCATGTGGAAGAGTATTCACATCACTTGCAAAATATTTAAATATATGAATATTGACAGTAAAGTGCTTCAAGATTGCTTTTCAATTTATCTAAGTCCATCAGAAGAATCTGAGTCTTGACTAATTTTTCTTCATTCTTCTAGTTTCAAGAGACTCTAGGTCAAATTCTCATTTATAGGCCTGAAACCTCCCAAAAGATGAAAATTAACTGTGGCTGTTAATTTCTAAACCCTTCTCTGATGAATATCATGTCATTTTAACAGAGGCAGCCTGAAATGTTGCATGTTTCTATGAAAAATCTTTATCCAAATATTAGGCCAGCTGGCTGTTTCATTTTGCTACAGAAGAACTTTCCCTTCGACTTACCTCAGAAGGAATAAAACATAAACTCGCTGCCAAGAAGAATGCAAACACCACTCTCTCTATTTGAGACAGTGCCTATTGCAGGGAAACCCACTGTGTCCACATAGTTTCAAGGTCCGTATCTGCTTTGATCTGTGAAAAAGGAAATCTCCCTAGCAGAGAGCCAAAACCATACATGCAGAAGCTTGAAACCACTGTGCAAACAACTGAATATTGTGAAACAAGGTTTAGGGGCAATAGAATAACCTTTTAACTTTCTCTTTTGTCTCCTGGTGTCCTGAAATTTCCCCTGTGGTCCTTTTTCATAAAGAATCAAAATTCAATCCTAGATTTTAAAAAAGGGTGTTGTCCACAATTTTAGCAAATCTAAAACACCAACGCTAGAAACTCCAGACATCTTTGACAGCTCCCTTCCTTCACCTTCTTGTACCAAATGCTGTTATTCTCCTTTCAAATTGTCTTCAGGATTCCTTCCCTTTCCTCATTATCAAAGCCACCCTTGGGCTGGGCCCAGACATCCTCTCCATGTGGCCAGATGACAGCTCAGCCTTAAAGTCTTTCTGAGTCTGAGGTGCCATTTGGAACCCCACCTGCCCTCTGAAGGTTTCCTGAAAGACTGCTTTGGTCATGTCATACTTCTTGCTTAAAAGCTGCCCACCAATTACTTCTAGTGTCTTTGGGATCCTGTAGTCAGGGTCTATCATACCTAATCCAATCTCATCTCTCACTACTTCTATACTCTTCCACTGATCCAAATTGGCTCCATTTTTAAACTTTCTTCCACATTCATCCAGACCATTCCCATTTCCATACCCTTACCAGGAGTGTAGACCCCTTATATGGTTCTTCCCCTTGCCCAGAGTACCCTCCTCCTTTCTCCTATATATTAAAATAATACCTGTTATAGAGGGACCAGCACAATTCCTTCCAGCCCACATCCTCTAGTATGTCCTCCTTTTGTACTATCTATCTCTGCTTAATATAGTATCTCCATAAGGTGCTTCTTAGTTCCTTATTACCTCTGTTTGGATTTTCCTCTTCTTGTCACATATGTGTTTGTCTTTTTTCTGCCCATAAATTTCCAAGGACCCCAAGCTCTAATTGTTGATAGGTCTGGGCAGAGGTGTGACAATTCTGAGAAAGGAAAAATTGGCCACTTCTAGTTGTGGGGCTCAAAGGATGCTTCATCAAGAGGGTAACTTAAGAACTGAAGGGTAAATTTTGACTGTGGGCATCACAAGCTGATATTATAGTGTATTCAAGAGCAGAGACAGAGGTTGGAAAGGATGATATACATACAGCAAATTATGAGTAGTTCAGCTTGGTCGGTGAATAGAATGTGTACAAAGACTTAGCAGGAGATAAGGCTCAGTGGTTCTCAGCCAAGAGTGGTACCTATCTACAAAGGACATTTTGGAAATGTATGGGGATGTTTTGGATTACCATAATGATTCAGGGATGATACTGGCAGAAACTAGGGATATTAAACCTCTGACAATGCACAGGACAATTCTACACTATGAATTGTCCTAACCAAAATGCCATTAGTAACTCCCTTGAGTGTCTTGGATGCCAACATAAGGAAGTACTTTATCTAATCTATGGGGAGAAGCCTGAGTGCTCCTTCTCCTGGAAAAGGTATATGGTAATTTAGATTCTTACTCAGAAATATTATCTCCTTACTCCTTATTTCCATGGGAAGATATACTTTTCTACTCTACTGATCTCAGCATAGCCATATGACTGGCTTGAGCCAATGAAATGTTAGCAGGTGATGCAGCAGAGGTTTGAGAAATGCTTATGCAATTGGTTTTCTCTCTGGTACCTCTGCAATTACCAGGAGAAGAATATGCCCAGACTAGCCTGATGATCCCAGGAATAAGAAGAGAGATATGTGGAGCAGAGCCAAACCTAGATCAACCAACACCCAGACAAATCCCAAATCTGTGAAGAGGCCCAGACAATATCAGCAAAGCTGTTTGTTTGGGCCCAGCCAAGATCAGCTGTTCCTCAACCGATCTGTGAGAATAAGTGATTCTTTTCAGCCACTGACTTTTCACCCAGTTTGTTATGCAGCATCATTGTGACCATAGTTAACTAAAACAAGGTTGTGCCTGAGGCATCTCATGCTTCCTACTCTTCCCTGTCTGCTAGTGCTAGTGCCCCAGTACTGAGGAATCCAGAATACCCACCTTCTCTGCTCTTTCCCCAGACCTTCCTCTTACACTGAGATCTCCCAGTGGCTCACATATTCTAGGACCAAACTTTACCTCCTACAGCCTCCTCGTTGGCTGTAATCCTGTGTTCCTGCTGTCTAGTCCCTTGGATCACCACATTCATATCTTCTACTATGTGTCTGACTTCATCTTCTCTCTGCACATCATAGACAAGGTCTGGGGATCCCGTCCCTTCCAGTTCTCTCCTGTCAAAGTCCTGCACACCCACAGACATAACTTTCACACCTTTCTCTCTTAGTCTCTGTGCAGCATCCTGGACTTCATCCTCTGATTTGCCTGAATTAATGACCACTGCATACTGGGGAATGCCCTGGAGAAACCTGCTTCCTGCTTCCTCCTGGAAGAATGTCTGAAGAAGGTATCACAGTGCCTTGCCTGTCCTCCTGGAGCAACCCAGGGGCACAAAATGCTCATGAATGTGAGCTATCATCTCATTCTGGGTCTTGTAGGTATTGAGCAAAAACTCAGTGTGACCTTGGTCACCATACTGAGCCAGCCCAATTTGGTACTTGTCCCTGCCAACCTCCAGCATGCCAACCACTCTGGAGAGGAAATTCTGCATCCTCTGGAAACTGGCCCGTGATGTGTCTTGTGATGTGTCAGCAAGAAAGACCATGTCTGCATAGGCTTTGATGAATTCTGGAAGTAAAGGGAAAGGGAGACCAGGGGGCCAGAAAAAGACAAAAGGAGAAAGTAAATCAAATCAAACTCTCATGAAAATTGAATATAAGGATCGTTTTGTGTGCCCAATGTGAGAGGTAGAAGTCCTATCTTTATACAACTCTCTGTATATTGTACTTCCCTTCCTCTATGTGGGACTCTATCACAAGGCTTTTCCTCTCTTATAGCCTGCTGCCTTGTTGTCTGTTTTATTATACTAACCTACCTTTCAATTACTCTTGTTCAAACAATAGAGGAGGCAAGGGAAGTTAACTGAGGATACATTTTATGCTAGAGCTTTTTATACATTTTATCTGATTTAATCCTCATAAGCCTTTCTTCTAGACAAGTATTATTTTCTTTGTGAAGATGAGAAAATTGAAGTGAAAAAGTGAAGCCACTTGTCCTTGCTGACACAACTAGAAAGTGGCAAAGACAGGATTAAAAAACAGGTCTTCTGGCTTTCAAAACCCATGCTGTTTCCTTTGAACAACATGGCAAGATGTTCCTTTCTACCCACAAGAACTCCATCCGGCCTTCAATCCTTTCCCCTAGGAAGCCTCCCCAGGTTCTCCAGTGATGCTGGGCACTCCTTTCCCTCCCATACACCCAGCATATTCTGGGTTATATTTTAGTAAGCTGGCATGGTTGGAATCTTGGGTTCTAACACAGCTTCTTACCTTTTATCTTACCCTCCACTGCTGAGCACAGAGTCTGAAGAATACTTCCTGAAAAATCCTGCAGGATATTGAAGTTTTCAGTGTTGAAGAGAAACTTCTCAAATGGCTCACTGGTTATTTTTTGCAACTCTTGGACATCCTGGACATTGACCCCTACCACATAACACAACAACTCCATCTTCTTTCAACCGGTCAGCCACCTCCTGGACCTCATCATTTGACTCCCCGTCAGTCACCAGGATAACTATCTGAGGAACTCTGTCCTTGGCCCGACTGCCAGACTCCTCAGTCAAATAGTTGGTCCTGATAAACTCCAGGGCGCTCCCTGTGTTTGTGCCTCCTGTGCGGTATGGCAGATTCTGGATCTGCTCCAAGATCATGCTCTTCAGAGGGTGCTGGTTCAGCTGGAAGGCTGGGTAGATGTTGTCATTATACTGGGCAAGTCCCACTCGGACACGGTCACTGCTGATGTCAAGCCCCAAGATGACGGAGTAAAGGAAGTTCTTGACTTTCTGGAAGTTTTGGGGTCCGATGCTAGTTGAACTGTCTACTAGAAACACAATGTCTGCCAGGGCTGCTTCTCTGCAAGCTATAAGAGAGACGGCAAAAGGGATTGGATTACTGGATCTTCACTCAAAATGCTTTGAACCATTGAACAAATGGTTCAAGCTGCTTGGAACCAACGCAGAAAAGAAGAATAATGGCAGGCAGCCTATACTTAGTGGTCCTCAGACGCTACCCTCACCCCAAATGACAATGTGCTCAGAGCAATAACATTAACATCCCCCTGTACCTTTCCTTCTCTCTGCTCCATCACCTTCTGAGATTTCAGACCTGCTCTACCGATACTTCCAACCTTGAAATCCACTTAGATAATCCCTTAAATTTTATTAAGAAGAAAAGCACTCTGTAAATTAAGCAACATGCTGAGAAAGGGAATGTATTCTTTCCAGTCAGAAAAAGCCATCAGCCTCCTATCTTTTGACAAAGAAACCTCATATCTAGGAGTGTGCTGGCACCAGCTGGTCAGAAAGCTGGAATATATCCCATGTTCCTTGACACATCTTATTGCAGCTCTATCATTTAATAGCTCTGTGACCTATTTAACACTCACTTCTTTGAGATTTAATTTTCCTCTCTGCAGCACTGAAATCTTTACACCAACCCTCATACTCTCCCAAGGTTGTTTTGAGGATAAAATAAGATAATCTACTGCAGCAGACAATGTCATGTTCTGCTCAGTCCTTTTGGATTTCTTTTTTACCATTCTATGCACTGCTCTTTGGAAAACTACCCTCCAGCTAGTAAAGCTACTTTTCTCACAATATTTAAAAGCCCAGATCCTTGCTTGACCCAGATTCAGGGTCAAGACAACTTTGAGGCATAATGTACACCAAACTCCCCTGCAGGATCAGGCTAAAATCCCTTACAGAATTTTTGCCTGAAATCACACCCTTCCTTACTTTTCTCTACTTCTCTGTCCTGAATACCCCACATCCTTACTGACCATTGCCCCGGGAGCTCTTCCTTAGCAAATCATGTGTATCCAAATTCTTGTTTCAGGCCCTGCTCCCCAGGAATACAACCTAACAGCCCTGCTCTAGTGGAATGGCTCTGCTCTAAAAGATCTGGGATCAAGTCCCTAGTTCTGCAATCCACTTGTGGTAACTTTGGCTTCAGTTTTCTTATCTGAAAAATGCAAACAATAATACTAATTACCCTACGTATCTAACAAAGTTGAGATGATCAGTCAGATGAGCAATATAAATAAGTTTTGAAAACTATACAACGCCAGGCAAATAGTAGCTATTATTACTATGAATATAAAATTTCTTTGTAAACCTTGAAGTGCTGTACAAAAGGAAGATATATAATATTTATTTGCCCATACAAATGCAATACTACCACCACACACCTGCTGCATCAATGGGTCAAAAGTTTTAGCACTTCTTCCAATTAAAATACCCTATACAGAAATACCAAAATAATGAATAAATCATGAAGAGTCTGTCCTTTTGTGGGTTTTGATGGAGCCCACAAGCATTCTTCTCTTTCTCTACTCAAAGTTGTATGCTTTATTATGGAGGTTAGTAATTAATTTATAAAGAATTTTCACCATTTTATGCCCTATCACCAATAGAAGCACAAAGTTGATGACAGGCATATCATCATCACAGGTTATGACAAGTAATAACAGGTAATGTTTATGAGTACCTCTGGTTGGCCAGGTATAGTGCCAAGCACTTTACTTGCACAATTTTGTTTAATGTTTTTAACAACTCTCTGAGGCAGGTACTATCATCCTAGGAAGAAAATTTAGATTCAGAGAGGTAAAGTAACTTGTCTAAGATTACCCTTTCTCTACTTTGTAAGATTTGAACACAGATCTTTATTTTCCCTAAATTAATAATCTATAATCTTAACCAGTATATTAAACCAACAGGCTTGCAGTTAAATTAGCAAACATCCTAGGGGAACTACTGCCCCTCTCCCTTCCCATCCTTCATCCAGGCAACATGGGTAAGTTAACCTAGGAATAATAATGTCATTCTAGAAACAAATAAATCTTCATTCAAAAATGGACTTATACTATATCGTATATAGAACCAGCATAAGGCCCACAGGATTTATAAAAAGAGCTGATGAGGCTTTGGTCAGTGATTGAAGAGGAGCATAGGGTTGGCTTCATGAAATTTTAATTTTAAAATTAAAACATGCACACATATGAAAAATAAGAAGGATGGGCAGAGGGATGAATAAGAGACCAAGCTTTGAGTTTCATGACTTCCAGATCAGAAATTAAGAATAAAAAGCCTTTGTACCTGGAGAGACGTGGTCAACATGTGGAGCTGCCTTTGCCAACGTATCACAGAGTTCCTGCCGCAGCTTCTGGGCGAGATTGCTCAGACCAGAGAAGTTAGGAACAAAGGAGGTAAAATTCTCCTGAGGACTACTGGCAATTTCCCTGAGCTCTGCCCAAACTGCATCTCTGACGCCAATAGCATAAAGCAGGATGCCTGCCTTCCTCAATGCCTTCGCAGGTCCATGGACATGGTCCTCAACTGGCCCACTGCTGATCACCACGGCGATCTGAGGTACCTCTTGGCTTGCCCGGCTCCCTGATGCTTCCTGGAAGTGGTGGTCTAGAATGAACTTCAGGGCCAGGCCCATCTTCTTGCCCCCAGGCTTAAATTGAAACTGCCGAATGTGTCTCAACACATCACCTTTGCGGTGGTAGGTGGAAAGCAAGAACTCTGAATGGGGCACATCGCTATACTTGGCCAGACCCACACGGATGGTCTCACTGCTGACGTTGAAGCTGTTTACCAGAATGTACAAGAAGTTCCGCACACTGCGTGCATGTTGGGGGTTGATGTTGGTGTCCACCAGAAACACAACATCTCCCAGAGAGGCTTCCCTGCAGACTAGGAAAGAGAGTCACTTTCAGATAAAACATAACAAATGACAGTTACTGGCTGGAATCCCATCTCTCCAGACTCAGAGCCTTTACTCCCCACAGATCTGCCTGCACAGCATGCAGCCTAGACACACCATCATCTTCCCTTGTATTCCCATGGCTACCATCTTCCCCTGCTCACCTACCACTCTCTGTTCCATTCTAATAGACATTTGGCCCTTCAGTTAGATCACCCACCCTGCTTTCCATTCATCCCTTGACCTAAATAAAAGAACCCAGTTTTCTACCAGTAGTGGATGCTGTTGGTACCCACCTAGATCGCCTTTACTGGTTGGCACACCTATCCCCCAGCTGCTTTAAGTACTACCTGTGACTTTCTCCAGAGTCCTAACCTTGGCTGAAGGGAGTGGCCTCAATTGGAGACGCCTGGGATGTTACACCACTACCACCACCCTGGGTGGCCAATGTCTAATCAACATGGAGATACAAATGCCTGGCCCACTTGCCTTCAGTGAAACAACCCTGCAGTGTTATTTAGACTCCATCACCACCTCTCATGACTCAGGCCAAGGCTTGACTTTACCTATTGTCTTCATCCCCTACTCTAACCCACTTCTGTTACTCCCTTACAGATTTTTTTCCTAAAGAGTACTTTCTCAAAATAATGCACTCAAATCCCTGTCCCAAACTCTGCTTCCAGGGAACCTGACCTAAGACATCAGCTTTCCAGCTTTGACTTCTGTACTCCCTGGCCACCACCAGCCCCTTTTAGTTTGATCGTTGGCATTCCTATACTTGTGGCTCACATTTGTCTTTTGGCTCCCTGAGCTCAAGCTGCACTATGCAGCTACTTCTCCCCAGCCCCAGCTACAAGCCTGGAAACCACCATCTCAACAGTGGCCAGGCCCATTGGTACCCCATCTGGGCCCATCCTGGCCTCCAGCATGGAAGACATCAGACACCAAGTGGCTGCAGGACTGGAGCAAATTTTGGTAAATTCTCATAGGATCATGTTCTTTTATCTTTGTTTGTAATGTAACATTCATGATTGTGCTTATTTAGTTAATGGCAATTTCCCCAACTAGACTGTGAGATCCATGAGAACAGATAACCATGTATTTTGTTTGTTTGTTCACCACATGAGCATCTAGCATAGAGCAGATACCCAAAAATATTGAGGAAGGAAAGAATAGAGGAAAAGAGAGAAAGGAAAGAGACAGCACTTATAAGGATGGAAATCTTGAACATTAATGAAAACAAATAATGGAATTAAAATTTTAGTGCTAGAAATAATTATATGAGACTGTAGCTGCTAGACATGTGGCAACTGAGCACGTGAAATGTAGCTAGTATAACAGAAACTGAACTTCATATTTTACTGAATTTTGATTTATTTTAATTCAGAGAGTCACATGCAGCTGGTGGCCCCTGTATTGGACAGTACAAGTATAAAATAAGGAGTCCAATTCAGCTATCTCAAAGAGAAGGAAAATAAGACCTGGAAAGGCAAAGTAACTCATGTAAATCCATTCAAAGAGCCAGAATTAGGACCCAGGTCTCCTGATATCTAGTCCATACCCTGAACTGCCATGAAGATTAAATTAGAAATCCATATTACAGAAAGGCAAAGACCAAGTGAGAGTCTAGACAGAGAGGGCTTGGGGAGGTTGGTATAATCCAGGGACACTTAATCCACTTGTCACTTCTGGAGTCCTGGGTCCCACCTCTCAGAAGTTTGCATAACATTGGTCATAAAGCCAAGTGGAATCTGATCATGGAAAAGGCAGACAATAAATGAACTTCAGGTCCTTTAAGCTTTATTTCCCTTCAACCCTCCAAAGTGCAGTCTTACTGGGAGAATTCAATGACTGTTCCAGGGATGGCTGACTGGCTTGTCGCCTTAACATCTCTTTCAGGGGTGATCAAATGCAAACCACGAAGTGTTTCCCTGATCTTTCAAATCAGAGGAAACCACACAGCTGTAGAATATTTTCAAGGCAAGTAAGTTTCAGTTCTATCATATGCAACTTGAGAGATGTATTACATTTTCGTAGACTGTCACTTTCTTAACCCCTCCACTAGTTCTTTGAATGTTTTAGAAGGTGTTTGAAACATGAAAAGACTGTCACAGCTTCTGTTCACAAGTGAAGGGAGTCAGAGCCAAAAGGAAAACTGAGAGAGCTTCATGGTTTTTTTTTCCCCCAACAAATAACAGCCTGTGTAATTATATTTGAATATTTAAACCTCAATATTGTCTCACTGGCACTTCAGGCTACTCAAATAATCTTCTTCTGATGAGACTTTCATCTTGGAAAGTCCCAACAATCTATTAAAATAACTGCAAAAAATTGCAGATGTGTCACTAGCACTCAGTGAAGCGATCCGTCTTGTGATGATAATTACTCCTCAGAACAGCTCTGCCGAAGAGAAAAGGCAGAATGCAGAACAGACTCCTGTTTACAAAAGCGTTTGAGAACCTAGTAATACATTTCAGAGTATGGAAGTTTTTAATATCTATTTTTTTGTCATTTGGGGTTAAGTACTGAAAAAACAAGTGCCCACCATTCACTATAAGCTTCCAGATTCTGACTAAATTCTCCTTCAATGAATCGATTGCCTCTTATTAATTCTGAAGCTTCTGTAATATTTCCTTTTAAGATGGTCACTACCACTAGATGGTTTTCAGCTTAAAGAAACCCAGGTATTACCAATCCTCTGTGACTTGAAGCCAAAACCAGCTTCAAGGAGGATGATCCCCCAAAATATCTTCCAAGTCTCCATTCTAGATGTGGACCTAGAGAAAAGAAGAAACCTTGTAATTAAAAAATGTGCCTTCATGCACTTAAAATGTGTCCAACACATTGACTATAAATTATGCCTCATGAAGTTGATTTTTTTAAAGCATAAGGATGTCTTTCCCCACATCAACATAGGCTTTATCAAAATAAAGAGGGAAATGTTCCCACATTGTTTCAATTGTGCAAGGAAAATGGTCTTGCTGATCCAACTCGGGAAGAATTTTGTAAACACCCAGAGTGTACACCTCAGACTTCACTATTTAAAGTTGTCCAGATGTGGCTATAAAAGGAGAAAGCATACAGGACATGGCATAGAACTTCCATTTCACACACTGCATTCATTTGGTGGGTCATAAACATTTCTGAATGATTTTGTTTGTATATTTATGCAAGAGTGGAATAACCTGATAAACAGTTGTGGTATGCTAAAATATTCAAGTATCTCAGGAGCACATCTGCCTGGTCAAATAAGCCTAGTCTGAAAATACCTCATACATTCTCAAAAAAAAAAAAAAGCAGAACATCAGACCTCCCTCCCCAAAGCTTAGATCCATTTCCAAAGGGGTCCATGGAAATTGTCTACTCTCAATTCCATTTCTATTTTTTTTACTCTAAGAAAGTCCATTTGTTTAAAAATAAGAACATAATAATCCCATTGAATGAGAGGTTCCAAGTGGAACAGGGAATACCTCATCTTTATATTCTTGGCCAGCCAATCTCACAGCTGCCTTCAGCAGAATGTATGTGGTTAAAAAGCAAGGACTCTTGGAGATAGACTGCCTGGGCTTGAGTCTTCGATCCACTATCTAATAGTGGATCTTAGGCAAATTGCTTCACTTTTCTCTGCCTTGGTTTCCCCATTTGTAAAATAGGGGCAATAATAGCACCTACCTTATAGTGTTATCAGGATTGAGTTCATTATTATAAAACACTTTACCCATTCCTGGCACACAGAAGGCACTCTTTAGGTGTTTGTTAAATAAAATAAACCTTCTTGGAGCCCCAATATGTAATTCAAAAGAATTCAAAAGAATTCTTCCATGTCTTTGCCATTGTGAATAGTTAAAGCACATTCTTAAACAAACCAAAGAGTTTAAGCAAGAATCTCTAGCATGTCTAAATCACTTCCTAGTCTTGGGTTCTTTAAATAGAATATTGTGTGGAAGTGATCATCACAACACCCAGGAATAGCAGACACCCAACAGCTGCGTTTCTCTTTCCAGAAAGTGTTAAGTGAAAACCACCCCCCACTCCCTAAAAACACATCTTGACTGTTCATGCTCAACTTACTCCTTAAGAGGGATTCAAAAATTTGAGATAACCATATTTATTTTATTTACTTTATTATTTACACCAACAGAAAATACTGGGAGAAGTCTTGACTTTAAAGGAAGCCCATAGGCCTTGATTCTGGTTTGAGCTTGGCTATTTGCTCTGCAGACTTGAGCAAGCTGTTTCAACTTTCAGGTTTTATGTGATGAGTCTAGAGGTCTTAGCTCTGATTTGAGACAACTACTGTATTGACCACTGTATTACAAACATGCCCTAGGGAATTGGTCCAGTGTTTTTCCAGGAAATAGATGTGCTATAATTAGATTTCTCTGTTCCTCAGTTTCTACATAACTTCCCACTAGTGCCTCCTCCCGGAGGTGTATAAGTAACTAAAGGAAAGGTACTTTAAGACTTTAGATATCCTATCCTTCAATAAACTTTTACCTAAGGGTAAAAAAAAAAATGCATGAATCTTAAAGAATAGATTGCCCTAGTGAATTAATAACTGTATGAGGGTAAAGAGCTTGAGAGTCTGAAGGTGTGAAAAATGATCCAAAATAAATTAATGGATCATCAACATGATCCTCATCATCATCATTGCAATAAAATATTACACTTCCAATTTTGAAACACTTGGGTTAATAAAGTTATTGGAAAAAACAAAACCTTTAAGTAAAGGTTTTACTGTATAAAACCTAAATATAGATATTATGTCTACATTTTCATTTTCCATTATGTCCCAATTATTACTATTCATGCGATTAGTCATAAAAAATGAGCATTTTTAGCTAATTGTAAATAAAGCACTAGAGCTGTTTATGAAACTCTAGTGGGAAAGTCAAAATGATAAACATTTATAAACGGTTGTAAACATTTTACAGCTGGGCAAGTCTGTGTTATATCAATGAAGAGTTAAGTATCTATGTATTAGAGATTTAATATCTACGTGATATGTACTATTTCATTAAGATGTTTATATCTTAAGCTGCTGAAGAGATTTTGCATCTGAACACATGGGACTCCTCATGGAGGCAAGAAATAAAGCCATTAAATGAAATGGAATTAGATAGGGATAGCATAGAATACTGATTCTTTCTGCAAATAACTTTAATAGTTTTGCAATAGAAAAGATTTCTCTCAAAAATATATTGCTCAAATAGTTAACCAACTAAAACCGTCTATTTTTTAGATTCATTTATTCAGTTTAAAAATTACTTTGCAACTACCATAGTAACAATTGACTCAGGAAGAATCATCAGAGATTGCTAAAACCACTGGGTAAAAGTTTGTTACACAACAGAATATGAATATATTTTCAAAGTATCTTCTGAAAAATTACTTAGAAATTACAAAGGGCAAAAAAGTACCATTACGATGGAGAAGCCTGATGGACATGACTTAACCAAGTGATCAATTACATCAATAATAACAGGATAAACCAACATCATCACCTCCTGATATTATGCATGAGAAAACTTAACATCACTTATATAGTATTTCTCCTTAAAATCCATGACCTAAATCTGATAACGAGAAAACAATCACATAAACCAAAACTTGAGGACAGTCTAAAAAATAACTGGCCTGTGCGTCTCAAAAATATTCATATCATGAAAGACAAAGCAAAGGAATTGATTCAGATTATAGGAGTCCAAAGAGACATAACATATAAAGGCAATTCATGATCCTGGTTTGGGGGGAAAAATGCTATAAAAGCCATTGAATGAGACAGTAGACAAAATGTTAATATGGACAGAATATTATATAATAATACTGTATCAAGGTCATGGTGAAACCCGGTTTCTACAAAAAAATACAAAAAATATTAGCTAGCCATGATGGTGCACGCCTGTAGTCCCAGCTACTCGGGAGGCTGAGGTGAGAGAATCGCTTGAGCCCAGGAGGTTGAGGCTGCAGTAATCGTGCCACTGCACTCCAGCCTGAGCAACAGAGTGAGACCCTGTCTCAAAAAAAGAAAATACGGTATCAATGTTAAATTTAATAACTTTGATTATTGTGTTGTAGTCATGTAAGAGAATGGCCTTCTTATTTAAAAATACACACTGATGCATTGTGGAGCAAAGGACCTTACTATCAGCAACTTACTCTCAAATGCTTGGCAAAATTATAATGATTCATAGAGAGAGGAATAAAGCATTGCAATACATTTGCAACTTTTTACTGAGTGTTTATTGTTTGCCAGACTAAACTTCAGGCCCTAGAAATAACAGACTAAAAGAAACCATTCTTTTTCTCAGAGAACTAGTGGAGAGAGAGATGGATAAATTGTAATATTGTGGGATAAGCAAAATAAAATAGAAAGCTATACAAAGTGCTGAGGAACACAGTGTGTGAGCACCTGTCTTCACCTGGGTGAAGAGTTTACAGAGCAGATGATTCCAGAGTGAAGACTTGAAGGATGAGTAGAAATTTGCAAGTGAGAATGTGAAGAAAGGGAGTTCCAGGAAGAAGAACAGCATGTACATGCAAGGACACTGGAGAGGTACTAGACACTCCAAACACAGCCTGCCCACAGATTCAGGAGCTCAGGTTTAGGAGTGCTGGGGATGTGGTTAGGCCTTCATTAGAGCTCATGCACCTGTGCTGTCCAAGCTCTTAAGGCTTGATAAGTCTCATAGAGATCTTTTCTGAAATGACTGAACTTAAAAGGTGGGATAGAAGAGGGGACCCGAGCAGAATTCCTCAGTCTTCAAAAACAAACCTCCTTAACTTCATTTAATTAAAGTAGCAATGCTTTATATACCAGTCTCCTTCAAGGTTTTTGTTCTTCCTCTGTGGAATGCTCAACTATAAAATACGAAGATTCCATCTCTAATGTCCTATGCCAGTGACTCTTAAACTTCAGCATTGCATCAGAGTTACCCAGAGGACCTGTTAAAGCCCAGTTTGTTGGCCCCTACCTCCAGAGTTTCTGATTTTGTAAGTGTAGTGTGAACCCTTAGAATCTGCCTGCTGAGCTGGTCCGAGGAACCATATTTCAAAAACCATTCTTTAGGCCGGGCATAGTGGCTCATGACTATAATCCTAGCACTTTGGGAGACCAAGGCAGGAGGAGTGCCTGAGCCCAGGAGCTGGAAACCAGCCTGGGAAAAATAAAGAGACCCTGTCTCTACAAAAATAAAAATAAAAATTAGCCTGGTGTGGTGGTGTGTGCCTGTTGTCCCAGCTTCTCAGGAGGCAAAGGTGGGAGAATTGACTGAGTCCAGAAGTCGAGGCTGCAACAAGCCATGATCATGCCACTGCACTCCAGCCTGGGTGACAGAGAGGGAAGGGAAGGGGAAGGGGAAGGGGAAGGGAGAAAGAGAGAAAGAGAGAGAGAAAGAAAGGAAAGGAAAAGAAAAGAAAAGAAAAGAAAAGAAAAGGAAAAGAAAAGAAACTAGTCTCCCATGCATTTAGCATGCAGTGGTTCCTGCTCAAGCGAGTGTCTGCCCCACTTGCTTTCAATAGCCTCTTTAATTCCCTATGGAGAAAATCAAGTGTCTATTTTCAAGTAAGTGAGAAAAGAGAAGAGATTATTGATTTTAAAATGTTTTTTAAATTACTGAGGTAAGCAGAAGCTTCAAAATATTTGGATGAAATACTCAATGCAAATATGCAAAATTAATTTAACACATTTTTTCCATTTTCTTTCTATTTATTCTCTGAAATCCAGAGCTGTGCTCTCTCTTTTCTTTCTGTTCACTTTAACAGGGTTATTACAATAACTGGATTTTTGGCTTTCTAATGAGATAGTCTTACAGTGTTCCACATCTGGGCAGGAAGCTCCAGAAGGCAAACAATTGAGAAACGTGAATAGATTCTTCTGTACACTTCACGTTAAACTCTACATAACATGTTTGACAGTAAAAAAAATAAAAATAAAAAACTAAAGTTTAGCCTTAATTTATTGCATAAACATTAACATTTGTTTTCTGTGCTCATTCACAAATCTTACAATGGCTCAGATAAATCTATAACTTTGTTGTAAAATATTTAAGGGAGGCTATGTCAAACATTTCAATGACAATTAATGTGTCAGTAGTCTCAGAAAAAAATAACAAGATGCAGAATCTTGGAGCTTTCCTCCAGAGAAGGGTAAGGATTAAAATGCCAGAGTTCAGCGGAGCTCTGTGCAAAGCAATAAATGGCTGTTGATGGTTATGATACTCCCATCAGCTGTGGAAATTAGTAGATTGGTACATAATTAATTTGTGAGGTACTTAAAATTTTGGAACACTACACTAAGAAAATAAGAGAAAAGACCAAATAAATAAAATGAGAAATGAAAGTGGTGACATTACAAGAGATGCTTCAGAAATGAAAAAAATGAAAAAGAACTATTATGAATAATTATATGGCAACAAATTGGATAACCTAGAGGAAATGGATAAATGCCTAAAAAAATGCAACTTACGGAGGGAGGAGCCAAGATGGCCGAATAGGAACAGCCCCGGTCTACAGCTCCCAGCGTGAGCGACGCAGAAGATGGGTGATTTCTGCATTTCCATCTGAGGTACCGGGTTTATCTCACTAGGAGTGTCAGACAGTGGGCGCAGGTCAGTGGGTGTGCGCACCATGCGTGAGCCCAAGCAGGGCGAGGCATTGCCTCACTTGGGAAGCGCAAGGGGTCAGGGAGTTCCTTTTCTGAGTCAAAGAAAGGGGTGACGGACGGCACCTGGAAAATCGGGTCACTCCCACCCGAATACTGCGCTTTTCCGACGGGCTTAAAAAACGGCGCACCACGAGATTATATCCCGCACCTGGCTCGGAGGGTCCTACGCCCACGGAGTCTCGCTGATTGCTAGCACAGCAGTCTGAGATCAAACTGCAAGGCGGCAGCGAGGCTGGGGGAGGGGCGCCCGCCATTGCCCAGGCTTGCTTAGGTAAACAAAGCAGCCGGAAAGCTCGAACTGGGTGGAGCCCACCACAGCTCAAGGAGGCCTGCCTGCCTCTGTAGGCTCCACCTCTGGGGGCAGGGCACAGACAAACAAAAAGACAGCAGTAACCTCTGCAGACTTAAATGTCCCTGTCTGACAGCTTTGAAGAGAGCAGTGGTTCTCCTAGCACGCAGCTGGAGATCTGAGAACGGGCAGACTGCCTCCTCAAGTGGGTCCCTGACCCCTGACCCCCGAGCAGCCTAACTGGGAGGCACTCCCCAGCAGGGGCAGACTGACACCTCACACGGTCGGGTACTCCAACAGACCTGCAGCTGAGGGTCCTGTCTGTTAGAAGGAAAACTAACAAACAGAAAGGACATCCACACCAAAAACCCATCTGTACATCACCATCATCAAAGACCAAAAGTAGATAAAACCACAAAGATGGGGAAAAAACAGAACAGAATAACTGGAAACTCTAAAAAGCAGAGCGCCTCTCCTCCTCCAAAGGAATGCAGTTCCTCACCAGCAACGGAACAAAGCTGGATGGAGAATGACTTTGACGAGCTGAGAGAAGAAGGCTTCAGACGATCAAATTACTCTGAGCTACGGGAGAACATTCAAACCAAAGGCAAAGAAGTTGAAAACTTTGAAAAAAATTTAGAAGAATGTATAACTAGAATAACCAATACAGAGAAGTGCTTAAAGGAGCTGATGGAGCTGAAAACCAAGGCTCGAGAACTACGTGAAGAATGCAGAAGCCTCAGGAGCCGATGCGATCAACTGGAAGAAAGGGTATCAGCGATGGAAGATGAAATGAATGAAATGAAGTGAGAAGGGAAGTCTAGAGAAAAAAGAATAAAAAGAAATGAGCAAAGCCTCCAAGAAATATGGGACTATGTGAAAAGACCAAATCTACGTCTGATTGGTGTACCTGAAAGTGATGGGGAGAATGGAACCAAGTTGGAAAACACTTTGCAGGATATCATCCAGGAGAACTTCCCCAATCTAGCAAGGCAGGCCAACCTTCAGATTCAGGAAATACAGAGAACGCCACAAAGATACTCCTCGAGAAGAGCAACTCCAAGACACATAATTGTCAGATTCACCAAAGTTGAAATGAAGGAAAAAATGTTAAGGGCAGCCAGAGAGAAAGGTCGGGTTACCCTCAAAGGGAAGCCCATCAGACTAACAGCGGATCTCTCAGCAGAAACCCTACAAGCCAGAAGAGAGTGGGGGCCAATATTCAACATTCTTAAAGAAAAGAATTTTCAACCCAGAATTTCATATCCAGCCAAACTAAGCTTCATAAGTGAAGGAGAAATAAAATCCTTTACAGACAAGCAAATGCTGAGAGATTTTGTCACCACCAGGCCTGCCTTACAAGAGCTCCTGAAGGAAGCACTAAACATGGAAAGGAACAACCGGTACCAGCCACTGCAAAATCATGCCAAAATGTAAAGACCATCGAGACTAGGAAGAAACTGCATCAACTAACAAGCAAAATAACCAGCTAACATCATAATGACAGGATCAAATTCACACATAACAATATTAACTTTAAATGTAAATGGACTAAATGCTCCAATTAAAAGACACAGACTGGCAAATTGGATAAAGAGTCAAGACCCATCAGTGTGCTGTATTCAGGAAACCCATCTCATGTGCAGAGACACACATAGGCTCAAAATAAAAGGATGGAGGAAGATCTACCAAGCCAATGGAAAACAAAAAAAGGCAGGGGTTGCAATCCTAGTCTCTGATAAAACAGACTTTAAACCAACAAAGATCAAAAGAGACAAAGAAGGCCATTACATAATGGTAAAGGGATCAATTCAACAAGAAGAGCTAACTATCCTAAATATATATGCACCCAATACAGGAGCACCAAGATTCATAAAGCAAGTCCTGAGTGACCTACAAAGAGACTTAGACTCCCACACATTAATAATGGGAGACTTTAACACCCCACTGTCAACATTAGACAGATCAACGAGACGGAAAGTCAACAAGGATACCCAGGAATTGAACTCAGCTCTGCACCAAGCGGACCTAATAGACATCTACAGAACTCTCCACCCCAAATCAACAGAATATACATTCTTTTCAGCACCACACCACACCTATTCCAAAATTGACCACATACTGGGAAGTAAAGCTCTCCTCAGCAAATGTAAAAGAACAGAAATTATAACAAACTATCTCTCAGACCACAGTGCAATCAAACTAGAACTCAGGATTAAGAATCTCACTCAAAACCACTCAACTACATGGAAACTGAACAACCTGCTCCTGAATGACTACTGGGTACATAACAAAATGAAGGCAGAAATAAAGATGTTCTTTGAAACCAACGAGAACAAAGACACAACATACCAGAATCTCTGGAATGCATTCAAAGCAGTGTGTAGAGGGAAATTTATAGCACTAAATGCCCACAAGAGAAAGCAGGAAAGATCCAAAATTGACACCCTAACATCACAATTAAAAGAACTAGAAAAGCAAGAGCAAACACATTCAAAAGCTAGCAGAAGGCAAGAAATAACTAAGATCAGAGCAGAACTGAAGGAAATAGAGACAGAAAAAACCCTTCAAAAAATTAATGAATCCAGGAGCTGGTGTTTTGAAAGGATCAACAAAATTGATAGACCGCTAGCAAGACTAATAAAGAAAAAAAGAGAGAAGAATTAAATAGACGCAATAAAAAATGATAAAGGAGATATCACCACCGATCCCACAGAAATACAAACTACCATCAGGGAATACTACAAACACCTCTATGCAAATAAACTAGAAAATCTAGAAGAAATGGATAAATTCCTGGACACATACACTCTACCAAGACTAAACCAGGAAGAAGTTGAATCTCTGAATAGACCAATAACAGGAGCTGAAATTGTGGCAATAATCAATAGCTTACCAATCAAAAAGAGTCCAGGACCAGATGGATTCACAGCCGAATTCTACCAGAGGTTCAAGGAGGAACTGGTACCATTCCTTCTGAAACTATTCCAATCAATAGAAAAAGAGGGAATCCTCCCTAACTCATTTTATGAGGCCAGCATCATTCTGATACCAAAGCCAGGCAGAGACACAACAAAAAAAGAGAATTTTAGACCAATATCCTTGATGAACATTGATGCAAAAATCCTCAATAAAATCCTGGCAAAACGAATCCAGCAGCACATCAAAAAGCTTATCCACCATGATCAAGTGGGCTTCATCCCTGGGATGCGAGGCTGGTTCAATATACGCAAATCAATAAATGTAATCCAGCATATAAACAGAGCCAAAGACAAAAACCACGATTATCTCAATAGATGCAGAAAAAGCCTTTGACAAAATTCAACAACCCTTCATGCTAAAAACTCTCAATAAATTAGGTATTGATGGGACGTATTTCAAAATAATAAGAGCTATCTATGACAAACCCACAGCCAATATCATACTGAATGGGCAAAAACTGGAAGCATTCCCTTTGAAAACTGGCACAAGACAGGGATGCCCTCTCTCACCACTCCTATTCAACATAGTGTTGGAAGTTCTGGCCAGGGCAATCAGGCAGGAGAAGGAAATAAAGGGTATTCAATTAGGAAAAGAGGAAGTCAAATTGTCCCTGTTTGCAGACGACATGATTGTATATCTAGAAAACCCCATTGTCTCAGCCCAAAATCTCCTTAAGCTGATAAGCAACTTCAGCAAAGTCTCAGGATACAAAATCAATGTACAAAAATCACAAGCATTCTTATACACCAACAACAGACAAACAGAGAGCCAAATCACGAGTGAACTCCCATTCACAATTGCTTCAAAGAGAATAAAATACATAGGAATCCAATTTACAAGGGATGTGAAGGACCTCTTCAAGGAGAACTACAAACCACTGCTCAAGGAAATAAAAGAGGATACAAACAAATGGAAGAACATTCCATGCTCATGGGTAGGAAGAATCAATATCGTGAAAATGGCCATACTGCCCAAGGTAATTTACAGATTCAATGCCATCCCCATCAAGCTACCAATGACTTTCTTCACAGAATTGGAAAAAACTACTTTAAAGTTCATATGGAACCAAAAAAGAACCCGCATCGCCAAGTCAATCCTAAGCCAAAAGAACAAAGCTGGAGGCATCACACTACCTGACTTCAAACTATACTACAAGGCTACAGTAACCAAAACAGCATGGTACTGGTACCAAAACAGAGATATAGATCAATGGAACAGAACAGAGCCCTCAGAAATAACGCCACATATCTACAACTATCTGATCTTTGACAAACCTGACAAAAACAAGAAATGGGGAAAGGATTCCCTGTTTAACAAATGGTGCTGGGAAAACTGGCTAGCCATATGTAGAAAGCTGAAACTGGATCCCTTCCTTACACCTTATACAAAAATCAATTCTCAATTCAAGATGGATTAAAGACTTAAACGTTAGACCTAAAACCATAAAAACCCTAGAAGAAAACCTAGGCATTACCATTCAGGACATAGGCATGGGCAAGGACTTCATGTCTAAAACACCAAAAGCAATGGCAACAAAAGCCAAAATTGACCAATGAGATCTAATTAAACTGAACAGCTTCTGCACAGCAAAAGAAACTACCATCAGAGTGAACAGGCAACCTACAAAATGGGAGAAAATTTTCGCAACCTACTCATCTGACAAAGGGCTAATATCCAGAATCTACAATGAACTCAAACAAATTTACAAGAAAAAAACAAACAACCCCATCAAAAAGTGGGTGAAGGACATGAACAGACACTTCTCAAAAGAAGACATTTATGCAGCCAAAAAACACATGAAAAAATGCTCACCATCACTGGCCATCAGAGAAATGCAAATCAAAACCACAATGAGATACCATCTCACACCAGTTAGAATGGCAATCATTAAAAAGTCAGGAACCAACGGGTGCTGGAGAGGATGTGGAGAAATAGGAACACTTTTACACTGTTGGTGGGACTGTAAACTAGTTCAACCCTTGTGGAAGTCAGTGTGGCAATTCCTCAGGGATCTAGAACTAGAAATACCATTTGACCCAGCCATCCCATTACTGGGTATATACCCAAAGGACTCTAAATCATGCTGCTATAAAGACACATGCACACGTATGTTTATTGCGGCACTATTCACAATAGCAAAGACTTGGAACCAACCCAAATGTCCAACAATGATAGACTGGATTAAGAAAATGTGGCACATATACACCATGGAATACTATGCAGCCATAAAAAATGATGAGTTCATGTCCTTTGTAGGGACATGGATGAAATTGGAAATCATCATTCTCAGTAAACTATCGCAAGAACAAAAAACCAAACACCGCATGTTCTCACTCATAGGTGGGAATTGAACAATGAGAACACATGGACACAGGAAGAGGAACATCACACTCTAGGGACTGTTGTGGGGTAGGGGGAGTGGGGAGGGATAGCTTTAGGAGATATACCTAATGCTAAATGACGAGTTAATGGGTGCAGCACACCAGCATGGCACATGTATACATATGTAACTAACCTGCACATTGTGCACATGTACCCTGAAACTTAAAGTATAATAATAATAAAATAAAAAAAAAGTTGCTGCTATCTTAGAGAAATACACAGCTGAGATACACAATGTTCCTATTCTTACAGCAATATGAACATCAGCTAAACTGGAAAAGCTGCACTATAATAAACTGTCTTCAACACACACACACACACAAAATAGACCATTAGCCAGACTAATAAAGAAGAAAAGAGAGAAGAATCAAATAGACACAATAAAAAATAATAAAGGGGTTATCACCACTGATCCCACAGAAATACAAACTACCATCAAGAATTCTATAAACATCTCTACACAAATAAACTAGAAAATCTAGAAGAAATGGATAAATTCCTGGACACATACACCCTCCCAAGACTAAATCAGGAAGAAGTCGAATCCGTGGATAGACCAATCACAAGTTCTGAAATTGAGGCAGTAATTAATAGCCTACCAACCAAAAAAAGCCCAGGTCCAGATGGATTTACAGCTGAATTCTACCAGAGATACAAAGAGGAGCTGGTACCATTCCTTCTGAAACTATTCAAAACAGCAGAAAAAGAGGGACTCCTCCCTAATTCATTTTATGAGGCCAGCATGATCCTGCTACAAAACCTGGCAGAGACACAACAAAAAAAGAAAATTTCAGGCCAATATCCCCAATGAATGTCGATGCAAAAATCCTCAATAAACTAGTGGCAAACAGAATCCAGCAGCAAAAAGCTTCTCCACCACGATCGAGTCAGCTTCATCCCTAGGATACAAGGCTGGTTCAACATATGCAAATCAATAAACGTAATCCATCATATAAACAGAACCAAGGACAAAAACCACATAATTATCTCAATAGATGCAGGAAAGTCCCTCAATAAAATTCAACACCGCTTCATGCTAAAAACACTCAAACTACATATCAATGGAACATATCTCAAAATAATAAGAGCTATTTTTGACAAACCCACAACCAATATCATACTGAATGAGCAAAAGCTAGAAGCATTCCCTTTGAAAACCAGCACAAGACAAGGATGTCCTCTCTCACCACTCCTATTCAACATAGTATTGGAAGTTCTGGCCAGGGCAATCAGGCAAAATAAAGAACTAAAGGGTATTCAAATAGGAAGAGAGAAAGTCAAATTGTCTCTGTTTGCAGATGACATGATTGTATATTTAGAAAACCCCATCGTCTCAGCCCAAAAACTCCTTAAGCAGATAAGCAACTTCAGCAAATTCTCAGGATACAAAATAAATGTGCAAAACTCACAAGCATTCCTATACACCAATAATAGACAAACAGAGGCAAATCATGAGTGAACTCTCACTCACAATTACTACAAAGAGAATAATATACCTAGGAATACAACTTACAGGGGATATGAAGGACCTCTTCACGGAGAACTACAAACCACTGCTCAAGGAAATAAGAGAGGACACAAACAAACAGAAAAACAGTCCATGCTCATGGATAGGAAGACTCAATATCGTGAAAATGGCCATACTGCCCAAAGTAATATATAGATTCAATGCTATTCCCATCAAGCTACCATTGACTTTCTTCACAGAATTAGAAAAAACTACTTTAAATTTCATATGGAACCAAAAAAGAGCCCATATAGCCAAGACAATCCTAAGCAAAACGAAGAAAGTTGGAGGCATCATGCTACCTGACTTCAAACTATACTACAAGGCTACAGTAACCAAACAGCATGGTACTGGTACCAAAACAGATATATAGACCAATGGAACAGAACAGAGTCCTCAGAAATAACGCCACACATCCACAACCACCTGATCTTTGACAAACCTAACAAAAACAGCCAATGGGGAAAGGATTCCCTATTTAATAAATGGTGCTGGGAAAACTGGCTAGCCATATGTAGAAAGCTGAAACTGGATCCCTTCCTTTCACCTTACACAAAAATTAACTCAAGATGGATTAAAGACTTAAACATAAGACCTAAAACCACGAAAACCCTAGAAGAAAACCTAGGCAATGCCATTCAGGACATAGGCATGGGCAAAGACTTCATAACTAAAACACCAAAAGCAAGGGCAACAAAACCCAAAATTGACAAGTAGGACCTAATTAAACTAAAGAGCTCCTGCACAGCAAAAGAAACTATCATCAAAATGAATAGGCAACATACAGAATGGAAGAAAATTTTTGCAATCTATCCATCTGAAAAAGAGCTACTATCCAGAATCTACAAGGAACTTAAACACATTTACATGAAAAAAAAACCCATTAAAAAGTAGGCAAAGGATATGAAAAGATACTTCTCAAAAGAAGACATTTATGTGGCCAAGAAACTATGAAAAAAAGCTTATCATCACTGGTCATTAGAGAATGCAAATCAAAACCACAATGAGATACCACCTCATGCCAGTTAGAATGGCGATCCTTAAAAAGTCAGGAAACAACAGATGCTGGAGAGGATGTGGAGAAATAAGGATGCTTTTACACTGTTGGTGGGAGTGTAAATTACTTCAACCACTGTGGAAGACAGTGTGACAATTCCTCAAGTATCTAGAACCAGAAATACCATTTGACCCAGCAATCCCATTACTGGGTATATACCCAAAGGATTATAAATCATTCTACTATGAAGACACATGCACATGTATGTTTATTGCAGCACAATTCATAATAGCAAAGACTTGGAACCAACCCAAATGACCATTAATGATAGATTGGATAAAGAAACTGTGGCACATATACCCTATGGAATATTATGCAGCCATAAAAAGAATGAGTTCATGTCCTTTGCAAGGACATGGATGAAGCTGGAAACCATAATTCTCAGCAAACTAACACAGGAACAGAAAACCAAACACTGCATGTTCTCATTCATAAGGTGGAGTTGAATAATGTGAATACATGGACACAGGGTGGGGAACATCATACACCAGGGCCTGTTGCGGGGTGGGGGGCTAGGGGAAGGAGAGCATTAGGAGAAATACCTAATGTAGACGACGGGTTGATGGGTACACCCAACCACCATGGCACATGTATACCTATGTAGCAAACCTGCACATTCTGCACATGTATATCCCAGAACTTAAAGTATAATAAAATAAATAAATAAATAAATAAATAAATAATAAAAACACAAAAAATCATAATGGATGGTTACTCTGCTCACTACCTAGGTCCAATGTACCCATGTAACAATCCTATACATGCATCCCTTGTATCTGAAATAAAAGCTGAAAACTTTTTTAAAAGTACACATACAAAAATTTTAAAAAGCTTAAGAACAACAACAATGAAAAAAAAAAACCATAACGTGGAAATTCTGGATTGCATTCAGAGACTGTGTAGATGGAATGGAAGTCTGAGCTGGTGGAACTGCTCTCAAGACAGGCGTAGTTTTATTTTGAGCTGAAAAGGTTCCGGCTTGAGTAGTAGCCATCCTGTTGATGTTTTAAATTCTACTCATACTAATATGGTTCCCTGTGCCTGGGAAAAACTGTGTATAAACCAACACAATTTCCACTTGTTGTGTAATAGGAATATCTGCTACAGCAAAATTTCTTTTGAAAAGGGAGAAAACAATCTTATTTTCTATTTCTACTGAATAAACCAGCTTGCAATCATCTGAAAAGAATAAACTTCCTTAATTTGATGCCATTATACATTTAACCTTTGGGAATTTGTGAAGTGGAAGCACTTTCAAGTTCCTGCTCTGGAAGAGGACTGTGAATACTATTTTAGCCATCAGCCACGTAGAAGCTGTAACTACTAAAACAATGCAAATTATGTCATCCAGTCCAAGGTGTCTAGATGATAAGAGCAAGGTACAAGTGAGTGGCATTTTATGATTTAGCCTCATAAGTTAGATGGTAGCACTTCCACTATACACTATTAGTCAAGGCAGTCACAAAGTTATGTCCAGGATGCATGGTAGGGGACAAAGATCCTACCGCTTAAAAGAAGGGACATGAAGATACCCTTGTAAGGAGATCACGTGGGATGTAAGATAAAGCTTTTGGCCTATTTGTAAAATACAGTCTGCCACAGTTTGCTTTCTGGCCATATTTCTCATGCCTCCCACATGCAAAATACATTCAAATCACACCCCTAGAATTCTCAAGTCTCAAACTATTAAAACATCAGCTTGAAGTCCAGGAGCTTGTCATCTAAATCAGGTTCAGGTGAAGATGAGATGCCTTGGTGTGGTTCATTTGGGTGCAGCTCCTTAAATATCACTCCTTTTGATTAGAGCTCTGTTAAAGAGACAATCTGCACCCCCCCCCCCGCCCACACACACACCCAACGCACAGTGATAAGAGGCATAAGATGATCCCTATAGGAAAATCCTACTCGAAAGGGAGGAAGAGGCAAGCACACTGCAATAATCTAGAAAAATTCTGAAATGCAGTTTGGTATATGCTTCCAGTTCCTTATCAAGATTCAGTCCTACTGTCTGGGAGTTCTCTGTGAATTTCAAATTCCAAAACACATCTGGCTTAAGGGTGCAGTAAAGGATTGTGAAGCTGCACTCAGAGACTATAAGAAAAAGATGTGATAAACACTCCCATTGCCTATCAATGACTGAGCTCTTCAGAGGATGCTGTTGTTGCTTCTGTTTCCCAAGATGATCAGAGTTCAGGAAGTGGAATTCCAAGCAGCTCAGAGGTAAATGAGATAAGGGTTAAATGGTTCTGTAACCATTTCTTCTGCCCCTGCACTGACAGATTATCCCAAAAGAACACAGTCATGAAGAGTAAAGAGCACAGTCAAGTGTTGCAGGACATAACTTTGTCAAATACTTCATATGTGCCAGGTGTTGTGCTAAAGGCTTTACTGGCATTATCTCATTCAATCCTTCTAAAACTTTATGAGGTAGTTACTAATCTACCTATTTTACAGATGAGAAAAATTGAGGCTTAGAGATATTAATCAGTGTGCTGAAGGTTTGCAAAGTTAGAAAATGGTAACAAAATTGTGAAATGACTTTCTCCATCAATTTGCTTGTTTTCGTCATTAGAGTGGACATGAAAAAAATTTAATCTCTACATCAGCAGTCCCCAACCTTTTTGGTGTCAGGGACCAGTTCCATGAAAGACCATTTTTCCACAGACTGCGGGGATGGGGAGGGGATGATTCGAGCACACTACATTTATTGTGCACTTTGTTACTACTATTATTACATTGTAATATATGATGAAATAATTACACAATTCACATAATGCAGAATATGTGGGAGCCCTGAGCTTGTTTTCCTGCAACTAGATGGTCCCATCTGGGGGTGATGGAAGACAGTGACACCTGAAATGTGTTGCTTATGTCCAGTCTACTCCATAATCTCATTATGGTTTCTCTCACTACAAAAAACCCTGCTTCATAAAGATAGGATGTTAGAAATGGAAGCAGGCTTTTCAGTGCTTTTGTGGCAATCTCAGGCTACCACTTTGACTTTAGTCCAGAACATACGAAGATTTGAAGTTGTCTCAAACATACTTTTAAGGCCACCATCATTTGCAATCTCAAGCAGTTGATCCTCTTCTAGCACAAAGTTGATTTACCTGGCTTATTCACAAATGGGTTGCAGATCCATTCCTTCCTAGTTTGGGGGTCTTTTGTGGTTGGGAAGTAATGCTCAAACTCTTTTGAAAACTGAGATGGGTGATCATGCACCGGCTGGAAGAAAGAAGGCCCTGGCTCAGTCTCTTTCAAAATCTCTGCTAATGTTTGAAACATGTCAAAAATCCCAGTGTTCCCTTGTCACCCCCATAACTCCAGCTTGGCTTTGAATGCAGCCACTTTATCTGCTGACTTGAACACAGTTGTTGTTCTCCTCTGAAGTGATAGATTGAGTTCATTGAGCAGGTTGAATATGTCACACAAGGAAGCAAGTTTTGAGACCCATTCTGTGTCACTGAAATGTGCTGCCAATGGTGACTGTTTTTCTAAAAGAAATCTCTGGAGGCTCATAACTCAGAAACTCTGGCCAGTGATCTACCTTTAGAAAGCCACCTCACTTCTGTGTATAAGAGAAGACACGTGTGCTCTGCGTCCATCTTCTCACAGAGCTGCGTGAACAGATGTTAGTTAAGGGTATGTACTTTAATGTGGTTGGTAATTTTAATCACATCCTGCAAAACGTTAAGTTCAGGTGACATTTTTCAGCTAACCAGCATTTTTCTATGGATGACACACTGCATAGACTCACATTCACAAGCGACCTCTTTGACCCAAGCAGTGAAACCAGAAAGCCATCTAGTCATGGCAGCCACTATGTCCTTGCATAAACTGACACAAAATGATCAATTCAGTTTCCAGACATGTAATCATTCAAAGACTTAAATAGTTCTGCAGCTGTGGTATTGGTTGGCAACAAAAGTACCCAAAACATACCCTTATGCACATCCTCTTGAAAAATATGTCACACAAAAACAAATATTGTTGCCTTGTTGTCAACATCAGTAGACTTGTCAACCTGGATTGTGTACTCCAGTGACTCATTAATCCTCTCTAACAATTGTGCCTCAATATCCTCTGCTATTTCATCGATGCCTCTAGTTACGGTACCAACCAAAAGAGGAACACGTGCCAGCTTTTGAACTGCAGCCCCTCCTAAAAGTTCATGACAAATGTCCTCAGCAGCAGGCAGGATCAGCTCTTTTTCAACAGTAAAGGGCTTCTTAGCTTTAGCAATGTGGTTAGCCACTAAGAATGATGCTCTCAGTGCAGACACATTTGATGAAGTGGTGGCCTTCAGTAATTGCTTCTGTTCTTCATGCTCACTTTTTTTCTTTGGGAAAACTCCAAAGACTTGTGTTTTAATGCAGGGTGCTTGGTCTCCACATGGCAAAGCAGTTTTGAAGGTTTTATGTCTTCATTGGATAGCCGGTTGCCACACATTATACAACGTGGGCTTGGAGAACGTGAATCACCTGTTGCAATGAACCCATAATTTAAGTAGGACTCTTGGTATTTTTTTAATGCAGCTTTCTTTCTGTTGGCAGTCGTAGAGTCTTCTGCTGTGTCATCATTGGGTCTTTCCCCTTTTCAAATAAGTTTTCCAGTGACAACTGATTTTTACTCATTTGGGTTTGGGTTAGCTTGTGGGCTTACCAAAACTGACTGAGACAAGTGGGTAGCGTGGGAAAGAGGACTGCAGGCCACGCACTCCACGTGAGGACTAAAATAAGTGTTGGATTCTAACTTCAAGCCTGCCACCAGATGCAGCTGTACAATTGAAGTACATCAACTCAGTTACCACTATAAAGCCTACCACCAGATGCAGCTTCATTGTCACTTGCCGCTCACTGATAGGGTTTTGATATGAGATCACAAGCAATTTATTATGGTCTCTGTGCAGTCAAACCTCTGCTAGTGTTAATCTGTATTTGCAGCCACTCCCCAGCGTTAGCATCACTGCCTCAGCTCCACCTCAGATCATCAGGCATTAGATTCTCATAAGGAGCACGCAACCTAGATCCTTCGCATGCAGAGTTCACAGCAGGTTTTGAACTACTATGAGAATCTAATGCTGTGGCTGATCTGACCGGAGGCAGAGCTCAGGCAGTAATATGAATGATGGGGAGCAGCTGTAAATAGAAATGAAGCTTCGCTCACTTGCCCACCACTCACCTCCTGCTGTGCAACATTGTTCCTAACAGGACAGAGATGATATCAGTCTACAGCTCAGGGGTTGGTGACCCCTGATCTACTTTGTCCAATGAAAACTGAAAGTGTAAAATTGGTGAACTGTATCAACGTCAATTTCCTGGTCATTATGTTGTACTAGAGTTATGCAAGCTATTACTACTGAGATAAACTAGATAAAGTGTATATGAGATTTCTGTGTTATTTCTTACAATAGCATGTTAAGTTACAATTATCTCAAAATAGAAAGCTTAATTAGAAAGAAAACTAAAACTGTGCTCCAAAGATAGTATCTCCAGACTTCTCTTATACCTTTTTGAGGGACAATGCAATACTTTGGACAATGCAACAGGAAAACTGAAGGCTAATTTAATAATTATTATTTCACAATTACTTTATCCATTTAGGCATTTCATCTTTCTTCTGTTGTCCTATTATTTTAGTATTTTTAAATGATAGCTTGTAATTATTGAGTAATGATGAAATAATTCATAGAATGATAAAATATCAAAATATTTTAACATGTACAGAAGGATCCCAAAAGGTAGCTTAGATTCCAAAAGGTAGCTTAGATTATAAAGGGATCCAATGGGCTCATATGGTAATCGTAAGATAGAATGAGCTTTATTATATATATAGGAAAATTTATAAATATATAATATATATTTATAAATGTATATTTATAAATTTATTTATACATTTAATACATAAATTCATTTATAAATATATATAATTTATAAATTAAAATTTTATCTTGGTTCTTTGGAAGATCTCTAATAAAGAACAAAAGTCATTGAAATATCAATCCTTACAAATATTTAGAACCCCTCTATAAAGAAACTCAAATTAAAATTGAGTGTAGCAGTCCACAATGGTGTACTGAGAATTAAGATAGAAACCCAAACTCTTAACAGGGCCTACAAGGCCCTACATGGTCTCATGCCTGACACCCTCACCTTCTGAGCCTCTGCCTGCATTTCACTGTGTCTGCTCCAGCTACACTGGCCTCTGTTCCATGTTCAGTTTTGCCACTGGCCACTGCACAAGCAGTTCCTTCTATCTCAGGGAAAGTCTTTGCTGACCCCCTAGTTCAGGTCAGTTTCCTTTTCATAAGCTCTTACAAAACTGTTGATTACCTTTGGAGTACTCGTCTACATTTGTAATGATTCATTCACTAATGGCCTTTATTGATTGATTAATGCCTGTGTCCTCCCAGTAGGCCAAAAGCCCTATGAGAGGAGGGCCTGTTTTCACACCACTGTATCCACAAATGTCAGCATTTACCTTCTCTCCTTCTTGAGACTGCTCTAAAATTATGTAAAGGAATTAAAGTACCAAGAAAGGATCAAAATAACAGGATATGAGCCCAGTGTAGCCTGTAGATGTGCAATGTTGTCTCTTAGTACTTAGAAAAACATTTCACTGGCCAGGAGTGGTGGCTCACAATTGTAATCCCAGCACTTTGGGAGGCCGAGGCGGGTGGATCACCTGAGGTCAGCAGTTCGAGACGAGCCTGACCAACATGGTGAAACCCCATCTCTACTAAATACAAAAAACTAGCCGGGCGTGGTGCCGCATGCCTGTAATTCAAGCTACTTGGGAGGCTGAGGCAGGAGAACTGCTTGAACCCAGGAGGCGGAGGTTTCAGTGAGCTGAGATTGCACCATTGCACTCCAGCCTGGGCAACAAGAGTGAAAACTCTGTCAAAAAAAAAAAAAGGGGGAAAACATTTCACTTTATTTTTACTTAAAAGTCAGTATTTTTTACACCAAGATTTAAATTTCTGGCTTCTCTTGATTTAAAAAAATATATTGGACCTACGTTCCCTTGAACTGTCTAGAGCTAGTAGTAACTGCCCCAACTCACTTCTTCCTAAAATTTGCTTCTCAAATTTGCTCCATACCTTGCCTCAGGGATGGTGCTGTTATCTCTAAAGAGCCCCAGAGAGCCCTGGACTTGAAAATTATTGTGCTCTTCAGGGATTATGGTAGATATTTATTTATTTATTTTAGATGGAGTTTCGCTCTTGTTGCCCAGGCTGGAGTGCAATGGCGTGATCTCGGCTCACTGCAACCTCCGCCTCCTGGGTTCAAGCGATTCTCCTGTGTCAGACTCCTGAGTAGCTGGGATTACAGGCGCCCACCAAAATGCTTGGCTAATTTTTTGTGTTTTTAGTAGAGACAAGGTTTCACTATGTTGGCCAGGCTGGTCTCGAACTCCTGACTTCAGGTGATCCACCTGCCTCAGCCTCCCAAAGTGCTGGGATTATAACCTATGCCTCCCTGGTTCAAGCAATTCTCCTGCCTCAGCCTCCCAAGTAGCTGGGATTACAGGCACCTGCCACCATACCTGGCTAATTTTTTGTATTTTTAGTAGAGATGAAGTTTTGCCATGTTGGCCAGGCTGGTCTCGAACTCCTGACCTCGGGTGATCCACCCACCTCGGCCTCCCAAAGTGCTGAGATTACAGGTGTGAGCCACCACACCCGGCCATGGTAGATATTTTAATGAAATGTTTGTTGAAAGGATAAAGTTGTGACCACAAGCCCCTATGAGGTAACACCTAGCTGCAGTGCCACATATGAACACAAGGTGACAGTGTGCTCTCAGGAATCTGCATAAACCCAGCACAGTTGGTGAGGATCTGTAGTAAATAGGATGACTTGTCCCACCCAACTGTGAGAGAGGGCAACTACCAAAGACCAACAGCAACATAGCATGTGTCCTAGAGGGTCACAGGGGAAAAAACTAAGAAGGAAGGAAGCTTCAAGGCCAGGGATCCAGCACAGCAGAGATGGGACTGCAGGGAGGGAATTTAACTCACCCCTGTCTTTGCTGTCCTTAGCATGATCCACTCTTCCCCTGAGTGCTGAATTTCAAGGCCATGAAGCCATGGTCAAGAGACTTGACTGGGAACGGGCCTTAAGCTTTCAGTGACTCCCTTCTAAATCTAGAGCAGTGGTTCTCAAAGTGTGGTCTCTGCACCAGCAGCATCACTTGTCAGAATCTGCAGAAATGCAGATTCCCAGGCCCTGCCCAACCCTACTGACCCAGGCATTCTAGGATGGAGCCCAGAAACCTATATATAATCAGATCCCTGGGTGGTTCCAAAGCAGCTAAATGTGAGAAGCACAGCTCTAAAGTCTCATTTTCCATCTCTTCCCACAGCCACACCCAGTGAATCCCAATCCTCAAAATACACGGACCTCAACACTCCTGCCTCTAGTTGAGACTGAAACATCCATCTCTTCCTCTCCTGCTTTGCTCTTATTCTGCCTTTGGGACTCAACTCAAGCCACCTTTCTTCTGGAACACTGTGTTAGACTCCCCAAGCTGATTTAGGTAGTGCTCCTCCCAGCCTCTGCCTTCTCTCTTTTAGCAATTATTAAATGATGCTTTTAACTGTTGGCTGCTGAATGTCTTGCTCACCACAGTGTGAGCTGTCTTTACCTCCAGTGCCTGGCCAACAGAATTTTGCATATGTATTTAATGAAATAATAAACTACCATCATTTGGTTGGCAGCTTTAAAAAGGGTAATAACATCTTTTTCACCTACAGTAGAATTTTATATACACACATATCCTAACTTAATTTTATATACATATTTAAAATATATAGAATTAAATATAATCTTAATAGATTCCATATGTAATTATATGCAGATTATAAGCTCCCTGCAAGTCTAAATTTCAAAACTATGCTCTGCTGTTTCTGACATTTGTAGGACAGGCCAAGGAATTCAACAGTCAATAGCAATAGCCATTTAACCAAAGGGAAAAAAAAAACCAACAAGGAGCTTCCTGAGCAGGGGTGTGTGCAGACCAGTGCCCTCTCAATGTCTGTCTCCAGGTCTCATCCCTCTCTATGTCTGTCTCAGCTCTCGGTGGGGGAGGGCTCCCAAGCTGCAGGATGACGACATGTTGACTATGCAGCTCTGAGTGCTTAACATTGGACAAATTCCACTGTCACAGAGCTGGCCTAAGGTGGAGGTGGTACTGGACATTCTGGCAGGCATTCCACAAAGGCACATGTCGTGAGTCTCCACCACCAAGTTCTCAGAGTTTTTTGGATAATTGATGATCACAGAATACAAGGTCAATATATAAATGTCAATGCTATTTGCATATACTAGCAACAGTTGGAAATTAAAGTTAAATAAGCGATACCATTTACAATAGCATCAAAAATATCAACTGCTTAGAAATAAATCTGTCAAAAGATATGCAAGGCCCATGCATGTGAAAACTACAAAACTGCTGAGAGAAATTGAAGAAGTCCTGAAGAAATGGAGAAATTGACGATGCTCATGGATTGGAAGACTCAATTTTGTTGAGACTGCAAATATTAATACTTTGAAGCTTCAATTTGCTTTACCCCTGCCTTGTCTCACTGTCTCCTATTTGGCTTTGTATCGTCAATGTCTAGCTCTGTGCCAGGCACAAAATAGTTTGGTGTTCACTGAATACATGAACAAGGAATAAGGATTCAATTCCTTATACAGAATATAGGAATAAATATAGGAAGAGATCTCAACTACCTGGGAGTGCAATAAAAGGCTTCCTTCAAGATGCACTAGGAATTCTATAAGCTGTGATGGGAGCAGGAACCGAAGTCCTGTGAGGAGTAAAACTATATTTATCTGCTGTAGCTTGGGGGTCAGTTTGTGCAAAACAGTGACTGAAACACATATGGCCTGAACTCATGTACTGAAGGACTTTCTCACATTAGATATATTTAAGTAGTGGAGTTGACTCATTCAACATTTTAAAATATTTGTTGAACACCTGCTCTGGAACAAGGCTTGCGCTCAACGCTGGGATCAAAGTGGTAAAGACAGGAAGCATCCCTGCTTCAGCTATAAAACTGTAGTTGCTACCTTTGAGAGCCATCTTTGGGCCAGGCACAAAATCAAATTCTGTGTGTCTTTATAACAGCCTGATGAGACCGTTGTTATTAAGAACTTCACTAAATGTGAAGAAATACACTTAAACTAAGAAATTAGAGTCCCATTTTAAATGCAGGCCAAATGACTGAAAAAAAATTTAGAGTATAATTAAAAAATTAAAAGTACACACTTAAAATGTAGTTTGATAAGTTTTGACAAACGTATATATTTTTACACCACCATTGAGATATAAAACATTCTCATCATCCGAAAAGATTCCTTTGTATCCCCTTCCCAACCACTGATCTGCTTTCTAACATCGTAGTGTTTTCTAGTGTTTCTTATAGATGGAATTATACATTATGTACTCAATTCTTACTTCTTTGACTCAGCATGAATTTGGTGGTGCCCATCACTAATTCATTTTTATTACTGCTGACTTCAGACCTTTAGGGGAGAGAAGACATAAATCAAATAATCACCTAATTAAGTATTTAATTACAACAGCATCAAGTTAACCTAAGGGTAAGTACAAGTGGAAATACATTACCTTGTTTGTTAACAATTCAATCAATACGACCTTGGTGTACAGTGGGGGGCTATAGGGTCATGATTCAGCTTGTGGAAAACAAATGAAAATAAATGTTAGCGAAGAGTGACTCTAAAGAACCTCTGTCCTCACGGTAATTTTTTTAATGTGTCAGATGCTGGTGGGAGGCATTCTTCCTTAGCTCTTTACTCCCATCCCTTACACTTAACAGAGGAAAGGATCTGTAAGGCGCGTACCCCTCTACTGCCCACTGTCGACGAAAACAGCCTCGCCCTGCACCGCCACCGCCACGCATAAGGCGGTGTGTGGGCAGCTCGGACGTGGCACCTGCCCTCAGCTGCTCAATCCCGGGCGCCGCGACGGTCACGTGCACAGCGGCAGGCCTTTTTGCCCCGCCCCCGCGGCCCGGCTCCTGCGTGGGCCCGGCCCCGCCCACAGCCCGCGCAGTCCCGCGAGCCTGGCCTCGGCGGCCCCAGCTTCTAAGGAGCTCGTGAGGGCCAGGCTGCGCCTGCGTCGGGCGGCTGGTGGGCGGGGCGAGGGCCGCTGGGGCCGCGAAGTGGGGCGGCCGGGTGGGCTACAAGCCGGGTCTGGGCTGAGGGGCGCGGCTTCGCGGTGGACCCCAGCCCGGCAACGGGAAGGCGAGCTCTCCTCCACCGTCCAAAGTAAACTTTGCCGCTCCTTCCGCGGCGCTCCCGAGTCCTCGCCGCCGCCGGGCCGCCGCAGTCCGCGAAGAGCCGTCCTGCGTCAGGGCCTCCTTCCCTGCCCCGGCGCGGGGCCACTGCGCCATGGACGCCACAGCACTGGAGCGGGACGCTGTGCAGTTCGCCCGTCTGGCGGTTCAGCGCGACCACGAAGGCCGCTACTCCGAGGCGGTGTTTTATTACAAGGTAGGGCCGGGCCCGGCGCTTCGGTCGGAGTTGCTCAGTCGGAGTGCGGCCCGGGCCTGCGGCCGAGGGGCGGGATCCGGGTGCGGAGGCTAGCGGCCCCGGCTTTGCTTTTCCCTCGTCCGCCTCCCGGCCCTCCTCTTGTTGGGAGCGGCAAGCCCGAGTGCAGAGGCCGACGCTGAGGCTGCGGGGAGGCTGGGTCGCGGCTTGCAGCCGCCGCTCCTCCACCTGTAGTCCTGACTGGCAAATGCCCACCGTTGAGCCGCTTTGGGGGGCAGGTGTTAGATATGGGTAGTTAGTAGCCAATTCTTGCTGTCACTTGACTCTGATTTACAGCTAGCGGGAAATGGCCTGTGATATATATCAAAATAATGCATGCTCGTTAAATAAACTTAAAAAGAATAAAAACCATCTCCTGTCATAGCATTTGACATACAGTCATGCGTCCTTAGCGATGTGATATTTTCTGAGAAATGTGTTCTTAGGCCATTTTGTTGTTGTGCGAACACCGTAGAAAGCGCTTACACAAGCCTGAATGGTACAGCCTGTTCCACACCTAAGCTGTATGGCATGGCCTGTTGCTCCTAGGTTACAGGCCTGCGCAGCGTGTTGCTGTACTCAGTGGTGTGTGCAGTTACATGCAGTGGTAAGTATTTGTGCATCTAAACATAGAAAAGGTACAGTAAACATGCAGCATAAAAGATAAAAAAAAAATACTACACCAGTGTGGGGCACTTACCCACAAAAGGAGCTTGCAGGACTGGAAGTTGCTCTGAGTTGGTGAGTAGTGGTGAGTGAATGTGAAGGCCTGGGACATTCACTGCTCTACTCTTGTAGACTTTATAAGCAGTGTACCCTTAGGCTACGCTAAATTTTTTTAATCTTTCTTCAGTAATAAACTAACCTTAGCTTACGGTAACCCTTTTACTTTATAAACTTCTAAATTTTCTTAACTTTTTAACTCTTTTGTAATAGCTTAAAACGAACTTATTGTGCAGTTACACAAACATTTTCTTTATATCTTTATTTGGTAAGTTTTTTTGTTTCTTTTTTTTTTTTTATTCTTTAGTTAAAAACTAAGGCACACGTTAGCCTAGGCCTACACCTCGTCAGGATCATCAATATTACTGTCTTCCACCTCCAATCTTGTCCCACTGGGAGGTCTTCAGGAGCAATAACAGGAATGAAACTGTCGTCTCCTATGATAACAATGTCTCTTGAAATATCTCCTGAAGGACATGTCAGAGACTGTTTTATAGTTAACTTTTTTTTATAAAAGGAGTATACTAACAGTACATAGTATAGCATAGTAAATACATAAACCAGTAACATAGTTGTTGATTATCAAGTATTATGTACTCTACATTATTGTGTGTGGTAGACTTTTACACCACTGGCACCCCAGTAGGTTTGTTTACATCAGCATCACCACAAACATGCGAGTAAAGTGTTGTGCTATGACATTATGATGGCTATGACATGACCAGGCAATAGGAATTTTTCAACTCCATTATAATCTTAGGGGACCACTATCATATATTCAGTCTGTTGTTGACTGAAATGTTATGTGGTGTGTGACTATATTTTTGTGTTTTTTTATGCGTATGTGTATATGCTTTTTTTTTTTTTTTACAAACTGGTTTATACTGTTTTTAGTAATAGCTGCACAGTAGTTCATTATGTGGGTGTACCATATTTTTTTTTTTAAGAGACAGCGTCTTGCCCTGTCACTCAGCCTGGAGTGCCGTGGCCCACTAATAATAGCTCATTGCAGCCTCAAACTGCAAAGCTCAAGCAATCCTCCTGCCTCAGTCTCCCAATTGGTGGGACTACAGGTAGACACAACCACACTTGGCTAATTTTTTTTTTTTTTTTTTTTTTGTGTAGAAATGGAGTCTCGCTGTGTTGCCCAGGCTGGTTTCGAACTCCTGGGTCAAGCGATCTTCCTGCCTCAGTCTCCCAAAATGCTGGAATTACAGGCGTGAGCCTCTGTGCCTGTCCAGTGTACTATAATTAATTTACAGACTCTTGGGCATTCAGTTGATTTTGTTTTTTCAACATCATAAGTAACGATGTAGTTCATATCTTTATAACTAATTCTTATGACTAGTGCAAATTTTTGCCTGAATTTTCTTTGGGATAAATTACCGGGGACAGAATTGATAAATCAAAGGGTATGAGCTTCCATGGTCCACTCTCTTCTCTCCAATTCTGAGGATTTGCAAATATACCCCTCTAGCTCTAGCTAGATTTGGAGGGAGCTGTGTCCTCATGATAGTGTCACCTTTTCTTTTAGAAAGATTATCAGACTTTGATAATACTGTACAATAGTAGTACTTTTTTTCACAAATGTATGTGCTGTCAATAAAGTGTGGTTTGTTTCAGATTAATATTTTGTTGCTTTCATTTTATAATCTTTTTTCCTTTTTTTTTGAGACGGAGTTTTGTTCTTGTTGCTCAGGCTGGAGTGCAATAGCACAATCTCGACTCGCTGCAACCTCCACCTCGTGGGTTCAAGTGATTCTCCTGCCTCAGCCTCCTGAGTAGCTGGGATTACAGGCATGCACCACCACCCCCGGCTAATTTTGTATTTTTAGTAGAGACCGGGTTTCTCCATGTTGGTCAGGCTGGTCTCAAACTCCCGACCTCAGGTGATCCACCTGCCTCGGCTTCCCAAAGTGCTGGGATTATAGGCATGAGCCACCGCCCCCAGCCTATTTTTTTCTTTTTTTATTGATAGGTAATGTACATAGTTTCAGGGTACATGTGATAATTTAATACATTAATATAATTTGTAAAGATAAATCAGCATACTTGGGATAGCCATCACCTTAACTACTTCACAGCTGAACTGTGCAGCTTTTATTACTGAATATTATTCCCTTAATATTTATGCTAGGAACATTTGAATTAATCTAGCTATTTTGAAATGTACAATCAAATATTATAAACTCTGGTCACCCTGTGATCTATCTTAACAGTAGGTCTCATTCTATTATAATCTGCTTTATGTTTAGAGAGTTTTGGTGCATTTCAGAATCCTTTTAGACTTTTTTGACAATTTCACAAGGCATTGTTTAAGAGAAAAATTGTGTGTGTTTTGTGAAATAGCTTTGACAACAGGTTAAAATAGTGCTATATAAAAATAGATTTTATTAAAGCAAAAGAAACTGCTATGCACTGCCCCTTGTTTCCTATAGACTTACATACATGTCAGGAAGAATTTTTTATCTTTGAGAAAGCCAAAAAAAGTGGTTGTACTTCTAGAAATTATTTATATAAGCTTCATCAGTTTAGTATTTAGTGTTTTCTGCCCAGTCCTTTCTATAAGCTATTTATTTCTTGTCAGTTTTGAATATAAATGAAATGAGTAAAATAAAATTGACACCAGCAGTTTTTTAAATTGGCTTTATTTTATTTTTCAGAGACAGGGTCTCATTCTGTCACCCAGGCTGGCGGGCAGTGGTGAGATCATAACTCACTGCAGCCTCAAACTCCTGGGCTAAAACAATCTTCCAGCCTCAGCCTCCTGAGTAGCTGGGACTACAGGTGTGCACCACAATACCTGGCTAATTTTTTTTTTTTCCAGAAATGGGGATTTCACTATGTTGCCCAGTTAGTCTTGAACTCCTGGCCTCAAGCAGTCCTCCTGCCTCAGACTCCTAAGTAAAAAAAATAGCTTTTTTTAAAAAGTACAATAATTATTTGGAAATTAATAATCACATACAAGATAACTGAAGGGGCAATATATGTGTATTATATACTTATATAATTTACATGTATCAAAAACATTCCGTTTATTGGATTTAAGTGTAGTTACAATGTATTTAGATAATGATGGTATGTAAGATATATTTAATGTTTACATGTAAAGTTATACTTTCCTCCTCTGAAATAGTTATAGAATCTAAGGAAGTCATATCTTTTCTATCCCACTGCCTTTAGGCTGAATTTTCATTGTAGTCAAAACTGTACTTTTTCATTCCTTCCTTGCTTCCTTCCTTTTTTTTTTTTTTTTTGGACAGTATCTTACTCTGTCACCCAGGCTGGAGTGCAGTGGCCCGATCACAGCTCACTGCAGCCTCCACCTCCCAGGGCTCAGGTGATCCTCCCGCCTCAGCCTCCTGAGTAGCTGGGACTACTTTGTAGAGACAGGGTTTCACCATGTTGCCCAGGCTGAAAACTGCACTTTTCTTAATTTTGTTAGGTTCAGTGAAACAACTCCTGCTCAAACAACTGGATTCAAAAAGTGATGTTCAGTAGATGGCATCTTTGGAAACAGGCATGATGACCCATGAAGTGTACACGCTTGGGTTACTGCAGAGAAGGTGCTGTTACTTGTAGAAATCTGTCTTTGCTTTTCTAGGTGGTAGCATTGGTAACCTTCCTGGAATGGTGATGAGGAGAATGGAAACACCACCTTCTAGCCATAGCATAACTGGTCGTGGAAGTTATGGAATAACTGGAAGAAGAATCCAGATTTTCTTAAAATTAAAATAAGTGTAATTTATACAACTAAAATCTGCTTTAAAATGTGTCATCCTTTGTCAGTATTTTCTGTGGAGAAAACTGTTTTCCTTTTACTGTGAGATATTTAACCTGTGTAATCTCCTGTAATCTTTTCTTGATAATTTTATTTTAGCAATTATTACTCGTTTTAATGCTTTGAAGGCTCAATTCATATTTTTTTGCGTGTGAATTACTTGCAATCAGTTCACATTTTCAAGGTATATAATTTTAAATCTGATCTATTGCATAAGGAAAAAGGAAAACGAAACATGTAAACTGCAGCTATTCTAAAGAAGTGTTTATAATCAGTTCCTTATGCGTGAATTCATAAATTTTCAATGATATGTTAAAATTGAGAGAGAGCCTGGATAGCTCCTTCGGTAGAGCATCATCAGACTTTTAATGTGAGGGTCCAGGGTTCAAGTTCCTGTTTGGGCGTGTCCTGTGGCTTTTAGCACCTAATTCTGACTCTATCTTTGAAAAAGCCAAAAAAAAAAAAGTATGATTTGGGCCAGGTGTGGTGGCTCATGCCTGTAATCCCAGCACTTTGGGAGGCCGAGGTGGGCAGATCACTTGAGGCCAGGAGTTCAAGACCAGCCTGGCCAACATGGCAGAACCCAATCTCTACTAAAAATACAAAAATTAACCAGGTATGGTGGTGTACACCTATAGTCCCAGCTACTCGGGAGGCTGAGGCCCAAGAATCACTTGAACCTGGGGAGGTTGAGCTGAGCTGAGATCACACCACTGCACTCCAGCCTGGGTGACAGAGCAAAACTCTGTCTCAAAAAAGAAAAGTAAAAGAAAATTGAGAACATTGAATACTGAAGAAAACATTGGAAGATTGTATAACTACTTTATGAAAAAAATTACTATTAATAATAATTTAAAGACATTCTTGTTTTGTCATTCATGGAAACCAATATTGAATGAGAATGTGATAAAGAAAATTCAAGTTGTAATACATCTATTGGATTCCTTTGAATTCTTTCATTTTTAGGAAGCTGCACAAGCCTTAATTTATGCTGAGATGGCAGGATCAAGCCTAGAAAATATTCAAGAAAAAATAACTGAGTATCTGGAAAGAGTTCAAGCTCTACATTCAGCAGGTTAGTAAAGGACTACTAAACTTGTCACTCTATTTTTTCTTTTCTCCCATCATGTCTTTCCCCCATGTTTGTTTCTCTTCTTCATTTTTATCTTTGAATCTTGATGCTCACTCTGTTGCTGCTCATTCCACTTTTGGTAATCACCTCTTTAAAAGTCATTTAGAAATAAGTCATAGATCTTTGAAGAGGAACCTTATAGACAATATAGTCCAGTTTCCTAATTTCCCAGAGTGCAGAGATGGTGAATTACCTATGTTCAAACAATTTATCATTGGCAAAGTTAGGATTAGGATTCAGTTAAAGTCTGCTTTTAAAATATCTGTCACGTCTCTTCCTTATAAAATTAAGTGACTGTTCCTCTTCAGTGTTTACAGACTTCAGCAGTAGGTTCACAGTGTCTTCTCTTTCGGTGTCTTCTACTTTCAGACCTTTGCTAAACTCTTTAAAACCATATCTTGGGAAAGTGACATGTAAACAGAGACTTGGAACTACTTGTATTTATTTTTGTAAACAGCACAACAGGTACAATAATAGAAATATATAGTCTTAATGGTCACAGTTTTGTTAGAGGTAACTGATGTTGACATTGTATTTACAAATACATTGATTTCTGTAGGGATTCTTTTTAACCCTCTTTTTCTGTTGCTGCATGATAAAGCGCCAAGCAGAAGAATATTTATTCTCATGGACTTTGTGTAACTTTCTACCACTCATTTTGAGTAGATACGAGCAATTACAAGAACATCGTTGGGATAAAGTAGATTTAATCATTGGATTCCTTGTTATGACAGTTCCCTTAAAAACAAGGCGGTTTACTTTTAATACAGTGCCCAGAAATTGCATGTATTGAAAAGTGTACTGCCTGTGTTATTGGAACCTCACTTGATACAAAGTATTGATTCATGTATTCAAAATATCATATAAAATTCAAAGGAACTTTCTTTTCCCAGCCAAGTAAATGAAGTTCTTAAATTTAACTGCCCAATATTAGGAACTTTGTTTCATAACCAGTGTTTTCAAATAAAATTATCTTTGAAGTAGGGAAGGTAGTCTTTCATGTTTACTTCCATGATCTCCTTGTTTTTTCATAGATAGTTTTCTTCATTTCAATAACTATGTATTGAATACATGTTTGGGCTCTATGGTAAGTACAGGGTAATAGATGAGTGACAGTCCATGTCCTCAGGAGGACTTCATCAGGTGTGGAGAGAGAACAGTGTCAACATTGCACTATCATGGAAACCCCTTTCTGAAGCATGCTAGACTAAATGTTAAAGCAGAATGCTCTAGAAAGGAGAGATTATATGGTGATATTATTCCAGGAGTAGAATCTCTGGCAGCCTAAGGTATATTTCCATCTTTCTTTTCCATATGTACACACAGTCAAGCACATTTATGCCCTAGGGTCTTGATTCCAGTAAGATTGCTCTTTAAACCCTTGAAATCCTTGTGACAATTGGAAAAAATAAATATGAATCATTTTTTTCTAAGGAATTTTAAAAATTATTCTTACTTTATATTAAATACAGCTAAGCCTAAAAACTTACATGTGATTTTTGGGAAATAAATTCTAAACATTGATATATATGTGATATTCAAGCATCAAATGAGACACCCCAATCTCTTGAAGAATAAAGACTTGCCAGTGAAATAGAGTTCAAAAAGGATTTTTTTTTTTTTTTTTTGAGGTGGAGTCTCGTTCTGTCTTCCAGGCTGGAGTGCAGTGGCGCGATCTCAGCTCACTGCCAAGTTCCGCCTCCGGGGTTCACGCCATTCTCCTGCGTCAGCCTCCCCAGTAGCTGAGACTACAGGCGCCTGCCACCACACCCAGCTGATTTTTTATATTTTTAGTAGAGACAGGATTTCACCATGTTAGCCAGGATGGTCTCGATCTCCTGACCTCGTGATCCACCCGCCTCGGCCTCCCAAAGTGCTGGGATTACAGGCGTGAGCCACCATGCCTGGCCTTAAAAAGGATTTTTAAAGCATAACATAGCTTGTTTTACCAACTTCTTTCTGCTTTTGTTGAAGAAATGGAGTATAATCTCTAGACAATTTAAAGGATTTTCTTATTTATTATTTTAAGCAGAAAAGTCCTTTTTCAAATAAAAATCCTGTTAGGAACCCTAAGTTTTAAAACAAGATAGTCTGCTGACAGTTAAGAGAATCCTGAGAGAGAGTTGATTTTGGGGTGGGGAAAGGTAACATAATTTAAAATTAACCAGTATAGGCCGGCACAGTGGCTCATGCCTGTAATCCCAGCACTTTGGGAAGCTGAGGCAGGAGAATCCCTTGAATCTAGGAGTTCAAGATCAGCCTAGGCAACATAGACTTCACCCCTACAAAAATTGAAAAAATTTGCTGGGCATGGTGGTGTGTGCCTGTAGTCCCAGCTCCTCAGAGGTTGAGGCAGGAAGATTGCTTGAGCCCAGGAGGTTGAGGCTGCACTGACCCGTGATTACACCACTGCCCTCAGCCTGGATGACAGAGTAAGACCCTGTCTCGAAAAATAAAAAGTAAAATTAACCGTCGTAGTACAGAGTTCAAGACTTGGAATTAAAAGATCCCTGTTGAGTCTCTACCCTTTCACTTGTAGCTGTGAAATCTTAGACTAGATCAATGGGTCTCAGTAGAAAGCAATTTGCCCCCCAGGGGACATTTGGCAATTTCTGGAGAAGTTTTTGGTTTTCACGCTGCTGGGTGGCAAGGAATATGCTTCTGGGATTTAGCTGGGTAGAGGCCAAGGCTGTTGCTAAAAAGTCTCCCACAACAAAGAATTATCCAGCCCAAAATGTCAATAATGCCAGGCTGAGAAACACTGGGCTAGATATTTCAACATTTTTGAGCTTTGGTATCTTTTTCATCAATGGAATTAGTATATACTTCAGAGAGGCATTTAAGAAGGCTAAAGTTTTGAAAACATCAGCACAAACTGGGCACAGTGGTGAGTGCCTGTAGTTCCAGCCACTTGGGAGGCTAAGGCAGAAGGGTCACTTGAGCCCAGTAGTTTAAGAGTTTAAGGCCAGCCTGGGCAACCTAGTGAGACCGTGTATTTAAAAAAAAACCAAAAACACGTAACTTTAAAGAACTAACAAAATCTCAGACTTTTCTTAAATAGCAAGTTTAGCGAGATACAATTTCCATATCATAAAATTCACCCTCTTAAAGTATATAATTCAGGTGTTTTTAGCCTATTCCCAGAGTTGTGCAGTCATCCCCACTATCTAATTTTAGAAAGTTTTCATCACCCCAAGAGAAACCTCTTACCCATTAGCAGTCAATCCCCATTCCTCCCTCCCCCTAGCCACCACTAATCTTGTTGTTTCTATGGATTTGCCTATTGTGGATATTTCATACAAATGGAATCATCCAAAACATGGCCCTTTTGCCATGTGGCTTCTTTCACTGAGTTTAATGTTTGCAAGATTTTTCCATGTTGTAGATTGTATCAATACTTCATTGCTTTTTATGGCTGAGTAATATTTCATTGTATTGATGTGCTGCATTTTGTTTATCCGTTCATTAGTTTTTGGAGACATTTGGGTTGTTTACACCTTTTGGCTGTTATAAATAATGCAGTTAAGAACATTCATGTACACGCAGTGGCTCATGCCTGTAATCCCAGCACTTTGGGAGGCCAAGGCAGACAGATCACTTGAGGCCAGCAGTTTGAGACTAGCCTGGCCAACAGGGTGAAACCCCGTCTCTACTAAAAATACAAAAATTAGCCAAGCGTGATGGTGCACACATGTAGTCCCAGCTACTTGGGAGGCTGAGGCACAAGAATTGCTTGAAAACCCAGGAAGTGGAGGTTGCAGTGAGCTGAGATCGCACCACTGCACTCCAACTTGGGTGACAGGGTGAGATTCTGTCTCAAAAAAAAAAAATTCATGTACAGATTTTTGCATAGACATGTTTTCTCAATTCTCTTGGAATTCCACCCAGAAGTGGAACTGCTGTGTCATAGGATGTAGCTCCATGTTTAACTTTTTGAGGAACTGCCAAATTGTTTTCCAGAGTGGCTACATCATTTCACAGTTCCATCAGCAGTGTATCTGGGTTCCAAGTCCTTCACATCCTAACACTTGTTATTGTCTTTCTGATTTTAGCCATCCTAGTGGGCATAAGGTGTCATCTCATTGTGGTTGTGTTTTGCATTTTTTGATGGCTAACGTTCAGCAATTTCTTATGTGCCATTTGACCTTTTGAATGCCATCTTTGGAGAAATGTCTGTTCAGATCCTTTGCCCATTTTTTAACTGGGTTGTCTTTATTGTTGAATTTTAAGAGATCTTTATATATTCTGGATACATGTTTCTTATAGATACGTATTTTTTTATTAAAATCAAATGAAAATATTATTTCAAAGAGCAATGAAAATACATAACATATTCTAGGCTCAGGGTAAATAGAAAAAGCAGGAACTTTATCATCAGAGCCTAGTATATTACACAATTTTGTCTGTGCAGAAAAAAAAGTTTTAATTGCCTTAAAATAGATTTCTTAATATTTAGCAATTTCCAAGTTTTTGTTTTGTCTTTTGAGGTAGAGGAGCATATGAGGAGAATGCCTGTGTTTCAATTTTTAAGTGAAGAAAGTGCCAGTGGGAGAGAGAAATTCAGGGAAAGAATTTTTTAAATAAGTAGTGTATTTTTTACTATTCTTTATCTCTGATGTCTATTGTGTGGTAAATAATTGCAGATTTTTTTTCTTAGACCTTAAGATTAAAAAGAGAAGGGAGGAAGGCTGGGCATGGTGGCTCACACCTGTAATCCCATCACTTTGGGAGGCTGAAACTGGCAGATTGCTTGAGCCTGGGAGTTCAAGACCAGCCTGGGCAACATGGCAAAACCCCATCTCTACAAAAAAAAAAAAAGAGAGAAAAATTAGCCAGGCATGGTGGTACACTCCTGTAGTCCCAGCTACTCAGGAGGCTGAGGTGGGAGAATCTCTTGAGCCCGAGGAGGTAGAGGCTGCAGTCAGCTGTGATTGTGCCACTGCACTCTAGCCTGGGTAACAGAGCAAGAGCCTGTCTAAAAAAAAAAAAAGAAGGGAGGAAATTTGTCCTTTTTTAAGGATTTTTTTAACCTTGCTAAGTTTTTTAAATGAAGAATACAGGGTTTTGGTAAAAAATGTCTTAAATAGTGAAAATAGTGTGTTTTCTGGCTGTATTTAGATAATACTCCTTCTGCGTATTTTTTTTTCTATCCTAGTTCAGTCAAAGAGTGCTGATCCTTTGAAGTCAAAACATCAGTTGGACTTAGAGCGTGCTCATTTCCTTGTTACACAAGCTTTTGATGAAGATGAAAAAGAGAATGTTGAAGATGCTATAGAATTGTACACAGAAGCTGTGGATCTCTGTCTGAAAACAGTGTGTATAGCTACAAATTACGTTTGATGAGTTATGCCAAACCATTTCTTCTCTTGCTAGTGAATTTTACATAACACCTTGAATAAAAGAATTTTAACAGAATAAAAAAAATTATTTTAAATGTAACAACTACTCCTCAATATAAGATGATGAGTAGAAAGCTAATAATGGGTTTTTGCATCTTATTAAAATTTTGAAAGTATTGAGTCTTAAATTACAAGAACTATTTTTAACATTTCTGTTCTTACAACTAAAATAAACTTACAGAATTCATTATCACAAATCTATTAATTTAGAATAAACTTCCCCTTTTTTCAGTTTCGTGCACTAAAAAATAAGCTAGTGGTTTGGATGAGCCTTACTTATTTGCAGTGTAAAATCTGTATGCTGAGTGGCTTTTACTGCTCCCTGCTGAGCCTTGGTTGGGACTCTTAGCTTCAAGGGACATCTAGTGCATAAGAGAGCAGTGTATTTGACAGGAGGATGAGGTAAAGTAGTTGAGACTGGTATCCCCATGTCTTTCTGACTGGCTTTTTGGCAGAGACTTTTGCTCAGAGAGACCATCTGGCCTGATTTCTGTAGGTGCCTTGAGACTAAATGAGTGCTAGTGTTCTGAGGTTCCTGCCACTCAGCGTTCCACAGCACTATGGTCAAACAGTTCTGGTCCAGTTATCAGTTGTCCACATAAGTGGTTTTAAAGTGCACCTCAGTGACAAATTTTCAACACTATTTTAAATGATACCTTTAAGGATGAGAATTAATGTCATCTTTGTTTGTTCTCAATTTCAGCAAGTGTAATATGCATTGTAAATTTTTTGCTTAGAAATATGGATCAAGCAAATTGAAAAATAATTATGCTTTAAAATGTCTGTCTCTTTCTTTCTCTTAAGTCTTATGAAACTGCTGATAAAGTCCTGCAAAATAAACTGAAACAGTTGGCTCGACAGGCACTAGACAGGTGAGTTTGATCTCTCAAGTTCTAATCCATGGATGGCACTTAGTGTTATTTAAACAAATTTATCTAAATGTGTTGTAAAGGCTGCAGTAACAAACCTCCATCTTTTAACTGTCATCTGAAACAAATCTACTTTCTACTTCTTAGTGAATTTACCTCCTCTCTCTAGTTCCCTGCTTTAAACTCAAGAAATAGCAAATCAATAAATGTTTTTAATTTTAGTTTAGAACAGAAAGGACTGTGATATTTGCAATGGAGGACCTCCTTTCTGTTATGTAATATCAGACTTTCAAAGAGAACTTCCAGAGAGCCTTCCAGATCTGCTAAAAATAGAAAACATGAGCATGAACTTGCTTTCAGCCATGTACATACCTCAGATTATACAGTGTGTAGCTCTTTCACCTCTTAGCTGAAATGTCAACTTTTCAATGAAGCCTGCCCTAACCATTGTTTAAAATTGAATCTCCCCCAGCAGTTGCAACCTGATTATTCTGGTATTTTTCCCACAGCTCTTATTTTCTGAGGTCTGTGAGATTTACTAGCTTATTATATTTGTTGTTAATGTCTGTGTCCCCTCCAACCTTCATCCCCCAGATGTAAGCTCTGAGGGCAGAGATTTTTGTCTATTTTATTTAGTGCTGTAACCAAGTACCCAGCAGAGTGCCTGACATGTAATATGTGCTCAGTAGATATTTGCTAAAAGAATGAATGAGTTTGCATAAGCGAATTATATATCTTGAAAGAGTGTTGTAGACACACAAAAAATGAAAGGGTGGAAATTGCTTTTATACCTACATCATGAATTATCTCCTTTTGAGGCTCTGACCTGATAGATAACTGTACCACCCCAAGCCCTTCTTTTTTTAACTGAAGTAAAATAGTCATCCCTCCTTTTCATTGTCATCTACTAACTTTAGTTTGTTTCCTCAGATTCACAAAGATACGAGTCCTTGACATACAGTTGTCTTCTCTATCTTGACTTCTTTCACCTGTCAGAATTATAAGTGACTTTATTACGTCTGTGGCTAACCCATCCAATATTCTCAAGTGCACCCTAAGCAAAGGGTGGGTGAGATAGCCATGGGCTCCTATGAGGATCTTTTGAAACTTATGGATCCATTCTCTAGGAAAATGTACATGAAATTTTTTTGCATATAATTTCAGAGTTTTCACAAGAATCCTGAAGCTCATATATGCACCTCAGGTTAAGAACTTCTATTTTTTAGCTCGTTAGTTCTTTGACAGAACAAAGTTAAAATTCTGTTGCATATCATGTGAGGCTGTCTGTGATCCAGCCCCTGCTTTCCTCTCTAGTCTCATCTCCTGCTGCCTCTCGTTTGCACTTCTCACAGGGGCAACATTCATTCTTTTGCAATTACCTGGCCGGGCACGGTGGCTCACGCCTGTAATCCCAACACTTTGGGAGACTGAGGTGGACGAATCACCTGAGGTCAGGAGTTCGAGACCAGCCTGGCCAACGTGGCGAAACCCTGTCTCTACTAAAAATACAAAAATTAGCCAGGCGTGGTGGTAGGCACCTATAATCCCAGCTACTCAGAAGGCTGAGGCAGGAGAATCGCTTGACTCGGAAGGCAGAGGTTGCAGTGAGCCAAGATTGCGCCACTACGCTCTAGCTTGGGCAACAGAGTGAAACGCCGTCTCAAAAAAAAAAATAAAAAATTTAAAAAAGAAATTACCTTAATTCATTGTGCTGTTTCATACTTCTGCACGTTTGTACATGTTCTTCTGTCTACTTAGAATGCTTCCTCACTGCCCAGGTGAACAACTCTGCAGCTCAAGCATCAGTTCAGAGCACCCTTCTCCAACTCATCCCCACTTGGCAATTCATTAAGTGAATAACTTCTGTTGTACATTCATTTGCATGTAATACTTTCATCCTAGTATCTGTTATTTTTGATGCAGTTGTCTGTCTTTCCCTACAAAACTATGAGTACCTTAAGGGTAGGGATTGTTTTATACGTTCTTTTATACCACTTACCTTACCTTGTATGGTGTCTGATTATGTAAGTGCTTAATTAATGTTGTCAATAGAATATTGTTTGTAAAAGATGCTTATCTTTGGAAGTAGCTGAAGTAGTGAAATGTTGATTAGTATGTAAGAATTTTATATACTAATTTTACATTAGGGATGCTTGACTGGTTCTTCAAGTAAATTTTGTTTCCTGAAAAGCTTAAATGTGAGTAGAAAAACTAGAACAGTTGTTTGTTCCTCTCTGTTATAGAGCAGAAGCGCTGAGTGAGCCTTTGACCAAGCCAGTTGGCAAAATCAGTTCAACAAGTGTTAAGCCAAAGCCACCTCCAGTGAGAGCACATTTTCCACTGGGCGCTAATCCCTTCCTTGAAAGACCTCAGTCATTTATAAGTCCTCAGTCATGTGATGCACAAGGACAGAGATACACAGCAGAAGAAATAGAAGTACTCAGGTAAATAAGTTTACAATTAATTGTAATGAAGAATTTTGTTAACATGAATGCAGAATTTTATTTTCATTAGGTTTGCTGAATTGTATTCAGATTTCTCCTATAGTGTATTGTGCTGTTATTATGTAATTATATCATCATGTAGTCACAACTTGAAATAGTTAAAATTTTAGTTCTGATATATTTTATTTTATTTTATTATTTTCATTTGTATTTTTTGAGACAGAGTGTCACTCTGTTGTTCAGGCTGGAGTGCAGTGGTGTGATCTTGGCTCACTGCAACCTCTGCCTCCTGGGCTCAAGCGATTTTCCTGCCTCAGCCTCCCAAGTAGCTGGGACTACAGGTGTGTGCCACCACATCTGACTAATTTTTTTTTTTTTTTTTTTTTTTTTTAGTAGAGACAGGGTTTCATAATGTTGGCCAGGCTGGTCTCGAGCTCCTGACCTCAGGTGATTCGCCCACCTCGGCCTCCCAAAGTATTGGGATTACAGGCATGAGCCACTGTGCCCGGCTTTAGTTCCAGTATATTTTAATATTAGCGTTTTTGCTAGACATAATACACTTTGCTGAAAATCCTAGCATTCTGTGAAACTGAGCCACTAAAGGTTAAGGAGCAAAATGAGCTGTAGCAGACCACTCTTAATCTATGCAACTTTGTAACCAGAGCCCTAATGGGAGAAAAAATGTTACTTTGAAATAGGAGTGTAGGTGGTGTGCTGGCAGCTCACCCCTGCAATCCCAGCATTTTGGGAGGCAGAGGGGGGCAGATCACTTGAGCTCAGGAGTTTGAGACCAGCCTGGGCAACATGCCAAAACCCCATCTCTACTACAAATACAAAAAATAGCTGGGTATGATGATGTGCACTGTAATCCCAGCTACTTGGGAGGATCACTTGAGCCCAGGAGGTGGAGGTTGCAAAGCCGAGATCACGCCACTGCTCTCCAGCTTGGGCAACAGAGGGAGATCCCGTCTCAAAAAAAAAAATATGTGTGTATACACGTGTATATACATACGTATACATATACGTATATAGTATACGTATACGTATATATATATGTAAAGTTTTTCTTTGAAAGGTTTTACATGCATCAAAAAAAAAAAAAAAGAATATATGACAGAAACCTCATTGCAAAGCCTAAGCTATATACCATATGGCTCTTTACAGAAAACATTTGCCGACCCCCTGTCTAGCGGGGGTTATAGCGTGTCTGAAAGCAGTCTCAGAGGATATTAAAAATGTAAAACACGGCTACTCTGGGCACACTGCCTATGGAGTAGCCCTGTTCCACAAGGAGCTGTACCAAAAAAAAATGAAATGTGAAACACAATAATGTGGAAATTCTTGATTGCCCTCTGAACCAGTGTAGCTAGGATAAGTCCCTGAGCCAGACAGGGTGGCTTTTTTAAAGTTGAGCACTGCAGAAAGTTCAGTCTGCTTAGAGCTGTGTAAGTCATGTAGGTGTTCATCTTTTTATTTTCTAAAATTGAGCTGAAAGGGCTTCTGCCTAGGTAGCAGCCATCTGAGAGCATTTTTCTTTCCTTTCCTGCTGAAGATTGTAATTGTACTCCTGCTAATCTGGCTCCCTTTGTCTAGGAAAAATTGCATGTGCACCAACACAGCACAATACAGGACAAAGAAGGGTAGTTTTGAAGCTAAAAGACTAATAACAGTCCAACACTTTTCCATATGCTACCTTCACATGTTTGAAATTCTGTACTACACCAGAACAACTCTATATTCCACCTAACAAAATGCAGCTATCCTTCATGCGAGTGAAAAGTTTTCATTATCTTTCCAAAATAAGGCTGTACATAGTCCCAACAATCATTTCATCTATTCCTGACTATATTAAGTAGTCCTCAGATTTCCAGGCTATTGTTACCTAAAGACTAAATTCTGAAGTTACTCTGCAACATCTCATAAATAGAATAAGGGAGAGAAACAGATACAAGAAGGAAATAGTTAATATAGATAAATAAGCATATACACAAAACAAGGAGAATGCAAAGCTACTACAAACCTTATTTCTTTAATTTGTCAGTAGACCATAGCTGATATCTATGACACTTCCTTCTTCCACTACCCATTTCATGTCCTCATAACCAGAAAACGTGAAGAGCATGTATTTCAGAATTGTTAATGTGTTTTTTTAATTCCAAAATAACTTAAGCAATTGATTTCTCCCTTTAGGCTTAGCATAGAATTGGTTTTGTGTCTTGGTGTCAAGGACACTTTCATTACCTCTTGAATAGTCTTGTCTTCTTGTGGGTGTTAGCCTTTAAAGAATATTCTTATTGGTTTGAATTGATTCAGTTATTTTCTGATTTTCAATTATTTTATGAAAATATTGTCCAAAGATATATCAACAACATGAGGTTGTCAGTTTAATTTTAATACAGTATCATACCTTGTCATTTAAATTTTAAAGAGTTGAAATAAGATTGGCAATTAAGGTAAACTTGAACATTTAGGTTTTTTTCTCGTGTTTGATAGGACAACATCAAAAATAAATGGTATAGAATATGTTCCTTTCATGAATGTTGACCTGAGAGAACGTTTTGCCTATCCAATGCCTTTCTGGTAAGTAAGCACTGTTGCAATTTTTAACTCCAATATTTTAACTTTTCAGTACTCTGAAGTTCAATTTAATAGCCTTGAAATTAAAATTTGTAATAAAAAAATTTGTTGGAATAGAGGGGTGGCTGTGGGAAAGGGATAGGGCAACATAGCAAGAGCACTTTTGTTATTTGCCCAGTCATGAGGACATGAGGATCTCCTTTTGCCTAATATTATTTCTGTAGTGTCTAGCACAGTACCTGGTGTAAAGTAAGTACTCCGTAAATATTTGTCCAAGCAGTGATTGAATCACAACAGAAATTCTAACACACAGTAAAGAAACTGAATGGAAAAGGGGAATGGAATGATGTCATTGTTTACTAAGAAGACCAATTCAAGCAAGGACTATTTATGAGAGAATTAGTTAGCACAGCCTTCCAGGACAATGGCAGCTTATGTCAAGAGCTTTAAAAATATTGTTTGGTTCAGGAGTCCGAGCTTGTAGTCATCGTAAGGAAATCAACAGTCAAAGATGTACATAATAAGGACACTCATCAAAGCATCTGTTGCAGCAAAAAATTATTGAAACAAACTGGCAATATGGGAATGATTAAATAATAGTACATCTATACAGTCAAATATTATGCTACTCAAAATAAGTATTTAAAACTGTAGGAAAAAAAATGTTCCCATTACAGAAATCAAAAAGAAAATTATGATGTCCCAAATTTTTTTTTTTTTTCTTTTTTTTTGAGATAGGGTCTCACTCCCATTGCCTAGGCTGGAGTGCAATGATGTGATCATGACTCACTGCAGCCTTGACTTCTCAGGCTCAGGTGATTCTCCCACCTCAGCCTCTTGTATAGCTGGGACCGCAGGCATGCACCATCACGCCCAGCTAATTTTTGTATTTTTGGTAGAGACGAGATTTTACCATTTTGGCCAGGCTGGTCTTGCACTCCTGACTTCAAGTGATCCATCTGCCTCAGCCTCCCGAAGTGCTGGGATTACAGATGTGAGCCACTGTGCCTGACCCTTCTTTTTCTTTTCATGTATTTATAGATGCATAGAAAAAAAAAATGATGTGGAGAAATATACCCGAATATTTACAGTGGTTATGTCTAGGTAACAAAATTTTGTGATTTAACCTCTTTCAGTACTTTTTTATTTTTCAAAATTTCTCCAATGAGCATGTTATATTTATTATTAGAAAAAAAAAGCTGGATGCTTACTATATAGAATATGAAGGCTCTGTAAAGAACAAAAGGGCTGCTTTTTATTTTCTAGTGTTTTGCTGTTCTTTTGCCAAGGGTTAGGTATCACAAAGCCAGTTAACATATTTTTTTCACTCAGGTAGCTGTGTGATGCTAGTAACTGATTGGGACCAAAGGAATTTTTATATCTGAGAAACTTTATAGCATTAATGTTCAGGGAAAGATTCTAGAGCCAGACTTTCTGGTCTCAAACCTTGTGTAACACCGGGCAAGTTGTTAAATCTGTCTCAGTTTCTTGTCTGTAAAATGGGGATAATAATAGAAACTACCTCATAATGTTACTGTGAGTTAATAAAATGTAAAACCCTGAGAATGGTGCTGTTATATAGCAAGCACTATATAATAAAGGTTACCTGCTAGAAAAATCATCATTTTGTTAGTTACTAAGTTATATAACAATTTGGCTGTATATTCCAAATACTTTAACATTTTTTATACCTCTTTGACTAATGATTTTACTTCAGGAATCCAGTTGTAAGGAACTATTTAGAGATATACTCAAAAATTCGTACGAAAGCGATTTATCATTGTTGTTATAATTGTGAAAATGAATCAGTTATTCTGGTATTTTCTTGACAATATTCAAATAGAGATGTAAACTTATCATTTCTATCTTTTTGCAACAAATTAATGTAAATCATATTTGTTATGCTTATACGACACAGTGTCCATAAGAAAAATGTTATATAGCCATAAACAATCAAGTTTTCAAGGAATGTAATAACATGGGAAAATGCTCATAATATAATTGGAAAAGTAAAATACGTAGCCATGCAGACTCCCTTAATTTAGGCATAGCACTTGTCACAGTTGGAATTTTTCTTTTTTTTCTCTTTAAGGTGATTACTTGCTTAATGCTTGTCTGCTACTCTAGCATATAAACTTCATAAGGACAGAGACCATGTCTGTTTTAATTAAGTTGCACCCCAGTGCCTACCACAGTATCTGGTGTATAGTAGGTATTCAATAAATATTTCTTGAAGTAGTTAAATTGGGAGAAAAACAAGAATAAATACTAAAGTTACTATTCTAAGTGGCACGGTATTTTCTTATTTTTTAAATTATTTTACTTTAGGAACAATCAGAAGAAAAAGCAACAGTAAATGTTTTTAAGTTGGGTTAACAGATCATCAGGAAAAGGCTCCAGAATTTATCTTTCGCTAGAGAGATTGAATTATTTTTTAAAATTGTTTCTATTCGGTCGTGTATTACTTTTAAAATAATAAAATAAGCATTATTGAATAAATATTATAATTGTAAGTTTTTTTATTTTTTATTTTTTGAGATGGAGTCTCACTCTGTCACTCAGGCTAGAGTGCAGTGGTGCGATCTCAGCTCACTGCAACCTCCGTCTCCCAGATTCAAGAGATTCTTCTGCCTCAGCCTCCCAAGGAACTGGGATTACAGGCGCCCACCACACGCCCGACTAATTTTGTATTTTGGGTAGAGACTGGGTTTCACCATGTTGTCTAGGCTGGTCTCAAACTCCTGACCTCAAGTGATCCGCCCGCCTCAGCCTCCCAAAGTGCTGGGATTACAGGCATGAGCCACCGCGCCTGGCTGTAAAATATTTTTAATATATTTAAGTTCTGAGGGAAAAAACCTTGAATTTAATAATCCTCTAGTGACTTGAGAGAACAAATATTATGGAATCTTGGATTTATGCTGAAATATGGTTCATATGACAGGTTAATAATAGATTACGAATTTGAATTTGCATTAATTTTTTCTCCTCAAAATTTTTGAGAGCTGTCTTTAAACTCTTCTGAATTCAATTAGCTCACTTTCTGTTTACAGTTAGCTCCTGGTATTATACAGGTACCAAAATGCTACCTGGAATACTAGTGGTTCTGTGAGATGATAATAAAAAATGTTTGAGATATGTTATATGCCATATTCTATTTTAAGAGATTGCAATAAACATTGGCTTATTTAAAGTCTAGAGGTGTCCTTCAATGAAAAAACTAATACTTTAACCAGGAGTTTGTAGATCATACTTGACCACAAAATCCTCTCTTCTCCCAGTATCTGTCAGCATTCTTTGAAAAAAAAAAAAGTTATGTTTGTGCCAGTTTGCATATTATATACTTTCTATTACTAGGAAATCTTTTGAAAACCAAGGATTTGTTGCTTCTGCTCTAGAAAGGGTTTGGGGATGGTTGGGCCTGGTGGCTTGTGTCTGTAATACCAGCACTCTGGTATTTACTTCAGGAAGGCTGGTATCAGCCTTGGCTGGAGGATCGTTTAAGCACAGAGGTTCTAGAGCAGCCTGGGCAACATATGGAGACCTCAACTGTTAAAAAAAAAAAAAAAAAAGTTTAGGGAAAGGGGGAAAGGTAGATGTTTCCCCTTGGTGTACACATCAATTTTAGAGAAACATTGTTACACACAGTGAGTAGAGGGTAATGGATAAGAATGGTGGATTTGGCACCAGAGACCTGGATTCAGATGCCAGTTCTGCTGTTTCTTAGGTGTCTGACCTTGGTAAGTCATTAATCACTTTAAGCTATTTCCAAAAATAATTCCTTTAATAGAGTTGTTTTAAGAATTAAGTGGATTATGTATGTAAAGCACTTTAGCATGATGCCTGGCACATGGTTAGTATTCACTAAATTAGCTACACTCATTATTAGCCTTGCCAAGTGGAGTTTGTAAAAAACCAGCTTTGAATCTTTAGCTTCCTAGGTCCTTTTGAATGAATCAGCTTGTACTATTGTTAATGGTTTCATTTTATTGCTGAATTTCTTGAATACAGTTATGCTAAATTTAAAAAATTATATTCTTAAATATAAATGAATTTAAGTTGTTCTTCTGTTTTCAATTATTTAGGTATATTTTTTAATTGGAGGGGATGATCAGGTTGACTGGACTCTATAAAGAGCCAGATTTGACCAGAAGGTTATTTTAAGATAATACAGTACTGCTATAATCACTAGACCAAAAAAAAAATCTCTAGGAAATTTAATTTTGGCTTTGAGTCATCTTTTAAGATTAATTTTTTTATTTTAATTTTTATTATTACCTCAGTGATAGATGGGGCAAGCTACCATTATCACCTAAACAAAAAACTACATTTTCCAAGTGGGTACGACCAGAAGACCTCACCAACAATCCTACAATGATATATACTGTGTCCAGTTTTAGCATAAAGCAGGTGAGCATTTATTTTGTATGATTTTATAGAAAAGTCAGCATTTTAAAGTAATTTGTGTATAGATTTGAGTTTTTTCTTAGATTTTTTATTATATATTCAGGTACAGAAGTGTAATTGGAAAAATTGTTCATTCTACACATTTTGACTGAAACATACTGAGATAATATAAGTATAAATCACTGTTTTGAGTGATTACAGATTTTTATGTGGGCCCTGTTTATCATTATGTACCTGTAAATGTAAAACTTGAGAATCTGAATTTCACCTTTGATAAAGGAATAGATATCAGCAATAGAAGGATATTTAATTATTTGAGTAATTATTCAAAATCAATTTTTTTGAAATACATTATTTAATTTTCTAGGATTTATTAGAATAAAATGTGTGAGTCAGCAGTATGGTGTTTCTATTTGTTACTTTCCTATTCAAATAATAACCAGGAAAATATTTAGTATACATTGTAGCACTATTCAAAATAACAAAGACATGGAATCAACCTAAATGCCCATCAGTGACAGATTGGATGAAGAAAATGTGGTACATAAACACCTTGGAATACTATGCAGCCATAAGAGAACGAGATGTCTTTTGTAGGAACATGGATGGAGCTGGAGGCCATTATCCTTAGCAAACTGACGCAGAACAGAAAACCAAATACTGCATGTTCTCACTGATAAGTGGGAGCTAAATGATGAGAACAGCTTAAAAGAAAGGAACAGCAGACACTGGGTTCTACTTGAGCGTGGAGGATAGGAGGAGGGAGAGGAGCGGAAAAAATAACTATTGGGTACTGGGCTAATAGCTGGGTGTTGAAATAATATGTACAACAAACACCTGTGACACGAGTTCACCTATGTTACCTTCCACATGTACCCCCGAACCTAAAATAGAAGTTTTAAGAAAAGATATTTAGTATAAAAAGTAGGTACTTGGGGCAATGTACGTATATTGCGGTAATGTTGAAATTACGTGAATGAATATGAATATGTTAATTATTCTTATTAACAGACAATAGTATCGGATTGCTCCTTTGTGGCATCACTGGCCATCAGTGCAGCTTATGAAAGACGTTTTAATAAGAAGTTAATTACCGGGTAAAAATGTGTCTCTCTTTACCTCTTTTTGTGTAATTGTCCCTTAACTAGAAATTTAAAACTTAAGCCTTATCTGTATAGAAAGTGGAGAGGGCATATCATTCAGAATATGGCCCTTCTGTAGAAATTAAGCAGATGATTTATGAATGTGGAAAGATACGCTAAAACAGTCTTAAGAACCTATACACGTAGTTAATATATATGAAATTAATGTGTTTTGAAATAAATGAAATTGATCAAAGTAAAATCATGTCATATTGATAATACTTTATGATTGGACTGTTAAGTGAGGTAGTCACTAGCCACATGTGGCTATAGACACTTGAAATGGATTAGTCTGAATTAAGAGGAGATGCACTGCAAGTGTAAAATGCATGAGATTTTGAAAACTTAGAACATAAAAAATGCAAAATTGCAAAATATCTCATTTTTGTGTTGATTATATGTTAAAATCATATTTCGATTTGTGATTAAAACATCAAAATTGGTTTTACTTTTTTTCTTTTTTTTTTTTTTTTTTTTTTTTTTTTGGAGACAAAGAATTTCGCTCTTGTTGCCCAGGCTGGAGTGCAATGGCGTGATCTCGGCTCACCACAACCTCTGCCTCCTGGGTTCAAGCGATTCTCCTGCCTCAGCCTCTGAAGTAGCTGGGATTACAGGCAGTTTTACCTTTTTAACTTTTAATGTGGTTACTGGGAAATATAACATATTTCTGTTGGCTTGAACTGCTTTAGAATGTATTAAAATGTTTCTGAAATACTTTTTCAGTTTTTAAAAGATACATTAGCTTAAAATCATTCATTGCAAAAACTAAGCATTATAATTTTTTCAACTTTTCCTGAGCGGTTTTTGTGTGTTAAGTCCTAAGAGTATAAAGATGAATTAGACGCAGTCCTTAGTTTCAACTATTTGCCATATAAGTGGTCCAAATGTATTTTAAAAGAAAATTGATACTGATAGTTGTTGAAGTATGTTACTGTATAATTTCATGCAACTATATGTCAAAGTTGTATCTACTTGCCTTAGTTGTGGTTAATTGGTCTTTACTTCTTAGGGCCAGTGGTAAAAGATTATTTTAACTGGCTTAAAATATATACACTTAATAGATGGTTTATTAGGGTATGTAAGTTAACATTGAGCACTTTTCAGAGTATTTTGAAATTTATGTCCACTTTGTGATCTCAGAAAATTACTTACTAATAGTAAATAAGCACTTTGATTAGGGTGTAGTTCATTTTCTAGGCCTATTGTAGGAAAATATTCTCCTGTTTGTTTTTATGAAATTGCCAAGACGGTAGTATATACCTGAATGAAATGTGCTGTATAGTAGTTGATATTGAATACTAATGTTGGTATTTTAATATTTATTTTTCTTACAAAAGCATAATTTACCCTCAAAACAAGGATGGTGAACCAGAATACAATCCATGTGGGAAGTATATGGTAAAACTTCACCTCAATGGTGTCCCAAGAAAGGTGAATAATGTCTCTCCCCACTCCCATCCCTTGTCTCTCTCCGTTCCCTACCTTTGAATCTTGAGTGAAATCATTAAGAAATGTCATCTGTTTGAACATTTTAAAAGTTAGAGTCTGTGATATTATATATTACTACCAGTAGCATCATGTGTTAATCATTAAAAATTAATTAAAACCATGGCAAGTATAAACTTGTTTTTTAAATGGTTTTGAGAAAATGTATACAGTTTCAAAAAGTAACGTTCAACTAAGGATTGCTAATGCTTAAAATAAATTTTCATCTGATAGTTCATCTGATTGTTTTGATTAAAAGGAAATCAGACAAACTAAATCTGTTAGGTCAGAAGAGTGTATATGTAGTCATAACTTAAGTGTAAGAAGCCTTTGAAATTATTTCCTTTTAAATATATATGCATAATTTTAATTCACACAAATTTCTTTAAGGAAAGACTCTGAACTCTGTTATAAGGGCCTTGCATTGTTAAGGTTCTCCACCACCTGTCCATGTTGAGATCCATGCAGCAACATCAGCATCACCTGGAAGTTTGTTAGTTTTGCAGAATTTCAGGCTTCACCCTAGACCTGCTGAATCAGAATCTGCGTTTCACCTAGATCCCCTGTGATCCAGCCTGAAAATCATTGCTCTGTAGTTCAGTAATACTCAAATTTTAGTATGCACAGAATCACCTGGCAGGTGATTATCTGTTATTAAAACACAGGTTTCTGGACCTCACGCCCAGAGTTTCTGATTCTGGAGGTCTGAGATGAGATCAAAATTTGCATTTCTAACAAGATTCCAGGTGATGCTGATGTTGTTGTCTAGAATACTCTCTGAGAGCCATTTTACCTGATTTACTTAAAAAGTAAAGAAAATTATTGAGAATAATTTTACTGAACTATAATTCTTGACCTCTTGTTTAAAGAATCTTTAAAGATGTATGGCATAATCTTCCTATTGGTGTTAAATCAAAATTCTTATCCTCATATCTCTGAGAACACTTTTTTTTTTTTTGAGATGGAGTCTCACTCTGTCACCCAGGCTGGAGTGCAATGGCACAATCTCGGCTCACTGCAACCTCCGCCTCCTGGGTGCAAGTGGGTCTCCTGCCTCAGCCTCCCGAGTAGCTGGGATTACAGGCACCCACCACCACGCCCGGCTAATTTTTGTATTTTTAGTGGAGACAGAGTTTCACCGTGTTAGCCAGGATGGTCTCGATCTCCTGACCTCATGATCCTCCCGCCTCGGCCTCCTAAAGTGCTGGGATTACAGGCGTGAGCCACCGCGCCCAGCCTCAGATCACTTTTTAATATGAATTAGATACTGTATCTGATGACTTCCTCTGTTATTTATATGTATTTTCTAGCCATAATGTTCTACTCTTACAACTATACATGAGTCTTTTTATAGGTTTAGAATAAAATGACAATAATACTGCATTTAAAAGTGAGGCCCTTTTGTAATTATTTTAAATGTACATTTCTAGAATAATATAGGTTGAGTATCCCTTATCCGAAATACTTGGGACCAGAAGTGTTTTGGATTTTGGATTTTAACAGATTTTTTAATATTTGCAGAATACCTACAAGTTGAACATCTCTAATCTGAAAATCCAAAACACTCCAGTAAGTATTTCCTTTGAGCATCATGTCAGTGATCAAGAAGTCTTGGATTTTGGAGCATTTCAAATTTTAGATTTTTTATTTCAGATGCTCAGCCTTTTAATTTCAGTGATAGTTACATGACATTTAATCAATTGATTGAAGGTTATCATCTGACAGATTAGCTTGTAAAATTGAATAAAGACATCATATTAAAAAGAACAACATTTTGTAATTGGTATGATTCTAGAAACATTACCTTAATAGCCGTCAGCATATTGTGCGTTATATTTTATCAGTATGAAAGGTATGTTTTTATTTCTTGATAGAAAGGATTTTAAGATATTTTGTGCACCTAAGAAGGTTAATGTTCTCTTTCTCCAGGTGATAATTGATGACCAGTTACCTGTTGATCACAAGGGAGAATTGCTCTGTTCTTATTCCAACAACAAAAGTGAATTATGGGTTTCTCTCATAGAAAAAGCATACATGAAAGTCATGGGAGGATATGATTTTCCAGGATCCAACTCCGTAAGTAATAGATAAGACGATCCAGACACAGATTTAAGCTATCTAATATAACTGTTTTAAATTTGAAAAATTCTAGATAGTCTTTTTGTTTATAGGGAAAGAGAGCAGATTATCAACCCCTGAAACAGGATGACCAGTCCCCGTATTATGGGGATATATATATTTTCTTGTGTATCCGGGAAAGCCTAAACTGTGTCTGCTTTTGTTGGGATACAAGGCCAATTATAAATACAGTGTACATTTCCAGAGCAGTCTGTTTAGATCAAATGGATGTGTCATATTGTCATGTATTTTTTTATTTGTAATTCAGGTTCAAGGAGTTACTTGTTTTATCCAGTCTTAACAGAACTTAACCTATAAGATTGAGGTGTCTTCCAGTGACCTTTTGTTGCATGAGGTAAACTAGACTTGAGCCAGAAAGAAATTAGTCAGATTGGCATGACTTTAAATTCTTACAATAACCAGCCTGTGGCCTTAGAAAATGTGTTTAACCTTTCTTAGCCTCTTCATGTATCCATAATATAAGGATAATATCCACCTCTTGTCTTAAAGTCGTAAAGATGAAAATTGCATCTTTATTCCAATAATAAAATGAAGTGACATATGCAAATCACCCATCATTCATAAGTGATTAGTTTCCCTGCCAAACCAGGTGTCCTTGACTTTTCCAGTTTTATGCCCAGTTCTAATGCTAGGCAAAGAATATATAGGTCATAATTAAATGCAATAGGATGTTACAGTTTTTCTTTTCCCAGCCTATACTTTCAATTGCTCTATCCTTCACATACTTTTAGTTTAGCTTTCTAATTGTTGCTTGTTAATTTACTCAGTGGAGTTTAGAGAGAGAAAGAATGGGAATGTATGTAAAACATGAGGAACATCATTGCAAGAACTCACTAAAGGACTTGTGACTGCATCGTTGAAGCAGTTTTTTCTGTTACATGTCTTTTTATCATATTCACCTGTAAAAAATAGTTTTTTATTCAGGAAAAGCAACAAAGATTGTAGGGAAAAATATGCATGTTCAAATTCAGTTAGGAATTTGAGTTAAATAAGAAATATATTACTAGTTGAAAACAACTACCTTCTGATTTATTTCTACCAAAATCATTATGCCAAATCAGTGAGATGTAATAGCTGCTCTGGGGATTTAAGAACTTGAAAATGACACTGGCAGTCCTGAAATGTGTTTCTGTTGCAGAATATTGATCTTCATGCACTGACTGGCTGGATACCAGAAAGAATTGCTATGCATTCAGATAGCCAAACTTTCAGTAAGGATAATTCTTTCAGAATGCTTTATCAAAGGTAAACATTTTTCTTTGTTTTATGTGTGTGGTAAATGTGGCCGTTTAAAAACATCATGCTGGCTGGGCGTGGTGGGTCATGCCTGTAATCCCAGCACTATGGGAGGCCAAGGCAGGCAGATGACCTGAGTTTGGGAGTTGGAGGACCAGCCTGACCAACATGGAGAAACCCCATCTCTACTAAAAATACAAAATTAGCCGGATGTGGTGGCAGGCACCTGTAATCCCAGCTACTCAGGAGGCTGAGGCAGGAGAATCGCTTGAACGCAGGAGGCAGAGGTTGTGGTGAGCCGAGATTGCACCATTGCACTCCAGCCTGGGCAACAAGAGCAAAACTCCATCTCAAAAATAAATAAATAAAAATTTAAAAAATAAAAACATCATGCCTGATTTAGAATAGAGATTGCAGAAGTTGTCGTTTTTAGTTATTAAGGAAATTGTTTTTAAAATAGACTTCACATTATGTACTTCCTATAGCCAGTCCTCAGTTATCTTCCCTTAATAGTTACAGTTAATCCAAATTGTAGATAATCCAAAATATTAGAATATGTAATATAGAAAAATTATTTTAGATTTACTAATTAGTTACCAAGTTGAGGGAAAGTGGGAAAAGAGAAGTCTGAGAAGTTAAGCCTTAAATGGATAATCCATATCCATTTAAGGGACTGGAAGTTTGTCTAAACAGTGATACACATTCGGTTGCAAAACTAGAAAGCTCAGTGATTTGATAAATAAAATGATATGCCTGTTTGGGAAATGCCTGTGGTATTTCACGTCTTTATTTTTATTTGTAAACCACTTGAAATTTAGCGTTTGTTTTCCTTCTTTGGTAGGTTTCTGGTTTAGAATTAAGTTGCCAGAAACTTAAAAAAAGAGAAATGTGATAATTTATTTTATATACTGTGCATTAGAAATGTACTTCTTTTTGAAAATTCTTCAGGGGTAGGAACAGCCCATTTTCATGTAAGCCATTAGACTAAAAGATAAAATGGTGTGATCTTAGATTACAAATGTGTTTTACTTTAATTAATTGTCTTTGGGGTTCATTCCAGATTTCACAAAGGAGATGTCCTCATCACTGCGTCAACTGGAATGATGACAGAAGCTGAAGGAGAGAAGTGGGGTCTGGTTCCCACACACGCATATGCTGTTTTGGATATTAGAGAGTTCAAGGTTTTGCCTTAAATCTTTTTCTTTTATTTTTCTTGTTGGATAAGACATTTCAGGGATCCCAGATAATTTATCAGACTTCTGAATACTGACAAATCAAGGTTTAAGTGGAGTTTATAAACCATTTCACCTACATTAACTTGATCTCTACCGTTGAAAATTATGAAATTAAAAGGTGGGAAAGGAAATCATAGGGATGGCACAGATACTGATGACAGAACAGAAATGCTGTTACACCTCTTTGTCTTTTCCATAAAACCAGCAGTTTTGAGGCGGAATACATAGCTTCCAAGATTCCAAGCTTCTTCTTCGTGTTTGGATCAATCACAGTGTTAAGCTCTAAAGCAGTGGTCGCCAACCTTTTTGGCATCAGGGATCCGTTTTGTGGAAGACAGTTTTTCCACAGACTGGGGGGTGGGTGGGAGCATGGTTTCAGGATAAAACTGTTTTACCTCAGATCATCAGGCATTAGATTCTCATAAGGGGAACACAGCTTAGATCTTTTGCATGCACAGTTCACAATAGGGTTCACACTCCTATGAGAATCTAATGCCACCACTGATCTGACAGGGGGCAGAGCTCAGGCTGTAATGCTCACTTGCCCACTGCTCACCTCCTGCTATGCGGCCCAGTTCCTAACAGGCCATGGACCAGTACCTGTCTGTGGCCCGGGGGTTGGGGACCCCTGCTCTAAAGCATAGTAGACACTGAATAAATACTTATGAAAGTGGGCCAGGCATGGTGGCTCACATTTATAATCCCGATACTTTGGGAAGCTGATGCAGAAGGATCTCTTGAGGCCAGGAGTTCGAGGCCAGGAGTTCAAAACCAGCCTGGGCAACATAGTAAGACCCCACCGCTACAAAAAATAAAAAAAAATTAGCTGGGCATGGTGCCATATATCTATAATTCCAGCTACTCAAGAGGCTGAGGTGGGAAGATTGCTTGAGCACAGAAGATCAAGGCTGCATTGAGCCATGATCACACCACTGTGCTTCAGCCTGAGTGATAGAGACCCTGTCTGAAAAAATAAAAAATTGTGAAAGGGGAAGAAAATAGGAAGATAGCTGGGCATAAGATACATGCCAGTGTGTTTTGTGTAAGCAAGTATTTTTCTTCCTAGAAGCCCTTGCATGCTGTCAGGCCTTTCAGACAGACCCTGTTTCTGCAATATCTGGTTAGAATATTTGACTTCATTACTTCTGAGGTTGTTGTTATTTTTAACTGAAAAATGGATTTGTTCTATGGATTCAAAAATAAAAAGATTATTAAACAAGTACTATTTCTTAATGAAGGACCCTTGATAACAGAACGAATAGAAGTAGTGATCAGTCAGCAATAACAGAGCACTACTGTGTGTTAATTAGACTGGTTTTCTTATGTGTGGCACATGGATTTACAGTCACGTGTTGCTTAATGATGAGTGTACATTCTAAGAAATGCATTGTTAGGTGATTTTGTTGTGGCATGAACATCATAAAATGTACTTACACAAACCTAGATGGTACAGCCTACTATACACCCAAGCTCTGTGGTATAGCCTAGTGCTCCTAGACTACAAACCTGTACAGCATGTTATTGTATTGAATACTGTAGGCAGTTATAACAACTTGGTATTTGTATATCTGAACATAGAAAAACACAGTAAAAATACAGTATAAAAGATTTTGTTAAATGGTACACCTGTATAGGGCACTTACATGGTTGGAGCTTGCAGGACTGGAAGTTGCTTTGGGTGAGTGAGTGAGTGGTGAGTGAATGGGAAAGCCTAGGACATTGCTGTACACTACTGTAGACTTTATGAATGCTAGACATGTAGACTTTATAAAAATATTTTTTTCTTCAATAATGAATTGTTCTAAGCCAGTCAAATCATCAGTGGTGGTTGTATACCAACTTTAGTGATATGTTATTAATAAGTTCTGATTAACCCATTACCATCGGAGCAGCCCAATAATAAATTAACCTTGGCTTACTGTAATTTTTTACTTTATAAACTTTAAATTTTTTTTAACTTTCTGGCTCTGTAATAACAACTAGCTGAAAACACAAACACATTGTAGAGCTGTACACAAGTACTTTACCTGAGCTTTTTTCTGTTAATTTTTTTTTAGGCTGTTTTCTTAAAATCCGAAACATAAACACACACATTAGCCTAGGCCCACATGGGGGCAGGATTATCAGGATGTCAATTGGCAATAGAACTTTTCCAGCTCCATTATAATCTTATGGAACCACTATGATATATGTAGTTCATCGCTGTCTTAACATTTCATTATATGGTGCATGACTGTATATGAAGTTAATGAGGACAGTAGGGACCTATTGCACCATTTTAAAATTTATAGTCTTGGAACTTTCTAAATTAGCTGGTCAGTGTTGAACCCCCCAGCCATGCTCTATAGAATTGCTTCTTTAAAAGTGGCATAAAAATTGCCCACTTAAAGCAAAAAATATAAAAATTATGTGAAATTAAGTACGCCAATAAGTTTGGGGTTTTTTAAAATTATAATTTGCCACAAATGCCAGTCAAAACATTTTAAGTGGCTGGGCACCGTGGGTCACCCCTATAATCCTAGCACTTTGGGAGGCTGAGGCAGGAGGAATGCTTGAGGCCACGAGTTCAAGACCAGCCTGAGCAACATAGCAAGACCCCATCTCTACAATAAATAATTTTTTAAAAAATTAGCTGGGCATGGTGGCACGTGCCTGTAGTCCCAGCTAATTGGGAGGCTGAGGTAGGAGGATCACTTGAGCCCAATGTTGCAGTGAGCTGAGATCACACCACTGCACTCCAGCCTAGTTGACACAGTGACACCCTGCCTCAAAAAATGTATATTTATATATAAAGGTTTTCTCCAGTACTCTTTTATTGGGTATATATTCAAGGAGTTTCCTAGGTGCATTATTTTTATTTTTTATTTTTTGCTACTTATATTTTGAAGTGTTTATTTAATTCTGACTTCTTTTTTTTTTTTTTTTTTTTTTTTTGAGACAGTCTCACTGTGTCGCCCAGGCTGGAGTGCAGTGGCGCGGTCTCAGCTCATTGCAAGCTCCGCCTCCCAGGTTCATGCCATTCTCCTGCCTCAGCCCCCCAAGTAGCTGAGACTACAGGCGCCCCACCACCACGCCCGGCCAATTTTTTATATTTTTAGTAGAGACAGGGTTTCTCCACGTTAGCCAGGATGGTCTCGATCTCCTGACCTCATGATCCACCCACCTTGGCCTCCCAAAGTGCTGGGATTACAGGCGTGAGCCCCCACGCCTGGCCAATTCTGACTTCTGTTTTAAAATATTTCCATATTTGATTCAAGCATTTATCTCTAGGACCTCTTTTTTGCAGAAAGACCTAATCTTAGACTCTGACAGCTCTGCTCAGTATTACATCATTGGTGACTTTCTTCACTTAAAGAGATTTTCAATATTTATTAATATTTGCATAAAAGTGCTATCATTTTTGTTTGACTACCTCTAATCTGCTTGCATATTCCAAGGTCTTCATTTTAGTCTCAGCGATTCTCTCTTTGGGTCATTTTTGTGTTTTTGAGGTGATGTTTCATAGTCTACTATGGAGTTACATCTCCAGATCAGGGTGCTGACTTCAGTTCAGACAGGTGTTATCATAGAATTTCTGAAGCTGTCCAAGGCTTTTCCTTTGCTGCTACTTGGAAATAACTTTAGAAATTGGATGCTTCAGCAAAATCAAATTTTTTTTTTTTTTTTTTTTTTTTGTTCTCTAGCATTCCTTCTTTTTAGAGCTGGTTCTCTACCCATCCAAACAAAATCTACATCCATATCTTGGTGTCCTTGAATATCACTGATGCTGGGGGTCTGTCTCTGAAAAGCTTAGCAACAATTTGCTCTCCTTTGTGCTCCTCTTTTAGGAAGTGTTGAGAGTCCTGAAATGAGTTAAATTTTTTGAAAAGAAAGGAATTAGAGTTAAATGTCGGTTGACTTATGTGTGGTGAGACACATACAGTGTAGAAGATACTGATGAAAGAAACTGTATTAATGAAGCTTCTAGGGAATATAGCCTAAGAGGAATGAGTCTTATGTCCAGAAATCACATACATCTACCCCCAGCCACAATTTGTCACCATTTAAAATAGCAAAGGAATGTGTTGTTGTGGTTGTTTAGATGTCTTCCAAACAGTTTGATTTATGATATCATTAGAAAAAGTACACAATTTCCTAAGGTGACTGCTTGCAGTAAGACAAATATTATTTTGGATTTACCACCTCTTTTATTTTCCCGAATCAATGTAATCAATTCTGTAGACATGCCTGGTATTTACTAAGCATTTACCTTTACATTCTGTTCCATAAATGAGTGGAAAATCTGAAAAGGGATGATAGTGTTACCATTTCAAGGAGTTGATGATTACATTGGGGAGACAAGATGACTACATTTGTAGGAAACAGTATAAGATAGGATACTATTTGTTTTAAACTAATGTAATACAGATTGCTAGCACTATGAAGGTTGGAGAATTCAAAGTAATTAAAAGAAAGAAATTACTAAATGCTAGATACTTTATGTTAATTCCATTTGATCTTCACAGCCATCTTCTAGGGACACATCATAATCTTCATTTTACATATGAGTAAATGAATGTTCAGAGAGGGTAAATGACCCACCCAAAGAACTGGAATTTGGTCCCATTTTATTCTGACCCCAAAGTCCATGTTCCTTTCTCTTTTCTTCACTATGTCTGTCTGCACTGAGAAGAAAGGGTAGCTAAAGGGATCAAAGAGGGCCTTTCAGAAAAAGGGAACAGCATGATCAATTGCCTTTAGAGGCAAAATTGAATAAGGATTTTATTGCACTCTGAAAGGAAAAACTAGATTAGAGCCAAAGGTACATGGAGTATAAATACTGGAAAATAAAGTGGAGCCAGAGTAGAGTGAGCTTTGAAAAGGCAGAAAATACTTCATGCTCTAAGGCAGTACTGTCTAATAGAACTCCTGCAATGATGGAAATGTTCTGTATCTGGGCTGCCCAATGCATTAGCCACTATAGCTACTAGCTACCTGTGGTCATTTAACATTTGAAATGTGGCTGCTGTGACTAAGGAACTGATTTTTGAATTTTATATAATTTTAACTTAACTACATGCGGTGAAAGACTGCACTATTAGCTCTAGGGAGTAGGCAGCCATTTACAGTTTTTGATCGATGTATGACCTGGTGAAAGTGTTAAAAATATTAATTTCAAGTTGATTTGAGGGGAAAAGAATTGATAAGTACTCAGTTCATCCTCTAATAAGAGAACTAATATGGTAAAAACTGTTTTACAACTTAATGTTATCTCCTGTTTCTTTTTTATATAGGGGCTGCGATTTATCCAGTTGAAAAATCCTTGGAGTCATTTACGTTGGAAAGGAAGATACAGTGAAAATGATGTAAAAAACTGGACTCCAGAGTTGCAAAAGTATTTAAACTTTGATCCCCGAACAGCTCAGAAAATAGACAACGGTAAATATATCTTTTTAATTTTAATACCATTTATTCTTCAAAAAAAAACATGTTTTAACAAGACAAAACATGTGTAACTGACTTAAATCATTTAGCATTAAGATTTTTTTAGATTAACAAAGATATTAATTTTCAGGAATATTTTGGATTTCCTGGGATGATCTCTGCCAGTATTATGATGTGATTTATTTGAGTTGGAATCCAGGTCTTTTTAAAGAATCAACATGTATTCACAGGTAACTTTTTGCACATTGCAGAGTATGCTTTATAATAGCATCCACTTTCCTCACTTAAAAACATAATGGTGCCAGGCGCAGTGGCTCATGCCTGTAATCCCAGCACTTTGGGAGGCCGAGGTGGGTGGATCAGTTGACCTCAGGAGTTCTAGACCAGGTTGGGCAACATGGCAAAACCTTGTCTCTACAAAAAATACAAAAGTTAGCCAGGCATTGTGGCGCACACTTGTAGTCCCAGCTACTCGGGAGGCTGAGGTCAGCAGATCGCTCAAGCCTGGGAGGTGGAGGTTGCAGTGAGCCAAGATCATGCCACTGCACTCCAGCCCGGACAACAGAGCAAGACTCTGTCTCAAAAAAATAAATAAATAACGGAATGGTTAATTTAGGAAGACTAGCATTCCATCTTTTTGTCACGCCCACAGTGACTATCTTGTTAATAGTTGTTTTCTTTCCATGCTTCCTAGTTATGCCAAAAAAATTTAAAAACAGTAAAACAAAACCAAAAACTTGGATAGCTTAATTCACTTTTTGAAATAGTGTTATATTTTAGCTCTATGAGAAATTTAATTACAACCTTCTTTGTTGACTTTATCTTTTAGTACTTGGGATGCTAAGCAAGGACCTGTGAAAGATGCCTATAGCCTGGCCAACAACCCCCAGTACAAACTGGAGGTGCAGTGTCCACAGGGGGGTGCTGCAGTTTGGGTTTTGCTTAGTAGACACATAACAGACAAGGTACTGATACCCTTCTAATGATATCCCATACAGAAATTTTTTTAATATAGTTAGAACATTGTGAAAGACATACGTAAACACCAGCCTGTTTAATTTACATAGGTGCCCTGAGAATAGTGTTTTCTCAGATAAATGAATATTTTCCTCTAAGGAAATTTGTATTTTATAATTATACACTTAAAATCTTGTTCAAAAGTCATCTCTGAAGAAAAGTATGAGGGAGTTTGTGCTTTTCAGTGAGGGTTTGGGGGTTGATCGTGTATAGTTTAGATCTTAATATTAACATTGAAATATGCTGAAGGGAATTTGGAAATGTTGAATCATTAGTCTTGATTCTGTAAAGGTTAACCATAATCTTAATAGCCTCCGAATCTTAATATACATTCATACATTGTGGTCATCTATTAAAATGACAATTTAATTCAGAAAAACAATGTTTCTTATAGCACTAAATAGCTGAAAACAATGCTCTTAAAATTAGAGATTTTTTGTGGAGAGATTTAGAGCATTTTTTTGGAGAGATTTAAAAAGAAAATAAATAGCATTTTGAACCCATTTTCTAACCACATTGGATTCTTTGTGATTTTAGGATGATTTTGCGAATAATCGAGAATTTATCACAATGGTTGTATACAAGACTGATGGGAAAAAAGTTTATTACCCAGGTATGTTTAGTAGCCCAGCAAACATTAAAATAAACATACATAAGATTTTATTTATATGATTAAGTTGAAAAATGACACATTTTATGTAGATAATATAGAGAAATAATTATGTTGATAGACTAATAGAAACCACTCAAGCAGATGGGTATTCATGCTGTTCTGTGTTTTGTTTTGATTTGTTTTAATTTGGAGACTCCAAGGGGGGATTTCCATATTCTCGCACATGGCTGTCAGAATTTTATTTCTGAAACTTAAATGATGTCTTTTACTCTAATCAAATGTATTCTGTGGTTTTCCTTGAACTTCTGGATAAAATCTAAGCTCTTTAGCATGATATATAAGGCTTTTTATTCCCACCTTAATCTACCTGCCCCCCTTTATTTCATGCCCCAGCTTCTCACAGTTGACATAGTTGCTACTCCAGAATACACCATGCCCTTGTTGCCTTCTTTCACATGGTTTCTTCTCTCAAGAATCTCTCCTCCTGCCTTATTCCTTTCTCCCTATTCTGCTTAATGCACATAGTTAAGGTCCAGCCTAAATACCATTCCTTCCACTGGGCACCTGAGATATTTAACACATTGTGTTGAAACCACTTTGCTTTCACATTTTTAAAAAATGTGTATCACTTAGTGAGAGAAACTATCTTAAGGCTCTGGAGAATAGTGATGAACAAAACAGGATTCTGCTTTCATAGAGTTTATGTTCTAGTTGGGGAGACAGTTAATAAGCAAAATATCAAGTACTGATACACGTGTAAAAAAAAGGGTTATGTGTGAGTGACTGGTTGCTTTTGGTGGGTGGTCATAGAAGACCTCTTTGAGCAGGGATGAGAAGAGCTATGAATAACAAAAAGGAACCAGTCATGCAAAGAAATCAAGGGAAAAGCATTACAGGCAGAGGGAACAGCAAGTACAAGGACCTTACAGTGAGAAAAGATGGTGTATTTTTGGGACAGAGAACAGGCCAATTGCCTGGGTAGGTGTGGTATCAAAAGAGGTCAGAAAGATTTGCAGAGGTCAGATCACATGAGGTTCTGTACACCACAGGAAGGGTTCGGAGAGTCTTTGGCTTGTCATAATCAGGAAAATGACATGTCCTGGCTCCAAATGAAGATGCAGCTAGGCTGTTGGATTTTTGAATAGAGTTCTGGGGTAAGGGTAGAGATACAGATAGGGGAGTCAGGAGCATATAGATGGAGTTTGAAGATAGGACTGCATAAATCACCTGTGAAGAGAGTTGTGGGTACAGAGATTAACACCCAGGATCTGACCCTTGGACTCTCAGACACCTTGAGGTTCAGCAGAGGAAAAAGGTACCACAAAAGAATTTGAACAGAGGGCCTGATGAAACAGTGAGGTTTCACATAACCCAAGCAAAGAACATTTTTCAAGAGAAAAAGAAAGGACAGTTCCATCTATTGATGTTTGAGAAATCAAATGAGATTAGGTGAGAGAAGAAACTATTGTGGGAACTAAATGATAAGAACTTACGAACACAAAGAAGGAAACAACACATACTGAGGTCTACTTGAAGTGGGGGGAGGGTGGGAGGAGGGAGAGGAATAGAAAAGATAACTATTGGGTCCTGGCTTAATACGTGGGTGATGAAATAATATGCACAACAAACCCCCATGACACGTATTTACTTTTGTAACAAACATTCACATGTACCCCCAAACCTAAAATAAAAATTAAAGGGAAGAAACTATTGGACTTAGCATCGTGGCAGTCAGTCATTGTTGACCTTGATAAGAACAGGCATAGTGGAGAGGTGGGGCTAGAAGCCCAGTTGGATTGGTTTTAAAAGAGACTATGATGTAAGGAAGCAACTGTTGACAGTTCTTGCAAGAAAGCTGTGCAAAGAAATGGGCAGTGATGGGAAGATGTGATCAGAAGTGGTTTAAGTCTTACTTTGTTTAATCATAGGGAAGTATGGCATTCTTCCCTATTACAATGTGTTGATGGCAGGCACTGAGTCTTGCTAGTCAATATCCCTGCGTTCTGGAATGGGCATGGCACATAGTAGGTCCAGTGACAAATATCGAGTTAAACTAGCCAAGCTTTCCTTTTTTTAAAACAATGCTCCATCTTATGTATAGTGATTTTGCCTTTTCAGAATACTTTCATGTTTATAATTTTATTTTAATTACAACACTCTGCAGTAAATAGGACAGGCCTTGTTCCCTGTTTGACAGAAGAGTAAACTGAAACATGGAAAGGTTAAAAACCTTGTTCAAGATCCACAGATATGCCAATTCTTTACTCTTCTCACTAGACCACACCACCCCTAATCATTAGAGACTTATGATTTGTTTGAGATACCAAAATACTTAGTTTTTCTGATAGGTCCCATTATAAATATTCAGCGTTCCTAAATAAGCTAAGTGAGACCATCGATCTTAACATATAGTAATTGTCATGCATAAAATTTTATTGTATCAGGCTTGACTGATGGGACTATCAAATAATATATTAGGCAGCATTCTTTGTAATAACAAAATATTGAAAATAATCTGAATATCCAGATTTTCTAAATAAGCAATTGGGGGTGTAGATAAAATGTCATATTTGTATGATGGAATATTATACAGGCAGTTATAAGAAATAAACTTATCTGTATAGAACAACATAGCTCTTTTTAAAATGTTGAGTGAAAAATGAAAGATATAAGACATGCACTATTTTTTTTAATATATACACTTATACCAGAAACAGTTATTTTTTTCATTCATTTTTAGGAGTGGGTACGTTTGTATTCAAGTCTAAAAAGATGCTGACTAAATCCATCAATAGAAGGGAATAAGATAAGTGTAGTGGTTAAAAGAGACATTGTTTTATGAAAAGGCTAGAATGACCAAAAAAAAAAAAAAGTTAATTTAAACCTGAGTGGTGGGGAATATATATTTTTATATACTTCTTTTTATTTTTTTAAATTTCATCTCAAAAAAAAAACTAATCCTGACTTTAAGATCCTCTACGGGAGAAAAATGCAACACAGAACAAATAGTAGGAATTACTGAAATGCAACACAGAGCAAATAGCAAGTACTATTATACTTCATTGAAAGTATTCAAAAAGATTATTTTTGTTTATTAGGAACTGTTTAATTTTAAAGTTTTCAACTGAAATTATAATTCACTAATATCATTATATTTTAAGGAGAGAATCAGTTAAGGAGATGTCCATCCAAGTAATTATTTTTCCTACATCAACCATAAAATTAAAGAAAGAAAAGTCTCCTTTTCTCTAAGCCTACTTGTTTGTTTGCAGCTGACCCACCTCCATACATTGATGGAATTCGAATTAACAGCCCTCATTATTTGACTAAGATAAAGCTGACCACACCTGGCACCCATACCTTTACATTAGTGGTTTCTCAATATGAAAAACAGAACACAATCCATTACACGGTTCGGGTAAGTAAAACCAACACACAATGACAAAACACAGTAATATAAAGTATGTAATATGCTCTGCTTTGTAAGTGGTATTATCTGGAGAAAAAGTTTATTTCTGAAAATGTATTGCTCTCTTTTTTTGTGCTTATCATTTTAATAGTAAATTATACTTTCTGTAGAAAATAATACATTTGAAAAGAAATGTCTTTATTTTGAAAGAGCATTTTTATTTTCATAGTAATAGTTTAGCCCCGTGGTAATATAGTATGTTGGACTAATAATACATTTCTTTTTTTCTTTTTGAGACAGAGTCTTGCTCTGTCACCCAGGCTGGAGTGAGTGCATTAGTGCAATCTCGGCTCACTGCAGCCTCCACTTCCCGGGCTCAAGTAATTCTGCCTCAGCCTCCTGGGTAGCTGGGACTACAGGTGCTGCCACCATGCCCAGCTAATTTTTGTATTTTTTGTAGAGATGGGGTATCACCATGTTGGCCAGGCTGGTCTCAAACTCCTAACCTCAAGTGATTCACCCACCTCAGCCTCCCAAAGTGCTGGGATTACTGGTGTCAGCCACTGCACCCAGCCAATATATTTCATTTTAAAGCAAGCAATAAAAACTTATTTCGCTGTTTAATATTTTTATTGACTTTAAAAAGACTTTGAACTTAGTGAAAGAGAATCAGTCACCTAGAAATGTACTGCTCTCATCTAGCTGGGAAGGTCATTGTAATTTTCTTCTATATAGATTTGTTTGCTCTAGATAAGCGGCTCAATTTGAATAGATTTTTAGTGATGAAAGGGACATTGGGAGCTGCTGCCACCCATTCCTTTTTCAGATGCAGAAGCCACAGCCTGGAAAAATTGTGATTTGTCCTGAGGCATACAGTTACTAGCAGAGAAAGCCAAGACCAGACCCCTAGCTTCTCAGTTCCCAGCTCATTAAACCTGACCTGATACTAGGCTGCCTATAATGACTTGTGTATGCCAACTGATTTTTTTAGTCTTCCAATATATTCATGTATCACTTTGATGTTCTTGTAAGTGTAAAATTTATCAATACAGTCTTTTTTTAAATCTAGGTATATTCAGCATGCAGCTTTACTTTTTCAAAGATTCCTTCACCATACACCTTATCAAAACGGGTGAGAAAATTCATTTGGTTGTAATCTCAGCATTCTTTTAGAATTTTTAAATTCCCTTTCCCATTTCTCTCATTTTATTGTTTATATTTAGCAAAGGCTTCACAGGAATATAAGGGAAACGTAAATGGCCTCAATTTGGGTTGGAATACAAGATCTTCAGTGAGCAACATCTGTGAAAAGAAAATTCAGAGAAAGAAGATGAATGCAAACTTTGGTTGTTAGAGAAGGCAATGTGGATGAACCTTAAAAGTAGCATTTGAGACTAACTGCAGGGTGGGCTACATGTATAGAGGAAGATTCTATGGAAAATTCCTGGTAGAAAGAACAACTTGATTAGAGGCTAAGAGATGGAAATAGGGGTTAGTGGAGCAAAGCAGCCTGGCTGTCAGCAGCAAATAAAGATGGGAGAGAGGGGTTGGAGACACAGAGTGGAAAATTGCCTTTTTTTTTTTTTTGAGATGGAAAGGAGTTTTGTCTTTAAGTGGAATTGGAAATGAAATTTTGTTAATACTAAAACTTTTGTTTTTATTAGATTAATGGAAAGTGGAGTGGTCAGAGTGCTGGAGGATGTGGAAATTTCCAAGAGACTCACAAAAATAACCCCATCTACCAATTCCATATAGAAAAGACTGGGCCGTTACTGATTGAGCTACGAGGACCAAGGTTTGTGATGAGTAACTTTCTTAAATTAATGATGTTCTATTACAAATGAACATAGTATAACAAAAAAGTTTAGAAACAGACCTAAGCATATATGGACATTGGATTTATAACAATGGCATTATAGTGGAGTGAGGAAAGGACAATCTTTTCAATAAATGGTATGGAATAATTGAGTATCCATGTGTAAAAAGGGTAATTAGAACCCTGTTTCACATCAAATTCCAGGTGGATTACAAACCTAAATGTGAAAGGCAAAACAATACAGCTTCTAGATGATAATGCAGGAAATGTTTTAACCTCAAGAGAGGAAAGATTTCTTAAGACAAAGAGCATATTAAAATGTTTGTAAATATGCTGCATTGATAAGAAAAAAATCTGCAGTTTTTAAAAAATAAAAACACATTCATGTCCTTTGTAGGGACATGGATGAAATTGGAAATCATCATTCTCAGTAAACTATCGCAAGAACAAAAAACCAAACACCACATATTCTCACTCATAGGTGGGAATTGAACAATGAGATCACATGGACACAGGAAGGGGAATATCACACTCTGGGGACTGTTGTGGGGTGAGGGGAGGGGAGAGGGATAGCACTGGGAGATATACCTAATGCTAGATGACGAGTTAGTGGGTGCAGCGCACCAGCATGGCACATGTATACATATGTAACTAACCTGCACAATGTGCACATGTACCCTAAAACTTAAAGTATAATAAAAAAATAAATAAATAAATAAAAATAAAAAAATAAAAACACATTATAAAGGGGGCAATCCAGATGGCCAGTAAACCATTGTAATAGCCAGAAATTGGAAACATATATTCATTGACAACATTTAAGATTATAATATAGTCATATAATAGTCCTGATATAACAATGGAAATAAATTACAGCTACACACAACATAATGGATAAGTCTTAAAAAGCCACATGTACAGAATACATACCATGTGATTCTACTTCTGTGAAGTCAAGAACAGACAAAACTGAAATACTCATGTAAGGATGCACACTAAGGTAGTAAAACTATAAAGCAGAGCAAGAGAGTTATTACTATAAAAGCTCTGTCGAGGGACAGGAGTTGCAATTAGGAATATACAGGGAATTCTGTGGTGCTGAGAGGATTTGTTGATCTGGGTGATGGTTACCCAGGTGTTTATTCACTTTGCAAATGATTAAGTTGTATATATGTTTTACTTAAGTGTTATATTTCATAGTTTTAAAAGGTTTAAAAAATATAGAGAATACAGCCTGGGCATGGTGGCTAACACCTGTAATCCCAGCACTTTGGAAGGCCAAGACAGGAGGATCGAGTTCAGGAGTTCAAGACCCGCCTGAGCAACATGGCAAAACCTCATCTCTGCAAAAATTTTTTTAAAAATTTAGCCAGGCATGGTGGCATGTGCTTTGTATAGTCCCAGCCACTTGGGAGGCTGAGGTGGGAGGATGACTTGAGCCCGGGAGGCAGAGGTTGCAGTGATCCCAGATGATGCCACTGCACTCCAGCCTGGTTGACAGAGCGAGACCCTGTCTCATACAACAACCAAAAAAAAAAAAAAAAAACAAAAACAGAATACAAATAAAAACAGAACTACCTTCTAAATAAGATTGGGCTTAATTTTGCTTTTCTTACAAACTAATCCAGCAGCAGCAGTTAATAACCCATTAGATACGAAGATTTGATTAAACTATTTTTCCACAAGAAAGTCATTTTTAAAACCTCTACCAGTTTGATAGGTGAAATAGGTAAATAAACCTATTTGCTCTTTTGTACTTAATTTCTAGATAGATTGAACATGTAATAATGTTCATTACAATATTGTTTATTCCCTATTCATGTTTCTTGCCCATAGAGTTGTCATTTTTTTTAATTATAAGCATGAAAAAGGTAAGGGTATTAACTCCTTCACATATTTGTGGATATTTTTCTCAGATTGTCATTTTTCTCCCACATAGAAAAACATTTCATTTTAAAATAATGAATCTGTCTTCTGGTTTCATTTTGCTGTGGACAGGAACTCTCACCACATTACCAAATTAATTTTCACCATATTCTGATTATTTTATGGTTCAATTTTTTGCATTTAAAAAATTCATATGAATATATTTTTATATTTGGTATGAAATACAATTTAAGAGTTTTTTTCTAAATTTTTTGTTACCTCATCACCATCTAAATGAATCTTTCCTTACTGATTTGGAATGCCACGTTTATAATATGCTAAGTACTTCTGTAAATTCAGAGTTTGTTTCAGGGCTTTCTTTCCTGTCCCATAGGCCTTTCCATTTGTTACAATAACAATTTTTTTTTTCTTTTTTTTTTGAGACAGAGTCTTGCTCTGTCACCAGGCTGGAGTGCAGTGTGTGATCTCGGCTCACTGCAACCTCCGCCTCCTGGGTTCAAGCGATTCTCCTGCCTCAGCCTCCCAAGTAGCTGAGGCTACAGGTGCACACCACCATGCGCAGCTAATTTTTGTATTTTTGGTAGAGACGGGATTTCAACATGTTGGCCAGGATGCTCTTGATCTCTTGACCTTGTGATCCACCCACCTCTGCCTCCCAAAGTGCTGGGATTACAGGCGTGAGCCACCGCGCCTGGCCAATGACAATATTTTTAATTATACCCTGTGGCCAGGCGTGGTGGCTCAAGGCTGTAATCCCAGCACTTTGGGAGGCCAATGTAGGAGGATAGCTTGAGCCCAGAAGTTCCAGACCAGCCTGGGCAGCATAGTGAGACCCCCTGTCCATAAAAAAAAATTTAAGAAATTAGACAGATATGGTGGTACATACCCATAGTCCCAGGTCCTGAGGAGGCTAAGGTGGGAGAATCCCGAGTCCAGGAGGGCAAGGCTGCAGTGAGCCATGATTGCTCCACTGTACTCCAGCCTGGGTGACAGTGAGACCCTGTCTCAAAAATAAAAAAGAGGTCGGGCGCAGTGGCTCACACCTGTAATCCCAGCACTTTGGAAGGCCGAGGCTGGCAGATCACCTGAGGTCAAGAGTTCGAGACCAGCCTCTCCAACATGATGAAACCCCGTCACTACTAAAAATACAAAAAAATTTAGCCAGGCACAGTGGCATACCCCTGTAGTCCCAACTATTCAGAAGGCTGAGGCAGGATAATCACTTGAACCCAGGAGGCGGAGGTTGCAGTGAGCCAAGATCGTGCCTCTGCACTCTAACCTGGGCAGCAGAGTGAGACTCTGTCTCAAAAAAAATAAAATATTTCCCGGGGAGCCCATGGTAAAAATACAGTCTCTCTTAAAGTAAGTTTAATCTGGTGTTAATCTTTAAGGCTTCAACTGAAAAATATAAATGGTGTGTTATGATCAAAAATAGAGTGTGTATGTTTCTACTGAAACTTCAGAAACATAAACTTAGTATGACATCTGCACTTCAGATAAAGTTATTTTAAATCACGTTTGAGAATATATATTAATACAGTAATTCTGTTCATTTTAAATGCTAGGCAATATAGCGTTGGATTTGAGGTTGTAACAGTTTCTACTCTAGGAGATCCTGGTCCCCATGGCTTTCTGAGGAAATCTAGTGGTGACTATAGGTAATGTTGGCATTTTTATTGTATCTATTTTATACTTTACTTTTTGTGGCATCATCTTCTATAAACCTTATTCTCATTTTCTCTAAATATAGGTGTGGGTTTTGCTACCTGGAATTAGAAAATATACCTTCTGGGATCTTCAATATCATTCCTAGTACCTTTTTGCCTAAACAAGAAGGACCTTTTTTCTTGGACTTTAATAGTATTATCCCCATCAAGATCACACAACTTCAGTGATGGAGAAATCTCAAGTTACTGGCTTTTATACTTACCAAACATCAGTTCTTCAAATAAGGACGCAAATCTTCAGGACAGTAAGCAGAACAATCAGAATGGAATTAAATCTCTAAAAACGTGTTACAGTGGAATCTGGTGCTTGTCAGGGTGTTTGGTAAGAACTGTATATAGTCAGAATTACCTAAATCACCTAGAGGTACCGTTTACATGGTTTTGTGTATATAGAGTTGGCTTGCATTTTAGGGGCCATTTTGTATAAAAAGTGCATATGATTAAAATTAGACTCAGTCATCACTGTGAGATGCCTTTGCTAAGAGGATAAAGGAACTGAGACCAGATGAGAAAAAGAAAGGATATAGATTCCTTGAGTGGAATAGTGGGCTAGATTAATATACCGAAATATTTCCATTGTTTCCCTTTTTTGCAGAGCATGTGGAAGTTAAACCTGCTTGATTCTACTATACATCTTGGGCAACTAGTTACCAAATGAATTGTGCCACCATAACTGATTTTAATTTTGCATTATTTATGATTTTAAAATATTTGTTGCCCAGGTGTTATGAAAGAATAAAGCTTTTAAGTATAGACTACCTTAGCATGAAGATGCTCATGCCTAAGAATGAAAATTGTTGAGGTTATCTCCCATTCAATCATGTAGCAAGAACTTAAAGAAATTCACTACTGCAGTTTTTATTTTTAAAAAACAGTAATTGAGATATTGAAGACATTACAATTTAGTTTGTGTGGTCTTTTTTTAAATTGCTGTATCGTTCAGTCTCTTGTGGCAATAGCACTTTGAAGAAAATAGAGAATTTAATATATGGTGATTGGGATATGTAGCATTCAAAAAAAGTGAATTGCCAAGATACTGGTGTCATGTAAATTCCCACTTTACATAAAAACCCATCAGGACAGAATGATGCTCAATATTTTAAAATTCTAAAAATAGGGTGGGATTTTTCATTGTCTCTACTTTATAATTATCAAAACTTATTTTGTATTGCTACTACCTTAAATTGAAATAAAATGTTTATACTTACGGATATTGCATAGTTTAAGTTAGATTTATTGAAAGATTTCATCTGTCGTGTTTCATGTAAATGAGAACAGATTATTTGCATGAAAATATATACTTCAACAAAAATCTGTTCTTTAACAGAGTAGTGGTAGATTATTACACTAATGAGATTTCACTTTGGTAAATACTTCATGCTTTCAGTTTTAGCCTATTAATTTTAGGTGGACAAATTTAACAAGTTTTCTGTTACTTTTTAAAAAGAAAAAATCCAGAACATAAGAACTATATTATGAACACATGATTTGAACCTGTTGTGGTAAAGATCTTGTACAGGATGCAAACTAAAAACCTAATCCCTGCCATCAAATTTATTAGAAGAGACCTATATATGAACAACTTAAAGGCACTGATTTCTATAATAGAGCTCTAAAAACATGCCACCAGTGTATGAATAAGGGAAAGATTAATTTTGGCTGGACCAATATAAAAAATTGTATTTGAAGAATTGATACTTTAACTTGGACCTTGAAGGTAAAGCTTCAAAAGACAGGTTACTGACCATTGAGTGTTTACTATGTACCCAATGTGTATATTTTTCTTTTTAATCTTCCCAATAGCTGAATAAAGTATAGATACTATTATTTGTACTTCTTACAATTGAGGAAATAAGCCTAAGAGATTAAAAGATTTTGCCCAGGGTTCACAAGCCTTCTTCCCTGAGCCCTGATTGAGCTGCTGTGTGTGTCTAATGGCACCCACAGTCACGGCCGTCTAGTCGAGGGAGGGACAAGATCTAGACCCATTGTAGAGGGAGGAAAAACAATCCAGGCCTTTTGGAGGTTCTAAATAACAGACAGACCAGTTGAATTGTTAGAGAGGATGACTCAAGTTTCTAATTCAGCACATGGACAGATGCTCATAGCTTCAGTGAAAGGTAAGTTTTGACACATTAAATTGCCCAGAAAATCCAGATCTGGAATCAACGTGGTATAGTAAGTGAGATCACCCAAAAAGTCAAGAGTCACGTGAACTAAAGATGGTTAAGAACTGATTTGGGGGAAGTTTTTTAGAAAGTATTTCTAATTTAGAAAAAAATACATAGACTAACAGGAGATACAAGAAAACGAGGGTTGGGGGAGGATTAAGAAGCCCAGTGAACAGAATTCCCAGAAGAGTATAATTAAATGTCAGATGTGGTGGAGATAAAGAGGCCACAGTGACAGCAGTAGGGGCAGACTACGTAAAACTAGAAATTTGACTAGGTGATAGTGTGAGAAGGGAGCCCTGGTCAAAAGGTGGTCTGCATCCTTTTCTGGTGTAGGAGACAAGCAAGTGGTAGGCTGATGGGAAAGGGGGATTGAGGCAGGAAACAAGAGAAATTCTTAATGCCCATAAGGAATACTCTAGTGCTACTGACTGACTGCCTAGGCTTTGTCTTTTGTAAAGACAAGGGAAAGAAAGCCCCAGTGTTAGAAAACTCCTTCCCACTTTCATTCTCTGCGAGAAGTACCTAGAAATTTCTAGTTATTAGACTGTATAACTTGACTCTGCTGTAAAAACTTTATCCTAGCTTGGGCTATTTTCCAGATGGTGTTTCTTCTAGGAGGAAAAAGAATTGCCTCAATTGCAGGGAAGTTTTTGCTAATGGTAAGTCAAGCAAGTCTCAGTGTCTTTACTACAGGTAAAAGGGTGTAAGGAGATTTTATGAGAACTGAATGAACCCTGAAGGTCACTAGTCAAATTCAGGTATGCTGTTAAGTGTTCTTGCTTGAGACCCAAATTACAAGACTGGCCAATTTTTGTATTTTTGGTAAAGACTGGGTTTCACTATGTTGCCCAGGCTGGTCTCGAACTCCTGGGCTCAAGTGATCCACCAGCCTTGGCCTCCCAAAGTGCTGGGATTACAGGCATGAGCCCTTGGGCCCAGCCGGCTGTTTAATGTTCTTAAATAGCACAAGGGACTTCTATGAACTTTCCTAGATGAAATATTTATTAACTACTAGGTAAAACACTTGTTTGATACTGCAAAGGGTTATTTCTGAAACTTAAACCTCATGATTGGCCAACCAAGAACTTTTTCTCCACAGCATGCTTTAATAATGAAATGCGGATTAAGAGTCCAATATTATAAAACATTTCCACAAAAGAAAGAATCCATCTGATTCTCAACTCTGAATGCACATTTGAATTCCCTCGGGGAGCTTTTAAAAGTCTAATGCCCCAGTGTACCCCCCCCAGTTAATTAATTAAATAATTCTCTGGGGATGAGAACTGACTGACAGCAACACTTAAGCTTCGAGACTGCAGTGTGCAGCCGAGGCCCACTCCTCCAGCGTCACCACCTCGTCTTTATCTGCCACTGTGTCTCCTCATTGCCCACAGCTTTAGCAACAGCAAAAGTAGAATTCAAACCTTGGTAAACAAGGCTTAAATTATTACTGTTCATGACCTTAATTAATTGAAAATGATTACTGGTGACCACAGCACTCCATGCTCTTCCTTATGGAAAAAGGGTTGCCTAGAAGATTTAGGCAATACTGGGAGTTCTTATTTGAAGTCACAGAAAGGAGAAACTTTTCTCAAGCCGTTTTTATTACACTTAGTGTATTAAGACAAGTACAAAATAACCTTGTAATTAAGATACTGTATCAGTCAAAAAAGAAGTCACTATTGTATGAAGAGATTTACAAATGACTAAAATATACAGGCTGTGACAGAATTAACAGTTTGAAAGAGGGTTGCTTTTTTCTTTTAGAAATGCTAAATTTTCTTAACAAGACAAAAATACAGTGCTCTAAATATGCATTACCATGAAAACGTTAAAGAAAAGCAGTCTTAACACTTAACTACTATTAACAGCCTTTGCCAACACATGCCTGCCTACTCCCTTTCCTAACTTTAAAGAACTGTTTCCTCTAAGGAATACTAGTGCAGCATAACCCTTAAATAATTTCATTTATTTTTAAAGTTACAACCTACAGAGAAATTAACATCTTGTCAATCTAATAACAGTGGCAACCATTCTTCACATGCACTTCTCTTAGAATAAATCCCCTTGGCTGGCAGGATAAGGCTTATGCTGTAGAACCTTCTCCCCCACAGCCACAAATCCCCTTCTATAAGTCCCTCCTACCCTCATCCCCCCGCATCCCCACTGGCATTCACCTTTCCCACCCCAAAAAGTGCAGCTCATGGTAGCCTTCTAGAAAATGGTTTTAATGGGTATCCCAGCATACACGCTTTTTTAAAAGCCCCCTCTGAACACCAGAGGTGGTGAAAATGAATTGTGTTCTTGGATTTTTTTTTTTTTAAGCCTCCACTGGGTCAAAAATATGTGCTCTTAATACTTGAGTTTTTGCTTTGTGTGTGGGTTTTCTTTCTTTTTCATTTAGATATCGTGGGATAAAGTGGAGAGGACATCTCCATTTTCCCATACAAACTGAGGGTGAGAAGAGAAAGAGAAGCAAGCTGTTGCCCCCACTTTGGCCTGGCTTCCCAGCCATCTTCCCAGCTCTGGTTCTTTCATAGGAACTAGTTATTGCTTCCACAATGCCGTTATACGGAATGTTCCACAAAGGCTGTGAACCTAGTCACAGTCTACCCACAACAAGAACTCTGCTCTGAAAAACCAGCCCAAGAGCTCTTACCCAGAAGAACAATCTTTAGCCCTCAAGGTCACTGAAACTTCATTAGAGCAGTTTAGAGTAGACGTGTAAGATTTGGCATATATTAAATGATTATTGGCACAATGTTCTCCAGTTCCATGTATAAATGTTGATATGCACATCGGCCAGGGCCCAGGATGAATCAGCCAATCTGCACCATTTTTATGTCAGCAATAATTCCATCTCTTCCCTTTGAGCACTGTAGGGAGAGCTGCTTCATCCGGTTCTCCAAGGCCTGGCCCTCAGGGGAGGTGCTGCTTTGGCTCTTACTGCTGCCACCACTGCCACTGCTACTGCTGAGGCCCCGGTTGTTGTTGGCTTTGTCACTTGTTTTATTCTCTGCCCCTTCTGCCCTGTCTCCTATAGAAATACAAGGATTATCAAAAGTGAGTATTGACAATTCTGCCCTGTCTCCTATAGAAATACAAAGATTATCAAAAGTGAGTATTGACAATTCTAAGTCACTTGAGCTCAAACCAGTCAGCTAACTCAGCCCTGTAGAAGTCCCACTGTTACCTACCGTGCCTATCAGAGAGGTTCTCAGTACATAATCATTTACTGCTTTTATTCCTTGTGATGTTTTATATATTCCTTAGCTATAGAGATGAAATTTGCCATATTCACTTTATTGCTGAGAAACAAACCTCTCTACTATGTGCTTGCCAAGGAGACTGTTCTGATGTGAGACATAGGACCTAAGCTCTACTTTATAGAAGCTGAGTGGAGCCAGGAGCCCCCCCAGAACAGCACTTGGAAACAACCTCAGTGATCAATACTGACAGCACAACCACAGAGACCTGGTAATGCAGCATGGGGGCCCTGAGACCTGGCAGAGGTATGGAATGGCACAACAGTCAGGCTACAGAGGCAGTGTGGCATCTGGGACGGGGTGAGAAGGCTGCTACTCACCTCGTTCTACTTCACATTCAGGGGAGGAGGCCCCGCTGCATTCACTTCGAGGGCCCAACACTGGGAACATCATCCCAAACTCTGACAGGGACACAGGGCTGGGCAGATCCAGGCTGCCAGGCCTCACAACCGCAGGGAACTGGTCAGGCATCTCAGACGGGCTTGTTGGTCCTGAACTAAAGCTGGACACGGACTGGGTTTCCGAGTCATCTTCAGACACAAAGTTGCTACAGCTGTCATCTTCAAAGGCCTCCGAGGCCACTAAGTTGAGAGAGAACACCAGTCACATGGGTTCTGTCACCTCCTCAAACACCACAAGTGCTTGCTGCTGGCAGGCAGCTAGACACAGCATGGGGGACTAAAGAGTCTCTACCTCTGTGAGTGCCTAATGAAGGAATGTGACTTCCCAAGCCTGAATGACCAGCCTCTAAAGCAGCTGGAAGGGAAGCAGCTGGCAGCAGGATCCCATGGATATTAAGCGCCCTTCCAATAACCTTATAACCCTGCCAAGAAATCAGTGTCACCAGACACCACCTAAAAATGGAAGATTAATTCAGCCACAAATTAGGACCTTTACTCCACCTCAGTCCCCCAAATACATCCTCATGTGCACAGGAAGAGGTTCTAGTCCTCTGTAACATATCCCAAACAAAGCCAGCTGGACTCAGGCTTCTTTCTTAGGGCAATAGAAGCAAGAGCTGCTAGAAGAAACAGGCCAGCATGGAACATCTGTTGGGACCTTTGTTATCTCCAGGTAACTTCTGATCTCATAAAGAACACACTCAAAGGCTACCCACATCACCATTTGCTGCAAAAGAACAGAAATCCTTTACAATGCTCTGTAGCCACATTATTTGGTAGACCAAAGTAACAAGGCCCAGACACATGTTATTCCCATGGTTTCAAAGCCTCTTTGGCCTTTAGCGGTTTTCCCTCAGCCTGCCCACAATCCCACTCCTTATTAGAACTTTCCTACTCCATTTTTCCCCCCCTTTCTCTTTAAAAACAGCCTTGTAGCATTCCATAAAGGTTTCTTATAAATGATAAATACTGTAATGTTGGGGACAGAAAATGGGCTCAGACCTGAATTGAATCCCTAACTCCACTACTTGCTGTGTGACCTTGGTCAAGTTACTTTACCTCTGTAAGCTTCATGATCCTCTCCATGCAGGGTTTGAGATGATGTATATATTAAAGTACCTCATACATAGTAGTTGTTCAAATGATAGTTTCCTTTTCCTTTACCTTGAACCTAGTACTTAAATATTTGTTGAAGGAATTAACTCCTGAGGAAGGAGCTTGGGAAAGAGCCGACAGGGATTATTGCACAGGTAAGGAAAAGAAAGGAAGTATGCAAAGACAGCGTTGGGTGGGTTTTCTTGATGAGCATGACAGAAACCAAGTCAAACTTCTATCAGTTTTCCAGGGGGAGGCCCTGGGAAAAGAGGTCTCTATGGTCAGATGTCAGTAAGAGCCACCATTTGCTGAGTGCTTCTTGGGTGTCAGGGGTTGATTCATGTAAGCTGAACCACCACCCTACACAACGGATAGTATACAGTAGATAGCGTCATACTCCCCATTTTACAGGTGAAGAAACTGAAATACAAAGTTAGGCCCTTGCCCACATCATGCCTTAGTAATGATGTAAAGGTAGCTTTGAATCAAATCTGATTACAGCTCTTCTTTCCTGCAGGACTTCTCAGCCTTGAATGTTCAAATGTATACTTTGACTCTCAAAGAGGAGTGAAGGTGTAACATTTTCCCAATTTATTTGACCACAGAATCCTGACTTTGAGGAACACTTAGTACCTTCTTAATGAACACAGTGTTCCATAAAACATGGGAACCCACCAGAAATAGCCCTCAGGCCTGCCCAACTCTGAGACCTTTCACTGATGGCCAGAGAAAGTGAGGACCTTGGGAAACAAATCACACAGTCTGATATCTCCCCACATACCCAGTGGAGCCCCTGACTTACCAGAAATGGCATCAGGCTCAGGTTTGCTCCCTGGCAGATCCTCCACAGATGTGCTGCTGCCCTCAGCACCAACACCGCATCCCCGAGGCCCCATGGCACTGGAGCGCCGCCGCTCGTGGATCTCATCTGAGATCATCTCCAGGTTCTTCAGGGCCATCTTGTACTCGCCTTTTGCCAGGGTCAGTTTGGCCTGCAGGTCATCCACAGTCTTTTTCAGTTGCTGATCAAGAGAACAGGAGACTAAGTGAAGACTACCCTGCTAGCCTTAAGATGCTTTCTGAATGACAGGTTCAAGTACATTTTCTGCCCATCATTCTACTTCAAGGAATTTTCCAAGACATGACTGAAGACCTAATTACCATTGTAACTGCTATTCATTCACCAGACAAAATCAGCCACCACCATCCCCAGATCCCATCCAGGTGACAACCTCTAATATCCAAAAACTCTCACTGGTGGAACAAACCCCATCAGGGAAGCAAAAATGGGCATCAGACACACCAAAGTCCCACAGTCTAGACATCTGGTTCCCAGTACAGTGGTTCTCAAAGTTGAGCTTGCATCAAAATCCCCTTGGGTGTTAAGACTCAGCTCACTAGACTCCAACCTCAGAGTTTCTAATTCAGTCGGTCTAGAGTGGGACCTGGTCTATCAGGTCTCCAGGTGATGCTGATGCTGCTGGTCCTAAGAGCATGCTGTGAGAACCACTGGCCTAGTACAACAGAGAAGGTGACTGAATGGCAGTTACAGAGGTTCAGAGACCACTGAAGACCCAACCGAGACAATTTTGAGGTCTGAAAACTCAGTAAAGCCTGTCTCTCCACTTTCCCCTTATAGCAAGTGGCCCATGTGATACTCTGCTACCCCAGAAAAGTGAAGCTTTGAGTGCAGAAAAATCTCATCAGTGACGAAGCCCAAAGCTACACATACCTCGAGCTGCACATAGTACTTTGCCTTGAGTTCAAAATAAGGCCTGCAGAAGACAGGAAGGAAAGCCATCAGAGTAATATAATACAGTGACCACAGTCAACTCCACAAGATGAACAAGAGGCATCAGCTACCACTGGCCAGGTCGTCCTTCCAATATTTAGTAAACTCTTAACAAGGCCGTGACATGTCAGTGATGCTCCTAGCTCTGGAGACTGACAGACACCAGATGGAACGACTGGGCTCACCCAGGGCTATATTAACAGGAGGCCCATCTCAAGACACGGGGAACCCACACACACATATCTTGGGGACTCTGCAACTTAGCTCATGTTCCTCCTCTGTGGGAAGGCTGTTCAGAGCCTCACAGGTTATACCCAGCAGTAAGGGTGGCCTGGATCTGCTCTCCTAATGAAGTTGGCTCCCCAGGGATGAAGAGCAGCTGAGGCTGGAGAAGGGGCTGCTTAAACCTCCTCCTCTACTGAAGTCAACTGGGGAAGAGAGAGAAGCACCACTCCTCCCTCACAGCACAGCAAGGCCACCACTAGGAGGGGGTCTCAGGTTGGTCCTCCCAAACCTTGTCCAAAGACTGGAGTTATTAGTTGGCTGACTCAGCCACATAATGGGCCCAAGAAATGCCAGCGTCCTAGCAGTTCCCTTGGTTCTGGGTCAGCTGAAAGAGCTTGGCTCTTTTTTAGGAACTTTGGTGCCTGAACATTAAGAGTAGATCACTGCTTTATTCTTGAGCTGTTCACCCTCCATGAAGCTCTCAAGTCCTGCATCCTGAGGATCCAGATGGATGACAAGGACACAGGACTGCCATTGGTGGGTATGAAAATCCTGAAATTTGGGGGGAGAGAGAGGTGTATAAGCTCTCTCGTGTGACCAAAAGGAGCACAAGGTGAAGAGTATGTGTGTGAATGGGCATCGGAGGGCACAGGGAAGATGTCCCAGCAAAAGGAACATGAGCATCCATGCAAGGGAGTGTGGCTGGAGAGGCAGGGTGGGCATGGAGGTGGCCTGGAAGCCACTCTGTGGAATGCACAGATGTACATTTTAACCTTTGGGCAGACAGGAGCCACCCAAGACTACGATCTATCCCTGTACTCTTCTCGGAGTCTGAAAAGGTTGGCAAAGTACAATCACAAGATTTATTTTCTTAAACAGGTTAATGGATGAGTATGTGATGTGTGTGCAGTGTGAATTCGGGGTCTTTTGAGAAAAGACCCACCATATTCACACCAAAGGAAGCAGCATCAAAGGCTGCTCCTCGGCCTCCTTGGGTGTTGGCATGTGGATGATGCCTGGGCTTGCCCAGAGCAGGCACAGGTCCTACAACAACCCTCGCCACCTCCTGCCTCCCCTGCAGAAAAATGCCATATACACGTCTACTACTTAGCTCTCAGGAGATCAGCCCCTGACACACCAAAAACCAAACCAAAACAAAAATACACTAGTCAATTAAGTGCAATAGTAAATGGTTAAATGGTGTTCCTCTGCATGTATGTGTACATATGTATGTTGGAAGAGTGTGAGCAGAAACTAAAGAAAAGTCAAGCCTGGGTGAAGGTACTGGGGGGTAGTACAGAGCCTAGGAGGACCAAACTCTTCCTTGCAGATCCTCTTCCTCACTGAATTGTCACCTTTCCCTCACTTGCATGAGGACTGGGCATCTGCCAAGCTTCCAACTGCCCAGCCCCTCCTGGCTGGGGCTGTGACCACACCTGGAGAACAGGCATTCAGTAGCCCTGCACAGCCTGCTCTGGGTCTATCTTTGGCTGTTAAGTCTAGGTCATCATAAGTCCTCCTCCTTTTGCTAGGAGGCCTAGCAATTGGGAATGAAGCAGGGGGCTTGTCCCCAAGAGAGGGTACACAGTTGTGCCTGCCCACCATTATCAATGTTGTATAAAAATATACAGGGCTGTAGTGAGAAGAGATTGGAGAAAAAAAAAAAAACTCTACTAAAGCCAGTCTTACAGCATTTTATCAGCTCTTGATCACAGGAAACATGTATTGTGAACACAACTCATCCCTATTACACTGACAGATAAATTGAGGGATAGGGCCTTGACAACACTGTCAACCACAGATCCCAGAGTACAGCGTGAATTTACCAAATCCCAGCCAATGGGCCATTTAATAATGTGCCTTTGAAATTCCTTTTTCTGTGTTTCCTAACTTAGTCATATCTAGAGCAGCCCACCCCTTAGCATCCTCTGCTTCTGGGGGTCATAGAATATTAGGGGGAAAGAGAGCCTGAGCAGGGGGGCTCTGGTGAGGCCCCAGGGTCTACATCAAAGGACTACTCAGGGTGGTCCTTGAGTGTGTGACATACAAAAGGCTGAGAAGATGCAGACTAGGACAGCCGCACGGCCCCAGGGAAGGCCCTGTCCAGACTTACTTGGACTTGTTGATGGCTCTCTTGAGTTTCTTCTCCAGCTGTCGCATGCGGCCCATGGCGGCATTGTACCTGGCTGCCGTCTCCTTATGCACCAGCTCGCTCCTGGTCTTGGTCTGCTCCGCCTCCATGACCTTAAAATGACAGCAGAGTTCAGCCCAGTCCAGCCCAGAACAGCCCAGGCTTGGAATATTACTTATATTATTTTTCAAAAAATATTCTTTGCCCGGGCATGGTGACACATGTGTAATCCCAGCACTTTGGGAGGCCAAGGTGGGTGGATCACGAGGTCAGGAGATCGGGACCATCCTAGCCAACATGGTGAAACCCGTCACTGCTAAAAATACAAAAATCAGCCGGGCCTGGTGGTGTGCTCCTGTAGTCCCAGCTACTCAGGAGGCTAAGGCAGGAGAATCACTTGAACCCGGAGGCAGAGGTTGCAGTGAGCCAAGATCGTGCCACTGCACTCCAGCCTGGGCGACAGAGTGAGACTCTGTCTCAAAAATAAAAATACTCTTTGGGCCAGGCACGGTGGCTCACACCTGTAATCACAGTCCTTTGGGAGGCTGAGGTGGGTGGATCGCCTAAGGTCAGGAGTTTGAGACCAGCCTGGCCAACATGGCAAAACCCCGTCTCTACTAAAAATATAAACATTTGCCAGGCATGGTGGCACATGCCTGTAGTCCCAGCTACTTGAAAGGCTGAGGCAGGAGAATCACCTGAACCCAGGAGATGAAGGTTGCAGTAAGCCGAGATCACGCCACTGCACTCCATCCTGGGCAGCACAGCAAGACTCCATCTCAAAATATATATGTATATATAGATATCTATATCTAGATATATATTTGAGCAAATTAGTGGTCAGACTAAGAATAAACCAACTTCCCAACAGTGGTTTTCTTTTCCTATTTATCTATTTTGAAAAAGCCTTGTGAGGAAAGATTAAATAGCTAAATTGGCTGTGGCAATGACTGAGAAAGAAAATGGAAAAACAAAAACCAGAAAATTTTGAACTATTTTCTGATTCAACAGCTGTCCACTTTCTTCTCAGGTTCCTCGATCTAAGTAGCCACCTAGACCTCCTCCCGTTCACACCTTGGGGCAGGGGCCTGATGGGCAGGCAAATGGCCAAATAGCAGCAGTGGGAACCTAAGAGATGGGGAACCTAATGGGGAGACCACCAAAACCAAGAACTAGGCATCGTGCCAGGCACGATGGCAGTCAAGCCAGCAAAGCAGCCATGACTTCCATTGTTTGGTCCTTTCCCAAATATTCTGAACTAGTTGGCTGTGCACAGAAGAACTCAGGATCCAGAAAGGGCAAACTTTACATTTAAGCAATTAAATTAAAACCCAGTCATTCACATCAGATTTTGAGGTACACAAACATTTGTGAGCAGAAGACAAGTCAAAGTTCTGGTGGGAAATTCTGGTGGGAACACTTTGTTAAGTCTGTTGAAAAAAATGAGTTACAAAACCAATACTCAAGGGCCCTCAATGGCCAAAAAACAAAAGCAGCTCACAGGCCCAGTCCCAGAGACATGGGCAATGTTAATTCTCTCCTTGCTTACCTACAGAAAAGCATCAGAACAAGGCCTGCCTTGAAGAAAGAGGAGGGAAACAAACCGCAGTTCAGGCCACATAAGCAGCTTGCGATTTCTTTCCCTGTCTTCTGCCTACCACTCAGTGTTATAAAATAAACCGGAGAGACAGTAGAGGTTAGGCTAAAGGGTTATTCTCTAATTCTGTATTCTCTGGGGAGCATCCGAGAGGAGCCCAGAGGGCTCATGGTCACTAGTCAGCTCTCTCAGACCCCGTAGAACAATTTTAGGGAGGTACCACCATGTCTTTAGTTCACAGTTAAAAAAGAAGGCCACAGAGGAAGGTTGCCAATGTTCTACCATCTCCTCCAGTCAACAGCCACAATCAGCCCTAGGATAGTTTACTTATTACTTACGATAAGGATTTTTAAAGGTACCATGAAAAATTATGAAAGACTTTTATATGGGCATTAAAAATTACAGGGTGTCCTGTCTAGGGCACCCTTCCAGGCTATCTCTGACTTTGTCTTGAAGCTGTTTTACAACCCTGTAAGTTGTAGAAAACTGACAGTAATACAAATGGTTTTTTTTTTTTTCCAGAGAAATGAAGATGAACTGTGTCACAGATGCAGTGGATTACTGACTGCCCTTGTAATAGTCCATTTTGCATCTGTTGGTAATTCATTGAGGCACTCTTGGTTTTCTATGAGTTTGTATTTTTTGAATTCAAGAATTGTAACATCACTGTTAGATCCCTCCTTATTTAATGAGAGAAATAAAATATTTGACACGAGAAAATTTTATATTTGTATCCCAATTATGCTTTTACCTTCTTAAAAATATCTTTTAACAAAGGCTTCAGTGCTTCAGATAATTTTTAAAAACAGAAAAACAACAAAATCAGAGAAGAAAAATAGGAGAGAACTGAGCTAAGCTGGCACGAGGAGACATGCTTGCTCACATGACTTCTCAACCAAGACCAAAGGGCTAAGAGAATCCTTTCCCTTTGCTTCCAAAACCAGATATTTCACAAGGAAACAAAATGCACTAAAAATATCTCATGCTTGATACTTGGGGAAACAGCAGTAAATCTTAAGCTTTAAGGATTTACTGGTATAACCTTTATGAAAACTCAAACCTTCAGGTTCATCAAAGACAACATGTTGGGGGTGATTGTTTTATTACAAAAAGATCCAATTAAAGGTTTACCTTTAAGGAGCTGTCAGAATGCATTTTCAACAGACTTGTAGAACCTGTAATTTGAGGGTCCTGTACAGAAAGAGTCCCCTGTAAGAAGCAGGATTCTCACCATCTGCACACAGGCCCTCATTCTATCTTGGCCTCTAGGCTGCAAGCAGAAGCACAGGCTTTCTACAATAAAACACTTGGAAAGCTCCGAGCCCATGGCAATACTGGCAGTGAAAACTGAAGAAGTGGCCAGCACATCACTGTCCCCTGCTTCGCCCCACCAGGCCACGTCTACCACATCCTGTCCCTATCTCCCCACTTCTCATATATATACAAAACCTCCAGGGCAGCCAGGTGCGATGGGGCTCATGCCTGTAATCCCAGCACTTTGGGAGGCCAAGGCGGGCAGATCACTTGAGGTCAGGAGTTCAAGACCAACCTGGCCAACATGGTGAAACCACGTCTCTACTAAAAATACAAAAATTAGCTGGGTGTGGTGGTTGGTGCCTGTAGTCCCAGCTCCTCAGGAGGCTGAGGCAGGAGAAAAGCTTGAACCTGGGAGGTGGAGGTTGCAATGAGCCAAGATCGCGCCGCTGCACTCCAGCCTGAGCTACAGGGCGAGACTCCGTCACACACACACACACACACACACACACACACACACACACACACACACAACCCTCCAGCTCCTGGAAGAGACCTCCACACAACTCAGCTTCCTGCCTTGAGGAAGAAGGTCACTAAGCATGTCGCCTTGGTTATGTCTCCTAGGTAATCAAGGAGCTCCTCTATCTACAGCCTAGCATCAGGCATGAGCTGTGTGCAGTGATGTGGGTCAGGTGTGGTGGGATAAGTAAGGAGGAGAGCGGCTCAGGGGTAGGTGTGGCAAACTGCACCCCATACTCCGGAGCAGCATACTCCGGAGATGCTGAAGATCCAGGGACCACAGAGATACTGCTCAGCCCCGGACCCTGCTCATATCAGCCCACAGAAAATAGCAAACACCCGGCACCTTCCCGCATGGGCACCACTGGGCACTGATTGGGTGTTTCAATCTGGCTTGGCCAGCCTCTTCGCGGGGTCCCACACCAGCAGAATGGCCCAACCGGCTTAGTAGACATCCACCAGGCACAGCTCCTCAGCCTCCTGTTACAGCTTTCTCGACTCTCCAATCTCCAGGGCCTTTGCACCCTCAGTTACACTCCCAACATCTCTTCCAACATCACAGAGGGGCGGTCAGGAGCCTCTTTGCCCAGGGAGGCAATCTCACTGTCTGCTGAGAACCTCCATTCTGACTGTTTCAGACTGTTTCCTGATTCTTACTGCGTCCTTGGGCAATGAGACCTAAGAAGGCGCTTCTTCCCACTGTGTGGAAGGGAGGCGGTTCACACCCACCAACGTCAGGGAGGCTGTCGTGAGCAGCTCCTCACCTGCCATCCCAGGCTCATATCCACTGTGAACCAGGAGAAGGGCTGGCCCTGCGTCGTGTCCTCTCCAGCAGCCACCTGGGGCTAGTTCAGAAACAGTTCGTGCCTCTCATTTCCAAGTCACATTTCCCTCTTCCTCTGTCTGAGCTCTTTCAGCAGACATCAGAAAAGCCAATTTCTCCCTCCCAGGATGCCAGCCCTCCTCTCTCAGAGGATGAAAAGCTATCACCTTCCCATAAAGGCTACTTCAGTGCCAAAACAGCTGAGGCTGAAGGGGTCCTATGCTGCCCAAGCTCCCCAGCTGGAGAGCAGCAGGGACCCCAGGCCCTGTGCCCCAAGGAAGGCTGCTCAACTACAAGGTTGGCAGCTCTGCCACAAGCTACTTGTATTTTCCAGAGTCCTCATCAACCCCAGCACTAAGCAGAAAACTGATCCTTTGTCCCTGTCTGTGCCACTGCATGTGGCCTAACAGAGCACACCAGGGCTGCTGCCACCTCCTAGTATATCGGCTTCAGCCATGGCTCCAAGTGTGGCTGCCTGATGTCACCACAGGAAGTGTGAGGGGCCGCATAGATAATCTTGGGCACGTTACGTGGGAACCCCAGTGTCCCGCTGTGCCTGGAGGGATCGTGTAGTCCAAGCCACTGCCATTTCTTCAAGACAGCCCTGGGCCTTTCTGAGCACGGAATTTTCTTTTATTAGACCCTTAAGTAATACTTTGGAAGAAGAGGGTGAGATGAAGCTCCCTTGTTCTACAGAAACAAGCATCCTAGAGTACCCAGAAGGCAGACAAGGGAGGAGACATTCTCTAGCCCTTTGATCACACAGCTTTCAGCTGGCTGAGCATGCCAGGCCCGTGAGGCTCTAGGAGGGGTCAACATGAGCACCACTGGGGGAAACGCTAAGTCCAGAGAGTTCCCAGTTACTCGACACTGTTTCAAAGCCAACCATGCAAGTGTGTGTCCTGGAGAAAGAATTATGTTCTGCATCATCCATTACATTCGGAGAGCCTGCTCTGCACGCTGAAATTCTGAGTGGCACAGGGACGTGATGGGGGAAAGCTTTGCCACAGGCTTTTGTCTCTTGCTGGTGTCTGTTTTTAACTCATCTGTTCAATGAGGGGCATTTCCAGCCTATGCAACTGTGAAGGGATCTGGGAAGAGGAATATCAGCTCAAAGGTGGAAATCCTGGCATGTGACCCGGAACACCTGCCAATCTGCAGAGGTTGCCCCCAAGCCCAAGAAAACCAAATGGGCCCTTCCCTTCAGTGGCCACAGAGAAGGCACATATCAGCTGGCCCTCCCAGGGCCCTATGAAGCCCTCATGACCTCAGGAGTACAGGGCCATCTTGTATAGCCCCACAGGTCTTGCACTGCACAACTCCAAAAAGCGCTATTCCCAAAGTCTGTGGTATGAACGGTGCCCTGAGTTATACAGTGTGGAGGTCTGGGGATGCCACTCCTTGGGAGGCCACCCACTATCCACTGGGGCCCTGGGACTTAAAAATGAGAGATACACAAAGCAGAAGCATGGTTTGTTTATCTTTAAACAACAGATTAAATGACTTCTGAAATGCTTGCTTATAGGCTGACATGGGTCTCCAGCTGGGGTGGAAGAAGGGCAAAAAGGAAAAGTGGCCCTTCAGCTAATTTCTTGGAAGAAGCTACCTTACATTTTGTCCTTTTCATATCTATCGGGCTTTGGCTTGTGAACTTCCAAGATTTCCAGCCACCCCTTCCATTTTTCTCGAGATGACCCAGAAAAGTTGTTTCTAGCCCACGTCTAGCTCTGTGAGCATCACGCCCACTAGGGGGCAGGAGGCGCAAGGCCACACAAAGCCAAGCTCAGCCGAGAGTCTCAGGCTGCAGGGAGAGGTGCGTAAAGTCAACGCGGATTTGACTCTTGAAGTCATTTGTGTGCCAAGCTTTCTATTTAAGGAAGCACAAGGCCATCTTTAATTATCAGATCCCCCAGGACTTGAGCCACTGTGGCAGGTGACATTTAAAAGGGAAATCCTATTGGCATTAACCTGCTGACTTTTCTAATCCAGTCCCCCAGACGGCTTTCTCAAGGAGTCACCAAGACCTCTTGCAACCCCGTACCCGCGCCGTCCAGGGTCTTATTGGAGCTGCTGAAGCCACAGGTCAGCTCACCCACCCACCCTGCAGCAAACCAGCCCTACACTCGTTTTCCAGGCGCTGGGAATCTAGACAGAGAATGCAGAGGGGCACAATGGACCCAGGCTGGTGTGGGGGGATACCAGGAACATGAGCCTGGGCAGCCCAGGAGCCAAGCCTGGAAGGGGGAAGAGGTATCCAGGAACATTCTGCGTGACTTCTAAGAAACCCGATAGAGTTAGGCAGGGGTAACCAAGTACTGCTGAGCCAAGAACTGTCCCTAGCTGCTATGGTCTGAACATTTGTGTCCTCCCAAAATTCTTATGTTGAAACTGATCCCCAGTGTGAGGGTATCTGGAGATAGGGCCTTTGGGAAGTGATGAGGTAATGAGGGTAGAACCATCATGAATGAGATTAGTGACCTTATAAGCTCATGTACCCCTTCCACCGTGTTAGGACATGGAAAAGATGGTCATCTGTGAACCAAGAAACAGGCCCTCATGAGACACTGAATCTACCAATGTCCTACCTACCAATGCACTTCTCATCCTCCAGAGCTGTGAAAAATAAATTTCTATTGTTTACCAACTACCCTGTTTATGGTATTTTGTTTAGTATTTTGTCTTGGCCTGTACAGACTAAGGCACACCATTTCTGGCTCTGAGTAACGCAGTCAGAGAGGTGGTCATGAGAGCCAGTAAAGAACCCAATATAATGACATAAAACCCAGCAAGCCAAGCTGTGAGTAAGGATCACACACAGTCCGCTTCCTCTGTGCCTGTCAACTCCCTGAATCCCAGCCCAGAAGGCCTGTCGTAAGTACACACCTGATTCTGGTCTAATCCGCCATGACCCCTGCCTTCCTCCGACAGCACATACCCGAAGTGCAGCCCCCATTTAGGGCTGTTCATCAAGGTCTCCCCATCACAGATTCGAAACCCAGCCAGTATTGCTGGGGTTCCATGGGAGCAAACCCTGGAAAACCTCGTCCCTCTGGAAGCCTGAGTCCAGTCAAGACCCCCTGGGGATGACCCAAACCAGACAAACCTCAAGCAACATAAGGGAAGGAGCAGCTCTCGCTGTCACGGAGAGACACTGTGACTCATTCTGGAGCACTGGCTTCGTACCAAGCGCAGCCAAGAGATCATACGGAGATGACAACCTGTGATTTTCAGGGTGTTTTCAGGCAACATGCCTGGGAGTCGAGTCTGTTACCTCCGCTCAGGGGAAGCCAGCGCGCATGCACGCGCACACCCCCACAGCACACCCGGCCATGACTCATACCCTCTGAGTGGCGTGATTCAGCATCTCCTGCCAGGCGGAGTCGAACTGCCGCTTGTCATCCTCCAGCAGCCGCTGCTCGGCCAGGGAGATGGTCTCCTTGGCGGCACGGAGCACCTCTGTGGCCCTCTGGAAGTCCTGCGTGGCTTTCTGAGCTTCCAGCTGAGCCTGTGTGAGAAAGAATCCTCATGAGGCCTCAGAAAATGGCAGGGGCTCCCCATGGTCCATTTTACCTTTCAAAAAATAAGCATCCCAAGGACCAGGACAAGCTCATCTCTGCCTCTTCACTCCTGGCACCCACAGGTCCTCATAGATGCCAGACAGGGCAATGGACCCCTGATGGGGGAGTGAGCAACAAATCAGTGAGCGAACAATTTCCACAGTTCTGGGCCCAATGGATGAGATAAACACATCAGCCCTTGGCCAGAACCTGACATGGCAAACCAGCCCATCGTGGGACAGGTACAGCCAACCCCACAGCCTTTCTCAGAAGCTCTGCCTCACTCGAGGCCTGTCACCTTCCCTGCCCAGATCTGTGGCTCAATTCATGGCAAGTCAGAACCAGGAAGGCCCCCAGAGATCATGGTCCAAAGACTTCACTCTATAGAAGGGGGACCTTAGCTGAGAGGACACAGCCTTTCCTGAGATCACACAGCTGACTAGATGCAGAGCTGTGCCAGACTCCAGCCAGTATGAGTTCCAGCCCAGCACTGTCACTCTGCCAGACAGTCTCCCACTCAACTCACACCCACTGACACCAGCGACAGGCCAAGTATGGCACCAGGCAGGCAAAGAGAAGGACCTAATTAATTAACACAACACGGTCCCTGCTTTCAAGGAGCATCAGGTGGGAGAACCAATACCAACTGTAGCTGACCACCACGTCTAGAGCTGCCCCCACTACATGTGTCTACTGATTGTTCAAAATGTGATTAATCCCAGCCAGGTGCAGTGGCTCACACCTGTAATCCCAGCACTATGGGAGGCAGGCGGATCACTTGAGGTCAGGAATTAAAGACCAGCCTGGTCAACATGGTGAAACCCCATCTCTACTAAAAACACAAAAATTAGCCAGGCATGGTGGTGGGCACCTATAATCCCAGCTACTTGGGAGGCTGAGGCAGAAGAATCACTTGAACTCAAGAGGCAGAGGCTGCAGTGAGCCGAGATTGCACCACTGCACTCCAGCCTGGGTGACAGAGTGAGACTCCATCTCAAAAAAAAAAAAAAAAAGTGATTAATCCCAATTGAATGTAAGACATCCCTAATCTTAAAGACTTAGTACAAAAAAAAAAGAATGTTAAATATCTCAATAATTTTTATTATATGATGAAATAATATTTTGGATATATTAAATTAAATTAAATATATTATTAAAATTAATTTCAGCTGGGTGCAATGGATCCCACCTCTATTCCAGCACTTTGGGGGGCCAAGGCAGGAGGACCACTTGAGGCCAGGTATTCAAGACCAGCCTGGGAAACATAGCAAGACCCTACTTCTGGAAAAAATTAAAAAATTATCCGAGCATGGTGGCACATGGCTGTATTCCCCACTCCTTGGGAGCTTGAGGCAGGAGACCGCTTGAGGTTACAGTGAAATACAATTATGCCGCTGCACTCCAACCTGGGTAACACAATGAGCCCCTGCTTCTTAAATAAATAAAATTTAAAGATTAAATTCACAGAGGCTGGGCACGGTGGCTCAAACCTGTAATCCCAGCACTTTGGGAGGCTGAGGCAGGTGGATCACAAGGTCAGGAGTTTGAGACCAGTCTGGCCAACATGGCGAAACCCTATCTCTACTAAAAATACAAAAATTAGCCGGGTGTGGTGGCATACGCCTGTAGTCCCAGCTACTCGGAAGGTTGAGGCAGAAGAATCGTTTGAACCTGGGAGGTGGAGGTTGCAGTGAGCCGAGATCACGCCATTGCACTCCAGCCTGGATGACAAGAGCGAAATTCTGTCTCAAAAAAAAAAAAAATTAATTTCACCATTTCATCTCTCCCCATCTTTCCTTTTTTACTGTGACCACAGGGAAACTTACAATTATACAGGCGATTCCAATTCTATTTCTTGTGGACAGTAGATACCTTTACCCCAAGATGGGCCATGTGATGGCAGCTGTGTGACTGCATGAGAAATCAGCACTGAAACATCACAGTCACCACTCTACAGGCTCACCTTGAATTCCCCAGCAGGGTAGAAGCCACAAACCCGCCTCTGCAGCGTCCCACCACCCTCCCTCGTCCCACCACCCTCCCTCGGTTAACCACATCCCCAAGTCAGTTACATAAGCCCTGGTGGGACGTCCCTAAGGCAGCCCCTGGGACTCGGGAAGAGGGGAACTACAGGGACCCCACCCTTCCCCAAGCAATTCTTGCATGACTTCGAGGAAGTCTTCAGAAACCACAGGCTGAGGACGCTTTGTGAAGAAGGTTAAAGAAGGGGGAACAAAAAAATCAGAGACTCAGAGCACGCCAGCCCCCAAGGCAAAGAACAGCTTTTCCCGAGCACTCTGTGATTGTGTACTGCATACCAGACCCAGACCCAGCCCTCCAGGCGACGATGACAATCAGATGGAGACCCGAACCAAGCATGGAGTGGACACTCAGAAGTCTGTAATACAACGCTGTATGTGACAGTGCCACAGCAGGAAGGGAGGAATGGCAGGGAATGTGAAGGAGAAATTATTTCCAGTACAAAGAACCAAGGAAGGCCTCTTAAAGGAGGAGGATCCCGAACTCAGGACTAAGGACACAAATGATTTGAAAACATGGGCTGATGAGGTGGGGGACAGAAGGAAGGATTTGAGACTCTAAAGACATTACAAAACAGAGTGCCTGTAGGATAAAGACATTACAAAACAGAGTGCCTGTAGGATAAAGACATTACAAAACAGAGTGCCCGTAGGATAAAGACATATTACAAAACAGAGTGCCTGTAGGATAAAGACATTACAAAACAGAGTGCCTGTAGGATAAAGACATTACAAAACAGAGTGCCTGTAGGAGATTCGATGATACCTCAGATCAAATTTTTAAAAAGGACTCCAGTGAAGACCTTGAATGAATGCCAGGCTAAACCTTCAACCAAAGTGGCCCAGGGACCTGCCCCTGCTGTGGACTCACCATGTGGCCCTGGGACCAGTCGCCCACTTCCACTCAGGTGTGCCTCAGCTACACAAGGAGAACAAGGATGCCCACCCTCCCTAGAGCTGACCAACTCACCCCCCCAACCCCTGCCCCACCTCGTGCCTCCAGGCCCATTAGTGGTTCTTAGTTCTTTCATGTGAGGACAGCCCTGCAGGGCCTCCGCAGGCCAAGCTGCTGGGAACGAGAGGAAGCAGAGGGAACCTGTCACCTTAAAAGCCACTCCACCCCCTACCCATAGGTGGCCTCTCCTACCTATATGCTTCACACCAACTCCAGGAGACAGGATGAATCCCACAGGATCCTAAAATGGGATTTGTATTTGCCTTTTTAGGAATTTTTTAGTATTTCAATTCAGCAACATTTAAGGGTAAACTCTCTTCTCCCAGTTCTCTCTGCTTCAGTTATGAATCCCTTATTTCTTCAAGCAAGAAAAGATGCTCTTTTGACGGCCTTCTGAAAGGTGGCTGCTGTACCACGGGCCCAGCACCTCTTCACACCCTCTGCCATGTATCTGATGAGTTCCAAATAAGAGAACCAGATCTCTACAAAGGAAAAGAGGAAGCCCATGTGAAGCTGCCTTTGAGAAGAACATGTGCTGTCAAATTCCGGACAAGCGTCTGAAGTTTCTGCGAGATTCCTTCTCCTGTACAGTGACATAGGATACATGTTTGCCTTGCCATATCACAGGTACAACTAATGTGAGGCCTCATTCCACATTTAACCCACAGAAACCAGATGCCATCTCTCCATAATTCATGCACTTACCGGTTCATTCACTCAAGTAAGCACTGGGCACCTGTCATGCCCCACTGTCTATTCTCTCTATTCGTTGTGGTCTCAAAGGGAGGCAATATCTCAGCTAAAGACCCTCACTTCCCAGCCCTCACTACAACTGGTCCCTCTGGTAAGTGACAGCTAATGAGAGGTAAATGAACACTGAGTGAGATTTCCAGGAAGGCTCCTGTTATGGACTGAATGTTTGTGCCCACCCAAATTTACATATTGAAGCCCTAATCCCTAATGTGATTATATTAGGAAGTGGGGCCTTTGGGAGCCATATTAGTCCATTCTTGTACTGCTATAAAGAAATACCTATGGGCCGGGCATGGTGGCTCACGCCTGGAATCCCAGCACTTTGGGGAGGCCAAGGCAGGTGGATCACTTGAGGCCAGGAATTCAAGACTAGCCTGCCCAACATGGTGAAACACCGTCTCTACTAAAAATACAAAAAAATTAGCTGGGTGTGGTGGCAGAAGTCTATAGTCCCAGCTACTCGGGAGGCTGAGGCAGGAGAATCACCTGAACCCAGGAGGCGGAGGTTGCAGTGAGCTAAGATCACACCATTGCACTCTAGCCTGGGTGACAGAGCAAGACTCTAGCTCAACAAAAAAAAAAGAAAGAAAGAAAGAAAGAAATACCTGAGACTGCGTAATTTATAAAGAAAAGAGGCTTAATCGGCTCACAGTTCAGCAGGCTGTACAAGAAGCCTGATTCTGGTATCTGCTCAGCTTCTGGGGAGGCCTCAGGATACTTACAATCATGGCAGAAGGCAAAGGGGGAACAGGGCATCTCACAAAGTGCCTGGACTTGGATCCTGGGTGCGGGGAAAGTGCTACACACTTTTTTTTTGTTGGTTGGTTGGTTGTCTGAGACTGAATCTCACTCTATCGCCCAGGCTGGAGTATAGTGGTGCGATCTTGGCTCAATGCAACCTCTGCCTCCCGGGTTCAAGTAATTCTCCTGCCTCAGCCTCCTGAGTAGCTGGGACTACAGGTCCATGCCACCACCACTGGACAGTCTCCCTGCCAGCAATACATGGCAAGAGTAGCTGCTAAGACACCAATAATAATTTTTGTATTTTTAGTAGAGACAGGGTTTCGCCATGTTGGCCAAGCCGGTCTCAAACTCCTGACCTCAGATGATCTACCTGCCTCGGCCTCCCAAAGTGCTGGGATTACAGGGTTGCAGGTGTGAGCCGCCACACCCAGTCGCTACACACTTTTAAACCAGATCTCATGAGAACTCATTGTCCAAACAACAGTGCTTGGGAGGTGGTGCTATACCATTCATGAGCAACAGCCTCCATGATTAAATCATCTCCCGCCAAGCCCCACCTCCAACATCGCTGATTACAATTCGACAGGAGATTTGGGAGGGAGCACAGACCCAAACCTTATCAGGAAGTAATTAGGGTTAGATGAGGTCCTGAGGGTGGGACCCTCATGAGGAGATCAGTGCCCTTGTAAGAAGGGGAAGAGAGGGAGATCTCTCCCTCTGGTGCACTGAGGAAGCACCATGCTGTCAAAAGGTCTCCTAGGGAAGATTCTGCAAAGCAGGAGTGTATCAGGCAGCAGGCCAGGCCAAGACAGGAAGCACCAAAGAGTTTACACACTTATCTAACTGAGGAAAGTTTAACTGCGACATTGCTTCTCAGTGTCATCACAAAACACAGGACTTCCAAAGTCAGAAACCAATCAATTTCACAATCCCGGAGAGAGCTGGCTATCTGGTTCTCACCATCATATGAAAGATGACACCTAGAAATCTTTGGTACAACCGATAACATTTTACCTTCACATCGTAATAAAGGCCCCAGGCCCTGGTATTTAATACATTATTTGAATAGGGCTCTATGCTCTCAGGTCCTGTGGTGTGCACAAGTCATGCAGTGATTCACTCACAGCAGAGAAACCCAATGAGCCAGCGGAAGAAGTGAGGCCCTGCTTATAATAGTACTAAAGAGGAAAATGTTAGCAGAGCTTGGTTTGAGGTATAAGATGCAATACAGAAAAAATGTTAAATACCTTCATGACTTACAGACACTAACAGCTTTCATGGGAAGAGCTCCATGGAGAAAATTTTAAAAGGCAGCTTATGGGCTGGGCGCAGTAACACACCTGTAATCCCAGCACTATGGAAGGCCAAGGCGGGTGGATCACTTGAGGCCAGGAGTTCAAGACCAGCTTGGCCAACATGGTGAAACCCCGCCTCTACCTAAATACAAAAATTAGCTGGGCATGGTTGTGGGAGCCTGTACTCCCAGCTACTCGGGAGGCTGAGGCAGGAGAATCACTTGAATCCAGGAGGTGGAGGTTGCAGCAAGCCAAGATCGTGCCACTGCACTCCAGCCTGGGCAACAAAGTGAGACTCTGTCTCAAAAAAAAAAAAAAAAAAAAAAGCCTGCTCATAAATGAATGTGATGTGACCTTCATTAGACACTGTGACTATGAAGCCCTTAGAAATGTGGAAATGTAGAGCATTCCACGAAGGGTCATCGGCAAAGGAGGTGGCGGGTAGAGAAGCCTGGCATTGTTGAGGCTGCAGTCATGCCCCTCTGACTCAACTTCCACTGTTGCCCACAATGGCTCTTGGGGAGGAACAAGAGCATCTGCACATTTGCATTGGCTACAACAAAGGTCCAAGACAGGAGGGAGTTTACAGACCTCCCAGTTCAAGCCCCTCATTTTTCAAAGGAGAGCCCAGAATAGGTGATGTCACATAGCTGTTTAGTGGCCCCCCAGAGCCAGGAAGCCACAGCCCCTGACCCCTAGTCTGGAGCTATTTCAGTTCAACCATGCAGTGTGTACCCCCCGGAGTAACTCATTAACACAGTCACCAGACAATTGGACGGTCTCCCCGCCAGCAATACATGGCAAGAACAGCTGCTAGGGCACCAAAGACAAGATGGAAACCCCACTATGCACAGGATTGCTACCTCCTGCCTGCGGCTCCCGTCCTGAAGCCTTACGCGGGTCCAGCTGACAGGCCCGTGGTTAGCTCCAGCAACTGCAAAGGAGGTGGCTGCCCAAAGTCATACTCTAGCAGGTGGTAGCTCCAAGTCAGGAAGAGAGCTCTCAAGACCAGACCAACCTAGTATCTGACTACTCACAAACCTACAGGTCTGGATACAGATGATTACAAAGGAGAAAATAATCATAGCAGTTACTGCTTTAGCATTTATTCTGTTTCAGATAATGTGTATAAAGTGTTCTGAATATAGTACATTTATACTATATAGTATATAGATATAGTACATCATTTAAGTCTCAAAATAACCCGACAGGCCTAACCCAGAGCTTTCATTCTAAATTTTTTTTTTTTCTTGAGATGGAGTTTTGCTCTTGCCACCCAGGCTGGAGTGCAATGGTGCGATCTCGGCTCACTGCAATCTCCACCTCCTGGGTTCAAATGATTCTCCTGCCTCAGCCTCCCAAGTAGCTGGGATTACAGGTGCCCGCCACCATGCCCAGCTAATTTTTGTATTTTTAGTAGATACGAAACAGGGTTTTTTAGTAGATACAACGGGGTTTCACCATGTTGGCCAGGCTGAACTCCTGACCTTAGGTGATCCGCCTGCCTCAGCCTCCCAAAGTGCTGGGATTACAGGGGTGAGCCACCACACCCAGCCTCATTCTAAACTTCTATTAAACACCACTTGCCGGTGCTGCAAACTCCTGACAAAGAAGTACCAGTCAAGGCAGCGCAGCCTTAGCTCTCCACACAAATCAAGGACACAGTGGCCACCGTCACACAGGTCGGGATGGGCAGGGAGGTTTGGAGGGTATAAGATTTGCAGAGACCGCCAACGAGGAGCAGAGGAGAAGTGGGGAGAAGGCCTGCTGCTGTAGGAGCTGAGCTCATCCCCAACCAGAGTCCCGAAAATGGGGTCTAGAGAGGCTGATCCTGAAAGCCCTCATGCCTGCCTGAGCTTAGCCTCCTACCCCCCACCACACAGTCTCACCTGCTCTGAGGAACAACTTGGACCCCATTCACAGGGGAGCCAGGAGCATGAATGAGATGCAGAGAGGCACGGGGCAGGCAAAATTTCCCCACCTAGAGGCACAGGCCTCCTACTGCCTTCCCCACTCCCCTTTCTAAATGTCTTAGTACTTAAAATCCAAAAGGACTCTGGGGTTTACTTGGGAATGGTTGGGCTCAGTATGCATACACCCCCCCAGCACTTGGCCAAAGCAATGATGGAGCAAAAGAAGCTTCCAGAACCCCCTGGATGCCTGGACATGGATTGGGAGGAAGGAATGCCCCACTTTCTTCTAGAGAAAGTTGGAAAGATACCAGCCCAGGGCGAAGCAGGCTCTGCGTGAGGTGAGCAGTGACCCTGCAGGCACGGGGTGGCAGGACCCGGAGGAAAGAGAAGCCCCAGCCAAATGACAGGTCGGCCAGCTTCTACCCCTCGTGCTTCGCTGGAGGAATCTCACCCCCACAGGGCCCGGGGCAAGGCCCCTGCTCGATGGGGGCAACCACTTGGTAGGAAGCCTCTGTCCTTTTTAACTTGATACTGTTTTGTCCTTGCCTCTTTACAGTGAATGTCACAGGCACTGCTGGAAAGAACCCCTCCCCCGGCTAGAAGCTCATGAAGAAAAGCATCAGAGGCCTTTCCAACCCAACCGAGGAAGATCAAAAACCTTTGAAAACATGGTCAATAACCCCTGGGGGGTCTCAGTGAGGGAGGGATGGGCAGGACAAACATCAAAATGGACAAGAGACAAGGATGTCTGTTCTCAACTTTATTAAAGCCGTGGTTTTCTGCCTATATTCTGAGGAATCCCAGGGACCGGCAGTTCATGGACTGCCTGAGTCCTTCCAACCTGCAAGCTGCCCATCCTGCACTCCCCCTTCAACTCCTGAATGATGCTTCATTGAAGAGGACCAGAGATAGAAACTGGCCATTCTGATAGCACCGTTTCACCCCTGAGGATGTCTGGCATATATTTTAATCCAAATTATCTCAGAACAAAGTTTCCTTTGAAAACATCTTCTGGAGAGAATTCCATTAAGCCCATTTAGTTCCTTGATTATTTTTCACACCGAGGTGCTTCTAATTTTTCATTTTTATTTAGTCAAAATTATTCTCCTGAGGATTGATTCCTTTCTATTTCAAATAGATTTGATTGAATGAACAGTTTCATCCATATCAAATTTTACTAAATGTAGCTTGTGGCACGGAGTTTTTCATTATTTCTATCAAAATTTTCCTGAATCAGTTTCTTAAAGATCTAAAAATTTGGTGAGGCGTGGTAACTCATGCCTGTAATCCTAGCACTTTGGGAGGCTGAGGCGGGCAGATCACCTGAGGTCAGGAGTTCAAGACCAGCTTGGCCAACATGGCGAAACCCCATCTCTAATAAAAATACAAAAATTAGCTGGGCCTGGTGGCAGGCACCTATAATCCCAGCTACTCAGGGGGCTGAGGCAGTAGAATCATTGGAACCTGGGAGGTGGAGGTTGCAGTGAGCCGAGATCGCACCACTGCATTCCAGCCTAGGCAACAAGAGCGAAACTCTGTCTCGGGAAAAGAAACAAACAAAAAAAAAGATCTAAAAATTTGTCAAACATAGGGGACATCATTTTTTCTCGGTCCCAAAGGTTACCATGTACAGTCTGAGCCATTATCAGTTTAATAGTGTTATTTCTCCCAACAATGTATATTACAAAGTAAACAAGAAATCTATGGTATGTATCTACCCTTAGAGAAATGAGAAAACCACGGGCAGTCTTAAGAGAGACAGCACCTGCAGCTGTACCATAGACAGACTACAGAGCCCTTTAATATGTCGGAGCAGCAAGAGAGCTTTGCAGGGTTAGAAATATCAAGGTCAAACGGTTTTGTTCCAGCCTGAGCTTAAAGGGGAACTTTTAAAAAATAAAAATGTAAAAGCTACTACTTGCTTCAAAATACAGCTAGGAGTAAGAAGGGAGAGCTGGGGGTGGGGGTAAAGATGAAACAGGATTGCCCCAAGGTTGGTAATAGAAGCTGGATGACAAACATCCAAGGTTCCATTACACTGTTGTCTATTTTGCATATATTTGAAAGTTTTGACCCCAGTTTCTGGCAAGACAATCCCTACTGCCAACAGTCATCCAGACTAACCAGGGGTGAGTCTGACTCAAGGGTTTCGGTTGGGGGCATCAGGGAAGGTTCATCAAGCACTGAGCCCACCTCTGCTTATCTTCAGTACTAGACACCAGCCTGCAGTTCACCTCTGGACACCGCATGTTCAGACACAGCACCCAGAGGGCTTCCCATTGCACTCAGGAAGCACCGGTTCCTCTGCCTTAAGCTGGCACTATTTGTCACCCTACAGAATCTCCCTAATTCATGTAAAAGCTGGCAGGAGGATGGTCTTGGGCCTTATGTTTTCACAGGGCACTACTTAGCCTGAGTCAGTGTGCCTCGGCTAGTTAGCCGACTGATGTCTATGACCTGTCCCCACACTTCCATCCTTTCACAATTACAAGCAGCTTACAGGGCCTGCCAGCTACACACAGCAGGCCTCCGGGAACGACGCATCCCAAATCAAATCCTTCCTGTTGCTGCAGCAACCCCATAGATGCCAGGCTCTTCCTGCCCACCCTAGCCAGAAGGGTGCGCCCACATTCCTCCTCATCCTCCTCCCGCTCTCACCTTCATGCTCTAGCAGTGTGCCACCGGCTAGAGAATCGACTGGCCAGGTGCAAGGCAGGGGCCTGAGCTGGGGGTAGACAGCAGTACCCAAAAGGAAAAAAACCCCACAACAGCACCCCAGGGTACCACCACCAAACCTAGACTCCTCACCCACAGAACCAAATAACAGGGTCTTTGCGCTCAGGGAGACGGAGACAATGTAGACCAATTGTTTTATTTTCTAGGAGAAAACTTCAGAGCCTAACAAATAAATTGGCCTGCTCAAAGCATCAAGCCTGGGTATTCTATCAGCCCCAATCCAAGCTGCCTTCCCTGCCAGCCAGCCACACAGCCATCCCCGACATCACACTCTCGCACTCTCTCTGTCCCCAAAACACACACGCAACATGCCCCACCTCTTAATTCTTCAAATGTGTGCAAACTCACAGAGCTCCTCCACTGCGGTGGGTTTCCCTGAGCTCAGCAGGGCTGTATCTTCCTCCCTGCACGTCCACTCACAATTCTCTTCCATCTCTGCCTTTGTCCCCCACCTACACTGTCATTCCCAGGACCCACAAAACACCAGCATCTCTTAAGACACACACACACCAATCAGGGAAGCTATTTCATCCTCCACTGGGATGCACGATGCAGACCCAGGCCACGAACCTGGTCATTGCCTGACATTGTGAGGGAGTGGAGAGCCCTGCTTTATGCCGCACGGTGGCAGAGAACTGGAATATTGCACGCCGGGAAAGTCCATGTGTTCTGTAATTATGCCTCATGACATTCCTTTGCAGTTAATGAGTAGCTGCCGGTTTCCAGTCACAAGGGTGGAGCATAGGAGTGGAGAGGTGGATGTATAAAGAACTGGGATGCCAGAAGAGGAAAGAGCATCTCCCTCCCCTAAGCTATAGCTATAGCTAATTTTTGTATTTTTAGTAGAAACAGGGTTTCACCATGTTGGCCAGGCTGGTCAAGAGTGAAACACGGTCCCCCAACAAGAACACATTTTGATGCCGTGCACAAAACTGGCATTGATTTGACCAGGACAATTGGACCAGTGACAACTGGGCCACTATGAGGCCATGGTCTGTGTCAAGAGAACCAGGAAGAGCAGAGTATATCCCTGGCACCAACAATAACCATTATCTTGGGTCTACAACCTTGAACAAGGACCTGAAGGCATCAGATTCCCTTGGCAGAGCTCTGATCTCCCGACTCCTACCTCTCTCCTTCCTCTCCAGCAGAAGAACCAGGTGGCCAGTTGCTCCCTCCCCCAGTCCTGCCTCTCTACAGGTACACACTTCTCTGCCTGGGGGTTGCGAGCATAACACCCACTCCTCCAGTAACTGCTCCCCAAGTGCATGGTTCCACCTGCACCATGTGGACAAACAAGCCCCCTGTAGCTCTCCAATCTTAACACACCATAATGGCAACAAAAGAAACATTTTGGGCCAGGTGCAGTGGCTCACGCCTGTAATCCCAGCACCTTGGGAGGCTGAGGCAGGTGGATTACATGAGATCAGGAGGTCGAGATCAGCCTGGCCAACATGGTGAAACCCTTTTTCTACTAAAAATGCAAAAAATTAGCCGGGCGCGGTGGTGCATGCCTATAATCCCAGCTACTCAGGAGGCTGAGGCAGGAGAATTGCTTGAACCTGGGAGGCGGAGGTTGCAGTGATGAGCCGAGATTGCGCCACTGCACTCCAGCATGAGGTGACAAGAGCGAAACACGGTCCCCTCCCCCAAAAAAAGCACATTTTGATGCCTTGCACAAAACTGGCATTGATTTGACCAGGACAATTGAGCCACTATGAGGCCGTATTCTGTGTCAAGAGAACCAGGAAGAACAGAGTATATCCCTAGCACCAACAATAACCATTGTCTTGGGTCTACAACCTTGAACAAGTCACTAAACTTTTCAGATTGGAATGCCAAGGCCTCTGCTAACTCCAAGGAAGCCTCAGTTACAGTACTGAAAATACATAATTATACATAATTACAGCAGGGACCCATGAGGAAAGTTCTGTAATGCAGTATCTGGCTTAAACAACATACGCAAATTGTGAGCAGCAGACTAGTTAACCACAAGCTATGTTGCTTTTGCTATCTTATTTATTGCTGTGCAAGTTTGCAAATTTTCCATAATAAAAAAGTTTACAAAATTGCTTCTCAATACATTTCTTAATCAGCTGTTGCTTTGCTATTTACCTACCACACAGTTCTTTCTTTAAACTCGAAATTATGTCACTGGCTTAAGCAATAGCATAATTTGAGGGGAAAAGGGAGATCCATACTATTTATCAAGACAAAAAATAACCACGGTTTCTAGTCAAATGTTTTAAACCAATCACAATAAAACTTTTTTTAAACAGCTGGGGAAATTTGAAAAAGGCCTGGATACTAGATGATATTTAAAAACTAATTTTGTTAGGTGTAAAAATGTGACCTTTTAAAGGTTCTTACCTGTTAGAGATACATATCTAAATACTTAGGTGTGCAGTGATAAATCTATGAACAGCTTTAAAATAATCAAGGAAAAAGCTAGAGGGGGAGGGTGGACGAAACCTGATTGGCAAGAGGTTAACAATTGTTGACGCTGGTGATGGGCACATGTGGTCCACTGATTATTCTACTTTTGCAGAAATTCCATAATAAAAAGTTGTAAAGAAATATTTTTTGAAGGCGTTGGTTCATCAGTTATCACTTTTGTTCTTTACCTTCCACATAATCACAAAACTCAAGAAAACGCTTACTAAAAGAATAGGGAAAACCAAAAATATTTGTCAATGGTTGTCCTCATTAAAGGCAACATTTCAAATAAATGAGCAAACAAAAGTAAAACAAGACCAGGTGCGGTGGCTCACGCCTGTAATCTCAGCACTTTGGGAGGCCAAGGCGGGTGGATCACATGAGGCCAGAAGTTCAAGACCAGCCCGGCCAACATGGCAAAACCCCGTCTCTACTAAAAGTACAAAAATTAGCTGAGTGTGGTGGCAGGCGCCTGTAGTCCGAGCTACTCAGGTGACTGAGGCACGACAATCCTTGAACCCAGGAAAGGGAGGCTGCAGTAAGCCGAGATTGCACCACTGCACTCCAGCCTGAGCAACAGAGCGAGACCCTGTCTCAAAAAAAGGAAAAGAAATATCTAAGATTGCCAATGAGGGGAGGTAAACAGTCAAAATGTTACCCAAACAAGAGACAGGTTTACAAGGCTGAGCTGCTCATGGTCCCTTAAAGCCCATATTACCCACATGCAATCTTTTAAGATGTACGGGAAATGAAGGGGCCCAGCAATGGCCCCAATAGCCTGTTAGTGGCCACACCACTCCAGTTGTCCAAAAGTTCTCATCTCTAACTTCAGTCTCTTCTGCGATGATTTAAAGCTCTCAGCTCTTTCTCTGTCCCTAGCAGAGACAGAAAAACAACAAAACATGCCCACTTATAATTACAAAGCACTAAATCAGGATAGAGCACTTTCAAGGAGAGCCAAAACCAAACTGCAGGCACCTGGATAAGCCCTGTCCCTCCCCACAACTCCACCTCTACTGCCCTGATGGAGGGAGGATAAAGGAGCCAGGACAGGGGTGTTTATGAAACCTCTACTATATGCCAGGTGTGAAGCCACAGAGTCCAGCCCATAGCCCTGCTTAGAAGTATTGTCAGACCCATTTTACACCCAAAGAAACTGGTGAAGGCACTGGTCCAAGGTCACAGGGCTAGAAAGGAAGGAGACTGGGACTCATACCCAGGTCTCCGACTCTGACCACCTGGAGAGAAGAAGCACCAATGCAGGGCCCCATATTATCCCCCCTCTCCAGTGGTATATTATCTATTAAGTTTGACGTTTCAGTGAACCAGCTGCTCCTCTGGCCGTGCTTAAGTAAGCTTCACTGAAGCTTACAAGACTGACTCTCTAGACTGTAGATCCTGATGGGAACCCACAGTTTGATAAACTCTCTCCATGCCACCATCTGCACACCCATTTTGCCAAGCCCTCTCTCTACAGGGCATCCAAAGGCCTCACAATCCCTGTTCAACCCCTCCTTACTGCCTAGTTCTGGAAGCCTCTGCACATGTATCCAGCATGGGTTCTTTCCTGGATTATTTGTAAAGCTTTCTCACCACCTGCCCACTTGGCTGGAAGCGCCAATGTCAAACTTTCATAAGCTAATCCTGGGTGCTACTAGTCTCTATTTGGCGACTGCTTTCCAACACACTTGAAATAAATGGGTTCAAAGTCGTTAACATTCCTCGTGCCTCAGATGAAAATACTCAAAATAAATGATGGAGGGGAGTTATCTGTCAATGGCCCCTTCCCTGCCAGCTGGGATCAACAAAAGGAGCCTCTCAATTGGAGAGCTTCTCCATATTGGCCAGGATTGGTCTTTTGCCAGCCAGTACCTCACACAACAGCTTGGCCTCAGTCCCAGGGGATGCCATTTAACAGAGGCAGAGGACACACCCACTCTAGACAAAGTGACTTCAGTTAACACCAACTCACTCTGCAACTCAGAAGCCCAGAGCTTTCTACTCTTGGCCTATGAGCCTGGGAGAGACCCATAAAAGGTATGTGAAGGGAGAGGAGAGAAGGACAACTCAAACCCAGGGACACCAGCACACACTGGACGACCGAATGCCTGGTGAGTGCCCCAGACCCAGGACCTTTGGAGTTAAGATGCTACAGCAAAAAAGTCTGGCAACCCACAGCCCTCTCCTTTATGCATAGTACATAGGATTTCTAGGATCTCGTCACAGCAGTATTGCCCCTTGTGTCCTGGAAAGTCTTATGAGAGCCAAAACTGTGTTACTGAATTTAATTCCCATATTCTAGCACAGTGGCTGGTACACTGCAAATGTTTAAGAAATATTTGTATAATTAAGGTACCTAGCTATGGTAGAAATGATAATCCACAAACAACTCCCTTATGATCAATCGTTATTCATGCATTTGCGATTTTTTTCTCCTGTGACTCCTGCAATTAGATAAATGTCTATCTGGACAGGTTTATCCTTGAAAATGGCCACTTAGGGTGATGTAAAAGCTCACCTGAATAATCAAACTGTATACAGAAAGTCATGTCATATGAACGCCATTCTCTCAAGATCTAACTCATTCCCCGCTCCGCTCAACCTCACCCCTTCCAAGCTGGGCGATACATAACCCAGATCCCAATGGGGCTTCAGGAAATTAAGCCTGGGAAAAGAATTTACCCTCTCTGACTTCATAGGACCAAGTTTCTGTACTTCTTTTGTCAGTTTGCCACGTTATAAAATAGTATATGTGAAAAAATACTTTGAAAACTGCCCAACGCCATGAACATATCAGGAATACATCTCACGAATTATTTCACCATTCACTTGGTCTTCTCAACAAGACTGCAAACTCTTTGAAGGCACCGTGAGTCCTCACCACTAACATGGTAGAGAAGCTGCACTTAGAAACAGGTGCTCCGCCAAGCCCTCCAGTAGCCAGGAACATTGGCTCTTCTCTTCCCACCTCCTCCACGTTTCAGACTTCCCTGGGTCACTCAGCACTGTTTGTTGCCTGGTACACTTAAACACAGCCAAAGGAGCAACTGGTTCACTGAAACGTCAAACCCCTACCTCCAATCTAACTTTGCTTCTGGATCAGCATAACTTGGCTTAATTTTAACTATCACCTGCAAGAAGATCTGCAAAGGAATTCAAGGTCAGAGGGACACAGATGAAAATGAGGGCCTAATATAAACATGAATTAGCAAAACATACCTTTCTGGTAAGCACAGCATATGAAAAATCTGAGGGATCTATTATCATGTAAGTGGGAAGACGCTCGGCATGGCTGCAGCCGGCGGGCCCTGGCCAGAGCAGGCTATCAGAAACAGCATCAGAGCACAAGGGCATACACAGCTAGTGGCCCCTCTGGCTGCCGGAGGCCATACCACTTCAGGCCACCTGTGGGCCTGTGGAAGGATGGGAATGGCCTAGTGACAGGGCCAGGGTAGCAGCTCCGCCCCTGCCTGGGGAGGCAGAATCGGCACAAACTGGTGTGGCAGGGGCTCTCCATGTGAGCCCGGGTTCCTGGCAGATCTCATTTCCACCTGGTATTGCCAAGCAAAGCAGGTCTGAGGAACTCAGGGGCCTTCTCCCAGCTCTAAATGGCTGGGAACAAACTTCAGCCAATGGAACTGAGAATGAAAAAGGATAAGATATCCACACAGAGAAATCCAAATGTCTCAGGGTTGAAATGACTACACCTTAAGCCTTTGTAATTCTGTCAATTCCAAACACTCCTTTTTTATTTCTTTTGTTTTTGAGACAAGGTCTCACTCTGTCGCCCAGGCTACAGTGCAGTGGCAGTGGCACAATCACGGCTCAGTGCAGCCTCAACCTCCTGGGCTCCAGAGATCCCACCACCTTAGCCTCCTAGGTAGCTGGGACTACAGGAGCACACCAACATGCCCAGTTAATTTTTTGTATAGATGGGGTTTTGCCACGTTGCCCAGGCTGGTCTTGAACTCCTAGGCTCAAGCGATCCACCCGCCTCAGCTTCCCAAAGTGCTGAGATCACAGGCATGAGCCACCATGCCGGGCTGCAAGCATTCCTCTTTAAAGCAAGTACTCATTTTTCATCTTTACTTTGCACCACGCAACATGAAGATGCGGAAAGGATAAGATGCAATTTCTGCTCTCAAGGAGCTCACGGTTCCAGGGCAGGCTTCTTGACCCATGGTTTAGAGGTTGGGAACACAGATCAAGACTCAGGCTTCTAGACTCATTAGCTGTGTGACCCTGAGTACTTTCTTACTTCTCTGTGCCTCAGTTACCTCACCTGCAAAACACAGATAATAACAGAACGTAGCTCATAGAGTTGCTGCAAGGAATAAGTGAGTTAATACATATAAAGTGCAGAGAAAAGGCACGCAGTAAGCAGTACAGAGTGTCAGCTGTCATATAAGCAAGCATTATGTAGCATTAGCTTGTGGGTATTAACCCACATGACATGCATGATATTTAAAGGGACGCAACATATACCATGAAGTTATAATTTATGCACCCATGCACATGTCTGTTTTCAGAGGATGACAACCATAACGCTCAAGTTCTCAAAGAAGCAGAGCTGACAAAAAGCCGAGGGAGCGGGGCTAAAGGAAGGGTTCATGAAAGTTACATTGACTTGTGCCTTCATTTTAATCCAGCAAAGGGTAAAAGCTAAGCAGTGCTGTCCAACAGAACTTTCTGCAATAATGGAAATGTTCTCTATCTGCACCGTCCCAAAATAGTAGCCAGCCTCCACGTGTGGCTACTGAGCACTTGAAATATGGCCAGCCAGGGTGAATCAATGAATTTTTGGTTTAATTTTAATTAATTTACATTTAAGCAGCTATGTGTGGCTAATGGCTACTATTTTGAACATCACAGAGCTAGTCAGTCTGGGAAGAAAGAAGTCACAGGCAAAGACTGGATTACGCAATGATGCAAAACATTCCCTGATGTAATCAGAAATCATGAGTAGAACACCACGACGTACCCTGCAATTGTGAGTAGTGACGTGCGTGTACACTGAACCACAGCACAGAGAAGTCCAGATGCCGAAAGACAAGAGGGGCCAGGCCAGGCCGTGAAAAGCTTTGTGCGCTGTGGTCAGATTTGGGCTTGACACTGGAGACAGAAGAAATGTTCTGTACTAGCCAGGGTTCTCCAAAGAAACAGAACTGATAGGATGTTTATATAAGCATTTATTATAAGGAACTGGCTCGTGCAATTATGGAGGCTGGCAAGTTCAAAATCTGCAGAGCTCAAAATCTCCAAGTAGGCTGGAGACCCAGGAAAGAACTTACATTGCAGTTCAAGACCAAAGGCCGTCTGCTGCAGAATTCCCTCTTGCTCATGGGAGGTCCCTCTTTTGCTCTATTCAGACCTTTAACTGATTGGATGAGGACCACCCACACTGGGGAGGGCAATCGGCTTTACTCTAAGTCCACTGATTTAAACGTTAATGTCATCCAAAAACACCCTCGCAGTAACAACCAGAATTATATTTGACCACATATCTGGACACTGCAGCCCAGTCAAGCTGACACATAAAATTAACCATCACATGTACTAAAGTTTTTGAGCAAGACTATCAGTAGAACTCACTTTGGTAAGATAATTCAGCCGGGAGGCAGTAGGGAGGGATGGAGGTTTCAGGAGGCAGGAAGACCGGTTGAAAGGCTATTTCAGGCCGGGGGCGGTGGCTAACGCCTGTAATCCCAACACTTTGGGAGGCTGAAGTGAGTGGATCGCTTCAGCTCCGGAGTTCAAGACCAGCCTGTGGAACATGGTGAAAACCCGTCTCTACTAAAAATACAAAATTAGCCAGACATGGTGGTATGCACCTGTAAGGTGAGGTGGGAGGACTGTTTGAGTCTGGGAGGCAGAGGTTGCAGTGAGCCGGGATTGCACCACTGCACTCCAGCCTGGGTGACAGAATGAGAGACCCTGTCTCAAAAACAAAACAAACAAACAAAAAAAGGCTATTTCAATGCTCTGGGTAAGACATGAGGGATTGCACCAAAAAAGTGACAATGAGAAATGACTCATTTAGTATTTGTTAAAGTATGAATGAATGGATTCTGTGACTTTACAAAACACTCACTTTATGAGAAGCTAGCATTTCCTCACAAATCTCCAACACAATGTAGAATGGGAAAGGAGGTTTTCCATACAACATAAAGGGAGGGAAGTGATGTAGCAGAGAGATACAGGTAGTTACCATAGATACGGAGATACAGGTAGATACAGAGATACAGGCAGTTACTATATTTCCATGCTCAAAAGAGTCTTATGCCTGCTCTGTGGGTAACTTAAGCCCACCTTTAACTCCTTCTAACTCACAGCCTTTCTAGAAGATAAACTATAGTACCAACGTGGCAGTCTGTTAGCTGCTCCCAATATCCATTCCCCGCTTCATCCTTAAAACAACCTTGCCTGGCTAGCTAAAAGACTCCAAGTCAAGCCTCCCTTGCAGCTACCTGTGACTACCTGACCAAGTTCTAGCAATGAATGGAAAATGTGTTGTCTGGGACTCCCAAGTAGACTCTTTAAAATAGAAGGGACATATATCCCTTCCTCATTTCCTCCTTCTGTCCTGAAATGCAGATGTGATGGCTGGAGTTCCTGGAGCCATCTTCAACCACAAGGTGACGTGGAAGATTGGACTCAAATATTAGGATGTGAGCAGCAAACAGAACACTCGGTTTCAGTGACCATGAAATCACAGCACTAATTCCGGACTGCCTAATTTAGGTCCTCTGTTAGTTGAGAGACGGAATCCTTGTGTGTTTAGGCCATATTTTTGAGTTCTGTTGCTTACGATCAAACATAATTCCTAACTGATAGATGATACAGCTATTATTTTGTGCACAAACAATGTAGATTTCAAAATTTCAGGCCACATACCTTCACCCATATATTTTCCTATGGCCTTGGGTGTTGATATGGGGCTAGGCAGAAGAGGAGCCTACATAAACTAATACGGCATCTTACACCTCATGATTTCCTTCCAACAGCTGCTCTCAATAAAGGGCCCACTGTAGATACCTTCTACCACCTTGGATGAGTGCCCAGGTCAGTGTGAAAACAGACACCCCCCCTTCTCTACATAAGGAGAACCTTCACTAAGCTGGCCTTACCCTGAGATCAAGAGACTTAAAGAATGCAAAAACCTCAGAAGATTTTGATATGCCACTGCTTTTAGAAATAACACCAAGCACTTTCTCTGGGGTGTGGTGCTTTGACAAAGGGCTGGGGCATACACTTGGGGCTGACAGTGAATTGATGAGCACAGGGCATCTTTTTTTACTTCCATTTAAACCACTTCCTCAGGCCGGGCACGGTGGCTCACACCTGTAATCCCAGCACTTTGGGAGGTCAAGGCAGTTGAGGTCAGGAGTTTGAGACCAGCCTGGCCAACATGACAAAACCCCGTCTCTTCTAAAAATACAAAAATTAGGCTGGGCGCGGTGGCTCACGTCTGTAATCCCAGCACTTTGAGAGGCCAAGGCGGGCAGATCACGAGGTCAGGAGATGGAGACCACCCTGGCTAACAGTGAAATCCCATCTCTACTAAAAATACAAAAAATTAGCTGGGCATGGTGGCTCACGTCTGTAATCCCAGCTACTTGGGAGGCTGAGGCAGGAGAATTGCTTAAACCTGGGAGATGGAGGTTGCAGTGAGCCGAGATTGCGCCACTGCACTACAGCCTGGGCAACAGAGTGAGACTCTGTCCCAAAAAAAAAAAAAAAAAAAAAAAATTAGCCGGGTATGGTGGCACACACTCATAATCCCAGCTACTTGGGAGGCTGAGGCAGGAGAATCACTTGAACCTAGGAGGTGGAGCTTGCAGTGAACTGAGATCGTGCCACTGCGCTCCAGCCTGGGTGACAGAGCAAGACTCCGTCTCAAAAATAAAAATAAACCACTTACCCAAAATGAAACCTACAAAGTGAGGCTTCCTAACCAGAGCCCATCATTGCCTTAACTGAAGCAAACAGGTGCTCCATCCTCCATGAGAAGGTAAACTCCCCCCATGCCCATGAAAGTTTTAAATGGAAGAAACTAATAAATATCAAACTAATAAAGGCCATCGAGAATGGAGAAGGGGAAAGAACTGGTGGGAGGCAGAAACAGGAAGTGGCTGGAGAAGACAGGGGAAGACACAGCTGAGGAACCCACATTCCAGAAGATTCTTCAGAAGAGACCCAGTTGATGTGGCCTCCCATGAAGCCCTTCGGAATTCTACCGGGAGCTGACCAGCTCTCAGCAAAACCAAGCTAGTGAGGGTTGGGGTGGACAGAAAAAAATACTAGACCCAGCTCCTTATCTTAGAAACTCAATTTCGTCCCAGAAACACCAGGCTTGGGAGTAGCTAGAACAGCAGCATGAGCATTCGCATGCTTTTTAGTATCACTCAACTCTCCTGTCTGTGTTCACTTGTGCCCACTCAAGGCTACAGGCTAAGGAATGACAAAGTGGGAGCCAGGGTTCCTCCACAGCTCCACATGCTGTGGATTCAGGAACCCCAAGACAGGGCAGCTGACCCCAAAACTACTTTCTCTCTCTGGCTGATCAACACTACAAATTCCCTTTTGGTAGGGCTGCCAGATTTAGCAAATAAAAATATAGGCCTTCCAGTTAAATCTGAATTTCAGGTAAACAATTTTTTTAGCTTATGTACCAAATATGGCATAGAACAAATTTATACCTAAAAAAAAAAATCTGAAATTTAACTGGGTGTTCTGTATTCCCATGTTCTATCCGCCAATCTTACTTCTGGCTTAAACTCCACAAGGACATCCCACTGGGTAGAAATGAAAAGTCTACCTACAGCCTGCACTTCTAAGCATTTCCCACTTAGTGTAAAGGGTGTAGTTCTGTCTCTCACATGTGCAGAGGTTCCCACAGCATGATGAACCCTGAGTTGGGAATATGCAGTCCCACCAGGTTGGAAGCAGGGTATTCCAAGCTATGGGAATGTTTGTAAGTCAGAACCACTTGAAGCCCCAGAGACCATAAATCTCTAAGTCTTATCAGTCATTTACTTCTCAGCATGAATAATTTCATCAGATTCTTCAGGGTAGATTTTCATAGAAGTCACAACTGGAAGGGCTGGGGAAGAAGTAGAAAAGAAAGGAAGGAAAGCAGGGGCATCCTCTGAGTCAGGAAAGGAACAGAAGGTGCACCAAGAGTGCACAGCCGGGGCCCAAACCTCGTCACCAGGCAACATAAAAAGGCCAGCCTGTGTCGACAAAACTCGTAGCAGAAACACAACCTATGCTCTGATTTCCTTTCACTGAAAAATTAATCACTCTGCCACTCTTGCCAGGGAATGCCTGTGGTTTACAGAGGGGAAGGGGCTATCCATGTCCATGCAATCACTTTACTGAAAGCAGAGTACAGTTGAGAAGAAGGAAGGAAACATCTGAAGAGCATCATGGTTTCAGGGAACCAAACTCCACACCCTGTTTCCCCTCTAACCACTATGCTGTGGTGACAAACCACACCTGTTAGCTTCACAGAGAACACTGCCTGCCCAGCAGCACCAAGGGGGGCTCAGCCATGCCTCTGTGAATAGCAAAGGAGATAAGAAAAAGGGAGTTGCCCATGACAAACCTCCCAACTAACAAGGTGATGGAGGGCAGCTCCTCCAGCCCAGTGCTTCCTGGCTAAGACCTGCCTGCAACCAGTCCCCCACGCGGACTTCCTGCCACCTGCCAGACAGAATGGGGTTGAATGCAAATGGTTCATGGCATCACCAGAAAAGAAAACCTAAGCCAGGCGCGGTGGCTCATGCCTGTAATCCCAGCACTTTGGGAGGCCAAGGTGGGTGGATCACCTGAGGTCAAGAGTTTGAGACCAGCCTGACCAACATGGAGAAACCCCATCTCTACTAAAAATACAAAATTAGCTGGGCGTGGTGGCGCATGCCTGTAATCGCAGCTACTCGGGAGGCTGAAGCAGGAGAATTGCTTGAATCCGGGAGGCGGAGGTTGTGGTGAGCCGAGATCACACCATTGCACCCCAGCCTGGGCAACAAAAGCGAAATTCCATCTAAAAAGAAAAAAGAAAAGAAAACCTCAAGATCAGCAACACTCTCCCTGCTCCAGCCCCAGACGCCCGAGGCAGAGCCAGCCAAGCAGGAGGTGCAACCCTTCTGGCAGAAGCCCAAAAATCTACTTGTGTGTGTCAGGAGCCTTTGACCTGGGTCAAAAGCTGCAACACATCTCCTTCCTGACCCCATCCTAATTCAAGATTCCAAGTTTCCAAAGTGCAGCTGCTTCTTTCCCAGAATCTTCAGCCAAGACTGTCAGGCAGGATGTGATCTTTCAGGCGAAGGAGAGTTAAGAGTCCATGCTCAGTTCTTGCCATAAATCTCCAGGAACTCTGCTTTGAGACAGATGCCCTGTCATTCCACTACGTGCCCTTACTTTGGGCAGCAGGAATGACGCAGTTCCCAGGAACTGGCCTGTGGCCACCCAGGGGGAATGTGACCAGGGCCACAGGGAAGAACGTCACTGAGCCAGACCTCCTCACCCAAAGTCCCGTGGCAAGAACTGCCCCCAGGCAGGCAAGTGGCTCTGCAGAGATAAAGTGACGGGGAAGAAGGAAGGCATGACAAAGCCACACTGAAGTCCTAGCAGGAACAGGGCACCATGAGGGGAAAGTTCCCAAGGACTCCAGATTCTTGGAACAAGAGCTTCTCGGAACAAGAGCTTCTCAGTTACCCTAGCCAAGAAGAGGCAGGGGTGTGCAGGGAAATAACTGCACCAATGAGCTCAAAAACTGCCTTTAGTCCTAAAAGCCCATTCTCCTCAGATGTGCCAGAGTGTCTTTCAGATTTGCAAATAGTCATAAATGCCTCCTATGTGCCAGGCACCAGCCAGAACCAGGTAGACTTGGTTTAAACCTTCACTCCTGTCCTCGCAAGGTCTGTGATGTTAAAGTCCCCAAGCCTCAGTGATTATTCCCCCTCAGTATGATGAAAATAATATCGTCTTGCAGGCCGGACGCAGTGGCTCACACCTGTAATCCCAGCACTTTGGGAGGCCGAGGCAGGCGGATCATCTGAGGTCAGGAGTTAGAGACCAGCCTGGCCAACATGACGAAATCCTGTCTCTACTAAAAATACAAAAATTAGCCTGGTGTGGTGGTGTGCACCTGTAGTCTCAGCTACTCGGGAGGCTGAGACAGAAGAATCGCTTCAACCTGGGAGGCAGAGGTTGCAGTGAGCCGAGATTACGCCACTGCACTCCAGCCTGGGCGATAGAGCAAGTCTCCATCTCAAAAAAAAAAAAAAAAAAGAAAAGAAACAAGAAAAAGAAAAGAGTACCACTTTGCAAAAAGTACTCGCTGTAAGGATTAAATGAGATAATGTACATAAAAGACCTATGACCACAAACCCAGGCCCCTAGCACAGCCTCAACAAATCAGGGCTGCAGATAGCCCCTTAAGAGAACACAGACTCTAAGCCCCAGTTTCTTCTTCTGCAAAAGTAAGTGTGTGTGTGTGTGTGTGTGTGTGTGTGTGTGTGTGTGTGCGCGCGCATGTTTACGTAACTCCCCCTCATGCATGTAAAACACTTAGAAAGTGCCTGGTATACAAAGAGTGTTGAAATTACTCTTCTTCCTCCTCCCTTCCATCCTCCTTTCTTCCTCCCTTCCATCCAGTAAACTGTCACCGCCATACCACTGACTCCCATTTTCCCTGCATTCTGGATAGATAATTAACCAAGTCTGTTACAGTCTCCCTTCACATTCTCTTAGATTAGGCCACAACACCGGAAAGGTTTATGTAAAGGCCCAGTCTTTGGGCTCCAAGACTAGTTTCCTCATTCGTACTATAAGGCCAAAAGGGAAACAATGACAGCCCCCGCACAGAGCAGTGTGTGTGGCACCTAATACATCATTAGCGCTCAAAAAATGGCAAAAAATGGAGCTGCCATTAATGTAAGGACATCAATTTCTCAAACACAACCTAAGCCCCCTAACTCAAGAGCCTACCATGGCTACTTTGCAGCTTCTCAACCAAGTCTGAAGGGTAGGCTGAGGCGTAAGGCACCCTCAGCTGTCCATGCTGTTCCTTTCCTGACTGGTCCTTTAGCTCCCCTAAGCCTCTCTTTCCAAGGCTCTGGCTTCCTTACCCAAGTTCATATCTGCACTGACCCCTCCCCTCAGATCTCTGCTCTTCTGTCTTTACCAGCCACCCTTCCTCTTGTGCTTCGGAGTGTGCACAGTGTGTCCTTCCCCTCAAGCCTTTCCCCTCAAGCCTTCCTGATGGGCAGCATCTCCCGCCAACACACACACACACAGTGACACACTCCCTAGCTTCTTCCCTTTGCCATCTACATCAGAGCCACATGGTTCAGCGCACTAACAAATAAGCCTCTCCATGTGGCTCTTGGCAAATACAGTCAGTCCTCATTATTCACAGCTTCCGTATTTGTGAATTTGCCTACTTACTAAGCTTTATTTGTAACCCCAAAATCAACACTTGCAGTGTTCTTGGGGCCATCCATCGACATGCACAGAGTGGTGAAAAAATGAGCTACCTGATACATACGTTTCTAGCTGATGTCCAACAAGAAGCCACCCTGCCTTCTTGTTTTGGCTCTCATACTGTACACAAGTGTCCTTTCCTCGGTCCTTTTAGTGCTGTGTTTTTGACATTTTTGTGCTTTTTGTTGATGATTTTTCTCTATAAATTGGCCTCCAAGTATAGCAATTAAGTGCTTTCTAGTGCTCCTAAGTACAAGAAGGCTGTGATGCGCCTTATGGAGAAAATGCTTGCGTTAGATGAGCTTCGTTCAGGCAGAAGTTATACCACTGTTGGCTGTGAGTTCAGTGTTAATGAGTCAACAAAACGACACATGCAGAAAAAGGAAGAGGAAATTTGCCAATCTGAACATGAGTTCACTCAAGTAAGTGCTAAAGTAACATCCGCTGTGCATGACGAAGCTATGGAAAAGATGAAAACATGGCTGGATTTGTGGATTATCTGGCACTAAGCCTGAGAGGTCATGACAGATTAAAAAAGCAGAGTGGACAGCATCATCATGAGGCTAAGAGCCAAAGAAGTTTATAGTCACATCACCCAGAGTCAGGAGAACATTCAACCCTTTGCAGCTAGTGTTTTATTATCAAGAAATATTGCATATAATTGATTGTAAGAAACACACTAAATAAGGGGTCTTTAAACAGAAACACACATATAACAAGGTTATGTATTGATCAGCTGACAAAAATGTTGTGACCAGAGGCTCTCAGGAACCTAACCTCTATTTCCCCTAGGAGCAAAGCCTTGGTACTTGCTAATTCAGTGTCTGTGGCAACTTTATAGAATATGACTACCACAGATAATGAGAACTGATTGTATTTACCTCTGCCATAACACCACCTTCAAGAAGATGGGGCTCCTGGAGGATACAGACCAACTGTATACTCCACAGTGGCCACTGCAGACAAAGGGGAGATGCTTTTCTTTGCCAATCCCCTGACCTGCTATAATCCTCCCACAGTCTCACTCCATACCTCAAATGGGGAAATCATATACACACACACACACACACACACACACACCCCTATCCAGGTCAGTAACAAAGATTCTACTTTTGCTCAAAACAGCCCATCCCACACCCTTTTATAAGACTGCCATGAGGGGAATGTCAGCTCCACAAGGACAGGATCTCTGTTCTATGTTTGATAGGTCAACAAGTGGCTAGAACAATACCTGGCATATGGTAGGTGCTCAGTCAATAGCTACCGAAGAAAAGAAAATAATAAATTTTTTTAAATCCCCACACAGACATGTAAAGTAATAACCTACATTTGACATATCCTTGAGTTTATATCCTACCTTTGCAGAACATCAGCCTCTCATCCTCCACTTACGAAGTGTTTTTCCTTTTTTTTTTTTTTTTTGAGACAGGGTCTCACTCTTTCACCCAGACTAGAGCGCAGTGGTGCGATCACAGCTCCACGCAGCCTTGACTTCTCAGGCTCACGCAATCCTTCTACCTCAGCCTCCTAAGTAGCTAGGACCATAAGCAAGCACCACCATGTCTGGCTTCTTAAAAAAAAAAAAAAAAAAGAAATGGTGTCTCACCATGTTGCCCAGGGTGGTATTGAACTCCTGGGCTCAAGCAATCCTCCCACCTCAATCTCCCAAAATGCCAGGATTAGAGGCATGAGCCACCACTCCTGGCCATGGCAGGCTTTCTACAAACAAAATCAATGCCTAGAATTTCCCAACAAAGGATCACTATAATACTCTGTTCCTCTAGGATTAACATAATAGTTCAGGAGATTAATTGATATGCTCGACCCATTTCATTTCATTCAAAACACGATTCTCCATCCATTCAAGGCCCATGCCACACTATCCCTTTGGGCACAGAGTGCTTTTGATCAGTCAAAAGGTAAGTCAGCTACTCCCTCCCTCATCATTTTCGATCCTCCAGCACATTCTGCCCTCACAAATAACTCACTATGTACTCAACCTACCTGGGCTCACTCTTCCACCTGGCACAATCTCTCTATCTTCCATAGCCCCCTCCCAGCCAGGAGAGGCCTGTTTCCTCTTCTACCCACAGGTTCTTTGTGGTGGTGATCTTTTTTTTATTACAAGGCAGCAGATTCACCAGATACTCAACATTTGATAGAAAAATACATCTAGGATAATCTTACATTTATTGGATCCAAATGCTTTACATGTACTAATTCAATCGCTGTAGTAAATTGCAAAAGTAGCTAGAATAAGTTGCAGGTAGACTTTATCGTTCCCAATTCTTGAATTTGGACTGGCCCCATGACTGACTTTAGCCCGTAAGATGTTAATAAACATGAAACAAGCAGAGGCTTGAAAAGGGCTCACCCTTTTTGTTGCTGGAATCTCAACACTGTATGAAAATGACCAGGCTAGCCTGGTGAATGAAAGATACACGTGGCCTAGTCACCCCTGCTACCCTAGCTGACCACCAACCAACTGCTTGACAGATAAGGCCAAGGTCAGCCAGCCCCCAGCTAATCCATCAACTGACTGTATATGTGAGAGATCAGCTCTAAGCCTGAGATCAGAAAAACTGGCCAACAAAACCATGAGCTAAATAAATGTTTTAAGCCATTAAGTTTTAGGGTGGTTGGCTTCATAGCAAAAGCTAACTGATATACAACTTTTCTTTTTCTTTTTTTTTTTTTTTTTTAAAGAGCCAAGGTCTCACCCTGTCCTCCAGGATGGAATGCAGTAGCACAATCATAACTCACTGCACTCTGGAACTCCTGGGCTCAAGCAATCCTCCTGCCTCTGCCTCCTGAGTAGCTGGGACCACAGGCATGCACCATCATGCCTGGCTACTTTTTGTAGAGACTGGGTCTCACTACATTGCCTAGGCTGGCCTCGAACTCTTGGCTTCAAGCAGTCCTCCCGCCTTGGCCTCCCAAAGTGCTGGGATTACAGGCCTGAGATCCCTCAATTAGCCAACTCCATTTTATGGATGAAAAAAAATGAGGCACAGAGATTAGGTAACCTGCCAAAGGTCCCACAGCTTTTAAGAGGTGAGCCTACAAGTCACTCTACAAGTTTCAAATGTTTTCCCACTCATCTCCTTTCCTAAAGGAGGTTATATGTAAGACATGGCCTTATATAGCCCCACAGACACAAAACAGGCAACTTTCAGCACTAAATAATCCGCACTATTTTGCATTTGTGCTGCCCATCAAGTTTGCAAAGTGCTCTGCTCTCTTCTGACGCATTCCAACCATTCAAAAATAACAAGGGTTGCCCAATGTCCATGGATGAATGGATAAATAAAACGTGGTATATACATTCAGTGAAAGGAAATTCTGACACATGCTATAACATGGATGAATGTTGAGGACATTATGCTAAGTGAAATAAGCCAGTAACGAAATGACAAATATTGTATGATTCCTCAGTACTTATATGAGGTACCTAGGGTAGTCAAATTCATAGAAATAGAAAACAGAAGTGATGGTTGCCTGAGCTTGGGAGAGGGGAGGATTGGGGAGTTAGTGTTGAATGGGTACAGTTTCAGTCTGGGAAGATGCAAGGGTTCTAGAGATGGATGGTGGTAAGAGTTGCACAGCAAGTGAATGTGCATTCACAATGTGAATGCCTTAATGCCATCCTTAAAGAATGGTTAAAATGGGGGAGAGGCAAAAAAGAAAAAAAAGAATGGTAAAAATGGTACATTTTGTGTTGTATGTACCTTACCACAATTTTCTTAAAGAGGAGAAAAAGAAGGGTTGGGACTGATAGTGATAAAATGACAGGTCCAAAGCCACTGTTAGACCAGTCAGCACCCAGGGAGCCAGGTAAGCAAGATACACCCTGCTTTTCAGCGTCATTGATTCACATGGGCTCCGCCCTCATCAGACTGCTCCCCTACCATATGCTGAAGGCCAGATGGACTGGCAGATATGTCAAAGCAGCCTTAAAAACAAGCTTGGGCTCAAGGACAAAAACTCTCAAATCAAAGCCAGTGCCCTGCCCCCAACCTGGCACAGAAAACACACATCATGTTCTACCTCTGCTTGGCAGAAATTGGACTTGGTTTTCAAGATCACAGAACTGGATCTGACTCATTGGCTGAAAAATGAGCTCATATCAGGAAAAATAAAATCGATGCAAATTTTTAATGAACCAATACAATTTCCACCAGCTCAACAATTAGATTTTTTTTTTTTTTTTTTTTTTTTTTTTGAGTCAGGGTCTTGCTCTGTCACCCAGGCTGGAATACAAGAGAGACATCATGGCTCACTGCAGCCTTGAACTTCTGTGCTCAAGCAATCCTCCTGCTTCAGCCTCCTAAGGGCTAGGACCACAGGCACATATCACTACATCCAGCTAATTTTAAATTTTTTTTATTTCATATAGAGACAAGATCTCACCATGTTGCCCAGGCTGAAATTACAAATCTTTGTAAACTCTTCAAAGAAAATCAAGTGTGGGAGGTTTTTCCCTTTTAAGTACCCTCAACTGAGACACTGGATATTCCAGTGGATAGATAGACATGGATATTCCAGACACTGGAATAGACAGACATGGATATTCCAGACATAAAAAACCACCACTATGCTATCTTCTTTTTCTCCAAATGGCATACGTACTTTTATTTCAAAATATTCACAAAGTTAAGAAAAAGTACAGTACAAATAACTTTTTGCTCTCAACCATTTGAGTGAGTACCTGATGCTCCATCACCCCCCCAAATACTTTTTGTAGTTGTTATTTCCTACAAATAAGGACCTTCTCTCACATAATAATAATGTAACCATCAAAAGTGGAAAATGCATTGATACATGACTATCATGTAATTATCATTATTTCTTTTTTTTGAAAAAAATATGGGATATACATCAAATAGTAAGAGAAGGTACTAGGATTATTTTCTTCTGTCTATTTTCTAAATTTTCTACAATAAATTCTAATTTTTTAATGAAGCCGAAACCCAAGCTCATGCTGGGATTCCATTGTCAAACACATTATCTCACTTAAATCCTAAGGCCAACCTCATGAGATAGCCAGGGCTGTTCCCTTGACTGCCAGCATTTCATGAATGAGGATGCAGGGACTCTGGGGACGCAGTGCCTCCTGACTCAAACTAGAAGGAACTGCTATCTGAAGGAGTCTCTCAGGCACCATTTCCCTGCTGTACATAACCAGAGAGCTTTGTAAATATAAAAAGGAAGCGGGGGCGGGGGGACAAGAGGAAGAAAACAGGAAGTCCTACTTGGCAGCATCTGGAAGTGGACATCGCCCCCCTCACCATCAGGAAGGTGAGAGGAACATTCACACACAAACAAGCTCATCCATCTGGCCTGAGCAGCCCACCCTCCACAGAGATGAAATGTGACATCTGTGCCCTGCCTCAGCCTTTGAACATCCTTCCAGTTCCTTCGCTATTGACCAACAAGGTCCCTTGGGGTTGAGGGGTAGGAGTTAGATTAGGAATCTAACCTTTTCTACCCTGCTTCTTCCTGCCCACCTGCAAGAAGGAAGGAGATTACGGGGAGGGCTTGCAGGCATAAAGCCAGGCAGGATGCTCTCAACATTCATCTTGGGAGCTGCCCATTAAGAGTGACTCACTCATCCCCAGGACCTGGGCATCATCTGATTCGACCGATGACTCAGTGCCTTGCCCACAGGACTCAGTAATTGCCCTATTGTCCTCACTAGCCAAGAGAAGGGATGAAGAGATGGAGAGGAGCCACCATCCACTGCTTCCCAACAGACTAGGAGCCTCCCAGCCAGCTCCCTCCTACCTCTTTTCCCAACAAAGAAGATTTGGGGTGCAGAAGAGCAGGGAGTGGTGTGAAATCTGCTCCAGGATGTGTCACAGCCAGCTGGGGACCCAACTGCTAAACGGGATTTGAATGAACTCAACCCAGACGAGGCTGGATTTGCCAGTCATGCCACTCTCCATCTGCTTACCTAGCTACCAGGTGGGAAAGAGGCTGTGAGTAAAGGAGCAACGGAGAGGAAATGCTCATGACTTCAAGGGAGGGCAGGGGAGGAACCTCTGGTCTGTTGGTGGCTCCCCAACATCATTCACTAGTTTGTTCATTTATTGATTTATACAATATTTGAGCACCTTCTGTATGCTGGCATTGCAGATCCAGCAAGGAGCCAAACGAATGAAACTCTCTGCCCTTGCTGAGCTTCACTTACTGTAAACAAGTAAATTATAACAGGTCATATGGGGAGAAGCCCCACAGGGAAAAAGGAAAGCAAGGCATGGGGGCTGGGGCTGGCAGGGATGGTGGGCTGGGAGTTAACCATTTTAAATGTTAGCCTGAGAAGGCCTCATGGATAAAGGGATAGACATTTGAGCAGAAACCTGAAGATGAGGAAATCGGGCTATGAAAATACCAGGACATCGCCAAACAGAGGGACACCACCAAACAGAGGGAAAGGCAAGTCCAAAGACCTGAGGCAGGAGCACGTTTCACATCAGCACAGCCAAGGGAGTGACCTGAATCAGAGGACCAGCCTTGAGAAACCCCAACACAAAGCCCCCTAGAGCCATCTCTGCCCCCAAACCTGAGCTCAGGGACCAGACAAGGAAAACTTCAGGTAGAGAAGCCACTGCCGCGACTCCAGTGGGATGCTTCAACAGACCATCCTTCAATCACTCTGCAGCATGGGCACGTGGGCTGCTTTTAATAGATACGCGTGGGCTAAATGGCATCACAGAACCATAAATCCCAGTGTTAAAGACTTTCAGGAAAGGAGGTTTTCTGAATTCCTCGATATTTATCCAATGTTTAAATTAAATCCTCAGAAGCTTCTCCTCAAACCTAACCTGAACCCTCCATACTTCCGTTTCAGGTCAAGAATGATACAACCTTGGCCTACAGTGGGTAGGACACATCCTCAACTTGGGGGGCATCTCAAAGATTAATCCAACGTGGACACTTTGGAGGGGGAATGCCTCAGGGTGCTGGAATCTGTGGGAATTGGAAAGTGCTTTTTGGAGAAGGGTTTCTTCTCCCGGGAATTCTAGAGGCCTGGGCAGGGCCCAGCTGGAGATGGAAAAAGGGAGTGGCTGCTGCTCAGGGCTTGTGCAGACCAACGAGCAATCAGAACTTTGAAGTATACAGCCCAATGCACCAGGCCAGGGAAGAAAGAAGGGTTTCAGGCAGCCACTCTGTCTAGGAATAAAGGCAACATATCTGGCAAGGTCCAACCAGGAACTTCAGCTCAGGGTTCAGAGCATAAAACCCAAACACACAGGTACGATCTTGGTAGAACTCCCAAAGCAGCAAGGGGCTCCCTTGAAGAGAAATGAGAGGTGCATGGAAATAGGAAAAAGAAGAGGAATGGTTAAGTCCTGGCCCTCATTCTCTATGGGTCTATCTTAATATATTCCTAGATTTCTGGGACTTAATTTCCAAAGGGTCCATCCTACTGATATCTCCCCCACAGTGCACAACACACTGTGCACATACACAGTAGGTGCTCAGAAACTTTGCATTGTTGTTGCTCTCTCATTTTTTCTTTCTTTTTTTTTTTTCTGAGACACATTTGTGCTCTGTCGCCCAGGCTGGAGTGCAGTGGCACGATCTCGGCTCACTGCAACCTCCACCTCCCAGGTTCAAGCGATTCTCATGCCTCTGCCTCCCTAGTGACTGGGATTACAGGCGCCCACCACCATACCCGGCTAATTTTTGTATGTTTAGAAGAGAGGGGTTTCAACATGTTGGCCAGGCTGGTCTCGAACTCCTGACCTCAAGTGATCTGCCCACCAAGTGATCGGCCTCCCAGAGTGCTGGGATTACAGGTGTGAGCCACCATGCCCAGCCTCACTAAACATCTTCTTACAAGTGGACACTTTTGAAGGCAGCATCTTCCATCATGTCATAAACACACCACAGGGACAGCACTGGGTCATTTGCTAGTGAACTACAATTTGGACCAACTGCTTAGATCTTCTTGGGAAATCTGAACTCTCATCTCAAGAGGCATCACAGGGTTGGTGATTCACATTAGCTCTCTAATCGGGAAGCCGAAGCAGGCTGAGGAAGGTGAATAAAGCCCCCAGCCCAGAGCCTGCCACACAGCAGGTACTAGTAACTGTTGAGGGCTCTTTACCTTCCCCATTCACAGGGCCTGGCTATCAGAGGCTGCAGGTGACACAAGTGGCACATCGCGTCACACAGCAGCCAAAGGAAGACCAACTCCTAAACCAGAACCCATTTCCACGCAGCCCCCAGCAATCGCCTGATCACAGTCCCCTCCGCCACTCCCCTTCTGGTCTCCGTTTCACTGCTTCTTATTTGGGCTCTCAGGACAAAGAACCAAAGTTTCAGCAGGACGATGGCCACGGAAGTCAGAATCCGCTAAGGAGTGTATAACAACTCACCTGCCAAATCTTAAAAAGGAAAAAAAAAAAAAGAAAAAGAAGAAGAACCGATGTTTCAAGAGAAGCAGAAGGCTAAACACTCCCAAGAGTGAGGCGAACGCGAGGCAGTAAGCGAATCTTCCTACTGCTGTCTGACAGGTTGTCATTAGGAGCGGAGGAGGAACACCCTCTGGACACGTCCCCTTAAGTGCACTCAGCACCAACTCAGGGAGAGCACCCACTTGCAGGGTCATCCAAATGCCAGCACTCACACCCTATTAATAGTGTCGAGCACTGGAATGAAGCAGATTGCGGGGCGGTGGGTCACTGCATTTAAGACATATTGGACTCGAGCTTCTAACCTTCAGCAGGTGATACAGTCAAAGGCACCCTTAAAACTGAGGGGTAGTGAGGCTCGAGGTAGGGGAGACATCTATGGGGCTATCTTACCTGCCTCGCCACCCTCCGTGCCTCCCAGTAGGGCTTGGAGTCTTCCACAGCTTTGCCAATTTTCTTCACCAGTTCATCCAGTTTCACCGTTGCTTCAACCAGAACAGAGCGGAACTTCTGACGAGCATCCTGCAGCCAGGGGAAACCGAGGAAACACAGTTGAGGCTTAAGAAGGGATCTGCAAACACCTACTGGACCTAGACAGAAACATCAACAAAGGACTTTACCCAACGTACAGACCCCTAAAGTAGCACCTTTACAAGACAGTGTCTAGAGCAGCACCGCCCAAAACAGCTTCCTGCCACGGCGGAAACGTCCTGTGCTCTGCACAGTGCAGTGTGGCGGCCACCAGCCACGTGTGGCTACTGAGCACTTAAAACTGGCCGGTGTGACTGAGGAAAGGAGTTTTTAGTTTATTTAATTTTAATCATCTCGGGTGTGGTAGCTCACGCCTGTAATCCCAGCACTTTGGGAGGCCGAGGCAGGCCCATCACTTGAGGTCAGGAGTTGGAGACCAGCCTGGCCAACATGGCAAAACCCCATCTCTACTAAAAATACAAAAATTAGCCAGGCGTGGTAGCAGGTACCTGCTGTCCCAGCCACTCAGGAGGCTGGGGCACAAGAATCTCTTGAACCCAGGAGACAGAGCTTGTGGTGAGCCAAGATCATGCCACTGCACTCCAGCCTGGGTGACAGAGCACGACTCTGTCTCAAAAAAAAAAAAAAAAAAAGCTTAGTAAGCAACAACAACGCAAAGTTTCTGAGCACCTACTGTGTATGTGCACAACATGCTGTGCACTGTGGGGGAGATATCGGTAGGATGGACCCTTTGGAAATTAAGCCCGTCTCTACTAAAAATACAAAAATTAGCCGGGCATAGTGGGGGACACCTGTAATCCCAGCTACTCAGGAGGCTGAGGCAGGACAATCATTTGAATCAGGAGGCAGAGGTTGCAGTGAGCCGAGATCGTGCCACTGCACTGCAGCCTGGGTGACAGAGTGAGACACTGTCTCAAAAAAAAAAAAAATTAATTCATTATATTTAAAATTTTTTAATTAACATGGCTAGCAACTACTATATTGCATAGCACGGTATAGATTAAAAAGCTTTGTCCAGGACCTCTGGACAGCATGTTGTCAAAGCTCAGGACTTTAATCAGAGACATAGATTCAACACTGACCAAACCTCTATCTGGGGAAGAATGTCCAGCCATCTCTGACAGCTTCAGTCCAAATGATGCTGTCAATGTTAAACACTGAGTGCAAATTTATTTATTTATTTACCACATGCCAGACCTGGTGCTGGGCCTTGGGCGTGGCCCTGTCTCCAGGGCACTTACAGCCTGGTGGGTGAGGTAGGTATTACAGCCCGTTCCAGAAAAGTCAGTGCCAGGGTGGGAATGGTCCAGTCGCCATGGAACTCAGCAGGGAAGAATGGCGCCAGACCATGTATTAGAGGGAGAGTCACAGGAAACTTCCAGAGGAGTACTATCTAAACAGAAGTCCAAAGCATGAATAGGAAATTGGGGGAGGGGAGGAAAATACTGAGTCCCAAGCAGGCAGCAGAGCCTGTGTCCAGATAAGAGGGGAATGGGAACAGCATGGTGTCTGCAAGAAACTGAAGGAGGCCGGAGGTCTGGAATGTGGAGAATGGCAAGAGATAAGGGTGGCCATCCATCCTGGCGACAGCAACTAGCAACTTGGACCTTGATAGGAGTTAGGAAGGCAAAGAAGGACTGTGCAAGGCTTAATCATGTTGTAAAAGTCAAGAAACCAGATCCAAGAGGTATAAGGAGAGAAAAAAAAAATTAAATAAGTTAGTCCCAGGTCTAGGAGGACCTATTGGAAGGGATCAGGTCAGTGATTCAAACCCCACATCCCCTCTACCTCTCCCTCAGGCATCTGCCTGACAAAGCCACACCTAGGGGAAGGAAGGACACATGCATGAGTTTAAAAAAAAAAGAGAAATGGCAGCCGGGCACCATGGCTCATGCCTGTAATCCCAGCACTTTGGGAGGCCGAGACGGGTGGATCATGAGGTCAGGAGATCGAGACCATCCTGGCTAACAAGGTGAAACCCCATCTCTACTAAAAATACAAAAAAAAATTAGCCAGGTATGGTGGTGGGCACCTGTAGTCCCAGCTACTTGGGAGGCTGAGGCAGGAGAATGGCGTGAACCCGGGAGGCGGAGCTTGCAGTGAGCTAAGATCGCGCCACTGCACTCCAGCCTGGGAGACAGAGCGAGACTCCGTCTCAAACAAACAAACAAAAAACTAGCTGGGCATGGTGCCGTGTGCCTATGGCCAGGGCGGAAAGATCGCTTAAGCCCAGAAGGTTGAGGCCGCAGTGAGCCAAGATCACACCACTGCACTCCAGCCTGGACGACAGACCCTGCCCTGTCTCAAAACAAAAACAAAAGAAAAGAAAAGAAAAGAAAGGGGAAGTGGATACTCCAAAAGAACAACACATGATCATGAGCTATGGGCCTGGAGACTCAACACCCACCTGCTGGTAAAACATGTGTTTCATTGGCTAGAGGGGCCTGCCTCACAAGTAACTATCAGAAAAATTTTATGTTATTTTGAGACAGAGTCTCACTCTGTCACCCAGGCTGGAGTGCAGTGGCATGACCTCAGCTCACTGTAACCTCTGCCTCCCGGGTTCAAGCAATTCTCGTCCCTCAGCCTCCCAAGTAGCAGGAACTACAGGTGTGCACCACCACGCCAAGCTAATTTTTTTTTCGTATTTTCAGTAGAGATGGGGTTTCGCATGTTGTCCAGCCTGGTCTCAAACTCCTGGCCTCAAGTAATCTACCCGCCTAGGCCTCCCAAAGCGCTGGGATTACAGGTGTGAGCCACGGCACCCAGCCGACATTTTATTTCTAAACATGCAATTGCAGGGGTTTCATGGGGGCAAAGGAGGCTCTGATCAGTTCTAATTCATTCCATCATCCCAAGCTGTTGGCTTGCTAGTGGGTTTGAAAACGCCGCCGGCATTCCAAAATATGAGGATAAAAGCTTTACCTCCCATGGGAGCACCTCAGCTCCCGAGCCTGGATCCCATGTCCAACACAGGCTTTGCCCCCTTTCCCCTGGTTCTGTGCCATCATCATCATCCTGATTTCCTCTGCCTTCTCCCTTATCAGACCAGGCTTAGGGTCATCCGCTGCAGCTTCTACAGGCAGAAGACAAGACTAGACTTGTTCTCCAGGGGAAGGGCCCAAGGAATAGAGAAGCCCCACAGAGCTTCTACAGGACTTGGCTTCCAATAAGAGGGAAGCAGCATGCTGTCAAAGCCCAGGATTTTAATCAGAAACACAGATTCACTGCTGACTAAAGCTCTTTCTGCAAGGCCCTAATCAGGGCCGTCTCTATGAACCATTTGTATTACCTATAAAATTGTTACTTTCCATCCCATAGGGAGGGCTCTTAGAAGGAATCAAGGAGAATACAAATGTAAAACATTTAACAATTTCTGGGCACACAGTCAGTGCTCAATAAATGCATACAATTTTTTTCCTCCTGGTATAAAAAGAGACCCTGAGACCCTATTAAAAACCACCCAGGGAGTTTCCCAGAGGCGAGGGCAGCTGACACGGTGGACATAATAACCTGTTCCACTGTGCAGGCAGCCGCTCTGCAAGATGCACTCGCATGCATGACCGCATCCTCACGGTCACCTCCCTGGTGGTGGCCAGTGCCAGTGCTGTCCACATTCACACCAGTGAGAAAACGGAGGGCCAGATCGGTTAGCGTGTGGCCTACAGCCGGTCACATCAACCCCCAGGCCTACTCTGTTAAATGAGAATTGAGCCCCAAAGCAGTGGCCTACGGGCCAATAAGCTTAGTACATTTGGCTGATATGCTGTGTAGTAAACGTCAGGGAAAATTCACATTTAAAAAAAAAATGAATTCTCAAACTTTTCATTTAAAGAAAAAAAATAGCTAGAAGCAGAGCAGAAGGTGCCCCCTTAGGCAGGGGTTACCCTCCTCTCCAGTCCCTATCACTCTGGTGTCTGAATCACTCATTCAGGTTCCCTGCCCAGCCGCTAAAGATATCTGATTTGCTGAGAGCTCTCTGGGGCACTGGTGAATACAACCCACCAACGCTGCCTTTGTGGAGAAAGAAGGATGGATACAGGGCACAGACTGACTGACTGCTATGTGGCAGGCACTACTGTCAGTGCTTTAACCCCACCAATTTGTGCAATCGCTAACAATCCTAACAGGTAGGTGCTATTGTTGTTATTCACATTTTATAAAGGAGGAAATAGAGGCAAGGAAAAGAAAGGTAACTTGCCCATGGTCACAGAGCTGGGAAATGGCAGAGTGAACAATTAAACTCAAGCAGTGCTAAGACTACTTACACACGTTGAGCAACAGACACACGGCTGAGAAGGCCACCCAACCCAAGTCAGACATGAAGAAAGAGGATTCCACCAGACAGAGAAGGGGGACATTCGACCCTCCAGCACGGACGGACGGGCTGGCCTGGTAGGGGCTGGAGCAAGGACGCCTCCTGGCCATTATAAAGGCATCTGAACTCAATCCCATGAACAATGGGAGGGCATGGCACAGTGGGGAGAAGGGGAGATTACTTCTTGTTTCTTTCTTTGCAGAAGATTTTCTGGTGCTAGTTCATCACTGAAATTCTGTCTCCCTCTGCTATTCTCTACTTGCCATTTCTCTTCCTTTGGCCATAAATCACATCTCAAAATCAAACCTTTTAACCTAGTTCTATGTGATGGGTTTTCTTCCCATAGGGTTACTTAAGTCTCAAGTAATTTATTTCCAATGCACCCTTTGTCAGAAATAATTAAAGAATGCATTCTACCACAAAAAGGAAACATAATCATAGTTTACTAGATGGCTCAACTGTGAATAGCACTTACCTAGCTGCAATAAAGTAATCAAATACTGACCACAATGGATTCTGCTGAGAAGACAGCAGATGGGAAAAGTACAGGACAGAGGGTGAAAAGAGACAAAACCTCATCTTCCATAGCAGGATGTCCACAGATAGTCACTCAAATGAAAAAAATCAAGAAGTAGTCACACAATACATACTACTTGGTCATAGAAATAAATACCTCCATCAGCTAAAATACATTAAACTAATATAGTTAACTGGCTAGGGGAGAAAAAAACAGGGGTAGGGTGGGAGAATGGGATAGTATAGGGCTTTTTGTTTGATTTTGTGTTTTTGTTTTTGGGGGTTTTTTGGGTTTTTGTTTTCACTTGATCTTAGCCAAAAGGCCGAGAATCGATGGGGTTTTTGTCTTCTTAAGAGACAGAGTCTTGCTATGATGCCCAGGCTGGAGTATGGTGGCTATTCACAGGCATGATCATATCACACTGTGGCCTCAAACTCCTGGGCTCAAGGGATCCTCCTGCCCTTTCCAAGTAGCTGGGACTACAGGTGTACAACACCATGCCTGCTTTTTTGTTTTCAACTGTAAAATATCATAGATTTTTCTAAGCAGGGGCATGACCTGATCAAATTTAGGTTTTACAAAATTGTTACCTGGGTGCAGAGTATGTTAAAAGACTCCTCAGGTGATTCTGATGGGCAGGTTCAGGGCCTGCCAGTCTGACTTGATGCCCTTTTTGTGACTATCTGTACTAAGTGTGTGACCATCAAAGGGTATTAAACCCAGAAGACTTGATTTGACATCAGCGTTTCCTTCTATAAATGAGGCTGTGCTGCCAGGAATGATGCATGACTGGCTGACTTCCAACCACCAACAAGCCTATTCATCAAAGATGCATTGAAACTGAACACAAAGCCAGTCTTCCCCGCTCCACCCCCCCCCCATAAGAAAAAGCCCACCCAGTTGTTTCCATTCCACTGAGGATCACAGCTACTTGGGTAACAGTTCCCAGAAGTATTGAGGTATGAGAGGCCACAAACCAAAATCTTTCCTGTCTCCCCAGTGTTACAGCCGTAATATTCCTTGGTCCTCACCCCCACCTCTCAGTCCCTAGTGATGTGACAGGGCCTGGCCACAGTCATACTCCTAGCCACAGTGATTGTTCGATGAGCAGGGGCGATAGACATGACCCATCATAACCAATGAGACTTCATTTCGGGACCTTTCTGCAACTGTTAGAGGAAATTTCTTCCACTTGAGATGTTTAAGAGGATGGAATGAAAGCCTGCAGCAGATAGCAGCCATCCTGGCATCATGAGGGGAGAGCCTAACAATAAAGCCATGTGTATAAGGAGCAGAGTCTGTGGAATTTAGTTCAACCTAGCTTTTATAAAGCATTTCTTTCAATACATCTTAAAACCACCTTGCCACAATTGAACTTAGACTTTCTGTCTTGTTTCTTAAAGAAAAGACTTGACTGTGATCCTTTGTCTCCTGCAATTACAAGCAAATGTGTTTTCCAAGATCAGAGTGGGGGTGGCTTCAGGAATGTCCAGGGAGGAGAGTAAGCTGACTGCTTTCCCTGCAGAAAATGAGCCATGGAGGGGAGTGGCTCAAAAGTACAAACTTATCTGAGAGAGCAAGCAGATCTTCCACCAGTCAAGAAAAAGAATCCGTTTACCATCCCAGGGCTGTTTACCAAGGGAGTTTTTAGATCAGCACTTGAAAGAGTTCTTAAACAGTTCCCTCTGCTTGGAGGAGGCCTCAGCTCTTCAAATGTGAAAATTGTGTTTCATCCATTAGGTGACTCAGACTGAAGGTAATTTATTCAAGCAAAGAATTGCTGGGGGTGGTAGAGTCTCCCTGTTTGACTGTGTCAGTGTGTCAGACAAACAGCCTTGTGTCAGATAAGAGCTCAAGCTAAACCACACCAGCCAGCACCAGTATACAGTGGAAGCAGCATGCAGGTTGAACATGAAGCACACAGGATGAGTCAGTGTTTTCTGGCCAATCGCTCACCTGCTCACCTCAATTACCTTGCCTGGAAACTGAGAATCCTGGCTTTTCCTCTTCACAGGTGTCCCCAGAATTAAGTGAGATAAAGATGGGATGGTGATGTTTTAAAAATAACTGTCCTACATGTTAGAGACGACACCAAACTTCAAAAGATCCTTACTAATGCCATTTACAAGTATACCACTTTCAGTTGGCAGAAAGAGGTTTCCCAGGCATTATCTGAGACACACAACAACCCTGTAAAACAGGCTCAGCCAGAATTTCCATCCCGAGTTTACAGATAAGAAAACTGGAGGCCAGGTGCGGTGGCTCACTCCTGTAATCCCAGCACTTTGGGAGGCTGCAGGCACATCACCTGAGGTCAGGAGTTCGAGACCAGCCTGGCCAACATGGCAAAACCCCATCTCTACTAAAAACACAAAAATTAGTCGGGCATGGTAGGTGCCTGTAATCCCAGCTACTCGGGAGGCTGAGGCAGGAGAATTGCCTGAACCCAGGAAGTGGAGGTTGCAGTGAGCTGAGATCACGCCACTGCACTCCAGCCTGGGTGACAGACATTCTGTCTCAAAAAAAGAAAAACAAAGAAAACTGGAGCCTTGGAGTTCCAGGTGACCTAATGTCTTTGCATAAAGTCACAGGACTATCAAGTGTCAAGCGTTAGATGTAAGCAGACATCTTCAGTATTTTTTGTTTTTTGTTTTTTGAGACAGGATCTCTCTCTGTTACCCAAGCTGGATGCAGTGTCGCAATCATGGCTCACTGCAGCCTCCACCTCCTGGGCTCAAGCAATGCCCCTACCTCAGCCTCCCAAGTAGCCGGGACTAGAGGCACGTATGACCACACCCGGCTAATTTTTAAATTTTTTGTAGAGATGAGGTCTGTGTTGTCCAGGCTGGTCTCAAACTCCTGGGCTCAAGCGATTCTCCTGCCTCGGCCTCCCAAACTGTTGTGATTACAGGCGTGAGCCACTGCAACCAGCCATCTTCAGTCTTGTAGTCCAGTGTGCCAGTCACTTCACCAGTGGTTCTCAGAGCGTGGTCTGGCGAAACCACTGGTGGGGGTGGGGGTGGGGCACCTGGAAACCTTTTCAAGGAGTCTGCAAGATGGAAGCCATTTTCATTAATAAAGACTTGCCATTTTCACTGTCATTCTGAGCGTTCAGTAGAGTTTTCCAGAAGCTACCTGACAGGTGACATGGCAAGAAATGACATGAAATGCAGAAGTAGGTGAGAGAATCCAGCTCTTCTATTAAGCCAGACATTAAAAAGACTTGCGAAAGCATGTACAACAATTACTCTTTCATTGAATTTTCTGTTTGGAAAAATAGTCCTTTTCCATAAAATGTATTATTTTTGTTAACATGTAATAGGCTGATTGTCATCTTAATGAATATAGACCTTAGAAATAAATGTCTTTTGATTTTTATATGGCAAATATTAATATTATCCACAAAAACAAAGCTCTCTGGGGTACTCAATGATTACCAAGAATGTGAAGGGGGACCTGCAGCCAAAAAATCTCCAGTGTGCTGCACGCCACCTGCCCTCAGGCCTGCTCTACATAAACCCCTCTTGAACCAAAGACAAGAGTGTACTTTCAATAAGAATGAAGCAGTTGTTGCTTCTCAGATCTTTTTTAAATGCTTCTGATTTTGTCAGGGAGAAAGACTCCATTTGGTACCACAATGTCTTCAGCACCTGTATACGTTTGTTAATCTCTTTCTTAAAGAAAAGGGAAGCTAATCCAGGCTCAGAGCCTTCCGTAAAGAGGGGAATCTGCTAGAATTTGATAAGGAAAACAATCCACCAGAAACAACATAACATTACTCTGAAAGTCATAAGTTGTACCCTGACAAGGTGGGCACTTCCTATATATATATTATTCTTTAAAAAAAACACCTGCTTAAAAAATGTATTTTCCTTTGATGGTTTTCCATTTATAATAAGGCTATTTCCTTTTCAAACTGAAGTAAGGCTGGGCACAGTGGCTCACGCCTGTAATCCCAGCACTTTGGGAGGCCAAGGCGGGTGGATCACCTGAGGTCAGGAGTTTAAGACCAGGCTGGCCAACATGGTGAAACCCAGTCTCTACTAAAAAATAAAAAAAATAAAAAAATAAAAAAATAGCCGGGCATGGTAGCAGGCACCTGTAATCCCAGCTACTTGTGAGGCTGAAGCAGGAGAATCGTTTGAACCTGGGAGGCAGAGGTTGCATAAGCCGAGATCATGCCATTGCACTCCAGCTTGGGCAACAAGAGCGAAATGTCTCAAAAAAATTCTGAAGTAAAAACATGAACCAATTTAAAAGACAACGTGGAATAAATAGCACATGCAGTCCTAGGATGTGGCAAAAATGATGGCGGCAGCAGCAGAATAACTGGAGTTAGGGAAATCCAGCCCTAGAATGATAGGAAAGTCTCCATTAGCAGGAACATACTAGAATTCTATGATAAAAGGCACTATGAAAACATCCTGACTTACTGGCCAGTGGTAAAGGCAACTGAAATGTTCCATTCACTATCACTTTTAATGGCAAAAACCACAATTACTTTTGCACCAACCTAATACAAATCATGCTTTCTTTTCACCCATCCAATCTATTCTCTAAGAGCACTTGTGGCAGCTACTAGAACACACAAAGAAACCACTTTAAATAGCGCTTGGGTGAAAAGGGAGCAAGTGCTCTCCAGTGCTGGCTGACGGAACTTCTGTGACGATGACATGTGCTACATCTGTGCCATCCAACACAGAAGCCACAGCCACTTGTGGCCAAGCAAACACTTGAAATGTGGCTGGTGCAACTGAGTTTTGTATTTTACTTAACTTCAAGGGGCCAGGCACGGTGGCTTACACCTGTAATCCCAGCACTTTGGGAGGCCACGGTGGGAGGATCTCCTGAGTTCAAGAGTTTGAGACCAGGCTGGGCAACATAATGAAACCCCATCTCTACTAAAAACACAAAAATTAACCTGGTGTGGCACTGCATGCCTATAGTCCCAACTACATGGGAGGCTGAGGCAGGGGGATTGCTTGAGCCTAGGCGGTCAAGGCTGCAGTGAGCCAGGATCGTCCCACTGCACTCCAGCCTGGGTGACAGAGCGAGACTCTGTCTCAAAAAATTAAAACTTAATTAACTTAGTGATTTTTTTTTAATTGTTTTTTGGGATGGAGTCTCACTCTGTCGCCAGGGCTGGAGTGCAGTGGCGCGATCTCGGCTCACTGCAACCTCTGCCTCCCAGGTTCAAAAGACTTAATGATAATTTAAATAGCTGCGTGTGGCTAGTGGCTGCCCTATTGCACAGCACAGGCCTAGCCCTAGATCCTTTTCTGCTTTGAGAGATCCTGCCATGCTTTTTGGGGGCCTCAGGATGCCTTCCCTCCCGCCTCTGTCTGGTTTTTCTTCTCAGTCCCAGCTCCTGCTGGGAGGGGCTTTCATAGCCCTGAGGGCCAGAGCAAGCTGATTCTACCTTAAGAATTCTGCAGCAGAGATAGAAGCACAAAGAGTACACCAGGGCAGAGTGGGGGAGCAAGGGAGCCAAACCAGAAAGGCCAAGGCAGGAGGGTGTAGGAGCCAGGAAGAAGCAGAGGTAGAGAGCAGGGGTATGGATGAAGACCACCAGGGAGCTGGAGCCAGCCACAACACTCCTGCTCATGGCATAGGCCCAATTCCACAGCAGTTTGTGTCATCCAACTAGAAGACCCAGGTGAAACAGCCCCAAGGTGACAAATACAAATGGAAAGGAATGGAATAGGAAGAATATACTAGGATCTTCAAGTTGGGGAGAACTTCAAGATCACTGCTGGAAACCAGGGACCTAATTCCCCTTCCCCTGAGTCCTTTTCTTTTCCCATCTCAGTCCCTGACCAACTTCAGGAGTAGGGGCCCCTCAGAGTGTCAGCCAGACCTGCTACTTCCTTCTGTGAGGACTTGCCACCGTGTTTCCAATACAAGACTCCCTCTCTTAGGAATCAGAACAGAGGAAACCAGAGGAGGGAGAGACAGACAAAAACAGAGGTGAGAGACAGAAAAAAGCAAATGTGCAGAGAACCATGAGGTGGCATGGGAGGGGCAGTGAGAGATGGCCCGGGTTCCTGATTCTAATCCTGTGACAACACAGTCATATGATGTATCAATCAAACAGGACACTTTTGAGAATAAGGAGAGGCACTATTAATAACTGTGCTGGGACCACAAGCATCCACCAAGACTGCCCAGGGCCAACTGAAACATGTGGTTTCCCTACGCATCAGAGCCAGTGACACTTCCCCTCCCTTGAGTTCCATGAGACTCCTACAACCTTTCAGAAAATCCTCCCTTTAATTTAAGCTATTTGAGTGGGTTGTGGGACAAAATGCAGAATAGTCTAATCCCAGCTTGGGCATCGCGCAGCTCCAGACCCTCTGGGCAAGCCCTGTGCATTCAACAGCTTTTAGGCCACATCCTATTTCTTCACTCCAACCCTTTCCAAGGCATCACACTGCCTGTCCTTATCTGAACCACCAAGAGGTTCCTTTCACTAAGAGGACAGAGACAAGGTAAGAAAATATAAGGGTCATCATGGTTTTCTCCTTCAAGTTTCCCTCCTCTGAGGTTAACAAGGGTCTTGGACCCTTTTAAGGCCTAAGTAGAACCAATTCCCTCCTAGACAGAAAGGGTCTGGTTTAGAACTCTGATCTAACTATGAAGGGTTTCCAAACAAGCAGGTGAGCACCCAGTTCCACCTCCTAGAACATTGCAGCCCTCCTTTCAATCCTTGGCCTGTGTCAAGATTCCATAACCAAAGGGAAGTGCTGCTATTTGGAGGCTGAGTTAGGGCAAAAGGCTCTTTAACTTTTTAGTTTAAAATAATTTCAAACTTGGAAAAAATGAGGGAAAGATGCAGACACCATGCCCCTTTACCCTGAAATATTTCAGGTGCATATTTCCTAAAGATGAGGCCATCCACTTATATAACCAGAGTATAATAATCAAAGTCAGAAAATTAACATTGGTACAACGCTATTAATCTGGTCTACAACTTTCTCCAAATTGCATCAATTGTCCCACTAAATTCTTTTATAATAAAGGGCAAAAATGGTTTTCCTGGTCCAAGATCCAATCTAAGAGTCACACTTGGCATTTTGTTATCTAACACTCTTTCACCTGGAACTTTGTCTTTGTCTTTCATAGCCTCAATTTTTAAACAATATGAGCCAGTTATTTTGTAGAATGTTATTTGGAAAAGACTCGCTTTTTTTTTTTTTTTTTTTTTTTGAGACGGAGTCTCGCTTTGTCACCCAGGCTGGAGTACAGTGGCACGATCTTGGCTCACTGCAACCTCCGCCTCCCGGGTTCAAGTGATTCTCCTGCCTCAGCCTCCTGAGTAGCTGGGATTACAGGTGCCCACGACCACACTCAGCTAATTTTTGTATTTTTAGCAGAGACGGGGTTTCACCATGTTGGTCAGGCTGGTCTCGAACTCCTGACCTCGTGATCCGCTGGCCTCGGCCTCCCAAAGTGCTGGGATTACAGGTGTGAACCACATACCCAGCCAAGACTTGCTTTCAGTTCATCTTTTTTGTTGATGTTACATAGGCAACAGAATGGAATTGAACCAATTACAAAAAAATGTTTAAAATAGCCCAAGGTAGATTCTTTTGTAGTTCGTAAGTGTGATGACTGGGTATTCATGTGTGAGATAGGCCATCCTCGAATTTTTTTATGATATGATGTGGGCACATTACTCATCTGCTATGAAATGGAAAAAAAAAAAAGCCCAAGATACAAAGCACCATGAACAAAAGAAAAACCTCATGAGCCCTTTAAACGTGACAGCAAGCACAGGGGTCAGTCCTACAAGGCCCGAGAGGATGGACTGAAGTTACATAACAACCCTGCATGCACATAAGCAAGAACGTGCTCATGCACACAGCTAGAAAGACTGGGGGACCCAGTGCTTTTTCATTTATGGCCAAACACATGTTCTTAAATCCACAGGATTCTTTGTGTAAGAGGATATAGAAATGCTGAAACAGCCGTGTTTTACTGAATTCAACCACAAAAGCACTATTTCCATGTTTACGCCAGGAGGCTTCACATATGTCCTCAACTGCAAGACCTACGATTTTCTTCAAAAATTCACAATCATTAGATTTCAGACAGATTACACCACTGATGTGCATGTTTATTTGGGCTGATGTTTCAACCACCACCCAAGCTGTTATGAAATATAAGGTCCACTTTATAATTAGCACAAGTCTTAGAATCAGGGCGATATGGCGAGTTCATGGCCCAGCCTCAGAAAGCTCTAGAGATCAGTTAGTGTAGCCTGCACAGGAATCACACATCCACCCACCACAGCATTCCAGGCAGGCTGGCTGGCTGACTTCTTCTGGCTTTTGGATAACCTCCCTCCTGCCTTCAGCTAATCAAAATGTTAAGAAAGGAGAGCACAGGATGCAAAAGAGCCAAAGTCAAAGTCAATGGCTGTAACTTTAGAGACACAGGAGATATGACCAGAAGGAACAACTAAAAACATCATTTCATTGGAATAGAACTAGGGGTGCGGGGGAGTGAGGTAGAGGACTTTCATTTTTCATTATAACTTATCAGGGGCTCTTTTAAAAAAGCTATATTCAAGTATTGTTTCAACAAAAATAAAATTTTAAGTCTATTACAGCATAGATTGACTACAGAGCTTTTGTATTTCTCCAGCTGTCAAGAACAAAGGTGGTTCAAAATTTATTCAACATGTGGCTAGATCAGAATGCAGATCCCAGTCAAACAATATCAGGGCTGGAAAAAAGTGTGCCCATCTTTTAGTTTAGATGCTCCCATTTCACTGATGAAGTGACTGAAATCTCGGGAGATAAAGATCCTCTCCCAAGGAGCTATACCTGATTAATATCAGGGCAAAGATTGAAAACCTGGTCCCCCAAGTCCTAGACAGCATTCTTTCATCTAAGCAGCCTCAGTGGGGGTCTCAGAATATGCATCTGCTATGCCTCCAAACACAAACTATTTAAGGGTATGGGCTCCAGCCTCAGATTTCTGGATTCATTATACATCCTGGCTCTACCACTCCCTGGCTGTGTGACCTGAGAGAATTGACTTATTCACTCAGTGTCTCCCTTTCTCATCAACATTCTGAAGGACTGTTGTGAGAATGAATAGGATAAACTATAGTAGCCACTTAGCACAAAACTTAGCATATAATAACCTTTCACAAAATAGTGGTTATTTTTACTTAGGTGCCATTATTTAATAACTGGCTAAGGGGCTGGAGGAGGAAAGGATCAACATTTGTTGGACATATATGCCAGGTACCATGCCAGACACTTAACGAACATCACCATATTTAACCCTTAACAGCCCTGGTAAGACAGGTATTGCCCTTCACATTTTAGAAGGAAATTAAACCTAGATAAGCTGATATAACTTACCAAGACTGTACGGCACATTAAGAGGCAGAGAGAGAATTCAAATCCAGCTCTGAGCTCCAAAGCCCACACTTTCCACCATCATATGCTATGCAGCTATGTAGTTTAGTTTCTGTCAGCTCCAAAAAAAAAAAAAAAAAAGCTTTCCTATGTTTTTGTTTTTGTTTTTTTTAAGACAAGAGTCTCGCTTTGTCACCCAGGCTGGAGTGCAGTGGCATGACCTTGGCTCACTACAACCTCCACCTCCCAGGTTCAAACGATTCTTGTGCCTCAGCCTCCCAAGTAGCTGGGATTACAGGCATGCACTGCAATACCTGGTTACTACTTTTTCTTTTTTGTATTTTAGTAGAGATAGGGTTTCGCCATGTTAGCCAAGCTGGTCCCAAATTCGTAGCCTCAAGCCATCTGCTGGCCTCGGCCTCCCAAACTACTGGGATTATGGGCGTGAGCCACTGCGCCCAGCCTCCTATGCTTTTTTGACCCGAAGTTTCATAACATTGAAGTGTGGTTTTAACAAGTTCCAAGTGGGGAAGCAGATTTAATTTCTATCAAATAAATGCAATACCGGGACTCTCTTTCCCCAGAGAAGACCCAGCAAAACCAGTGGCAGGGAAAGAAAACAGCACATCTATCTGGAATAGCCCAAGGGGCTTTAGAACCCTACCACCCTGAATTACAAAGCAACAGTCTAATTATTGTAGTACCTCTGGCTCTAGGCTCCACTAATTTTTTCTAATAGGTATTGAAGCCATGCCATAATTTTTTTCTCAGACAAAATTTTTAAGAAATGGGCAAAGTGGCGAAGAATTCCCTATGGCAAGGCCCACAGCATTGCTAAAAACTGTCCATCTTGCCTTTATCGTTGCTGGTTTATTTAAGGTCACTGGGAATACTAACCAAAGTCCTTGCTTTGCTGGCTGGTTAACCATTAAAGCACCTCAAGAAGACACTAAAATGTGGTTGTTTATGAAGTCTCCCCACAGAAAGGAAGGGAGGAAAGGAAGAAAGTATATGTCCTATGGGCCTCAAAATAAGCCACTGTCTCTACATCACCATGAGGGTTGCAGTTTTCAAATATGGCCTACAATTCTTTGGCACTGCCCCAGGATCAAGAAGAATTAGAATGCAGGTGGGCTCATGACTGCTTGGACCAACAGATTATAATAGAAGAGCTGCTCTGAAGGTTTCAAGGCTTAGTCAGAAAAAGCCAGGAAGCTTCCACCTGGTCATCTTAGGACACTCACTCTGGAAGGAGCCAGAAACCAAAAGGAAGCAAAAGTACCACACTAGAAAGGTCACACGTAGGCACTCTGGTTGCAACTCCAGCTGAGCTCCCAGCATAAGCTTTCAGAGCCAGCATCCTCTGTCAGACACAAGAGTAGGCCATCTCTGACGTCCAACCAAGCCCTCAAGGACTACAACCAGGCTGACATCTGACTGCATAAAACTCCTCAAGCAAGGACCGCCCAGCTGAGCCCTCTCAAAACCCTCTCCAAATTCCTGACCCACAAATCATAGGCAAAATAGAACAGTTGTTTTAAGCTATTACGGCTTGGGATAATTTGTTAGGGAGAAACAGTAACCAGAACAATGAAGAAGAAAAACACCCCCTTTCTTCTTCCAATAAAGCCAAAAATCAAGTAAGAGAACATTAAATCTGTGCACTTCAAATCTAGCAAAATGAAGCTGAATCCCTTTGCATGCTGGAAACAAAAGGGTGTGGTGAATGAAGACAACCAAATCCCATTCATCATGCTTTGGTTGGGTTTAATGCCAAACAATAAAAGATTTATATTAAGAGGGCTGGGCTGCAGTTATAATAAACAGCGGATATTCCTCTCATTGTCTCCCTGATAGCAGTTTCTTTCTGTTAGAGCAAACATTAACATCTCTTAGATAATCCAGCAAAACACAGCAAAGGAAAAAAAAATCAGGCAAGAATAGAACAAAATTTTTTCCATCTTCCTTTAAGGAAATGAAAGAGGCTGACTTGCTGAGCTCTCCAAGAGCTGCTTTGCAAATTCTGTGATACTCTTGGTTAAAATGCACTACAAAAAAGCAGTATAGTCTTTAATGTTGGAAACATCTATGTGGCAATCGGCAGACTAAGTAACTCTCAAAGAGAAGGGCTGGGCAAAGTTACCTGGGCTGCCTGCCAAAGGATGAGGTTCAATAGAGGTTTAATTCATCCAGCCAAAACACACACACACACACACACACACACACACACACACCCCACTACGTTAAAGTCCCTACAACAAATGCTGACAAAGAAAAATAACAGCTCAAAATTAAAAGGCTACAGTCCACAGGGACCACATCTCTGTCAACCTGGGGATTTGAAGATTCTCATTAACCACAGGGATAGCAATGAATCCATCAACCCCCATAGCCTGTCTTCTTTTGAGATGACACCTCAGAGTCACAGGGTAGGCACCTTGAATACAGCTGGGGATACAGTCACATGATTTGTAGGAAAGTCGGCGTGTACTGCAATAGCAAGCACTTATGATCCTGCCATGGGTTTCAGCTGAGGGGCCAGAAGAGTTTGTATATTATCTTGTTGATATTTGTAGCTTAAAAGGAAGAAACGCCTAGGATTTTTTAAGGCAATACAGTCCATGTCAATATTAGACAGCTATTTCTATGTTCTAGCCAATGGCCAGAACATGTTTTGGCCACTAATAGCATTTTGCTAATGTGGTTACCATGAATGAAGTTGTGCAAGAACCTATACGTGCCCACATTTATTGATTTAGAAATGATGCTAACAGTCAAATACACAGAGTAACTAAGTTCAAATATCTAAATATTCTTAATATTTGGAATGTTTTCCATTATATCTTGATTTATTGTATTTTCTAAATAAGCATATATATGACGGTTTCTTGGCTGTAGAAGATCCTAAAGTGCCTTTATAGCACTTTTCATCCTTCCATGAATTACAACTAGAGTAGCTTAACAATACACTAATTCATCAAGCAAACCCACAACATCAGGTTTTATCTACAATTAAGGCAGGAACAACCAATCCAAGGTTTTTCCCATCAGCCTTCATAGTTCCTAAAATTCCTTCCAGAGAAATTCATTTATTTGGCTTATAAAGACTTTTTTTTTTTTTTACAACAGACTTCATTCCCCACCCCCATCCCATGAAAATTATAACAGATGGTCATTGTAAATATTTCAGAAAACACCAAGAAATGAAAACTAAAAATCACCAGCATCCTCAGCAGCTAGCAACAACTGGTAACATCTGAGGGTACATTTTTCTAGAGCCAGGCTTCTCAAACAATGTGGTGATGGATCTTCTCCCATCCAATCCACCGTAAATCAATATTTCTGTAGAATAAAAACAAACTAGGAAAGTAAAATGCCACCTGGATGTCACAACATCAAATTGCCAAAAAAAAAAAAAAAATCTAAAGTCTTACTCTCAATTTCTGTATTTACTTCACCATAACTGGTAACAAGCAGTTCACATTCTTTGGCCCACACAAGAATAACTATGTTAGGGCCAGGCACGGTGGCTCATGCCTATAATCCCAGTACTTTGGGAGGCCAAGGCAGGTGGATCATTTGAGGTCGGGAGTTCGAGATCAGCTTGACCTACATAGTGAAACCCCGTCTCTACTAAAATACAAAAATTAGCCAGGCATGGTGGTGGGCTCCTGTAATCCAGCTACTTGGGAGGCTGAGGCAGGAGAATCGCTTGAACCTGGGAGGTGGAGGTTGCAATGAGCCAAGATCATGCCACTGCAGTCCAGCCTGGGCAACACAGTGAGACTCCATCTCAAAAAAAAAAATAATAACTATGTTAGGCCTGTCTTCTCATATGCATATATTCTTTTACTATATATATGGTTCTAGATATGCTCTATATAGTTTTATATATATTTTATGTATAGTTTTTTTTCCCCCACTAAGTAGACCATGGCCATTTGTCCATATCCACACATCATCTTTTTTTAAAGTGAAAGGCCACTCTTAAAATGCTAACGCCCCCAAGCAAGGCAGAATCTTACATGTTCATGAGCCAACATGTGCCTAAGTGGACAGGTTCTGGGGAGGGAAAGGAGAACACAAGGTTGTGTTTTACCAGTGTCACAACTGTCCTCACGGTCAGTCTGTCCAAGAACAGCCTGGGAGGCCGGGTGTGGCGGCTCATGCCTGTAATCCCAACACTTTGGGAAGCCGAGGCAGGAGGACTGCTTGAGCCCAGGAGTTTGAGACCAGCCTGGGCAACAAGGAGAGACCCCATCTCTACAAAAACAAAAATTAGCCAGGCGTGGTGGCGCACTCCTGTAGTCCCAGCTACTTGGGAGACTGAGGTGGGAGGATCACTTGAGCCCAGGAGTTCGAGGCTCCAGGGAGCTATGATTGTGCCACTGCACCCTACCCTGGGCAACAGAGACCAACACTGTCTCAGGAAAAAACAAAAACAAAGCGGGAGGCCGGGCGCAGTAGCTCACGCCTGTAATACTAGCACTTTGGGAGGCTGCAGTAGGCGAATCATTTGAGGTCAGGAGTTGACCAGCCTGACCAACATGGCAAAACCCGGTCTCTACCAAAAACACAAAAATTAGCCGGGTGTGGTGGCACATGCCTGTAATCCCAGCTACTCGGGAGGCTAAGGCACGAAAATCGCTTGAACCTGGGAGGCAGTGGTTGCAGTGGCAGAGATCACATCATTGCACTCCGGTTTTTGAGACCCTGTCTCAAATAAATAAATAAATAAATAAATAAATAAATAAATAAAGCAGGGCTCACTCAGGGAAACTAATTTTCACATTACAGCAGGCAGGCCACAGCGCAACGCCCTGCTGATCCAGTGACTACAAAGTCCATCCCGCTGTAATCCTGGCCTGTATGAGCCCTCCCTCTGACCCCCTTCCCAGTGCCAATCTGACAAAGAAAGGTCATGGCAGGACCTGGGGGAAGAGAACAACAGAGCCACTGCCAGGCCCCATGGCCAGTTTGGCCCCAGTGGACATCTCATTGGAACCTTCTCTGTTTGCAGCGCCCAGCGGGTCTCAGCCCTCCCTGCCAGCCAAGCACACAGGGGGCCCTCTTGTCCACTCAGGCTGGGCAGCTCTCAAAGCACTCTCTCACACAGCATCCCTTACCATCCTCCAGGCTACCCAGGGATGTAGGCAAGAATTGCAGCCCCCAGATTCAAAGACAAAGAGACTGAGGCTTCCATGTGCCAAGTATCCCTAGAAGTCAGCAGACCTCTGATTTCAGCCTGTATCACCTGATGTCAAGACAGCTGTCTTCCCTCCACCTGCCCTTCCCCACGGCTTTGGGTTTTGGTTATTTCACAGCAAAAACTGAGACACAATCCCATTTTAAAGAAGAAGAAATTGAGGCACAGAAATTACATAATCTGCCAGAGGTCCCACAGCTATGAAGAGGGAGCTGGGATTCAATGCCAGGCGGTCTGGCTCCAGAGGCCAAGCTTTGCCGGCTGTCCTATAGCTAAGTCACTCTACAAGTTTCAAATGTTTCTCCACTCACCTACTTCCCCAAAGGGAAATAAGCAGTATGGGGGGACCACTGAAGCCCAAGGCCTTCAGTACCACCATTCTGATGGCCAAACTTCAAGTCAGAGCTATGGGGGCAGTGCAGCAGCCCTGGCTCAGGCTACCCTGAAGAGACGCAAAGACCACACATGTGTTTTTTCTTTATAATCAACCAATCACCAAAGGTCCTGTTAACACTCCACCTCTCCCCACCCCAACCTTCCTCAACCTGCAGACAATGTCTGTACCGTCAGCTCTCTTCCTCCTCCACTTTAAGGCTGATGTTATCTCTTCAGACTATCTGGGGTCTGCAGGCCTCAACTCTGATGCCCCCTATTTCAACAAAGCTTTGGCCTCTCAAAGGGCCCTGAGTGACTCTCCTAGAATCCCCCTCACCCCACTACAATTGCTTGCTTGAATCCAGGAGACGGCAAGCTCCATGAGGCAGGGACGTGCCTGATTATTTGTTGACCACCCTGGTCCCCAGTGCCCCACACAGGATTTGCTGCAGGAAGGCCTCCAGGCCAATGTTTACTTCAACCAGATCTCACCTGTGTACAAGAAGGTCAGGGGTGTAGGGGCTCTGCCAGCTTAGACCGGGCAGCCTGCCACCAGGCCTGGAATCTGGTGCAGCTTCAAGAAACAGTTACTCCTCCCTCCCCCGGTCTATCTATGCTTCAAACATTCCCTAGCAGTTTCTTCGAAGCACAACTGAGTCTTACAGGACCTAGTCCCTAGTGCATTCCACCCACACGTTTTAATGGAGAAAGTGCTGGGACGTATCACTGTCCTTTGATAGAGGAATTTTTCTCCTGATTTGTGCTAATAATTCATGAGGGAGGGGCCGGGCAGCTTCCAGTTTACTCTCACCTCCAAGTTTCTAAGCTCAAAACAGAGTTTTTGTTTGTACCATTGCTCCTTGGGTCCAAAAAAAAAAAAAAAAAGTTTTAAGAGAAAACATTTGCTGGTTTTCAGAGGGAGGAAAGGCAGAGATAATGAGTGCTGGCTTAAGCATGTTTGAGGAACACAGATACTCAGAAACAAAGATTTTTCAAACCACCCTGCAAGTATAAGCAGAAACTATTCCCACCTGACCTGAGCAATGAGGAAAAGGACGGACCCCTTCACAGCCCTGGAACAGCCCACTTTCAGAGCAAGCACGGGAAATGATGAAAACATTACAAATTGTGCTTAAAACCACATAAACATGGGCATAAAATATTACAAATCTTTATTCTGATTAGACTTAGAAATTCTCAGTGTGGCTTCTGTTTTAACAAACATTTGAAAAGAGACAGACCTATAAAATAGGCATTTAAAAATTACATCAGCATATTGAGTTTTACTATCTCACCTAGCAGGGCTGTCGCACACCTGAATGACCCATTTATCTCTGACTCACTGCCTCCTCTTCCATCCATTACTCGCCCATGCCTGGCACAAGGCCCCCTTGCTGGCCCTCAGCTAAGCCAGGCTTAGCCCTGATGCGCCCTCCAGCTGGAATGTTCTTCCCCCACATGGCCTGAGGCTTGCTCACTCTCTCCAGACAATACTGCATTCCTCTCCCTCCCCTTGCCTCCAAACACCCACCAGCTGAGTCCCCTTCCAGCTCTTTGCCTCCTTTGTATACATCAGATAACCTACCATGTGTATTTTAACTTTTTATTGCGTTTTCCACCCCCTCTGCAATGTAAGCCTCAGAAAAGCAGGGACTTCTGTCCATTCTCTTCACTGCTCTGTCCCCATCACCGAAAATTGCCCCCATCACGTAGTAGGTGCTCAATAAATACTTAGTGAATTAAAAAGCTGGTCAGGCGCAGTGGCTCACACCTGTAATCCCAGCATTTTGTGAGGCCAAGGGAGGCAGATCGCTCTCAGCTCCAGAGTTTGAAACCGGCCTGGCCAACATTGCAAAACCCATCTTTCCTAAAAATACAAAAATTAGCCAGCGTGGTGGTGTGAGCCTTTGGTCCTGGCTACTTGGGAGGCTGAAGCTGGAGAATCGCTTGAACCCGGGAGGCTGAGGCTGCAGTGAGCCGAGATTGTGACACTGCACTCCAGCCTGAGTGACAGAGCAAGACCCTGTCTCAATAAATAAATAAAGCTGACTGATCAATGGATCTGTGGGAAAATGCTTATTTTCCTAACTTAAAACATCAGGCTTATATCCAAGGGCTCTCTGGTTAAAAGGTTCCTCCTTTTACAGCTTGAAAAGGTTGGCTTTTGCTGATATAAATCAGCATGCAAAGGGGACCCAGCACTGTTCAAATAAGGTCAGAGGCAAACCCAGGTTGCAGGAAGAGACAGACATCCAAGTGACACGGCAGATGGCTGGCATCCAGAGGCCCTTTTGCAATCTGGAATTTAAATGGCCAAGACAAGAAATGGGATGTTAAATGTGGGCCTCAGGAGCAACACCTCAGTCTCCAGCTACCCACAGACAACTGCACCACAGCGTGAGAGCACGTTAGCAGCTACCAGAAGCCTGGTCACCAATTCAGGTTCATCAGACAAAAATCACGAGAGGTGCCGAACGCCCCAGATCGCAATCAAAAGGCAATGGGAAAGGAAATGTGGACAGCAGAATACCTTCCCCTGGGGGCCCTGAAAGTAGACTATCTCATTATTTGCCAATTCCATACTTGTGAATTCGTCTACTCGCTAAAATTTATATGTAACCCCAAAATCAATACACGCAGCCCTTTCAGGTTCATTCACCGACATACACAGGAGCGACGTTCTGCCTCCTGCTTTCAGTGCCCATCCTGTAAACAAGTGTCCTTTTCATGGTCTACTTAGTGCCATGTCTTTCACACTTTTGTGCTTTCTTTGGTGATTTTGCTGTTAAAATGGCCCATAAGGGAAGTGCAGAAGTGCTGTCTAGTGAGCTTTCCTGAGCACGAGCAGGCTGTGATGTGGCTTACAGAGCAAATACATGTTAGGTGAGTGGCCCTGAGTTCAATGCTAATGAATCAATAGTATATAGTAAATAAAGTGTCTTTTAATGGAAACTGAAAAGATTAATATTGATCAGTTGATGAAAATGTGACCACAGGCTTGCTCCAAGCCCTGCATTTTCCCTACAACAATGGTTCCGTATTCACTAATTCAGTGTTCACAACTTTATGGAATACAAGTACCACAAAAACAAGACTGGGCACGGTGGCTCACACCTGTAATCCCAGCACTTTGGGAGGCTGAGACAGCAGTGGCGGTGGGGAGGGGGGTAGCGACGACACGAGATCCGGAGTTCAAGACCAGCCAGTTCGAGACCAGCCTGGCCAACATGGTGAAACCCCATCTCTACTAAAAATACAAAAATTAGCCAGGCATGGTGGCGCACGCCTGTAATCCCAGCTACTCGGGAGGCTGAGGCAGGAGACTGGCTTGAACCCGGGAGGCAGAGGTTGCAGTGAGCCGAGATCACGCCATTGCACTCCAGCCTGGGCGACAGCGTGAGACTCCGTCTCAGGAAAAAAAAAACAAAACAAAACACTTGACTGTATATTAAAATGGCTCATTTTCCTGCCCCCATCCTTGGGCATACTCCCCTTGACCACCCCAGTGGCTCACTCCACCTGTTCTTCTGCAAACAGAGGCTCCCCTGCAGGCATCTGCTCAGGTGTCCTCCAGCAGCGCCCCTCCAGTGTCTCTGTCACACTTCTTACTGTAGCTATTACCACCAGTAATTATTACCCCCGCTCTGCTACTCACCCCAACCAAAAACGTAAACTCCTGGAGGGCAAGGTCTTTGTCTTGTTCACCCACATAAATGCAGTGGCCAACAGTGTCTGACAAGCAGTTGGTGCCCAGCATGAAGGGTGAAATCCCACCTGGCTCCTTTGTGACAGAAAACACCTATTAAACCTATGCCTCCCAGTGCCAAATGTAGCTAACACTTGAAACGTGTCTAGTCTCAACTGAAATGTGCCCTAAGTGTAAAATATGCCAAAGATCTTAAAGACTTAGTACAAAAATATATGTAAAATATCAGTAATTTTTTAATAGCAAGTCCACGTTGAAATTGTACTGTCTTGGATATTCCGGGTTAAACAAAATATTTAAATTCATTTCAGCTGTTTCTTTTTCGTTTTTAATGCGTCTACTAGGGAGTTTTTAATTGCTTATGTAGCCTGTATTATATTTCTATGAGTCAGTCTTGGTTATAATACCGTGAAAAGGCCAGCCAGCAACCCAGCCCAGCCCTGGCCACCCCCCTCACACCCTCCAGTTCGCCTCTCACACGGTTCCAAATGCTCTCCAGAGCCAGGCAGGAAACACCTGTCTGGTGGCTTCCTGTGACACACAAATACCTAAGTGTATTCAGAAATGGGATTCAGAAGTAAGGGCTAAAAAGAGTTTAACAGATTAACCAATTTCACCCCAAGAAAGTAAGCACACTTGGGGCTGAGATGTGGGCCATCTTGTTCATTACCCAGAACAGTGGCCGGCACATAGTAGGCGAGCAACTAGAATCAATCAATGCTTTTAAAAAAAAAAAAAAAAGACTATTTCCAGGATGGGTATGGCAACTCATGCCTGTGATCCCAGCACTTTGGGAGGCCAAGGTGGGAGGATCACTTTGAGGCCTGGAGTTCAAGACCAGCCTGGTCAACAGAGCTAGATCCCATCTTTACAAAAAAGCTTAAAGATATGAAAAATTAGCCAGGTATGGTGGCATGCACCTGTAGTCTCAGCTACTGGGGAGGATGATGCAGGAGGGTTGCCTGAACCCAGGAGTTTGAGGTTGCAGTGAGCTGTGATTGCACCACTGCACTGGGATAATAGAATGCAGGAACTGGAGGAGATCTGGAAAATGCCTGGGAGTATAAGATGGGAGCCCTGCCTCTGAGGCGTCATAGTACCAGAAGATGCTGAGCCTCTGAGTCCTGATCTGGAAAGTAAATAGTCCCTACCCTCCTAGCTCTCCAGGCCAGAACATTCTATGATGACAGCAGTTTAATACAGTGGCAACTGGACTGTTTAATATAGTGGCAACTGGGCTCTTGAAACGTGGCTATTGTGACTGAGAAATGGAATTTTTAGTCTTACTTAATTTTAATTAAACTCATTAGCCAGGCATGGTGGTGCACACCTGTAATCCCAGCTACTCAGGAAGCTGAGGAATGAGAATCACTTGAGCCCAGGAGGTGGAAGTTGCAGTGAGCAGACATCACACCACTGCACCCCAGCCTGGGCGACAGAGTAAGACTCTGTCTCAAAAAAAAAAAAATTTTAATTAAATTCAAATAGCCATACGTTGCACATGGCTACCATATGGGACAGCATAGCTCTAGGCTGGTGTGACAGGATGGAATGAGCTAAAACGTGTAAAAAACACTCTGGAAATGCTAAAGCCCTATAGGAATGGTAAGAGTTTTGTTGTTTAATGCATTAGAAATCTGAGATCCTGAGAGGTTTCAGTTACCCCACATCACAGACAGACTCAATTCATAAGTGAAAGAAATGTAAACAAACACAGATTTTACTTTACTTGGGGAGAAGGACAGCCCATGCTCTTGTATACCTACGATGGAAATGGAGGTGGTTAGCGATAACCCTTCACGCAACTCAGAGCAACAGGCTTTTTCATCCACATTGCTGCATCCAGATTTGGTAACTCCAGGGCCTACGCACGCAGCAGAAATCAAGGCTGCCAGTGAATCCTGGTAGATTATATTCCTATCTCCCACACTCTCACTCTTAGGGACCATGTGCTTCTTGTCCCTTCCACTGACGTTTGCTATTTCTCCTGCTACAGAAACAGACTTTGCCAACAGCTCCCTGCATTGGGAAACTGCGCTGAGAGTCCCTTTGGGGTTCTGACAGTCAATTCACAGTCTCCTGAATACATATAGTGGTTGTTCAAATTTGCTGATGGGTGGTAAAAGCAACCACTACTGGAAAGGGGTGGGAACTAATCGGAGGCTGTGATGAATGCTAACTTGTTTACACTCCCATTGGAAAATGCACATGAAACCCAAATCAAGTTTTAGTCTCCCAAGATTTTTCCCAGCAGGAAAGGCCTTCCCAGTCTAAACAGCTTTTTGTTACCATTATAATTATATTCTATGCACTAGCAGACAATAAAGAAATGAGCAGGGAAGCAGAAGGAGGCGGGGGGTGAGTTATTAGGACAGGAAAGTCAAGAAATGGTCGAAGTCAGAGGAAACAACACAACACTCTCCAGGACAAATGGCAGGAACTGCCCTGAATATGTAAGAGATTTTGTGAGCTCATTCATTATTCTCCATTAAAGAGTTCGGCTAATTTTCCCCTGTCCTTTCAGTCACATTAAAACTTGGGGCTTAAGCGTTGTGTAACGCTCTGCACAGACTTGGTTTAGGCCCCATGGAGCTTCCATAATGAAAAACAACATGTGCAATTGGATCCACATGCGTTCCGCCCACAGGTTGAGCTCAGTGGTGTATTTTATTCTGTCAGGGAGCTGTTGCTCAACTCCCAAGGAGGGGGGTCCAGCAATAACACTCCAGCTATGAAGACAAAATTAACCAGCCTTGTGCCGGTGTGAGTGACATCACTTCACCAAGAACAGGAACTCAGCTCTCTGTACCTCAAGTTCAGTCTCCCGTCTGTTGATATCATCCGTGGACTGATTTAACTTCTCCAGTTCTCCCTGGTGAAGAAAAGAGGGAGAAAAAAAGACTTAAGGGATCCGTCTTTTGTTTCCAATATAACTCAGTCCATAACCTGAAAAATTACCCCAGCCCAATTTGCAGGAAAAGGGAAGAATCAGAATTAATTCTTACGGCAAACAGTTGAGGCTTGACTAGAAAAGCAAATGAATGTCGGCATTTCTGAAACCATTTTCTTGAGGGTGTCCCTTTTGACAATGTCTTCAGAGACATTTGGAATTTGTCAGAGGTCAACTATTCCAGGTACATGCCTTCAGGTAAACCCCACCTGTTACAAATGGTTTAATGGCCTAATCAAAACAGTACCATCTGCCTTGAGCAAGAACTTTGCTTAGAAAACAATAAAAGACAATAAGCAAGGCCAAGCCAAAAATATAAACCCAGTGAAATCATCAAGGGCAGAATTCTGGTATTAACTCACCAGAATTATTTTTCTGTAAAGGGTGAAAATCTTTTCACACTGCCAATTATTCAACCTACTTAGCTGGACGTTTTAAACTAGCTTTAATCCCATTCCTTTCAATAAACATTTACAAACTGACATTTTGTAAAAAAAGTATCCAACATGAACTTAACTCATCATTACTATGCAAACAAAGGATCTTGCTAACATAATCCCATACCAGTAACACACGATTTATTCCAAACCAATTACTTTAATTAATAGCATTCCTAATGCAAGGATTTTTTTTCCACCTGATCTTTATCTTGCTAAGCTGACAAAACAATTCATTTAAACCCCAACCACTGAGTTAAGTGAGCTTTTAAATTGATCTGTGCACTAAAAAACCAATTAGGTATCCAGAAATTACAGAGCATGCTTAAAAGCAATTTTTTTAAAAAAATGATTTATTGAAAAGGTAGAAAAAAAACGGGCCTTAGAAAGGGATTTGCTCTGCTTTTTGCTTAGGGGTGAAGAGGTGAAACTGTCACTCCTAGATCTCGGCTTGGAAATTGTTTTTTAATCATCTCTCTTGGAAATGGAGGCACAGCCAGCCAGCCCAATCCCCTCGCCGCCTCCACGCGTCAGCTTTGCGCATCAGTTGTCCCCGATTTCTTTTCATGCCCAACCTCACAACAAGGAAAAGCAGGGTTTTAAGCAATTTCAAGCCAGGCAGAACGTTGAGCCAGTGATGACAATAAGCCGCTCAGTTCGCTAACAATCAATCAGAGAAGGAAAACGGCTCAGGCCGGGCACCTTGGCAAGTGAGGACTCTGCACCCGGGGCACCGGTGCCAGCCCGCGCTGCAGGGCAACGCCCACCCGCCCACGGTGCCCGGCGCCCACGCGGGCGACACCTCCTCGCAGAGCCTGGACGCCGTGCCATGCCCGCGGTGCCGCGGCCGGGCAGGGGTACCCCCGAGGATACCATGGCGCCCCCGCCCCCTTTTTCCCTTTGTTGCACATCCACCCGAACCACCAGGCACGCTGCACCGACCCCGATCCTGCTACGGGTCGGCGGGGGACTCCCCGCAATAGAGTCAGGCCGCATCCACGCGGGCACTGTAGCCTCCTCATTGTGGAGACGATGAAACGGAGCATACAGACCGTCTCCTGCCACCCTATGTGGCCGCCAGTCCCCGGACCACAGTTACTGGGGGCTGCGAAGTGGCTGTACGCGTAGACACCGACCTCCGTAGCAGCCCTCGCGAAGCCCGGATGCGGGGCGACCCCGCGCGCCCTACCTGGATCCGGGGATCCACCTCTTCTTCCTCCTCCAGCCCCTGCTCCATCCCCTCTTCCTCCTCCTCCTCCTCGTCCCGGGCAGGCGGCAGGATTTCGGCTGGCTCCTCCGAGCGGCTCCGCTTCAGTGCCGCGTCCATGCAGGCAGCCGGCACGCGCGCCGCGCAGTGGGCTCCGGAGCGCCCCGGGGGTCGCGGCTGCCACAGGCTGGGCTGGAGCCGCCTCGCCACAGCCGGGCACGGTCGGGGAGCCGCCGGGGCCGACACCCGGGAGACGCAGCTCGCCGATGCGGATACCTCCGGCCGCGGCGGAGCAGAGGAAATGGGCGCGGCCGCCCCCTTTCTGCCGCGGCAGTCAGCGCAGCGCCCGCTCCGCCCCCGTCCCGCCCCGGCCTCGCGTTCCGCCGCCAGTCCCAGCTATCCAGGTCTCCGTCGCAAAACCCCAGCTCCCTCCACATCTCCAAGGTGGCAAAATAGGACAGCCCCCACCCCCTTGTAACTTAGCAGCTCGGATATATCTCAACTACGTAACGCAAGCCTCCCGCTTTCGGGAGTCCCCTCCTCCAGCCCTCCTCCGAGGCTCGTTGTTTGTGTGGTAGGGAGGCGTGGGTGTTTTCACACTGAAGTCGCCTTCTGAAGCCTACGCTCAGTGACCCTGGCCCTCAGGACCAAGACTTGCCGAAACCCTATACCCAAAGCACACTCATCCTCTTGAGCGAACCTTGGGAATGGCGGAGGTTCCGTGCACTGATGCATTGCCGAAGGCTGCGGCCTCTCTGGGCGAGCCCCATACCGAAACACAGAGGTGCGGCGGTCCTACCTGAATAGCCAGGAGCATGGAGAATGCATTGAGCTGGGATTTAAGGAGGTGGCAAGTGTAACCCCTGTTGATGGGCACACTCTGGCCAAGAATTTATGAATTAGTGAGACTTTCTGCCCACCATCAACAAGTAGGGAGACAGAGTTGGCCTGGCAGACACAGCATCCGAAAAGGCCAAACTGAAGAGGCACGTGTGTGTGCTTTTATGAAATGTCAGGGCCACTGTGATGTCAGGGGAACGCAAAGGATGACCTTGGCAAAGCAGATGAGCACATGGCTGCTCACGTCTCCTTGCCTTGAGAAATGCAGAACGTGCACATGTCCTACACGGAGGCCTGTAGCCCATCGGCTCTGAGTTTGGAGGACAAATTTGCTTGAGAAAGGAGCTTCTTTCTGAGAACCTATCATCAAAGCCACCTTACAAAACCTGGGTCTGGCACAACGTGGTGGCTCGTATCTGTAATCCCAGCTCTTTGAGATGCCAGGACACAAGGATCACTTGAGGCCAGGAGTTCAACACCAGCCTGGACAATACAGCCAGACCCCTTCTCAAATGAATAAATAGTCCTGCTCCTGGTGGTTTTATCAGAAACTAGGCTAGAGGGTTACTCCTTGGGCAAGGCACCACCCCATACACGCTGGCACTGTAGTCCACTGTCAAAGGAAATTTGTCCTGTCTCCTGGAGGTAGTGCCATGGTTTGTTTCTAAAAAGGTCAGACCTGTTCATTGCTCTTTAAATCAAGGATGAGTCAGCAATTCTGTGAGAGGTGCTTCAAAGCTCCTTGCTAAAGACATAGTTGCTTTTGGTTTTCCAATGATAGATGAAGCCAGGAACAAGATAGCCATAGGGGTCACTTTGGAACACAGGAGCCACCAACCTTCTCTGGTGGCTTGGAATTGAGCCTCCAACTTTGCAGGTACATCCTAGCTCTGAATGAACTGAGAGACAGAGTTTGAAATAAACAGAACTCTGGGGTCAGCCCTGACTATGATAAATGCTTCTCAGCTAGCAGAACCCTATCCTCTCCATTCTAAATGGCAAACTCCAAACTACATTCCTGCTTAAGCTTAGGTCAAGAGCAAAATACATCTATGAGACATAGGCCAACTGCTCAAGAACATCAGTTCAGACTTTTGTTGTCTTATTTTTTGGAGATCTGGGCCAGCTATAGTGTTAATCCTAATAGTCTTTCTAAAGATAAAATGAGAAAAATAAATAAACCACAGGCAGTACTATATACAGTCAACCCTCCATAGCCTCTCAGGTTCCACATGTGTAAATTCAACTAACCACAGATAGAAAATATTTGGGGGAAAAAAACACAACAATTAAAAAAATGCATATTTAAAAATACATGGCCAGGAGTGGTGGCTAACACCTGTAATCCTAGCATTTTGGGAGGCTGAGGCAAGGAGGATCACTGGAGGCCGGGAGTTCCAGACCAGCCTGGGCAACAAAGCGAGACTGCCTTGCTCTCTAGAAAAAAAAAAAATACAGTATATGACAACTATGTACATATTTGCATTGTATTAGGTATTGCAGGTAAGAAATCTAGAGCTGACTTAAAGTATACAGGAGGGGCTGCTCATGGTGGTTCATGCCTGTAATCTCAATACTTTGGAAAGCCAAGGTGGGTGGGTTGCTTGAGCTCAGGAGTTCAAGACCAGCCTGGACAACATGGTGAAACACCATCTCTACAAAAAATACAAAAAATTCGCCAAGTGTGGTGGCTCATGCCTGTAGTCACAGCTATTTGGGAGGCTGAGATGGGAAGATTGCTTAAGCCCAGGAGGTAGAGGTTGCAGTGAGCTGAGATTGCACCACTGCCCCCCAGCTTAGGTGACAGCAAGACCCTGTCTCAAAATAAATATATATATATAAATAATAAAGTATACAGGAGGGGCCAGATGTGGTGGCTCATGCCTGTAATCTCAGTCCTTTGGGAGGCCGAGGCAGGAGAGACGATCGCTTGAGGCCAGGCGTTTGAGACCAGCCTGGACAACAAAGCAAGACCTGGTCTCTAGGCCAGGCATGGTGGCTCACATCTGTAATCCTAGCACTTTGGGAGGCCGAGGCAGGTGGATCACCTGAGGTCAGGAGTTTGAGACCAGCCAGGACAACATGGTAAAAATACAAAAATTAGCTGGGCATGGTGGCACATGCCTGTAATCCCAGCTACTCGAGAGGCTGAGGCAGAAGAATCGCTTGAACCCAGGAGGCAGAGGTTGCAGTGAACCGAGATGATACCACTGCATTCCAGCCTGAACGACAGAGTAGGACTTTCTCTCAAAAAAAAAGAAAAAAGAAACACCTCATCTCTAATAAAAATTGTTTTAAATTAGCAAGGCATGGTAGCACATGCCTGTAGTTCCAGCTACTCTGGAGGCTGAGGTAGATCACTTGAGCCCAGGAAGTCAAAGCTGCAGTGACCCCGATCATGCCACTGTACTCCAGCCTGGGTGACAGAGGGAGACCCTATCTCAAAAAAAAAATGTTTTTAATGAAAAAATAAATTAAATAAAGTATACAGGAGGTTGTATGTAGGTTATATGTAAACACTGCCATTTTCTACAGGGGACATAAGCATCTCAGATTTTAGCATTGCAGGGGTCCAGAAACCAATCCCCCAGGGATATCAAGGGACAACTGTATATATTCCCTATTGGCACATATGTAGTGCACATAAATGCATAGCAAAAGGCCTGGAAGGATTTATACCCAGTAAAGAGTGGCTACCTCTGGGAAAAAGGGAGCAGGGCGTGGCCTAGGATTGTCTGGGATGGGGGCAGGGGATCAAAGGAATGTTAGTTTCTCAGTAATGTTTTTATTTTTCACAAGGAAGATATGTTTATGATTGTTTTGTGGAATTTAAAGATAAATTTAAAATAATGCATACTGGTCAGGTATGGTGGCTTATGCCTGTAATCCCAGCTACTCTGGAGGCTGAGGCAGGAGAATCACCTGGACCCAGGAGGCAGAGGTTGTAGTGAGCCGAGATGGCACCATTGCACTCCAGCGTGGGCGATAAGAGTGAAACTCCGTCTCAAAAAAAAGAAAGAAAGAAATGAGAAAGCGTACCACATATACTTTTGGGGGAAAAGCACTCCAGAGACTGCAGCAGCATGTGCAAAGGTCCTGAGGTGGGAATATGCCTTGGGTGTTGGCAAAAAAGCAAGGAGATCCATGTGGGTAGGACAGAGACAGCCAGGGAGAGAGGGAGGGAGATGAAATCAGAGGCAAGCATGTGGGTAGGCCACGGAGATGCTTTAGGTCATGGTAAGGAATTTGGATTTTGTTCTGAGTGAGTGCTCCTGTAATAACTCTGGCTAGTGTATGAGAAATTGACTCGGTGGACATTGAGGAGCTAGGGTCAGAGGAGACAAAGGAGATCCATTAGCCTGATGATCAGCCTCTTCTGATTGCTTCTGTTTTTTCAGCAAAGTAATGAGCCACATCATCAGCTGAGAATGAGGGGATGTGGGGCAGAGGGCAATGGAGGTTGGAGGAGAGAGGCTTTGTGAAAGAGCTTGCAGGGACAGTTGGTGACTGAGTTGACCATGGGAATATATTATAATCGCCAGGTTGCGCTAAGGACCCACCTATGGTTTGAGAGTCCCAGTGAACCCAGTCAGCAAGGACGAGTGGATTTTCCTATAGTATAGTCTCCAAATCATTCCCATCTTTCTAACCCTTGATTCAGGGCTTCATCATGGCTCCCTAGACTCTTTTACAGTCCCTCACCCTCTTATGTCCACACTTCCCATTTGATCTAGCTTAGATTCCATTGTCCATCATTAAAATCACCACACTACAGTCAACCACAACTCCCTCACGCTTCTCCCCGACCACTGTAAGCACTTGGCATAATCCCAACCCTGGTTCAATCCCACAGTCTTACTACTTTTTACCTGTACTTAGTAGCTAAGCTAAAGTGCTGGAATTATAGGCGTGAGCCACCACACTCAGCCAAAGAGTTGGGGTTTTTTTTAGTTTAGTTTTTTTTTTTTTTTTTTTTTTTGGGACAGAGTCGCGCTATGTCACCCAGGCTGGAGTGCGGTGGTGTTAGCTCACTGCAACCTCCGCCTCCTGGGTTCAAGCTATTCTCCTGCCTCAGCCTCCTGTGTAGCTGGGATTATAGGCGCCTGCCACCACACCCAGCTAATATTTATATTTTTAGTAGAGATGAAGTTTCACCATGTTGGCCAGGCTGGTCTTGAACTCCTGATCCACCCACCTCAGCCTCCCAAAGTGCTGGGATTACAGGCGAGAGCCACCGTGCCCGGCCAAGAGTTTTTATTTAATGTTTTTAAACTGAAGTTTGCAAGTGAAAGTGATCAACAACATTAATTCATTTGTATTTTTGTTCTGTTTTTTGTTTTTAGATCTAGATCTGCAGAAAGCAACATTAATTCAGTACACTTTTCAGCCCCTACTATATGCATACACTATTTCTGGGGCCAGTTTGAGGGTCCCAAACATGTAGATGACAAATTCCTAGTCCTTTACTTGGGGAGACAGGCCCTCATGAAACCTGGGCCCCAGGCCAGGTCTCACACCTGTAATCCCAGCACTTTGAGAGGCCAAGGGAGGAGGATCGCTTGAGGCCAGGAGTTCAAGACCAGCCTGGGCAACATAGTAAGAGCCTCCCCACATCTCTACCAAAAAAAAATTTTTAATTAGCGGAGTGTGGTGGTGTGTACCTATAGTCCTAACTACCCAGGAGGGTGAGGCAGGAGGATCCCCTGAGCCCAGGAGCTCGAGGCTGCAGTGAACTAAGGAAGTGCCATGGCACTATAGCCTGGGTGACAGAGTGAGACCCTGACTCAAAAAAAAAAAAAAAAAAAAAAAGTGCCCCAAAGCAGCAGCCAAGTCAATCCCTCATTGTGAAGTTAAGACCCTTTCTGTCAAATTTCAATGCCATTTAAATTAAGATTCCTTGCAATGCCAATTTTTTTTTTTAATGCTTTGTGAGCTAGGCGTGCTGGCCCACATCTGTAATCCCAGCACTTTGGGAGGCCAATGTGGGAGGACTGCTTGAAGCCAGGAGTTCAACACCAGCCTGGGCAACATAGCAAGACCCCATGTCTACCAAAAAATACAAAAACTAGCTAGGTGTGGTGGTGTGCACCTGTAGTCCTAACTACTCCAGAGGCTGAGATGGGAGGATTGCTTGCACCCAGGAGGTTGAGGCTGAAGTGAACCAAGACTACACTACTGCATTCCAGCCTGGACAACAGATAGGGACCCTGTTTCTAAATAAATACATTAAATTAAATTAAATGCTTCGTAACTACCTGTTAACTCCTAGAACAGAAACTGCTGTCTGGACTAAGAATGAATCTGCATTCACATCACACTCTGGTGTCAATATCGGAAGAAACTGATAACTAGCATCCCCTCTTTCTCCACCAGTGATATTTACGTGGCACTTTAGGTCAGAGGCTGCAAACTGGAAGCGACTGGTGGGATCAGGCCTGGGGTATGTGCTGCCTGGCTGACATAGCCTTTATAAATTTGAGCCAACAGTTAAAACTAACATGAAGGAGGCTTGCAGCAGTGTGGGGTGGGGAGGGACTCATGCATGGGTGCGCAGCCACCACACCCCACCCCCATCCCTTGCACTAGCAAGGTCCCCCGAAAAAAAAAAAACCTAAACATGAAAACAGTGACCTAATATGAAAATGCAGACATCTCTGATTGGCAAGAGTGTGGAGAAGATGTGAGGAGTGGCTGGCTGGCCCCTTTAGGATGGCATGTAGTCTCAAATTAACCTCAGAACCCTATTGGCAGACCACTTACACCTGGCAGGCCACACACAGGTAAATGTCTGACCTCTCCCCAGAGCCCTCATGGTAAGGTGTTGCAGGAAAGCTGGCTCGTAGGTCTTCCTGCCAAATCTCTCTTCTCTTCCCAGCGACCCCTAAGGATCATGGCACATAGCAAGGTGGAAGAGAATTTTAAGGTAGACCATAAACCCTTCAACAATATTTTTTAACCCCAAATGACTGGTTCTAAGAATTCAAGAGTCTATAGAAGCCAGTTCTTTGAAAGGGATCAGAGCCTCCACATTAAAGAGGCATCTGTTTAATTTAGCGATTCAGTGACATCAGTGTGTTGCCAAATTGTCTTCCAATGTGGCCACTCCCCTCTAAGGAGAACCTTTATTTGTGTCTAAATTGAATTAAACTTGTCTCTTGACCCAGATGAATTACAGGCCACAGCACCTAGAGAATCCAGGAAAGAGATTTTCAGTGTATATCTGTAGTCTTACAGGACCTACAGATATTTAGGATGGTGCTGGAATCCTGGAGATGGAAAAAGTGTTCTACTAAAAAGAAGAGCCCAGGTGCGGTGGCTCACACCTGTAATCCCAGCACTTTGGGAGGCTGAGGCAGGTGGATCACCTGAGGTCAGGAGTTTGAGACCAGCCTGACCAATATGGTAAAACCATCTCTACTAAAAATACAAAAATTAGCCTGGCACTGTGGCATGCGACTGTAGTCCCAGCTACCAGGGAGGCTGAGACAGGAGAATTGCTTGAACCCAGGAGGCGGAGGTTGCAGTGAGCCAAGACGGCGCCACTGCACTCCAGCCTGGGTGACAGAGCAAGACTCTATCTCAAAAATAAATAAATAAATAAATAATAAAAAGAAGAAAGAGTGCTTGCTTCGGCAGCACATATACTAAAATTGGAATGATACAGAGAAGACTAGCACGGCCCCTGCACAACCATGACATGCAAATTTGTGAAGTGTTCCATAAAAAATTAAAAAAAAAAAGAAGAAGAAAGATCCTATTGAAGTGACGGCCTTTGCTAAAAAAAGGGGGGAAAAAGAAGAAAGAAAGTTCTATACCCTGCAAATCAATGAGCATAACATTTTGCAGACACTATTCTAGAATGGGATTTTAAGGAGGAGAGAATACTTCTGTGTCCCGAGAAGAAAAATGACTCATCACCATGACCCAGCTTGGGTTAACCAAGAACAAATCATCTCAGCACAGCCCTCACTTCCTTATCCATGGCTTATTAGTCTAGGAAATCTAAGGAAGGAAATAGGCAAGATAGACAAAGATAAATGGTACAGGAAAAGGCCACTTAAATAAATCCACTTATAAAGGAAGCCAAAATTCCATATTAAAATGGTGAAGAAAGGTATTTATTAGGACTTTACTCTGGAAGATAAAACTTAAAATAATGTTAAGAAATTTTTCTTGTATTTTAAAAATACAAGAAATATTTATTTATCTGACAAGTATTTATTGGCCATCTATTATGTGACAGCCTCTGGCAAGTGAAAATATGACAGTGAACAAAGGAGACAAAGCATCTGCTCTAGTGGAGCTTATAGTCCAAGGGAAGACAGACAAATGGTTAAATACATAAAAAAGCAACATAGGCCGGCATGGTGGCTCACACCTGTAATCCCAACACTTTGGGATCACCTGAGATCAGGAGTTTGAGACCAACCTGGCCAACATGGCGAAACCCCGTCTCTACTAAAAATACAAAAATTAGCCAGGCGTGGTGGCAGGCACCTGTAATCCCAGCTACTCAGGAGGCCGAATTGGGAGAATCACTTGAACTCCATAGGCGGAGGTTGCAGTAAGCCAAGATCGCGCCACTGTACTGCAGCCTGGGTGACAGGAGAGAAACCCTGTCTCAAAAAATAAAAAAAAATTAGGCCAGGTGCAGTGGCTCACACCTGTAATCCTAGCACTTTGGGAAGCTGAGGCGGGCGGATCACCTGAGGTTGGGAGTTCAAAACCAGCCTGGCCAACATGGAGAAACCTCGTCTTTACTAAAAATACAAAATCAGCTGGGCATGGTGGTGCATGTCTGTAATCCCAGCTATTCGGGAGGCTGAGGCAGGAGAATCACTGGAACCCGGGAGGCGGAGGTTGTGATGAGCCGAGAGCACACCACTGTGCTCCAGCCTGGGCAACAAGAGTGAAAGTCCGCCTCAAAAAATAATAAATAAATAAATAAACAATAAAATAAAACCTATTATAAAAAGGCTGCTATAAAAGCACTTTTATAAACCTAAACTCTTCCCTGGGGCCTCCCAGGCCCCACCTCATCTGACTTGTGCCCACATCTCACACCTCCTCTCACCGCCCCTCCTCCTCGCTCACCCTCTGGCACCACATGGGCTGTCAGCTGGCTCTGTCCTCAGGGCTTCTGCTGTCTGCATCGCTATCTCCTCCAGGGCACGGCTGCCTGACTCCTTCTCATCATCCACATCTCAGCCCAAATGTCACATCCATAGCAAGGCTTTCTCCAACTCCCATCTGGAACAGTTTGTCCTCCAGCCCTCTCTATATAGTTTGGCTGTATCCCCACCCAAATCTCATCTTGAATTGTGTCATGGGAGGGACCTGGTGGGAAGTGATTGGATCATGGGGGCAGTTTCCTCCATCCTGTTCTCGTGATAATGAATGAGTTCTCACAAGATCTGATAGTTCATAAGTGTCTGGCATTTCCCCTGCTTGCACTCACTCTGTCCTGCCACCCTGTGAAGAAGGTGCCTGCTTCTCCTTTGCCTTCCAGCATGATTGTAAGTCTCCTGAGGCCTCCCCAGCAATGCAGAACTGTCAGTCAATTCAACTTCTTTCCTTTAATTACCCAGGTTCAGGTATTTCTTCATAACAGTGTGAGAATGGATTAATATTCCTCTCTATCTCATTACCCTGTTTTGTTTTCTTCATAGCAATTATCTTTATCACTAGCTAGTCTATTTTGCTTTTTAATTTTTATTTTTTATTTTTAAAAAATAGAGATGGGGTCTTACTACCTTGCCCAGACTGGTCTTGAACTCCTGGGCTCAAGTGATCCACCCACCTTGGCCTCCCAACGTGCTGGGATTATAGGCATGAGCCACCATGTCCAGCCTTTATAATAGGTTTTATAATAAGTTTTTACAGTTATTATAAAAGTGATGGGAAGCACTGAAGGGACTGAATTCAAAGAATGACACAGTCAGTATATTTGCTTCAGTGATCACTGGGGCTGCTGTGTGGACATGAAATGGCCATGAAGGCAAGAGCAGGAGTAGGGATACAGGTCAGCAGGCTGTCCCAGGGGCCCTAGTGAGAGACGTGGCTGCCTGGGCTTGGGGTCCGATGGTAGTGGGGAGATGGACTGGAGTTGATTTAGGTTATATTTGGAAATTAGCTCCAACAAAACTTGCAATTCCATCCGATGTGGGGGCAGAGGGGGCAGAGGCAGAGACATCAAGAATAACTCAAAATTTTGACTTGAGCAAGCAGCTGACTGAAGCTGCCATTTACAGAGTGAGGTATGGGAGACTTAAGAAACAGTTTTGCAATCAAGAAGCCTGTTTTCAGGCACCCAAGTCTGACAGGCTATTAAACACTCAAGTGGAGATGTGAAGTAGACAGTAGGATAGACGTCTGAAGCTCAGGGGACAGGCCAAGACTGCAGATATAAATTTAAGAGTCGACTGCATGTAGATGATATTTAAAGCCAAGGGACTGAATGAGATCAAGGGACTGAAATCACTTAGAATAGGGGAGATGTGGAGGAAAAGAGGACCAGGACACAGCTCTGGGGCGTCCCAACATTTAGAGATTGAGACTTGGAGGGGAAGCCAGGCAAGAGGACACCAGCCAGCTGATTCTTAAAATAACAATAATCACAAAAATGAATCAATCAACTGTTGAGGAATTTTTTGCATATGTTTTTCTGGTAAAATTATATGATCATATAATAAAAAATTGGTCGATTCAGATTTGACTTTCACAGCACAATCATTAACAGTGTAATTTTGGCAAAAATAGCTGAGGTCTTTGTTAATTTTCCCAGGTGTCTCTCTTACCTCTTTGATATTCAAATCATTCTCATTTGAAGTATCTTTTTGGTCCTTATCCTCATAGATTTTTCTCTCATCTAATGCTGCTGTTTCCTCATATGTCAATGGCTTAGCAAATGATTAGGGCAGTTCCCCAAAATTGCTTTCCTAATCTTTTTAAAACCTTATTTTGCAAGACTGACAGTTTCACTTTGCCATCAATTTTTATGTAATTTATGTTGGCATTGTGCTGTTGTAACCTGACAACTATAGAGGAAATAATGGACAAAGACTGTGACACAATGGGCAGCGGTGGAAGCTTGGTTTTGAAAGGAATGGATATGTAGTCAGTTTATGAGTGATTAATTTTGTGTCACAATGATGTTAGCTGTCTATAGTGGAGATAACTAGCTGTCCACCAAATCCATTCTCCCCTTCCTTAAGCAATAAAATCAACAGCATTTCCCTACCTACCATTTGGCTAGGTGTGGCTTTGTGACAAAGTGAACAGCAGTGACATGCCACTTTCATGCCTGTCTGACAAAAATTGCCTACATGTGCTCCTTTGTGTGTTTTCCTCTTCTTTGACTGGATGCAGATGACAGTGAGGGCCCTGGAGAATGACAGATTTACAAGATGGAGACAACCTGGATCCCTGAGTGACTGCATGGAGGATAGCACCCCCACCAACTTGAGTACCCTGATTTCTTGTTACCTGTGCGAGAAATAACATTCCATCATTAGAGTCATTAAACATTTGAGTCTATTTGTTACGGTGGCTCGGTCTATCCTAAAGGACACACTGCTCTACTTAACTTCAGGAACGGGATAATGAATACTCAATAATGAGGAGCCCCTTATATATTTCAGCAAGATATTTATTACTTCATGTAGACTACACTATTACTTTGTGTAGACAAGGCTGAGAAACAAGGATGGTTGCTGACCTAGGTCAGAGAAGTAGTACTGACTGAAAAACCAAACCTAAAGGTTAATGAATCACTGTCCAACCATATATATTCCTTTGGGCTTTATTATCAGTTCTGTCCTTTTCAACATTTGTAGTAATGACTTGGATGAATATAAAGAATGCTCACTTCCCAAGCTTGCAAAATCCACCCTGGATTGGACAATCGTGATTCACAAATATCTTGGCGTTTTATTTGCATTGTGTTGTTGTATCCTAACAACTATGGAGAGAATAATGAATAAAAACTTTGACCCAATGGGCAGGGGACAGAAGCTTGGCTTTAAAAGGGAAAGGTGATTGCGCCACTGCACTCCAGCCTGGGCGACAGAGCAAGACTCCGTCTCAAAAAAAAAGGGAAAGGTGGTGCACAAAACTGAAGATGGTAAAGATCACTGGAGTAAACTGTAAGGTCCTGAGCTTAGTTTGAAATAAATTAGAACAAGATAGAGAAGACATGGCTTAAAGCAGCACATTTTTTAAAAGTTAGACATTTTAGAACGCATTTCTACAAGCATTGTGCCTATAATAAAAAGGTGATAATCTCGTGTTTTTCTGCCTGTGAGGGGGGACCTCCCTCTTGATATTTTGTTGTCAAATGCTACACAATACATGAAATGTGCTCAGAGGAGAGTGCTCAGAACTGAGAAGCCTCAGGAAGATGGATTTGGGGTGTGTGTGTGTGTGTGTGTATGTGTGTGTGTGTGTGTGTATGTCTGTGTGTTTTAATAGAGACAGGGTCTTACTCTGTTACTCAGGCTGGAGTCCAGTGATGTGATCACAATTCACTGTAAACTCTAATTCTTGGACTCAAGCGATCCTCCTGCCTCGGCCTCCTGAGTAGGTAGGACTACGGGAATGTGCCACCAATTTTTTTTGTAGTGACAAGGGTCTTCCTATGTTGCCTAGACTGGTCTTGAACTCTTGGCTTCAAATGATCCTCCTGTTTCAGCCTCCCAAAGCATTGGGCTTACAGACGTGAGCCACTGCACCTGGACAAATTTTTTAAAACATTCTATTGGGTAAATCTGTTCAATTGTTAATTGGGCTGCCTCAATAAGCAGTGAATGCCCCATCTCTGGAAGTGTTTGAATAAATTTGCATATAAAATTACTGTTATTCAGTCATTTTAATCTACAAGAATGGCAATTTCATATGGTTCAACCTAATATTTGGTGGAAAAGGTAGAGGATGAGTCAAGCAATTGATATTTTAAGAGCAAGTGACAGAAGCACATCTCAAACTGACTTCACCAAAGGGAAGGAGAGGTATTTATTAGTGGAGTGGAAAGCATATTGGCTCGTGTAACTGAAAAGCTCAAGTAAATTTAGCTTCGGGTATGGTTACATCCAGCAGTCTCTCTCTGTCTCTGCCCTGTCCTCCTCTGTGTTGGCTCCCTTCCCAGACACACCTGCCCCTTGTGCTAAGCAGCTGGGCACTAGCGGCTCCAGGCTTATGTTAAAGCAGCTTAACAACCCCAGCTAAGAGTCTCTCCTCACCAATAATTCCTGGGACTAACTCTTATTGAACTGAGTTGGCTCATACACTCCTCTCTGAATCAATAACTAAGCCCTCAGTTATTGACTCAGGGGCAGGGAGTAAAATTACTAATTGGCTTCGCCTCAATTACAAGTTGCCCTGGAGTCCAGAGGAGAGTGGGGTGAGAAAAGAGGATGTTCAGCCACATGGGCTGAAAGTAAAGAGAGGGTGGCTTTCCAATGGAAAACTGAGGTGCTACAGGTTGACCTGAAAATGAAATGGTGTGTTGGTTCTGAATCTATTTGAAAAATAAATAAGTAATAGAAAGATGAAGTGAACCAACCAAGTGAATCACCGGGTGAAAATGTGTTCTAAGCAGAGAGAGCAGCTGGTGCTCATGGGGGAATGAGCTAGGTAGGTTTGAGGAACAGAAACAAGGTCAGTGTTCCATTATCTGTTGCTGCAAAACAAAACGTCATAAACTTAATGGCTAAAAGTAATAACTGTTTTATCTCTTCAATTCTGTAAAATGACTAGACTCAGCTAGAAAGTTCTGCTCCATGTGATGCTAGCTGGCTGCCGTCACGTGGAAGGTTGACTAGGCTGGAACATCCAAGATGGCTTAGTCACATGGCCAGCAGTCAATGCTGCTGGCTGGGGGCTCACCTGGGGTTATGTATGGCCCAGGGCTCCTCAGTTCTCCTCCATGTGTCTTCTCTGTGAAGCTTTTGGTTTCTTACAGCATGGTAGCTAGATTCCAAGAAAGATAGCAAAAGCTGCTAATCTTTTTTTTTTTTTTTTTTTTTTTTTGAGACAATGTCTTGCTCTGTCGCCCAGGCTGGATTGCAGTGGCATGCTCTTGGCTCACTGCAAGCTCTGCCTCCCGGGTTCACGCGATTCTCCTGCCTCAGTCTCCTGAGTAGCTGGACTATGGGCGCCCACCACCAAGCCCAGCTAATTTTTTTATTTTTAGTAGAGACAGGGTTTCACTGTGTTAGCCAGGATGGTCTCGATCTCCTGAACTCGTGATCTGCCCGCCTCAGCCTCCCAAAGTGCTGGGATTACAGGCGTGAGCTACCGCGCCCGGCAGAAGCTGCTAATCTTAAAGCTTCAGCTCAGAAGTCCTGAAACATTAATTTAATCACACACAATCATGGAGCCAGCATATTCAAAGGCCATTACATTAGCGTATAGGAAGGAAAGAAACTGGTGGCCACCATCTTGGCTCCAGCCTTGGGGAGTAGGAGGCTGGGCCATAGTGAAGGGCAGAGTGGTATGCAATGGAATTGGAAAGGTAGGAAGGGGCTGGATCAGGGGTATGGAAACTATAATCCAGAGGCCAAACCCAGCCCACTGCCTGTTTTTGTAAATAAAGTTTTATTGGAAAGTAGCCACATTCATTTGTTTACTATATTGTCTATGGTAGAATCTAATAGCAGAATCGAGCAGTTGCAACAGAGACCATATGGCTCACAAAGCCTGAAATATGTTCTATCTGGTCCTTTACAGAAAAATCTACTGATGCCTGGGCTAAGTCATGGAGTGCCTTATAAGAATTGTTGAGGAGTTTGAATTTTATTCTAAGTGTGATGGGAAGCCACCAGAGGGTTTTAAACCAGTGAGCCACAATATCCCACCTACATATTTAAAAGATCCTCTCTGGGAATGGATTACTGGAGGATAAACATGAAAGCCGGGAAACCAGTTAGCAGACTATGACAATAATCCAGATGAGAGATGATAGAGTCAAAAACACAAGTGTGTGAATTTTGCACATGTATTCAGGAGAAGCAGCCTGCAGGACTTACTGAGCCATTGGATATGGGGATGAGAAAAAGAGAGGAAGCAAGGATGACTTACATTTTTGGCTTGAGCAACTGGGTAAAGGGTGGTATTATTAACTAAGAAGATGACGATCAGGGGAGGAGCTTATTGGGAGAAAAAGCACCAAGAGTTTTTTTTTTTGAAGACCGAGTCTCACTTTGTCATCCAGGCTGGCGTGCAGTGGTGCGATCTTGGCTCATTGAAGCCTCTGTCTCCCGGGTTCAAGCAATTCTCATGCCACAGCCTCCCGAGTAGCTGGGATTACAGGTATGTGCCACCACACTCAGTTAATTTTTGTATTTTTAGTAGAGACCAGGTTTCACCATGTTGGCCAGACTGGTCTCAAACTCCTGGCCTCAAGTGATCCCCTCACCTCTGCCTGCCAAAGTGCTGTGGTTACAGGTGTGAGCTACCACACCCAGCCAAGAGTTCTTTTTCGAACATACCAACTTTGAAGTTTTTGTCAGATATCCAAGAGACCTGACAAAAACCTCAAAGTTAATATGTTCAAAAGCAGCTGAACACTTGAGACTGGAGATCAAGGCATAAGTTTGAGAATCATCAGTAAACAGTATTGAAAGCCAGACACCTGGAAGGAATATTTCCAGAGAAAAAAATGGAGATAGCCTAAGACCTGGGAAAATTAGAAGCCAACAGCAGCAGAAAGTCAGCAAAAGAGAAGCAGTAGTAGTGGAGAGGAGAGAACCAGGAGACTGTGGTTTCATGAAAGTCCTGGAAAAAACATTTCAAGCTGGAGGGAGTGGTCCACTGTGTCTAATGCTACTGGGTAGTGGAAGAACGGGTGGACAGAGAAGTGACCACAGAACTCTGTGACACAGGCCTTTCTGAAACCTTGACCAGAGCGATTTCAGAGGACAGGACCACACCCTGATTGACGGAGTTTAAGAAAACCATGAAATGTGGACAAATGGAGGCAGCAAATATAGAGAGACCTATTCTGAGAAGTTTTGCTATAAAATGAACAGGTCAGAATCACAGATGTTCACTGCAGGCTCATGAGCTTTAAAGTCTCTTTCACTACTAAAGAGCATTGACTCCATGGAGCACCTACTATGTACCAGCACATTGCTTGTCAAGGATCCCAAAGAGGAATTTCTTTCTAATGGCTTATTGGGAAATTGGATGAAACACAACAGAAATACATACCTATAGCTTCCAAAAAAAAAAAAAAAAAAGAGAAGAAAATTTCAGCCCTTGAAAGGCAAGTGAAGATTTTCAAACAGGTTTCTCCACATTGTAGGGAGACCTGCAAACCCATAAAACCAGCAGTTTCGTTTCTGCTGGGTATGCACTCAAGCTCTTCCTTCCACACTTTCTCAAGGAAGCTTGTTCAAGCAAACTTCTGAAATTTGCTACCAAATATAAATGTGCAACCCAATGAATAAGCAGATTTTTGTAATCAGAACAAAATGCATCTTGTAGAAGGATACAAAGTATTATTTTTGCTTTAACATTTTGTTATTTGTTTCTGGAAAACATTTAGTTTCTCCTGACAAACTTCCAGGACAAAAGCACACACTCATACACACAGAATAAGTACAGACTGTAAGAAAGACATGGAGACAATTTTGTATCTAATTTCACTTCCTGGTAATCTTCAGGAAGATTCAGGTGATCTGAATCTGAATCTCTACCTATAATCTTCGGGTGGAGATTATCACACCTTGGGAGGCCTAGGCAGGCAGATCGATTGAGCCCAGGAGTTTGAGACCAGCCTGGGCAACATGGTGAAACCCTGTCTCTATAAAAAATACAAAAATTAGGCGGGTATGGTGGTGCATGCCTGTGGTCCCAGCTACTTGGAAGGCTGTGGTGAGAGGATCATCTAATCCCGGGAGGTCAAGGCTGCAGGGAGCTGAGATCATGCCACTGCACTCCAGGCTGGGCAACAGAGTGAGACCCTGTCTCAAAAAATTAAAATTAAAAAAAAAAAAAGAGATCACCTGACCCTAAAGTCTGAGCTCTGAACCATTGGCTATACTATTTTATAGAGGTGCAAGCTGACTCATTATGTTGCCTGTCTTCCTGGGTCTATAAAATATGTAATCAGCAAAGACATGGAATCAGCCTAAATGCCCATCAACAGTAGAGTGGATAAAGAAAATGTCCAGGTTCGGTGGCTCATGCCTGTAATCCCAACAGTTTGGGAGGATGAGGCGGGTGGATCACCTGAGGTCAGGAGTTTGAGAGCAGCCTGGCCAATGTAGTGAAATCCTGTGTCTACTAAAAATACAAAAATTAGCCAGGCATGGTGGTGGACGCCTGTAATCCCAGCTACTCAGGAGGCTGAGGCACAAGAATCACTTGAACCCAGGAGGCAGTGAGCCGAGATCGCACCATTGCACTCCAGCCTGGGTGACAGAGTCAGACTCTGTCTCCAAAAAAAAAAAAAAGAGAAAGAAAAGAAAATGTTGTACATATACACCATGGAATTCTATGCAGCCATGAAAAAGAATGAGATCATGTCCTTTGCAGCAACATGGTTGGAGCTGGAGGCCATTATCCTAAGTGAACTAACACAGGGACAGAAAACCAAATATCACATATTCTCACTTATATGTAGGAGCTAAACACTGAGTACACATGAACACAAAAAACGCAACAACAGACACCGGAGCCTACTTGAGGGTGGAAGTTGGGAGGAAGGTGAGACTCGAAAAAGTACCTATCAGGTACTGTGTTTACTACCTGATGAAATAATATGTACACCAAACCCCTGCGACAGGAAATTTACATATGTAACAAACCTGCACACGTACCTCTGAATGTAAAATAAAAGTTTTTTTTTAACTTTTTCAGAGAAGTAAAGAAACAGAAGAATGACTACTCCATAGAGCAGCCAACTTTTTTTTAAAAAAAGGCATATATGGAATCATAACAGGAGCCATATTTCTGTCTTTGCCCATGAATTTATTTAGAATCCCAGCTAATATGGTTTAGATATTTGTCCCTGCACAAATCATATGTTGAATGATAACACCCAGTGCTGGAGATGGGGCCTGATGGGAGGCGTTTGGATCATAGGGGCAGATGTTTCATGGCTTGGTGTTGTCTTCATGACAGTGACTTCTCACAAGATCTAGTCATTTAAAAGTGCATGGCACCTCCCCCACACATGCTTTCTCTCTCTTGCTCCTGCTTTCACCATGTGACATGCCTGCTCCCTCTTTGCTTTCCACCATGATTCGAAGCTCCACAAGGCCTCCCCAGAAGCAGATGCCACTATGCTTCCTGTAGAACCTGCAGAACCATGAGCCAATTCAACCTCTTCTATTTTTAAAATAAATTACCGAGTCTCAGGTATTTCTTCATAGCAATGAAAGAATGGCCTAATACAGAAAATTAGTACTGAAGAGTGAGTGATTGCTATATAGGTACCTGAAAATGTGGAAGAGACTTTGGAACTGGCTAACAGGCAGAGGTTGGAAGAGTTTGGAGTGCTCAGAAGAAAACAGAAAAATAGAGAAATTTTGGAATTTCTTAGAGACTGGTTAAATAGTTGTAACCAAAATGCCGATAGGGATATGGACCGTGGAGACCAGGCTGACAAGGTCTCAGATGGAAATGAGGAACTTATTGGGAACTGGAGCAAAGGTCACATGTGTTATGCCTTAGCAATGAGTGTGGCTGCAGTCTGTTCATGTCCTAGGGATCTGTGGAAGTTTGAACTAAAGAGTGATGACCGAAGCTGGGTGCGGTGGCTCACGCCTGTAATCCCAGCACTTTGGGAGGCTGAGGCAGGCGAATCACAAGGTCAGGAGTTCGAGACCAGCCTGGCCAACATGGTGAAACCCTGTATCTGCTAAAAATACAAAAAATTAGCTGGGTGTAGTAGTGGGTGCCTGTAATCTCAGCTACTGGGGAGGCTGAGGCAGGAGAATAGCTTGAACCTGGGATGCAGAGGTTGCAGTAAGCCAAGATCACTCCACTGCACTCCAGCCTGGGCAACAGAGCGAGACTCTGTCTCAAAAAAAAACAAAAAAAAAAAAACAAAAAAAAAAAGAGTAATGACCTAGGGCATCTGGCAGAAGAAATTTCTAAGCAGCAAAGTATTCAAGAAGTGGCTTGGCTGCTTCTAACAACCTAGGCTCAGATGAGGGAGCAAATAAATGACCTAAAGTTGGAATTTATATTTAAACAGGAAATGGAGTGTAAAAGTTTGGAAAATTTGCAGCCTGGCCATGTGGCAGAGAAAGAAAAAGCTTTTTCAGAAAAGGAATTCAAGCAGCCTTTGGAACAACTGCTTGCTAGAGAAATCTGCATAACTAAAAGGGAGCCAAGTGCTAATATCCAAGACAGTGGGGAAAAGGCCTCAAAGGTATTTCAGAGACCTTCTTGGCAGCCCCTCCCATCACAGGCCCAGAGTCCAGAGGCCTGAGAAGAATAGTGTCATGGGTCTGGGCCCCACTGCCCTGCACAGCCTTGGGACACTCTTTCCACATCCAGGTGCTCCAGCTCCAGCTGTGGTTCAAAGTGGCCCACATACAGCTCAGGCCACTGCTCCAGAGAATGCAAACTCTAAGCCTTGGTGGCTTTCATGTGTTGTTAAGCCTGCAGGTGCACAGAGTGCAAGAATGGTGGTTTCTTGGCAGCCTCTGCCTAGATTTCAGAGAATGTATGGGAAAAGGTTGGATGTCCAGGCTAAAGCCTGCTGCAGGGGCAGAGCCCTCACAGAGAACTTCTGCTAGGGCAATTTGGAGAGAAAATGTGGGGTTGCAGGCCCCAAACAGAGTTCCAGCCAGGACACTGCCTAGTGGAGCTGTGAGAAGAGGCCACCATCCTCCAGACCCCAGAATGGTGGATGCACTGGCAGCTTGCACCCTGTACCTGGAAAAGCCACAGGTACTCAACTCCAGCCCACGAGAGCAGTCTCAGAGGTTGCACGCTGCAAAGCCATGGGGGCAGAGCTGCCCAAAGCCTTGGCAGCCCACTCCTCATACCAGTATGCCCTGGATGGTGAACATGGAGTCAAAGGAGATTATTTTGGAGCTTTATGATTTAATGACTGCCCTGCTGGGTTTCCAACTTGTGTGAAAACTGTAGCCCCTTTCTTTTGGCCAATTTCTCCCTTTTGGAACAGGAAGGCTTACCCAATACCCCCACTATATCTTGCAAGTAACTAACTTGTTTTTTATTTTACAGGCTTATAGGTGGGAGGGATTTGCCTTGTCTCAGATGAGACTTTGGACTTTTGAGTTAATGCTAGAATGAGTTAAGACTTTGGGGGACTGCTGGGAAGGCATGATTATATTTTGCAATGTGAGAAGGATATGAGATTTGGGAGGAACCAAGGGCAGAATGATATAGTTTGGATATTTGTCCCCACCCAAATCTCATGTTGAATTGTAATCTCCAATGCTGAAGGTAAGACCTGGTGGGAAGTGTTTGGATCATGGAGACAGATCCCTAATGGCTTGGTGCTGTCTTTGTGATAGTGAGTGCTTGTGAAATCTGGTCATTTAAAAGTGTATGGCACCCCCGCCTCCCCAATTCTCTCTCTCTCTTGCTCCTGCTTTCACCATGTGACACCTGCTACCCCTTTGCCTTCTACCATGATTGAAAGCTCCCTGAGGCCACCCCCAAAGCAGATGCCTCTATGCTCACTGTGCAGCCTACAGAACCACGAGCCAATTAAACCTCTTTTTAAAAAAAATATAAATTACCCAGTCTCCGGTATTTTTTTTTTTTTTTTTTTTTTGAGATAGAGTCTCGCTCTGTCACCCAAGCTAGAGTGCAATGGCGTGACCTCAGGTCACTGCAACCTCTGCCTCCTGGGTTCAAGCGATTGTCCTGCCTCAGCCTTCTGAGTAGCTGGGATTACAGGTGTGCACCACCACGCCTAGCTAATTTTTGTATTTTTAGTAGAGACGGAGTTTCATCATGTTGGCCAGGCTGGTCTCGAACTCCTGACCTCATGATCCGCCCACCTCAGCCTTCCAAAGTGCTGAGATCACAGGCGTGAGCCATGTCACCTGGCCAGGTATTTCTTTATAGGGATGCAAGAATGGCCTAATACACCAGCTCTGCTCTTTATGAAGCTATATGACTCTAAATCACTTAATCTGAGTGAGCCACAGTTGCTTCATTTGTCAACCAGTGATAATAGATCTACTTTACATTTGTGTATTAAATTAGCAAATGTAGATAAAGGTCTGTGTTCATGCTCTGAGTACAATACATGATAGTTATCATAAAGAACAATATCTATGAGTACACCCAGCCTTTCTCAAAAAGATAAAGCTATGTTATCTACTGTTAAGAAGGGTCTCAAAAAAAAAAAAGAAAGAAAAACAAGAAGGGTCCCAGATCTCCTGAGTTATCCTACCTCATAGTCAGGATTGCCTGTCTATCCATTTTAAGAATAATCTTGGCTGGGTGCAGTGGCTCACACCTGTAATCCCAGCACTTTGGGAGGCCGAGGTGGGCAGATAACAAGGTCAGGAGTTTGAGATCAGCCTGGCCAATATGGTGAAACCCCATCTCTACTAAAAATACAAAAATTAGCCAAGTGTGGTGGCAGGTGCCTGTAGTCCCAGCTACTCGGGAGGCTGAGGCAGGAGAATTGCTTGAACCCAGGAGGCGGCGGTTGCAGTGAGCGAAGATTGCACCACTGCACTCCAGCCTGGGTGACAGAGTGAGACTCCCTCTCAAAAAAACAAAACAAAAGAATAATCTTGGCTGGGTGTAGCCGTTTATGTCTGTAATCCCAGCAGTTTGGGAGGCTAAGATGGGAGGATCACTTGAGTTCAGGAGTTCAAGACCAGCCTGGGCAATATAGCAAGACCTCATTTCTTGCTAAAAACTTTAATAAAAAAATAGCGCCGGGAGTAGTGGCTCACGCCTGTAATCCCAGCACTTTGGGAGGCTGAGGTGGGCAGATCACGAGGTCAGGAGATCGAGACCATCCTGACTAACACGGTGAAACCCCGTCTCTACTAAAAATACAAAAAATTAGCCAGGTGTGGTGGTGGGCGACTGTAGTCCTAGCTACGCGGGAGGCTGAGGCAGGAGACTGGCATGAACCCAGGAGGCGGAGCTTGCAGTGAGCAGAGATCATGCCACTGCACTTCCAGCCTGGGTGACAGAGCAAGACTCCGTCTCAAAAAAAAAAAAAAAAAAAAAGCCAGGCATGGTGGCACATACCTGCAGTCCCAGCTACTTGGGAGGCTGAGGTGGGAGGATCACTTGAGCCTAGGAGATCGAGGCTGAAGTGAGCTATGATCACGCCGCTGCACTCTAGCCTGGGTTACAGAACAAAATCCTATTTCAAAAAAAAGAAAAAATGATCTTGCTGTCTGGGGAATCCTACAGTAGGCAGTATAATTTTAAGCAAGTACCCTTGAAGGTCACAGACTTTAGTTATTTTGTTATTTATTTATTGTTAAGAAAGGATCTTGCTCTGTCGCCCAGGCTGGACCGCAGTGGTGTGATCATAGCTCACTGCAGCTTTGAACTTACGGATTAAGCAATCCTTCCACCTCAGCCTCTTAAGTAGTTGGCATTACAGGCACATACCACCGTGTCCAGCCATTTAAAAAATTTTTTGTAGAGACAGAGTTTCACTATGTTACCCAGGCTGATCTCAAATCCCTGGCTTCAAGCAATCCTTCTGCCTTGGCCTTTCAAAGTACTAGGATGACCAGGTGCGAATCACCACGCCCAGCTGAGAGTCACAGGCTTCAGAAGGTCATCTGTCGGCATAGTAAAGTGTCTCCCATAAATGGGATCACAAGGCCTTCTGGCTAAGCAACCCCAACCTCTCCTCTACCCAGTCCCAAACCTCGCAGCAGTCATCCAGACTTGCTTTGGTTGCCCTATAAGTCCTTCCCAATGAGTTATTTCTGATTAGGAAGAACTTCTACTCTCCTCTTCTCTATCTTTGAAGACATTGGGAACTGCTCTACTGTAGAAATAACTACAGTCCCAATTTGGACCAGTTTGCAGCTTGGCTTTGAATGTTTTCAAAACCTCAGCTTAGACAAGAGGAAAAAATTCTGTCTCCAAGCCTTGCCCACCTCAACTTCCTTAAAGACTCTGACGAAGAGTGACAACAGGGCTAGGAATGACCATCTTTTTGGTCTGACTTTAGCTGGTGAAATTCACTGTACATAGAAATGCAAGAGCTGGAAGAGGAGGAACTCCAGTGGAAAGGGTCTTTCCATTGGCCCTGATGATGCACAAGCTGGCTTTGAGCATCCCATCTTCTTGATGTGAAGAAACAGCAGCAGAAGCTCTATCAGGTCAAGGGGCTGTTTCCATTTTTAAATGTTTGAGGTTTTTTTGAGTTGGGTAAAGAAGATAGCTTTAAATTCCTATTCATGAATAGCAGCAGATGCTGTTTGGAGTGTAGACCACTTCCCCTCAGCCTGACTAGGGTTTCAGCTGCAGCCAGAGTGGACATTCTCCATGCACGCTGGCAGCGCCCACCTCAGGCAGCTGTGGAGTCCCTCAACTTTTCCAACTCAGGTTTTATTGGAAGCTTCAGTAGTTCACTTAGTCCATACACAGAGCAGCCCTAAGTGCCCGGGCATGTCAACACTCCCAATCATTGGAGGAATAAGAAACCAGTGGGGGAAGGCCCCAGCCTCTGGCCCTTCAGAGGCACAATTCTGAGGTGTATTCTCCACAGGTCTCCAGCAACAGTGAGCCCTGGCTGCCCGCAACAGGAACCAGTGGAATCCTACATCCTTGCCTGGCCTATTTCTCCTCTTACTCTCCCTACTCCTCCTCTTACTCTCCCTACTCCTTAACTCCTACTTCCTAGGGTCCCCTTTCAAAAAGCTATCTATACCCAAGACCCAGGTCTTTCTGAGATTTCGTCTTTGGGATAACCTAAGCTAAGATATGCATCAATGCACATGTTAGGAGGTGAGTTTTAAAAAATTTTTTTTCTTTTTTTTACTTTTTTCCTCTTTTTTTTTTTCTTTTTCAACCATGGGAGACTCACTGGAGTCTTTGTTTCTGAATTAAAAAGGAAGTGTTTGGGGTTTTTTTTTAACATTCAGAAATAAAGTTGCTCCTGGAAAAGGGAACCTGTCACTATTAAGAAGAGCTGTCCTTCATGTGGAAGAAGTGGGAATTCAGTTCTGACTATTGGTAACAAAGTTAAGCCTTCAGGCTGACTGTTAATCTAGGCCAGGGCCTGGGCTGGAGAGGAGCAGCCTGGCTGATTGTGGTGTGGAGGTATTTCTTCTTCCCGGTCCTAGCGCTGGAGGCTGGAGGTGGAATGTGTAATGGGAAAAGGCTGTGGGTTGAGACTGAGACAAATGTTGAAAACAGATCATAGAGACCTGGGAAACCTGAACTGAGGTTACAGAGTAAGAGAAAAAAACAGGCAAGACAGGCTTATGGAGTGGGAGGTGGTCTGGAATCATTTCAGGGACCAAGGGTGAAGGCCAAGGGAAGGCCTTCTCCCCCTTCCTGACATTTGTGCGAGGGTCCTGCCATGGAACAATGCCCCTAATAATCCCAGTAGACCTAATAACAACACTTCCCCCAACTGTGGATCTATTTGCATGAGAGAAGGAAAACAAGGGGATGAAGAGGAGGAGATAGGGAGATAGGGAAAACAAGCATTTGCGCCCAGTAAGAACACCTGCTTTCCAAGGGCATAATTGTAACCCAGGGAAAGGAACAATAAAACAAAGACTCACCGTTACCAAAGGGGATTTCCAAGAACAAAAACAACCAACAATAACTGAGAAATCAATCACTTGCCTTCCTTCCTGCTGACTTTTGTTTTTTTTTTTTTTGAGACGGAGTTTTGCTCTTGTTGCCCAGGCTGGAGTGCAATGGCGCGATCTCAGCTCACTGCAAACTCTGCCTCTCAGGTTCAAGTGATTCTCCTGCCTCAGCCTCCCAAGTAGCTGGGATTACAGGCATGTACCACCATGCCCAGCTAATTTTGTATTTTTAGTAGAGACAAGGTTTCTCCATGTCAGTCAGGCTGGTCTCGAACTCCCAACCTCAGGTGATCTGCCCACCTTGGCTTCCCAAAGTGCTGGGATTACAGGCGTGAGCCACCGCGCCCAGCCTCCTGCTGATTTTATAAGGCTGTTTTTTTACCATTTTACTTAGATATGTGGGTCTACAGAGGAGGTGTAGTTATAGTGTTTCTGGGGAAGTAATATTTTTCCAGATGCTACAGCCACAGACCAATTTTTATAATAAACTTTATTTTATGGAGCAGTTTTAGGTTCACAGCAAACTTGAGTGGAAAGCATAGAGCATTCCAAGTATAGAGGCTTAGGGTATAGAGATGTACCCCTGTCCCCAAACATGGACAGCCTCCACTCCATCAACATCCTGCAGCACACTGGTGCCTTTGTTACAATCCATGCACCTACACTGACACATCACTATCACCTGAAGTCCATAGTACCTTAGAGGTCACTCCTGGTGCTGTATGTTCTATGGGTTTTGACAAATGACTGTTACATATCCACCATTATAGTGTCATACAGAATAGTTTCGCCACTTTAAAAATCCTCTGTTCTCCTGCAGAGTAATTTTAATTCCACAAGAAAGCTGGGCGGTCAGCTACAAGTACAATTGTCAAAATTGGATGGTAAATAATTTTTAGCATATATCAGACTCTCCTGGAATTGATAGCAGATTGGAACCCACCAATATAGCTGCAGAATAAGAATCCTGACTGGGACTGGGTGTGGTGGCTCACGTCTGCAATTCCAACATTTTGGGAGGCTGAGGTGGGACGATCACTTGAGCCCAGGAGTTCAAGACTAGCTTGGGCAACATACAGAGACCCCATCTTTACAAAAAATACAAAAATTAGCCACGTGTGGTGGTGCGTGTCTGCAGTCCCAGCTACTTGGGAGGCCGAGGAAAGAGGATCATGTGAGCCCAGGAGTTGGAGGTTTCAGAAAGCTATGATGACACACACACCTATACTTCAGCCTGGGTGACAGAGTAAGACCCTGTCTCAACATAAAAATAATTTTAAAAAAAGAATCCTGACTGTACTTCAAATGGTCGCATTATCCAAAAGTGGACAACCTCTATCCCACTCCCAAGCAAACCAAATCAAAAAAGCCCATCAAAGACCCCAAGATTTTCCCAAATTGTAGGTCTTTATCTGTGACATTGTAATTTCTACCATCTAATACTAGTAGCTTTAGTTCAATAATTATAATAATCAGATCAGGCTGGGCATGCTGGCTCACACCTGTAATCCCAGCACTTTGGGAGGCCAAGGAGGGCAAATCAACTGAGGTCAGGAGTTCAAGCCTGGCCAACGTGGTGAAACCCCATATCTACAAAAATACAAAAATCAGCTGGGCATGATGGTGGGTGACTGCAATCTCAGCTGCTGGGGAGGCTGAGGTGGGAGGATTGCTCGAACCCGGGAGGCAGAGGTTGTAGTGAGCTGAGATCACGCTACTGCACTCCAGCCTGACCAACAGAGTAAGACTCCGTCTCAAAAAATAATAATCAGGTCAACTACTGTAGACTATCACAGCTGTCTTTTTGCAAGGATGGGATGCAGTTTCCTGATAAAGGATATAACCTTTCATCTTAGTTAAAATCCTTTCTTCATAATTCTGAGTCTCAAAATGCTTTTCTGCAATGTTAATTTCCAACACCTGCTTTATGAGCCGACCATAGCAATTTAACTCCCAAGACCTGAAAATGAAACTCACTGAGTACATTAAAAAAAAATTATCAGGATCATGTGAAAAACTAATTTTTTTTTTTTTTTTTTGAGACACAGTCTCACGCTATCACTCTATCATCCAGACTGGAGTGCAGTGACACAATCATGGCTCACTGCAGCCTCGGCCTCCCAGGCTCAGGTATCCTCCCGCCTCAGCCTCCCAAGTAGCTGAGACTACAGGAATGTCCCACCACACCAAGCTAATTTTTTTTTTAAAAATTTTACAGAGACGAAGTTTCGCCATGTTGCCCAGGCTGGTCTCAAACTCCTGGGCTCAAGTGATCCGCCTGCCGCCCAAAGCGCTGCAATTACAAGCATGAGCCACCACGCCCAGCCGTGAAAAATTAATTCTTAAAAAAGGTAAGGATCAGCGTTGAGTGTGCATTTACAGAACAGAATTCAACAGATACCTTTGTTTCTTTTTTTCTTTTTCTTTCTTTCTTTTTTTTTTTGAGAGAGTCTCACTCTCTCACCCAGGCTGGAGTGCAGTGGCGCGATCTCAGCTCACTGCAACCTCCAAGTTCAAGTGATTCTCCTGCCTCAGCCTCTCGAGCAGCTGGGACTACAGGCGCATGCCACCACGCTCAGCTAATTTTTGTATTTTTTGGTAGAGACAGGGTTTCACCACATTGGCCAGGTGGGTCTCAGAATTCCTGGCCTCAAGTGATCCTCAAGCCTCAGCCTCCCAAAGTGCTGGGATTACAGGCGCATGCCACCACACCTGCCTAATATCTGTATTTTTAGTAGAGATGGGGTTTCACCACAATGGCCAGGCTGGTCTCAAACTCCTGACCTCAAGTGATCCACCTGCCTCAGCCTCCCAAAGTGCTGAGATTACAGGCGTGAGCCACACACCTGGTCTACAATTTTTTTAATTAAAAAAAATTTGTTTTGGCTGGGCACAGTGGCCACCTGTAATATGAGCACTTCGGGAGGCTGAGCCAGAAGGATCACTTGATCCTGGGAGGTCAACACTGCAATGAGCCATGATGGTGCAAGCTGCACTTCAGCCTGGGCAACACAGCAAGACCCTGTCTCTACAAAATAAAAATAAATAAAAAATTTAGGGGCATGATGGCATGCACCTGAGTCCCAGTTACTTAGGAGGCTAAAGTGGGAAGACCCCTTAAGCCCAGGAGTTTGAGGTTATGGTAAGCTATGATCACACCACTGCACTCCAGCCTGGGCAATAGAGCAAGACCTCATCTCTGGAAAGAAAAAAGTGTATCTGTGGCTCCCATTGTATTTCTGTTGGACAGTGCTGCTGCTATTTGTCTATATAGTAAGTACTCAGGAAGACAATTTGTTGGAAGAAACATCAGGAGGCCATTTTTTTTTTTGTAATCCCAAAGTGCTGGGATTACAGGCATGAGTCACCGTGCTCGGCCCTTTTTTTTTTTTTTTTTTAGATGGAGTCTCACTCTGTCACCAGGCTGGAGTGCAATGGTGTGATCTCAGCTCACTGCAACCTCCGCCTCCTTGGTTCAAGCAATTCTCGTGCCTCAGCCTCCTGAGTAGCTGGGGTTACAGGTACACAACACCATGCCCAGCTAATTTTTGTATTTTAGTAGAGATAGGGTTTCACCATGTTGGCCAGGCTGGTCTCAAACTCCTAATCTCAAGTGATCCGCCTGCCTCAGCCTCCCAAAGTGCTGGGATTACAGGTGTCAGCCACCACACGCAGCCTCAGTCTCTCTTTTAAACAGATTTATTGTATAATGTATATATCATAAAATCCAGTTTGGTGAGTTTTACTAAATTTATTGTCATGCAACCATCACCACATTTCTGTTTAAGACAATTTCATTGCCCTAAAAACTTTCCTTGTGCCATTTGTATTCTATCCCTGCTCTCAGCCACCACTAGGTAACTCCTGATCTGCTTTCTATATCTATAGTTTTGTCTTTTCTAGAAATTTCATATAAATTAGATCATACAATATGTGGTCTTTTGTGGCTTCTTTCACTTTAGCATATTGTTTTTGAGGTTCATTCTTATGCACTGTGCTTTTCTTGGCAGTCTCAATTTTTCAGCCTACTTTTAGAGAAAACAAAAATGAGTGGTAGAAAATCTGGGGAAATTCCTCAGTAACTTGATCTGAGCCTAGAAAAGTTGCCAAGGTTAATAAAAAACACCCTGAAAGTTCCATGTCACACTGGGATTGATTTTAAGGATACTGCTCATCTCTCTTTCCTCCTTGTTTTTAAAAGAAAATTGACTGTGTTGGCAAAAGTACTCATTTCCTCATTTTACCTTCCTGTTCTTGTCTATAAACTTACATAATTTATACATTATGTACTCATAGTGTAGATACAAATGTGGCATTCTGTATTTCATTTTCTTTACCATAAAATGTTTTTAAAAGTAATGATCATAAACTTGCTGACCAGCATGCACACTCTCACCTGGAAAACTGAACAGAGGTAACTGCTTTTTATGGAATTTAACAAGACAGTCATTCATTTATTTAACAAAATGCAAGCTCTTACAGCTCTACTTTATACTGAACTCTAACCAGATGAATCTAACATCCCACGGTCCTAAGATTTTGCATTACAAGTCATGCTATTTGTTTAAATAACAGGAAAAAAAAAAAGACAGAAACACTTTAGGAAGCCAATTTTCCTTGCTAATGAGCAGATACTAAAATAATGAGTATCTTCTGACTACCTTCCTCAAACCACTGAAAAGTTTACCCATTAATCATATGTGAACTTTGAAGCGTGGGTGGCTGGAGCTTCTCATAAGCACATCCTTAAAGATGAAACCACATATAAATTGCTAAAGGAATCACCCGGTGAAAGTCAGACTGTGATTAGTAGGTATGGGGAGGAAGGAGAAGTTGAAAGACCCAGGCTGGGGTCAAACCTCTTTCAGTTACGTTTTTAATCAAATTAAGTCAAAACTAACGTTTCATGTCTCTTTTGCTTATTATTGACAGCCGTGTTTAGCTCAGCCATCCCCCACTGAAGCGAACTGTGTCAGTGCACTGTCAGATGCAGCTTTGGAAGACAATTGCTGTCCCTGCTGGCTTCTTCCCTCACGTGCCTGTGTTTCAATGCCTGAGGGCTCCTCTGAGCCCACACACAGGACTGGCCAGAATTGCTGGGAGGTAACACCCCAGGACAGCCTCAACAGATGAGGGCTAGGAGCTGGTGAGTCCACCCGCCAGCCTCCTCACCGCTGCACAGTCTCTCAGAGGGGCCTTCACAGGACTGCGGCCCAGTTGTCCTCTGAGGTATCCTGCTCGGCAATGTGCCCTATGTGGCTTTTCTCTCTTCCCTGTCTCACTTCCTTACTCTGCCTCCTAGAATCATTTCTTAAATAGATGATTTGCCCAAAATCCTTTGCCTCAGGGTCCACTTTTGGGCTAACCGAACTAAGACATCTACAAAATTTTAGATAGGAATAGACTTTAAAGGGATCCTTTGACTTTTTTTTTTTGAAACAGCATCTCACTCTGTCACCTAGGCTGGAATGCGGTGGCGTGATCTTAGCTCACTGTAACCTCCGCCTCCCAGGTTCAAGCAATTCTCCTGCCTCAGCCTCCCGAGTAGCTGAGATTCCACACGCCTGACATCACACCTGACTAATTTTTGTATTTTTAGTAGAGACAGGGTTTCTCCATGTTGGCCAGGTTGGTCTTGAACTCCTGACCTCAGGTGATCCGCCCGCCTTGGCCTCCCAAAGTGCTGGGATTACAGGTGTGAGCCGCTGTGCCCAGCCTCCTATTGCTACTTTTTAACAGAAATCTCTGTGTCTGACTCAGACCCAGAGAAAAGAAACCACAGTGATCAGAGTCATACACAAGGGGGTGCCCTCTAGCAGGTTCGCCTGAGGTTGTCCGCCTCCCGCCTCATGCTATTAACATTCCATAAACACGCCATGGCAGAGAGCAGGGCACTGCTGAAGGTTTACATGCGGTAACTGATTTCATTCTCACAACAACCACGTGAGATGAGTGCTGTTACTGTCCTCATTTTACAGAGGAGAAACCGAGCATTTAAACTAATTTGACCAAGGGCATAGGGCTAGAAAGGTGGTGTTTAAGAACATCCCAGTGCTTTCTAGCCCTTTCTAATCCAAGGGCTAGAATGCTGGAATTGGGATTCCAGCCCAGGCAGCCTGGTTCCAGATTCAAGGACACAGCCCTGAGCATGTGAGGGTATCTGAGAGCTGCCTGCTTGATTTGGGGGTTACCATGTGTAGAGAAAGGAAAGAAGATGGTCTATGTAACATCTTCAAATGCTTGAAGGCTTTGAGCAATGAACCTCCTTGGTGGTTGGGTGAAGAATTCTATAATGAGTGGATTCTTTCCCAGAATAGTACTTTTTTTTTTTTTTTTTTGAGACAACTTCTTGGCTCTGTCACCCAGGCTGGAGTGCAGTGGTACAAACACAGCTCAGTGCAGCCTCGACCTCCCGAGCTCAAACAGTCCTCCCACCGCAGACTCCTGAGTAGCTGGGATCACAGGCACGCACCACCACAACCAGCTAATTTTTTCATTATTATTATTTTTAGTAGAGACAAGGTCTTACTGTGTTGCCCAGGCTAGTCTCAAACTCCCGGACTCAGGCAGTCCTCCTGCTTTGGCCCCTTAAAGTGTTGGGATTACAGGCATGAACCACCATGCCCAGCCAGAATAGTATTTTTAAGTGCATAAAAGAAAACACATAGGATTACAAAGGAAACCAATTATACTGAAATGCACTTATCAAAATGTTCCCCCAAACTGTGACACAGCAATACAGTGCTCCTTTGGTATACACAGGGAACTGGTTCCAGGACCCCTGAGTACACCAAAATACCTAAATCTGGGCATACTCAAGCTCTGCAGTCAGATCTGCAGAACCTGCGTATACAAACAGGCCTCCATTTACAGGGGTTTGCATCTCATGAACGCTGTATTTTCCATCCACAATGGGTGGTAAAAACTCCACGGTTAAGTAGATCTGTGCAATTCAGAGCTGTTATCCAAATATCCAACTGTATATGCATCCATTCTATGGGAGTGATTACACGTGAGAATGGGCTCCATAAAAGTGTCAATTCTCTGTCATTAGACACTGACAGGAATAGGCTGAGTTGACCAAATGGCTGGATGCTTTCAAGATAGACATCAGAGGCAACCTCCACCTTCATTAACTTTCTGTTTCTTTTTTTTTCTTTTGAGATGGAGTCTTGCTGTTGGGAAAAGCTGAGTGTTGGGAGAAGCTGAGGCAGGGCTTGCACGTCTGACATAATGTAAAAGAGTCTTGGAACGTGTCCAGGGTCCATGGTCTAAAACTCCTTGTGGCCTTTGGAACACCAAGCTCTGTGCTAAAGGGTGGAAGGCTGCCCTGGCACAACATAATCTAAGCCCAGGGCATAAAATCCCTCATGGCTTGGATAGACTCCAGGGCTCGTGGCTCTGGAATGTGTCTAGACTTGCTGGCTCCTTGCTCGTTGCTCTCCCAGGATCGATTGTATCTTGAGTTAAAAGAACCTGCTCTCCATTATCTCAAGTAGCAGAGCAAATGCTAAACCATCACAGCTGTAAATCATGTGCTTAATGCAACGCACCCTTTTGACCTCCACATTCTCACCACCTGTTTCTTTGTTGGATTACCAATAAATAGTGTGGGCTCCCAGAGCATGGGGCCTTTGCAGCCTCCACAATCGCGATGGTCCCCTGGTCCCACTCATCTCTCTCAAACTGTCTTTTCTCAATCCTTTGACTCCACCGGACTTTGTCACCCCCACGAACTGGTGTTGGGTCTGATCACCCCAACACTTGCTCTGTTGCCCAGGCTGGAGTGCAGTGGCGCCATCTGGGCTCACTGCAACCTCCGCCTCCCGGGTTCAAGTGATTCTCTTGCCTCAGCCTCCCAAGTAGCTGGGATAACAGGCACCTGCCAAAACACATGGCTAATTTTTGCATTTTTAGTAGAGACAGGGTTTTGCCATGTTGGCCAGGCTGATCTCGAATTCCTGACCTCAAGTGATCCGCCCACCTCAGCCTCCCAAAGTGCTGGGATTACAGGCATGAGCCACTGCGCCCAGCCTCACCTTCATTAAGTTTCTAAAACAACTTTGTGTTTCTCACCAATTCTAAGTCTGTCTATGCCTGCCAGCCATTGTCCCTGATAGGAAGTGTAGGGTGTCCAAGATGACATTCAAGGCCCATGTGACTTGAACCCAATAATTTACCTTACCGTTGTGCCGAACTCCTATCCACTCCAATGGGGATAGCCCCAGGCTCAAGAGACCAAAGAAGAGACCTCGAGCCAGCAAATGAGACATGGGGCTTTACTGGGGCCTTACATACAGGGAAGAGAGCCCAGTGGTGGTGGGCTGGACAGGAGAACCATCAATCACTTACGGAAAGCACATGGCTTATGTATCATTTTCACTCGGCACCCTCCCTCAACAACCTCCACCTGGCAACCTTCACATATTCCCAAAACAAAGGGCTTTGACCCCTGTACATCCCAGATCCATGGGATAGGCCAGGGCTCAGATGTTCCTTAGAGATAAGGAATGAATCTTCAGGTTGGCCACCCCTGGATTCCTTGGCTCAGAACTCCAAACTGCATTCAGGTGCATCTGCTATACAGAGTCATTCTCAGGGTTTGCTGACGTTATTGCCATCAGGTGAGTTTACCATGCACTTACTAACCTCTGAGCAGTGCCTCCCATGTTCCCTACATTCCAGTCACAGCAAAAGTCCTGCTTCCCTGCATGTACCATGCACTTTGCATTTCAGCGGCTCTCTGCCCCCTCTGCCTGCAGTGAGTGAGGCCTCCATGGCAAAGTCCTTCCTTCAGCTGAAATGGTTTTCAAAGTTCCCCGAGAGCCCCTATCCCAGACAGAATTAATCACTCCTCCTCTGAGCTCCCATAACTCTTCCCACACGCCTCTACTCTAGTGTATACATTCTAGTATAGTTATTGTGAACATATATTAGGGCCTACGACATGAGCAATATTTTATTCATCTTAAATAGGATAGGGCAGAATACCTAGCCCAAGACTTGGCGGGGCACGGTGGCTCACGCCTGTAATCCCAGTACTGGGAGGCCAAGGCGGGCAAATCACTTGAGCTCAGGAGTTTGAGACCAGCCTGGGCAACATGGTGAAACCCCATCTCTACCAAAAATCCAAAAATTATCCGGGTGTGGTGGCACGTGTCTGTGGTCCCACCTACTCAGGAGGCTGAGGTGGGAGGATCACTTGAGCCTGGAAGGCAGAGGTTGCAGTGAGCTGAGATCACACCACTGCACTCCAGTCTAGACAACAGAGCAAGACTCTCAAAAAACAAAAACAAAAACAAAAACAAAACTAGCCCTTGATTGGGGTGTGGAAGCGAGTAGTTCATTTGACACAAGTATGAAATTAGCTGTATGGAGTGTCTCAATAGTTACCCCAGGTCTTTGGGAGTCTGGTAACAGTCTTCATCAAAATGGAAGACTTGTGTTTATTTTAAAATGTCATGTATAGCTGCTGTCTCTCTCATAATGCATTAATGTTAATGAAATAATGTTATTGGCTTTGCCCAAATTTTTAAGTAAAATGGATATGCCTTAAAAACCTATCTTCTTTTTTCTGTGGCTTCTTATGCCCTCTGGCCTGCCAATAATCCCGTGGTAGAGGTACCCAGGCTGAGATGCAGGGAACTAGAGTGTTCCTCTTCCTGACCCTGGAGCTAAGGGCATCATTTGGTTGGCTTTAACTAAGAGTCCCAGGAGAACCCTCCTGATTGCTTGAGCCCAGGAGTTCGAGATCAGCCTGAGCAACATAGTGAGACTCTATCTCTACCAAAAGAAAAATTATTTTTTATAAAATTTTTTTTAAAAATAGAGATGGCATCTCACTATATTGACCAGGCTGGTCTCAAACTCCTGGCCTCAAGCGATCCACCCATCTCGGCCTCTCAAAGTGCTGGGATTATAGGCATGAGCCACCACGTCCAACCTATAAAATAATTTTTAAAAAAAATTAGCCAGGCATAATGGCACGTGCCTATAGTCCTAGCTACTCAGAAGGCTGAGGCGGGAGGATGGCTTGAGTCCAGGAGGTTGAGGCTGCAGTAAGCTGTGATCCCAACACTGCACTCCAGCCTGGGCATCAGAGTGAGACTCTGTCTCAAACAAACAACAAATTTTAAAAAAATCAACAAATGTAAAATTTGAAGAAAAAAAAAGAACCCTCCTACCTCCCCCAGGCAGCTGGATGCTAAATACAAAGCCTCTGGCAGGGCTCTGCCTTCCAGTAAAGAGTTCAGATGAGCAAGGATTCCAACACCTATCCATTTTTTTTCCCCCTCAGACACACTTTATCATCATGTAAAGCCTATCCATTTTCTAATCTTACTCCAAATTCTTTTGGGGATGACTCATTCTGTGAAGTGAGCTTGTTGGGGGTTTTCCATCATGTCCCTTCGTGTTTATTATTTTCATAATTTGTTCATTGTTGTTGAGACTTTATCTTCCCTGACATATGCTTTTCTTCTTGTCCTTACAGGACAGACCTCTCTCTTCTTTGCCCAAAGAGGGGCTGAGCAAGTGTCCAAGCTCTTCCCTTCTGTTAGTTTTTGTCTTTTTCCTTTTTGTGGAGAACAGGGTCTCACTGCAACCTTCACCTCCTGGGCTTAACTGATCCTCCCACCTCAGCCTCCCAGGTAGCTGGGACTACAGGCACGTGCCTCCATGCTCGGCCAATTTTTGTATTTTTTGTAGAGACAGGGTTTTGCCATGTTGCCCAGGCTGGTCTCAAACTCCTGGGCTCAAGCAAACCTCCTGCCTCTGCCTCCCTACGTGTTGGGATTACAGGCATGAGCCACTGCACCCTGCCTTCTGTTCTGTTTGAGTTTGATCTGCCTCTGTAAATTTAAACTATGGTGCTGGGCAAAAAGCATGGAATTTTGAGTGAAGCAGGCTGCTTTCAGTCCTAGCTCTGTTACTGACCAGATAATACTAGGCAAACAGTGTAACCTCTCCCAGTCTTAACATACTCATCGATGAAAATCAGAACCGTCATCACCACTTCCCAGGCTGCCGTGAAAACTGAAGGAGGTAAGGTATGTAGAAGCATCTTAATTAGTACCTGACACAGAATAAATAATCAATGTAAATTTTTGCTTCCTTCCTTCTAAGAGAAAGGAAGTAGAGTTCTGTGGTCTACAAACTAAGTGTGGCATTGGTGCCCACTAAAGAGCCATTCATGAGGAAATCTGCAGATAGCCACTCCCCACTGGAGGGTATGGTCTTGACTTTTGCCTCAGTATCTCCAGCTCCTACCCATCATGGGATGTGGCACAAAGTGGGAATTCAACAACTGTCTATTGGATAAATAAATGGATCCATGAGTGAGTGAAAACATTTCTCTAGACTAGTAAAGGATTTGAGATAAGTTATGTGAAGGAAATCAAATAGGTTGTAGTAGGTGAAACTTACCTCCAAGAATCTATCTGATCCCCACGCCTCTGATACTGTATAATAACAAGTTGGTAATGAAAGTCTACAATACTGGCAGAGGGGGTCATGCATAAGAGCAGCATTGGCCTTGAGAAATTCAAGCATCCCGTAATGCAAGAGCAGGTGGGCTGAGCAGATCACTTGCTTGTAGGAGTTAATTGTTAAGGCAATCAGGAGTTAGCAAGGAAGGCATGAGAGGGATTGCCCTGTAATTACTATTGTTTCAGCATAAATTTTTTTTCTGGCAAGTAATTGCTATGTATCTGGGTTGCAGCGATAGGTTCTGACTGTGGAGATATCTTTGAGGAATGACTTCAATGATTAAGCACAGCCTGGCATCACCAGATGGTTTGCTGTGGTCCACTGCCTCTGGCCTCAGCAGCAGCCTCCAGCCAGACCCCTGCTTCCACAGTTGCCCCATCACAGTCCAGTTCAGTAGCAATTAAAATTGACATTGGATATCTAAACAAAATGGGAACTTACGGGAAAGATATTAGAGGCTCGGCATTCTAGAAGGAGAAACTGGCATGATTAAGCCAAAGAAGTAAGGAAATGCAGGGCAGAGTGGGTGAATCATGGGGGATCTAAAGGCACGCCAAGAACATTTGCAGGAACAGGAAACCCATCCCTGTGTTTCCCAGGCACACTAGGTGGGCCCCTGCCTTCTCTCTTCCGTTCCTTTCAGAGTTGAGAAAGGGCAAACTTGTCTGAAGCAGTGTATCCATGGATTAAGGAAGTACCGTTTCCTTTGCCAGCTCTGCCTGCTGAAAGATGAGGAGGTGACAATAACATCTTCATCATCTACCTACAAAGGACATGATCAAGTCTAGGCCTTGCCTGGAATACGGGGGGATAAGACTAGGTTAGACTTGACTTGGCAGTAAAGCAGGTATCACAAACTCACATGCCATAGGGACCAGCGAGTCAGGGAATAGGTGCAGCCAGCTGGGTGAGAGACGATACAGCATGATGATGTCTGTGCCAAAGTGGAGATCAAACCTACAGAAGGCCTCAAATCCTAAACATTTTTGATATGATAATGTGGTTTTACTTCCCTTTTATTTTATTTATTTATTTTTTTGGAGACAAGGTCTTGCTCTGTCACCCAGCCTGGAGTACAATGGCACAATCACAGCTCACTGCAGCCTCAAACACCCAGGCTCAAGCATCCCTCTGCCACAGCCTCCTGAGAAGCTGGGACCACAGGCATGCGCTATTACACCTGGCTAATTTATTTTATTTTATTTTTTGTAGAGGCGAGGTCTCCCTTGCCTAGGCTGGTGTCAAACTCCTGGGCTCAAGTGATCCTCCCACTTAGCCTCCCAAAGCGTTGGGATTACAGGCGTGACCCACCATGCCTGGCCTGGTTTTACTTCTTTAATGTATTAACAGAGTGGATTCATTGGTGGATTTCCTAATTTTGAATCAACCTCTAGCGGTGTGCTGTAGCTGGCTCTTACCAGGTGACAGCCAATTATTAAATTTTCAGGAATTTGTTTAAAGTTGTTGAGGTCATGCTGGTAGCTTAAAATTGGCCGTGATGGGAGTATTTACACCATGGGAATTGGCAAATGCTATAAATTGGGGCGGTTTTCTTCTTTCTCAGATAGCTAGTTGTGAATCCAGCATGCTACTGCTTGTATTCCTGGAATAAACTGTGCTTGATCTTGTTGTATTATTTTTGTCATTACTGTATTTTACAGTAATGTGTTACTGTAATTAGTATGTCACATTCTTTGTCAGCTTTATTTCTTAAAACCTTTCATATTTTTGTATGGTCCAGTTTAAATCTCTGATTCTTAATTACCTAGGGAGTATCATAAAATGCAGATGCTAGTCCATGCACCTGATCGATAATCAGAATCTGAGGGTGAAACACAAATACTAGTACTTTTTAAAAACTCCATAGATGATTCCAATGTACAGCCAAGGTTGAGAACTAGTGGCCTAGTCCAGTGCTTGTCAAACATTAATGTGCATACAGATCATCTAGGGATCCTGTTAATATGCAAAGTCTAATTTAGCAGGTCTGGGGTGAGCCTGAGATTCTGCATTTCCAACAAGTTCGCAGCGATGCCACGGCTGCTGGTCCGTAGACCACAATTTAAGTAGCAAGGATTTGAATTAACATTGTAATTATCCATGCTTTAAAGGTTACATAAAATTCAGCTATTCAGCCATTTCATCCTGGTACTTTCTTCAACATCCAATCTTATTACCTTTCCATCTCTTCTGTAGAACTTAGTCCATTTAAATTTTCCACTTTTTCCTCTGTCAATTTTGGTATTACATGTTTTGTGAGAAATCTGTTTCTCTTGGTTTTCAAATATGCTGTCAGAGTGACGCTGAATAACCTCTTACTATTTTTTAAATTATCTCACATCTGCAATTATTAAGCATTCAAATTCAAAGTTTAAAAAATATTTGTCAAGTGCAGTGGCTCATATCTGTAATGCCAATACTTTGGGAGGCTGAGGCAGGCAGATTGCTTGAGCCCAGGAGTTGGAGACCAGCCTGGACAACATGGCAAAACCTCATCTCTACAAAACAAATACAAAAAATTAGCCAGGTGCAGTGGCACCTGTTTGCCAGTAGTCCCAGTCACTTGGGAGGCTGAGATGGGAGGATTGCTTGAGCCCAGAAGGTCAAGTTGCAGTGAGCCAAGATCACACCACTGCACTCCACCCTGAGTGACAGTGAGACTCTGTGTCTTAAAAAAAAAAAAAAGAAGAAATCGGCTGGGCATGGTGGCTCATGCCTGTAATCCCAGCACTTTGGAAGGCCAAGGCAGGCGGATTGCCTGAGGTCGGGAGTTCGAGACCAGCCTGACCAACATGGAGAAATCCCATCTCTACTAAAAATACAAAATTAGCCAGGTGTGGTGGCGCATGCCTGTCATCCCAGCTACTCAGGAGGCTGAGGCAGGATAATCGCTTGAACCCAGGAGATGGAGGTTGCGGTGAGCTGAGATGGGGACACCAGCCTGGACAGCAAGAGCGAAACTCCATTTCAAAAAAAAAAGAAAAAGAAATTAAGTCAACCAAACCAAACATCTGTGGCTGACTGTCCTTCAAGCTTCCAGTTTGCGGTCTTGCCAAAGACCCCTGTTTGCTAGGACTGCCATAACAAAAGACCACAGACTGAGTAGGCTTAAACAATAGACATTTATTTTCTACTGGCTCAAGGTTCCAGCAGTGTTCAGTTTCTGGTGAAGACTCCCTTCCTGGCTTGCAGATGGCCACCTTCTCCCTGTTTCCTCACATGGTATTTCTTCTGAATGCACATGCAAGGAGAGAGAGATCTCGTGTCTCTTCCACTTTTTGTTTTTGTTTGAGATGGAGTCTCACTCTGTTGCCCAGGCTGGAGTGCAGTGGTGCAATCTCGGCTCACTGCAACCTCTGCCTCCCAGGTTCAAGCGATTCCTGCCTCAGCCTCCCAAATAGCTGGGACTACAGGTGCCCGCTACCATGCCCACCACCACGACTGCCTAATTTTTATATTTTTAGTAGAGACAGGGTTTTGCCATATCAGCCAGGCTGGTTTCAAACTTCTGACTTCAAGTGATCTGCTCGCCTTGGCCTCCCAAAGTGCTGGGATTACAGGCATGAGCCACCATGCCTGGCCTCTTCCACTTTTTATAGGGACACTACTACTATCAGATCAGGGCCCATCCTTGTGAACTCTCTTCATTTAACCTTAATCACCTCTTTCAAAGCCTTATTTCCAGATACAGCCACATGGTTAGGGCTTCACCATGTAAATTTGGCGGGGAGGTGCAGAGGGGTGACAAACATTCAGTCAATAAGTTTCAATTACTCCAATTATTTCACCTATTTTGAGTTGTTGCTGACTCCAGAAGATTCTGTTAAACTATGTCACTGAAGAGCTAATCCCAGAATAGTTTCAGAGCTGGACTATGCTTAACAACTATGTGATTCAATCACAGTATTTTACACATGGAGAAACTGAGGCCCAGAGAGGCACATCATTCACCTATGCAGAGTGGAAAGGTTAAGATTAGAACCAGGGTGTCTGGGCATCCAATCAGGAATAGAAGGTATGTCATCCCTTTGTTACTACCACACCTCCTGCACTACAATAATTCAAGCACAGTCACTGGATGTGAACGATGTGCAGACGTGGTGCTTACCTGGCACTCAAGGTTTTCTATATTCAGATCATTTTGTGATGTTCACAGCTTTTCTCCGTGACCCTGGGGGAAAGTGATGCTATTAAAAAACCAATGATTGTAGGAAGCTTCTGGAACCCCCACTGGGCTGGAGGGACAAAAAGGAGAGAATAGTTTTTACCCAGAGCCCATGAGCATGAGCTTACTCACAACGAATGCATCTGTAGTGTTGCTGATGCTGCCACTACCACGACAATCACTGCCTTTCTCATTGGGCAGGCAGCCAAGAGCCCACCTGTTCATGCTATTGAAACAGCCACCAGAGCCATTGGGGCCCTTACTTACCCAGAGCCACCCCTGCTGCCCTCGCCCCAGTACCCTACCATTGCAAGGCCCACAATTGCCTACTATACCTACTGATAAATGTCATAAACAGAAAAAAATGGCCTCTCCCTCCCACCTTCCAACCAACTTCACATAAATGCCTCCCACTAGCAGAACCTACCTGGCAAGGAACCCAGCTGACAAGGAAGTTCGGGAAATGCAGTTTCCAGGCTTCTAGCCCCTGAGATATAGGGGAGAATGTGGGCCAGGTGTGATGACTCACGTCTGTAATCTTAGCACTTTGGGAGGCCAAGGTGGGAGGATCGCCTTGAGCCTAGGAGTTTGAGACCAGCCAGGCCAACACAGTGAGACCCCATCTCCAAAAAAAATAACAGAATGTGGAAAGGCAGGAATAGCCATAGACAATATCCGGGTATAGTTATTAGGAGGAAGTGAACAGGCAAGAATGTGGTACCTGAAGGTCAAGTTTTAGAATTCAGACATGTCCCACCAACAATAATCAGCAGTGCTGGGGGGGTGTCACAAATTCCATCTGGAGGAGCCCTTTTTCTCTGGTCTTCCCAACAAAACTAGCCCAGAGGAGAATCTCATCTCCTGCCTCAGAGGAACAGCTGAACGAAGCTGAGCACCCCCTCTGGGAGGTCAGAAAGTCTTCTGTTCAGGCAGAGAAGCCTAGAAACCAGAGGCTCCCATTCCACTCTCAGGTCAGGAGCTGTATTAGTCAGCTGGAGCTGCCATAACAAAATGCCATGGCCTAGGTGGCTTTAACAACAGAAATTTGTTTTCTCACACTTCTGGAGGCTGGAAATCCAAGAGGAAGGCAGGTTTGGCTTCTCCTGAGGCCCTCTCCATGACCTGCACACAGTCTCCTTCTGGCTTTGTCCTCGTTTGGCCTTTTCCCTGTGCATGTGCATCCCAGTGCATCTTCCTCTTTTATAAGAATGCCAGTCGTGGAGGATTAGGACTCCACCCTTATGCACTCATTTAATCTTAATTACCTCTTTAAAGGGCTCATCTCCAAATAGAGTCATGGGGGATGGGAGGTTAAGGCTTCAATTTATGAACAAGGGATACAATTCAGTCCATAACAGGAGCCCAGTTGATATCTCCAACTCTGAGAGTAAACAGAGGCCTTTTTTTTTTTTTTTTTTGAGAGTCTTGCTGTGTTGCCTAGGCTGGAGTGCAATGACATGATCTCGGTTCACTGCAACCTCTGCCTCTCGGATTTAAGAGATTCTCCTGCCTCAGCCTCCGGAGTAGCTGGGATTACAGGCACCTGCCACCAAGCCTGGCTAATTTTTATATTTTATTTTTAGTAGAGATGGGGTTTCACTGTGTTGGCCAGTCTGATTTTGAACTCCTGACCTCAAGTGATCTGCCTGCCTCGGCCCCCCAAAGTGTTGGGACTACAGGCGTGAGCCACTGCGCCTGGTCCAGAGACCTGACTTTTTTTTTTTTTTCCCAAGCCAAACTGTATCCAGCTTTATTAAAGATACTTTCCATAAACAATCATGGTATTTCAGGCAGGACGTGGGCAGACAATCGTTAACAGTATACAACAACTTTCAAACTCCCTTCTGCAATGGACTACCAAAAATCAGAAAGCCACTATAAACCCAATGAAGTCTTCATCTGGTGCTCTGAACAGGGAAAGTTTAGAGTGAGGGTTGACATTTCACATTTAGCATGTTGTTTAACAACTTTTCACAAGCCGACCCTGACTTTCAGTAAGTGAAAATGGCAGAATTTATCTGAAGATCCACAATCTAGAAATGGAACCACTGCTCTTTTGACAGGTGCCATCTCAGTGGCATCACTGGAAAGTCCAGATTGCCTGACACACTGGTAACCAACGACTAGGGGTCAGGTCCCAACAGATGTCTGGGCTTAAGGGAGTTAAGTCTATGCTGAAAGATGGAAAGGGAGAAGAAGAAATAAAAACAAATTTGTTTTTCCATACCACAAGGCTTTTGTGCCAAGGTGGCCATGTGTGTCAAAGTCAGGGAATCCCTCCTCCTGGGAGCCAAGAGGAAGTCTCTCAAAACTAGAAGGGAAAGGTGTTTTCTCCACATCGATCCAGCTTTGGAGACATTCTATTAGTGACATATGCCCCTTCCCCCCAAAACAATGAAGTGTTCTGTGTGCTAACAACATACCTTTAAAAAAAAAAAAGTAAAACAAAATTCTGCATCTTTATAAAACTTGATAAAAAATAGTATTTCAAGGCCGGTTGCAGTGGCTCACGCCTGTAATCCCAGCACTTTGGGAGGCCGAGCGGAGCAGATCGCGAGGTCAGGAGATGGAGACCATCCTGGCTAACACGGTGAAACCCTGTCTCTACTAAAAATACAAAAAATTAGCCGGGCATGGTGGCGGGCGCCTGTGGTCCCAGCTACTCCGGAGGCTGAGGCAGGAGAATGGCGTGAACCCGGGAGGCGGAGCTTGCAGTGAGCCGAGATCGCGCCACTGCACTCCAGCCTGGGCGACAGAGCGAGACTCCGTCTCAAAAAAAAAAAAAAAAAAATTGTATTTCAAACTGTACAGTCACCAGAAGTACACAGCTATCAAAAATGCACACACTTCACTTGGCATCTCCAGCACCTTCAGCTTTCTGTGACTGGTCTGTTTTGGCATCTCCATTTTCTGCAGGGTTATTCCCCTCCTTGCCAGCATCAGCCTTTCCCTTTTTCCCTTTGGGTACCTTCTCTCCCTTCTTTGCAGAGGCCTTTTTAGGCTTGGGCTCTGGCTTTGGAGGAGCAGGTTTAGCAGACAACCTAGCGGATCTTCTCTGCGGTTCGTCCTTCACCTTGGCTTTATCTCCTTTAGCATCTCCTTCAGCCTTTCTCTTGGGCATGGTGGCCGCGGCGATGGCGACGGCGGCGGGACGTAGGTGCTGGACGCGGGACACAGCGGCGCACGGGCTTTGGTCGGTCCGGGGGTCGTTCTCACCTCTTCTTCATACTGCTCCGATATCTGACTTTTTAAAGCCCTGGTCAGGAATATGCTGAGTCACCCCTGACTCCCACCTCTAGTTGTAACTTACATTGGTTTGTTCTTCCATTTACTTATATCACAAGTATTTATTGAGTTCCAATTATGTGCCCGGCACTATATCAGTACTGGGGACATGGATGTTGACATTGGACAGGTGACTGCAGTGCCATATGACAGAGGCATGCTCACAGCGCTTATGGTCAGGCTGTTGGTGGGATGCCCTGCAAGCAAAGACACCAGACAAGGCTTTCTAGAGGACATGCGATGGGAACCCAGTTCTGAAATACAAGGCAGAATTATCTGGTTGGGGAGTGGATTTGTTTAATCAGTGGGTCCCTATTTGCCTAGACTTGTACAGGAGAGGAAGGTAGAGTTTATATAAAACTTTTCTACTCCAGGTGTGGCCCACAGATCAGGAGTACTGGAATCAGCTGGGAGCTTCTCAGATAGACTCACTCTCAGAGTCCATCCCAGGCTTACTGAATCAAAAGCTACAGTTTAACAAGCTCCCCAGGGCACAGGTGAACATTAAAATTTGGGAAACACTGATGCGGTGCAATCCCATTGCTTCACAGATGGACAAACCAAGACCCAGAGAACAAGTGATTCTTTTAAGATAATACAGATAACACAGCATTAACAGGAAAGAAAGAAAAGTCTTAAATCTAAATTCAACACTCCCCTTCAGTCCGATGGATTGACACATTTCCCAGTCCACCTACAACTTTCACATCACATTATGATGCCAGATCTTTCTACCAACAAGCCCTTTGGCTATGCCTAGAGGACTCATTATTAGCTCTCACTGATCAGGTGAGAACATGGGGGCCCCAAAAACGGACCTCTATTGACACTGTTTCTGATTTGGGAGCGTTTGGGCTGCTTTGTGGGTGTCTTTTATATTCTTCATTTATTTACTTAAATGGCAGACATTGCTAATTGTTTGGGTCAGGGAATATCAAGCCTTGAGCCTGGTTTAAGGTGCTTTGAGACCCTTACACCCCTAGACACCTCACAGAAGCAAATGTAGAGACTTTCTGAAGGAAAGGGCCTTCAACATAGGCCTCATATCATTTCTACACATAGTTTTTCAAATGCAGTGTCCAGGCTGGGCACAGTGGCTCACGCCTATAATCCCAGCACTTTGGTAGGCTGAAGTGGATCACCTGAGGTCAGGAGTTTGAGACCAGCCTGGCCAACATGGTGAAACCCCATCTCTACTAAAAATACAAAAAATTAGCCAGGTGTGGTGGTGGGCGTCTGTAGTTCCAGCTACTCAGGAGGCTGAGGTGGGAGAATAGCTTGAACCCAGGAGGCAGAGTTTGCAGTGAGCTGAGATCATGCCATTGCACTCTAGTCTGGGTGACAAAAGGAGACTTTCAAACAAAACAAAACAAAAAAACCCAAAAGCAGTGTCCAGCACACAGTCGTAGATAACTCATAGAGTACAAGACTGGCAATTGGCAGGAAAAAAAGACAAATAATAGAAACAGATCTGCAAAGAGTTCAAATATTGAATTATCAGATGTAGACTTTTTAAACAAATAGCTGAATTTATTTTATTTCATTTTATTTTTCTTTTTAGATTAGGATTAACCTTGTGGAGCAGAGATAACTCATAGGCAGTACACACACAGTCAGCCTGAATTTTTTTTAAGGCAAACTTGTTGATATATTCAATGAATTGGAAACTACGAAAATCAATGTAGTCAATTTTTTTTTTTTTTTTTTTTTATCTGAGACAGAGTCTCGCTCTGTCACTCTGGCTGGAATGCAGTGGCGCGATCTTGGCTCACTGCAACCTCTGCCTCTCGAGTTCAAGTGATTCTCCTGCCTCAGCCTGCTGAGTATCTGGGATTACAGGCACATGCCACCATGCCTGGCTAATTTTTGTATTTTTAGTAGAGACAGGGTTTCACCATATTGGTCAGGCTGGTCTCAAACTCCTGACCTCGTAATCTGCCCGCCTCAGCATCCCAAAGTGCTGGGATTACAGGCGTGAGCCACCGCACCAGCCTATGTAGTCTATTTTTAAAAGAACCAAATAGAACTTCTAGGGAAAAATGTAATAACAAACATATATGCATGTGTAAATATATATATAAATGCCTACATGCTAAGTTCAGCAGATAGGTTTAATGACAAAAACTATAAAACTGAAGAGGGAAGTAGGGAATTGGGAGACAGGACTGGAGAACGTGATTCTGCTGCTGGACGGCGAGCCCCACAATTGGGGCTTAGCCCTGAAGAGTTCTCAGCTTCATCCAGGAAAGAATTCAAGGACAAGCCTGTGGTGTTAAATAGCAATCTTATTTGAATAGCACCTCTCCCTACAGAGCAGGGGTAACTCACAGGCAATGAACCCAGAGTCTGCAACGTATGGGCTGTTGGCAACTCTATCTACTTGTACCCACTTTCAATTACTTGTATATTAAGGGGCAAGCTGATGCAAATTGAGGGCCAAGTTATTTAGAAAGATCTAGTAAGTTACTACTCCTTTCCATGGCAATGACCCACAAAATTTGTCGTCATGGAAAGAGGCAGTAACTTCCGGGTCGTTGCCATGGCATTTGTAAACTGTCATGGCGCTGGCGGGCGTGTCCTATGCTAATGAGCAATGAGGGCGGCTAGGGATTGCTTTTGTCGCCATCTGCTGGTTTCCACCGGTTTCTTCACTTCATCCTGTGTGGACCATCTTTTGGTCAGCAGGACTGTGACCAGAAGACAAGTCCTGCCAGTCTCCTACCTCATTTCCAAGAGACAAAAAGATAGGATGTGCAGCGGAATAGAAAAAAGACTTAGAAAACATATTTTAAACATCTAATGAACATGTTGTCAGACACCCAGAAGGAGGAGTGAGAGAATGGGCAGTGACAAAATTGAAGATGGAGTGGCTGGAAAGAGGACCTTCACAGCACCACCCACGAGTAAGGGGCTGCTGTAAAGAGACAGAGGTGGTCGCCATGCTCCTGCAGCCCAGTGGGTTCCTTTTTGGAATCAGAGAATCAAAATAAAAGGGCCGAATTCCACCTCCAGTCTCATTCTTGGCTTCGATATTTCCCCTCCAGATGTCTTTTTATGTCTTTTTCATCTATTTCCAGTAGGTCCTTATTCTGTGTGAAAAAATTAAAAATCCGGTGTTTATTTTGGATTTCACAGACACAGCAGGCACAGTCCCTAGACAAAAATACATAACTCAGTGCTCAAGAAAGAGTTTTGTGTTTCCTGGTGCTGTGCATGTTAGAGGCACCTGGGACAGGGAGCAGATCTCTCTGGAGTCTGAGTGGCAGGTCTGCTGCCTGCAAATGTGTGGTCTGTGCACCATACGAAGGTGCCTGCTAAGAGGACAGGGTCCTGAATTCCAGCCGTGGCTCTGCTTGACAAGCTGTGTGCTCCAGCTAGGGCCTAACAGAAGGCTGCCTTCTACCAAAGGTGTTACACCAAGCTATGAGGCCTGCATTTGCCCAGAGCAGGCCCTTTTTCTGTTTTGCACAAAAGCACTCATTGATTAATGGTGTTCCACCCAACTGTCCACTGGAGAAGTATCTAACAAGAGACAAATCCATTCTCAGGTACTTCGCAAAGGCCAACCAAGGCTATGTAATGGTGTGTGTGGGGTACAGCATGGTTGTAGGGTGGCCAACTGTGGGAACCCCACACTGAGGAGTTCCCTGCCATGTGTGGCTGCTATGCTAAAGTCAAGACAGTGTCAGCAAACCCAGATGGTTGGTCATCTTACTCTTGGAGCTCCCTCAAGTTTGGGCAGCTTTTGACTGTCACTACAGAAAGGACTGAATTATTGGTGTTGCCCTTTCCCTTCCCCTGTTGTTCCCTTGCCTTGTGCTGACACTTACGTTTGTAGGGCACAGACCATGTCGCAGCAGGAGGAATTCTCCCCATACAAACTTCTATCTCTGACCTTCTGGTTGTTATACAGAAAAGTACTCATATTTTATGGCCAGGTGTGGCAGCTCATGCTTTTAATCCCAGCACTTTGGGAGGCTGAGGCAGGTGGCTCACTTGAAGCCAAGAGTTCTTTTTTTTTTTTTTTTTTTTTTGAGACAGTCTCATTCTGTCACCCAGTGGAGTACAGTGGCACAATCTTGGCTCACTGCAACCTCCACCTCCTGGTCAAGTGATTCTCCTGCCTCAGCCTCCCAAGTAGCTGGGACTAGAGGGATGGGCCACCATGCCTGGCTAATTTTTGTATTTTTAGTAGAGACGGGGTTTTGACATGTTGGTCTGGAACTCCTGAACTCAGGTGATCAACCTGCATCGGCCTCCCAAAGTGCTGGGATTACAGGCGGAAGCCACCATGCCCAACCAGCCTGGGCAACATAATGAGACCCCATCTTACAAAAAGTAGTAAAAATTAGCTGGTGTGTGCTTGTAGCCCTAGCTACTCAGGAGACTGAGGTGGGACAATTTCTTGAGCCCAGCAGTCAAGGCTGCAGTGTGCTATGATTGCACCACTGAAATCCAGCCTGAGTGCTAGAGCAAGACCCTGTCTCTGTAACAACAACAACAAAAAACTAAATGAAAATATTTTAGGCCAGGCGCGGTGGCTCACCCATGTAATCCCAGCACTTTGGGAGGCCGAGGGGGAGTGGATCACGTGAGATCAGGAGTTCAAGACCTCGCCAGTATGGTGAGATCCCCGTCTCTACTAAAAATACAAAAATTAGCTGGGCGTGGCGATGCGTGCCTGTAGTCCCAGCTACTCGGGAGGCTGAGGCAGGAGAATCGCTTGAACCCGGCGGGGCAGAGGTTGCAATGAGCCGAGATCACGCCACCGCATTCCAGCCTGGGGGACACAGTGAGACTCTGTCTTGGAAAAAAAAAAAAGAAAATATTTTATGGTACTGAATTTCTTGCCAGTGTATTTTTCTGTACATATTTTTATATAGTTCAGAACAGATTGTATAATTTTATATCTAGCTTTTTTAAACTTAACATTATAATGTGAACATTCTATTAAAATGTTGAAAACTTTTTTTCTTAGACACAATGTTCATTGACTATATTCTGTTCCATCATATGGCTATATCTTAGCTTGACCCCCCTACCAGTCATCTAGACTGGGGCAACAAACTTTTCCTTAAAGGTCCAGATAGCCAGGCGCGGTGGCTCACACCTGTAATCCCAGCACTTTGGGAGACCGACGCAGGATGATCACTTTGAGTCCAGGAGTTTGAGACGAGCCTGGGCAACATAGCAACACCCCGTTTCTCTAAAAAAAAAAAAAAAAAAAAAGAAAACAAAAACAAGATCCAGATAGTAAATATTTTAGGCTTTATTGGCCAGATAGTCTCTGCCCTTGTAGCATGAAAGGAGCCATAAGCCATAAACAATACATATACGGGTGTGGCTGTATTTAACACAACTTTACCAGAATAAAAGGAGGACTAGATGATTCTCTGGGTCATGTAACAGAGTCCAAAGAGTGTACTACTCACTGCATGACATTTAATAAGTCAAGAGACAAGGGGTTGAGGCAAGGAAAGTGACTTTTATTCAGAGAGCCAGCAAACCAAGAAAATGGAAGAGTAGTGTCCTGAAGAACCATTTTTAAGTCAATACAAATTTCAGGCTCCTTTTACGTGAGAGGAAGGGGGAAGAGGGAGGGAGTTGAGGTCAAGAAGTGGCCAGTGATCACATCTGGGTGGTGGCAAGGGTCCAAGGAGGTGGTGAAACTTTGTCCTTGGTCAGGTCACAGTGCTCTTATAAATCTTTAACATAACATTATTACTTGCATACATCCTCCTTATCTCCTCAGGGGTTAGTTTTGGGGGAGGCACTATTACCATCCTTGCTCTAAACTATAAACTAAATTCCTTCTATAGTTAGCTTGGCCTATGTGCAGAGATAAGCAAAAGCAGTTAACCTAAAAGATACAGGTTATCGCTGCAGGGGGGTTAGGAGCAAAATGGAGTTAGTCACGCTAGGCCTCCTTGTCACTGTTATAGCCATAGCTTGTGGATCTCTGGTTTAGACTATTTATAATGTTTGGTACTATAAATAATGCAGCTAATGAATATCTTTGTGAAGAAGTCCTTGAATATGTCAGATTATCTCTTAGGAAACAATCCTACAAATTGAGTTACTAGAACAAAAAAAAAGTATGGCTATTTTTAAGGTCCTTGATCCATAATATGGGATACAAGTCGAAGTAGCTTTCTGAATAGCCACCTAACCTTAACTCAGCATCATTCTTGGACCCTGCCCATGTCCCTGGGAATCCCTGGAACTAACATTTCTTTGGTTCTTTTTTTTTTTTTTTTAAGAGTCGGGGTCTCACTCTGCTGCCCAGGCTGGAGAACAGTGGCACAATCATGGCTCACTGCAACCTTGAATTCCTGGCCTCAAATTATACTCCCTCTCACCCTCCCGAAGTGCTGGGATTATAGGCATGAGCATCTGTGCCCGGCCACTTTTCATTAGTCCTAAGCACACACCACCAAGTTCAGTTTTCCTGAGATGCCTCCATTCTCCAGATCATTCAGCCCCTTTACAGTGGACAATTATGCTTATCTATTTCTGCTTAAATCATCTATCTATGTGCTACCTTTTCCTTCCCAACCCAATTGTTTAAAGATGACAGACTAGACCAGGCACCATGGCTCATGCCTGTAATCCCAGCACTTTGGGAGGCAGAGGCAGGAGGATCTCGAACCCAGGAGTTTGAGACCAGCCTGGGCAATATAAGGAGACTCTGTCTTTACAAAAATAAAATTAGCCACACATGCTGGCACACACCTTCAGTCCCAGCTACTTGGAGGCTGAGGTAGGAGGATTGCTTGGGCCTGGGAGGCAGAGGTTGCAATGAGTCATGATCAGGCCACTGCACTCCAGCCTGGCAACAGAGGGAGACTTGCTTCAAAAAAAAAAAAAAAAAAAAGACAGACTAAGCATGTGTACCTAGTTAGGATCCTTCTGGAAACCCCACGAAAATGACAGCAAAAGGATATTTTTATCACATAAACCCCATACAACTGATTAAATTTGGGAGAACATTAGAAACAAGGACATTCTATCATTTGCAACAACATGGGTGAACCTGGAAGATATTATGCTAAGTGAAATAAGCCAGATTCAGAAAGACAAATACCACATGATTTCACTTATACGTGGAATTTTAAAAAGTTGAACTCACAGCAGCAGAAAGTAGAATGGTGGTTACCAGAGGCTGGGGGAGGAGAGGAGTAGGGGAGATGTTGACCAAAGGGCACACATTTCAGTTAGCCAGGGGGAATACGTTTTTGAGATCTACTGTACATGGTGACCATAGTCAATAATAATGTATACTTTGAAGGAGCATCTGGAATTTTACCCCCAGATATGGCTCCCTGGTATAATGAGTATTTTGAATTAAATGTCCTTAGCAATCAACAGATGCTAGAAGAAACCTTTTCCCTATCTACATAAAGACCTAAGGGATCCACCAAGGAAAACAATTACTAAGTTTTTATTCCATTTCTCCTATTAATCTGCATTTGGTGAGTGATTTTTTAGTTATTCTTCAGAGGGCAAAGGGGAAGTTTGTTCCTGGCCCCTACAGTTTCAAAATTGTAAAAATAATAACAATAATGAATTTTTTAAATTACACATTTATTTTTACTTTTTTTTTTTTTTATTAGAGACAGGGTATTGCTATGTTGCCCAGGCTGGTGTCTGGAACCCCTGAATTCCTGGGCTCAAGCAATCTTCCTGCCTTGGCCTCTCAAAGTGTTGGAATTACAGGTGTGAGCCACCATGCTTGGCCAAGAATAGATTTTACATGTTCTCAATACAAAGAAAAAGAAGTATGTGAGGAGTGTGATATGCTAATTAGCTTCATATAATCATTCCACAATGTATACATCTATTACTATCAAAACATCATATTTATCCCATATATATATTATTTGTCAATTAAAAATGTAAATTTTCATTTAAAATTTTGAAGGGCTAGAAAACAGGATAAATAGCAACTGACTTAGCAGGCTTGTGAAGCTGAGTCTTAAGCCAGCAGGGATGAAAGTCAAGAAGCAACTCAACTTGCATTGAGACTCCCATAGAGTTTTGTGACCAGGCTTTGGTAGTACCAGCTACGTCTAGTATAAGTGGGGGTGTGTATAAGACTGAATACAGGAGAATTGGTTGGAAGTCAGTAAGAAGAAGTTAGAACCCTAAATCTCTCCTGCAAGTCCACACAGCCAGACTGTACATCCCCCACCCCAGAATAAGACTGTAAGTTGAAAACAAAAGGTCTCTGGATAAAGGGTTACCAGGCAAAATTAGGGTTGAGGTACTATACTGAAAACAATATCATACTGGAAGATTATTTTCTGTGGTTCATATAATACAAAAGCACAGCCAGATATCCTACAAAGAATCCCAGGTTCCAGACTTTTGTTTGAGACCTGAAAAAGAAACAAAAAAGAGATAAAAGAAAACAAAATAAGTAAAAACCAATAAATAAAATGAAGCCCATGTTGACAACTCCACCTCATGTGCTCAGAGCTTCCAAGCAGCTTTTAAGCTCCGCATTAAAAAAAAATATGAATGGAAAACCAAGGGTCACCACACATCTGAGAAAAGCTCCTAATAAAGATAGAGACCAAAACAGGAAATAAAGAAAAAAATAGAGAAAACGAGACTATGCAGAGAGAAATTAAATATTAATGGACAAGAAGTTGGGTGCAGTTGCTCACACCTGTAATTTCAGCACTTTGGGGGGCCGAGGCAGGAGGATCGCTTTAGGCCAGGAGTTCAGGACCAGCCTGGGCAACATAGCGAGACCATCTCTCTGTAAGAAAAAAAAATTAGTTGGGTGTGATGGCACACACCTGTAGCCTCAGCTACTCGGGAGACTGAGGTAGGAGGATCACTTGAGCCCAGGAGTTCCAGGCTGAGGTGAGCTGTGATCACGCCACTGCACTCCAGCCCAGGCAAAGACACTTCAACTCTAGAAGAATGAATATGATTTTGTTGGATAGGGTTGAGTTTTTGAAGGCCACAGATCACTGTTATATAAAACATTCTCTTGTCAATCCCCAAAGAACCAATTTTTGCCCCCTTGGGGGACAATTACTGCCCCTCTTAGAGACCCCTTCTCTACTGAAATGCATGCTTTAGAGAAATAACACATTGCATCTGTGAAATAATGGGTTACTATTTTTAAAATGAACACTGAAGTGAGAAAGAGAAGTAGCTCAGAGAAGTCTGAAAAATGTGTGGTATGCAAAATTTATCAGGTCCAGAGAGACACAATCTTCAGAGAATGAATCTTCAGTCACACCCACCCCTCCCCAGAGAATCATGCCTAGGAACAATTGTTTAAAGGCATTTTGTTCTTTCTTTCCTTCCATGTAGTTTCCAGACTGGCTGATAAATTACCCAAAATGCTATCACAAGTTGCACAATATGACCCTCACCCATTATCTTCATGTTCCTGGAATTTGTGATACAAAGAACAACATATGCCAATTAGTAGCTTATGTTCAATTTAGGAACTGCCCCTTCTTTTTTCCTTTAAAAACCCACTTGTTGGCCAGGCGCAGTGGCTCACACCTGTAATCTCAGCGCTTTGGGAGGCCGAGGTGGGCGGATCATCTGAGGTCAGGAGTTTGAGACCAGCCTGGCCAACATGGGGAAAACCTGTCTCTACTAAAAATACAAAACATAGCTGCGCGTGGTGGTGCACGCCTGTAATTCCAGCTACTAGGGAGGCTGAGGCAGGAGAATTGCTTGAACTCGGGAGGCAGAGGTTGCAGTGAGCCAAGATTGTGCCACTGCACTCCAGCCTGGGTGACAGAGCAAGATTCCATCTAAAACAAACAAACGAACGAACAAAAAAACCCCACTTGTTGACTGCTTGAAGCCAAGAGTTCAAGACCAGCCTGGTCAACATAACAAGACCCTGTCTCCAAAAAAACAAAAACAAAAACCAAAAAATCCACTTGTAAGTGCTGCTAATCACAGCATATATTCAGGGCAACTTAACTTGAATCTGTGTCTCCTGGGCTGTAGCCCTCAAATTTGGCCCAAATAAACTCTCTGCTTACATTAATTTTGCCTCAGTTTATTCCTGTAGGTGAACCAATAAAAAAGAGCTCTTAGAATTGTAGTGTTACCAGAAAGGGATCCCAATCCAGACCCCAGGAGAGGGTTCTTGGACCTTGCACGAGAAAAGAATTTGGGACAAGTCTGCAAAGTGAAAGCAAGTTTATTAGAGAAGAAAAGAAACAAAAGAATGGCTCCTCCATAGGCAGAGCAGAGGCATGGGCTGCTCTATGAGTAAACTTATGGTTATTTCTTGCTTATATGCTACATATGGGGTGGATTATTCATGAGTTTTCTGGCAAAGGGTGGGCAATTTCCAGAACTGAGGGTTCCTCCCCTTTTTAGAATATGTAGGGTAACTTCCAGGCACTGCCATGGCATTTGTAAATTGTCATGGTGCTGGTGGGAGTGTCTTTTAGCATGCTAATGCATTATAGCTAGCATATAATTGTTACCAGCAGCAAAGCCACATGGGGCTGCAGCAACTAGATGCCTGCTTCCTTGGAGGACAGAATTCAGCCAAGGGGCAGAAGCAGGTTTAAGGCAGAGGGAGAGATTGAGACAACTTTTAGAGCAGGAATGAGAGTTTATTAAAAAGTTTTAGAGCAGGAATGAAAGGAAGCAAAGTCCACTTGGAAGAGGGCCAAGTGGGTGACTTGAGAGATCCAAGTGCCCTTTTCAGCCCTTGACTTGAGGTTTTATACATGGGCATGGTTCCAGGGTTTCTGCTTCTCTTCCCTTAATTGTCCCCTTGGGGTGGGCTGTGTGTATGTGCAGTATGTTTACTGAAGTTGTACACATGCTAAGTTGAGGTGTGTTTCCATTACCAGTCAAGTGTTCCCAGAGGAAGGTCATACACCCATTAAACTCTGCTGTTTTGCCTCTTAGTGAACGTGCCTTAGTCCACTTGCCCAACTCCAAAGATCTTACCAGGAAGCTGCTGATTACCAGTTTTCGGTGTTTCCTTTTCTTTTTTTTTTTGAGACAGAGTTTCACTCTTGTCACTCAGGCTGGAGTACAATGGTGCAATCTCAGCTCACTGAAACCTCTGCCTCCCAGGTTCAAGCGATTCTCCAGCCTTGCCTCCTGAGTAGCTGGGATTACAGGCATGCACCACTACGCCCGGCTAATTTTGTATTTTTAGCAGAGATGGGGGGTGGTTCTCACCATGTTGCCCAGGCTGGTCTTGAACTCCTGACCTCAGGTGATCCACCTGCCTCAGCCTCCCAAAGTGCTGGGATTACAAGCATGAGCCATGGTGCCCAGTTAGTTTCAGGTGTTTTCTATCTATTGGGAGATTGTCTTTCTCTGGCACTGGCTACAACCAATTGTTATTTTAGAGAGACAGTTTAACAACTGCCTGACCATCATCTGATGATCACCTGACATTCCTGGAGACAGGGCCCTCCCCTGCCCTGCTCATGTCTGCCTAACTACCGATTCTAACATAATGAACAGTGAGGATGACCAGAGGTCACTTTCATTACCATCTTGGATTTGGCAGGTTTTGGCCAGCTTCTTTACTGTATCCTGTTTTATCAGTAAGGTCTTTGTGACCTGTATCTTGTGCCAACCTCCTATCTCATCCTGTGACTAAGAATGCCTAACTGCCTGGGAATGCAGCCCAGTAGGTCTCAGCTTTATTTTACCCAGCTCCTATTCACTTTGGTTCAAATGCCTCTGACAGTAGGGGCCAAGGGAAAAACTTCCCCTTTGTCCTCTGAAGGTTTACTGAAAAATCAACTCACAAAATGCAGATTAGTAGGAAAAAGGCATCAAAACTTATTAATGTGTACACAGGGGAGAATCAGAGTGATCACTCAATATCCCAGTGGGGCCCAAATACTTATATAGCCTTATTTGAGAGGGGAGTGAGGAGATGGGGAATATAGGTAATTCTGTTGAGGTACAATAAACGATTGCTAGGGAGAATGAATGGATCAGGGAACAGAGATTAGCTTGTAAATCGTTCTCTTTGAAAAAAAGATTTTTTTTTTTTTTGAGACAGGATCTTGCTCTGTCCCAAAGGCTGGAGTGCAATGGTGTGGTCACAGCTCACTGCAGCCTTGACCTACTGGGCTCATGTGATCCTCTTGTAACCACCCATGGGTTCACCTTGCCTGCTGCCTAGACAGAGCCAATTTATCAAGACAGGGGAACTGCAGTAGACAAAGAGTAATTCACACAGACCAGCTGTGCGGGAGACCAGAGTTTTATGATTACTCAAAAAAGTCTCCCTCAGTATTTGGAAATAAGAGTTTTGTTGTTGTTGTTGTTGTTGTTGTTGTTGTTGTTTTTGAGATGGAGTTTCGCTCTTGTCGCCCAGGCTGGAGTGCAATGGCGCAATCTCCACTCACTGCAACCTCCGCCTCCTGGGTTCAAGTGATTCTCCTGCCTCAGCCTACTGAGTAGCTGGGATTACAGGCACATGCCACCATGCCCAGCAAATTTTTGTATTTTTAGCAGAGACGGGATTTTGCCATGTTGTCCAGGCTGGTCTCAAACTCCTGGCCTCAAGTGATTCGCCCGCCTCGGCCTCCCAAAGTGCTGGGATTACAAGTGTGAGCCACTGCACCTGGCCAGGAAATGAGAGTTTTTAAGGACAACTTGGTGAGTAGGGGAAAGCCAGTGAACCAGGAGTGCTGATTGATCAGGTCAGAGATAAAATCATAAGAAGCTGAAGCTGTCTTCTTGCACTAAGTCAGTTCCTGGGTGGGAGCCACAAGATCAGATGAGCCAGTTTATCCATCTGGGTGGTGCCAGTTGATCCATCAAGTGCAGGGTCTGCAGAACATCTGAGCACTGATCTTAGGAGCAGTTTAAGGAGGCCCAAAATCTTGTAGCATCCAGCTGTATGACTCCTAAACCATAATTTCTAATCTTGTGGCTAGTTTCTTAGTCCTACAAAGGCTGTCTAGTCCCCAGGCAAGAAGGGCGTTTGTTTTGGGAAAGGGCTGTTGCCATCTTTGTTTTAAACTATAAACTAAGTTTTAAATTATAAACTACTTTTCTCCCAAAGTTAGTTCAGCCTACACTCAGGAATGAACAAATACAGCTCGGAGGTTAGAAGGAAGATAGAGTTGGTTCAGTCAGATCTCTTTCACTGTCTCAGTTATAATTTTGCAGTGGTGGTTTCACTCCTGCCTCAGCCTCCTAAGTAGCTGTGACTATAGGCATATGCCACCATGCCCAGCTAATTTTTTTTTTATAGAGATGGAGTCTCACGGTGTTGCCCAGGCTTGTCTCAAACTCTTGGGCTCAAACAATCCTTCCTGCTCAGCCTCCCAAAGTGCTGGGATTACACGCATGAGGCACCACACCTGGCCTTTTTTTTTTTTCTAAGTTTTTTGTTGTAGGTTGTGCTACATTTCCCAGGCTGGTCTCGAACTCCTGCCCTCAAGCAATCCTCCCACTTTGGCTCCCCAAAGTGCTCTTTGGAAATTGAGCCTGAGAGAAGAATATTATCTTGTGAATAAGTCTGTTTAGGTGTGGTTAATTCCTTGCTCTTCTTTTCTGCAATAGATGAGAAAGCATGAAGCAGAAGGAAAAACGATCGTTTTCCTTGGTGGGTCCTTCAGCCCTTTATGTAGATAGAGAAAAAGTCTCTTCTAGCATCTATTGATCTTTAAGGACCTTTAATTCAAAATACTCATTATACCAGGGAGCCATATATTGGGGTGAGGTTGCCTTGCCTGTACTCCTCCAGAATTTATTTTTTAATTTTAATTTTTTTTTTTGAGACGGAATTTCACTCTTATTGTCCAGGCTGGAGCGCAATGGCGCAATCTCGGCTCACCACAACCTCCACCTCCTGGGTTCAAGAGATTCTCCTGCCTCAGTCTCCTGAGTAGCTGGGATTACAGGCATGCGCCACCACGCCCGGCTAATTTTGTATTTTTAGTAGAGATGGGGTTTCTCCATGTTGGTCAGGCTGGTCTCAAACTCCCGACCTCAGTGGTCCACCCACCTCGGCCTCCCAAAGTGCTGGGATTACAGGCATACGCCACCGCGCCCGGCCAATTTTTTTTTTTTTTTTTTTTTAAAGAGAAAGAATCTTACTCTGTCACCCAGGCTAGAGAGCAGTGAAATTATAGCTCAGTGCATCCCTGAACTCTTGGGCTCAAGGGATCCTCCCAAGGGAGGCACAGTACTGCCTTACTGGGTGACACAGTAAGACTCCATCTCAAGGGAAAAAAAAAAGATTGTAAGTTAAATCTCCTAGAAAGCCAAACACTTGTCAGATAGTGAAAAAAGAAGAGAACAGATTGTAAATTTATAGCATCAGTTCAGTAGTTTCAACATTTTAATAAGGAGGCTAGGGGACACAATGGGTCACGCCTGTAATCCCAGCACTTCAGGAGGCCGAGGTGGGTGGATCACTTGAGGCCAGGAGTTTGAGACCAGCCTCGCCAACATGGTGAAACCCCATCTCTACTAAAAATACAAAAGTTAGCTGGGTGTGTTGGTACGCACCTGTAGTCCCAGCTACTTGAAAGGCTGAGGCAGGAGAATCGCTTGAACCTGGGAAGCAGAGGTTGCAGTGAGCCAAGATCATGCCACTGCACTCCAGCCTGGGTGACAGAGCAAGACTCTGTCTCAAAAAAGAATAATAATAATAATGAAACCACCTTTGCAAAAATTGTAACAGAAAATTATGAGACAGGATAATTCCCTTGACCTCCTTGCAGTACTTGCAACTGGGGTGTGGCTTGTTTACTCGGCCACCTCGTGCTCAAACCCCTTGTGAGAGTGAGTGAGTGCAGGAACTGGAAAAAACGAATGCTGGAATTGGCCAGTTGCTCCTCTCTGGCAGGAGCAGGCTCGGTGCAGGCCCCATAACAGCATCCAAACATGTTGAAACCAATGCTGTTTCAGCTCTTCAGTCCGAGGACAGCTAAGTGCCAACCAGCTCAGTGGAGGGTCAGGGTGGCAGCCCCTGCCCTCTCAACACCCAGGTTCTTGTCCAGCATCCAGGAAGAATCATGTCACACGAACAGATTGAAGGGTAGTGTATGCAGAGGATTTTACTGGGCGATGAAAGTGGCTCTCAGCGGCTCTCAGCATCCAGGAAGAATCAAGTCACATGAACAGATTGAAGGGTAGTGTATGCAGAGGATTTTACTGGGCGATCAAAGTGGCTCTCAGCGGGATGGGGAGTTGAAAAGGGGATGATGCGGGAAGAAGGTGATCTTTCCCTGAAGCCGAGCAGTCTGAGGGCAGGCCCCTCTCCAAAGCCGCATCATCTGAAGTTAGCCACATCTACCCATAGTCTCCAACATTCAGTTGCTTCTCTGCTTACTGCTCAGCCACTTGTATCCTTGACAATCAGCCGTTTGTATCCCCAATGCTCAGCTGCTGTGTTGCTCTGCCAGCTGAAATCTTTTTATGAGCACAGGATGGGGAAATGGCAGGCCAAAAAGGCAACACGTGGGTGGAAAAATGGGGCTCCTGTTTTCACTTAGAGCTGAGGTTCCAGGCTTAAGGGTGGGGTTTACCCAGGAGCCCAGCCCTTCTGTATCAATGGCAGCGGGGGAGATGTGATCTAGCCAATCTCCATCTTGCTTTTAGCCTTCTTTTTTTTTAATCCTCCATGCACATTTTTGTGCTCCACTCTACTAAAATGTTACATTGCAGAACAATTCCAGATCCTGTAACTTAGGTCCTGTATGTTGACAGTATTTATTTTTATTATACTTTAAGTTTTAGGGAACAAAACGTGCAGGTTTATTACATATATATACATGCGCCATGTTGGTGTGTCGCACCCAATAACTCGTCATTTAACATTAGGTATATCTCCTAATGCTATCCCTCCCCCCTCCCCCCACCCCACAATAGGCCCCGGTGTGTGATGTTCCCCTTCCTGTGTCCATGTGTTCTCACTGTTCAATTCCCACCTATGAGTGAGAACATGCGGTGTTTGGTTTTTTGTCCTTGTGATAGTTTGCTGAGAATGATGGTTTCCAGCTTCATCTATGTCCCTACAAAGGACATGAACTCACCATTTTTTATGGCTGCATAGTATTCCATAGTGTATATGCACCACATTTTCTTAATCCAGTCTATCATTGTTGGACATTTGGGTTGGTTCCAAGTCTTTGCTATTGTGAATAGTGCTGCAATAAACATACATGTGCATGTGTCTTTATAGCAGCATGATTTATAATCCTTTGGGTATATACCCAGTAATGGGATGGCTGGGTCAGATGGTATTTCTAGTTCTAGATCTCTGAGGAATCACCACACTGACTTCCACAATGGTTGAACTAGTTTACAGTCCCACCAACAGTGTAAAAGTGATCCTATTTCTCCACATCCTCTCCAGCATATGTTGTTTCCCGACTTTTTAATGACCGCCATTCTAACTGGTGTGAGATGGTATCTCATTGTGGTTTTGATTTGCATTTCTCTGATGGCCAGTGATGATGAGCATTTTTTCATGTGTCTTTTGGCTGCATAAATGTCTTCTTTTGAGAAGTGTCTGTTCATATCCTTTGCCCACTTGTTGATGGGGTTGTTTTTTTTCTTGTAAATTTGTTTGAGTTCATTGTAGATTCTGGATATTAGCCCTTTGTCAGATGAGTAGGTTGCAAAAATTTTCTCCCATTCTGTAGGTTGCCTGTTCACTCTGATGGTGGTTTCTTTTGCTGTGCAGAAGCTCTTTAGATTAATTAGATCCCATTTGTCAATTTTGGCTTTCGTTGCCATTCCTTTTGGTGTTTTAGACATGAAGTCCTTGCCCGTGCCTATGTCCTGAATGGTATTGCCTAGGTTTCCTTCTAGGGTTTTTATGGTTTTAGGTCTAACATTTAAATCTTTAATCCATCTTGAATTAATTTTAGTATAAGGAATAAGGAAGGGATCCAGTTTCAGCTTTCTACATATGGCTAGCCAGTTTTCCCAGCACCATTTATTAAATAGGGAATCCTTATCCCATTTCTTGTTTTTGTCAGGTTTGTCAAAGATCAGATAGTTGTAGATATGTGGCATTATTTCTGAGGGCTCTGTTCTGTTCCATTGGTCTATATCTCTGTTTTGGTACCAGTACCATGCTGTTTTGCTTACTGTAGCCTTGTAGTATAGTTTGAAGTCAGGTAGCGTGATGCCTCCAGCTTTGTTCTTTTGGCTTAGGATTGACTTGGCAATGCGGGCTCTTTTTTAGTTCCATATGAACTTTAAAGTATTTTTTTCCAATTCTGTGAAGAAAGTCATTGGTAGCTTGAGAGGGATGGCATTGAATCTATAAATTACCTTGGGCAGTATGGCCATTTTCACGATATTGATTCTTCCTACCCATGAACATGGAATGTTCTTCCATTTGTTTGTATCCTCTTCTATTACATTGAGCAGTGGTTGTAGTTCTCCTTGAAGAGGTCCTTCACGTCCCTTGTAAGTTGGATTCCTAGGTATTTCATTCTCTTTGAAGCAATTGTGAATGGGAGTTCACTCATGATTTGGCTCTCTGTTTGTCTGTTATTGGTGTATAAGAATGCTTGTGATTTTTGCACATCGATTTTGTATCCTGAGACTTTGCTGAAGTTGCTTATGAGCTTAAGGAGATTTTGAGCTGAGATGATGGGGTTTTCTAGATATACAATCATGTCATCTGCAGACAGCGACAATTTGACTTCCTCTTTTCATGATTGAATACCCTTTATTTCTTTCTCCTGCCTGATTTCCCTGGCCAGAACTTCCAACACTATGTTGAATAGGAGTGGTGAGAGAGGGCATCCCTGTCTTGTGCCACTTTTCAAAGGGAATGCTTCCAGTTTTTGCTCATTCAGTATGATATTGGCTGTGGGTTTGTCATAAATAGCTCTTATTATTTTGAGATACGTCCCATCAGTACCTAATTTATTGAGAGTTTTTAGCATGAAGGGCTGCTGAATTTTGTCAAAGGCCTTTTCTGCATCTATTGAGATAATCATGTGGTTTTTGTCATTGGTTCTGTTTATATGCTGGATTACATTTATTGATTTGCATATGTTGAACCAGCCTTGCATCCCAGGGATGAAGCCCACTTGATCATGGTGGATAAGCTTTTTGATATGCTGCTGGATTCAGTTTCCCAGTATTTTATTGAGGATTTTTGCATCGATGTTCATCAGGGATATTGGTCTAAAATTCTCTTCTTTTGTTGTGTCTCTGCCAGGCTTTGGTATCAGGATGATGCTGGCCTCATAAAATGAGTTAGGGAGGATTCCCTCTTTTTCTATTGATTGGAATAGTTTCAGAAGGAATGGTACCAGCTCCTCCTTGAACCTCTGGTAGAATTCGGCTGTGAATCCATCTGGTCCTGGACTTTTTTTGGTTGGTAAGCTATTAATTATTGCCTCAATTTCAGATCCTGTTATTGGTCTATTCAGAGATTCAACTTCTTCCTGGTTTAGTCTTGGGAGAGTGTATGTGTCAAGGAATTTATCCATTTCTTCCAGATTTTCTAGTTTATTTGCATAGAGGTGTTTATAGTATTCTCTGATGGTAGTTTGTATTTCTGTGGGATCAGTGGTGATATCCCCTTTATCATTTTTTATTGCATCTATTTGATTCTTCTCTCTTTTCTACTTTATTAGTCTTGCTAGCGGTCTATCAATTTTGTTGATCTTTTCAAAAAACCAGCTCCTGGATTCATTGATTTTTTGAAGGGTTTTTTGTGTCTCTATTTCCTTCAGTTCTGCTCTGATCTTAGTTATTTCTTGTCTTCTGCTAGCTTTTGAATATGTTTGCTCTTGCTTCTCTAGTTCTTTTAATTGTGACGTTAGGGTGTCAATTTTAGATCTTTCCTGCTTTCTCTTGTGGGCATTTAGTGCTATAAATTTCCCTGTACACACTGCTTTGAATGTGTCCCAGAGATTCTGGTATGTTGTGTCTTTGTTCTCGTTGGTTTCAAAGAACATCTTTATTTCTGCCTTCATTTCGTTATGTACCCAGTAGTCATTCAGGAGCAAGTTGTTCAGTTTCCATGTAGTTGAGTGGTTTTGAGAGTGAGTTTCTTAATCCTGAGTTCTAGTTTGATTGCACTGTGGTCTGAGAGACAGTTTGTTATAATTTCTATTCTTCTACATTTGCTGAGGAGTGCTTTACTTCCAACTATGTGGTCAATTTTGGAATAGGTGTGGTGTGGTGCTGAAAAGAATGTATATTCTGTTGATTTGGGGTGGAGAGTTCTGTAGATGTCTATTAGGTCCACTTGGTGCAGAGCTGAGTTCAAGTCCTGGATATCCTTGTTAACTTTCTGTCTCGTTGATCTGTCTAATGTGACAGTGGGGTGTTAAAGTCTCCCCTTATTATTGTGTGGGAGTCTAAGTCTCTTTGTAGGTCTCTAAGGACTTGCTTTATGCATCTGGGTGCTCCTGTATTGGGTGCATATATATTTAGGATAGTTAGCTCTTCTTGCTGAATTGATCCCTTTACCATTATGTAATGGCCTTCTTTGTCTCTTTTGATCTTTGTTGGTTTAAAGTTTGTTTTATCAGAGACTAGGATTGCAACCCCTGCCTTTTTTTGTTTTCCATTTTCTTGGTAGATCTTCCTCCATCCCTTTACTTTGAGCCTATGTGCATCTTTGCATGTGAGATGGGTTTCCTGAATACAGCAGACTGATGGGTCTTGACTCTTTATCCAATTTGCCACTCTGGGTCTTTTAATTGGAACATTTAGTCCATTTACATTTAAGGTTAATATGGTTATGTGTGAATTTGATCCTGTCATTATGATGTTAGCTGGTTATTTTGCTTGTTAGTTGATGAAGTTTCTTCCTAGTCTCGATGGTCTTTACAATTTGGCATGTTTTTGCAGTGGCTGGTACCGGTTGTTCCTTTCCATGTTTAGTGCTTCCTTCAGGAGTTCTTTTAGGGCAGGCCTGGTGGTGACAAAATCTCTCAGCATTTGCTTGTCTGTATTTTATTTCTCCTTCACTTATGAAGTTTAGTTTGGCTGGATATGAAATTCTGGGTTGAAAATTCTTTTCTTTAAGAATGTTGAATATTGGCCCCCACTCTCTTCTGGCTTGTAGAGTTTCTGCTGAGAGATCAGCTGTTAGTCTGATGGGCTTCCCTTTGTGAGTAATCCGATCTTTCTCTCTGGCTGCCCTTAACATTTTTTCCTTCATTTCAACTTTGGTGAATCTGACAATTATGTGTCTTGGAGTTGCTCTTCTCGAGGAGTATCTTTGTGGTGTTCTCTGTATTTCCTGAATTTGAATGTTGGCCTGCCTTGCTAGATTGGGGAAGTTCTCCTGGATAATATCCTGCAGAGTGTTTTCCAACTTGGTTCCATTCTCCCCGTCACTTGCAGGTACACCAATCAAACGTAGATTTGGTCTTTTCCCAGAGTCCCATATTTCTTAGAGGCTTTGTTCATTTCTTTTTCTTCTTTTTTCTCTAAACTTCTCATTTCATTTCATTCATTTGATCTTCCATCACTGATACCCTTTCTTCCAGTTGATTGAATCGGCTACTGAGGCTTGTGCATTTGTCACGTAGTTCTTGTGCCATGGTTTTCAGCTCCATCAGGTCATTTAAGGGCTTCTCTACGCTGGTTATTCTAGTTAGCCATTCGTCTAATCTTTTTTCAAGGTTTTTAACTTCTTTGCCATGGGTTCGAACTTCCTCCTTTAGCTCAGAGTAGTTTGATTGTCTGAAGCCTTCTTCTCTCAACTCATCAAAGTCATTCTCCGTCCAGCTTTGTTCCATTGCTGGTGAGGAGCTGCGTTCCTTTGGAGGAGGAGAGGCGCTCTGATTTTTAGAATTTTCAGTTTTTCTGCTCTGTTTTTTCCCCATCTTTGTGGTTTTATCTACCTTTGGTCTTTGATGATGGTGATGTACAGATGGGGTTTTGGTGTGGATGTCCTTTCTGTTTCTTTTCCTTCTAACAGTCAGGACCCTCAGCTACAGGTCTGTTGGAGTTTGCCGGAGGTCCATTCCAGACCCTGTTTGCCTGGGTATCAGCAGCAGAGGCTGCAGAACAGTGGATATTGGTGAACAGAAAATGTTGCTACTTGATCATTCCTCTGGGAGTTTTGTCTCAGAGAAGTACCTGGCCATGTGAGGTGTCAGTCTGCCCCTAATTGGGGTGCCTCCCAGTTAGGCTACTCAGGGGTCAGGGACCCACTTGAGGAGGCAGTCTGTCCGTTCTCAGATCTCCAGCTGCGTGCTGGAAGAACCACTACTCTCTTCAAAGCTGTCAGACAGGGACATTTAAGTCTGCAGAGGTTTCTGCTGCCTTTTGTTTGGCTATGCCCGCCCCCAGAAGTGGAGTCTACAGAGGCAGGCAGGCCTCCTTGAGCTGTGGTGGGCTCCACCCAGTTTGAGCTTCCCAACCGCTTTGTTTACCTACTCAAGCCTCAGCAATGGCGGGCGCCCCTCCCCCAGCCTCACTGCTGCCTTGCAGTTCGATCTCAGACTGCTGTGCTAGCAATGAGCGAGGCTCCGTGGGCGTAGGACCCTCCGAGCCAGGCACGGGATATAATCTCCTGGTGTGCCGTTTGCTAAGACTGTCGGAAAAGCGCAGTAGTAGGGTGGGAGTGACCCGATTTTCCAGGTGTCGTCCGTCACCCCTTTCCTTGGCTAGGAAAGGGAATTCCCCTGACCCCTTGTGCTTCCCCGGGGAGGCGATGCCTCACCCTGCTTCGGCTCGGGCTCAATGCACGGCACACACTGTCCTGCACCCACTGTCTGACAATCCCCAGTGAGATGCACCCGGTACCTCAGTTGGAAATGCAGAAATCATTCGTCTTCTGTGTCGCTCACGCTGGGAGCTGTAGACTGGAGCTGTTCCTATTCGGCCATCTTCACTTTTAGCCTTCAAGCTGCCAAGCTAACTTTAGGAGACATTTAGTTTATAGTTTAAATTATAATAGCCCTTCCCCCAAACTCAATCACCTTTGTAAAGCTAATTAGAGACCACTGGGCTAGGGGGCAGAGAGGAGCCTGAATTCTGCTAAGGTGTAAACATAAACGATTGCCAGCCATAATTCTGGAGGTCATAAGATATGCAACTTCCCCAATTATTCCTTCAGATAACATCACTACTGTAGAACCTAAGATTGACCTTTTGGGATACTTTCTCAGGTTTCTTGCATGTCTGACACCCATGCTTTACCTGGACCTACTGATCAACAGCTCCTGTGGCCTCACCCAGGAGTGATTCAGCATGCAAGAAGATCATTTCCCACATCCCTATGATTGCACCCCAACCAATCGGCAGCAAGCACCCACTGTCTAGCCACCCCCACCCTTTCCCCCAAACTACCTTTGAAAAACTCCTAACCTTTAAGCCTTTGATGAGACTGATTTGAGTGATAACTCCATCTCCCACATGGCATGGCTGGCCTGGCGTCAGTTGAACTCTCCACTGCAATGCTGAGATTTTTTTTTTTTTTGAGACAGAGTCTTGCTCTGTTGCGCAGGCTGGAGTGCAGTGGAGTGATCTTGGCTCACTGCAATCTTTGCCTCCTGGGTTCAAGTGATTCTCCTGCCTCAGCCTCCCAAGTAGCTGGGATTACAGGCGCACACCACCACACTGGGCTAATTTTTGTTTATTTAGTAGAGACAGGGTTTCACCATGTTGGCCAGGCTGGCCTCGAGCTCGTGACCTCAAGTGATCTGCCTGTCTCAGCCTCCCAAAGTGCTGGGATTACAGGCATGAGCCACTGCAGCTGGCCCAATGCTGAGAATTGATTTTCTTCGTTCAGTGGGCAGGAAGAACCTGTCAGGCAGTTACAATAAGAGTTCCAGGCCAGCCACCATGGCTCACACCTGTAATCCCAACACTTTGAAAGGCCAAGGTGGGCTGATCACTTGAGCCCAGAAGTTGCAGACCAGCCTGGGCAACATGGTGAAACCACATCTCTATTAAAAAGTACAAAAAATTAGCCAGGCATGGTCCCATGTACCTGTAGTCCTAGCTACTCAGGAGGCTGAGGTGGGAGGATCATCTGAGCCTGGGAAGTTGAGGCTGCAGGGAGCCATGATCATGTCAGAGGTGTTTGAACCACAGCGACTCCATCTTGAATAGGCGCTGGGTAAAATAAGGCCAAGACCTACTGGGCTGCATTCCCAGGAGGTTAGGTATTCTAAGTCACAGGATGAGATAGGTCAGCACAATGTACAGGTCACAAAGACCTTGCTGATAAAAGGATGTGGTAAAGAAGCTGGCCAAAACCCACCAAAACCAAGAAGGTGAGGAAAGTGACCTCTGGTGGTCCTACTGCGCATTACATGATAATTAAATATATTAGCATGCAAAAAGACATGCCCACCAGTGCCATGACAGTTTACAAATGCCATGGCAATGTTAGGAAGTTACCCTATATGGTCTAAAAGGGGGAGGAACCCTCAGTTCCAGGAATTGCCTATCCTTTCCTTCCCCTGCCCCCCCAACCCCTCGCCCCCAAAAAACTCATGAATAATCCACCCCTTGTTTAGCATATACTCAAGAAATAACTATAAAAATAGCCAACTAGCAGCCCTCAGGGCCACTATGCCTACAGAGTAGCCATTCTTTTATTCCTTTACTTTCTTAGCTTGCTTTCCCTTTACTCAAATTCTTTCTTTACCTGAATTCTTTCTTACTCAAGGTCCAAGAATCCTCTTGGGGTCTGGATTGGGATCCCTTTCCGGTAACAATTGTGCCACTGCACTCCAGCCTGGGTGACGGGAGTGAGATGGTGTCTCACAGAAAGAAAAAGAGAGAGAGAGAGTTCCAGGAGAAATTGTGTGTGTGTGTGTGTGTGTGTGTGTGTGTGTGTGTTGGAGGCTGGGGCGGGGGGCGGTTGGGGGGTAGTCCTAGAAGTGTTAGATGTTAGGGAATCATTAAATAAATAGTTCAAGTAAGTAAATTTCCCCAAACTAAAGAATAAACATTTCCAAAATCATAGCAGCCATGGAGAGTGCAGCCCAAAAGGTGAAAATATCCCCATCCAAGGTACCTCACCATGACATTCAGGGACCAGGGGACTGGAATGTTGGGGCTCAGAACACCACCCCAAAATATGACTGTGGAAGACGAGAATTAATGTCACCTCAAAATATACTTTGGCATATTTTGAGATGGCTATTCCAAGAAACTAAAGACACAGGAATAGCTCTGAAAAGATCTCCTTTTGTGAAAGAAATTTATGAAAGAATTTTGTAAAAGGAAATCTACATTAGCAAACAGCAGATGCAAGCAGAGGCTTTCTCTGAGCCCCCCTTATCTGCCTAGAGATGGAACTAGGAAAAATCATATCACAGGAAGAGGAGATTGTGGGTCGACACGTCCCAGATAGAGATTACCACAGGCGGCCACCCTTCTGAAGGGTGCTACCTGAGAGATTTTATCTGCATAAGGCAACCTTTGTGGGCTGTGCATTTCCTCCCCTCTCCCTTCTAGAATTTGTGCCGTGACCTCCTCTCCGCACCCCCACCAAGTGCAGCACCAGATGTACCCTCTCCACACCCTCTCTGCACCCCCACCAAGCCCCAGGTCCCCTATTCCTTTCCATGGCCTCAAGATGGTACACACACTGGCTCTTCTGGGAGTTTCATATTTTGTGAGGCCTCCATGCATATGTGCACATAATAAATTTGTGTGTCTTTCCTCTTGTTAATCTGTCTACTGTCAAGTTTATTCCAGAGACAAATTATTGAACTTTCAGAGGGTGAACGAAAAGTTCCCCTTTCCCCTACAGAAAAAAGAAAATATCCTTAAAGAACCCATTCTCTTATTTCTGGAAGGTATCATTTAGCTCATGGTGGGTAGGAATCTCACAGGTTGAAATAGCATTTCTAGTAGAATTGTCACAAGGATTTTAGTACACTTAAGAAGTTCATAAAGAAGTTCTAACGATGCTAGACTACCTTTTTTTGGTAATGTAAAAGTAATAAAGGGTCATTACAGAAAACATGAATTTCAGAAAAGTATAAAGAAGAAAAGCAACAGCTATAATTGAACAACCCTGAAATAAATACTGTAACTGTTTTGGATTGCTTCCTTCTTGTGCGTGAAGTTTTTTCCCCCATATAGCATCTCCATATCCTTTAATAATATTTATCATTAAACATAACTGAAACTATACTTGTGAACAGTTTTGGAGTGATGGAGTGCAATGGCTGGATATCAGCTCACTGCAGCCTCAACCTACCCAGGCTCAGGTGATCCTCCCACCTCAGCTTCCTGAATAGCTGGGACTACAGTCACACACCACCACACCCAGATCAGTTTTGTATTTTCTTCTTTTTTTTTTTTGAGATGGAGTCTCACTCTGTCGCCCAGGCTGGAGTGCAGTGGCGCAATCTTGGCTCACTGCAAGCTCCACCTTCCGGGTTCACGCCATTCTCCTGCCTCAGCCTCCTGAGTAGCTGGGACTACAGGCGCCCACCACCACGCCTGGCTAATTTTTTATATTTTTAGTAGAGATGGGGTTTTACCATGTTAGCCAGGATGGTCTCGATCTCCTGACCTTGTGATCCGCCCGCCTCGGCCTCCCAAAGTGCTGGGATTACAGGCGTGAGCCACCGTGCCCAGCCCAGTTTTGTATTTTCTGTAGAAATGGGGTTTCACCATATTGTCCAGCCTGGTCTCGAATTCCTGGGCTCAGCTGATCCACCCATCTCAGCCTCCCAAAGTGCTGGGAATACAGGCATGAGCCATTGTGTCTGGCCCAGTTTTACAATGTTATGTACAAAGCCTCAAAGGTGAAGGATACAGTGAGCCATGTTCACGCCAAAAAAAAAAAAAAAAAAAAAGAAAGAAAGAAAAAAAAGAAACAGGTCACAAAGTCCCTGCTAATAAGACTGGTTGCGGTAAAGAAGCCAGCCAAAACCCACCAAAACCAAGATGGCAATAAAAGTGATCTCTGGTCATCCTCACTGCTCAAAATACACTAATTATAATGTATTAGCATGGTAAAACACATGCCCACCAGTGCCATGAGTTTACAAATGCCTAGAAGTTACCCTATATGGTCTTAAGTGGGGAGAAACCCTTAGTTCTAGGAATTGCCCGCCCCTTTTCCAGAACGTTCATGAATAACCTACCCCTTATTTAGCATATGATCAAGAAATAACTATAAGTATACTCAGTGGGGCAGCCCATGCCACTACTGTGCCTATGGAGTAGCCAGCCATTCTTTTGTTTCTTTACTTCTCTAATAAACTTGCTTTCACTTTACTCTATGAACTCGCCCCGAATTCTTTCTTGCACAAGGTCCAAGAACCCTCTCTTGGGGTCTGGATTGGAACCCCTTTCCAGTAACACAATGGGTTCATTTTGCTTGCTGCCCAGATAGAGCCAGATCGGGACCTCTTTCCAGTAACACAATGGTTCATTTTGCTTGCTGCCCAGATAGAGCCAATCTGTCAAGACAAGAGAAACTGCACTGGGGAGAGACTTTCATTCACGGCTGAATGAGAGACCAGAGTTTTATTACTCAAAACAGTCTCTCCAAAAATTCAGACTAGGGTTTTTCAAGGATAGTTTGGTGGGCAGCAGGGCTAGGGAATGGGGAGTGCCCATTAGTTGGGTCAGAGATGAGATCTTATGGAGTTGAAGCTATCCTCTTGGGCTGAAGTGATTCCTGGGTGGGGACCACAGGAACAGCTGGCAGGTCTGAGTGGCAGTCGTCAGAAATGCAAAAACCTGGCCGGGCATGGTGGCTTACACCAGTAATCCCAGCACTCTGGGAAGCTGAGGCGGGCAGATCACCTGAGGTCAGGAGTTTGAGATTGGCCTGGCCAACATGGTGAAACCCCCTCTCCACTAAAAATACAAAAATTAAGCAGGCGTGGTGGCACACACCTGTAATCCCAGCTACTTGGGAGTCTGAGACAGGAGAATCACTTGAACCGAGGAGGCGGAGGTTGCAGTGAGCCGAGATGGGGTGCCACTGTACTCCAGCCTGGGAAACAGAGTGAGATTCCATCTCAAAAAAAAAAAAAAGAAAAAGAAAAAAAAAAAGAAATGCAAAAACCTGAAAAGACACCTCAAAAGGCCAATCTTAGGTTCTACAATAGTGATGTTATTGCAGGAGTAATTGGGGAATTGCGAATCTTGTGGCTAATTTATTCGTCCTAAAAAGACACTCTGGCACCAGGCAAGAAGAGGGTTTATTTCAGGAAAGAGCTGTTATCATCATTTCAAAGTTAAACTATAAACTAAATTCCTCCCAAAGTTAGTTCAGCCTAAAGTTAGTTCAGGAATGAACAAGGATAGCTTGGAGGTTAGAAGCAAGATATAGTCTGTTAGGTCAGATTTATTTCACTGTTGTAATTTTCTCACTGTTACATTTTGCAAAGGTGGTTCCAGGACTTCAGGAATATGCCACCATGACTGGCTTTTAAAATTTTTTTGTAGGGGTCTCATTATGTATCCCAGATTGGTCTCCCAACTCCTGGTCTCAAGTGATCTTCTTGTCTTCAGCCTCCCAAAGTGCTGGGATTATAGGTATGAGCCACCATGCTGGGCCTCATTTAATTTATAATTATTTCTAATTAGAATTGACCATTTTGCCCATTTTGTCAGCAGTTTCTTTCTTTCAGGAGTTGTCTCATTTTGCCAGTCCTGATATTTTTCTTATAGATCTAGACATGTTTGGCAACATGCTCCAAGGAGCTACGTGTCATGTTCTCATCTCCGTGGCCATGCCCCAGACCAGAGAATATAATGCCTCCACTGTGAAAATATTCTTTCCAAATGACAGTGACAGTTATGGCACTCACGATTTCCACAGCGTTTCTTCCTCTTTTTCCTTCTCCTGGTTTTCTGAGTGTATTTGTTTTCCTAGTTTATCTTACTCTGGCTGAGTGAACATATGACTGGAGCTGTTTCCCTACCTTCTAGCACATGCGCATGTTACTGGGAAGGGATCCCAATCCAGACCCCAAGAGAGGGTTCTTGGATCTAGCAAAATAAATAATTCAGAGTCCATAAAGTGAAAGCAAATTTATAGGAAAGTAAATGAATAAAGAATGGTCACTCAACAGAGTAGCCCCAAGGGCTGCTGGTTGCCCATTTTTGTGGTTATTTCTTGATTATATGCTAAACAAGGGGTGGATTATTCATGCCTCCCCTTTTTAGATCATAAAGGGCAACTTCCTGACATTGCCATGGCATTTGTAAACTGTGATGGGGCTGGTGGACTGTAGCAGTGAGGATGACAAGAGGTCACTCTCGTCGCCATCTTGGTTTTGCTGGGATTTGGCTGGCTTCTTTATTACAACCTGCTTTATAAGCATGGTTTTTATGACCTATATCTTATGCTGACCTCCTATCTCGTCCTATGACTAAGAATGCCTTAACCTCCTGGGAATGCAGCCCAGCAGGTCTCAGCCTCATTCTACTCAGCCCCTATTCAAAATGGAGTTACTCTGGTTCAAATGCCTCTGACACCCACTATCCCTTCACCCCTACCCTGCACTCCAGCCATAGTGACCCCAGAGTGCCCTGCATCCAGCTGGTACCCATTGAACACAATTTAATGAAATACCACACATTTGAGGAGGACAGGAAGGAAAAGTGAAAAACATCTGATTTATTTTACTTATTTATTTGAGACGGAGTTTTGCTCTTGTCACACAGGCTGGAGTACAGTGATGCGATCTAGGCTCACTGCAACCTCTGCCTCCCAGGTTCAAGCAATTCATCTGCCTCAGCCTCCCGAGTACCTGGGATTACAGATGCGCACCATCATGCCCAGCTAATTTTTTTTTTTTTTTTTTTTAAGTAGAGACAGGGCCTCACCATGTTGGCTAGGCTGGTCTCGAACTCCTGACTTCAGGTGATCCGCCTGCCTCGGCCTCCCAAAGTGCTGGGATTACAGGTGTAAGCCACCTTGCCCTGCCCTTATTTTTAAATTTTTATTTATTTATTTTAAAGACAGGGTCCTGCTATGTTGCTCAGGCTGGAGTGCAGTGGCTGGTTTATTCACAGGTGAGATCATAGTGCACTGTAGCCTTGAACACCTGGCCTCAAGTGATTCTCCTGCCTCAGCTTCCCAAGTAGCTGGGACTACAGGCATATGCTACTGTGCCCTACTAATTTTCTTTTTAATAGAACATTTGGTTTCAGTAGCAGAACTTACTTAAATTTGTGAGAAATGTCTGCTCCCCAATAGAGAACATGGCCCTGCAAAACAGTCTTGGTTTACTCATTTCACAATTTTCCCTTCCTCAGTTGACAACTGTGAAATAGGGAACCAAATGCTATCAAAGATAGCTACAAATAATATCTGCGTGAGGCAGACAATTATCTGTGCTGCAGACCCTTCTCTGCTTTGGCCTTAATTCCAAACAACAGTAAAAGCAAATCCACAAAACCATTTGGGGATAGGAAAGTACAAAGGGGTATTTACTCACAGGAAAAAAAAATTAGGACCCTTCATTGGTGTCCAGCACGTATTTATGCTCCCCAGTGTCCTGGGGGCCTTGCAGACGCCTTTCGAGCCCATCACAGACATTACCTTAAAATGCTTCCCAGATTTAACTGAAAGTAAACACCTTCAGAAGGGAAAGTAGACTGAACATTAGGTAAAAGCACCCTTGCTTTCTAATCTCCAGTGAGGCCAAAATTGATCTTATGAGCTCATAAGTTGATCTAGAAAACACATTTGTAATAAATATTTTCTATGCTCTTCAATGACAATTAAAAAATGGACACTATATAACTAAGATGGGATTGATCTTATGAGCTTTTAAGTTAATCTAGAAAACATTTGTAATAATCCATGCTCTTCAGTAACAATAAAAAAAGAACACTATGTAACTAATTAAGATGGGAGTAGAAGGCCAATAAAAACATCTAATGTCTAGCACCACCTTGTGGTACAACATTCAAATCCCGAGCCCTTACAAGGACCCCAAGATTAAACCTTCTTGAAAAAGACTTGGTTCATGAGCTGCTCTACCATTTCGACCTAACAATATACTTTCTGGAGAAATACAAAATAATAGAAATAACTAACACTTGACTGGTACTTTATAGTAAACCAAGCACTCCCATCTGAATGATCTCACTTAATCCTGGCAGCAGCCCTGCCAGGTACTAGGTACTAAGATCTCAGTCTTAGACATGTGGAGTCTGAAGTTCAAAGAAGTTGGTAGTTTGTACTGGGTAAGTCCTGCACTTGAACCCATTTATTCATATTCCAAATCCTGTAATAAAATTGTATTAGCACTATTGTATGGAGTATGTGTGTGTGTATGTGTATATATATATACACACGCACACACACATCACTATACTATATGTATTAATATATGTGAAAAGTTCAAAAGAAACATATAGTACTATATAGGATATTTTAATATAATATAGTATTTATACTATTTTTTATAGTACTGTTAGCCAGTACTCACTACGTTTCCGGCGACTGTTTTCTGGCTGTGAAGACAAGGCAATATTGGTTGACTCTTTGTAGTCTATATGATTCCACACAGTTTGCTACTAAACCAACCATGGTCTTGCTTTCCTAGTCCCTAAGCACCCAAACGTGGGAGAACCTGATCCTCTGTTGTATTAATTTAGGGTGCACTGATGGAAATGTGTCCAGCGAGAATGAACACAAGAACCTAGAGGCAATGAGACTGAAGCCATTTTTAGGTTTGGCCTTTAATATGCTTGTGAACCAATCTACTGGCTCATAGTTAAAATACTGATGGACTGGGTCACCTCATTAATTTAACAAGAAGTACATTTTACAATCAACATATCTTAAAGTTGGCAGCTGCCTGGGCCCACTTCCAACCCTGACCCAGCCATGAAAAAAAAAAAACAAACAGTTATATATATATATATATATATATATATATATATATATATATATAGAGAGAGAGAGAGAGAGAGAGAGAGAGAGAGAGAGAGATGGAGTCTCACTCTGTTGCCCAGGCTACAGTGCAATGGCATGATCTTGGCTCACTGCAACCGCCACCTCCCAGGTTCCTGCCTCAGCTTCTCGAGTAGCTGAGACTAAAGGCACCATGCCTAGCTAATTTTTTGTATTTTTAGTAGAGACAAGATTTTGCCATGTTGGCCAAGCTAGTCTCGAACTCCTGACTTCAGATGATCCACCTGCCTCAACCTCCCAAAATGCTGGGATTACAGGCATGAGCCACCACGACCAGCAGTTAATCTTAATGTATCTTAAATATATGAGAGGCCACTTGCTCAGTGTCAGAGGTCGGCATGTCATTAAACCAGCTTTAAATATTGTTTTTATTGTTTATTTTTTGAGACAGACTCTTACTCTGTCACCCAAGCTGGAGTGCAGTGGCACAACCTGGGCTCACTGCAACCTCCACCTCCCGGGTTCAAGTGAGCCTCGGCCTCTCAATTAGCTGGGACTACAGTGGACTACAGACATGCACCACCACGCCCAGCTAATTTTTGTATTTTTAGCAGAGACAGGGTTTTAACATGTTGGCCAGGCTGGTCTCCAACTTTTGGCCTCATGTGATCTGCCCACCCCAGCCTCCCAAAGTGCTGGGATTACAAGCATGAGCCACCATGCCCAGCTTCACCTTTAAATATTCTAAATGAAAACTTTTGCAGCCTGGCTTTATGGGGGTTAGAATTTGGGGCATAATTACTCCTGTGGGTAGAGACAACTCCAGGTTGTGTTTGGAGGAAACTGTTGGCCCCATTCACAGGTATATGCCCAGCCAACCACTGGCAAAGGAAGACGACTTCATCAACCTGTTTTGCTTTCTCTGAAGTCATTCTTACTTGTCTCTTGGCCGGATGGTCTGCCCAATAGCTACCCTTCTAAGGGACAATAACCTAGACCTCCTGGTTCCTAGATTCACATCAAACCCTCCACTGAGAACACTATTGATGGAAAACTGACCGAAGGACCAACAGCCCGTTAGTCTTCTAGGGATTCTAAACCCATCTAGACCAGCCCCTTTCAGTCCTCTTCATCCACTTATTTGACTAGTCCTTTGGGGGTTATATCTATGTTAAGCTATATTATCAGAAACAATGCTTTGATACTTGTGTTTATTATTGGTAAAACTGTTAAGTTTGCCATGTTGTAGTGTTCTCTTTATGGGAACTAGAGGGAAAGGTTCCTTAGATCTCCAGATTAGGGGTAGCTGCCTCAGGTTTATCGCATGGAGTCTGAACTTGATCTTGTTTCCTTCTTTACACTGACAACTAGGAAGCAAAATCTGTTATTTATCCTTAAGTGTATAAGACCTGCTGTAATGCAGTTTGTGTGGATAAGATTATTTTCCTGGCCTCAACTTTTATTTTCCTTTAGCCCAATTTCCCTACTTAAAATCGTGTAATTTTTGTATTTTTGTAAGTTGTCCTTAAACTTTTTTGGGGAGAATTTTAAAAATAGAAGAAAAACTACTCTCTGGTGTTAGACTTCAGAATAGAGGATATCCTTGTGGGGACAGTGACTGGAACGAGACACAGGGGTGGCGTGGGTTCTGGGGTGCCAGTCATGCTGGACGCGTCATACAGGTATGTTCACTCTGTGATGTCAGTGAGCTAAATACTTATGATTTGTGCACTTTTCTGTATGTATGTTAAGCTTCTATGTTCAAAAAATGAGGACTGAGGGAAATGATACTCACGTGCCATATATATGTACTTCCTTTAATCCTCTGAACACTTTTAAGTTAGTAGTTATCCCCATTATAAAAACGAGGAATGTGAGGTTCAAACAGGTTAAGGAATGAGGCCAAAATTCCAAATGACTTCTGATAACAAAAGCACAGGCTTATCCTACTACACTACACTGCTCCTTGCTCTTTTTTTTTTTTTTTTTCAATTGGACACGGGGTCTCGCTCTGCACCCATGCTGTAGTGCAGTGGTGTGATAATGGCTCACTCCATCGCTACAGCCTCCAACTCCTGGGCTCATGGGATCCTTCAACCTCAGTCTCCCAAGTAGGTGGGACTACAGGCATATACCACCATACCTGGCTAATTTTCTTATTTTTTTCATAGAGATGGGGTCTTGCTACATCACCCAGGATCCCACTTTCCTACTTTAAATGGCCTGTCTTTATCCAGCTTAGCCAATAAAATCCAAGAAACATTGGTCAGACCTAGTAGAGACACAGGTGAAAGGACTTCTACGGAGGGGGCAGTGGGCAGCATCTGAGGCTGAAGCTGGCTGTGGGATTCATTTGGCGGAGGGGGCTTTGGGAGACAGCACTGGACTGAAAGTGCGGAGCTTGAGGCTGCTTCTGGACAGGGCTGGATTCTCACTGTGAGAAGGCCCATGAAGCCCCCTAAAGGTCCACCATCTCTACAAGTTCCATCAGCCCCTCCCAAGAAGTTGAGGACAGATGGCAGAATCACAACACCCAGCACGCACAGTGTGAGCCCTGCTGCCTGCCCCTCTTCTCTTCAGGAGCCAGGATTTATTCTGATTGTACAGAACCACTATGACTATTATCCAACCCCTTCACACTGGGACCCCTCCTCCAGATGTAGTTGGAGTTGAAGGGCCCAGGCCTGCTGCATGTGCAGTCCAGTCATGTACTCAAGACAGGGTTCTCACAAACAGCTTTCTGCAGAAAGGCAAACAGAAAGGCTTACAGGCTCAACTCGTGAGCAGAACAAAATAACCTGGATTTTACTTCATAAAGGAAAAGTCATTAAAAGGCAATGATTGGGAAAGAGGTCAGCAGACCAATTTAGGGATTTCCCCATATTCTGCAACACTAGCTACGTGATTTTGGACTCATCATTTACCCCTTGCTACTGCTTCCTCATTTCCCAATAGGGAGTTGGAATGTCCATTCTAAAGCCCCTCTCAACTCTGAAATTCTAACTCTAAACTAGACACCAGTCATCTTCTCCGAGAAACAGCACTGGACAAATGGGGCAGAGGGGAGGACAGGTGATGGCCATTCCCTCTCTCCCCCCCAGGGCAAACAATGTGGCAAGGAACTGGCCCAGTGATAAGGGGTCTCAACAATCAGATATGGAGCCATGGAGGGTTCTTGAGCACAGACAGAGCAAAAGTGGTATTTGTGGAACACTGGTTTTGAAGAAATACATAACTGAACTAAAGGGGAGACCAATGGGCAAATATGACACTCGAAAAAGAAGAAAACAGAACACTCCTTTAGGCTAGAAATATATATGAGTGTCTTATTTTAGTCTACTTGGCCTCATTTTTCCCCATGGTTGTCTGACATGTTGCCTGGGGGAACACTTACAGTCACATGAGTAATGACAAGAATCTCTTTACGTGCTACAGGGTCCTTAGGCTTTTCTTTGTGGAATTTTACAGTGAACAATATGGCTAAATTATGTTATTCTATAAAACTTTGACTACTTTTCAGGCCTTGAAATTTTATTTACATGTCTCTAACACACACACATACACTTCCTATTTTTTAATACAAAAAGTACATAGTAGCCCCCCGTATCTGCGGGTGGTATGTTTCAAGACCCCCAGTGGTTGCCTGAAACCAAGATGGTACCAAACTCTAAAAAAAAAAGAACAACTTTAACAATATACCGTAATAAAAGTTATGTGAATGTGATCTTTCAAATTTTTTTTGTTTTTTTTGAGACAGACTTTTGCTCTGTCGCCCAGGCTGGAGTGCAGTAGCGTGATCTCGACTTACTGCAACCTCCACCTTCCAGGCTCAAGCTAACCTCCCACCCCAGCTGGGACTACAGGCACATGCCACCACATTTGGCTAATTTTTGTATTTTCTGTAGAGACAGAGTTTCACCATGTTGCCCACACTGGTCTTGAACTCCTGGGCTCAAGGGATCTGCTGGCCTTGGCCTCTCAAAGTGCTGGGGTTATAGGCATGAGCCTATAACCCTCAAAATATCTTAAGAAAAGTAACTGACTGCAGTTGAAAACAGGTAATTGAAATTGTGGTAAGTGAAACCATGGATAAAGCGGGACTACTGTACATGCTCATTAAAAAAAATTAAGGGCCAGGCATGGTGGCTTACACCTGTAGTCCTAGCTACTCAGGAGGCTGAGGCAGGAAGACTGCTTGAGCCCAGGGGAGGTCGAGGCTACAATGAGCTGTGATCACACACCACTGCACTCCAGCCTGCGTACCACAAGATCCTGTCTCAAAAAATATATAAAGTAAAAAGAGTGATTTTATTTATTTATGAAACAGGGTCTCACTCTGTCGCCCAGGCTGGAGTGCAATGGCATGATCTTGGCTCACTGCAGTCTCCGCCTCTTGGGTTCAAGCGATTCTCTTGCCTCAGCCTCCTGAGTAGCTGGGATTACAGGCACTCGCCACTATGCCCAGCTAATTTTTTTGTATTTTTAGTAGAGATGGGGTCTCACCATGTTGGCCAGGCTGGTCTCAAACTCCTGACCTCAGATGATCCCCCAACCTCGGCCTCCCGAAGTGCTGGGATTACAGGCATGAGCCACCGCACCCAGACGAAAGAGTGATTTTAAATTTTCCTCTTCAAGGGAAGGTATAAATGCCAACCTCATGAAAGGTCAGGACTTAGGATCCAGGCCCAGGACCACAGGAGATGGGTTCTTAGGAGGCTTTAGAAATTTGCTCTGAAGGAAAACTCTTGGCACACACAGGCCTTCTTTTTTATTCACCGTCTCTCGAAACACATACTCGTTTACCACTTCTTCATAACCTGTGTCCATAAAGAGCTGAGCCAGGAAGTCTGTAAGACAAGCATCAACAATGCTCAACAGTCTTCATAACATTACATTTGCTTTGCAGTCCTTGAGGAGGGATAGAGGGCTGAGGCTATTTTAATATTTTTTTAAATGAAAACCTCAATGCTAAAATTTAAAGGTTTTGATTTGGGAACTAATACACTCCTTCTCCTCTTCTACCCAAACAGAAACCTCCAATTAAACAATTAAATCAGAACAAGGTGAAGGACAACCTGGTGTTCGCATCTTGCCTTATTATGAATTCTCAAATACAAAAGCCCGAGTAAAAAGAAACAATTCCAAATTGGTTATATTCCTTTTTTTTTTTAATTAAAAAAAAATTTTTTTTTGAGACACAATGTCACTCTGTCACCCAGGCTAGATCAGGAGCACGATCTCGGCTCACTGCAACCTCCGATTCCTGGGCTTAAGTGATTCTCCTGCCTCAGCCTCTTAAGTAGCTGGGACTACAGGCACACACTACCATGCCTGGTTAATTTTTTTGTATTTTTAGTAGAGACAGGGTTTCGCCATGTTGGCCAGGCTGGTCTCAAACCCCTGACCTCAAATGATCCCCCAATCTTGGCCTCCCAAAGTGCTGAGATAACACGCATGAGCCACTGGGCCCGGCCGATTATATTCCTTTTTAAAAATTATCTTATTGTTTCCCATCTCCGAACAAAAACATAAAAATTGGCTATACTCCTACAAGGTCTGCATGTGCTCAATTTGTTTACATCAAACATCTTATTCATCCTAACACGAAGGAGGAAAATTTGTGATCAGAGTGGAGAAAAACACCCAGTGGTGACCTAGCTCCAGGAAAATCTAACCCAAATAATACATCACTACACATTAAATGAAACAAACAGAATAAATGGTGAGGCAGCAAAAATAAAGACTCGTACTAAGAGCATTGCTCCAGAGAACGTGCTCTGAAGCACTCTGCAGATATCACTGAATCTTCTCAATATTTACAATTGGTTTAAATTTTATGAATTAAAACATCTTTTGAATTTTAACCTATTTTGATAATTTTGCATTTTGTTTTGTTTTGTTTTGTTTTTTTGAGATAGGCTTCTCGCCCTGTCGCCCAGGCTGGAGGGCAGTGGTATGATCATAGCTCACTGCAGCCTCCATCTTCTGGGGCCAAATGATCCTCTTGCCTCAGCCTCCTAAGCAGCAGGACCACAAGTGCATGCCACCACTCCTGGCTAATATTTTTTTTTTTTTATTTTTAGTAGAGACAAAGTTTCACGGTTGCCCAGGCTGGTCTCGAACTCCTGAGCTCAAGTGATCCTTCTATCTCAGTCTCCCAAATAATTTTGCAGCTTTAATAGTAATCACTCAATTTTAATTCATTTTGGTATCTAAAAGAATATTTCATTTCAAGAAGAAAAATGTTTGTTAAAATAGAGGTTAATTATCTTCCTGTCTAGATGATTAGGTAGACTATGTTCAAGACACCTAAAAGACCAAAATAATGTTCCACATTTTCTTATCAAAAATGACTTTTTAAATACCTCTTTAGGCTGGGCATGGTGGCTCATACCTGCAGTCCCAGAATTTTGGGAGGCTGAAGTGGGCAGATCACTTGAGACCAGGAGATTGAGACCAGCCTGGCCAACATGGCAAAACCGCATCTCTACTAAAAATACAAAAATTAGTTGGGTGTGGTGGCACACACTTGTAATCCTTGCTACTTGGGAGGCTGAGGCATGAGAATCACTTGAGCCTGGGTGGTGGGGGTTGCAGTGAGCCAAGATCATGCCACTGCACTCCAGCCTGTAAGACTCTGTCTCAAAAATAAATAAATGCCTCTTTACAGCAAATTTGCATATTTATTTAAAAACAGATCCAGGACAGGCATGGTGACTAACACCTGTAATCCCACCACTTTTGGAGGCTGAGACAGATGGATCACTTGAGCTCAGAAGTTCGAGACCAGCATGGGCAATATGGTGAAACCCCCATTCTACCAAAAATACAAGAAATTAGCCAGCCATGGTGGCATGTGTCTGTGGTCCCAGCTACTCAGGAGGCTTCGGTGGATCACTTGAGTCTGGAAGGTGGAGGCTGCAGTGAGCCAAGATCACACCACTGCACTCCAGCCTGGGTGACAGAATTAGACTCTGTCTCAAAAACAACAAAAAAACCAAACCCCAAAACAGATCCAATCAATTCTACAGAAAAAGGTTTCCTGACTTTGTGCCATGGGAAAGTAATCTCAAGGCATTATACTGTCAAATTTGCTTTATTTTTAACTGGACAAGAAGTTTCTGACTTGCCCTCCCTCTTATTCCAGCACAATTCCTAGTAGGGAATCCACATGGCATGTCAGAGGCTGTCCATTAACCCAAGCTCATTAGGGGAGTCACTGACACCAGAGAAGGCTTGTGAGCTCTTCAAGGGCAGGGGCCAGGTCTGTGCCTTCCAGGTGCTGGGTAAATATTGTGCAGTAGAGGGCTTGTTTCAGGGTCTCGTGCACATGTCGCAAGCCTTCTCCAAGCAGCCTTGCAGTGATAATGCAATCAAATAAACAGAAACAAAGAATAAAACATTTAAAGACTGGATTCCATTCATCTTACCATCAGTAAAAAAATATGATCTGGTCCCATCTTGTCTAACATAAAAGTTTTCTCCAAGTTTGCTGCTGGCTTTAAACCTAAGCATGGCATGATCATACAGTCCGTAGTCACGAAACAAGACACTTTTGCCTGGTTTTAATACCTATGAAACAAAAGCAGGCTGAACATGACTTTGGAGAACCCTGTCAAAATAAAACCTGATTAAGTTAGGACTTAAAATAAATTTGTGATAGTTACTAAGGGGACAGACTGAAATGCCCATAATACGGAACCAAAATGGCCTACTACTTAAAAAGATAGTAAGACCAGGCAGGGCTCCATAACACTAAGACACTTCTTTTTTTTTTTTTTTTGAGATGGAGTCTTGCTCTGTCGCCCAGGCTGGAGTGCAGTGGCATAATCTCAGCTCACTGCAACCTCCGTCTCCCACGTTCAAGTGATTCTCGTGTCTCAGCCTCCCGAGTAGCTGGGATTATAGGTGCCCGCCACCATGCCCGGCTAATTTTTGTATTTTAGTAGAGATGAGGTTTCACCATGTTGGCCAGGCTAGTCTCGAACTCCTGACCTCAAGTAATTTGCCCACCTCAGTCTCCCAAAGTTGGGATTACAGGCGTGAGCCACCTCGCTCGTCCCTGAAGACAATTCTTGAGTACCTCCAAGAGCACCCTGGAATGTCCAGTGTCACAGGATTAAAATGTTAGAGACCAACCTGGGCAATATAGTGAGACCCCATCTCTACACAAAAATTAAAAATTAGCTGGATCTGGTAGTGCGTCCTGTAGTCCCAACTACTTCAGAGGCTGAGGTGGGAGAACTGCTTGAGCCCAGGAAGTTGAGGCTGCAGTGAGCCACGTCCATGCCACTGCACTCCAGCCTGAGTGACACAGCAAGACCCTGTCTCAAAAATAAATAAATAAGTGTTAGAGACAATAAATGAAAGTGTTATCCTCATTGAAGCACTTTCTTGCAACATTTTATTCACCATCTCCTAGTACTCAAACTGTATTCAACTGTCTCTTAAAAAAACAAACAAACAAACAAACAAAAAACCAGAATGTCGTTTTGGCTCTTTACTGATTCAGGTTGGTTTTCCTCATTCTGAGCCTCAGCTCTCATTTCATTGTGCCACAATGTATAGCTCAATCACGGTGCTAATGACTGATACATGCCTAGCATTTGACTGCTTAACCATACATTTTCTCATTGTATCTTCACCCAACTGTGGGACAAAGGAATGTGATTATTATTCTCACATGAGACACGGAAACCAATACTCAACAGGGTTAAGTGATCTGCCAATGATCATACATTAGCTTTTTTTAGACAAGGTCTTGCTATGTTGGCCAGGCTGGTTTCAAACTCCTGACCTCAAGTGATTCACCTGCCTTGGCATCCCAAAGTGTTGGGATTACAGGCATGAAACACCACACCTGGCCAAACTGTGTACTCTTGACCACTAAACCATAACTCCTCTCACCTTATAGCAGGACTCCATGGATCCCAGGTAACTGCAAAATCATCCTTGTCCCAGGGCTGGCGAAGCTCTGAAGAGCAGCCATGGCACTGCACAAATCAGAATTTAGGGTGGATGTTTTATGCCAGAGGACCCCTTTCTATACACTCACTACACAGCCTACCTAGTGAGAATGGAGAGACTATGTGAATCTAGACAGTACATGAGCCTCATGAGGGAAGGTAAGTAAAAGAATCCAGACTGTCCAACCCTCAAGTGCAGGCCCCAAATCACTAACCTTGTAAATGTTTTGTAAGACAAGGTGCATCTTATCAGGATGAACAGCTGACAGCACAAATATCAACATAACAACATCCACAGACTCTGGCGGTACATGATCCAGAAGATCATCTTTAGTCAGATCACACTGGAATACCTTGCATCTTTCTGTATCATATAAAGGATTTTGCTACAGGGGGAAGAAATACAAATGAATTTTAATGCAACCACTAGGCTGATACATATAGAAAAATACAACATCAAAAGGCGATCCAATTTCCACTTGTATACATAGAAATTATCACTGTTACCAGATAAAACTGATTAATAAATCACTCACTATAAAGCATGTAATATTCACTACTGCTACAGGAGCAAGACTTCATTTTAATAAATCATTTTTAACTGAGGAGACAATAAGAGTATCACGTACTCAAAACTGAGCATTTTAGAAGCATATTATTTCCAGAGGGATGATGATCCAAAACTGGCCTCTGCTTCTTTTTGTTTTTTAAAGAGACAGGGTCTCACTCTGTCTGCTGGGCTAGAGTGCAGTGGCATGATCATGGTTCACTGCAGCCTTCACCTCCTGAGCCCAAGTTATCCTCCCACTTCAGCCTCCTAAGTAGCTGGAACTACAGGTGTGCACCACTGCATCTGGCTAAATTTTTATTTTTATTTTTGTAAAGATGGGATCTTGCTATGTTGTACAGGCTAGTCTTGAACTCCTGGCCTCAAGTGATCCTCCCACTTCAGCCTTCCAAAGTGCTGGGATTACAGGCATGAGCCACTATGTCCTGCTGGCCTCTGGCTTCCTTAATCCTCCTTTGAATCATCTGCTTAAAGCCTAAACCCTATGAGAAGCCCTTCTAATTCCCCTTGATGAGATGCTCCCGCAGTTCTTCTGGGGTATATTTTCTCTTTATGCAGCAAGCTAAATAAACTTAACCTTTTTTTGACTACAAATGTGTTCCTGGTACATTTTGGTTGGTAGGCTTCAACACATGTATAGGAGTATTATGAAGAAAAACATTAAACTTCTATTTCATGTAAATGAGGACCTGAATAAATAGATATACAAAGTTACTGGATGGGAAAATTAAATGCAAAATTAAAAAGATGTCAATTCTATTCATAATTCCATTTGTAAATCCAATGCAATCTAAACTGATTCCCAACAGATTTCTAGAAACTAGACAGGGTGAATCTAATTCATCATAAAGTAAAAATCTTTAAGAATAGCCAAGTCAATTTTTAAAATGATGAACAATGAGGTAGGTATGGTGGCTCATGCCTGTAATCCCAGCAACCTGGGAGACTGAAGTGAAAGGATCGCTTGAGTTCAAAGCTGCAGTGAGCTATGATCCATGCCACTGCAAGCTAGCCTGGAAAACAGAGCAAGATCTCATCTTTAAAAAAATAGGCCAGGTGCGGTGGCTCACGCCTGTAATCCCAGCACTTTGGGAGGCCAAGGCAGGTGGATCATGAGGTCAGGAGTTTGAGACCAGCCTGGCCAATATGGTGAAACCCCATCTCTACTAAAAATACAAAAATTAGCTGGGCGTGGTGACCCGCACCTGTAGTCCCAGTTACTGGGAAGACTGAGGCAGAAGAATCGCTTGAACCTGGGAGGCGGAGGTTGTAGTGAGCCGAGATCATGCCACTGCACGCCAGCCTGCATGATAGAGACTCTGTCTCAAAAATAAATAAATAAATAAATAAATAAATAAATAAAATAGAATGAAGAATAATAAAGGAGAAGATACACTACTGGATATCAAAATATATTACAAAACGTAGTAATAAAACAACATGGTTTGAGAATGGAGACAAATGTATCACTGAGACAAAACAGAGTCCCAAAACAGACCTGTATATACTGTATATATAAACAGGAATTTTGTATATTATATGATAAAAGATAGACAAAGGTGACAATTAGACAAAAAGGTAGATAATAAAGATGACAATTATGAGTGAGGAAAAAATTTCTCATTCAATTTACTGTGTTTAGAAGAACTGGCTACCCTTGAGACAAATGACTACCCTTGAGACACAGGCCCACGGTACCAGTTCAAATTTGGAGAAGCAGAACATTAGAGAACGACCCCCTCTCCCACACCCCACCATCGAATCTCCAAGAATAACAGGAAATTGCAGCTGGGAGAGCCACAACAGATAGACTCTTTGGGAAACGGTACAAAGGGAAGACCCAAATCCAAGAGAGGAGACAAAAACAAGTTGCTAGAGGGGTTTGAAGTCTCTGGTGCCCACAGCAACAACAAACCTCACAGACAGCAACAACAGACTTCAAACAACAGCCCAATTCCTGACTAGATTGTTACAAATCCCTATCCCTCAGTATCTACTGGCCCTTATAATATGTCTAGCTTTAACCAAAAAGTAGAAAACATCCCAGAAGGCAAAAAACATAGTGTGAAGAGAATAAGCCATCACCAGAGCCAGACTCAAATATGACAGATGCTGGATCCAAAAGCTTGGGCATTTAAAATAATTATGATTAAAATGCTAAAGACTCTAATGGAAAAGACAGACAACATGCAAAATCAGATACATAATTTCAGGGATGGAAACTATAAAAAGACTCTAAGAGAAATGCTAAAAACCAAAAATATGGTAAAAGAAATGAACACTTTCAATAGGTTTCTCAACAAAACAGGTACTGCCTAGGAAACAGTCAGTGAACTTGATGATAGGATAATAGAAATTACACAAACTGAAAATGCAAAAAGGAAAAAAGTGGGGGAATAAACCCTATAACAACAGCATCTAAGGGCTGTGGGGCAATAGAAAATGTTACACACATAACTGGAATCCCAGAGGGAGAAGAGAGAACAAGAGCTAAAGAAAGAATTCAAAGAAATAATGACCCTAATTTTTCCAGATTAAAAAACATAACCAAAATTATAAAATAACTATATAACCAAAAATTAGTAAGAGCAATATATAGGTGATTATGTCTAAATCCTAGGAATAGCTGGGCGCAGTGGCTCACACCTGTAATCCCAGCACTTTGGGAGGCTGAGACAGGAGGATCGCTTGAACCCAAGAGTTCGAGAGCAGCCTGGGATAGTGAGACCTGATCTCTAAGAAAAATAAAGTAAATCCTAGGAGTAAAGGACTCCTAAACAAGACATAAAATAGAACTTCAAAAGGAAAAGATTAATATTTTGCCATGATAATTTAAATCCTGTGTAGCCTGGGCAACACAGCAGGACCTCATCTCTACAAAAAATTTTTAAAAATTAGCCAGGCATGGTGGTGCATGCCCATGGTCCCAGCTCAGGATGCTGAGGATCACTTGAGTCCACAAGGTCGAGGCTGCAGTGAGCTGCAATTTGCACCACTATACTCCAGCCTAGGTGACACAGTGAGACCTTGTCCAAAAATAAAATAAAATAAATCCTTGTGTAAAAAAAAAAGAGATACTGTAAAGCGATGCTGAATAAACTAGAAGAAATGTTTGCAACATACATACCAAAATATCTAGAATATATCCTGAAAATAAGAAAGAAAATGACAAACCAATAGAAAAATGGGCAGAGGTTATGAATGGACAACTCCTACTACAAACTTCATGTGGGTGGGAATTTTTGCCTGTCTGTTCACTGTTTAACTCCAGTGCTTAGAACAGTGACTGGCACACATTAAGCTCTCAATAAACAAATGTGGACTAAATAAACTCACAGCTAACTATTGCTATCAACCTTCCACAAGGCCTTCAACCTCTCTGGTAATAAGGAAAAAACAAATTAAAATATGGAGGCATTATTTTTTGTCCAAAAGATTGGTAAATATAAAAAAGACTGATATCAAGAGTTGAGGCAATACAGAAAAAGGTACCTTTACATTATTGGTGAAATTATAAATTAGTATGAGCTTTTTGGAAGGAAACTTGGCATTGTCTATTAAAATATAAATGAGCATGCTCTTCTTCCAAGGAATTCTGCTTCTTCCATTATTCATCACAGACAAATGTGTACAGACATTTTGGGAACATATATATGATGCTGATCACATTAACCCTATTTGTAAGAGCAAAAAAATAGAAACAATTCAAATAAATATAAATAGGGTAACTGTTTTTCTTTTTTTTTTTTTTTTTTGAGACAGAGTCTCGCTCTATCACCCAGGCTGGAGTGCAGTGGCATGATCTCAGCTCACTGCAAGCTCCGCCTCCCAGGTTCATGCCGTTCTCCTGCCTCAGCCTCCCGAGTAGCTGGGACTACAGGCGCCCGCCACCATGCCCGGCTAATTTTTGTATTTTTAGTAGAGATGGGGTTTCACCATATTAACCAGGATGGTCTCGATCTCCTGACCTCGTGATCTGCCCACCTCGGCCTCTCAAAGTGCTCAGATTACAGGTGTGAGCCACTGCACCAGCCAGGTAACTGTTAAAGTATGCTATATCCATTCCATGGAATATTATAACAGGTAAATAAAATCTACATGTACTAACATGAAAAACTCTGCAAAATATAATAATGTAGAATGAGGAAAGCATGTTATGGTAAATATGATACCACAACTATTTTTAAAAATCTACTGTGTATAAAGTGGACAGACTTAAGTCCTTATTTAAAACATCGAGACTTTCTAGATGTTTAGAAGTGCACAAAGTATGTTAAAAGTAGGGTAGTAAGTAACACATTTTGTAGATATCCTTTTGTTAAAATTCACTGAAATATTACCTTTTGGAAATGTAATGATCAAACCACTTCTCTAAGCAGTACACATCATTACATTTGTACTGCGTCAGGAGAAAAGGAGGAGAATAAAGTGCAAAGGGCTTTATACCAATGTGTTTACAGTGAGGCAAGATTGACCACTGTACCTTATGTCCATGCATTTTATTTTACTTTGCTATGTATATAGTGTATATGAAGGACAAATGAGCCCTAATTTACAACATCTAGTTCTAGATGTTAAAGAGGTTGACAGCGTATGACCAACGTAGAGTCAGTAACCTAATACACTGAGTACATTTTGTGTTCAAATTCATAGGAAAGACTGTTCTTAAAAACACTTAGGGAAGTGAAATTGTTAAAGTCCCCTCTAAGCACTACAAATGCTTATATCTATCCACTGAGTTGACAGGTGGGAAGGGTTCTATGCCAGAATGTTCGTTCCTATTTAGATGACACTTTCAAATGGCAGCTTATTATGTACGTGTAACATTTATTCACGTTTTCAGTTCTTAAGAAGGACTATCCTCTGGGAGTGACCTTTGTTAATTGACCTCTTAGAACTAGACATAGTCCTGTACTTAGTCACTGGAATGACAGAACAGGATAAAGAAGAACGGGTGGAAGGAAGGGCTCTTAGTCAGAATCTCCATATCTAGAAGATGGTTTTAGATGAAAAACCACAGGTCTATAGGTGCATTTTTAGTAAAGTACTTGTGTTTATTGTGGACAGAGTTTATTATTTTGCAACACCTAAGCTTCATAGATGTCTTGATGTGACAACATATAATAATATAATTAGTAAATATCCATAATGTGTGATAAAACACGATACATACTGCGTGATCTTAATCCCATAAAATTGGATACTGTGTCTATGTACACACAGGACCTAGAAGGACAAGTCAAACTGTAAACTGCTTGTGATTGTGGATGACTGTTCTTTGCTTCTTGTGTTTCTCAGTTTCCTACAGTAAACATATTAACTTTTTAAAAATAAAGGGTTTGGGTTTTGTTATTTTGAGATAGGGTCCTGCTTTGTCACCCAGGCTGGAGTACAATGGCATGATCATAGCTCATGCAGCCTCAAACTCCGGGCTCAAGTGATTTTCCCACCTCAGTCTCCCAAACAGCTGCACACGCCACCACACCTGGCTAATTAAAAAAATCTTTTTGGCCAGGTGCGGTGGCTTATGCCTGTAATCCCAACACTTTGGGAGGCCAGTGGATCACCTGAGGTCAGGAGTTCAAGACCAGCCTGTCCAACATAGTGAAACCCTGTCTGTACTAAAAATACAAAAAAATTAGCCAGGCGTGGTGGCAAGTGCCTGTAATCCCAGCTACTTGGGAGGCTGAGGCAGGAGAATTGCTTGAACCCGGGAGGTGGAGGTTGCAGTGAGCCGAGATCGTGCCACTGCACTCCAGCCTGGGCAATAAGAGTGAAACTCCATCTCAAATTAAAAAATAAAATAAAATAATTTTTTTTTGTAGAGACAGAGTCATACTTTGTTGCCTAGGCTGGTAAGGTTACTATTTTCAAAAGTCTAATGTGGCTGAGTGTGGTGGCTCACGCTTTTAATCCCAGCACTTTGGGAGGCAGAGGTGGGAGTTAATCCCAGCACTCTGGGAGGCAGAGATGGGAGGATCTCTTGAGCCCAGGAGTTTGAGAACAGCCTAGGCAACGTAGTGAGACCCGTCTCTACAAAAAAATAAAACAATTAGTTGGGTGTGGTGGTGTGCATCTGTAACCCCAGCTACTCAAGAGGCTGAGGTGGGAGGATCACTTGAGCCTGGGAAGTCAAGGCTGCAGTGAGTCATGACTGTGCAACTGCACTCCATCCTGGGTGACAGAGTGAGACCCTATCTCAAAAAATAAAAAATAAAAATAGGCTGGATGCGGTGGCTGATGCCTGTAATCCCAGCACTTTGGGAGGCCAAGGCAGGCAGATCACTTGAGTTCAGAAAGACCAGGCTGGGCAAAATGGAGAAACCCTGTCTCTACAAAAAAATACAAAAATTAGCCAGGGGTGGTAGTATGTGCGTGTAGACCCAGCTGCTTGAGAGGCAGAGGCAGGAGGATCATTTCAGCTCAGGAGTTTGAGGCTGCAGTGAGCTCTAATACACACCACTGCACTCCAGCCTGGGTGACAAAGCAAGACCATGTCAATTAAAATAATAATAATAAGATTAACTTAAAAAAAAAGTTTAAATTTTAAAAAGTCTAACGAATGCTAAAACTGTGAAAGGTTGATGGGGAACGAGATACTTGCAATGTCACCAAAGTGTTCCCCACATATTGGTTAATGGCAAAGGGAATTTTACAATGGAGGAATTAGGTAGTTACTATCTTAACCCTGTGATCAAAACCAGTAAGATCTCCAGATATTATTGCCTCATGACAGGATGTAATATGCAAGACACAACATTACCTATTAAAGCATTTTTGCCAAAAATATTTTACCTGATTTAAATTTAACTTCTAGTTCACAGATAATATAGAACATAGAGGAATAAATTAAACAGTAATGCAAATAAACAATTAGACCAATTTGGAAATTTACTATAGAAAATTGGCTTCATCTGTCATCAATGTGGAAAGAGGTATGGGGTAGGGCAAGGGTATTTTAGGTTAAGGAGATTTAAAGGACATAAGTGAGCCAGGCGTGGTGGCTCACGCCTGTAATCCCAGCACTTTGGGAGGCCAAGGCGGGTGGATTACCTGAGGCCAGGAGTTTGAGACCAGCGTGGCTAACATGGCGAAACCCCATCTCTACTAAAAATACAAAAATTAGCCAGGAGTGGTGGGCACTTGTAATCCCAGCTACTTGGAAGGCTGAGGCAGGAGAATCACTTGAACCCAGGAGGTGGAGGTTGCAGTAAGCTGAGATTGCACCACTGCACTCCAGTCTAGGCGACAGAGCGAGACTCCGTCTCAAAAAATAAACTAAAATAAAAAATAAAGGACATAAGTGTAAGAGGTAGTGCTTGACTGGATTATAAACAGCTATAGGCAGGGTGTAATCCCACACTCTGGGAGTCTGAGGAGGGAGGATTGCTTGAGCTCAGGAGTTTGAGACCAGCCTAGGCAACATAGGGAAACCTCATCTCTACAAAAATTTAAAAACTAGCCAGGGTCAGCTGCCATGGCTCACGCCTGTAATCTCAGCACTTTGGGAGGCTGAGGTGGGAGGATTGTTTGAGCCCAGAAGTTCGAGACCAGCCTGGGCAACGCAGTGAGACCTTATCTCTAAAATAAATAAATAAACAAATAAACACTAGCTGGGCACGGTGGCACATGCCTGTAGTCCCAGCTACTTGGGAGACTGAGGTGGGAGGATCTGCTTGAGCCAGGGGGGTCAAGGCTGCAGTGAGTTGTGATTGGGCCACTGCACTCTAGCCTGGGTGAGAGTGAAACCATGTCTCAAACAAAAACAAAAACAAAAACCAGCTATAAAAGACACCTGGAAGCCAGGTACAGTGGCTCATACCTGTAATCCCAGCATTTTGGGAGGCTGAGGCAGGTTGATCACCTGAGCCCAGGAGTTTGAGACCATCCTGGGCAACATAGTGAGACCCCATCTCTACAAACAATTAAAAAATTGTCTCTGCTACTTGAGAGGCTGAGGTGAAAGAATCGCTTAAGCCCAGGAGGTTGAGGCTGTGGTGAGCCATGTTCATGCCACTGCATTTCAACTGGGTGACAAAGAACCCATCTCTAAAAAAAGTAAAAAATAAAACTAAAAGACACCGGGAACTATTTGGGGAAATCTGAATTTGGAATGGATGTTAATAACATTGGGGGATTATGTTATTTTATTTGTTTATTTAAAGACAGTCTTGCTCTGTCACCTAGGCTGGAGTGCAGTGCTGCAATCTTGGCTCACTGCAACCTCCACTTCCCTGACTCAAGTGATCTTCCCACCTCAGCCTCCCAATTAGCTGGGATTACAGGTAAGCACCACCATGCCCAGCTAATTTTTGTATTTTTGGTAGAGACAAGGTTTCACCATGTTGCCCAGGCTGGTCTTGAACTACTGGGTGCAAGCTATCCACCAGCCTCAGGCTCCCAAACTGATGGGATTACAAGTGCGAACCAACATGGCAGGCCAGATTATAGTTATTTTTGTGAAATATGATAAACTTATTGTGGTTGTGTAGAAAAAGGCCTTTTTTAAGGGGAGATGTATGCAAACATTTAGGAGTGAAATGTCTTGACATTTGTAATATACTTTAAAATAGTTCAGCAAAGAAAAATTGTAAAGCAAAAGATGTTAATTATATGGATGTTATTATGGTATTTTTTCCTGCTTTTCTTGAATAAAGCTGTGTTTCTACATGCACTGTATATGTATGTAAGCAGGACAACTACATGTATGGTGACTATAGCTGGTTAGCTCCAGGGAAGACTAGAATTGGGCAAATGAATAAAAAAGGCAGATCAAACAAGATCGGCAAGAAAACAGAAACACAGCAGAATACATAGATGGTGCACCAACCTTAACATATTCAATGGCTCTTGGAGAAAAATCACAGGCATAGGCAAAGATATTCGGATCTTCTTCTAAAAGTGGGAATAAACAGTTTCCAACCCCACAGCCAGCTTCAAGCATTGTTAACTTTTGATCTTCAAACTGGGGAAAGACAGCTCAAAGTTATAGTATATCACATTTGCATAATGAAGAAATAAACCAAACTAAAAGGTCCAGAATATGAGAGGTCTCCGACCCCATGGAGCAGACGATCAACAAGAGAACTAATAAGCAAAAGCTAATACTGGTACTTCATTTGTCATCCAACATTAACAATTTGGTGTGGAGGAAAAAAACAGCACAATGGCTAACTCGGCTCTGGAGTTAAACTGCCAGCACCCAAATCTCAACTCCTCCCCTGCATTCTATCCTTGGGTAAATCACTTAAACAGCTCTGTGCCTCAATTTTACCTTGGGGACAAATGAGTACAATACTAATACTTACACTTCACAGAGCCGGTATAAGGGTCAAATGATAGGCCATGTAGAAAACAGCCATGGTAAATAGTTACTAACATTAACTATTATATTATTCTGAATCTGTCACTGAAGTCACTTAGCATGAATTTATATTTTTGTTTTTAAAATTTTTAATGTTTAAAATTTTAAAATTCAGAACATAGGGTCTCACTATGCTGCCTAGGCTTGGCTAATTCATGTTGACTATTCACAGGCACAAGCCGCCTGCCTCAGCCTCTGGAGTAGCTGGCAATAGCCACCAGACCTGGCTCTTGAATTTAATATATAATGTTTACAACTATCAGATCAGCTTAAAGAAATAGAAAACACCCACTAAAGTTCTCTCTCCTATATGTTAACCAAACCAGAAACTGCTAAAACTTTGGTGTTAAGACCAAACAGTATATTTCTCTCCTAAAACGCAAAGCATTTTGATAGGCTTCTTAAATTCTCTACTTCGCACTCTCCCTAGGAATGCAATACAGCACACCTCTTCACATTTTTTTTTCTTTTGAGACAGAGTCTCGTTCTGTCACCAGGCTGGAGTGCAGTGGCACAATCTCGGCTCACTGCTATCTCCGCCTCCCGGGTTCAAGCGATTCTCCTGCCTCAGCCTTCCAAGTAGCTGGGACTACAGGCGAGCACCACCACACCCAGCTAATTTTTGTATTTTTAGTAAAGACGGGGTTTCATCATGTTGGCCAGGATGGTCTCGATCTCTTGACTTCGTGATCCGCCTGCCTTGGCCTCCCCAAGTACTGGGATTACAGGCATGAGCCATGGCACCCTCTTCACATTTTAAATGAAGAACAGCTCAGATAAGGCGTAATATTAGCTTACCTCTCTACATGATCTTAGCTCCTCAAACTCTCTGGTGGTCCAGTGTCTGTCTTTGAAGAAATTAGTGCTATTTCTTTTGTAAAAAAGATCCCAATTTTTCTGAGCCTCTTGTTCCAATTTCTGCTGTTTAAAATCAGACACCAAAGTTTGGTCTCTTTTCAGTTTCTCCTCTTCTTCAGAGGTGAGAATCCTTGCCTGCAGCCCTTTCCTTTGCAAAGAAGCCATCTCTGAAACTGACGGTAACACTTAACACAGCTGAAGATTCTCCATCACCAAATAATATGAATCCACGCTAATGGATCAGATACATTTCCTGAGGTGAGTTTCACGCCTCAAACAGCACAGGGGGCTTCGCAGAGAAAAGAATTAGATTCTGGTTAGTGGTTACAGTTCAAGACGCCAGGTTCAATTCACCAAATGTTTATGAGATGCAGACTGTACAAAAAAAAATCCTTCCCGCTATATGAGAGGTCACAAAGAAGACAAACACACAGTCCCTACCTTCAGTGGGCTTACATTCATTTCAGTGGCCAGACTATCTCATGCACCATACTTTTATTCAAACCAGATGAGTCAACTATTACAATAAATCGATTTAGTTTACGAAAAAGGACGCTCTCAAGAACTGACTGGGAAACCTTGCGAAGAAAATATTCCTCAATTTTCGGTGCCCGCGAAAGGGGTGACTTAAAAACCACAATGGCCTTAGCTGGAAGCGGGTGGTCAATTGTCAGATACAAGTGAGGTCATCGTTTCCCAAGGGTCGGACCTCCGTTTTTTCGGGGGAAATGAAGCTAAGCCTGGGTGGGCTCATTTCCTGATCACACTCACAAGAGGCTGTCATAGGAACCAGAGGGAGCGTCACTTTGCAGGGACTGAGACCCTCGCACCGCCATCACCGGGCAAAGTGGAGAAAGAGACCCAATGACGCGTGGCTGAGGTCCCGAGGATCCATCTCAGGACCCTCAGGATAGACTAGGCTGCATGGGCCCCTAGACCCTGAGGAGGGCGTCCATGATGGCTAGCCGACCCGCGTTAATTTAGTCAGCCACGCTCAGGGCTCACCGTCATCAGTTCCTAAATTCACCTGCAGGGCTAGGGCCAGGCGCACTCACCCCACAGCCAGCCCCACTGGGCCTCGGAGGCAGAATACGGGAAGAACCGCGAAACAACCCTAAACCAATTCTGAGGACCACGAATTCGGATTATCCGGGAGTTCTTTTGCCATGGCACCGCCCCCGCCACTTCCGCTAGGAACCCGGAAGTTCCTACCCGACGCCGGAAGTCCCACGGCCTTGCCTCCTCAGATTCCTCTCTCACCCCCACGCAGAGGAGAGAACTTGCTTCTGGACCCGGGTGGGTGCCGGCTCGGCTCTCCTTGTCTTCCAGAGCGGTGGCCCGGAAGCACAGTCCTCCCAGACGCCAGCGCCAGAAGCTCGGATCGCGGCTGCACCGGGAGAGCGCCGATCTGGGTGCGAGGCAGGTGCGGGGCCATGAATGGGACCGCAAACCCGCTGCTGGACCGCGAGGAACATTGCCTGAGGCTCGGGGAGAGCTTCGAGAAGCGGCCGCGGGCCTCCTTCCACACTATTCGTTGTAAGTCAGCGCTCCCCACGGTTCCCTTCGGCCGCTCCAGCCGCCACATATCAACCTTGACTCCTTCCTTTCTTCCCTCGGCCCTTCAGATTCCAGGGAACCCCCTGCCAGCGTCAGTTACTTTCTCTCGAACCCCAAATCCTTTGGGACATCGATTTGTCCCTTCTTTTACCCAGATTATTTCTCCCAAATCTTCGTCACTCCCTACTATTCTTCTACCTCACAGTCTCAAACACTAGTTCCAAAGGTCTTTGGCCTCTTTCCATTTCCATCCCTCCCCGCCCCCAACCTCGCCCCTAAGGCAAACCTCCCTCCCCCAAGGCAAACCTCCCCCCTCTTATCCGGGTCCACTTCTCCCTCGAAACCCCTCCCCTCCTTTCCGATGCTCCCATCAGGGTTCTCCACATTTAAAAGACGCTTCTTGTTTGTTATGAGCCTCATCCACTGCCTTAGAACCCATTCTCTTCCCTGCTTTTCTCCTCCGACTTGGTCCTGGACTCCCAAATACTGTGCTTTGTCCCCTCTACAGCCAAAGAATTGGCATCCTCTCTGCGCCTCATCAGAGTCTTCTTCCATCTCCTTTCTGTGCTTCATTTGACTTGGATGTCTTTTGAGGTCACCTATACCACCCGGGCTTTTCCTCCAGACCAAGTTCCTTGTGGGTAAAGAGTCAAATCAGAGTTCGTGAGCCTGGGATAGGTTAAAGATTGGTCTACGTTTGGAAGCAGAAGAGAGCAGGCGTAAGGAATGTCCAAATAGTCATTATGCCGGACCTTTTTCTACATAATTATAGACGCTGTTGAGAGAGTGCACTTCCACCCTATGTCCTGGGTGAAGGTTTGGCAGTTAGGAATTGGCTGACAGAGCATCCCTCCGTGATTCATGAACTTCTGGTTTCCGTGGTGCTAACGCTGTTGTTAAGACTTGTTTTTGTCAGAGGACCTAATAGATGTGACTCAACACATGTGAAGAGGGCGTTTTAGATAATGAAATCCCATCTTTGTGTAGTCACTTGCCATGCCATTGCTATGCTTCCTACTGACAGCAGATCCAGCTCTTTCAGAGAGAAGAGATGGGAATAAGATAAGAACATCATTTCCTGAAGAGTTTACTAAGTTGATGTTTTCTTTTGGTGAAGGGCAATGTGGAATTTAAATCATATAGTTCATGTGTGCACCTGTCCTGCAGTTTGAGGCAGGTGTGAATGTGAATTAAGATGGCTATTATGTTGTATTCTAACTGCAGTTTAGAAACACGAGCAGGATAACTTGCGGAGATACAGTTCAGTTGTCTGCTATGAACATCTACGAAGTGTCTTTGTTAAAGCTGTGGAACTGGCTGAGAGTGGTGGCTGACACTATAATCCCAGTACTTTGGGAGGCCGAGGTCGACAGATAGCTTGAGCCCAGGAGTTTGAGACCAGCCTGGGCAGCATAGTGAGACCCCATCACTATTAAAAAAAAAAAAAAACAAAAAACAGCTATGGAACTTGAGTATGGCAAATCCTAATTTTGACAGTTTCTATGCGGAATGAAATCAGCTTTTGATGATGCTGTGGCCTTTCATATTTCATATAGAGTTTACAGTCACAGAATCTGTTTCATATGCTGTTACTTTTGATCCTCACAACCCTAAAAAAGCAACTTATTATGGATGATGAGACAATTTTCCTCTCTCCCTTGGGAGAAGGGAATATCTTTGTTTAATAAAATGGCCTGTAAATTCTTTTTTCCCTCTAGAATAATCAAAAGGGGGTCAGAGGAAAAGTATGTGGAGGTGTAGATGAAACAAGATTGTCCCTGAGTTGGTAATAATTGAAACTGGATAATGGTATACCAGGTCTCATTGTACGATTCTCTCTACTTTTGTGTATCTGAAGTTTTCCATAACGAAACAGTTTTTTAAGAATTCTAAATTATTTTTATTTTCCATTCATCTGAGTAATAATTTTAATTCTTAAATGGAGATGCCCAGGAAACCCTTATTATAAGTAACCTGGTGGGTAAGTGCTTTTTTTCCTTTCCCTTTAGATGATTTTAAACCAGCATCTATAGACACTTCCTGTGAAGGAGAGCTTCAAGTTGGCAAAGGAGATGAAGTCACAATTACACTGCCACATATCCCTGTGAGTTTATTTCATTTTTTTTTTTAATGTAAGATCACAATGAATCTTTGTCTTTTATATTATTGCAATTTAAACTTCCTACTTTTAAAAATGTTTAGATTTCTAAAGTGGCAACTTAAGGAAAAAAGTAATTTTGGGGAGTGGGGTGGGGTGGACTTCATGCTAGGCAGGTGCTTGATTAAAAATAATTCTTGTAATCCTAGCATTTTGGGAGGTGGAAGTGGGTGGATAGCTTGAGTTCAGGAGTTAAAGACCAGCCTGGGCAACATGGTGAAACCCCGTCTGTACCAAAAATACAAAAAATTAGCTGGGGGTGATGGCACATGTCTGTGGTTGCAGCTGCTTGGGAAGCGGAGCTGGGAGGATCGCTTGAGCCTGGGAGGTAGAGGTTGCAGTAAACCAAGATCACGCCACTGCACTCCAGCCTGGGCGACAGAGTGAGACTCCCCCTCAAAAAAAAAAAAAAAAAGATTATTCGTCGTTTTCCCCAATCTTCCTTTTCCCCCATCTGCTACTGAGTAGACAAGGTTCCTGTCTGGACACCTAGCCCCTCTTTTAGATATAGCTTTTCTCCCAAGCAACTCCAGACAGAAAAGCCCTAGGTGCCCTGCTGATTATATGGCCACAACAGCTCAGGAGTGTGAGGCAACCAAGCCAGGAGTTAAGGCAGGCAGGAACCACAGGTGTGGCACATTCAGCTGATTTAGGGATGAAGAACTAAATTGAAAGCTGGATTAAGAACCCTTGCAGAGAAAGACTTTTGTGAAGCTCTGCCCAAGGCAGCACTAATGACAAAGCACCAAAGGGTCACATGATGCTCTTAGTGAACATGTGTTATTGCATGTCACACCCCTGTCCTGGAACATAAGTTCTCGGTAGCTGGAGACAGAATGAAAAGTCTCTGGACAGGGAGATCTGGAAAGCTTTGTGGTGAGGAAAAATTGCCCATTCAAACTGCTGTTTGATTACTTGTTACCTTTGGCAAGTTACATCATCTCCCTTTGGACCTTAGTTTCCCATATGTAAAATGAAAGGTTTAGAAAAATGGTCCCTAAAGTTCTTTCTAGCTCTATATTTTTACTATATAAATAAGGAGTCAAAGAGCCAAGCAGTTTTTTATTCTAAGCAAGGCATTAAATATGATATTCAACAAATATTAATCAAATGCCTCCCACACATTGGCCCATTACTAGGCATGAAGTATATAACCTTGAACAAAACAAGCACATTTCTTGCCCTGGTGGAGCTTATGGTCTGGAGTTTAAATTAATACAAGAAAATATAGCAGTTATTCTACAAAATCAGGGACAGCTTCCTTAAGGAAGTATCTGTGAGCAGATCTGGAGGTTGGGTCATTTAAAGAGAGGGGGCAGGATATAGCTGGCAGAAGCCTTGTTAAAGCTGGCAGAAGCCTTGTTAAAGCCCAGAGGCAGGAGAGAGCTTGAGGATAGGAGGGAAGCCAGTTGCCTTCTGCTCTGAAGCACATGCGCAGGGGAGTATGCTGCAGGGTGAGGTGGAGAGCCAGGGAAGGGCCCGGTAGTGCAAGGCCAAGTGGCTAGTTTAAAGATTTTATCCTTTGGCCTGAGAGCAATTGAGGAGTGATTGAAAGGCTTAGGCAGATGAGTGACATGATTTATTTATTCTGAGCCAACCAGGATAATGACCTTCTCTTGGAAAATGCTCTGTTGGTTGCTTGACATGAGAAGGGGAAACCCTGGTCTCTCTAATGACAAAGAAATAGAGATCACTCACAGTTTTACTATACAGAGTGATAACTCTGCTTAGTATAATGAAAGTAATGGTTAATTTTTCTCTCTTGGAACGTATATAGTAATTAAAACTTTTATACTACCTTTTTGATTACTTAGAACGCGTTGCACATTCACAAATTCTTGCTATATTATTTCTCCTTTATTTTTGCCTCGGAAACCAGAAGGAGATAAAATAGAAATCAGTTCAACCTGTTCTTTTTGAATAGCTCTGATAAAAGATTTCATCAGGTGGAGTCATCTATAAATTCAGTTGATATTCATAACTGGTATGTTTAGTTTGATCATCTTATACTTTTGTGGCAAATAGGGATCCACACCACCCATGACTGTGTTCAAGGGGAACAAACGGCCTTACCAGAAAGACTGTGTGCTTATTATTAATCATGACACTGGTGAATATGTGCTGGAAAAACTCAGTAGCAGCATTCAGGTGAAGAAAACAAGGTATGTGAATAGCCAGATGCAGGTTTATATCATGTTTCCAAACCTCTGTTATCTATTCAGTTTTTATAAGGTTGTGAACATCTGCTTGCTCATAGTGTTCTATCAATAATCTTAACACTACCTGTGCTCAGACAAAATATGTAAATATGTGCTCAGAGTAAAATATGTCTTCCTCAAATGCAATAAAAAGAAATAATGTTTTTTAAGACCTAAAACATGGGAACCATTAGGGAAAGGGGGATATACTTTATAATTAAGCCTATTTTGTTAATCTCATGATTGCTACAGTACCACCTAAGGGATAAGATAACTTATAGACTTATAATTATGAAGGAGCAATATATACTATACTTAACTGGAGTGAAAACATTAATTTTTTTACAAGATACATTTGAGATTACTATAATACCAAAATAAAACTTTGCCTATTTTTTAATATAGTGAACTCTTTAATTCAACAGTTGCTACATGTCTAAAATGAAGCCAGTTAGAGTTTATTTGAAAATAAAAATTCATTCTATAAATAGAAATAACCTAGTGGTTCTATTTGTTACCATATAATACAGTATTTTTTTTTTTTTAAAGAGTCGAGGTCTCTTGCTGTGTCACCCAGGCTGGAGTGCAGTGGCATAATCATAGCTCACTTATAATACAGTAATTATTATAATACAGTAATTAAATTGTAAAGATTGTCACAACCTGATGTTTTTTATGCTTCGTTAAGCCATTTTTTTTTCATTCATTCATTCCACAGAAAATAAAAATAGGTACCATTTATTGAGGGGGTATCATGTCCCAGGCACTCTGCTAGATGCTTTATATGCATTGTTTTATCTAACAAGTAATTTTTAGAAAGGTGTTATTATTATTTTTTACTTCTTTTGTTAAAAATATGGAATTGTTCATGAGTTTGTGTGTCATCCTTGCACAGGGGCCATGCTAATCTTCTCTGTATCATTCCAATTTTAGTATATGTGCTGCCGAAGTGAGTACGAAAGGTGCTATTATCTAAAAAAAAAAAAAAAAAAAAAAAGGTACGGAGACTGAGGGTTAGAGAGCTTGACCTACCCCGGAGAGTGTGCTGCAGAGTCCTTGCTCCTGTCCTGCCACTCTATTTATTTGTATTCATTACCTACAGTGAACCAGGTGCTACCGATATTCCTCCAATATCTGATGGTTGTGGTATATTCCCTTACTACTCAGTGTGATATGGGAACTAACAGTATCATATTACCTAGATGATATGCAGAATCTCAACACCTATGAGATCTGAATCTGCAGAGATCACCAGGTGATTTGTGCATAAGCAAAAGTTTTAGAAGCACTAGGCTAGTCCATTTACAAAAGAAATTGTTAACTGATAGAATATTCTCAGCTTGGGATGGAATTCTGCTTGTCTGCCAGCAAGAGCTGGCATGTGATGAAATGAACAAGCAGTATATAGATAATGGAAAAAATTTTCAAGCTGGGCAATATTTTAGGAGCTACTTTATTTAGGAACTCATGCACTCATGATTATAATTACATAATGATGTTTTGGTCAGTAGTGACCTACATATATGACAGTGGTCCCTTAAGATTCTAATGGAGCATGTATGGAAACCTGATATACGGCACTTGATATTGGCATTGCAGATCAAGTAGGGGGAATGACTGATATTCAATTATGGTGGTGGGACATTTGGGTTTTCATGTGAAAAAATTATATGCTATATTGGTTTGCATAAGTACATTCTGCTGTTTGCATGATGAAATCACCTCATGATGCAGTTCTCAGGACTTACCCTCATTGTTAAGGGATGCATGAATGTATTTTCTACTAGTAAAATGGATTTTCATAGTTTCATTATATCCTACATTTGTTTGCTATACATTTGAGCTCATCGAGGGCAGTAAATATTCTATTCATGTCTGTATCCCTGATACATAATATAGTACTGGATTACAGTAGACACTCAAATGTTGAATGAATAGCTCACATGACAAAATTACAAGTATCAGTATTTTGAAGTGGTCTGGAAAGAACATGGGGTTCTACAGAGACTTCTGAGTTTTCAGTCACCTGGACAAATTTGAGAACCACTATTTTTGCCCTGCTAATTTAATGTCTGTATCTCCTTTCAGAGCTGAGGGCAGCAGTAAAATCCAGGCCCGAATGGAACAGCAGCCCACTCGTCCTCCACAGACGTCACAGCCACCACCACCTCCACCACCTATGCCATTCAGAGCTCCAACGAAGCCTCCAGTTGGACCCAAAACTTCTCCCTTGAAAGATAACCCCTCACCTGAACCTCAGTTGGATGACATCAAAAGAGGTAGAGAACATTTTCTGGATCCATGATAGCAACTTGGAGTAGAGTGCTGAATTTTCTTGTGGAGATCACATGGCTGCTGTATTGATACAGTGGCTGGGGCATTCAATGCCATCAAAAAAATGTCTGCAGAGCTCACTGTTCAGAGATGGGGAGGGTGGGGGCTTCTGCCACTTACCTCATTTGACAAGGGTGAGTCCTGGAATAGTGACTTGAGTTTGTGGCTATCTTTGTAGCCATTCTGCTTAGAGGCCTAGGATTTAAACAAGCATGACTTCCATCTAAGCTCCATATGGCACACCTCTAAGGCTTCGGAGAAAGAAAGGATTCTAGGTGTTGGAGGTGAAAACTAAGCGTAGGTGGCAACCTTTCTGAGCTCTACATTAGTATATAGGCTGGAGGAGCTGACCATGGTGCTGCACACTTGTAGTTTCAGCTACTGTGAGGCAGGAGGATCGCTTGAAGTTGGGAGTTTGAGGCTACAGTGTGCTATGATCGTGCCTGTTGGTAGCTACTGAACTCCAGCCTGGGCAATAACATCTCTTTTTTGGGGGGAAAAAAAGGATTAAAATGCCTTTTAAAATACCATAAGCAAATGTCCTGTGCTAACACAAAGTGTGTAAATATGAAAGAGGCCATGAGGACCAATAGAAACAGATACTGGCCTAGAAAGAGTTAAAGGTCCAGTTTGGTTCTCTCCACTGCAAACCTGAGACAAAAAAGCTTACCTTGGCTTTCTCCTTCACACGATGAATGGTTTTAGTCCTCCAGACTCTTTAGAAGTTGTGAGGTCATATTTCATATTTATAAGTTTTATAAAATAACTAAATCCATAATAATAGTAGGGAAACATAAAGAGTTGTCCCTGGGAAATTTGCCTTTTCCACCCTGTAGAACGGCTGCAGACATCACTCTGCACTGTGTACAGTTGTTTTGTCCCTTTTTTTTTTTCCTCATGGATACTGGAATGCTGTTATGGAAGTTTTCACTTAGGTTGAATAGGAATCAGAGCATGAGTGGTTAGTTGTTGCCAATTATGCTTAAAGGAGCCATAGCCATTTAAGGCCACATGGTATGCCTAGACAGGAAAATCTGGCGCCTTTCTTGAAATGGTTAGTTAACATTGATATTTTATATCTGTAAAAAATGCAGTACCTGACAGGCATGGCTGTCAGTCAAATATGTAAAGAGTGAAGAGGAAGAATATTGTTTTACCATTTTTATTTAGTCACCATGGTTCTTCCTGCAAACCTCCATTTATTTATGGGACATGAGAGCTGGAAAGGACCTTAGAGGCTGTCTGGTTTTCATTTTTCCAGAGTGGCTTGGAAAATTCATTGACTTCTACCTAGGTGTCACTGCTGGTTAGAGGTAAATCCAAAACAAGCACTCAGACCTCCCAACTCCTAGTCAAATATTTTTCAACCACTTTACATAATATTTGTCTTCTCTTATGTGGGAATTATGGTTTTATCCCATAGTTCATAATATTCATAATTTTTCTTTTAGTAGATAAAGGCAAATGGACTTAATTCATTTCTTACACAGAACAGCCATTATTCTGAAACAGTCTTGCTTTTTATTTATTTTGAGTGAATTTAATGTTTCCATTGTGTCTCTGGAAACAGGCTGTGTTTTTGTTTTGGTAATTTTGTTTGTACATTTTTTAAGGTATTGAGAAGTAGGACTTTGTTTTAAATTATTTCTTATTGCTGTTGGTTTTGCTGATTTACTATTTATAGAAGCTCCAATGCACTGCCTTGAAAAGGGCTGCTGTGCTGATCCATGTCATATCCTTTATTCCAGAGCTGAGGGCTGAAGTTGACATTATTGAACAAATGAGCAGCAGCAGTGGGAGCAGCTCTTCAGACTCTGAGAGCTCTTCGGGAAGTGATGACGATAGCTCCAGCAGTGGAGGCGAGGACAATGGCCCAGCCTCTCCTCCGCAGCCTTCACACCAGCAGCCCTACAACAGTAGGCCTGCCGTTGCCAATGGAACCAGCCGGCCACAAGGAAGCAACCAGCTCATGAACACCCTCAGTAAGTGTGTACTCCTTTTTATGGCTGAGAGAGGGCCATAGGTGCAGCTTCTATTTATCCTGTGCCAGAACTTACAAACCTAAAGATGTTTAAGGCATGGGAGAGGATCTTGTTAAAAATAGTTTGGAGCAGAAAGGTGTGAGTTACTAAACAGTAAAAAAGGGAAATGAGATGAAAAATCTGTTCTTTCTATTTCTATTCCCCACTGGCTCATACCGGTGTTTGTGAATTCTAGAAAACACTAAAACATGAACAGATAGGCTGTTTTTGCTTTTATACCAGACTTTCGGGGAGCTACCTGCCACCATACTGCTCTCTGCCCATTGGTCTTTTTTCTGGAGACAGAGTCTCACTCTGTCGCCCAGGCTGGAGTGCAATGGTGCAATCTCGGCTTACTGCAACCTCCACCTCTCGGGTTCAAGCGATTCTCCTGCTTCAGCCTCCCAAGTACCTGGGATTACAAGCATGTCCCACCACACCTGGCTAATTTTTGTATTTTTAGTAGAGATGGGGTTTTGCCATGTTGGCCAGGCTGGTCTCCAACTCCTGGCCTCAAATGATCTGCCTGCCTCGGCCTCCCAAAGTGCTGGGATTATGGGTGTGAACCACCATGCCTGCCTATCTTGAACTTTTATAAAAAAGAATCCACTGTCCCCAGACAGTGTGGTGGCTTTTTTTTTTTTTTTTTTCCTTCAGACAGAGTCTTGATCTGTTGTCCAGGCTGGAGTGCAGCGGCATGATCCTTTTTTTTTTTTTTGGTAGAGACAGGGTTTCGCCACATTGCCCAGGCTGGTCTCAAACTCCTAGACTCAAGTGATCCACCCACCTCGGCTTCCCAAAGTGCCGAGATTATAGGCATGAGCCACCATACCCAGCCATTTTTAAAATTTTCTGTAGAGACAAGGTCTCACTGTTTTGCCCAGGCTGGTCTTGAACTCCTCCTGGGTACAAGTAATTTCCCCAACTGCCGAAGTGCTGTGATTAAAAGCATGAACCACCATGCCTGGCCTCGGTGTGTTTTAATGCAGTTGATACTAAAGTAAAACAGGAAAACAAGAACAAAAATTTATTTGTTTTGAAGGTGAACAGAGGGCTAATTTTCTATGCTTTTCTCTTTTTGGAACCCTGATGAATGTTCTCTCTTGGTACACCTTCCTTTAAGGAAGTTGGAAGGTCTAGAGGTAACAGTGGGGAAGTTAACCTAGTTAATCCAACTATTGTGGACCAGGCAGAGATAATCTCAACCTCAGCACTATGGGCAGTTTGGGCAAGATAAGTCTTCTTTGTGGGAGGTTGTCCTGCACATTGTAGGATGTTTAAGAGCATCCCTGACGTCTACCCACTAGATGCCAGTACCAGTCTCTTCCCACCTCCCCAGCCCCATGACAACCAAAAATATCTCAAGACATTGCCATTATATGCCCCATCTTTAACATAGAGACTGAAGTATATGAAGAAAATCTGGCATTCTAGGTAGTTAGAAAAGGGGTGACCTCAGGATCAGACCCCCCTGAAAGGGTTTCATGGAACCCCGAGTCCTCAGAATAGACTTTGAGGAGAACTGGCCTAGAGATTAGCAATTTGGAAATAAAGAAAATCACTTTTGCTACAAGTGGTATCAACTGGGGTTCTGTTATATGTATTCCTATTGTATTAGATTGAAATGTTAAGTAATTATATTCTTCTAAATTCTGCCTAGTAAACAGGAATCTGGGGTTTTGTAAAGCACGTTAGTTCAGATTTGAAATTTAAGATAACGTGACTATCCTGGACAGAGGTGTGCCAGAGCAGATACTGCATTAGCATATTACTGGTGTTAACAGTATTCACCTTTCTTAATGGGAAGCCTACCGGATATTTTCTTAAGTTGCCTTTATAAAGCAACTTAATGTGATCAGTTCTTCCGAATGGTGATCAGTTATTTTAAATATTTTCTTTTTTTTTTTTTTTCTTTTTTCTTTTTTTCCTTGAGACAGTCTCACTCTATCGCCCAGGCTGGAGTGCAGTGGTGCAATCTTGGCTTACTGCAACCTCCACCTCTTGGGTTCAAGCGATTCTCCTGCTTCAGCCTCCCAAGTACCTGGGATTACAAGCATGTCCCACTACACGTGGCTGATTTTTATATTTTTAGTAGAGATGGGGTTTCGCCACGTTGGCCAGGCTGGTCTCCAACTGCTGGCCTCAAATGATCTCCCTGCCTTGGCCTCCCAAAGTGTTGGGATTACAGGCGTGAGCCACTGCGCCCAGACATATTTTAAATATTTTCTTGCTATTTATTAAACCATTTAAAAGTTATCCAGCTTACTTCTCCTTTGCTCTACCCTAATATGCAGTATTGTTGTGCTTTGTAGATAACCAAAAGCACCATTTTGTTTCAGTGAGCCAATTTGATTTTCTTCCCTAAGTTGAATTAACAAGGTTTTACTGTAGTGTGATAGCCAAGGCAATTAACAAAAAATTATGAGGAAGTCATTTTTAAATTCTGTACTTTTGTTTGATTCTATGATTTTACTTTATTTTTTTTTTTAAATAGGAAATGACTTGCAGTTGAGTGAGTCTGGCAGTGACAGTGATGACTAGTGCTGGATCTTTCGAAACCTACTTTTTGGTGCACAAACATGCCGCAAGACTGAGCTACTTTGGCGTGGAGTCCATTGCAAGAGGAAAATGTTATGGATCAGTGACTGTAGTAGGAGTTTGAGGCTCTGGAACTCTCACATATTCAAGTCTTTAACTTAGTGGTGATGGGTGATTTTCTCGTGTCATTTTTGAACAATCTCATCTTTCAAAGTTTAAGTAGACCTGTAGAAGAGCTAACAGAATTATATTTCTATTTAGTTAAAATTGTTAATGAAAAACAGATAAATGTGCCCTGGTCTAAGTTACTCAAAGGCCATATCTTCACCAGGCCAGAGATTCAGTTTTAAACCTCAGCAGCCATCAGTTTGGCCAAGTGGTTGGTACCAGTGGAATGAAGTCTTTGATGGGTAGGAGAGAGAGGGAAAACCTCAAACTACATCATAGAAGTATGTTAAAACCACTTTAAATTGTTGACACAAAGTGGTAAGGAAGTTTTGTCTGACTCAGCCTGACAAGCCTGGATAGAAATGGACCTCAGAATACAGAATGGAGTCCTTGAGTGTCAGTTGGTGAGGACCATGGAGTCCTGCCAGCTCAACCTGTCATTTACAGACTAAGAAAGGGAAGTACACACCTGGCTTGTGGCCAGTCTCCTGCCCCCTCTCTGGGCTTTCCTCACTGTTCTCTCCCTTGAATCTCATTTGTAGGAATCAAGAGATTCCTATACATGGGACTTTTAGATGTACATTGGCACTTGGATTAGATTCCAAAAGACAAAAGTGTTGGGTGCTTCTAGCTTGAATTCAGTCCCTAAATACATGAGGCTGGGTGAGCAGATGAAACCGGTAGCCACTGTGCTGATGCATGTGACTCCATTCAGTTGGGGATTTTGGTTCCATGTGGATCCATACTAAGTATTCTTCAGTCAGTGGATTTTAGCAAGGGGAGGTAGGAGTGGAAGAGAGGTGTGAAGAAACCTCTCCGAACAAATGAACCAGCAGTAAGTTTCTAAAAATCAGAATCTAGATAGAAGTTCTGCAATATGAAATGAGCACATTCTTTGATAAGGCGTATCTATTCATGCTTTTGTACCACTGTTTTGTACCTGACTCCCTGACCGATTTGTATTTTTTATATACAACTAGAAGGAAGTCACAAGATTGCCTTCTACAGTGTGCCATTTCCAAATGGATCTGTTGTTGGAGGAAACTGGTTGCTAGTCAATGTTCTATATTTAATGAATGTGTGATAAATCATCCTGTAATCAGTATGGAGTAACCTGTTTTTGTAGTTTGGATGAATATGTCCTGAGAAATTTCCATCCACTTTGGTTCAGCGGACATCAAGGTAGTAATAATAATTTTTCCTCCACAGGTCCCTCCACTCATATGGCCTCTCCCTCCCCAGCTAGTGGAGGGGAAGCAGTCTGGACTTAGAAAGGAAATAGGTGGTCTGTCATAGGGGCTTTCATTAGAGTTAAACTTCATAGAGTCAACTGTTTCATCATCATAGTGAGCCCAGAGAGCCACTGCCCAGCAGCATGCTCACACCACCTACCCTAGTGTAGGTAATAGGTCTACGCTAGGACCCCGTGCTGGGCTCTCAGCCCATCATGAGATTTTGGTGGATTTAATGGCAGGTAGGAACTTATTTATAGTGGATTGATAATTGCTTTATAATTCCTTGGTAATGACAGCTCAGGGAAGGTTTCACAAGGTCATGATCAGGAGACTTGAATTGTTACTGGATGTAGGAATTGTTTCACTGCTCTTAACTTGCTCAAACTGGGGCAGGTTCCAGGAACTTGAACTAAAAATATCTATTTAAGCCTCTCTCTCTTTCTCTCCTCCCCAACTTTTTTCTGAAAGCCTTGATTTCTGTAGACAGAACTATGGTTTTTGGCATGTTGGGTCAAGACGTGTTTCTATAGGAAATGCTTGCACGTGGCACTGGCTTGGTGAGTCAAGCTTCCTGAGCTTCAGACCGTTTGTCCTGTCATCTGTCCTGCCCAACACTGTATGGTTTTTCTCTAGCACGGCTTCAATTTTGTTCTCTGCACAAAGCCTTTGGTGGTTCTGCCCTCTGCCCTCCAGCTTTACCCACCAGAGTAAGCAATCTTTTCTTTTTAGAAATCAAGAATTTGGCTTCACAGATGGCTTCTCACAGATGCCCTCCTGCCAGCCAAACCGGACTTGTTCTTCCTGCCTCTGTGCCTTCTCTCATTCTCCTTCTCTCCCTCCATACCCCACTTTTGAGGTTCTGTGGGTACCATCTTTGTGGACTCTTGTCTTTTTTTTCAACCCACATGGAGTGCCCTGTGTGTACATACTGACCTTTTTTTTTTTTTTTTTTTTTTGCTTGAACTCTGGTCGGTATGAGCTCCTTAAAAGCAGGTACTGGGCTGGCTGTGGTGACTCATGCCTGTAATCCCAGCACTTTGGGAGGCTGAGGTGGGAGGATTGCTTGAGTCCAGGAGTTTGAGACCAGCCTGGGCAACATGGCGAGACCCTGTTTCTACAAAAAGAAAAAGGGAAAAAAAAAGCAGGGACTGTCATTCTCATCTCCTCCCTGGGGTATCCACAGGAATGGACATTCAAATGGTTGTAGCCTGGTGGGGTAGAAGGCAGAGAAGACTACCCAGCCAGTGAAGTGCAGAGGATAGACATAGGAAAACATTCCAGGCATTTGGAGACAGCTGAAAGTATCCATGCTGACTTTCATGATTTAGAAGTCTTTAACTGAATTATTAAAATTGCCTTTTTTTTGTGCTGTACAATGTCTACTGTACTGTGGGTCATTTAGATGAGATGAAAAACTTAATTAAATCTGAAGTGTCAGAGGCGCTTAGTAAGCCTTAGTAAAGTTGTGATTGAAGAAACTTAATACAAATGAACTAGAGGTTTGTAATCATGCCACTCACTAACGATTTTATTTCTGTAGCAGAATCATTTTTTCTATGTAAGGTGTTAATGTGTGTGTATGTGCTTTGGTTGTAGGAAAACTTGAAAATTCCAAAATCCTTATTTTCCTATTTGAGAGGCTGGTTCAGCAGGGTGTGTGTGTGTGTGTGTGTGTGTGTGTATGAATGGTATATTTATTACATTATTTTGAAAGAGAATTAGTGTGTTATGTGGATAATGTTATATACAGCCAAAGTGGATGTTTCTATTTGGCAAGGAAGGTAGGATTTCTGAAACTCAGGCCTTAACCAATAGGTTGGAAGACAAGACCAATTGAAGAGTTAGGAAATGTGAGTTTTTGTTACTTCTGTTATTCCAGTCTTGGTTTCATTGTCTCATTCTTTATTTTTAAAATCTTGTGCCTAAAAGTTTTTTTGCTTAATTATGAAGTAGACATGCATGTTTACATTTATGTAAAATATTTGCTGTGTAAAGTATTTTTTGTTTATTCTCTTAAAAGATCACTATATTTAAATAAAAGTGAAGGTCAGCAACACATTTCTTGTCTTGGTGGGTTTCATTTTCTTTTAGAAATCAATGAGCAATATAGGGTTCTTTTAAGAACCTTCTGTGCTTAAGCCTAAATAGCTAACTAAATGGATTCCTTTTTAATTTGGTGTTTATAATCATTAGGAAGTATACCTCAGCTTTTAAAAGGTGTGACATTCAAAACTGAAGGACGAACTTCAGTTTTTAAAAGGTATGAAGTTCAAAACTGAATTACATCTGAGGCCATTTTACTTGGTCTGAGAAGGAGGGCTTAGTTTGGGTCTGAGAACCATGCAACAGTTAAACTGAATCCCTAGACATATCCTATTGTCATTTTAGTTTACCAGATTCCTTCTGCCTGGAATGCTATGCCACACACACCTCTGACTCCCAGCTGACATTTGGCTAGAAATCCTGACCTCCTGCTTCCATTCTCCACTTCTGCTTCAGCAGTGCTCACATTTACCTGTGGTCTTGGCTCCTCTGCTAGACTGTATAAACTTCTAGGTAGGCAGTGGCCATATTCCTTTTTAATTCGCTGTAGTGTCTCTAATGGGTGCTCAATATATTTGGATTGAATTAAATTACGTGTTAAGTCTAGAAATCCTCTGCTACTTAATTCTGCAATGTGCTTGTTCCCTCAGATGGTAATAGGAGTTAGACTTGAACCATCTCAGTGGGGAAGTGGTGGTGTCCATCACTGAAGGGAGTTTTATCTTCAGTTAACTATTGCCACTGTAATGTTCTGTAACAAACCATCCCAAAACTCAATGACTAATAAGCATTTATTTTGCTCACAAGTCTGAGTTGGCTTTAGACTGGCCTTAGCTGGACAGTTCTGGTCTTGATTGGCTCCCTCATAGGCCTGGCAGTTGACTGAGGTTCAGCTGATCTAGGATGGCTTTGGCCAGCAGAGTGGGGGCAACAGCTCTGCTCCATGTCATCTCCACCAGCCTAGCCTGGGCATGTTGTCATGGCAAAGGCAGAGAGGTGTAAGAGTAAGAGAGGAACCAAAATACTTCTGTCACAATTGCTAAGACATCATTGGCCAAACCAAGTTAGAGAGCTAAGTTCAGAATGAAGGGGTGGGGAAATCCATTCCCCAAAATTGATGGGAGGAGTTGAAAAAGAGATTGGAAAGGGTGTAGATACAGGGAGGTGGGAAGAATTGTGGCTATTAATGCCATCTATTACATTCACATGCCCTGTGACTGCCATGTTTGAGACCACTGGGCCACATGATCGCTAAGTCCCCTCCCAATTCTGGCATTGTTCCTGGCCAGATAAACGAAAGTTCCAGTAAGAGTTAAGATATTTCTATTCATGATTCATGCAGAGGGCACCAAAAGCCACCCAATGGCTTCTCTTGGCTTGGCCCTCCCTCCTTCATTCACTGTGTATAGTTTGCTCCCCTCCTGCCATTTCTTACCAAGAGCACTATTCCAGTTATCTGTTGCTAAGTAACAAGCTACTTCCCAGAACTTGGTGGTTTAAAACAATCACTATTTTACATCATGGAATTTGTTGGTTACAAATTGGGACAGAGCTTGGCTAGGCAGGTCAGCTTCTTGTGGCTTTAACTGTGGTACTTAGCTGGCAGATGGGCTGGACTGCAGGGTCCAAGCTAGCTTCACTCACATGCCTGGCATCCTGGTGGAGGTGGCTGGAAGCAGGCTCCTGGAACCTCTGGGCCCATGGATTGTAATGGTGAATTGCTCAAATGTAACAATCTCCTTGGTGAATTGCCAAGGTCCTTGACCTGTAAGCTGATTATCATCACACAAGTGCTGAAGAACTGCATTGAAAATTTAAATTGGCTCACTCTACTGTGGGGGAAGGATGGGGCCGAACAATTCCAGTAAAGCAGGCATTGGGGAATAGGTCGGCCCATTAATTGTAATGAGCTTTGGAGATTATTTAGCAATTTGACCCACACATACCCTCCATGCCCCTAGCGGAGCGATGGCCTATGTGTCTGTCCCAGGAGACACTCAGAAATTGTCCCATCCGCTTCCCCAGCACTGGTTCCTAAGTGAAGTGCTGGTGACCAAGCTGCCATCAAAAACCTTACTTTGCTTCCAAATCTGTTACTAAAACGGCTTTGCAGGTGGACAGATAAGAGGTCTAGGGCCAAACCCCAACCCTACACTTCCCTGGTCATGGTAGGAGTTCCGGGACGGCCTAGAGAATCCCAGAGACAGGCTGGATCCTTGGGGGTCAGTTGAGCACAGCTTGAGCTTCTGTTACTGGTGAAAGCATCAGAACCAGTCCAGTACTGAAAGAGTAAAAAAATCAGTCTGGGTAGAGAGAGTAAGTCAGCTCTGTGCCCCTACCATGCCTCAGACTGTCATAGCCGACACCAGAAAGCCAGTTGCAACGTTAACAGGAGAAATATTTCTCCCACACTGCTGCAATTGAAAAGTGTCATAACCATTCCTTTTTTTTTTTTTTCCTTCAGAGGGAGTCTTGCTCTGTTGCCCAGGCTGGAGTGCAATGCATGATGCTCACTACAATCTCTGCCTCGCAGGTTCAAAAGATTCTCCTGCCTCAGCCTCCCAAGTAGCTGGGATTACAGGTGCCTGCCACCATGCCCAGCCACGTTTTTTGTATTTTTAGTAGAGATGAGGTTTCACCATGTTGGCCAGGCTAGTCTCAAACTCCTGACCTCAGGTGATCCACCCACCTTGGCCTCCCAAAGTGCTGGGATTACAGGCAAGAGCCACTGCATCCGGCCAACCATTCCTTATTTTGAGTGACTACTGCTTTCTTTCCAATGACATCTCTAGCCTTGCTTTGTTACTCCCGCCACCTGAAAAAAATCACTGTGAAACTTTGTGAATACCCCTAGATCCCCAAAGAGGTGATTGATTTGGCCTGAGCCACTAAATAATGATAACAACAAATAAAATCCAACACTTCCAAAACATTTTTTTTTTTTTTTTTTTTTTGGAGACAGTCTCACTCTGTCACCCAGGCTGGAGTGCAGTGGCACGATCTCAGCTCACTGCAACTTCTGACTCCCAGGTTCAAACGATTCTCATGCTTCAGCCTCCCCAGTAGCTGGGATTATAGGTGTGCACCACTACACCTGGCTAATTTTTGTAGTTTTAGCAGAGTTGGGTGTTTCACCATATTGGCCAGGCTGATCTTGAACTCCTGACCTCAGGTGATCTGCCCACCGTGGCCTCTCAAAGTGCTGGGATTACAGGCGTGAGCCACCACACCCGGCCTTAAACCATGTTATCACTAAAATTCACCACAACCTTGAAATAAGGTACTATTATTCCCCATTTAGAGGTAAGAAAACAGAGACTCAGAGAAGTGAAGTAAATTAAGCGGGTTAATTAAACAGCGAGTTTGTGGCAGAGCCAGGCTTCAAATCCAGATGTGTGAATCCAATCTTCTGCTTTTTTCACAAACTACACCACATCTTTCTTGACCTATGGCACTCTGTGAGAAGTCAGTCTCTGTGAGTGGACCTGTCAAAATCAACCAGGCCTGCAATCCCAGTACTTCAGGGTGTGGAGGTGGGAAGATCGCTTGAGGCCAAGAGTTTGAGACCACCCTGGACAACATAGTGAGACTCAATCTCTACCAAAAAAAAAAAAATTAAAAGACTCGAACAGCAGGCCGGGCACGGTGGCTCACATCTGTCTATAATCCCAGCACTTTGGGAGGCCAAGGCAGGCAGATCACTTGAGGTCAGGAGTTCGAGACCAGCCCAGCCAACATGATGAAACCCCATCTCTACTAAAAGTACAGGCCGGGTGCGGTGACTCACACCTGTAATCCCAGCACTTTGGGAGGCCGAGGCAGGCGGATCACGAGGTCAGGAGATTGAGACCATCCTGGCTAACATGGTGAAACCCCGTCTCTACTAAAAATACAAAAAATTAGCCAGGTGTGGTGGCGGGCGCCTGTAGTCCCAGCTACTCAGGAGGCTGAGGCAGGAGAATGGTGTGAACCCGGGAGGTGGAGCTTGCAGTGAGCTGAGATCACACCACTGCACTCCAGCCTGGGCAGCAGAGTGAGACACTGTCTCAAAAAAAAAAAAAAATACAAAAATTAGCCAGACATGGTGGCTTGTACCTATAATCCCACCTACTCAGGAGGCTGAGGCAGGAGAATCACTTGAACCCGGGAGGCAGAGGTTGCAGTGAGCTAAGATTGTGCCACTGCACTCCAGCCTGGGCAACAGAGCGAGACTCCATCTCAAAAAAAAAAAAAAAAAAAAAAGAATCAACCAGTAGCTTTCTGGGTATGGTGTGAGCAGTCTTCCCAAAGGTTTGCCTCAAGCAACTCAGCACCTATTCCTGCCAAAAGGAGAAGCAAAACCAGATAACCAGTGGAATGGACATTATGTGTGCCCTGTACCCATTCCCCCAATTCATGCTCCCCAATATTTGGTCCAGAAGTCACCCCCATGTAGCCTCTGTGCTTCTGCAGAATCTCCAGGGGATAGGCTAAGAATAACGTGTCTAACAGTGCTAAGCTAAGCCCATGGCCTGGGTCAGCAACATTCTAGAAGAGGAAGAGCATTGTAGCCGATTGTTTGGCTGGATGGTAGTGATGGGGAACAGTTCCCAGGTTGGGCATGCAGAAGGTTTTCCGGTACTTTGGATTAAGACAGGATGCAGTGGTCCTAAATTCTTATAACCTTTGTCTCCATGGGTTCAGGAACCCAGCCTTCATTCGTCAGCAAGTGCCATTCTCCTGACCAATAGAAATTGGTTCAGTAACAGGCGTGTGACCCAAAGCAGACCAAGGAGGCTCACTGCCTCCTTGGTTTGCTGGGGATTTCCAGAAAATAAATTTTCTTTCTTTTTTTTCTTTTTTTTTTTTTTTTTTGAGAAAGGGTCTCACCCTGTCACCCAGGCTGGAGTCCTGTGGTGTGATTATGGCTCACTGCAGCCTGAACCTGCTGGGCCCAAGCGATCCTCCTGCCTCGGCCTCCCAAGTAGCTGAGAGTGAAGGTGTACGCCACTCCACCCAGCTGATTTTTGTATTTTTTATAGAGATGGGGTTTCGCCATGTTATACAGGCTGATCTCGAACTCCTGAGCTCAAGCAATTCACCCACCTTAGCCTACCAAAGTGCTGGGATTACAGGCATGAGCCACCATGCCTGGCTGGAAAAGAATTTCTTGAGAGCCACTGGAACAGGCATTGTCTCTTCCTCTGGATTCTGCAGGGTGCAGATGTAAGCTTGAAACTGCAGCAGTCAACACCCTAAGGATCCACCCTAAGGATCAAATTAATGGAAAGGTTCAAATAGTTGAGAGGATAGTAGAGGAATAGAGTGGGGACCTTGACTGAATCATGCCTGATCACCCCACCCCAGTGGACTTTTAAAGTTATATGAACCAATAAATATGTGGTATTCAGACTGGATTTTCTGTTCTTGCCAACAAAAGCATATGGACTGGCATAGCCTTCTTTGGTGACCAACTGCATCTCTGAGACCCTGTCTTATTCTAAGCCACCCCATGTGACAGCCTCAGGAGCAGCTAAGGGAATCCGTTCCTGTTCCTAGGGTATGTTGTCAGAGGTGAAGGGCAGGCGCCACACCCACAATCTGTTAGAGCTGCAAGAAAAATCAGCCCTTATTGAAAGTCTTTTTCAGGTGAGGAAATTGAGACCATGAGAAGTGATGAACCCAGTCTGAATCCAGGTACCTGCACCCCCTGTTCAGTGTTCTTCCCTCCACATTCATTGTAGCACCCCAACTTCCTCCAGGACCAGCAGATTATCTCAGGAAACATCTACTTGGCATAGATGAGCTCTTGGATACCAATTATGTGGCTCCCTGGGCAGCACAGCCACTTTTCTTCATGGGGAACCAGCTCCCTACATCACAGTTAGGATTTCAGGAAGGGCTGGGAGCTGCCCACCTTCCCCGATCTCTCATCTTTCAATTTCAAAATGCCAAAGGGCCAGAATTACTACTATTACACATATTCTTAAAACATGTGACTTTGAATCCTTTCATGTCCTGAGCCTTTCAGAACCGTCCCTTGAAATAGCTCCAGATAGGCCCATCCCTAATATTTCGGGGACCAGGAAAGAGCATATATGGACACTCACATACCAAATGTTTAGGTATTTACATTATAATCAAAGAACAGACTATTTTTGTTGTTTTGCTTTTTGTTTTTTAGAGGTGGCGGGCGGGGAGGGCGGTCTCACTGTGTTGCCCAGGCTGGCCTTGAGTTCCTGGACTCAAGTGATCCTCTCTCCACAGCCTCCCAAGTAGCTGGGACTACAGGCACATGCCACCTGATCTGGTTTGGCTGTGTCCCCACTCAAATCTCATCTTGAATTCCCACATGTTGTGGGAGGGACCCAGTGGGAGGTAACTGAATCATGGGGGCAAGTCTTTCCCGTGCCGTTCTTGTGATAGTGAATAAGTCTCATGAGATCTGACGGTTTTAAAAGGAGGAGTTCCCCTGCAAAAGCTCTTTCTCATTCTCTCTCTTTCCCTGCTGCCATCCACGTAAGATGTGACTTCTGCCATGATTGTGAGGCTTCCCCAGCCACGTGGAACTGTAAGTCCAATTAAACCTCTTTCTTTTGTAAATTGCCCGGTCTCAAGTACGTCTTTGTCAGCAGCATGAAAATGGATAAATACAAATTCCTGGACTTAAGTGATCTCTCACCACAGCTTCCCAAATAGCTGGGACTATAGGCACATGCCACCACTCCCAATTAAATGATTCAATATGTTCTATCTGCTTCCCTCAAAAAGGATACTTTCATAAAGAATGGAAGGCCAGGTTTGAATTTGGAATTTTAGATTCCACAAAGTCCTGTGGTAGCAAGAGGAGAGGAGGGTCCAGCCCCTTGCCAGATCCCCTTCTGTTTTTACCCCTGGCCCATCCCACACTAAGAAGGGCTTCATGTGTGTCCATGAGGAAATCCCAGCCCACATTCCAAGCCCCATCTATAATTCCTACAAACAACTTTTTGCTGGCCACCCCCAGGCCTGCATGTGTTTCAGGTCACACTCAGGAGGACAGACATGGGCAAGAGGCCTGCAGGTCTAGGAAGCAGGCTCAAGACCACTTGGGTGGGGAACTGTGGTTTCCCAGGTACCTGGAGCATGGTCTAGGAGTGGGGCTTGCAAGCTCCAGCGGGTATGTTACTTTGGCCACATAGAGACCTCACCCTGTGGGGAGGGTAATGGCCAGAGGAGGGCCAGGGTAGGGCCCTCCAGCCTTGGGACCCAGGACAGGGCCTCTCTTGGCCAGATCCAGGAGTAGTACTAGACCTCCATTCCATCCTAAACAAGGTCCTAAAACTAGGGCTGAGGACAGGGCTGGCCTAGCAAGACTGGGTTTTTTGACCTTGGGCAAGTCCATGACATCTCTGGATCTGTTTCCTCCCTTGTGCCTGAGGGAACTGGAATGCTTCCACATTGTAGAACCCTCCACAGAGTTTGGGAAGCAGATTTGAATTTAGACTCCTCCCTCCATCTGGCAATGCTGAGACACCGGCCCCACCCCCACCACCAACGGAAGAGAGAGCCACAGTGGGGAAATGAACTGCCTTTATTTTTTTATTTCCCATCCAGAAACCCCAGTGTGATGGTGGAAGCAGCATGAAAACAACATCTCCCCAGGCCTCGCAGTAGAGGCGAAGGGAACAGGGCTGCCCATGTGCCTGTCTCTAAAGACGCCACCCTCAGGTTGATGTCACCTGTGGGAGACCGGGTCCACCTACAGACACCAGGTGATGGTCCACCAGGCCCCAAGCTCCAGCCTGCTGAGTCCCCAAGACACAGGCTCATTAAATAGCTTCGTACAAAAACCCAAGGGTGTCCCTCCAGCTGGTAAAAATTGGGCAATTTCTACTTGAGGTCTGCTGTGGGGGTGGACCTCACCTTGGAGATGTCTTTCCAGAATAAAACTAAGCCCTACTCAGGAAAAATGGTGATGAAAGGCAGCTCACAGACATGCACGACTAATAATCTTATTGAAAAGGGAGGAGCTCAGGCACACAGGAGGACAAGGCTATGCAATATGCAGACATGAAAGAAATGCCACGGGACGCTGTCAGGGGTCAGCAGGAGGCAAAGAGGTAGAGCTCTGGCCAGGAACGCTCTGCCTAGAGAGAGCCCTCTGCAGCTGGCCCTAGATCGGGGACTCAGGGGAGTATCTGCCTAAGGACCAAGGAGACACCAACAGCCTGCCCAGGTGTGGGCTTGTGCAGGTCACACAGTCCTCATGAGTCTCCTGGACAGGAAATGGACATGAGGGACATTTTTGAGACAGGGGGCAAAGTGCAGAGAGAGCCAAGAGGTCAAGATGGTGCCAGAGATTTTGAAACCACAAGAGCCGCCCCTTTGGGAAACACTGAGAAGAGGAGCCTCTTCTCTAGCCTCTGCTTGGGGCAAGCCTGGGTCAGGTGGGTTCTCAGTACTTTTTCACAGTTAAGTCTTTTCCTGGGCAGCCACATCCACGTCAGGCTGGGCTGGGCTGTGGCCAGTCGAGGGGTCCTTTGGCAGGTTCAAAGCTGTGAGCCACCCCGAGAGAACGTGCCCACTTCCCTGCTTTGTGGTTCATAGGCCTAGAGAGACCCGACAGCGGGCTGCCCAGTGTGAGTGAGAATGCCTGCACGTTTCGGTGGTCAGGGGCGGAGAGGCCTGTACTCCAGATTCCCCAAAGAGATCAAAACATTCTAAAACAGCCTGCAGGTCTGTGTGTGTCTAACAGTGCTCAGCCAAGTCCACGGCCTGGGTCAGCAACATTCCAGAAGAGGAAGAGCATTGTAGCCGGTTGTTTGGCCAAATGGTAGCGATGGGGAACAGGTCTCAGGTTGGGCATGTGGAAGGTTTTCCAGTACCTTGGATTAAGACAGGATGCAGTGGTCCTAAATTCTTCCAGTCAGACTGAGTTAACAGCATGTCTTAGTAGCAGGAATTTGTCCTTGTTTTTGTCACACAAAGGTTGGTGGAGACGGGGCCAGGACATGGCCAGTTTGATGACAGTGGAGAAGCTGCTGCCAGTTCTGTGGGGCGCAGCCCACCTTCTCCTCACGGCCCTCAGGTGAAGTAGCGGCAGGGCGTGGAGTCGATGTAGCAGTACTGGGTGCATTGCAGGTCTCCATATGACCTGAGGGAGGCAAAGACACGTTCTAAAAGGCCACCTCTTATATGCTGGTGACTTCCGGTCAAACCTTATCAAACAGCGGCCAAGGGCCAATGGCTCTACAAGAACTTTTTCCCATTCTCATTTGGAGTGAGAGGCCTGGGGGAGTTGAATCATGTCTCTGGGATTTTTGCCTTGAGGTCTAGCTCGGGGCCTGGGTGGAAGGAGGTGGTTGCCCTGCTCTTAGCACAGCATCTGTGAGGGAATCCCCCTTGCTACGATGCAGCCTACCAACAAAAATGTCCTGTATCTGTGAAGCCACTGGCCAGATGTGGCTATTGAGCTCTTGAAATGTAGTTACTGTGACTGAATAACTGCATTTTTTTTTTTTTTTTGAGACAGAGTTTCGCTCTGTCCCCCAGGCTGGAGTGCAGTGGTGTGATCTCGGCTCACTGCAGCCTCTGCCTCCCAGGTTCAAGCGATTGTCCTGCCTCAGCTTCCTGAGTACCTGGGATTACAGGCACGTGCCACCAAGCTCAGCTAATTTTTGTATTTTTAGTAGAGGTGGGATTTCACCATGTTGGCCAGGGTGGTGCCGAACTCTGAACCTCAGGTGACCTGCCCGCCTTGGCCTCCCAAAGTTCTGGAATTACAGGCGTGAGTCACAGTGCCTGGCCTGAGTAACTGCATTTTAAGTTTACTTATAATGACTTTACATTTGAACAGCAGCCTGTGAATGGGGGCTACCATATTGGACAGTGCAGTTTATACCTCTGTAGGCCCGGATGATCATCCGAGACAGGGCGTTAAACCTTACAGGCACAGTCACAGGCGTCCCTCTGAGGCTTCTGGGGAATAGCTGTGTAACCACAGTGAGCGTGGGGGAGCCCTGGGCTCTACTCGATCCTGTACTCCATATCTGATCGTCTACATTGATTTGTCTCTGTGGAGCCATGAAGAGCCAACTCTCTGGCAGAGGCCTGTCAGGGGTCTTCCTTCCTTCAGGGAGAGGGGCACTGCACACAGACACATACATGGAGTGGGGTCCTGGCCAAGCCTAAATGGGCTTAGAGTCTGGGGGAGACTGGGGGAGACTACAGGTCTGTAGTTCTCCCAGCCTGGTTGAACATGCTAATATCTGAGTGTTAGGGAGACCCCCTTGGAAGAGAGAGCACAGAGAAGGCAATGGAGAGACAGGCATGGCTCCCCAGCCCTGCCAAGGGCCCAGGTCCGAGTCTACAAGAGAAAATGGGATGGGAGCAAAAGCTGAAGGGACTGGACTCAAGGACAGAAGAGATCGGAAGCACCAGTAGATCCACTCTGGAACCCAGTGAAGAGCAGGGCATGGCCTAGGTAAAAAGGAACGGCCTCCCCATTTTCCTGAGAACGTTGTACAACTCTGGTTCTGTAAGGACTGGGGAGACATGTACCTTCTGCACCTTGGAAGGAGCCCAGTGGTTACAATCTGGGCATGGAATCAGCACCTCATGGGGCGGTGGCCCTCAGTTGGCTTGGCAGGCGCCAGTGTGGAGCCAGGACACTAGAATACTTGTCCTGAACAACATAAATAGCCACTGAGGACTCTCAGAAATAACTAGAGGGGTCCTTGGAGGGAGTATTTTCTTGGAGGGGCCATGAGCTTGCAAAATTAGATATTAAGGCTGATTTGATCTCACTTGCAGTCACAGGCATGCCTGAGGGATGGGCAGGGTGTTCCAGGGAAGTCAGGTTAGGTAGACATGTCGATTCTTGGAAATGCCCTGAGACCTTTACTCTCCACTGGGCTTCCCACCTAGGCCCACAGCCCAGGAGACTATGTAGTCATGGTGACCACTGGGTTTGGGGGCTGCTCATGCAGGGCAGCAGCTGAGCTCAGAGACCGCAGCTCCCCTCTGGGCCTTGGATGGAGCAGGTGGCTGTGGGTGCCGTGGCTCAGTCTCAGTGGCACGCAGGCAGTGCTGACCAAGAGGGCACGTGGTAGGCAGGGAGCACGTGTTGTGTCATTCATCACCATACCTCAGTGTCTAGAAGGCACCACAAAGTGGAGAGGCACTCAAAATATTTGTGAAGGAAAGAAGGAAAGCAAAGAGGAGGGAGGGAGAAAGAAGGGGGAGAGGGAGGGAGGGGAGTCATCCCTACCCAGGGAGATAGGTCTCGCATGTCAGGTAGCCAAAGTCAGAGCCGTCACAGTCCTCCACACCCTCATGCCGGTGACCATCTCCACAGTAGGCACGGTGACAGCCTGAGGGGACATAAGGAGGTGCAGTCTTGAGAAGGAGCAGAGGCGATAGGCTTGCCTCAGCTTGTAAGGACCATGCGGCCCAAGGGATCCAACCTAAGTGCTGCACCCCTTAAAGAACTGACCTCCATTAAGCTTCACACTCCTCCAGGGACTGCCCACAGGCTCTGGTCCCACAGCGATGTGCCATGGGACAAGAAGAAGGAGATCCTGGCTCCAGCCCCGCCTCACAACTTACTAGCTGAGGGGTGGGGAGACTCCAGGTTGTTATCTGCAAAACTGGGACACTGACATGACCTCCACCTCATAAAGCCAGTGTGGGGGTCCCGGGAGTGAGGGTTGGAAGACTGCTGAGCCCCAGTGAGGGTGCATGGTGACTCTCATCTGTCAACAGAGAGCTTCTGTGTGACACTGGTGAGCCCAGCCTTGTGTCCCTGGGGAGCCACATGATCTTCAGCAAAGACCTCTGCTCTCACACGATGGGAGGGTGTTGGAGTATGGATCCCAGCGTTGTTTTCACAGGGCAGGGACAGTCCATTAGTTCCTTCCTACTGTGAGAGCTCCTATTTGACACTGTGCACCAGAGGCAGAAGGGACTCTGGGCAGGGCCAGCCTTCTAGGGGATGCCATCCCTGGAGCTGTCGGGAGACAGTTCGGCCACACTGAGACAGTCAGCAGCATCTCCCGCCACCCACTCTGCCCTGTCATCCTTCCCCTGAACTGTTTTTTTTTTTTTTTTTTTTTTGAGACAGGGTCTCGCTCTGTTTCCCAGCCTGGAGTGCAGTGGTGCAATCGCAGTTCACTGCAGCCTTGAACCCCTGGGCTCAAATCATCCTCCCACCTCACCCTCCTAAGCAGCTGGGACTACAAGTGCGCACCACCAGGCCTGGCTAATTTTTTTAATTTTTATTTTTTTTTGTAGAGATTGGGTCTTGCTCTGTTGCCCAGGCTGGTCTTGAACTCCTGGGCTCAAGTGATCCTCCAACCTCAGCTTCCCAAAGTGTTGAGATTACAGGCATGAGCCACTGTGCCCAGCCTCCCCTGAGCTTCTTGAGAGCAAGGACCATGACTTTGCATCCACACATCCAGCCCTGAGCCCCAGCCTGGATCTTTAGAGCAGGGGCTTAAACCACAAGCCCTAAATGAATTCAGTGAATGGTGGTTGAACCCTTACTATATCCAGATAATCTCTGCACATGTTAGCTCACAGGATCTCTAGGGACTTGAGCAGCCAGCACATCATACCCATTTTACAGGCAAGGAAAGTGAGGCTCAGAGCTGTAAATTGCCCCCCATTACCCCACCCACCATGTGGCCTCTGCCTTGAGCCTGAGGGTGGTTGGTGTTTCTCAGGGCCTGCATTCAACCTCTGTTGACTCTAAAGCTCCTGCTTTCCATCACACCTCCTGGTTTTGTTACTTGATTAAAAACAAAAACAAAAACAAACAAAAGCAAGCCCTCCAGAGCCTGCTGCCTACCAGTTAAGGCAGCAGCCCACGAGGCTGACAGCAGCTCTGGCTGGCCCAGTTTCCCCTACGGAGGGCTTTGCTACTAGAGCTCTACCTGGTAAATGAGCCCTCATTCAGATTCTTGGCCTCTCCCTTTTGCCTTTCACTACTCCATGCAAAGTGAGAGCCCATCACCTTTATCTTCTGCACCTGTAACATGGGTTTTGCTAAGATGTAGGACTGGGAGGACCTGGTGGCTACATTTTGAGATAAAGAAGGCCTAACTGGGGGCAGGATCCTTGACATCCGCCCCTGGTGAGGTGCTTGGGTGGTGGAAGAGTTAATATTTGGGCTGAAACTGGGGCAGCAGGGACTGGGGTGGGTGGCACAAGGTGGCCTGGGTATACCCTTCTCTGGCTCTAGAAAGGTCCCAAAGCACCACAGCTGGTGTCCAGGGCTGGCCCTGAGTCCCACCCCCCTGCTGTTCAGGCCTCAGGTCCTCCTGGTCTGGGCCTCACTCACGGATGCAGTCGTCACCCACATCGCTGTTACCGTCGTCACACTCCTCCCCAGGCTGCAGGAGCCCATCCCCACAGGTGCCGTGCTGGTCTGCAGTGTAATCCACAGGGTAGAAAGGGGTCAGCTGGCCAAAGAAGCACACAGCATTAACTGGAGCATGGCATACCCAGGCAGCCGCAGGCAGGGAGGTCATTGGTTTTGGTCCAAAGGCACTGCTGGGGGGCATGCCTTGACTTCCTCCCAGGGGTGGGAAAGGTACTCCTTTCCTGTTGCCCAGAGCTCTGTAGCTGGTTAAATGTTGGGTCAGATCAAGACAGCAACCTGGCACGCAGGGATGTGGAGACCATCTGGAACCCTGGCTCAGAGAGGGGCTTCTATTTGGGAGTCAGGGTGGGGGAATGGAGGGCTGCTCAGAGAGAGTTTGAGGGAGGATGCTCAGCCCTCCCATGCAGACAGACTGTAGAAAGCCCTCCCCAGGCCCAGTGGGGTGGCCTTCCCTTCCTTTAATGGATGCATCTCTCTCCTGGGCAGGGAGTATGTCCTGAGGTAATGGCCTGGGGGTACCTGGATGGGGAGCCAGCCAAGGCTGTCCTTGAAGTACAGAGATCTCTGGTCTCTGCGGAAGGCAATGGCGTTTTGGGTGTTCAGCCTCTCAAGCTCCTCCTGGTTGTTGACCACAAAAATCTGCCAGAGAACACACTGGTGAGGATTCCAGAAAACACTTCTGCAGGGGGCAGGAAAAAAGCTGGAGGAGGAAACAGAATCTCTATCCTTGGGCTGCTCAACAGTGGGAAGAGGGGTTTGCACACTACACTCTAGCATTCCTTCTGAAGTGAGAGGAGTGTCTTGATTCCCTCATCTTCTCAATCGAGTTCCTAATGTCTGAGTTTGAAACTAAAATATTCACTCGGATTTAACTTTTTTTTCTTTTTTTCTTTTGTTTTTGAGATGGAGTCTCACGCGGTTGCCCAGGCTGGAGTGAAGTAGCGTGATCTCGGCTCATTGCAACCTCTGCCTCCCGGGTTCAAGCAATTCTCCTGCCTCAGCCTCTCGAGTAGGTGGGATTACAGGTGTGCACCACAATGCCTGGCTAACTTTTGTATTTTTAGTAGAGATAGGGTTTCGCCATGTTGGCCAGGCTGGTTGCGAGCTCCTGACCTCAAGGTGATCCACCCACCTCGGCCTCCCAAAGTTCTGGGATTACAGGCATGAGCCACCGCGCCCGGCCTCGGATTTAACATTTTTAAATATTTAAAACGTTCCCAAGACTTAAGTTAAAAGGCAATGTCATATAGTCAAGTAATTTGACATCTGGAAGTGATTCTTAAAATTATCCTACTCAAAGATATTCTTTACAGCATTATTTACATTAGTAAAAAGCTTGGGGGTGGCCAATAAGCAATAGGTTGGTTAAACACCAACACTGGTTAAGTAAATTGTAGCACAGCCACACTAGATGGATGATTATGATGAACAGATGTCCAAGGTTTACTTCAAAATAATACAACAGAGAATGGGCAGGAGTGAGTAGGCATAAAGAGAAAACAAGGACACAGGCTCGCCATGAGTTGATCATTATTAAAGTTGGGTGAAGGGTACACAGGGGTTCATTACACTATTTGTTCTGCTTTTATATGTATTTGAAATTTTCCCTAATAAAAAGTTTAAAATGTTATTTATAGAGTGTGGAAACATGGCAGGATTTCAACTAAGATAACAAAGTATAACTTTTTTTGAGACGGAGTCTCGCTCTGTTGCCCAGGCTGGAGTGCAGTGGTGCTATCTCAGCTCACTGCAATCTCCGCCTCCTGGGTTCAAGCGATTCTCCCACCTCAGCCTCCCAAGTAGCTGAGACAACAGGCGTGCACCACCGCGCCCGGCTAATTTTTTAAATATATTTTTTAGTAGAGATGGGGTTTCACTGTATCGGCCAGGCTGATCTCGAACTCCTGACCTTATAATCCACCCACCTTGGCCTCCCAAAGTGCTGGGATTACAGGCATAAGCCACCATGCCCGGCCAAAAGTACATTTTTATACAATATAATCTCAACCATATAAAAGTTAGATTTTAATAAGACAAAGAAAATACCCCAAAATGGACTCACAATCAAATGGACAATTTGGTTTTCCTCTTGATTTTCTCATATTTTCCAATTTCCTATAATGAGGGTGTACTCAGAGTCGTGAAAAAAAGTTAGTTTTACTGAAAGGATTTTACAAAGCCCCATAAGGATCAGGTGAGAGGTCCTCACGGATAACCACCCCAGACTTCTCCCAGAAAGCCTTACCACAGGAACTCGCGGGGAACTGGGCCCATACACAGATTCCCCGTAGGAAGGGTTATTCACATTCATAGTGGGTCCACAAAGACATCTTCCTGGAGGCCCGGGAAATCCTCTTTCCCCTTTGGGTCCCATTATAAGTTGTCCTAGGAAGCAACAGACTGCTGTGTTACTAGAGCCAAGGAAGAGAAGACCAAACAACCAGGGAGATGTGAGCGACCTTTGCAACAGAAAAAAGGTTAAAGTCCACAGCATTTCAGGGTATGCCTGAGGGAGAGGTTCAAAGAGATGCTTTTGATCCAAGACATGGAGGAGCTAAGGTAAGAAAAATAGCTGGTAGGCGATAGTTTCCCCCTCCTTCCTGCCTTGAAGACAGGCAAGATGTCTGGTGTTGCAGCAGCCGTGTTGCAACCAGGAAGTCACAAGCATGAGAAGATAAGCCAACATGCAGGAAAGACGAAAGGCTCATGGGGCCTGGGGCCCTGACAGTGACAGTCAGAGGCTGAATCAAAGCCAGCTACTGCCTGCCTCTGGATTTCTTTATTGGAGAAAAACAATGTCTTATTTGTTTAGACCATTATTAACAGAGGGCTTCTTGCCGACAAACACATTATTGACTGTTAACTTTTATTGTTTTAAAAAACTTTTGTTTTTCTTATATATAGAATTTTTTTTTTTTTTTGAGATGGAGTCTTGCTCTGTTGCCCAGGCTGGAGTGCAGTGGCACGATCTTGGCTCACTACAACCTTTGCCTCCCAGGTTCAAGTGAGTCTCCTGCCTCAGCCTCCTGTGTAGCTGGGATTACGGGTGTGTGCCACCACACCAGGCTAATTTTTGTATTTTTAGTAGAGACGGGGTTTTGCCATGTTGGCCAGGCTGGTCTCGATCTCCTGACCTCAAGTAATCCGCCCACCTCAGCCTCCCAAAGTGCTGGGATTACAGGCGTGAGCCACCATACCCAGCCAATGTAGGATCTTTACAGAGGAATTTCTGGATGTGGGTTTCTTTCATTTCTTCTGGAAGAAAATAGAACATTAGTATATGCTCTGCCCATTTACCCTCCCCTGGTGCTGAAGAAGTGAGGACATGTCTTGAAAAGATATGATCAGAAAGTGTACTCCCTAGCAATGTGGAAGAACTGTGAGGGTAGTACCTTGGTTTTTAAAGGCTCTGATACCCAGGATACACCTCAGACCAATTCCATCAAGACTTCTGAAAACTGAACTGAACCTAGGCAGCATCCACACTTTTATTTATTTATTAAAAAAAATTTTTTTACCACTTTAGCATAAGGCATCCTTTTTTTTTTTTTTTTTGGAGACGGAGCCTCACTCTGTCGCCCAGGGTGAAGTGCAGTGGTGTAATCTCAGCTCACTGCAACCTCCGCCTCTCAGGTTCAAGTGATTCTCCTGCCTCAACCTCCTGAGTAGCTGGGACTACAGGCACGTGCCATCAGGTTTGGCTAATTTTTGTGTTTTTAGTAGAGACAGGGTTTCACTCTGTTGGCCAGGCTGGTCTCGAACTCCTGACCTCAAGTGATCCATCTCCCTTGGCCTCCCAAAGTGCTGGGATTACAGGTGTGAGCTGCCGCGCCTGGTCAGGCACCCATATTTTATTATTATTATTATTATTATACTTTAAGTTTTAGGGTACATGTGCACAATGTGCAGGTTAGTTACATATGTATACATGTGCTAGGCATCCATATTTTTAAAAGCTCTCAAGATGATTCCAATTTGCCCCAAGGTTGAGAACTGGGCCATTCCCCTGCCAGATCATCCTCCCTTCATCCTCCATCCCTCCCCAGCTGCCTCTCAACTCCCTTCTGATCTGGGTTCAAACATCACTTCTTGAAGGAAGACTTTTTGAATCCTCAGACTCTGTCATGTATACCTGGGATACAATTTCATGGTTTCCTATGCCTTTCTTCACAGCACTTCTCTTTGTGATTCTATATATTGTGAGATTATTCCATCAAGGTTGATCTCCAGTAGAATGTCGCTCCACAAGGACAGGGCTAGTGCCTGTTTTCATCCACCAGGGCTTACACAAAGTAGGGGCATGGAAAGTGTTTGATGATCGAATGAATGAATGCCGACTAATTGGAGAGAAAAAGTCTTCAGAAGAGGGTAAAAGTCACATTCTGGCTGGCAGAAAAGCACCAGAACAAAAGCCATCTAACAGGAAGTGAGGAAAGAGAAAAAAAGATGGGGACTGAGAAGAGAAATAGGTAAGGATCCCTTCTTCTGGGAAAATAGCGAGGGGTGGGTTTGGAGGCCAGCCAGTCATTGGTGTCAGGCAGTATGACATCTGGGGCAGCCAGGGGCTGGGAACACAGTTCACAGATCCAGAAGGGCAGGAAATAAAATGACCCCAGGGGAGAGATCTGGCCAGGACCCCAGGGAAAACACTGCAGTCGGAGGAGACTGAACTTTCCTGAGCGAGTTGACAGGTATTCGTACAATCAGAATGCTGACAGCATGAGGGGAAGGGCACTGTGCCAATATCTTATCCTAAGTTATGGTTGTTTGTTCTAACAAGAAATACAAATATAATTCTGTAGGAAGAGCTCCAGTCTGTGTTCTGATATTTTCAGAAGAGCCCAGAGAGACAGGGAATCCACCAGGCTAGGAATATTCTGGGTAATTAAGCACTTGGGGAAATTGAAGTGGAAAAGCTCTGTGACCAAGAATATGAGGGTGGCATTGGAACAGCCTTCCAGAAGGCTCTGTGACCCCAACAACTCCTCCAGAACCATGGCCTGAGAGACAGTCAGGAGTTTGTCCCATTAGCTGCTGATGAATGGTGAGGCTGAGATTTGAATTCATGTTTTACTTAACACTATGCTGTTCAAAAGACAAATGTCCAAGAATACTGATGCTCTCAGGAAGCTGGCAATTCCCAGGTACCACGTTGATTCACTTATACTCTGTCTGGGTACAGGAAGGACTCAGCCAAATTTGTAATTTGATTATTGCAAATTACATCCTAAAGGCATTTTGCCTTTATTCCCCCCCCGACCTCTTAGCCCCTCTTACCCTCTAACTCAGATAAGTACAAAGCTCTCACCCTTTCCACCTCCCCCAGCACCATCTGGTCCCACAGAGCTGGGCACCAGAAACCGAGGTCACCTCCCAACAGGATGTGGCAGGGAGCCTGCTGCCACCACTGCAGTTTCCCTGCAGCTTCCTCCCAGTTGCTGCAGGGCATCTGTTACCCCTGCCTGTTTTCTGCCAGGCTATACTAAAGGACTCAGCAACCTGAACTTCCCCACCCTGACCTCTGGGAGATCATGTCTCAGCTGGGTTTCATCGCCACCCCCTGCAGCCAGAGGACCTGGCTCTCCATCTTTTCCCAGGCAGGCTCCCGCTTCCATTGGCTGCCTCAGTGGGAAAGGATCAGGAAAGGGGAATCTAGGAGAGGGCAGAGGAACCAGCACAACAACCTCTAGGGCCGCCTGGCTGACACTCACCCATTCTGGACCAGGGTGGCCCCCAGTCACTGCTGTGACCTTGCAGGCATCACTTCTCTTTGAGGTTCAAGATTCTTTTCTCTAAGGGGAGGGTAGGACTAGACCAGGGGAGTTTTAACCTGTGGTCTACAGAGGCCAAGGCTATCTCACGATGGCGCTGGGACAGGGGTTCTGGAACCCTGGGAAACAGGGTGCAAAACCTTGGATGTAGGTATATACAGTTTTTTCCCCCCCGAGAATGGGTTTGGGACTTTCATCAGACTGTCAAAGGTAGTGTCAGGAACCAATTTGGGGGGCCTAGTCCAACTCTGGATGATTATCCAACTGGTCCCAGGCACAGGGATAACTTATTTATTTATTTATTTATTTATTTATTTATTTATTTATTTATTTTTGAGATGGAGTCTTACTCTGTCGCCCAGGCGGGAGTGCAGTAGCGAGATCTCGGCTCACTGTAACCTCCGCCTCCCGGGTTCAAGTGATTCTCCTGTCTCAGCCTCCTGAGTAGCTGGGATTACAGGTGCCCGCTACCATGCCCGGCTAATTTTTGTATTTTTAGTAGAGATGGGGGTTTCACCATGTTGGCCAGGCTGGTCTCAAACTTCTGACCTCAAGTGATCCGTCCACCTCAGCCTCCCCAAGTGCTAGGATTACAGGCGTAAGCCACCGCGCCCGGCTGAATATCTCTTTTTAACTCCTTCCTTGCCCTCTCTCCCCACCCCTCCAATATTTTCCAAAGAGCAGGATTATTTATTGCCCCATCTTCTCTTTACCTTCTTCAGCCCGCTCACTCAGGAAGCCTCCTCAGAAAGGAAGTGGCTCAAAGGACGGAATGGGGGGCGGGGGCATCAATCCAAAGAGATGGTCCCACCCTGCTTGGCTCCTAAGGAGATGAACTGTGAACCCACAGAACCCCTGCCTGGGAGCCCCTGCAGGAAGCAGCCCTGTCCACCCACATACCAGGTGCCACTGGGGATGTGAAGCTGACTCAGCCGCCTACCTCGCCCTCAAGGATCTAGTGGGAAGATGAAACACATCTGCAGAAACGTTACCAATGGAGAGGCCATAACAGAGAGGCAATGACCAGGGCTCAGGGGAGGGTGATCCATCCTGTTAGGGGCCAAGGAAGGCCTTACTGAAAAGAGAGCTTCAAAGGAACAGAGAATTTTGTTGGATGGACAGAAGGTGAGAGGAGTGCCATGTAAGGTCATGTGGACCCAGAGAGACCATAGGAATAGCTCCAGCTCCACAGACGGCAAGGTGTCCTCTGAAGGGTAGAGGGCAGGGCGTGATTGGGCAGAGGCTGGGGTAGTCAAGGGAGAGGGAGGTGGGCATACTGGGTGGAAGAGAGGGAGCTGGAAGGCCAGGGAGAAAAAGTATGACTCTGCGGGGCCTGCTAAGAGGACAGGATTGCAATACACCGAAGACAGACAAGACAAGAGAAACAGCAGGCACCAAGAAGCTGCTGACAGCTCCAGCCTAGCCCTTCTCATCCATCCCCTAGCCCCAGGAGGGAACCAGACAAGTCAGGTGAGGGCTGGCCTTTACAAAGAGATAAACACAGTGAGACCATTAAGATCCCAGTCCGCTAAGGATCTCCTACACATCCCACATCCACCAATCCCATTGCCCCTGGACTACTCCTCAGTTTTTTTTGGTTTTGGTTTTGTTTTTTTTTGTTGTTTTTGTTGTTTTTTGTTTTTTGTTTTTTTTGAGATGGAGTCTTGCTCTGTCACCCAGGCTGGAGTGCAGTGACTCGATCTTGGCTTACTGCAAGCTCCGCCTCCCGGGTTCATGCCATTCTCCTGCCTCAGCCTCCCATGTAGCTGGGACTACAGGCGCCCGCCACTACGCCCGGCTAATTTTTTGTATTTTTAGTAGAGATGGGGTTTCACTGTGTTAGCCAGGATGGTCTCGATCTCCTGACCTCATGATCTGCCCACCTCGGCCTTCCAAAGTGCTGGGATTACAGGTGTGAGCCACCGCGCCTGGCCTACTCCTCAGTTTTGTGAGCCCCTAGGTACCCCAGGGGCCAAGAGAGTCCCTTCTGAAGGCACAACTCAGGCCAAGCTCTCAGTCTCTGCGGTTGGTAGCTCATAGTTATGGGGCTCCAGGGGGACATCATGCCTTCCAGAACCAAGGAGGAAGAGGACTAGTTGAAAGGACCCCCATTCAGATCATCCAGCCAATTCCAGAAATGAATTATGGAGTGTGGGCACATGGCCTGGGCTGCATCTCAAATCTGATTCCCCTAACAACATGGAAACAGGCGCAGCAAACATAAGTTATTACCCATACTAATCAGTGTTTGTTCTCCCAGTATTTCCTTCCTCCTCTCCCTATTTCAAGGAGGTAGCAAGAGTTTGTGCTTTCTTGCCCTTGCTAAAAGCAGGTACTATTGGAAACAAACTTTTCTTTCTGCCTTCTGTTCTCTGAAGGACAAAGCTCCTAATTGGGGTGCTGGTATATGAGGAGTATGAGGAAGGAGGGGTCAGGGATGGAAGAGGAGAGACCTCCCTAGACATGGACAGGAGAGGGACCCCTTGTATCCTGAGAAAGAGACAGGTCTCAGAAAGAATGGTTGTGGGGTGCTCCTTGGAAAGTTGAACTGTGGGGACCAGGACTCCCAGCCTTGAAAATGTTCTGATACCCACGTATGGCATGAGAACAGCAGCCACCAGGTATCTGTGGACCACAGGGACTTGGACAACAAGTCTATTTCTATTTCTACTCTATTTCAGAGGTGAATGGAGTAGACCAAAGGTTGGAGGGACCTTCCCTGACATTTTTCTGCCATAATTCACCAGGATCTTTGCCCAACCTATTTGTGGTTGTTGGAGGAGTAGTGAAAATCCTAATAATGCCTGAATTAATTTATTTGGCATCCTAGTAGGTTGGACTCTCAGAGCCAGATTTAACTTAGTTTAAAGGATCTAACAAAATATGACATTTCTTGCCCATCCCATGATGTGGTTGCAAATATAGTTCCATAAACACAGGAGGAGGGGGAATACACTGTGGAATTGTAAATGTCTTCATTTTCTTAAGAAAAAAGTTGGAATAAAAATTGTTTGGATTCCTTTTGTATAACTGAAGACAGAAAATGTTGCAGTCAACAAATGATCTTCTTGATACTGTCTTTATACAGTTGATGTGCTGTGAAAGCCCCTACCATGAGCTGACAAGGGAACGAAATAAAGGGCTTAGCTAATAAAATTGAATGAGGTAAAAGAGGAAGCAGCAGCTGGGTGTGGTGGCTCACGCCTGTATTCCCAGCACTTTGGGAGGCCGAGGTGGGCGGATCACGAGGTCCGGAGTTCCAGACCAGCCTGAACAAAATGGTGAAACCCCATCTCTACTAAAAATACAAGAATTAGCCAGGCGTGGTGGAAGGCACCTGTAATCCCATCTACTCAGGAGGCTGAGGCAGGGGAATCACTTGAACCCGGGAGGTGGAGGTTGCAGTGAGCCAAGATCGCACCACTGCACTCCAACCTGGGCGACAGAGCAAGGCTCCGTCTTGAAAACAACATACAAGGAAGCAGTGTATCTATGCCCTTCTCAATAACAGACTTTATATTTTGATTTATTTATTTATTTATTTATTTATTTATTTATTTATTTATTTATTTTGAGATGGAGTCTCGCTCTGTCACCCAGGCTGGAGTGCAGTTGCGCGATCTCGACTCACTGCAAGCTCCGCCTCCCAGGTTCATGCCGTTCTCCTGCCTCAGCCTCCCAAGTAGCTGGGACTATAGGCGCCCGCCACCACGCCCGGCTAATTTTTTGTATTTTTAGTAGAGATGGGGTTTCACCGTGTTAGCCAGGATGGTCTCAATCTCCTGATCTCGTGATCTGCCCACCTCGGCCTCCCAAAGTGCTGGGATTACAGGCGTGACCCACCGCGCCCAGCCAACTTTTTATTTTTTTATTTTATTTTAGTAATTTCTTTCTACATCTTTTTTTTTTTTTTTTTTTTTTGGAGACAGAGTTTCGAGATGGCACAATTTCAGCTCACTGCAACCTCCGCCTCCCAGGTTCAAGTGATTCTTCTGCCTCAGCCTCAGAGTAGCTGGGATTACAGCCGCGTGCCACCATGCCAGGCTAATTTTTGTATTTTTGTATTTTAGCAAAAACAGAACGGTTTTTGCCATGGTTGACCAGGCTGGTTTCAAACTCCTGACCTCAAGTGATCTGCCCGTCTCGGCCTCCCAAAGTGCTGAAATAACAGGCGTGAGCCACCCATGCCCAGCCTCTTTCTCTAGCTATTGCAAACAAATAAGGACTCTTTTATAACACTGTAAATTGGAAAAAACCTGCAATGTCACCTTTACTTCTAGGTTTAAGAGAATTGCTTGGAGCCATGACACTTTTATCTAGAAAAAGGTATTAGTTGATGAAATATGTTCCTGTTATTTTTCACTTAAGGTATAAATGACATCATTAATGTGCTTTTTTTCTGTCCTCTATTTGTTCTCCAGAATGCTAAAACAAATTCAGAATGGCATTTATCTCTCTTGCATAAAAGTTGAATGAGCTAAATCGTGGAGAAATTACAAAGATATTGGAGTGTCTCTGGTAGTTTCTAACTTGAAACACAAGGCATCTCTGCTGGCATCTCCTTGTGCCCTCTCTGGGAGGCTGGCCAGTACTCCAACAGTGGATCAAGTGAAGCAGTGTAGCTCTTACCTGCAGGTGGGGGGCCTGGGGGCCCCGGACGGCCAGGTTGACCAGAAGGCCCAGGCTTGCCTGGTGGGCCCATAACTCCACTATCCCCTTTCTGTCCCTGACAGAGAGAAAGGCAGAGCCTGTTATGAAAGCATGACATAGCAAGCTTCCCGCCCCATTTATCACCAAATCAGAGATCACCTTGCACTTAAGGAGCAAGAGCCCAGTGGGGGATGCAGCTCCAGAGGTCTTGACCATCGAGCTCTTAATAAGCTTAGGGCAAGTGACATTTGAGATAGTGATGGCTACAAATTTGTAGACCTTAGTTCTTGCTCTACAAATGTGGCACATGGCAGCTGAAAGGAACCAGTCAAATCTACTCTAGGCCCTGGGCAGATGAGGAAATGGAGGCCTAGAAATGAGCTATTTTCACTCATTGGCTTCCCGTTGCACTCAGGATAAAGACTTAGCTCTTTACTGCAGCCTGCGAAGCCTTGCATGGCTAGGCTTTCCAGCTTCATTCCAGCCTTTTGGCCTTTTTGGTCTTCAAGGGCACCATGTCTATTATCCCCCTTCTCAAGACCCTTCTCTCTGCCCCAAAATCTCTTCCTTCCCCCTAGCCTAGTTAACTGTCACTCACCCTTTGGCTCTCAGCTCAAATGCCCTATGGCAAAGCCTTCCCTGACCTTCCTGGATGGAGTCAGTTCACCCCACCATAAGCTCTCATAACTCAGCCTGTTTCCTTCATGGCATTTATCCCAGATCATAGCATATGGATTATTTGTGTGGTCATTTCATTGATGTCTCCCCATGAGACATACACTCCCTATGGGCTGGAATCTGTCTAGCTCACCTCCTTTCCCCAGATGAAATGAGGGAGGACAAAGATGCTAGAAACACAATGGTAGGCAGCTTTGCTGATCTGTAAATCCAGAGGTTTCACCTTGACCTTGAGACTCCAGGTAACTCATGTCATTGCTTTGTACCTCAGTTTTGTCATCTTTAAAATGAGGCCAGTAAATTTACACCCACATAGGTCTGTGAAACTAACAAAGATCTCAGATGTGAAAATGTGGTTTGTACAGAACGAAGAGCTATGTGGGGCAAGCCAATTATCACAGCAACTGGCTTGGTTCCATCTGTTTCACGTAGTTAAGTCTTGGTTTATTAAAAAGGGCACATCTGTGGCTACAGCCGTTCCACATGGAGTGTCCTCTTTTCTGCCTATTCTGGGAGTATCAAGAGCAAAGACTGGGCTCTTTGTTCTCCCTCAGGGTTGCTCTTAGGAGTCACCCCGAAACCAAGGCTGGTGCATGCTATTGACTCTTCCCCTGAGCAATTTGCTAATTGTCTGCTCTTGCCTCAGGCCTAATCAGAGCAGTGATTGACACTTGCCATTTTTGACCTGGTTCTTCTTACTACACTTGCGCCTTGGCAGGCTTGCCCACCTGATGAAATGTAATCTTCCTCAAATCTGGGGAGCAGGCAGGCTTGGGACTCCTTTCCAGCCACAACGGTGACAGGTGACCGGCTGCCTTGTCCACATGGCACTGGGGGCCGTCTTGGTAATGTGCAAGGAGTTCTTGAACTCTGAATATGGGATCCGTGAGGTCAGAGTTTATTTCTGATTCCATGTTTATGGAGGGAGTTCTTAAGCCTCAGCCTAGCTGAAGCATTCCCTGCAGTAACCAAGCTGGGTCTCAGGATGGCAAAGGAAGTCACACATCTTAATATAGCCACAGTTCAGTCTTGTTTTTCTAACGGCCATGTCAGCTGGCTCTGAGCAAAGGAAGTGCCAAAGCTTGAAGGAGCTGGAAATGCTCCTTCATTCTGACACCAGCAGTAATGGAATATTCCGCTTATCGGCCATCGCTCAGAATGAGCCACGTCTCTATCAGCAGGACTCACTGAGTAGAGCTTTCCAGGAAAGGCATTCTTTATTCCTTATTTGCCACAAAGTTGGGTGATCTCTCTCAAGGAAATTGTTTCTCAGTTACTGAAGTTTTTTTTTTTTTTTTTTTTTTTTTTTGAGAGACGGAGTCTTGCTCTGTCGCCCAGGCTGGAGTGCAGTGGCGTGATCTTAGCTCACTGCAACATCTGCCTCCTGCGTTCAAGCAACTCCTGCCTCAGTTTCCCAAGCAGCTGGGACTAGAGGTGTGTGCCACCATGCCCAGCTAATTTTTGTATTTTTTAGTAGAGGTGGGATGTCACTGTATGTTGGCCAGGCTGGTCTCGAACTCCTGACCTCAGGTGATCTGCCTGCCTTGGCCTCCCAAAGTGCTGGGATTATAGGCATGAGTCGCCACTCCCGGCTGAGAAGATTTTTATAATAAAGTCAACAGCTGCTTTCCTGGGCTTGCCTGAAGGCAAGTCCTGAAGCATGAAGGTAGCTGAGAGAAGAAGTCATGTGGGGAAAGTTGGTCTCAACTCAACTCTCTGGATTCTAATCCTGGCTTTGAAGCTGACTTCATGGAGGGGTCTTGGGCAAGCAACTCCACCTCCCTGGCCCTCAGCTTCCTTGAGAATAACCTGAGGAGACTGGATTAAGTGGTCTCTGTAATCCTTCTGGCACAGAAATTACTATCTGAAATTCCTTCTGAATTTCTGATTTTTGGCTTTGGATTGACTTAACAATAACTTTCAGAGACTCTCAGCACTGCTGGCCAACAAACAAAGAGTATGTAAGACTATGCTGGGAGATTAATTCATGATAAAAATAAATACCACATCAGGCTTCTAAGGCTAACAATTCGTTATCTCCCAACTGGAACGACCCCAACACCGAGGGTTTGCAGCACCCTCGGGTTGTTCACAATGTCTTGTCGAAAGCTTGGGCTCTTTTCTCTAACTTCTCTGAGCTCCCAGATGTGGTTTTGGTGTAGCTTTTATGATTCCAACGGAATTAGTCTCAGCAGGCTCAAGAAATGGCCTTCCTGGCTTTGGTTATCGCCAGGAACTAGGAAAAGGCAAACACTGCCCAAGACAGAAGGAAGCCAGGAAGCTTCTGGAACCCCAAGCTTAAAATATTATGAATGGAAATCATTAGGAGGGGATAAAGTGATATAAGAAAAGATTTCTCCCCCATATTTTTCCTTTTTTATCTGAGCCTACTTTTAAGAAATTGGTATCTGTGGCATCATTGTGAAACCATGACCATGCTACCCATGATCAAAGTTTGAAAACTGGACTGGATGATTGTAACTTCGAAAGTTACTGCACAGTCTAAATTTTCCAGGTTGGAGCCTGTGTTCTTTCTAAATTGATTGGGAAAAGACCAGAATTGGCTTCATAGTGTTATTATGGTTCTGAAACCTGGCTGCACATTAAAATCATATGGAGCTTAAAAAAAAATAACCAAACCCATGCTGAAAGCTCATTCCAGGTCAATTATATTATGGTCTTTGGAAAATAAGGCCTAGGCACTGGGGATGAGGAGTGGCAAGCTTGGAACTACAACCATTGCACCTGATGTGGGGGATCTGTACATCTGTATTTAATCACCGGCCCCACCCCCAGGTGATCTTGATGTAAGATTAAGTTTGTGGGCCACAGATATAGCCTAAGGAAATAAGTAAAAGAATGGAAAAAGCTTCCATCCAAAGATGTTTACCTCTCAGGATTATATATGAGACAGCTAAGGCTGTCTCTAGAGCAGTCATGTCACATCACATGGCTTAACACAAGAGCCTGCTGACCAGGGGGAGTTCAGAATGAACAACTGCCTTAAGCATGTTAATCAACCCAAGAAAAAAGGTCACTTACAAATTGGAGGCCTGAGTAGGGAAAAACCACCCTATTGTTGAGACCCAGAAGACCTCTCAACAGCAGGAAAATATCTAGGCTCATTTTTAAAACTTCATTTGTGTCTGGGACATTGAAGCATAAAATAGGTTTTCTGGGTAAATGACCATATCTGCCTTCCATTCCTAGCTGCTTTGGTTAAGACAGACTTATTTTTATGAACCAAATATCCACTCTTGCTTCTGGCCTTGGCACAGTTCACATGGAGCATCCTATCCCATCCACTTCAAACTACGGCTAGCCTAGAGATGCCAGCAGCTTCTGGAAGTGGTGCTGCTCCCGTCTGCTAGCCCAGAGGATGCTGGAGTCAAGGTCTACAGAATATCTCTGATTAACGCCACCTGCCTGCCACTCCACACACTGCCAGGTCAGGAAGTTCTGACCTCAGGCGGGTGGTAAGCCCTGGGATCCTTACCTGCTTGCCTCGTTTTCCTGGTCTTCCTGTGGGTCCTCGGTGTCCTGCTATCCCAGGTTCACCTTTTGGACCCATTTCACCCTGGAAAGAAGGAAAGAGAAGCAAGAGAGGACTTAGGGCATGTGGAGTGGGCACATCTACACAGGTCTAGCCAGTCATTGGCTACGAGGGCAGTCTACTTGATCATTCCGAATCTATGCCAACTGGGCTGCCCTGCAAGGTTAGCAGAGTGAGGAAGTCATGAGAAAGGCAGACATGTCTTTCATGGAAGAGGAGGGAAGGAAGAAGGTAATTCTGAGTGGGTTATCTGTTACCTGAGAGGGACAGGTGTGGAGCAGCACACATTTTGATGGCCAAATAGAAGAGACAAATCATCACCCAGAACAGGCAGTGAGAGGCTGGGGCATCCAGCACAGCATGCCTGTGCTAATTACTACAAGCTGTCTGGGAAAACGCTTTCCTTCTAGTTGGAATTTTATGTTGTGTTTTCTTACGTGCTGTTTTTAGCACAAATTCAAATCTGGAGGTTTTTAAATGATTGGACACTGTTTTGCCAGCTGTCATCTTTGGGAAGTTTCTACTCATTTAATGACTCTTGCTTAGGATTATGTGCTTGCCCACTCTTAGTAAGCATTGGTTTGAGTTCCAGCTCACTTCCATTTGATTTAGATGAAAGTTCTTTTGTGGGAGAGATGTTCCAAACATATGTTCACATCTTCAATATAATTATTGAAAAAGGCATGGAGAACAATGGAAACAATATTCCTGTTTGTAAAGCTCTATGTTGAACTATCAAAACCCAATGTACCCATTGCAGAATTTCATAGTTTAAGGCCAATATTTCACAAAACTCATTTCTCCATCTTAGTTTCTCTCCTTCTTCCCCATTTTCTTCTACATGGATTCCAGCCCCACTTACTATTTCTTTGGGTCAGCCCACAGGGCGCTTCATTCCTATCTCCAGTAATCCCCCAACAGCCCAGAATGCACAGCCAACAAGAAAAATTTAGCAATAGCAACCATGAGTGTTAATCAGCAGCCAGTGCCCATGAAGAGCTGCCCAGACACTCAGAGAGAACAAAAAACACCCAGGCACTTTTTCACATGGCAGTCAGAGGAGGTATAACACAATGGAAAATTCCAGGGAACACCTGTATATGGAAAGGATCAAACATAAAGCTCTGAAATTATCTGTCAGCTCAGCCAATGTGTCCCTACCCAAGCCACCAATGTCTTGTTTCACCAAGAATTGTCCTTAAATCTGTTATTTCTTTCCAACCCATACATCCTTCAACATTCTCTAGGGAATGGGAGCGTGTGAGAGGATAGGATGGATGCCGCATGCCATGGAGATGCTTGCAGTTTTTCCCTGGCTGTTTTAGAGAGGCTCGGGGATGTCTTTATGGCTGGGAGAAAACAGCAGCACAAGCAGCATTTTTTTTTTTTTTTCAGGGATTGTCAGAAGGAAGTGTGGCCCTTCTCTACATTAGCTTGAAGCAGTCAGGAATTTCTTGATCTAATTTCTCTCCCAAGACCTAATTATGGTCATCATATCAGCTCTGTCTTAAAACAGCCTGTCATAAAAGGGGAAGACAACTCTTCAGATGGGAAGTCTAGTAAATGGTGCAGAGGACAGAGAAGCTGCCATACTTAATTTTACAGTAATTTATTATTCTTTGACGTTCACTGTTGCCCTGAATGAAAAGCTAATCTAAATATTTTTAAGTAAAACTGTTTTTTCTCTTTTAACACTTCCTTTAATTTGCTTATATAATTAATCTATTCTTTTAACCCAACACCCTACCTAGGGTAGCAGAGTGTAGTTTCTGACAGCTTAAGGTAGTGATATAATAAATTAATGCATGTTGATTGAAAATATTTAAACACTTTCCACTGACTAGAAAAGGTAAGATAAAAATTGTTTTAGTTTGGTAAATAAAACTTTAAGGTGAACTTTTAAAAATGAAAAATACTAACAAAGCATCCCCTTTGCATGTTTGAAGAATATGATGGTTTGAGAACTATGTTAAAATAACAATTTCCAATGTCAATGTCTTATGGCATGAGGAGCCAAAATGATGTTAGCTTAGGAGCTGTTCCAAATGGCCATGTATGCCCTTTTCTCTCTTTATTCTCTGACATTCCCCCTCAACTACCCTTGTTCTTCTTCCCCAACCCTAACCCTCGGTAAAAGTTTCAAAACATATGTTGGTCAACAGTCACCTTCACAATTTTTGTCATCTCTATATACCACTGTTTTGCTATTTACTGAATATTTTTCTTTCTTTCTCTCTCTCTCTTTCTTCACTTCTTTCTTCTTTTCTTTTCTTTTCTTTTTTTTCAGAGACATGGTCTTTCTCTGTGCCCAGGCTGGAGAGCAGTGGCATAATCTCGGCTCACTGCAGCCTCAATCACCTGGGCTCAAGCAATTCTCCCACCTCAGCCTCCTGAGTCGCTGGGACTATAGGCATGTGCCACCATGACCTGCTAATTTTTTTTTTTTTAGAGATGAGATAGTACTATATTGCCCAAGCTGAGTATTTTTTTCTTTAAGTTACCTGAAATGGACCCTTTTTTATTAAGCCTTGTCCCAAGCAAGATATCCATTAAATATTTAACTATTTATTTATTTATTGAGACAGGGTCTGCCTCTGTGGCCCAGGCTGGAGTGCAGTGGTGCAATCATGGCTTACCGCAGCTTTGACTCCTGGGCTCAGGCCACCCTCCCGCCTCACCTTCCTAAGTATCTGGCACTACAGGTGCGAACTACCATGCCCAGCTAATGTTTTGTATATTTTTCTTGGTAGAAATGGGATTTCACCATGTTGCCCAGGCTAGTCTCGAACTCCTGGGTTCAAGCCATCTGCCCACCTCGGCCTCCCAAAGTGCTGGGATTACAGGCATGAGGCACCATGCCTGGCCAATATTTAACTATTTAAATACAAAATTTAACTCTTAAACAATGTTAGCAGTCTTCAGTTCAAATACTTTTGTGTCCTTCTGGCAGTATGTGCACCGCCCTTGAAGAAGGACTGCAATAAGGCACAGTGACCTTAAGCTAAAGACACCTGTGCCTTACACTGAGGCCTGTGTGCTGACAGGGGCTTTGACCGTTGTGGCTCAGATCTGAGTCCCCTGTGAGAAAGGTTTCTGCATTTGAATAGGACCACAGCCCTCTAAGAGGTAGGAAAAGCAAAAAAGCAAAAAAACAAACAAACAAACAAAAACCCAAAACCCAGATGGGTTGTCCTTTCCTTCCCATTGAGCTAGAGGGAGGCTCCAGACCATCCTGCCACCCTCTCCCCAGGGTGAAAAGCAACTTGCTTCCCGTCCCAAAATAGAAGTTTCCATGGTTAAACCCACCATCCCTGCCTGATAGACAAGGAGGCAGAGTTCTTTTTGTTGTGCTTGGAGGACCTGATATTTTTATTGAGGCCTATTTTCACTACCTCAAGGTTACTTACTTTCTGCCCCAACATTCCAGGAAATCCTGGGAAACCCTGTGAAAAGAGCAACAAATAATTGTGATCACCTCTGAAATAACACCTGAAATGGCTGTGGACAGGCTTTGTTGGTCATTTTCAAGATGGAGGCCTGTCCATCAGTCCATCATCAGTCCACGGATGGGGGTGGGTGGGGGCTGCTACTTGCACTGACATTTATCATTTCTATGGAAAGGTTTTCTCCATTACCTTTTCTCCTTTGGGACCCAGGTCACCCTTTTCACCTCTGGATCCCTAGGAAGAAACCATAGGAGAAAGTCAATGAGTTAATATCCTGGGAGGGAAATTCAAGCATTTCAAACTGAAAAGCTCCCTAAACCAAAACCCTCATTTTACAAGTGAAGAAATAGGCTCAGATATGTCAGGTGACTTCTCCAGGGAAGGAATGCTTTGTGATCTACTTCTTGTTGAACCCCAAAGACCTCTTGCATTCATAAAGGACAACTCACGGAAAATTCTGGGCCCCAAATCCTCTCTCATCCTGTAGGAAATTTGTCCACAGGTTGATGCTGTTTTGATTTGGTTTTTGGCCAGGTCAGAAGGTTGTGTGGTGGTGAAAGCTTGGCCTAAAGACATGCATCACCAATTTCCTCCAGCACTCTGTGCAAACTGTGCTTATTCTCTACCTGGCACGGCCTTCATTTGCTTATGTGCTCCACACGAGGGGCCTCTGCCTCTATGGGGAGCCCTTCTCTTACCAGCTTGCCCTGCTTCAGGAGGTCCCTCACTTCTCTCTCAGTCCACTGACAAAGGGTGGGGAATAGCTAGGGATGGTGGCTTCAGTTGCAGACTAAAGAGAGACCTGGACCCATTCTCTGCATGTCTCTGATTCCAGAGCCAGTAGCCCAGACCAGGCTCTAGGACACCATCCAAGAAAAGCACTAACCTTTTCCCCTCTGGATCCAGGGTAGCCCTAAAAGAAAGCAGAAGGTACATTTACAATCAGCCCTGTAGGACTTCTGAGTTTGGTGGAAGAATAGAAGGAATCCCTGAATGTGGTGGTAAGGTATGTCTCCACATTGCACTGTGAGTTTTAGTGGGGTTGCAGCACCAAACACAAAGATGTCCCAGAGGGTTGTGGTTATACCAGGCCTAAAAGGAACATTGCTTTTATCACTCTGCAAAGTCCTGATCAAAGGTTTCCATCTGCTCTGATGTCCAGAAGCTTGGTTCTTCCTGCCCAAGAGAACAGCAGGAATGGCATCCCTATGCCCCTGCATCCCAGGGCATGATGTTCTCCAAAGGGCTGGTAAAGGCAGGCTCTCCAATATCCGCGACATTCCCTAGTCCGGGACTGCAGCCCCACCCAGTCCCTATGTTTGTAGACAGCAGCTGCTCCAGAGCCTGACAGAGATCTGGGAACGTCCATTTGGACCCCACACTGACCTTGGAGCCCATTGGTCCTCTTGACCCTGGCAAGCCCATCATACCCAGGTCACCTTTTTCACCCTGTGGGAATTAGAAGAAGAAAAGACCCACGGTGATATTTTTTAGAGAAACTGAACCAGGAAGTCACAGGCAAGATTGGGAAGGAACTGGGGATATCAGGGCTGGCTTGTAAATCTGAGGACCCCAGATGCACCCACTTTCTCCCTCCTGAGGTCCCAAAACTCCGTACTCCACATTTCATTCTTGTGTTTAAGATTAAATATAAAATGAAAACGCCCAAAGTGAAGCAGATCCCCACACCAACTGCTCACTAAGATGTTGTATATGGTAATACTTGGTATTTTCCTAGCGAGGATAGTGAGAGAGTAGTGGAGGGGGCATGACGGAACTGGGGCCCCAGAAAACAAGGTGTCAATACACGCAAAAAACATTGCCTGCTTTGCTCTTTGCATAGGAAGGGTCCTCAGAATGATTTGTGGTTGGGACTTCCAGCACCCACCCTCTGTACTAAAAATACTCTATACCAGCACTAACCAATAGAAATATAAGGTGAGCCACATACTTAATTTTAAACTTTTAAAAGAAGTCACCTTAAAGTAAAACTAAACGAATGAAGTTAATTTTAATAGATCTCCTTTAATCTAATTAATCATCCCAACTTGTAATCTATACAAAAATTATTGAGATATTTTACATTGTGCTTTTCATAATAAGTACTTGAAATCTGCTATGTAATTTACATTTACACATCTCCATTCAGGTGCTAAATTTTCATCCAAAATATTTAATCTGTACTTAGAGATCATAAAATTTATAGTTGAAAAAGCAGATTCATGCATTCAAGTTGCTCCAAACATACTTTAACATTTTCAAATAACTGAATTTAGTAAAGGTTAATTCAAATAGTTAAAATTTAAAAATTCAGTTCCTCAGTAGCACTAGCAACATTCCACGGGCTTGAGGGTCACATGTGGCTACTGGCTGCTGTGCAGGACAGCTCAGCTGTATGCAGAGGATTTTTAAAATATCCTTTTGGGACTTTTCCTAAGAGGACTGGACACACAGTTTTCCACTGCTATAATATAGCCAGTAAACAAATCAGAGCAGATGGTGAGATCCACCTGCCCAGCTCTGACTTCTGCAGATAAAACTCTGAGTCACGCCTCTGAACCCTCTAGTCTATGACTACTAGTGGGAAAAACAGAGGCACAGATGGGGATGTGCTTGCTTTCCATAGCCTGACTGAGGAAGGAGATTTCATCAGCACTCGACAATCCCTCTCTGAATGTAGGATTTCCATCCTTCAGCCAGCCAACACCACCTTCTCAACTCTCCATTCCCTGCCAGGTCAGCATGACAGGCAAGAGCTTCCCAGACGCAAGCCCCTCTTAGGTCATCTCAGGGAAACCAGAGTGGGGTGCTAGTTCCTAGGACAAAGGAGAACCACGGCCCCTGTAGAAGAGGGTACCAGCCCCCTATTTCTCCTCCCACAGGAACAGAGCTGTTGCACTGATCAAGGTCTTGCAGGCCAAGTGAAGGAGGAAGTATCTGGGGCCCTGTGGCCAGTCCTTAAGCTCTCTTCTTCTTCCCCCTCTTGAAGAAGGGATTCCCTGACTATGTGCCAGGAGCCAGGAAAGCTGCCATCTTCCCCCCTCTTGTTTTGACACCGCATGAGCCCTGAGAGCATGCCACACTTACCCTGGGTCCTTCAGGGCCTGGCCAACCGATGGGCCCAGGCATGCCAGGAACACCTGGGGGGCCAGGTCTACCCTTCAAAGACCAAGAACAAAAGTCAGGGCAACTGGGTTTGTTTCTTTACTTCTAATAAATATGTTTTGTCTCTGGGGCCCAGAGGAGACAGTGGGTTCTCTAGGCATGGCTACTATGACCCTCATCCCCACTCTCCGAAGACTGATGGCCTGACAAGCCCTTGGTGTCACACTGTATCATCAAATAAGACCTTATTCTTCTCAAGAAATGGAGGGTGGTGAGAAAGGGACTCTAAACTTCTTGGTTTTTTAATTTTTGTCACTTCTACCCACCCCCACCCAAAAGTCCCCTGCGTTCCAATGGGTTCTTTCCAAGGATGTGCTATGGAATGAGATAGGATTACATTTGGGGAGCAGTAGCAGATGCTGTCAGCACTCTTTCAAGGTCTTTTTGACCTGCTCAGAGTGCCCATCGCCCAGAGGCTACCTTCCTTGCTGCTAACAGCTCATTTCTGCTACCTGTAACTGCGGTTTGCCCTTGAGCAATTGGAGCTGCCCAGTAATTTATGTAACTCTCCTTCCTGCAGCCAATAGTCCAGCTCCCTTACCTTTGGGCAGTTGACACTCTCAAGCTCCCCCTAGATATCAGACTGCTAAAGCTCGACTTCACCTGATACCACACCTTTGCCTGGCTTCTCCCATTCTCCCTACAGGTTCCTCCCGAGAGTGGTCCCATAATAATGTATTCACTTGCACAGGGTACATGTCACCTGTGTCTCTGCCTAAGCCAGGGCTATGGAAGAGCAAGCCCTGCAAGAGAGAGTGGGTGCAGGTGCTAAGGGCCTATCTTGACCTTGTGCCCATTAGCTAATTTCGCAATTAGCTAGAGATGTGAAGGGCTCAGCCCCTAAACCAGATATACCAAATCCTGGCACGTGTACTGGTTTCTACTGTTGCCTCCCACATCCATGGCGACATCACTAATCAATCATGGTCCTTGTTAGGCCTGAGCATGGACACCACAGCAGAATATCCTTTGACCATTGCCATGGAGACCACCCCAGCACTTCAGACAGCCACTGTGCCTTGGCTATAGTTTTCATCTGTGCCCTAAAGAGTTGTAACTTTGTCTTGCAAAAGTCTGTTTAAGGATCTTGTGGACCATGAAACCATTTAATAAACCATTTAACAATAAATATAGTAATTTATATTTAGAGCCATGGACATCTTTCTTGGCCAAAGTTTTGCACGCTTGTCTATAACCAAGACCTAGAAATTCAGTGCCAGTATCCACTGACCTCAGCAAATATAATAGGCAGCTGATTTACTCCCTCCTGACACTAATGAGAGCCTTGATAACATGTGTTTGGTTCACGCAGAGTCACCGTGACCTTAAGTAACCTCCATTTATTTCAGCTGAGCCAAAAAGCAAAAGCCATTTGTTTCTGTCTGCTCTGGCACTTTATTCAAATTTAATCAAACAGAGAGTGACAGTCATTCAATGTCACTGGTTGGAGCTATGAAGGGTTTCTCTGATGGGTAGCAGAGTGAGATGGTCTGGGGTTGGGGCGGGAAGTGAGAGGGGTGGAATTTGGCCAGGCTTGGCAGCCCCCGGAAGAAGTCTGAATGCCTGGCAGTAGCAGGCTCCTGCTCCTGAACAAAGAAGTTGACAGAAAGGGCAAGGTTACTACTGTCACCATCGAGACAGCAGCACCATCACTGTCCACCTGGGTATCAGTGACCACTGAAGTGCATTGCTGTTCCCCCCTCCCTAGGAGTGCATGCACACACATGAAGCACAGACGCTCATGTGACACTCACAGAACAGCGCAGACCATACCTTCCTTCCTGGTCGGCCAAGCTCCCCCTATGGATGGAGAAGACAGGTAAGGAGAGGCTGCTTTGGAAGAGATGTTCTGGAAGCAGAAGCCTTAGTAGAGCTGATGACTGGGCATGGCCATGTGGCTCAGTTGCTTGGCTGCTGCTCACGGCCCCTCTGCCATGTCGATAGGCCACGTCAAAATACACCAGTGGTATCCCATATGTGCTGCAGCAGCCCAGCCATCATGGAACCCAGCCTCTCACCAAGGCAGAGTTAGCACATGTTTGGAAATCTCAACTAGGAAATTCTCAGTGGGATGCCCAGAAAACAGGCTGGAATTGCCAAGGAAAGAAGGGTTGAAGAAAGTAGTGGTCCATACCTTTTCTCCCTTTGGTCCTGTCTTGCCAGGAAGCCCCGGTGGACCCTAATCAATCAAGATAAAAAGTGAAGAAAGTATATATCAGTCTGAAGCTGGATGGGTGTGAGGCTCTTGGTGCACTGGGCTCCTACAGCAGCAACATCATTCTCTGGGCAGATGTAGGGCTCCAGGGACCCATGGAGGCTTTTCCTTTGCCCTCCAGCCCAGTCCCCTCCTCTGTTCCTCCTCTTTAGCTTTCTCTGAGCTGGTTTTCCAGTGGCTCCATGGTTGCAATGCTTACATATCTACTCTGTGGTTTTAATTTTCTCCCTGTAACTCTTTGTTTGCATAAAACATCCCAAGTGCTTGTTGAGAGCAACAAAAGAGTCTTGAATAAATCCCATTTGCTGAAAACAAGAGGCTTCATCACCTCTCATATCTTTTCAGTTACTCTTGCCAAACTTCCCTGGGGGCCTGACAAGAGACAAGTTAAGTTTTGCACATAGCAGCAGCTGCCACCTTGGAAATTCCCATGGTCAATTTGTGGGTACTAGGTGCCAAATAATTTTTGCCTTTCTTCAGCAGGAAAAAAGTCTTCTTTTTTAAGACACTAAGAATGTTGGCAAGTAAAGAGTGCATTTTTGTGCCTTGGAGAGGAGCTGACTCTAGCTCAGGGACCCTACAACTCACTGCATCAAAGCTTTGCATATCCACAGCCAGAATGTGCCTGCAAAATGCTCAGTCAGCTGTTTTCCAAATTCTCCAAAACAGCAGAGAGGAAATTCATCAAAATTCCCCAGGCCCCCACTGCAACCCCAGGATCTGCAGGTGAACATGCATAGTGCAAAGCCTGTTTGAAATATGATTTCTTTTTTTAAATTATACTTTAAGTTCTAGGGTACATGTGCACAACGTGCAGATTTGTTACATATGTATACATGTGCCATCTTGGTGTGCTGCACCCACTAACTTGTCATTCACATTAGGTATATCTCCTAATGCTATCCCTCCCCACTCCCCCCACCCCACGACAGGCCCTGGTATGTGATGTTCCCCACCCTGTGTCCAGGTGTTCTCATTGTTCAATTCCCACCTATGAGTGAGAACATGCGGTGTTTGGTTTTCTGTCCTTGCGATAGTTTGCTCAGAATGATGGTTTCCAGCTTCATCCATGTCCCTACAAAGGACATAAACTCATCCTTTTTTATGGCTGCATAGTATTCCATGGTGTATATGTGCCACATTTTCTTAATCCAGTCTATCATTGATGGACATTTGGGTTGGTTCCAAGTCTTTGCTATTGTGAATAGTGCCCCAATAAACATACGTGGGCATGTGTCTTTATAGCAGCACGATTTACAATCCTTTGGGTATATACCCAGTAATGGGATGGCTGGGTCAAATGGTGTTTCTAGTTCTAGATCCTTGAGGAATCACCATACTGTCTTCCACAATGGTTGAACTAGTTTACAATCCCACCAACAGTGTAAAAGTGTTCCTATTTCTCCACATCCTCTCCAGCACCTGTTGTTTCCTGACTTTTTAATGATCGCCATTCTAACTGGTGTGAGATATCTCATTGTGGTTTTGATTTGCATTTCTGTGATGGCCAGTGATAATGAACATTTTTTCATGTGTCTCTTGGCTGCATAAATGTCTTCTTTTGAGAAGTGTCTGTTCATACACTTCACCCACTTTTTGATGGGGTTGTTTGATTTTTTCTTGTAAATTTGCTTAAGTTCTTTGTAGATTTTGGATATTAGCCCTTTGTAGATTTTGGATATTAGCCCTTTGTCAGATGGGTAGATTGTAAAAATTTTCTCCCATTCTGTAGGTTGCCTGTTCACTCTGATGGTAGTTTCTTTTGCTGTGCAGAAGCTCTTTAGTTTAATTAGATCCTATTTGTCTATTTTGGCTTTTGCTGCCATTGCTTTTGGTGTTTTAGTCATGAAGTCTTTGCCCATGCCTATGTCCTGAATGGTATTGCCTAGGTTTTCTTCTAGGGTTTTTATGGTTTTAGGTCTAACATTTAAGTATTTAATCCATCTTGAATTAATAAGGTATTAATCTTGTATAAGGTGTAAGGAAGGGATCCAGTTTCAGCTTTCTACATATGGCTAGCCAGTTTTCCCAGCACCATTTATTAAACAGGGAATCCTTTCCCCATTTCTTGCTTTTGTCAGGTTTGTCAAAGACCAGATGGTTGTAGATGTGTGGTATTATTTCTGAGGGCTCTGTTCTATTCCATTGGTCTATATCTCTGTTTTGGTGCCAGTACCATGCTGTCTTGGTTACTGTAGCCTTGTAGTATAGTTTGAAGTCAGGTAGTGTGATGCCTCCAGCTTTCTTCTTTTGGCTTAAGATTGTCTTGGCAATGTGGTCTCTTTTTTGGTTCCATATGAAGTTTAAAGTAGTTTTTTCCAATTCTGTGAAGAAAGTCATTGGTAGCTTGATGGGGATGGCACTGAATCTATAAATTACCTTGGGCAGTATGGCCATTTTCACAATATTGATTCTTCCTATCCATGAGCATGGAATGTTCTTCCATTTGTTTCTGTTCTCTTTCATTTCATTGAGCAGTGGTTTGCAGTTCTCCTTGAAGAGGTCCTTCACATCCCTTGTAAGTTTGATTCCTAGGTATTTTATTCTCTTTGAAGCAATTGTGAATGGGAGCTCACTCATGATTTGCCTCTCTGTTTGTCTGTTATTGGTGTATAGGAATGCTTGTGATTTTTGCACATTGATTTTGTATCCTGAGATTTGCTGAAGTTGCTTATCAGCTTAAGGAGATTTTGGGCTGAGATGATGGGGTTTTCTAAATATACAATCATGTCATCTGCAAACAGGGACAACTTGACTTCCTCTTTTCCTAATTGAATACCCTTTATTTCTTTCTCCTGCCTGATTGCCCTGGCCAGAACTTCCAACACTGTGATAGGAGTGGTGAGAGAGGGCATCCCTGTCTTGTGCCAGTTTTCAAAGGGAATGCTTCCAGGTTTTGCCCATTCAGTATGATATTGGCTACGGGTTTGTCATAAATAGCTCTTATTATTTTGAGATACGTCCCATCAATACCTAGTTTATTGAGAGTTTTTAGCATGAAGGGCTGTTGAATTTTGTCAAAGGCCTTTCCTGAATCTATTGAGATAATTATGTGGTTTTTGTCTTTGGTTCTGTTTATATGCTGGATTACATTTATTGATTTGCATATGTCGAACCAGCCTTGCATCCCAGGGATGAAGCCCACTTGATCATGGTGGATAAGCTTTTTGATGTGCTGCTGGATTTGGTTTGCCAGTATTTTATTGAGGATTTTTGCATCAATGTTCATCAGGGATATTGATTTAAAATTCTCTTTTCTTGTTGTGTCTCTGCCAGGCTTTGGTATCAGGATGATGCTGGCCTCATAAAATGAGTTAGGGAGGATTCCCTCTTTTTCTGTTGATTGGAATCGTTTCAGAAAGAATGGTACCAGCTCCTCCTTGTACCTCTGGTAGAATTTGGCTATGAATCCGTCTGGTCCTGGACTTTTTTTGGTTGGTAGGCTATTAATTATTGCCTCAATTTCAGAGCCTGTTATTGGTCAATTCAGGGATTCAGCTTCTTCCTGGTTTAGTCTTGGGAGGGTGTATGTGTCCAGGAATTTATCCATTTCTTCTAGATTTTCTAGTTTATTTGTGTAGAGGTGTTTATAGTGTTTTCTTATGGTAGTTTGTATTTCTGTGGGATCAGTAGTTATATCCCCTTTATCATTTTTTATTGCGTCTATTTGATTCTTCTCTCTTTTCTTCTTTATTAGTCTTGCTAGCGGTCTATTAATTTTATTGATCTTTTCAAAAAACCAGCTCCTGGATTCATTGATTTTTTTGAAGGGTTTTTTCGTGTCTCTATCTCCATCAGTTCTGCTCTGATCTTAGTTATTTCTTGCCTTCTGCTAGCTTTTGAATGTGTTTGCTCTTGCTTCTCTAGTTCTTTTAATTGTGATGTTAGGGTGTCTATTTTAGATCTTTCCTGCTTTCTCTTGTGGGCATTTAGTGCTATAAATTTCCCCCTACACACTGCTTTAAATGTGTCCCAGAGATTCTGGTATGTTGTGTCTCTGTTCTCATGGGTTTCAAAGAACATTTTTATTTCTGCCTTCATTTCATTATGTACCCAGTAGTCATTCAGGAGCAGGTTGTTCAGTTTCTATGTAGTTGAGTGGTTTTGAGTGAGTTTCTTAATCCTGAGTTCTAGTTTGATTGCACTGTGGTCTGAGAGACAGTTTGTTATAATTTCTGTTCTTTTACATTTGCTGACGAGTGCTTTACTTCCAACTATGTGGTCAGTTTTGGAATAAGTGTGATGTGGTGGTGAGAAGAATGTATATTCTGTTGACTTGGGGTGGAGAGTTCTGTAGATGTCTGTTAGGTCTGCTTGGTGCAGAGCTGAGTTCAAGTCCTGGATATCCTTGTTAACTTTCTGTCTCATTGATCTGTCTAATGTTGACAGTGGGGTGTTGAAGTCTCCCATTATTATTGGGTGGGAGTCTAAGTCTCTTTGTAGGTCTCTAAGGACCTGCTTTATGAATCTGGGTGCTCCTGTATTGGGTGCATATATATTTAGGATAGTTAGCTCTTCTTATTGAATTCATCCCTTTACCATTATGTAATGGCCTTCTTTGTCTCTTTTGATCTTTGTTGGTTTAAAGTCTGTTTTATCAGAGACTAGGATTGCAAGCCGTGCTTTTTTTTTGTTTTCCATTTGCTTGGTAGATTTTCCTCCATCCCTTTATCTTGAGCCTATGTGTGTCTCTGCACGTGAGATGGGTCTCCTGAATACAGCACACTGATGGGTCTTGACTCTATCCAATTTGCCAGTCTGTGTTTTTTAACTGGAGCATTTACCCATTTACATTTAAGGTTAATATTGTTATGTGTGAATTTGATCCTGTCATTATGATGTTAGCTTGTTATTTTGCTCATTAGTTGATGCAGTTTCTTCATGGTGTTGATGGTCTTTACCGTTTGGTATGATTTTGTGGTGGCTGGTACCAGTTGTTCCTTTCCATGTTTAGTGCTTCCTTCAGGAACTCTTGAAAGGCAGGCTCTTCTTGAGGAGTATCTTTGTGGCGTTCTCTGTATTTCCTCAATTTGAATGTTGGCCTGCCTTGCTAGGTTGGGGAAGTACTCCTGGATAATATCCTGAAGAGTGTTTTCCAACTTGATTCCATTCTCCCCGTCACTTTCAGGTACACCAATCAGACGTAGATTTGGTCTTTTCACATAGTCCCATATTTCTTGGAGGCTTTGTTCATTTCTTCTTACTCTTTTTTCTCTAAACTTCTCTTCTCGCTTCATTTCATTCATTTGATCTTCAATCACTGATACCCTTTCTTCCACATGATTGAATTGGCTACTGAAGCTTGTGCATGTGTTGTGTAGTTCTCGTGCTGTGGTTTTCAGCTCCAACAGGTCATTTAAGGTCTTCTCTACACTGTTTATTCTAGTTAGCCATTCATCTAATCTTTTTTCAAGGTTTTAGCTTCTTTAGCTCGGAGAAGTTTGTTATTACCGATCGTCTGAAGCCTTCTTCTCTCAACTCATCAAAGTCATTCTCTGTCCAGCTTTGTTCCATTGCTGGTGAGGAGCTGCACTCCTTTGGAGGAGAAGAGGCACTCTGATTTTTAGAATGTTCAGCTTTTCTGCTCTGGTTTCTCTCCATCTTTGTGGTTTTATCTACCTTTGGTCTTTGATGATGGTGATGTACAGATGGGATTTTGGTGTAGATGTCCTTTCTGTTTGTTAGTTTTCCTTCTAACAGTCAGGACCCTCTGCTGCAGGTCTGTTGGAGTTTGCTGGAGGTCCACTCCAGACCCTGTTTGCCTGGGTATCACCAGTGGAGGCTGCAGAACAGCAAATATTGCAGAAGAGCAAATGTTGCTGCCTGAGCCTTCCTCTGGAAGCTTCATCTCAGAGGGGCACCCAGCTGTATGAGGTGTCAGTCGGCCCCTACTGGGAGGTGTCTCCCAGTTAGGCTACTTGGGGGTCAGGGTCCCACTTGAGGAGGCAGTCTGTCCATTCTCAGATCTCAAACTCTGTGCTGGGAGAACCACTACTCTCTTCACAGCTCAGTTAGAAATGCAGAAATCAACCGTCTTCTGCATCGCTCACACTGAGGGCTATAGACTGGAGCTCTTCCTATTCGGCTGTCTTGGAACCTCCCTCCCTGAAATATGATTTCTGCAAAACTTATCCAAATAACAACAGCTCCCCTCAGCCTGTGGTTCCCAAGTCTATCAGCACATTACAATTCTCTGGAGATGTTTGAAAAATCCCAAAGCCCAGGCCCCAACCCAGCCCAATTAAATAACAACCTCAGGCTGGGTGGGGTGGCTTATGCCTATAATCTCAGCACTTTGGGAGGCCAATGTGGGAGTATTGCTTGAGCCCAGGAGTTTGAGACCAACCTGGTCAATGTGTTGAGACCCTGTCTCTACAAAATATTAAGAAATTAGCCAGGCATGATGGTATGTGCACCTGTGGTCCCACCCTCCTGTGGGAGGCTGATGTAGGAGGCTCACTTAAGCCTGGGAAGTGAAGGCTGCAGTTAGCTGCGATCAAGCCACTGCACTCTAACCTAGGTGGCACAGTGAGACTCTCTTCCCAATAATAATAATGATAATAATAATAAATAGCAATCTCAGGGGAGGAGGAACAAGCATCAGTAATTTTTGGAGCTCCCCCAGGGAATCGTAATGTGTAGATAAGTTTGAGAACCAGTATCTTTGGTTTATTCACCTTCTATTTTTGGATAGGGAAGAGGAGGGTTTTCATTCCAATCTCTTGATTCTTCCAAGCCTTAGTTCTTTCTGTTTCTTGAAGTGGACTAGAACTATTTCACAAGGTCATTGTGCTCTAGCTCAGTGCCTCTCCAACTTTAATGTGCAGATGACCCACTCCGTTCACTTGGTGGAGGGGTGGTATCTTGTTAGAATGCAGATTCTGATAGAATGAATTTGTCAGGGGGATGACATTCTGCATTTCTAACCAGCTCCCATATGATACCAATGTTGCTGGTTCACAGACCTCACTTTGAGTAGGGACAGCATCCACATTGTGTTCTAAGGACATGAAGGTGGCTACACAGGACCCTGCATTTGGGCAACACAGCCTCCACATGCTTCAAAGGGGATTGCACGAGGTTAGAGATGTGTGTGACCAGAGAGCCACTGTCCTGAGGTCAGCAGAAAATCCCCCTTTTCTTTTCTATATTCCATGGGTTCTAGCATGCCTGAGACCTGTTAGTGTAGACTGCTGAAGGTGGGAAGATAGAAATGCACCTCCGAGGATTCTCATCTTGCTTTTCTGCAGGCTTCCAAGCTTTTCTGTGGCAGCCTCTGGCCAACTCTGGGTTCAAAGTCCTGTTTTCTTTCTTGTATCCAACAAGTAATTACGGAGAACCTATACCAACCCCGTGCACTGTTGTAGACAGGGAATATAATAGTGAGTGAGATGGACAATGTCTCTGTTCCCACAGACCAAGGTTTGATACAGGTTTTCTTTAGAAGGCTACATTGTCAATATCTTAGGCTTTGTGGGCCACATTTGGTCTCTGTCACAACTACTCAACTCTGCCTTTGTCGTGAAAAAGCAGCCACAGACAATAAAACTTCGATGTTTTATTGAAACTTTGCCGCAGGATTTGATCCACAGATATAGTTTGCCAACCCCTGCCATTGAGCTTACGTTTTACAGAGGGGAGACCAGGAACAGAAGAACAGATAAGAAAACTGTAACAGGATGAAAAAATCATGCAGAGAATTAAAGTAGGTCATTGTGGCAGAGAGTGATTGTGGTGGTCGTGTGGGCAGGAGACTACTTTAAGTGGTTGAGTGGGTGGTAGAAGAAGGCATTTCTAAGGAGGTGGCATAGAAGCTGAGTCCTGAGTGGCCAACAGGAGCTGGCCATGATACAAACCAGAAAGAACATTCCAAACAGCAGGAACCACAAGTGCAAAGGCCCTGTGGCTAAAGCAAGCTTGGAGTGTTTGAGAACCCGAGAGATGGTCACTGTGGCTGAGTCAACGAGACAATGGAGGTGGTATGAGGTGATGTAGGAGATACAGGCCGGAGTCCCCTCTTGTGGGGCTTTGTAATCCAGGTGAGCCTTCAAGTGTCCAGAAGCCACAGGAGTGTTTACCCAGGTGGGTGATGTCATTTTTACGCCCCCTGCATGGGAAGGCACTTGGGAACTAACTGCTCCTTACACCCTCTTTCTCCTCCCCATGGAAGGCTCAGACCCAGCTGTCCCTCACCGATGGAGCACCCTCTTGGAGGCAGGCCAGAGGGGCCAGGACTCTGTGGGGTGGGGTCTCTGGAGGGTACTCTTGTTTGTCTAGAAATCCTTTCTGCAGCATTTTGACTGTTTCCCCTTTAGCTTTGGTGGGGAGGGGTGGGCTGCTTGGTAGCAATACCTGGGGGCCCAGTGAGGCAGGAAACCATCTCCTCTGCACCTCCACTTTCCTGTGCTGAACGCAGGCACCTCTGGGTCCACAGGAGGGGTCAATGGTTACATAAGGGGCACTGTCATCAAGTGTTTGTCTGATTGTAACTGTAATAAAAACCATATCCATAGAGGTGGCATCCTCATTTGATTCCCCCAAAATTCAGTATTGTAGGGACAATTATTATCCCCATTGCATAGATGAGGAAATCAAGGATGGGAGGCCAGAATTTACCTAGCAAAGAGTCAGTGTTCTATCCAAGTGGCTTTGGAGCAGGAAGTAAGCGAGAGAAGGAAAAACAGCTTTGTATCACATGAGAAAGAGCAGACACTAAGAGGCTCTGTGCAGTGGGCTTTCCTGCTCTAAACAGAAGACAGCGAGAGGGGTCCGGTAGAGTGCACCAACCTGGGGGCCGGGAGGCCCAGGGGAGCCTAGCGAGCCTTGCATGCACGGGGACTGCGAGGTCTCCAGTTCCAGCATGAGATTCTTCATGTCTGGGGAGAGAAGCTTCAGTACAAAGCAACACAGAGTTAGAGGTCAGGCGTAGGGGACAGAGGAAGGGTCACCATCCTGGACACAGACCTGCTCCGGGATCAGGTCTCTAAGCCTGGCAGTTCCCTGACACCCCAATGACTGCCCCAAGAAGATGACACCTTGGGCTACCAGTTTCTGTTCTCTCATCTGCTCTTGAGACGAACCTGGCTTGTATGGATTACAGACACCTCGTAGCCACTTTGGATAGAGTTTGGAAGCTCATTTCAGGGGCCTCTATCCAATGTGTAGGTTAGCACTGTCCAATGGAAACATAACTAACGTGAGGCACCAATAAGAGCAACACTGTAATTTTAAATTGTCTAGTAGTCACTTTTTTACCTTTCAAGAAGGTAAAAAGAAAAAAGTCAAATTAATTTTAATAATATACTTTCTTTAACCCAACAAAACTCAAATATTATCATTTTAACATATATTCAGTATTGGAAAGTTAACTAATGAGATAGTTTACATTCTTTTCTCATACTACTTCTTTCGAAATCCAGTATGTATTTTACACTTACAGCACACCTCAACTTGAACTAGCCACATTGCAAGTGCCAGATAGCTACATATGGCTAGTGGCTCCTGAATTGGACAGCTCAGGAGACAGAGCGTTGGGAAAGAGCTGAGAATCCCAAGTCCCCAGAATGCCCTGGCTGTTGTCTTCTAGGCCAGTTTCCCTAATCTTGCTCTTTTCCTCACCTGGTCCTTTCTTTCCAAATTCTGCTCCCTCTCACACCTCAGTGTGGCTACGGGAGAACTATTTCCTGAGTCACCTCATGGAAACGGTCTGTGTTAGACACGGGCTGCAGAAGGGAATTTCATAAACACTTGGGGAGAAGAAAAACAGAAGGGGAAATTCCATGTTTGAGCAGCTGATGGGAACCCAGGAAGTTATATTATAAATTCACCTCATGGTTTTTGAGAAGATGAGAAACTTTGCCAAATCCAATTCCTGCTAAGAAGAATCTCCCTCCATCATTTATTTAAGATATTTGGAGAATGGACACACCCCAGGAACTGCAAAATGTCCATTCCGGGGCTCAACTTCTGGGTGACAGTGGAGGGTTGAGGCTCTCAGAAAAGATTCCGGAGGCAGCTCAGGTGGAGTGGGGCAGGCAGGTGGGGCTGCGTGGTGTGCACTGAGTAGCCTGCACTTTTTTTCCTCTCATAAATCCCAAAGTACTCACCGGACTTCGGCCACCTCTGAAGAATGGTGGTGGGAACAGTGGTGGTGGAGGAGGCGTCAGCAGGCAGCATGCTTTGTGGCCACCACGCTTCTTCTGATCCAGGCTGGGAAGGGCTGTTCAGAGAAAACTGCCGCTCGTTAGCATGTGGTCAGTGCTGGGCCTCTGTCACACCCACCGTGCCCAGGGAAGACCCATCCTGCCACCCCAGACTTCCACATCTAATTTCTAGCCTGTTAGATGTGGATAGGCCTCCTGTTGGCTACTTGACATAGCAATTATTCCCTTGCCCTTGCCTTTGCTAGATTAAGATGGTTCATAAAGAAGCAGATGACTTGTCTGGACACTGACCATTATAAGGTTCAATTCTCCTTCCTCAGATACTGACTTGTCACTTTGTAGATGTAGCAGGAAATGCAAAGTTCAAACAGATTTCATCATATGCCCCCAGTAGTTGAGGAGAAGAAAGTGCTTGCTAATAACTTTAATATTGTACTCAGAAGGAAATTGTTTAGACAGGGAGGCAGCCAGGGCCAGTGGTAGCATTACTTACAGGACACCCAGACCCATGATTTAAAACACATACATTGACTCTAGACTTTACAAACACATTCACGTGTCACTCATTTCACTGGAGAGTTACGGTTTAATGTCTCAATATATGGGTAGCCTAATCTGCAGTATCAGGAAATAAAGGGAGGGCCCTGAACCTTTGTAGCTTTATTTTTACAAAAAGTCTCACCCATGTTCAATGTTAGTAAATGTTCAATGTTGAAGTATGCCTTACAAAAAGTACACAGATCAATAAGTTACAGTTCAACAGATCTCCATAAGGTGGACGTATCCTAGAAACCAGCACCCAGGTCAAGAAACAGCATTCCCCAGTGCCCAGAAGCTCCTTCAAGCTCCAATCTCTGCACCCCTTCCCATCCTGAATTCTAACACCAGAGATTCATTTTGACTAATTTTGCACTTTATGTAAATGGAATCATACAATATGAACTCTTGTCTTTGGCTTCTCTCTTTTAACATAGTGTCTATGGAAATCATCTAGGTTGCTGTTTATCATTGTTACTGCTGAATAGTGTCCCACTGAGTGACTATATCACAACCTACTCATCCATTCTGCTGAACATCGCTGATGTTCATTGGGTTGATACCACTACACATCCACCAGAATGGCTAAAGCAAAAAGGACAGAATATAAGAAATGTGGCAAGGATGTGGAACAACCACAACTATCACACATTAGCTGGCCAGAATGTAAATTGATCCAACCTCTTTGGAAAATTGCTTGTTATCTTCTATTAAAGCTGAACATAGACATATACTCTAGCCCAGCAATTTCACTCCTAGGTTTTTACCAATAGAAAAGTGGGTGCATTCAGAATCATGATTGCAAGTGATCTTTAAAGTTTCAGGTTCTGACTCCAAGCTTGAATCTCCTCCCCGGCATCTCTGAATGATGGGCATTGGCCAGGACCATATATATGTTCTCTGGTGTTTGCACTGAGAAAGCCCTGATTTGTGTCCCTACCTAATGAATCCAGTGGGGGTTATTGCAAATTTTTCAAGATAAACGTTTTAGTTAAGAGCCAGCTTGAATGGTTATAGTTTTATTTTTATACCAAAAAGTAAAAATTTCTCTTGAAATGGCCCTAAAAAAAAGAAGAAAAAAAAAGAAAAGTGGGTGTGTTTTCACCAAAATGCATGTATTAAAATGTTCATAGCAGCAATATCCATAATCACCCAAAGCTATGGTTTTTCAGTTCTCAGTTTTGGTGTCACGATGTACCTTCACTTCCACCCCTTCACGAAACCTCTGACCTCACAGAACATGCACGCCACATTGACCACCACAGGCTCTCAACCTTGAACCCAGTTTTCTGTCTTATCTCCCAGGGGCCAGCATCTGCCGACCATCTCCACCTTGTGCTCCAGGACCTGCCTCAGACACTAGACAAGTGCTAAGTGCTCCCCAGAAGTCGCCAGGTCGTGCGGTGTCCACGGGAATGGTAGCTCCGTGCACACACACTCGCTCGCACCCTTGATGATGGAGCATTCCACTGGCCTGTGCCAAAGACCCTCAGCCCTCTCAGGCCTAAAGCGACCTTTTACGGGAAATATTTTATAAAGACACCTTTATTATCCGGAAATGAAATTCACAAATAGTACAGCACGCTGACAGACAATTTAAAAAATCAATACAGTGCTCTTAATTCTACATAAAAGAGAAATACAAGAAAGTGATTTATGGGCCAGGCATGGTGGCTCATGCCTGTAATCCCAGCACTTTGGGAGGCCAAGGTGGGCAGATCACGAGGTCAAGAGATCGAGACCATCCTGGCCAACATGGTGAAACCCCATCTCTACTAAAAATACAAAAATTAGCTGGGCACGGTGGCATGCACCTGTAGTCCTAGCTACTCAGGAGGCTGAGGCAGAAGAATTGCTTGAACCTGGGAGATGGAGGTTGCAGTGAGCTGAGATTGTGCCACTGCACTCCAACCTGGCAACAGAGTGAGACTCCATCTCAAAAAAAAAAAAAAGAAAGTGATTTATGATACAAAAGTAAACATTTTGATTATAAGTGGTCAGACATAACCATATTAGAATACATAATGCTGTGGTTTGATGCTCACACTTACATGAAATCACAGTGAATGCAACAGCTCAAATAAAGATTATGGTATTGGCAAGTCTCATGCTACAAGGAATGTGTCCACCATGTGATGTGATTTTCTGAAATAATAAACAACACTGGGTAAAATTCCCGACTAGATAAAGCACAACCATTACTCCATAATTGTAGTCTTAGAAAACTCAATTTATATTATAACAGTGCTTTAAAAATGCTGCATAAGGCCGGGCACAGTGGCTCATGCCTTTAATCCCAGCACTTTGGGAGGCCAAGGTGGGTGGGTCACGAGGTCAGGAGATCGAGACCATCCTGGCTAACATAGTGAAACCCCGTCTCTACTAAAAATACAAAAAAATTAGCCGGGCGTAGTGGTGGGCGCCTGTAGTCCCACCTACTTGGGAGGCTGAGGTGGGAGAATGGCGTGAACCCGGGAGGCGGAGCTTGCAGTGAGCCGAGATCGCGCCACTGCACTCCAGCCTGAGCGACAGAGCGAGACTCCGTCTCAAAAAAAAAAAAAATGCTGTGTAAAAGAGAATTCAGTTCTAGAATGAGATAATTATATATAAGTACGAATGTTCCTTGGGACATTTCAAAGTCATGGAGGATGTGGGACAATTCTATCCCACCCTTTGCAAGACAGCTCTCACTCCTGACCCGGCTCAACAGACAGTGATGCTACCCATCCCAGCCTTTGAAACAACCAAAAATACCTTGAAAATTTCCAAAATGGCCCCAGTGAAAACTGTTGGCCTATCCAATGCTTGGTGCTTAGCTTGGTCACAAAAAGTTCCATAGAACCCAGCACTCAACGCCAAAGCAGCATCCACTCCAGGTCATACAAGTTAACGAGGGACTGAAGGAATTCAGAAAAACAGGAACAACAGGTGGCCACCAGCTGGGATAAACCTAGCTGTCTTTTGGGAAAGAGGGCATTCATGCTAATTCTGGAAAAGCAAGGAGAATTTAGACAGGAAGACTTCCAGACCACGAAAATATCTGGGGAAGTCATGCATACTTGAGCTAGGCCTTGAAGGGCTAGCTGGGGAGGTGGCTGATGGAAGGAGGGGAGGCTCCCCAGGGAGCGGGAGGAATGGCAGGAGAAAGACCCATGTTCCATTCAGGGCTACTTGGATTGTGAGAAGCAGAGCTTCACTCACATGGGCTCTGGGGAAAAAGGAGATTTATTGTAAAGTTAACAACTGTCAGAAAGAGCTGGAGCCAATGAGTCAATGGGACATGACACTGTCCTGGTATTTCTCTCACCTTCCTCGATCCCCTGTCCCCCATCTCCCCTTTTATGCTTCTTTCTGTGCATCTGATCCATTCCATCCTCTTTGGCGTCTTCACGCCCATCTCTCCATGACGGCTGACCCAGTCTTGCCTCACCTCTTTTACCTCCCCCATCTGCTTTGTCTGGAACATCCCCTTGTGGGTCTTAGTTCAAATAGCCACCACAGGGAATCTGTTTGCCCAGCCAGGTGACAGGTCATGGGGGCAGCTAAGCAGAGCCTGCCCTGGACCAGACTCAGACCCAGTCTTTAGCAGGATCTCAGGGTCTGTCACCAGCTCAACAGAGGCTGTGGGAGGAGTTTCTCCTGAGGAAGGCCAGGCAGACAGGCACTCCAAAATATGTCAAACAGGCTAGGCGTGGTGGCTCACGCCTGTAATCCCAACACTTTGGGAGGCTGAGGTGGGCAGATCACTTGAGGTCAGGAGTTCAAGACCAGCCTGACCAAATGGCGAAACCCCGTGTCTACTAAAAACACAAAAATTTGCTGGCCGTGGTGGCACATGCTTGTAATCCCAGCTACTTGGGAGGCTGAGGCAGGAGAATTGCTTGAACTTGGGAGGCAGAGGTTTCAGTGAGCCGAGATTGTGCCATTGCACTGAAGAGGAAGCTCTTATCTTAAAGGAATAGTGACTGTTGGGGTCAGGATGCAGGGAAAGCTGGAAAGTTAATTTGGGGCTAGATTGTGCTGTTTTGGATACCCCACAAAAGGGTTTAGGCTTTAATTGGAAAGTCGTAGGAAACCACGGCAGGTGCAGGGTAAAGGAGTGACAGGATCAAAATGGTGCTGGAGAACACTGTGTGCAAGGAAGGTGCAGGTGTGGGGAGGACAGGCTTGGAGAATGGGAGCATGCAGCAGGGCACGGGACAGGAAGGGAGGGACTGATGCAGAGAAACGGGGCCAACATGTTGCAGGAGGGAAGAAGCAGGAAGAATCAAGGGTGGTTTTGAAGTTGCAGGGTACCCAGGGCAACAGTGGTCAGAGTTTGAGAAAGAAAAGTCACAGCAGGCACTAGTTTATGGGTGTTAGACATTTATTCATTTGAGCACACTCTTTGCCAGGCACTGGGCCAGGCCTGTGGGAAGCAGAAAGTACCTAAATGGCATCTGTAGTTGGAAAGGCTTGCAGAGCTCAGAGGCCTTCTGCTTGTACCCCACTCCCTGCCCTCCCACAAGCAGCCTCCACTAGATGCCGTCTCCACCAGGAAGCTTTCCTTGACTTCCCAGGCAAGATTGAGTGGCCCTGCTGTTTTTCTCTGGGTTTACCCCTATGTTAGGTTTCCTCCATGGGGAAAAACTATTTCCTTGTATCCCTCTGACCAAACTGTGCTTTCTGGGAGAGCAGGAGCCAGCTTTTATCCCCAGGGTCTAGCACTGTATCTGGCATATGCTAGACACTCCACAAACGTTTGCTGAATTAATAATGACAAACACCACATGCAAGGCACCATTTAAGTGATTCACACATAGAAATTCACCTAATCCTCACAGCAACCCTAAGAGCTAGGTACTACTCTTGTTATCATCATCTCCATTTTACAGATCCATTAACTGAGGCAAAGAGGTTAAGCAATTTGTCCGAAGTCATATAGCTAGTAAGTGACAGAGCCAGGCAGTCTGGTTCCGGAGCCCTTCCTCTTGAGCTCTACACCATGACTGCATGTGGTAGAAATGAAGGTCTGGAGCTTCAAGTCCCATAACAACAACTTGGGGCTATAGCATCAGTGCCCTCCAAGCAAAGGCTTCAGGGAACCAAGCTGGGTTTATTGACTCACTGCAAAGAGGGAGAACACACACCGGAAGGAACCGTGGGGCATCTCAGTTAGAGGATGCTGGGAAGGACTGATCCTAGGGTTGGGGATTTTGCTAAGTGATGGAGGGGAGACTGAGGAAATGAAGTCTGGCTTCACTCTGAATTGGATGCCATCAGGAAGAAAGGGCCATTCTATAATTGAGTACCTTAATTCATATCTAGAAGAGAGTGGAGCAAGACCAAAGCTGTGATTGGTTTTTTAAACAGCAGCAATCACTCATATTAGCAAGGATAGGAGAATGTTTAGTTACTTTTGTGGTTGGATGATAGTCCTGTTTTCGTCTGTGTTCAGTTGTGATTATCAAGTGATTCTTACTTTCTTCTCAATCCATCAAGGTCACAGGGTGACCCTGTCTGAAGTTGGTGTTCTGTGACATCGCTTCTGTGTTGCAAAACACCATGCCGAGCTCTGAGAGTCAGGGCAGCTCCAGCTGTCACGGGCTACTTTTCTCAGTGGTAAAATAATATGGATACATTGTTCCCGAACTTGACATTAATGCCAATGTATTCCTCCTCAAGCTTCTCCAAGTTTCCTAGAGTGTTGAGTCGCTAGGAGTGGGCAGCTTCAGTTGTAGGGTGGAGGAGGCTGGCAGGTTCACACCAATCCCGGAACGTTTTTAAGGTCCCCTGGCTACAGTTTCTCCTTTGCTTCTCTTTTGCCTCAGCACACAGCTAAGGGCTGAGGCTGCAGTGTTCCAAAAGCACCTGGGAGGCTGGCAGGCCCACACTGCTAATATGCACTCATCACCATTATTTTTCCAGACCATATATGGCCTCCAGTGCCTTCCTTCACCCAGCACCCTGTGTGGCCTTCCACTGATGAAGGACCTTGTATCATTTAAAGCAATCACTTCTCTCCTTTCTTCCTGGAAATTGGAGACCTCTTCAGTGACCACAAATTATCAGCTGCATTTCTGGCTGAGGCTTCTGCATTGTTCGGCTCCCCCACCCCATCCCCCTCACCCTTTCCCCCTTGACCCACTTTCTTCCCAGCAGGGGAAGGCCATCTATTTCTGCCCTCCCCTGACTCCCTGAAGCTATTTGTTTTTAGGAGCCTAGTTTATTTACAGCTCATTCCTGTTCAGAATATTTCCATCAGGTGGACGTGTTTGGGAGCAGCTTCCCCCTCCCTCCTCCCTCCCAGTCAACTAAGCCAGGACTTCACATGTCTATTTTGGTGTCATCCGAGTGGCCTGTGGGTCTTTCTCATGGACTGTCTCTATAGAATTGTGTCTGAGCTCAGGCTCCAGTCTGGAAAAGCCCCGGAAGGCTCTGTTGTATTGAAAGCAATCCTGTGCGTATCTCCGTGGAGCCTGCAGAAACCTGGGAGCAGCACGTGGCTCAGCACCAGGCAGCTGCCTTGGAAATGCCAACCATCACGGAACTTCAGGACCGCATGTCCCAACTTAAAGACATCAAGCTCATGTTGTATGTGGCCAGTGCATTGCCAAATTATGGGTAATTGTTTAATGCAGGCTTTGGCAAGTGTTTGAAGCTTTTGTTGTCGATGATGCTGGTTTTGCCCTTTGGACTCAATACCCATTCTTGAAAAGGAGACTTTCTCTTGTTTCATTTCAAGAAACTGAGGCACATCTTTGGAAAGCGATTTTCTCCAATTTACTCTTGGAAAGACATGGATTTGATTAAAGAGTGTTAAGTCTAGGTGCAAGTGGCCATGTGAGCCAGTACAACTCACTTACTCAATCTGAAACTTAGTTTCCTCATCTGTACCACAAAGAGTTTTGCCCAAATCATCTCCAAAGTCCTTTTGCCTTTTTTTTTTTTTTTTTTTTTTTTTGAGACGAAGTCTCACTCTATTGCCCAGGCTGGAGTGCAGTGGTGGGTTCTCAGCCCACTGCAACCTCCGCCTCCAGGGTTCAAGCCACTCTCATGCCTCAGTCTCCTGAGCAGCTGGGATTACAGGCGAGTGCCACCATGCCTGGCTAATTTTTGTATTTTTACTAGAGATGGGGTTTTGTCATGTTGGCCAGGCTGGTCTTGAACTCCTGACCTCAGGTGATCCGCCCACCTCAGCCTCTCAAAGTGTTGGGATTACAGGCATGAGCCACTGCACCTGGCCTCCTTTAGTCCCTTTTTAAAATAAGTATGACACCAGAACCACCACTGTATCCATCTTCATCTACCCTCTTGCAAGGCCAGCCCCACAATAGGTTACTGGAAATAGCCATTTCCATTTCTGCCTTCTGTTTTTCCATCAAGTAGCCTTCCCTCCCACCCCCTCAATCCAACAAATGTGTCATTAGAAACTGTCAAAGGAAAGAAGTGACATAAGCATCCTGCCTCAGCAGGTTGAGAGAATTACAAGTGCAGCCATTTAACTGTTCTGCACCTGCCTGTCCAGTTGGTGGACTAGTCAGCTTTTTACTTCCTCCTCCTCTTTTGGGGCCTTTCCCTGCCTGTGGGAACTTGCATGAGAGAGACAGACCCCAAAGAAGAGAGAAAGCCAAGGGCACACGCTGTATGGCAGCTCAGAGTGCTTTGACTTTATTGTAGTGAGTTGGGTCTCAGCTACAGTAAAGTTCTTACATTAACTGAATGCAATTTGCCCAAAATTCCCCCCAATTCACATGTTCCAGAGAAGGCTGCACCCTACAATTTTCCTTCAATCCCCACAACAAACCTTGAAAGACAAATTCTGATCCTAAAAGTTGCACGTAATTTGAACTTCTCTGAAAGAACATGGTAGAGTTTGCCTTCTGCTGTATGTCCCTGAGCAGGCAAGGATACAACCTACAAAGAACAATTTGTGGTTTGGTGGCTGTGCCTCTGAGCCAAATTACCCAAGGCAGTCCACTCAAGAGTGATGGAGACTGTCTCAGCCACCCAACGCCAGCGGGGGCCCAGACTACAGAACACGATTTTACTTCAAAGCCAAGGTACCAGCTGCCAGCCAAGGTACCAGCTGCCAGCACAAGGTACTTGTGTCAGTCAAGGTCACAAGAGGGACACAGACAAGTGCACACACCCGTTAGCATGTATGCCAGGTCCCCACCAACTCTACTGTGAAACCCCTTTGCATTGCAACTTCAACACTGGCTGAGCAGTTTAAAATTTAAAGGCTTTCACAATGAGAAACAGCCCTGTGAAAGAAAAACTTAAAAAGAAAAAAAATTTAAAGGCTGCTAAAACCTCCTAGTACAGTCTGCTTTCCAAGAGTCTTTTTTCCAAAACAATGCATGTGCATCCACACACACACACACACGTGCACACACGCACACACAACTCACCCAAGCAGCCTGCCGAGTAACAGAGCAGTCCTGAAATGATGAGCAGATGAGCGAGGCTGAATGATGAGCCCGTCATTGTGAGGCAGGGCCCAAAGCGGACTGGCCAGGGAACACTAGCCGGAGACAGGCTGAGATTCGTCACGCCTCTGAGTGCTCCCAGTGCCTGGCCTGTTTGGCATTAGGGGTGGGAGTTGGCCAATCCCTGCTTTGATGTTGCTTCTGCTCCAGATGCCAGGGGTCTGGAGCCAGTCCTGAGCTCCTGGGAGTAGCAATGGGTAGGCAGCCCTGCTCCAGCTGCCCATGAACACTGCTGTAGGGGAGGCTTGGAGGACAAGAGTGCCTTCAGCCCAGGGGAGGATATGAGGTTGGGAGCCCAGGGATACTTATCCCCCTGCAAGCCAAGAGGAAATTGAGAGCAATCAAACAGGCTGCTTTTCATTTGGCTCAAAAACCGACTTGACTCAAAATACCACAGCAGTATTGACTGCTCTGGTAAGCCTCAAAGTCAACCCCCCACCGAGACCGTCCAAGGGGAGCCTGCCCTCCTCTGCTTCAGGGAAGACCTTCATGGCCAGGGGTCTCAGCTCTAATCCTGTCTGGGCCAAAGTGTTGCTGACAAAGCTAAACGTAACTAAAACAACAACAACGAAACCACAAACAAACAAAATATATAGATTTCCAAAGGGCATGTAGGCAAGTCTTTTTGGATGAAGCGGCATATACCAGTTACATGCTTAAATCTATCTGGTACTTTATAGGCACACCCAGTGCACAAGCATGGACACACACAATATTTTAGATTATAAAAGACAAGATTATTATTATACTACTTAGCAATAAGCACTGTTGTTTTGATCAGCTTAGTAAAGACCATAAGCTATAGCAGGAGTCAGCAAACTTTTGCTATAAAGGTCAACATAGTAAATATTTAGGCTTTGTGGGTCACATGGTCTCCGTTACAACCTCACTTTGCCATTGTACAGGACAGCAGCCATAGACAATACATGAAGGAATGAGATTGGTCATGTTTTGTAAAAGTTTACACAAATATAGGAGGCAGGCTGGATTCGGCCCACAGGCTGTAGTTTGCCAAGCCCTGCACTATAACCTTCAAAAGAAAGGACACTTATGTTCATTCATTCATTTACTGTTTTATTCATTCAGAAACACAGTAAGTACCAAATTGTGCAAGACATAATGACTAGACACAGTTCCCGCCCTTGGAATGTGTCGTTCAGTGTCACGGGAAGAGTACTGGCCCTGGAGTCATCCAAGTTGGGCTTAAGTCCTGGTTTTGCCACTTAGTAGCTGTGTGACCTTGAGGAAGTTATTCATTCTTTCGGAGTCTAAGCTTTCTTACTTATAAAGTGGGCGTGCAAAGCCGACTTTGATAGTTTGCTGTGAGGATTAGAGCTACAGCTTTTGGAATTCCTGGCACCGAATAAGGGCTCTCTTATTGACATATTCTTGGATAACTGTTGTATAAGGTAAAAAAAGAAGAGTGGCTAACATAGGGCAGGGATGCCTGAAGGGATTTATAGAAGGAAGAAATGGGTAACGGTTGAGGGGTAGAGGGTCCAAGTGAGATATCAAGGAAGGATTCCTGGAAGAGGTGGGATTTGAGCTGATACTTGAAAGCAGAGACTTGCTATATCAAGATGGGAGGAGTGGGAGGTGAGGCTTAGGCTGTGTTCCTTCTCTGGGGAATTCCCCTTTGTCCTTCTCAGAAACTGGGTCTAAGACCTCAGAGAAAGTAGCAATAAGGCCAGGGAGTCCTCAGTCCTGAGTCCTAGAGAGTTGCAGAAGTATCTGCATCACATTTTCCTGACTTTCTCTATTCTGAGTCATATTCTTGCAGCTCTTCATTTTTCAAATTTCATTTCGCAAACCTTCAGAGATGGAAGTTTTGCCACTTTTCACACCAAAAGCACTTACTGTGTTTTTTTTAACCACATGGCATCAAACTTTTTCTAAAAAGGTTTGACATATGTAAACCACTCAGCTGTAGTTTGTTTCATTATTGTAAAAACAAAAGTAGCTGGACTAGATGATCGCTGGGGTCCTGTCCAACTTGGCAGGTGTTTGAATCTCTATTTGAACCTAATGGTTCAGGTTCACGAATATCTTCTGCCTCTTCTCTGTGTTTCTCTCCTTCTGCTACTCTCTTTTCTGTCTCTGTCTTTCTCTGTCTCTGTGTCTCTCTATCTATAACTTTGTCTCATTCTCTGGCATTGTCTCTGTCTTTCCAAGCATGCACCATTTAATTTAAGTCAAATTTCTGGATGTATGCTCAACTACTTTTAATTGCTCTCCAGCCAAGTGTGCCAGCCTGGGATTAAGAGCCCTGGTCTTTAGCCCTGGCACTAACTCACTGTGTGACCTAGGACAACCCATTTCCCCTGTGGGTCTGGATTTTTCTAGATGTACAATGAAAGCCTTGGACCAGATGAGCTCTAAGCCCTTTCCAACTTTGGCATCTCTCAGGGTCTGTGATTCCTGAAACATCAGTGGTTCCTAGACAGGGGTGAAGGATCTCCCCTTTTACCCCTTGGTGAACAATCTTTGCCCTCAAGTTCCCTCAGGTGCCTTAGCCTGGCACCAGTTCACCACGGCAAGAGCTGCCTGTAAAATCTAATTCACAATACAAGTTTCTGGGGCCTTCCTGCAGCTGTCAGCAGGTGTCACATTCACAGTATTTTGTCTTAATTACAGCTCTGGGATTTATCAGCCAGGCTAGAGACCTCTTCTGGAATACGACATCCCCGGGAGCTGTTCCAGGTGCTCCTGTCCCTGCTGCTGCCACACACAGGCCTGTTCCCTGCCGATGGGGCTGAAGTAGATTCTGCTTTGCATGCTGCTCCTGCTGTGTCTCCCACCACTACCTCACAGAGAGCCTGTGTGACATAGATAACTCCCACAGCCTTCCCAGGGATCCAGAGGCAAAGACATCTACCTGTTTGGGGCAGTGCCAAGGCTCCCACCAGCCCTGGAGCACTTCACATCCGCTGTCCCATCCCAAAACCTTGGTGGGCAGAGAAATAGGTAGGAAGACCTGAGTTCTACCTTCCCACTGACAACCATTCTTTCCTCGGCCAAGCTTTGGTCAGGTTCCCCTGAGCCCTCCTCTTGACTAGGCTTTGAACGTGGGCTTCTGTGTCCATCCTTGCAGAGTCCAGTTATAGCCAGAATCTTGATAAGTCAGTTTAGAGAGAATCCCCCACCCTTGAGAACTGATCAACCTGGTCTGCCTTCAGCAAGAATCCTGTTAAGTTGTTTCAGCCAAAATCCCCCTATCATGATGTCTCCTCTTACTAGTTTTTAATCCACTGACCCACCCAACCTGCTTCTTGGCTATAATTCCCCACTTGTCCTTGTTGTAATGGAGCTAAGGTTGATCTCTGTGTCCTATTACAATAGTCTTTAAACCTATTGCAATAGTCTTGGATAAAGTCTTCCTCACCATTTTAACCAGTGTCAGAATAATTTTTTCTTTAATCTCACCTCTAGATCCAATGGTTTTGTTTACTCAGGAGAGTCTTGTAGAAGACTAATCTCTTGGGAACAAAGAGTTTTCATCTATCTCATCTGCTAACTTGCACTGATTTTTTTTTTTTTTTTTTTGAGATGGAGTTTTGCTCTTGTTGCCTAGGCTGGAGTGCAATGACATGATCTCGGTTCACTGCAACCTCTGCCTCTCGGATTTAAGAGATTCTCCTGCCTCAGCCTCCGGAGTAGCTGGGATTACAGGCACCTGCCACCAAGCCTGGCTAATTTTTTGTATTTTTAGTAGAGATGGGGTTTCACTGTGTTGGCCAGGCCGGTCTTGAACTCCTGACCTCAGGTGATCCACCCGCCTCAGCCTCCCAAAGTGCTGGGATTACAGACATGAGCCACCATGCCCAGTCTTTTATAAATTTTTTTTTAAACAAAGTCTCCCTCTGTCACCTAGGCTGGAGTGCAGCAGCACAATCCTGGCTCACTGCAACCTCCACCTCCTGGGTTCAAGAGATTCTAGTGCCTCAGCCTCTGGAGTACCTGGAATTACAGGAAAAACACCATGCCTGGCTGTTTTTTGTATTTTTAGTAGAGACGGGGTCTCACCATATTGCCCAGGCTGGTCTTGAACTTCTGGCCTCCTGTGATCTGCCCACCTTGGCTTCCCAAACTGCCAAGATTACAGGTGTGAGCCACCACGCCCGGCCTAACTTGCACTGATGAATACAGGTTTCCTGGAATGCTGTGTTAAGAAGGACTCTGAGGAAAGAGGGTCATGACTTGTTAGTATCATCCTCCCTGAGATGAGGGGAAGGAGCATTGCCTGCGCTGCATACTTGCAGACTCGTTTGGCAAAACCCACATCACGAAACGACGATGACCCATGCTCAGCATTTCCCAGGCATTATTGCATTTAACCCTCACAACTGATTATCCTCATTTTACAGAGGCGAAAAATGACTCTTGGAGAAGTTAAGTCACTTGATCTGGACCACATAGCAAGTACAGAATTGGGGTCAGAGTTCCAAAGGCACCTTGCACACAGCCCTAGGAGGAGGTGACCTCCTGTGGTCATCTGACGCTGACCCTTGGTGATGGCTCACTGGTTCCCAACCACTTCCAACCTTCCTGCTGTCCTCACTGCTCTAGTCTGGTGGGGCAGTTTCCGGGTTAGCTGGCTGCCTCCTCTACTAACTCCCAGCCACTGACTTCCCATCAGAGGACCTTCTCTGAGTTGAGACTGTGTGGAAAAGGCTAACATTCCCTCCAAAATGTGTGCTCCCTCTTCCATAGGCCAGAGTGAGCCCTGTGAAGTAGCTGCATTTCCCAGCCCTCTGCAGTATAGAGAGATGGGGGCATGTCATTATTCTTGCCAATGATTCTGCCTGGGTGCACAGACTCAATTCCTGGGGGACAGTGGAGCCACGGGATGTAAAGGGCCTGCACCCCTGAATGCCAGAATGGAGGTGCACTGCCCCCAACCAGGGACATGGACTGTTAGGTGAGCAAAAAATAAATTTTGATTAGGATAAGCCACTAAAATGCTCACCTGTTACAGCAGATAGCATTGCCCTAACCCAGTAGTGAGGTGCCAACAATGGGACACATTCCGTGATGTTCCCCATTCAATCCTTTGATCCCCGCAACAGCCCCACAAGGTATATATTAGTACTGTCATCCTCATTTTCAGGTAAGGCTCAGGGAGATTAAGGGATGCACCCAAGGTCAAACACAACCAGTAGGCAGTAGGCCAGGATTGAATCTGGATGTCTGACTCCAGAGACTTCTGGAGGTTCAGTTACCAGCACACGGTGGAGATCTTCCTCCACCACCACCACCTAGAGAGAATGAGCAGGAAACCTCAGAAGAAATGGCACCCAAAAGAGCCAGAAGTGTCGCCTCAGCCAGCTAAGGTTGGAACCACTTACCAACGCCCAGAATCACGTCTTTCCAATCAAACCCAATGACTGTTCATCTCTGGGTTTCAGTTTCCTGGTTTGTAAACTCCCATGAGTAAACAATCTCTGATTATCCCGACCACAGAGAGGGTTCAATCAGGTGTGCTGGTGGTCTTCAATCAAACATGGATTTACCTCCCCTATTCTATTCTTCAAAGAGGGTGACAAATCTGCAACTCACTTGAAATCCATCAATAAAAAAGATTAATAAACAGATATATGATAGAGTAATTACAGCAAAATGATAGCCAGTGCAGAATCGCTGCGGTTCGTGTATTGGTTTTCTAGGGCTGGGGTAACAAAGTACCACAGACTGAATGGCTTAAACAACAGAGACTTGTTTCTCATAGACCTTGAGGCTGGAAGGCCAAAACCAAGGTGTGGCTGGTTTGTTTTCTCCTGAGGCCTCTCTCTTTGGCTTGGGCATGGCCACCTGCTTGCCATGTCCTCACATGGCCTCTCTTCGGAACACATCCTTCGTGTCTCTTTGTGTGTTCAGATTTCCTCTTCTTATAAGAACACCAGTCAAGTTGGATTAATGCCCACCCTAATGGCCTTATCTTAACTTAATCACTTTTATAAAGACCTCATCTCCAAATATAGTCACATTCTGGCTGGGCATGGTGGCTCATGCCTATAATCCCAGCGCTTTGGGAGGCCGAGGCAGGTAGATCACTTGAGGTGAGGAGTTGGAGACCAGCCTGGCCAACATGGTGAAACCCCTTCTCTACTAAAAAATACAAAAATTAGCCAGGTGTGGTGGTGGGTGCCTGTAATCCCAGCTACTTGGGAGGCTGAGGCAGGAGAGTCGTTTGAACCCGGAAACTGAAGGTTGCGGTGAGCCGAGATTGCACCACTGCACTCCAGCCTGGGCAATAGAGCGAGACTCCGTCTCAAAAAACAAAACCAAAACCAAAACCAAAAGAAATACAGTCACATTCTAAGGTACTGGGTATTACTGGGGCTTCAACATGAATTTGGGGGAGACACAATTCAGCCCCAAACAGTGGACATATTGGTGTTCCCTGAACAATTATCTTTACTTTCTCTGAATGTTTGAAATTATTCCTAATTTTAAAAAGAATACCATTAAAAAATTTTAGATAGTCAACAGAGAACCAGAAGATATGTTCACAAGGATTAGGGTTGGGAGTAGGTCAGCCCAACTCCCTTGTTGGCAAATGTCTAGGGGCCCCTGGAGCTGCACAGAGCTAAGGCACCAGTGCCACCTGGAGGAACCTGAAGCCGCTCATTGAGAGGCCTTGAGCAGGTCATTGAATCACTGCAAACCATATAAGAAGTTATTCTCTTCTGTCTCCCACCCCTAACCCACAGAGATGTCTTGAGGAGGAAAAGTCTATCCTCACTACAAGGATGAAAGAAAATCAGTCATCTCGTGTCGGTCATTATTTTATATAAGTCATATATCAAAAATACCTCCTTTGCACACACAGAGTCAAGGAAACAAATCCATCCCCCTTTCCCTGACAAGAGAATTATTTTGGACCTTATCTAAAGAAAGGCATCTGCTTTTTGAGTTCAAGTTCTAATTTGACCAAATGGCATGTGGTAAGTAGAGAGGAAGGCGGAGACAATGCTATTAGGAGCCAAGGGAACATAAAGAAACCTCTCCATGGCTGGCTGCGCCTTGACTCTGAATTTGATTACAGCAGCCAACATAAATCAGCCGGTGCTATTAAATCTTCTGCCAGTGCTTGACAGGGGAGGACAAGTTTGTAGAATTATTCGGGAGATCTGGCCATAGGTCAGAGACAAAACCTTCCAGCTGCATCGGGCCCAAAGGGTGGGTTATTTCCAACACCTGCTGACAACTGTGACTGCGTGGAAAGACCCTGTGCTTCCAGCCACTACGTTTCCATGCCTTCATTTTTCCATGGTGACAGTTTAGCTCTATAGGCACTTGTAATTCAAAACCACCTGGCTCACTTATTCCTTTCCCTAGATCCATCCCTGCACCCCCCATCCCACCTCCAGGATCTATTGTCCAAGGGTCCACAACAGGTGGGGAGGAGGGAGGCTGGGTTCCTGGGAGTCCCATGGCTGCCCACTGGCACAGACTGGCTTCTCTACCCATTGGTCTCAAAGTCACTAAAACCCTTGGATTCCAGAAATTGGGGAGCCTAGGGTTGATCCCTTTGGACTCAGTTGAGCACTAGCACTTATCAACTGAGCAAGTTGGCAAGATAAACCTTAGGCTTTTTGCAGCACTATAATCCTGTGATTCTACCAATCTGGAAACTCTCTGAGATCTCAATTCTCCTTGCTGCTTTGGATCTAAGGACTTTTAAAGACAAAAAATTCCATCTTGTGCTCCAGATGAAAGGTAGTATTTTGTACAGATGGTGTTTTGTTTAATTGTTTAGAATAGGTATTACATGCATGTGATTCAAAATTCAAAACATACAAACAAGTATACATTAAAATTCTTTCTCCTACCCCTCTCCCTCAGCTACCCAGTTCCAATTATTTATTACCAACCATTACTTAGTTTTCTATGTATACTTCTGGGAATATTTTGTGCATATACAAGCAAATAGGTAGGTATAATATTTTCCCCCTTTTACTCAAAGGGTTACTTGTAATATTCTATTATACATATGATACTCCCTCTTGGTTTCTTCACAGTATTTTTGTTTAAAAGACAGCATTTCATTATGCTGCCCAGGCTGGAGTGCAGGCATAATCCCACTAATGATCAGCACAGGAGTTTTGACCTGCTCTGTTTCTAACCTGAGCGGGTTCACCCCTCCCTGAGCAATGGGGCACCCCGCTCCTGGAAGGACACTGTGGTGATGCCAAACTTGGTGTGGATATCCCATCATCATAGTGCACTATAGCCCAGAACTTCTAGATTCAAGCGATCCTCCTGCCTCAGTCTCCTGAGTAGCTGGGACTACAGGCACACACCAGTGCACCAGGCTTTTCACAGTATTTCTAAGAAATTATTCTGTAACTACATAAAATGCATGCACATTGTTTTCTTTTCTATTTTTCTCTTAGAGATGAGGTCTTGCTACGTTGCCTAGGCTGGTCTCATATTCCTGGCCTCAAGTGATCCTCCCACCTCACCCTCCCAAAGTGCTAGGATTACAGCTGTGAGCCACCGTGCCACCCCACTTTCTTTTCTATGGCTGCATAATATCCCTTTCTTTGGAAGAACCATAATTTGTTCATTCTGCCCCCATTGATGTGCATTTGGATGATTTGCAAACATCTGCTGATGCAAACAATGCAACTAAATAACCTTCCACATGCATCTCTGTGTATGTTGGTAAGACTATCCATTACATAAATTCCTAGAAATAAAAATACTGGGTCAAAAAGTATGGGCACTTGTAATTTTTACACATATTGCCTAATTCATCTCCAGAAAGGCCCCAGCAATTCACGTCTCCTCCTAGGAGCAGTGGATGAGAGTGCCTGTTTCCATACACCTTCGCCAACAGTCTGATGTTTGACCTCTTGAATTTTGCCTACTTGATAGGTGAAAAGTGGGTCTCACTCTGTTGCCCAGGCTGGAGTACAGTGGTGCAATCACAGTTCACTGCAGCCTTGACCTCCCAAGCTCAAACAATCCTCCCACCTCAGCCTCCCAAGAAGCTGGGACTACAGGTGTGTGCAACCACGCCCAACTAATTTTTTGTATTTTTTAGCAAGATGGGGTTTTGCCATGTTGGCCAGCTGGTCTCAAACACTTGGGCTCAAGTGATCTGCTAGCCTCAGCCTCCCAAAGTGCTGGGATTACAGGCGTGAGCCACTGCACCTAGCCTTCAGCATGGTTTTAATTTTCATTTCTCATATAGTAAATGAGACTGAGAATATTTTCAAACATTTTGAAGCCATTTATACTTTTTCCATTTTTTTCATTGGGTTGTCAATTTTTCTCTTACATTATTTTTCCTATATATAGGAAAGAAACACTTTATTATATGGCTTGCAAATATTTTCCCTAGTTTGTTTTGGCCTTTTGAGTTGGTTTTTGCCACACATTATTTTTTTATGAGAGGCATTGGTGGTTCAGTGGTAGAATTCTCGCCTCCCACATTATTTTTTTATGTAGCAGAATTTAATGTATAATTATTTTCTTTTATGGTTTCTGGGTTTTTCCAAACACCCAAGTTACCCAAAAAATCTCACAAGGTTTTTTCTAATCATTTTATAGTTTCATATTTTATATTTAAATCTTCATTCATTTGTAACTTATTCTGGTGTTTTCCTGTGGCCTAAAGCAGAACACAAAAACAGTCTTTAAACTACCTTAGGTAGCCTGCCAACGCCAGCTGTCACAACTCTCAACAACACATATTGAGCACTATGTGCTAAGCATCGGCCTACAACCGGAATGTTGCCTTCATTTGAAACATTACTTATCTGAGATAAGTAAACTGAAGCTCAAATAAGTGCCCAGGTAAGTGGTAGAGTCTGACTTGAACATAGATGGGTTGTCTCCCTGTCTTGATTGCTTTGCTCTCACACAAACTCCAACCATTTGTATAACAAGTAGCCAAGCATATTGTAGGCGGTACAATAAATACTGGTCATTTGATTGAGGGGAAGTATCTCAAATGCTATGTATATTAAGTAATGGCCATAATGAATCTAGAGACGGAAAGCCAGGTTTGATAAGTGAATAATTCATCAAATTATTCATCAAATAATTCCACAAAGCCCCCATCAATTCACATCCCCTCCTAGGAGCAGTGGATGAGAGTGTCTGTTTCCACACACCTTCACCAACAGTCTGATGTTACACCTTTTGAATTTTGCCCATCCGATAGATGAAAAATGGGCAAATTTTCAGTCTCATTCATTATATAAGAATTAAATTATATATTATAAATTGTATATAATTTTAATTATATGAAAATTAAAACCACACTGCAGGCCAGGTGTAGTGGTTCACGTCTGTAATCCCAACAATTTGGGAGGCTGAGGCAGGCAGATCGCTTGAGCTCAGGAGTTCAAGACCAGCCTGGGCAACATAGCTAGACCCTGTCTTTACTAAAAATAAAAAAAATTACATACATAATAACTATAAGAAGAAGGAGGATCTTAATCAATTCAAATGGATTTTATTGCTTCAATTAGAAATAAACATTGAGCAAAATGCAAAGCGGCAGCAGATGGGTATATGGCCAGAATATTGGGCATCTATGTCAAATCAGCCACTATTTGCTGGCATTCCACTTGAAAATCTCATATTTAATCATTTTCCTCTGACTGCCCAGGAGGACCTGCACTAGGCAGGCCTGGTGACTTGATGGCCATTGTCACCTCAAAGGAAGCATGCAAGACAGATGCCATGTGGACAGAGGGTCTGTTCTGATGTGGATGAACTAGATACAGTAAGTGGCTTGTCTTCTTGCTAGGTTTTGCATAGAGCTGCCCAATTTCCAAAAAGTGGACACTCTCAGGATTGCAGTGCCTTGTGGGGTTTCCTCCTAAGATCACCCCTGTCTTAGAAGGGGAGAAGCTTTCTCCTTCACAGCCAAAGGAAGAGCTCCTGCCTGTGAACTTTGCTGGTTAGCAGACCTTTCTACTGAGAACTCAGAATGGCTAAGGTGTTGTTATCAGGTGTGAGCATCCCATGTCCTGAAAGTCAAATGTTGCCCCTCAAAGTACAACAGTAATTCCTGAGTACATATTCTGACCCAGGCCCAGGGCTGGGCCCTTCCCAGGCTCTCTCCTTGGATCCTTGCAATGATGTTATGGATTGTATATTCCCCTTTTCCAGGTGAGGAAAATTGATTCTATGATATCCAAGGTCCTGTGGAGTTGGGATTCTGAACCCAGACCTCCGGTTCCATAGCCTGTGCACTGGGATGTCCCCAACTCAGCCTCAGGCTTTAGACAGAGAGTCTCAGTTCTGAAACTGGAATCTTCAGCACCGAATAAGAGCAGATGGGGCTGGGCGCGGTGGCTCACGCCTGTAATCCCAGCACTTTGGGAGGCCGAGGTGGGTGGATCATGAGGTCAGGAGATCGAGACCATCCTGGCTAACATGGTGAAACCCCGTCTCTACTAAAAATACAAAAAAAAAATTAGCCAGGCGTGGTGGCGGGCGCCTGTAGTCCCAGCTACTCGGGAGGCTGAGGCAGGAGAATGGCGTGAGCCCCGGAGGCAGAGCTTGCAGTGAGCCGAGATCGCGCCACTGCAGTCTAGCCTGGGCGACAGAGCGAGACTCTGTCTAAAAAAAAAAAAAGCAGATGGGATGATAGTGGAATGAAACATCCCAGGAGGAGGCAAGTGGCTGAATTCCAGTTTCTCTCCACCATTTGGAATAATGGTTGCAACCAGTAATTGAGAGCAAACTGTATGTCAGGTGCAGTGCAAAGCTCTGTAGGTATTAGCTCATTTTATCCTCATCACCGTCTAAAATGGAGACTCTTATTATCTCCATTTTACAGATGTGGAAACTGAAATATTAAGAAATTAAACCGTGGCTGAGCATAGTGGCTCATGCCTATAATCCCAGCACTTTGGGAAGCCAAGGCAGGTGGATCGCTGACCCCAGGAGTTCAAGACGAGCCTGGGCAACATGGCAAAACCCTGTCTCTACAAAAAATACAAAACTTGGCTGGTTATGGTGGCATGTGCCTGTAATCCCAGCTACTGGAAGGAGCGCTGAGGTGGGAGGATCCCTTGAGCCCAGAAGGTAGAGACTGTAGTGAGCCGTGATTGCCACAGCACTCCAGCCTGGTGACAGAGTGAGACAAGGAGGGAAGGGGACAGGATGGGAGGGGACAGGATGGGAGGGGACAGGAGGGGAGGGGAACAGAGGGGAGGGGAGGGGAATGGAGGGGAGGGGAGGGGAGAAAGAGACCAAGAGAGAGGAAGGGAGGAAGGGAGGAAGGGAGGGAGAGAGGAAGGAAAGAAGGAAGGAAGGAAGGAAGGAAGGAAACCAAAACAAAGATCACATGGCCAAGATCTCTCAGCTAATGGGTTACGGAGACTCACTCAAATCCAGAGCTGTGTGAATGGGAACTCCATGCCTTTTACTCTCACATAATGGGTTCTCAGTGCCAATGCTCAGAAGAGAAATACACGCCAAGACCCCTTCTTTGTGTGGGTGCTAATTCTGTAAATTTGCAAATAGCATGTTAGCCACAAAGTCAGGGAAAGTCTAAGTCTAAGAGGATATTTAAAGTCTGGTCCACCCCTTAATTTTACAGATGAGGAAACTGGGTCCTGCAAGAGAGCAAATGACTTGTCCAACACTACAGATGTGTCCTAATTTTACCTGAACTCCTAAGGACTGCGCTGCAAGTCTGTCTAAAAACACAAGTAAACAGGCAAATGGCCAACCCCCTGCCTACATGTCTCCATATGATCTTCTACTGGACATGAACAAAATAATCTTGGCAGTCATGCCCAGGGCAGCCGGCTCCTAAGCCTGTCCAGCCAATGCACTCTTATTCTCAGGACTCCACAGCAGAGGGAAGTAAGGGCCAGAGCAGATACTCTGGGGAAAGCATTTCTGGGGCCCAGATTGTTCCTAAAGTCACCTCGGCCCTTCAATCCTCACTTTCTACTGGCAGACAGGAAGAGTGAGGGGACAAACCACCCAACCAATGCTGCTCCTGCAGGGCCCTGCTGCTCTCTAGAGACAGGGGACTCCTGTGTTTTCCACCATGATGGTTCCCTACCATGACCTTGCTCCACGCAGCTCTCGAGAAGATCGACAGAAGGAAAACAGATTGTTTCCTCACCTGGAGCCTCCCTAATTCCTGGACACTGTGCTCAGTGGTTGAGAATTTCATTTCCAGATGACCACAGAGAATCTGGAAACCTTTTGGGGGCCACTCCATGAGGTCCACCCCAGTAAGGACGGTCTCAGAAGCCAAGCTGGCCCTGTTGGACACAAAGGGCAGTCCAGTTTCAACTCCTCATGATCATAACCCACCCGACAGTCCCCTCATACGGGGGACAAGTCCAAACACTGGAACAAACCCGGAATCCTAGTGAAGTAAGAAGAGCAGGTGGGCAGGAAAGTCTCTCCAAGTAGGATGGCCAATGTCGCCCCATTCCCTGTCTTCCCGGGTCCCCAAGAAGCCCCATGCCAGGCCCGAAACCCCTGGAAAGTCCTCTGTGGAGCATGGTCCCAGGACAGAACTCCCAGCAGCAGCAGGAAAGCTCCTGATGCCTTCTCCAAACTTCTCAAAGAAGGAAGAGGAGAGTGGTACAGAAGGATGAGTGAGGAAAGTGTGGGATGCCTGGGAGGGAGGAACCTGCCCGACTCACACCGATGCTTCCTTCTTTTCTTTCCTCTCTTTTTTCATTTGCAGCCCGCAGCTGGTTGATGGTGCAAAGCCTGTAGCAGCCACGAGGCCTCTCCTTCAGCTGTCACCAGCTCCCAAACACGCGCCCCATGCCTGTGTTTATGCTGGTTGCCATGAGAGATAAGTGCGGGCTTGAATGGAGCTAAATGCTCCTGGGCTGGGAGATGGAAGAGGGCCAGGTGTATTTTTAAAGCATCTGGGGAAGCCGGTCACCACGAGAAGCCTCCTTCTCTGGGCAACGTGTTCCTTCTTTAGGGGCTGGTTTATAAATGCAAAGTGGGTGGAAGCTGAGTCTCTTCTTTTTTGCCGTAACTCACTGGATATTTTAAGCAAAAAGTTCTCTGGGTTGTATTTGGGATTTTTGCCTTTTGACACAATTAATTATGGAAAAAGATCTGACCTCTTGCCATGTGTAGAGACACCAAGAGGTTCTGGAAAGAATGACAGGAAATATGTATATATCACACATTGTATGCCAGGCACTACTGAAAGTACTTTATGCTCATAATTAGACCACTTAATCCTTACAACTTCTCTGGGAGTGAAATCCTGCTTTTACAGCCATTTCATAGACGAGGAGGCTGAGGCACCAACAGGGTAATTTGCCAAGGTCACAAAGCTAAGGGAACACAGGATTTGAACTCCAGCAGTGCGGCACCAGAGGCCCTACTCCTAACCACTCTGCGATTCTGCCTTTGTCATGGTTTGGGGTCAGAAGTTCTGATGTGGAATGTTGACCCAGGCACTGTGTGACTGCACCTCTATGAATGTTCCTTTCTTCTTTAGTAAAATAGGGGTACTAATGGCTACCTTGTGACATTGTTGTGAAGATTAAATATAATATGTGTCAAGAGTCTGGTGACCAGAAAATACTCAATGAAAGGTAACTTTAGTGTTTTTAGTGGTGGTTCCATGGCCCGCTGGATCCCAACTTCTGCATCCCGACAGGGAAGGGCTGCTGAGCTATAACTGTTACTGTCCAGAGAGGCGATGGAGGCAAGGAACTGTGTAAGGGCCAGCAGGACACAGCTGTTCTCTCACACTATCTATAGCAGAGGACACTTCCCTGCCCACATTCATCAATCCCGCCCATTCGTCGATCCTGCTCATGCTTTCAGCTTCCCACTACAGAGTCTTGTGTCTATGCCAGAGCGCTTCTCCAACCATGGGAAGTTGTTTGGGGTAAGCAGGAAGAAGAGAGTGGTGAAAATCCCCAGGAGTTGATGGATAAATATCCCAGTCCCCTGCCTGTCTCCCTAAGGCCCCCAGTAGAATTGAGCCCCAGTTGCTCATAGCAGTAACCTGCTCCCGAACACACTCCATACTGATTGCCTTCTCTTCCCTGTCTCACTTCCCCACTGCCCTTCTGAGATCACCTCCCAAATAAACTACTTGCACTCAAATCCTTGTCTCAGGCTCCGCTTCTGAGAAGGAACCCAAATGAAGACAGTACACACCACGGTGCCTTTGATTCTGATGTCACTTTAACAAAACACTCGTGGGTCTGTTTACCTAGTGGAAAAACTAGGTAACCTGTGGCGGCTCCCACAGATATCCAGATCCTGATCCCTGGAACCTGTAAATGTTACCTTATATGGAAAATGGGACATTGTAGATATGATTAAATTAAGAAGTTTAAAATGAGGGGATCATCCTGGATTACTTGGGTGGCCCCTAAATACAACCACAAGGGTCATTATAAGAGACAGGCAGAGGACATTTGACACAGAATGAGGTAATGTGACCACTGAAGCAAGATGCTATGCTGCTTGCTTTGAAGGTGGAGAAAGGGGCCAGGAACCAAAGAATGAAAGAAATGCAGCTCTAGAGCTGGACAAGGCAGGAAATGGATGCTTCCTGAGAGCCTTCTGAGGGAGCTCGGCCTTGGCGACACCTTGATTTCAGACTTCTGACTTCCAGAACCATAATAGATGTGTGCTGTTTTAAGCCACTAAGTTTATGATGATTTATTACAGTAGCCATAGGAAACTAATAAAGGAACTCAGAGGTGAGCTAGAACAGAGGCTCTTACAGCATGGTCCACCGACCAGCAGCATCACACTCTTGGGCCTCACATTAGAAGTACTAAATTAGAAATTCCCAGGGTGTGTCTCAGTGGTCTGCAGTTTAAAAAGCCCTCCAGGTGATTTCCATGCTGGCCGTAGTTCAGTGATTAGCCCTGCCCAGACATTAGAATCACCTGGAGGACTTTAAGCATTCCCAATGCCTGATCCAATACCCCAGAGATTCTGATCTAATTCGTCTGCTCAGCTTGGACTCTGGACTTTCATAATGCAACCTGGGTGCATATTCTTTTGTCTAACCAGGGCTGGGAACCAGTGCTGTAGTTTGAGACTCTCTGATCTAGACTGTTGACTTTCAAACTAAGCTGTGCAGAGCTTTGGGATTCTAGGCAGATGCAGAAGAAGGGGAAGGCAGAGGCCAAGCCAGCAGGGCTCCTGGTCCCAGAGACCAGAGTCACATGCCCAGAGGGGGCTAGAGAGGTAGATGTAGTAAGGGAGGTGGATGGGGGTTAAGAGCAGACTTGGTGAGCTGGAGAAGCTCCATTCCAGTGATGGCCAGAACGTGCGTCCAGCAGCTTGTCCTGCTTTTCAAGATGTTTGCTTCTTTATTTTATTTAATTTTTTTGCTGAATAGATATCAGAAATACTTTTTGTTTTTAAATGTTAAAGCATTCAATTTTTAAATGTTAGCCACTAAGGCAATTTTTAGAAATCACCACCCCCCACCTTTAGTACTCTAAGGGCTAAGCATAAAGGCTGGATTTGGTCTTTGGGCAGCTGGTTCACAAACTCCGTCTCTGTCCCACGTGTCTTTCATTCATCTCTTAGGACTGGATAAGTTCTCAGAGAGATGACAGAAACTCCATGTGGGTGGGATATTTTTGTCTGCTTGCTCACTGCTGCATATCCCCAGGCATATAGTTGGCACTCATGAAATGTTTGTTGAATTAATAAATCCTCATAGCAATTCTGTGAGACAGAGACTATTATATCCATTCTTCAGATGAGAAACTTGGGGCTCACTGCATGAAATGAGCTCTTCACCATCACACAGTTCATAACCAAGGGAGGCACAATTTGCACCCAGGACCCCTCACAGTAGGGGCTACTGTGAAGGGAAAGACAACTGTAGTTGTGAAAGTGCTTTGTAAAACAAGAGGCTTGTGGGAATCATTGGTGCCAGTCCATAGGAGAAATACAAGTGGTACTTCTGACTGAATTGCATTTAAAGAAGATGGGGACCAGGGGCAGTGGCTCATGCCTGTAATCCCAGCACTTTGGGAGGCTGAGGCAGACAGATCACAAGGTCAGGAGTTCGAGACCAGCCTGGCTAACAAGGTGAAACCCCGTCTCTACTAAAAATACAAATTAACTGGGCGTGGTGGTGGGAGCCTGTAATCCCAGCTACTCCGGAGACTGAGGCTGGAGAATTGTTTGAACCCAGGAGGTGGAGGTTGCAGTGAGCTGAGATCGTGCCACTGCACTCCAGCCTGGGCAACAGGGCGAGACTCCGTCTCAAAAAAATCAAAATAAAAAATAAAATAAAATAAAGAAAATGGGACACGAGGTTATTTGGTGTCTCATCGAAGCCAGAGCGGCTCTCTGTTCACTCTGGAGCTGTGTTGTTTTTGTATGGATGTGGCAGTGGTGGCTGTGGATCTGAAAAAGGAGGTGTGAGTGTGGCAAACAGTAAGGTGGGGGGTTGGCCCAACTTATCAGAAGGGAAAGTCTCCCACCTCTCACACCCACCCCTCTCTGTGTCTGAACAGGACATGAGCCCACTGCTGCACGCAGAGGCTTGGGATGGGGTTGGCAGGAAGCCTGGGACCCCTTAGAGAGTTCTTTAATTTAAGAATCCTCTCTGATTTTATTATCCATAGGAAATATGGGGCGGTAAATCAGAGGAGATGGCTGGCAAGTGCATTACGGAGCATTAAACAATAGCTGATCAGCATCAGACACAAATAAATGGTCCATAATCTAGTGCCAAGAATATGGATAGTTCCCAAGTGGTGGCCTGGCTGGCTTCCAGGCAGGGGAGCACGGGGCTGGACATCAGGCCCTACAGGCCACAAAATGCCTGCCCTGGGTTACATCCCAGCAGGCAACAGGAGAAGATTCCAGTACCCAGACAGAAATCACATCCTTCCATCTGATCTCACTCTACAGGACTGGATTTGGGTGTTCTCACCATCTGGTTTCTGAGACCCGGACCCAAACATCACCTGAAGAGTCCTGCCTTCCTGGAAAATCCTGTATTCAATGAGGGAAACCACATGTGTCTGCAGGGTCATCGATGGGGATGGGTCGGCTCACAATGCCTAAAGGGAAGGCTTGTGAAGTGGATTCCCCTGGCTCCCCACCCCCAAACACCCTGGTTGACACCATTTCACTAGAGTATTGTTTAGCTTAGATCCTTAACCTCCATTAAAATGCAAGAACCATCAAAGCAGAGATAAATCAGTACCCTGGCAAGTCATGCACACTTTAATATAAAGCAATATTCAATCTTTTGCTAGAGCTTTGGGCATTGATATACTGAGGAAAAAGCAGGAGGGAATGGAAAATAAAGAATCCAGGCCAGGCGTGGTGGCTGTAATCCCAGCACTTTGGGAGGTCAAGGCCAGCGGATCACTTGAGGTCAGGAGTTCGAGACCAGCCTGGCCAACATGGCAAAACCCCATCTCTACTAAAAATACAAAAATTTGTCAGGCTTGGTGGCACGTGCCTGTACTCCTAGCTACTCAAGAGGCAGAGGTATGACAATCGCTTGAACCTGGAAGGCGGAGGGTTGCAGTGAGCCGAGATCGCACCACTGCACTCCAGCCTGGGCAACAGAGCGAGACCCTGTCTCGAAAAAACAAACAAAAAAGAATCCAGAGGAGAGTTTCCAGAGGATAGGAGGGTAGCCTACAGGACTTTAAAGGCCAATATCACTATTTATCCAAAACCATAAGGAGATTTGGTATATACTGGTGAAAGCCCTGGACTTAAAGAAGCAGGATTTCAGTCTCCAGCTCTCCCACATAACAGCTGCATGACCTTGGGCAAGTCACTTAACCTTTCTGAGCTGCCATTTCCTCATCTGAAAGGGGAAGTGGTGCTGCCCCCATTCAGGAGTGCTGCGAGAATTACACAAATTAAACTGTGTGGAAGGCCTGCCCTCCGGTAAATATCATTGTCTTTGTGTCTGTGCCTCCACATTCTGGAAATTGTACTACTACTGAGCTACCACTGTGGGTGGATACTGGAGCCAAGTCAATCCACAGACCCATAAGTGAGTCCAGCCAGGGCCAGCCAAACCCAAGCTAGATTAGCTGACCCTCAGTTTACCCACAAACACATGAACTTCAACAATAAATGGTTGTTGTTTTGATCTACCAAGTGTCACGGTGGTTTATTACCCACCAATGGTTAACGCAATACACCAAACGTGGGAATCTTGGCATTTTTAATAATTGCCATGTTCAATAGAAATCATTCTAATATATAAATGGCATTTATCTACCTTCTTAAGCAAGATAAAGTAGGCACAATCCAGTCATCACTGGTCCATTCATGTTCATCATAATGAAAACCAGTTAATGTACTGTAGTCAATGACGCCTTCAGGGGTTACAGACAGAGCAGAGGCTCTAGAGGTAGCTCTAGTCTACTATGTTTTGTTTGTTTTTTTAAACGAAGTTTCACTCTTGTTACCCAGGTTGGAGTGCAATGGCGCGATCTCAGCTCACTGCTACCTCCGCCTCCCAGGTTCAAGCAATTCTCCCGCCTCAGCCTCCTGAGTAGCTGGGATTACAGGCATGCACCACCACATCCAGATAAATTTGTATTTTTAGTAGAGACAGGGTTTTCTCCATGTTGGTCAGGCTGGTCTCGAACTCCTGACCTCAGGTGATCCACCCACCTCAGCCTCCCAAAGTGCTGGGATTACAGGCGTGAGCCACCGCGCCTGGCCTACTATTCTTTTTGAAATCTCAGGCCCATTTCCTAATTCTTTATTGTTTTTCTTGTAATCATTCTTATCATCCGTCATTGTGTCTAGCTTAAGCAGCAACTCCTCCCTCCCCAATTTAATATGCTATATATAATCACCAGCTTTCAAGTCACGGACTATCTATGTCTATTAGAGTGGTGCCCAAAGTAAGAGTTAATAGGCTTAGAATAAAGGCCTGAAATAGTTTTGTGTGTATCAAATATTATGTGCTTTAGCGATGGCATTTCTATCATCAGTTCTGGCCTCTGATGTTTTTTGCTCCTTCCTGGTTCTCCTCTGGGACCCAGCAGAGGAGGTTGCCAGGTAATGAACCTCTGATCCAGATAGCTGGTGCTGCACATGGCACTGCTGGAATAGTCTTTCTTGAAGACAGTGAAGGAGTGGATTATCTATGAAGGTAAGTACTGGCTTACAGGCCCATGAGAGCTCTTCCTCCATCACAACCCCTTTCCGGGGCATTTACCACACGCCACCTGTGTTTCAAAAGCAGGTGATCATGGAATCCCTCAGAGCAGAGGCCACATCCTACTTGTCTCCGTGTCCCTTGAAGCACACATTAGAGTGCCAGGCACACAGTAGGCACTCACTAAGTTATAATGCATAGAATGAAAAGATTTTCCTGGTTGCCCTTATTTTCTGTGTATACACAGCCTATCTTCAGAAGAATTAAGAGTCTATAAGCTTCTGAATATAGAATATTTTATATCAAACTGTTGGAAAATATTTCCAAAGGATTACAAGGAACAGCTTCCATTTTTTTAAAGCTTAAGTTTATTTCTGAACTGTGCTATCATAAAGCCATGGTGACTAAATTAGGGGGGCAAAGCCAAGTGACCACCGGAGAAAACATATCTTTGTGATACTGAGCTGGTTACCTTAGTGATTCCCGCTAGGTCTATTCCATTGTTTTCCCTAATGTCTAATGACCACATTCCCAGCCAGAAGTGCCTGTGGATGTGCGCACTGGTTGTTCTCCATCCCAACCCTCCCCTTGGCTCTCTGCCCTCAGTGTTCCAGTCCCTGACCTCCAGGCTCTGCCCTCTGGCTTCAAGTTGGGTTGGCCAATGAGAGGCGCTGCCAAAAGGTGCTTGGATGGGAGGAGAGAGAAGATGGTGTACTTCTCCTTCACTTTCTCCCTGCTTTAGGGCCTTCCATGACCAATGCTCTTGCTTAATGGCCCCTTCTCTAAGGCTCCAAATCTGCCTGGGATCCATTTTCCTATTTGCCCCTCTTGCCTTTTCAAGCACAGGGTGGTAAAGGCATATTGCAGTTGCTAATCTCTAGGTGCCTCAGCATTCCTTGTTGGTTCCCTTAACCCCGCCCACACCTCTCAAAGTGATCCCTTCATTCAGATCTTTTCATCTGAACCACCTGAGTTGCTTCTTTATCCTGCTGTTGCCCTGATTGGTACAGTCTGCAAAAAGCTTACCTAAGAGATATCTATGTTGTGCCAGGGTGCTCTCCAAGGCAAAGAGTTCAAAAGAAAACCAGAGGTTCTTTTCTCTCTAGTTTTCTGAACTCCTTAACCACTTTGGTGCTATTTAAATTAAGTAATACAAAATGATGGTAAACCCCAGTTTGCAGATGAGAAGCTTTTATTCATTCATTCATCAAATATTTATTGATTACTATGTGCCAGGCACTGTTCTGACCCTGGGAAAACAGTAAAGTACAAGAGAGACACATGCCCTGGCCACATGGTGCTTATAGTGTAAGGCCACTGTCTCTCAGAAGTCAGGGAGCTCATCAGAGGCAGGGCTAGAACCAGAAAACTGAGTTTCCTTAAGTCCTAACCTTCAGCAGATTCTCAAAGGAATCCATGACCCAAACATGATTAAGAACCACCAAATTAGGCCAAATTAACTCTCAAGCTTCTCCCTTGAACTGGGGAATGAATAATGACTACTCACTCCTAGAAGAAGCTTGATGCTCTTAACTTGAATTTGCAGGGGCATGTGGGCACACACCCACGGTGACACCACCACTCACCTTTCCTGCCCACCCTCCTGAATTCTCCACAAATCTGCCCCCACCTCCTTCTGTTTCTCACACTTTTATAATTAGCCTCACACCAGTCTCTGAGTCACTCCCTCATGGCCCACAAACGTTGGCTACACAACTTGCTGATGAGCTGTTTTTATCAATGGACAGCAGTTGGGAGCTGGATTCAGAGATGTGCCCTCTCTGAGAGCCTGGCATTTCTGGCCCTCCCTGTGTTTCCAGCAAAGGCAGCGATAGTGAAATTTCTGTCTCAGTTGAAGTATTTATGAGACTCATGTTGGAGGCATAACTAAAACTTTGCTGGGGAGAGTCAGGGGTCACTGAGGTGAATTGAGGGGGGCTGTGAGGGTCTGCCTGCCTCCTTCAAGCCCTCCGGAAACATTTGAGTTTCCTCAGAAAGGTTTAAATAGGCCATACTAGTAACCGAATACTTCCCCTGCTCTGGGTCAGACAAGACAAGGGCAACAGGCTGCTGACCTCAGAAAAGGTTGCAGGCTGGCAGACACAGCCCCTTCCCCAAATCTCCCAGCCTCATACCCGGCAGACACACTCAGCTCCAGACCTGGCTGTCACTGTGGAACCCCCTCCACTTCTCCCTGGAAAGCTCACTTCTCTCAGGACCTCCAGCTGCCTTGTCTGAGGCTGAAGGGAAGTCGCACCCAGGAAGACAGGTCTGGAGAAAGGGAAAACCTAGTCCTGAGGCTGCAACTGCCCCGCCGCTGTTCACCCCCCACCCCACCGGCCCCTGCCACCTGCATTTTCCCTTCGAGGGACTATTGTGGCCATGGATGCTATCTGGGTCTGGAAAGAGGTTTGTTTACTCCACAACAGCCCCTGTGAGGCAAGCCCCCTTCGAAGAGGTCAGAGATGTATTTATAGAAACATCTGAGACTCACTTCTCTATTACTTGCACACCTCTGTCTCTTTTAAGCTCTCCCAAATTCCTGACCAAGATGAAATCATGCAGCAAATGGGGAGAATAGGGGAGGCAGAAACCATTTTTCAAAGTGTCTCTGCTTTGAGCAGCCAGGTAGGAGCCGGTTGGAACAAGGACAGAAGGGGCTTCCGAGACAAGCTCGGGTGACAGGAAGCTGCTGGGGTGGCCGTCTTCCTTCCAACCTCCCTCCACCAACAGTTGAATGGCAAAAACATCAGGACACATTGCAAAACAATCTTCCTTCCTCCCCCTGTCCCCTGACAGATGGAAGAGAGGAAAGTTGTGGCCATCATTTACCTGCTGAGATTGGAAGAACGCTGTTGATGAAAGTCGGCTGAGACACGATAGAGAGGAAGAAAAGCTGAAGATAAATTCCCAAAGTCATTGGATTCAGGACAACCATGCTGGCCAGGGTCTGGCGAGGGTCAAGTTAGAAAGGAGGCTGCTGCGGAGCCTTGCTTATCTCTGCTTTTCTCTTCCTCACTGCTGTTTGCGTGCGCGTGTGTTTGTGTGTGTGTGTGTGCGTGTGTGTGTGTGTCTGTGTGTGTGTGTGTCTTTCCCTCTTTCTCTTTCCCTCTCCCTCCTCCTCACCCCCTCCCTCTCTCTCCCTCCCCCACCTCTCCTGTCTCCCATGCCTTTACCAAGAAAGAATGCCAACCATTTCCCATTAAACTGTCTCCATGCTACAGAGAGTTATATTTATCTCAAGCTCCATATCAAATGCCCACATTAAAATTAAGATGTCAAAATTTTCTTTTTTGGAGACTGAGGTAAGTGGCTAGTGAAGAGGTGATGAGAAGGCAGCCAAGTCTCAGATGTTCACTGGAGGCAGTCCTCAAGGGCAGAGAGATTCCTAATTGGTTATGTGCCACCATCTACCTCCTTGGAACTGGGCAGAAACAACTCTCCTGATTCAAACTGAATTTCATGGAGAAAAACCCCTCCACTGTCAGCCTGTGACATTTTTACCCATTGTGTAACAAATGTAAAGTTAACTTTTAATTTTTTTCTTTAATCATCCAATAAAAAGGAGGAAGGAAGTAGTTTATATTTCCAAACAGCTTTCTCTGTGAAAAAGTGTTTCTCTCTCCAAAAGCTGCAACCTTTTGATTCAATGCAAGGCAAAATAAATGAAAACAGTAAAAGTATAGAAAAGTGAATGATTTTTATCAAACTATATTCAGAAAAATAACATCACTAACTTAATCTTTGGCTAGACAAAATTATTCAAATAAAAATTATCACATTCTTAATACCTTTTATGAGTTTATAAAAGCCTGTTATAGAGATGATTAGATGACTAAAACAAAATAATAATTCACAGAGTTGTTCATTTTGCTTTAATTTACATATTACATGCCTCATAGGAGTTAACTCAGAAACAGTCTGCTAGTTACTGGATGCTGGGGTGGGCATCCTGCCCCTGTGCTCATTATGGGGAAGGTGGAGTTGGGTCAGGGCGTGGTATAAAGTGATATTTTACAGCTGTAGCACCACACTTGGGCTTGACTCTCAGCTCTGAGTGGCAGTGGACAAGCTCACCTCTCTAAGCCTCAGTTTTCTCATCCATACAATGGAGACAATGTTCCCTTTAAAGGTTTGTTGGAAAGTTAAGTGAGGTAATGGGGATGAATCCTACACGGATTAGAACTTGCACATAGGAACAGCACAAAGGAGACCCAAGGGAGCCATGGTAGCCTGGGTGCAAAGATGGCCTCCAAAAGTCCTCCCAACCCAGTGTGTGCATGACACTCTTCCCAGCAAAAAGCAGGGCTAGTTCCCCTCCCTTAAATCTGAGGTGGCTCTGTGACTTACTTTGACCAATAGAATGTGGCTAAAGGGACACTGTGCCATCTCCTGGCCTAGGCCTTAAAAGGCCTGGCAGCTCCTGCTTTTGCCTTTTCTTGAAAATCAGCTGCCACTTTAAAAAGTCTGGACTATTGAAGAGGCCACATGGAGGGGGAAGCAGCCAGCCTCCAGCTGTTCTGACTATCCCAGATGCAGCATCAACAGGCGAGTGAGGCCATTTTGGAACATCTAGCCCTGTCCTGGTCTCAGATGATGCCAGCCACAGGAGTGACCCCAAGTGAGACCCTCGAAAGAACTGCCCAGCCCAGATTACGAAGTCATGAGCAAATAAAACGGCTATTGTTTCAAACCAGTAAGTTTTAGGATGACTTGCTCATCAGCAATAGCTAACTGATACAGAGTTGATAAGGAAAGCTTTTGAAAGCATGAAAAATATACCTGAACTACATTCAAAATTTATAGGACAGATTAAAGAGAGGGTACCCCCATTTAGCTGCTCCCAAAATTTTTACAAGAAGGAGCTGTGATTGCTGGCCAAACTCAATCAGGACATTCTCAGGCTCACTCTTGTTAACTCCTGGAGCCCCAGCAGCCAGCTTCCAGTGGCTTGGAGAAGGTACAGTCTACCTGGGAGGAAGGTATCTTTTGAGTAACTTGGTGTCAGAATATGAATTTTTACTATCTAGCTCAGATTCCTCCTCTGCAAAGCCAGTATGACTTCTTCCTTCTCTCAGCACAAAGAATTCACCACTGACCATACCCTTGGAACAAATTCTGTCAATACGTCCTACCGGTGACACCTGCTGCTATTGTTTTTGAACACCACCTTGTGTTGCTATTTAGCTGGCATTAACATCCCTAAAGATAGGGGACTATCCCACAGCTCTATGTACTCTCAAGGCCCCCAGGACAGTCCTTGTCACCTAACAGATCCTCAACAATGTAAGTTACTTTGATCAAATCACACCACTGGGTAGGATGAAAAAAGAAGAACGTACAAAAGTAGCATAACTTTATGCTCCAGCTTTCTGCACAACTTGCATTTCCCCAGCACCCCTTGGAGCCTCTGCACATACAGCTGGGTGGCCTGCGCCTGATACAAGGGAGGGCTTTGGTGAGTATGGTGAGAGTGTGAGAGGGACTATGGATGGCCACCTTGAATTAGGACCCGCAGACAGAGAGGCTAAATTTATAATTCAAGTCACTGGAGAATGAGTCACTGCTGATCTAAAGTTACGACAGGAGCCTCTACCCTTTGAGGAGGCCCCAACACAGAGTTATTTATAAGGCCCCAATACTTATTAAACAATTTTTAGTAAATTTCCATTTCCTTAGGTATCTTATATTTTATGAACCTATTTCTTATAAGATTACCCTAACTGACCAAGACAGAAATTATCATCTTTCTTCAAATCCTCCTGGAAGGGCTCTGATGTTTCCAGAATCTAATAACATAGACTATTAGATTTGTCCAGAAGGAAACTATTTGAGATTTGAGAAAAGCTCACACCAATAAAGCCATTCAAAGTCAGAGTCTTCCCTCTCAGACCTTGTAGGCAGGACTGTACACTGGAAAACAATCTTTTGGCCCCATTAAACTTAAAATGCACATGCCGTCTGACCCAGAAGTTCTCAGAAATACTCATTCACTACCCAGTGGTTTAGGTGCAAGGGTGTGCATTGTTGCCTCAAGTTGGAAACAGCCTAACTGTCCATGAATGAAACATTGGTGGAATAAATCCTGGGACATCCATTCAAAATGTTATGCAGTGACTAGAAAGAATAAGGCAGTCTTTGCAACAAATGGTGCTGGAAAAATTTGACTTCCATATGCAAAACAAACAAATAAAAATAAAGATTAACCCTTACCTTGCCCCATGCATACAAATTATTTTAAAATAGACCACAGACCTAATTGTAAATGCTAAAATATTAAACTTACGGCAGAAAACAGGAGAAAATCTTAGTGACCCTGGGTTAGGTACAGATTTTTTAAATAAGATGCAAAATACAAATCTTAAATTTAAAAAAGTTAAATTGGACATTATAAAAACTTTAATGCTTCTGCTCTTCAAAATAGAATACTAAATTGGAAAGCCAAGCCAAAAACTAGGACGTAATATTTGCCAAACACATATATGATAAATGATTTGTAGCTAGAATATATTAAAACTTTCACAGCTCAATAATAATAAGATAAAAAACTTAATTAAAAGAAATGGCAGGCCAGACATGGCTCACACCTGTAATCTCAGCACCCTGGGAAGCCAAGGTGGGTGGATTACCTGAGGCCAGGAGTTTGAGACCAGCCTGGCCAACATGGTGAAACCCCATCTCAACACAAAATACAAAAATTAGCTGGGTGTGGTGGCACACACCAGTAATCCCAGGTACTCAGGAGGCTGAGGCACAAGAATTGCTTGAACCTGGGAAGCAGAGGTTGCAGTGAGCTGGGCTCACACCACTGCCCTCCACCCTGGGCAACAGAGCAAGACTCTGTTTCAAAAAAAAAAAACTGAAATGAAATAAAGAAATGGACACAGCCTGGACAACATGGCAAAACCCTGTATCTATGAAAAAAAAACAAAAAACAAAAAACAAAAAACAGAACTAGCTGGGTGTGGTGGTGCATGCCTGTAGTCCTAGCTACCTGGGAGGGTGAAGATAAGGGATCACCTGAGCCCAGGAGGTCAAGGCTGCAGTGAGCCATTACTGCGTCACTCCAGCCTGGGCGACAGAATGAGACCCTGTCTCAAAAAAGGGAGGGAAGGAAGGAGGGAAGAAGGGAAGGAAGGAAGGCAAAAGATGCGAATATATATTTCACCAAAGAAGATACATTAATGACAAATAAACATTTGTAAAGATACCCAACATCTTTAGTCATTAGGGAAATGCAAATTAAAACCACAGTGAGATACCACTACACACCTACTAGAATAGCTAAAATTTAAAAGACTGACAATACCAAGTGTTGGTGAGGATATGAAGCAACTGGAATTCTCAAACATTGCTAGTGGGAATGCAAAATGGTGTAACCACTTTGGAAAAAAATGTCAGTTTTTTATAAAGTCAAATATACACTTATTATACATCCAACAATTCTACTCTTCAGTATTTATCCAAGAGAAATGAAACACATGTCCACAGAAAGACTGTACATGAAAGTTCATAACCACTTCATTTGTAATAGCTAAAACTAGAAACAACCCAAATGGCCATCAACCAGTGAATGGATAAACAAACTGCATGTGTACATACAATGCAAAACTACTCAGCAATAAAATGGAATAAACTAAGTAACATGGAAGAATCTCAAGTGCATTATGCTAAGTGAAGGATGCCAGACACAACAGGCTACATACTGTATAATTCCATTAGTAGGACATTCTGGAAAAGGCAAAACTATGGGGCTGGAGAACAGATCCATGGTGCCAGGGGTTAGAATTGTGAGAAGAGAAGGGGGCCCAAGAGAACTAGCAGTGATGAAAATATTCTTTATCTTGATTAGAGTGGTTGTATATTTTGTCAAAATTCATCAAACCGTACTCTCAAAAAGGGTCAGTTTTATTATATGTACATTTTCCATCAGTAAACTTGACTTTAAAAAATAAGAAAAATGTCACATGTATGCACTGACATGGAAGATTGTCAATGGAACACTGTCGAGTGAAATAAGAAAGTGGCAGTATATCCGACCAAATTTCTGAACAAACAAGCAAATCTCTTTATCAGTTTTTATATGTGCGTAGAGAAAGATCTAGAATGATGTACATCCCACAGTATATGGGATAAGAGAAGATAAAAGGAGAATTCCCTTTTCAAGCTTATACATATTTGTATTAAAATTTTTACAATGAGCTTTATTTAACTTGTAATTTAAAAACAAAATTCTATTTTTACAAAATCAAGTTAGGGCGGCCTTAGGAGTAAAGAAAACAGCAGAAAGGAAAAAGGCGCCAATCCTGCATGCCCGAGGTCCAACAAGTCTTTTGCAGACGTGTTGTGAAGAGCAGAGAGTTATTGATTGGTCCTGGCAGAGAAACAGAGCTCTGAGCCTGGTCTCTCTGGCCCAGAATGGATGATACTTCAGTTATGCAGAGGTCATAGCCACCTCCCACCAGCAGGCGGGAGGCAAGCCTGGGCAACTGAGAAGCCCCAGGAAAGCCCCTCCTCACAGCTCACTGTTCCCTGGCAACTTGGTCTTAAATCAAAGCCAGAACTGATGGGGCCTGGGAATGCAAAGCATAGCTTCATCAGAGGGCCAGAAGAGCTAACGAGTCTGATAAGACCCATTAGACTTATCCAGGCATCTCGCCCATAGTTACATCTCCAGGGCCAGGAGCTTAGATTTCCTCACTTTCAGGGCAAAGATAGTAGGCTGGCCTTGAGCCATCTGGAGTGCAATCACAACACTAGCGACAGTAATCTTAACCAATACAGTGTTTTTCATACTATGCTGGGGGGTGTGCTCATTCTGAGATGCATGGTTTTTGAAAAGCAGAGGAGTTCATGGACATTAGGAAACCCTGCCTGTTTTATGTCACTGTTGGAAATTCACAACATTTATTGGCATATCAAAAACACTGAGAAGTCCGGCAGTAAAGAAATGCATTGACTTTGCTTTTACCCCAAACATATTTGACCCTCAAACCCATTTTTATTTAATTCTTATTATTTAGCTCCCCACTTTTCTCTTATCTACATGTTATACACTAAACATGTTACTGGTATGATAAATAATCGTATATAGGGCTTTATTTTGTATGAAATCCTTATCTTTTTTTCATTCGATAGTCATAAGTGAGGCAGCAAGACTAGAATTATAATTCCCATCTTACAGATGAGAAAACTGAGGCTTATGTGAAGTTCTGGGGACAGCAGCAGAGGTTCAGGTCATTGGCTGGCTGGAACAATGCCTAGCAAGACTAGATATGAAGCGTGCAGGCTGCTGAATGACACATCGAATCAGATGTCACCAGTGCTCTAGCCTTTAGGGCTAGACATGTTCTCCATGGAACACCAATCAACCTGTCTTTACCTGAAACCAGACTCAGAAAGGTTGTGAGTCCAAGAATCATTCAACTCTGAGGATGCAAAACCACATTCTTGGTAGGGAGACAGGACATAAGGGAAGGCCAGGGACTTCCGAGGAGACCCCAAAATGCTTTATGACAACCCGAGGATTGATGGTTCTTGAACTAAAGCCCATAGGAAGGAAAAACATCCTGAATCCTGAACAAATAAATCCTAACGTTATTTATTTCAAGAATCATAGGAATAAGTAAGCTCATAATATTTAGTAAGCCACCAAAGGGCGAAACAAATCTGCCTCGCTCTTTCAGGTGGAGCTTGCCCCAGATTTCCCCTAAGGTGAACCCTGGGAAACTTAGGTGACATTCACTGCGAACTCTCTAGCCAGTTCAAATGCATATTCCTAGTATACTATTTGTACTTAACACAAGCTAATTGCAAATTTTTATTTTTATATATTTATTGAAATAATATTACCACCCACAATCCCATCACCTCCCCCAACACCCTCAGCCCATCACCGGCCCCCTACCCCAATCCCAGTCCCCAACCACACCACCTTGCCTCCTGGAGAGATGGTTCCTCTTGCATTTGAGGAGATTGGATGGGGTGGGGAGGAAGGCCCACCTAGCAACTTGATTTGGCCCAAAGCCATTTTCAAAGCTTGGATCTTGTCTCTGCCCAGCTAAAGGTGGAGATCAAGGGCATGTGGCTGTGTTTGGCAAAACCTTTAATAACAATAGGCTAATGCTGACCAAGACTGAGAAGTAAAGGGTAAGAAAGGGAACCACTCTTACTGCATATAATTATGCATCCTGCATCCCAGTTATGAGAAGAGAGAGCTTAGCCAATATGCGCAATAATCAGGCACTGCTAGGGAGTATCGTAGAGTCACCTACTAGCTGAGGCTGGCTGTGTAGGAAATAATCTCCTCAGAGATGGACAAGAACATACATAGGCACCCACGCTGCTCCAATGAAGCCTTACAATCCCTGTGACAAGGAGGTTCCTCCCATCCTGCAGGTTGTAGTACAAGTCGCACAAACCTGAGGTCACAGTATGTTCTGTATTTAATCCACTTAAGGCCTTAAAGTGCTTTAAAAATACTCAGCCACAGGGAAAGGGTTATCTCCAAGGCCAAAATGTAAACATATGCAATCTCAGGTAAGAGGAACAGGTGATTTTTTTTTAAGTACAAGAGAGATTAAAAATTTTCCACCCAGTTATCATGGATTATGTGGCAATCTGTTTCCTTATATAAAGAGTTACTAAATGTAACTGTGAAGTTTTAAAACCACAAGAGTGTCCTCAGGAAGTAGATGAACAAGGTTAAACTAGAGAAGACAGAAACAGAAAAGCAATGATTCAGGAAGGTAAGAGAGAGGTCAGAGAATTCATTCACTCATTATTTTTCTGTTTTCCTGTTATTTATTTATTTATTTATTTTGGAGACAGAGTCTCACTTTGCCACCCAGGCTGGAGTGCAGTGGCACAATCTCAACTCACTGCAACCTCTGCCTCCCATGTTCAAGACATTCTTGTGCCTCACTTTCCGAGTAGCTGGGATTACAAATGTGCACCTCCATGCCCGGCACATTTTTTTGTGTATTTAGGAGAGACGGGGTTTCACCATGTTGGCCAGCTGGTACTGAACTCCTGGCCTCATGTGATCCACCTGCCTCGGCTTCCCAAAGTGCTGGGATTATAGGCGTGAGCCACCATGCCTGGCCCATTATTTTTTCATTCAATAAATATTTACTGTGTTCCTATCACAACACAGGCCAAGATCTACAAGCTGTAGATTCAGCATGCACAGAGTGTACAAAAGTCCCTGCCCTTGGGAACTTACATTCTAAGGAGGTCTCAAGACAGAAGCACACTGGTGTTCAGTGTAATGTAGAATAATGGAGAGAAATAATTGATCATGGAGAGCCTCCCTGAGGAGGTGACATCGGAGCAGAGACCTGAGAAAACGAGCCATGCAGATATCTGGGAGGAAAGCATTCTAAGGCATCAGGTGCAAACATCCTAAGGCACCAACAAGCTTGGTTTTTCCAGGAGGAGCAGAATGGAGTTACACGTGGCTCGAGCAGAGTAAGCAAGAGGGAGAGTGAAGGAAATAGGATCCAAGAAGCCACTGGGGTCAGGTCATGTGGCATTTGTAGGCCACGCATGGAGTTTGGACTTTGTTTTAAGATGGAAGTCAGTGGAGGGTTTTGAACAGGAGTGGCAGCTCTGATTTGTGTTGTAACAGGATCACCCCTGGCTTCACCACAGTAGATTGTAGGGGGAAGTAGGAGGCCTAACAGGAGGACACTGAAGGTGGAGATGATGGTTGGTTTTCCAAGAAGTGACAATGGAGGTGGTGAGTAATGATCAGATTGGATAGATATTTAAGGTCGTGTAGCAGATTGTATTTTCCAAAGTCTGCAGCGCCACCAAATACCCCACCCTCCCCTGTCTTCTTCTGATGGAATGTTGTTGCTTCTCCTTGAGAGGTGGTGTGTGTTTTCCTTCTCTGAACCCTGGCTCCTTCCCCTCCCAATTCTCTGCACCTCTATTGTTTTCCAGGTCACACTCACCCCAACCTGACACCTCCTTCTCCCCAGCCTCCAGGCCTTTATTAAAGTTACCAGAACACAGAAAGGGCTTGCAGTGAGCAGCCTTCTCACAGACACAGGTGCAGGTGCCAGGCTTGGCTTCTAGGCTAGCGTACGACAACACAGGGATGGGACGGGGAGAAAAGTCTTTCCTGAGACGCTGCAGAAATCTGGAGAGGACTTAGCGTGATCAGAGCTATGGAACTGGGGTCAGTGGTGATCTGGGAGGCTTGACTGCCATCTGAGTTACAGGAATTTGGAAGGAGTGCCAGAGTCGATGAGGAAGGTAAGAGATGAACTTTAATTGTAGTTCTCTGGGAAGTATTCACGGAATAGTCATTTCTGACCTTAAGGGATGAAAATACCAACTACAACCACCAATCATTAAATACCTATGATATTCCTACAGATGTGATTTCTTGGAAGCCTCTAGGCTTTTGAGCTAACTCTATGAGATGGGTATTACTCTCTCTATGGATAGAGGTTGACAAAGGTAGCTTAGGTAATCTGCTCAAGGCCACAGAGCTAGAACACAAAGCTGGCCCACATACCTCAAAGCCTGTATTCTTTACACCACACTACCCAGCTCCAGGACCAGACACAGTAGGGAAATGGGGAGACAGGTGAGTGAACTGCCCCACCCCAGGGCACAGTGTGGGCATGATCATGGCCCTTTTGGGGGCAGTGGCAGGGCCTCTTGGCTGGGAGCCCTTGAAGAGAAATAGAATGAGGTATGCTTGGATGATAGACTGCTGACAGATTCTGGTGGCTCAGCATAGCAGAAGACCACTTCCAAATTTGGACGGCTGGACAGTGGGGGAACATTTTATTTGGGCTTATTGCACTCCAGCTCCTGCTCCTGCTGGGAACTGCTAGCAAGGACAGCTTGCCCTGTGTTTTCCCTGGCCTGACATCCTATTCCAGAATCCCTGCACTTTCTCCACCTGGAAAGCCTCCTGTCCCCATCCCTTCATGTCCAAATCCTCCCAGCTCTCCCAAATTTAAATGTTTCCCCCTCAACAAAGCCTTTGCCAGGAGAAATGTGTTCCCTCTGGGAACTTGCCTAGTTCATGCTCTGCTTTTCTTCCTTGGCACTCCTTGGGCAGCGGGCTTGAGGGCAAGAGCACCATGGTTTAAAGCAGACAGTACCTGTTTTGATACCTGGCTCTGCCACTCATTAGCTAGGAAACTCTTCAGAGTTCCTCTGAAGGAATCCTTCTGGGGTTTCGATAAAGTGTCAGAGATTACTGCTGAGGCTCCTTGGACAACGACTATCCAGATCTCAGGACTCAGCCCTCCTCCCTCCTTCCTTCAGGACCCCTAACTAGGGAAGCTCCATGTAAGCCTTAGCAGCCAAATGGAAATGGGAGGTCACCTTTTAATAATAGTGGTAACAACCAAACAGGTTCTGCTAAAGTTGGAGAATGTGGGTTAGGCCTGGAGACCACAGAGAATTGCCTGCTTCCTCCCCATGGAATCTAAGATGGCCAGCTCCTCTTTGGGCTCCTGTCTGCCTCCCCTCCAGGGATAGGGAGGAGAGAGGTGGCACACAGAGTCCAGATCTGGGTAAGCAGCTGCTAGGAAGCCTCCTGACCATAAGCATGAGACAAAGGTAGCCCATGCCACGGTGCTGATCATTATGGTGGGGTGACACCCACCCATGAGTAAAATGACCCAAAGAGTGTCCTTGGTTCTGATCAATCTAACTGATAACTCCTTTTTTTTCTTGTAGGGCATGGGAGCATGGACTTAGATGGTGGTAGCCCAGGCAGAAATGTGGGGAAAGGCGTCTCCTCTTCAACAGTATGGATTAGACACACAGCATCTAAAATACCTTATAAAGGAGCATGGTGGCTCACGACTGTAATCCCAGCAAGTTGGGAGGCAAATATGGGTGGATCACCTGAGGTCAGGAGTTCAAGACCAGCCTGGCCAACATGGCAAAACCCCGTCTCTAGTAATAATACAAAAATTAGCTGGGTGTGGTGGCATATGCCTGTAATCCCAGCTACTTGGGAGGCTGAGGCCAGAGAATTGCTTGAACCTGGGAGGCGGAGCTTGCAGTGAGCTGAGATCATACCACTGCACTTCAGATTGGGCAATAGAGTGAGACTTCATCTCAAAAAAACAAACAAACAAAAAACCTTATAGAATGTCTTGCCATGTGGCAGGAGTGATCTAAACTATTCCAAAATATGAATATTGAGGTTTGCGTGTATGTATATGTGTAAATGTAAATGAAGCTCTAGTCTGTTCTTTCAACCTTGCAATATAATTGTCTTGGTCTGTTTGGGATGCTATAACAGAATATCTTTCCCTGGGTGGCTTATAAACAACAGAGATTTATTTATCACAGCTCTGGGAAGTCCAAGATCAAGGTGGTGGCAGATTTGGTGTCTGGAGAAAGCTCATTTCTTGGTTCATAGATGGCAGTCTTCTCTCTGTGTCCTCAACATGGCAGAAACAAGGGGTCTCTCTGAGACTTCTTTTTTAAAGGCACTCATCCCATTCATAAAGGCTCTAAACTCATGACTTAATCGCGTCCCAAAGGCCCTATCTCCTAATACCATCACTTGGGGATTAAGTTTCAACATATGAATTTGGGGGGGAACACAAATGTTTGGTCTATAGCCGTAATTATTTAGGTATGTGCTTTATTTCTCTAAGTAGATTATTAATTCTTGAGCACAAGGCCCTTGCTGCTTTATCTCTTTATTCCTCCAGGTGCCAAATCTGATTCACAGAAGGCATTCAATAGTGTTGAATGAATTAATGAGTTGATTTGCATGACGCATGCAAGTTAGACAAACTACACTGCATATATCTAGAACCTTAAAAGTAATTCAGGCCAGGCGCGGTGGCTCATGCCTGTAATCCCAGCACTTTGGGAAGTGGAAGCAGGCGGATCATTTGAGATCAGGAGTTCGAAACCAGCCTGGCCAACATGGTGAAACCCCATCTCTACTAAAAATACAAAAATTAGCTGGGCATGGTGGTGGGCGCCTATAATCCCAGCTACTTGGGAGGCTAAGGCAGGAGAATTGCTTGAGCCTGGGAGGCAGGGGTTGCAGTGATCCATTGTACTCCAGACTGGGTGACAGAGTGAGACTCCGTCTCAAAAAAAAAAAAAAAAAAAAAGCTAATTCAGCCTGGATCAAGTTTCCCTTTATAAAGTCTCAGAACAGATGTGGTTCTTGCCAAGAGAATCATGGGTTTGCAGCCCCACGGGCCTTTGCTTTAAATGGAATGACACATGGAAGGCACCTTGCACAAGTCTGGCCCAGGAATGTGAGGTTCCAGGGCCCTCTGTGTGAGCCGGCAGCTGGGTGAGTGCCTTGATGCCCACCTGCCTCCCCCAGTCTCTCTCCACAATATGCCAGACATCTCCCATATCAGGGATGTCACCTAGCCTGGGACAAAAGAACCAGCTCTCCTCAGCTCTGGCTTCAGGAAGTGCCAGGTCATTGATCCTTGAAAAAAATAGTCTTCAGATGGGAAGATGCTGACATGATGACATAACCCCAATGACAGCCTGTGATTCTCCACACACTGCCTGGAAAATGCATTAGCCAAGTGTATTAGTTTGCTAGGGCTGCCATAATAAAAAGTACCCCCTGCTGGGCAGCTTAAACGACAGAAATTTATTTCTCACAGTTCAGGGGGCCAGAAGTCCAAGATCAACATGCAGACAGAGTTGGTTTCTTCTCTGACTTCTCTCTTTGGCTTGCAGATGGTCACATTCTTGCTGTGTCATCGAGTGGTCTTACCTGTGTGTACACATTCCTGGTGCCTCATGTGTCCAAATTGCCTCCTCTTATAAGGACACCAATTGGATTGGATTGGGGCCCACTCTCATGATCTTATTTTATCCTAACCACTTTTTTTTTTTTTTTTTTTTTTTGAGACGGAGTCTTGTTCTGTCGCCCAGGCTGGAGTGCAGTGGTGTTATCTCAGCTCACTGCAACCTCCGCCTCCCAGGTTCAAGCGATTCTCCTGCATCAGCCTCCTGAGTAGATGGGATTACAGGCATGCGCCACCACTCCCGGATAATTTTCTTTGTATTTTTAGTAGAGACGGGATTTCACCATATTGGTCAGGCTGGTCTCGAACTCCTGACTTCATGATCCATTTGCCTTGGCCTCCCAAAGTGCTGGGATTACAGGTGTGAGCCACTGCGCCCGGCCTATCCTAACCACTTCTTAAAGACCCAATCTCCAGATACAGTCATACCTGAAGTACTAGAGGTTAGGGCTTCAACACATGAATTTGGAGAAGACACATTTCAGCCCGTAACACCCAGCTTAACTGGTTTCAGCTGTGGAAGAAAGCACACATCTCTGGGGTCAGAAGGACCTGAATTTAAGTCCATTTATTTCCCAGCTATATGATCATGGGCAAGTTGTTAAACCTGTCTGAGTTTTTGCTTCCTCATTTGCAAACTGGAGTTCCTGGGTTTGTGAGAATCAAAGGAATGGTCATGTGGAAAGTTTCCCCCTTAGCCCACTATGGGAATGTTTGGACTCGAATACACATGGCAACTTGCTGATGGAGCCCTGGGGAAGAGAGGGGAGGAGGGAGGAGTGCTCATGGCTCCCTTTAGCCCTGCCCTAGCCTAAGGAGAAAGAAGGCCGCTATGGAGCAGATGCATTAAGGACATCTTCCCTACTCCTGTGCTGGTGGGGGGCGTCACTGTGCCAGGCACAGGAAATGGATCAGGTTTTAGGCTACCTATTATCAGGCACATAGAGACAGCCAGTACCTCTCTTTAGGTAGAGACCTCCCTTGCTATTTGAATTGAATGAGAAGTTTTGATATAGACACGGCTGGACTTTCTAACGCTTGAAAATGAGATATCTGGTTAATAGCTGAAACGAACAGCGAAAGCTATGATTCCTGCTTAAACTATAACCCAAAATCTGGGAAAGGGAGATGTGATAAAGCTCTTTTAAGAGCCCCAAACTTTCAATAAACTAGTTATCAGTACTTCTTATTTCTTGTCTCATTGGTATCTTATATCCCTAATCCTTCTTCAAAGCACCAAAAATTCAGATCTTCCAACTTTTGCCACAATACAAGGGTCAAGCCAAAGCACTCTCCTAATTGAGTTATCCCCTTTGAATAAAATCTTACATCTCACTTGATTTTTACCATTTGTCCCACAAAAAATCCCAAACCTCTTATAAAGTGATCTTTAAAAAGCATGTTAAAATGTAATACAGACTGAAACTGAGGGCTCCAGTGCAAGTGTGGGTGGGGAGAGGCAGCAGAGGGTGGAGACAGGCAATATGAGTCAGGCTGCAGGAGGATGCAATGAGCTCAGTCTCTGCAGTTACCTGAAGAGTTAGCTGGGGCTGGAGGATTTCAGAAACCTGGACTTCTTTATAGGGCTTCATGACTGTCTTCAGGACATGTCAAATGGCTTACCCAAGAGCAAGCGATCCAAGAGGAATATAAAGGAAAATGCCTCCAGGCGTCCAGGCCACACTCAAGGAGAGAATTAAGCTTCACCACTTGAAGGAAGGAGTACCAATGAATCTGTAGACATATTTCAAAACCATCACTTTCTCCCATTCATCTGCTTTTCTTGAGTCAAACTTGTGTACACCAAGGTTCTCCTTCCTTAGAGTGACTTCCTTCTCATAAGGCTCCCTAGTTCGTTATGCAAATGAATCCTAGCATCCTCTCTGCCAGCTCCCCGAATTTGTAGGGGCACACAGTCTTTATCCTAGCCCAGCACACTTGCTTTTGTATGCCATCGTGGCCCAGAACAAACTTACACCGAAACTCCACTTCCCTATCCTTTTGACCATCCTGTGCCTCAGGAATGAGGCCAAACATCCATGTACACCTGCATAGAAGAAAAATGGGCCAATTTTTCTTCTTAGACACCTACAACTAAAAACATATCACCCAGTGGGTAAGCAGAGAGGTCAAATCTTAGCATGCATCAGGTCACTCAGAGAATGTTTTAAAACAAAGATTTTCAAGTTTCTAACTCAGAAAGTCTTGGGAGTTGGGTGCGGATTTCCATTTCTTATGTTTCCAGATGATGCTCCTGCTGCTCGTCCATGGGCCACACTGCGAGAATCACTGGTATAAGGGTTAATTGAGTGAAATGAATGCACCTACAGTGATTGAATTATTGGGGCACATTTATCCAGGTGGCCATTTTCAGCAGGGTAATTTGGACAAACTTACAACTTCCCTGGAATATTATGTTTTGTGGCTATGTTCTTCTGGTCTCTTATCTCCTTCCTATGTTCTTCCCCTTCCATTAAATATATCCACCCTAAAAGCATATATAACCTATTTTTTCTTTTAGATTTTTGTTTATAACTGCCTTTCACTTTATTGGTACACAAATTCTGAGAACTGACGCCTTGGAGGAAGCCCTGTGGTTTGCAAATTCAAAAACACATTTTGAATTGAGGCCAACTTAAAAGCATATCTCATTACTTTTTTTTGGATTTTCTTACGTGCTCCAACTTTCCATTACATTTCTCCCCTTTCCTATCAGTTTGAATCTGCAAAGTACTTGACTTAGGAACTTCACAAACTCAAAGCAACTAACAAATGGTAGCATCTAATATGCAAATGACCTTCTAAAGTAATTTTCTGTTTTTATTCTGCTCTATTTCAGTCAGTCTGGGAGATTTCTGGAAAGAGCCTGTTCTAAAAGCATTTCCATTTATATTAGTAACTGGCTCCATAAATAGCCAATTTGTTTTACTTTTCTCTGGATCATTCTCAACCCTATTTGTTCCAGTTGAGTCAAATTGTCAAAGAAAGCTGAATGGTTTATATTCCTGATGTACAATTTTTAACATATTTGCAAGAAAAGGAAAAAGAAAACTACACCAGCATATAACATTGTTTTTATTGATAACCTCTCTCTCCAGCCAGCTAGTAATCTATTTCTATTAAAAATGGAGTCTGGCTTTTAAAAATAATGAATGCTGGCAGGGTGCAGTGGCTTATGCCTGTAATCCCAATACTTTGGGAGGCTGAGGTGGGTGGATTGTTTGGGGCCAGGAGTTCAAGACCAGCCTGGCCAAATGGCAAAACCCCATCTCTACTAAAAACACAAAAATCAGATGGGTGTGGTGGTGCACATCTGTAGTCCCAGCTACTCAGGAGGCTTAGGCAGAAGAATCACTTGAACCCAGGAGGTGGAGACTGCAGTGAGCTGATCATGCTACTGCACTCCAGCCTGGACAACAGAGCAAGACTCTGTCTCAATAATAATAATAATAAATAATGAATGCTGTTGATAGTGGGGAAGGCTATGCCTGTATGGAAACCAGAGGTGTATGAGATATCTCTGTACCTTCCTCTCAATTTTGCTGTGAACTTAAAACTGCTCTTTAAAAAATAAAGTCTTTTAAAACATGAATGTAAAGTGTTTATTGCATAATGACTTAATGGCAGGATGAAGATATATTAAAATATCCATTGGGAAGAAATTTTCAAAGATCCCAATACCAAAGTCTTTGGTGAGCACTTTCATCCCACTGGCTGGAACTCATCAAAGCTCCCTCCTGTTGTGTTGAGTTCCGTGTTGCCACGACTCTGAGGAGGAGATTCAGATGCACACCTCATGCACACTGCCACGTTATTGTTGCTTAGGTGCTAGATGTCTCCCCTAAGTGGTCACTGTTCAGCGCCCTGAAGCCTGTGTCCCTGGAGAAGCCCACCTCACATCTCCTACAATTTGAGGAGCACCATCTCCCCTGCTTTCTCTTATTTATCAATCTCACTGAATCAAATCTCAGCCAATAGTTTGTCTGGTCGCCCCTTTAGCTGTTCTGTGGGAACTGTGTCTAGTGTCTTTTCTCAGATGAGCAATCTAGAGGCTCACATCTTGCTACACACAAGGTTAGCAAAGTGCATGGCACACAACGGTGACTCAGTAGAAGCTGAATGATATAAAAGAGTTATGATCTATCTCTTTACCACTTTATCACTGCTCCTCCTTGTACTTTGACATTGCTTGTTCTTTAGGTAATCCTCAGTTTTGTCACCTAAATATTAAGCCCAGAATTTTGCAAGAAGATCAAAATGGAAAAAATTCAAAAGTTCTCAACTTAAAAACACAGCCCCATTTATTCTCTTTTGAATCTTTTCTCTTTTAAAATTGCACTCTTCAAGATAAAACCACACCATATGCGACCCTGAAAAAGCCACTTAATTTCCCTGAGCCTCTTTCCTTACCTGGGGAATAATACCACTCCCTCCAAAAGGTTTCTGTGAAGAATGAAATAAAATTATGTGTATGAACCCTCCTAAGAGTTATGTAAACTTGATTATCATTATTCCCTCAAATCTAGATCAAAACAATACCAGTAAGCAACATTGACAGTTACCTAAAACAGAACATTAGCCATTTTCTCTTCCATGTTTTCTTATTATTTTCCTGAAGTCCTCCATTCCTTGGGTCATCTCAGGGAGTGGATGGGTCAGCCAAGTCTGGGGAATCCCTGAACAGAAGAGACCATTGCCTGACTTTCCAGAGTGTGGACCCCAAGGAGAAGCCCATGCCCAACATGGCATCCAGTGGCAGCATTCCAGCGTCTGAGGGAGAAGTCCAGGCAGATGGGCCTGAGAGACCTGCAGAGATCTGTACATCCCAGCATAGCATGAGGAATGATGCCAGAAACTTCCCATGTCCCCATGGGAAGGGGCTGAGCAGATGGCAAACTGGAAAAGTCCTGTTTGCAAAGAGTAGATCCATTAGCAAATTAGAAGTGGAGCCTCAGGATGGGAACTCCATGAGGAGAGGGGACAATTATAGTAGCTGGTCTCCAAAGATGGCCCCCAGTCAACCACACCTCCCAGGGGTCACATTCCTGTGTAGTCCCCTCCCACACTGAACCTCACTTGGTCCTGTCATTTGCTGTAACCATTAGAATGCAGCAGAAGTGATACTGTGCCAGTTCCAGGCCTGGCAGCTTTTACTTTTGCCCTCATGAGAAAAACCAGGTACCCTTCTGGAGAGAGACCACATGGAGGAGTACCAAGGGGCCACAGTTGTCCTGGACCAATCAGCTTAAGGCTGTCAGAAACAAATAAGAAGTCTAACAAAATCAGGTTTATTCATCCATTGCAATGAGGGAGACAGCAGCCCAGAGGAACCGTGGGGCAGCTCACCAAACAAATGTAAAGTAGAGTTAGTACAGGATTTAGGGAAAAGGTGGAATTTAAATGAAGTAGATTTTTTTCTGCTTGTTTTTGAACTGAAAAATTGTTCTATAAATTGAAGTCATCAAGGAAACTCAAAAGTGACATTAAGAGTCAAACAATTTTCACACAAAGCATTTGAAGAATATATGTGCATTATATAGATGAGAAGGGGGCTCAAGAAAAATGAGTAGGGGGCAGCCGCGGTGGCTCATGCCTGTAATCCCAGAACTTTGAGAGACCGAGGCAGGTGGATCACTTGAGACCAGGAGTTTGAGACCAGCCTGGACAACATAGTGAAACCCAGTCTCTACAAAAAATACAAAAATTGTCTGGGCACGGTGGCACATGCCTGTAGTTCCAGCTACTCAGGAGGCTGATGTGGCAGGGTCACTTGAGCCTGGGAGGTGGAGGTTGCAGTGAGCTGAGATTGTGCCACTGCACTCCAGCCTGGACAACAGAGCGAGATCCAATCTCGACAAAAAAAAAAAAATAATAAAATAAAAGGATGAGATGGGTATAGACCAGAGGGTGAGGGATGAGGGGCATGAGGGAACCTTAGGTATGCTAGCCCGGTTACACACTGAAGCAATGGAGATCTGCTGGGAGCCGACTAATAAGAATAAGACAATACTGGCCCAGGAAGTGCCAACAGATGCAAAGCCATATACAACATTCAAAGTCTTTTAATGTCTGTCATTTTAACAAATTGAGATGCCATATTCCACAGACCATAAATTCACGTAAGTCACCATTTTAGACTATACAATTCACTGATTTTTAGTATTGAATCTGAGTGTTGATGGTCTCAAAGCAAAGCAGGCTCTGTGTAAAGGTTTCAACATCAGGTCTGGACTATGACGGAAATGCCAAGGTCCTCCTGCTTCCTTGTATGTTAGAAAGCTATGGCAGATGTAGAATGTTGTGTCCAGAAAACCCTCTGCATCTGAGTTGCAAATTAAAACTGTTTCTCTGTGCCAAAGTGACTTAGCTCCTCCAGGCACGGAGTATGTCATTCTTACTTATAAAAGTTTCTAATAATCTATGATTTTAGAAAACAAAGCTTCTCACTGAATAAGAAAGGCAGCTGTTAGCCACTTATAGCTGCAGTGTGCCTCGGGATGAAAAATTTCCTCCTGTTAACTTCACATCTGGCTTTATCCATGTATTAGTCCATTCTCACACTGCTATAAAGAAATACCTGAGACTGGGTAATATATAAAGAAAAAAGGTTTAATTGGCTAGTGGTTCTGTAGGCTGTAGAGGAAGCATGGATGCTGCCATCTTCCTGGCTTCTGGGAAGGCCTAAGGAAACCTATTACGGTGAAGGGGAAGTAGACGTGTCTTACGTGGCCAGAGCAGGAGGAAGAGAGAGTGGGGGCACCACACACTTTTAAACAACCAGATTTCACGATAATTCACTCACTCACCATCATGTGAACAGCACCAAGGGGATGGTGCTAATCCATTTATGAGAACTCTGCCCCAATGAGCCAATCACCTCCCACCATCTGCACCATGGGAGATTACAATTCGACATGAGATTTGGTGGAGACACAGATTCAAATCATGTCAATCTGCATCTGTTATTCCAGCCTGATGCCTATTTAGGCAGATTTTTTTTTTTTTTTTACATTCTTAGCCCAAGCTCATTTTTATTTTCTCAGAGTGAAGAAGGCAGGCAACTCAGGCCTTCCAGCCCAGTGCTGTCCTCCAGAGGATCCGGCTTTAGCTGCCATCTGCCCACAGCTGCATAAGACAGCTCAAGCAGGATAAGCCGAACCACTGAATCCAGTCAACCAACAAAATATGAGAGAATAATGTCTTGGATTTAGTCACTCTGGTTTGGGATGGTTTATTGCGTATACACAGATTAAAGAATCAGTCATTCTTGAAGAAGAACTCTCCCCTGATGGCAGGATGGTAATAAGGCCCCTGAAAATTAGATCGTCCCCAGAGAAGAAGAAAACAAGGGAGAGGAATGAGCCTAAATTAAAGACTTACTCAAAAGAGACTTGAGTTTTAACCTCTACTGATAGAAGTCAGAAGAGTAATGGCTGTGGGGGATGCATGGGTTGGCTGGAGGGGGCATGAGGGAGCCTTCTGGATTATTGGCAATGCCCTATACCTTGATCTGGGTGGTGGTTACATGGCCACATACATATGAAAAATTCACCGAGCTGTACACTTAAATACTAAGTGGAAATGGAGTTCAGGAGCTAATTTCTATTATAGAGTAATAAAGAAAAGTTCACCAATTCTGTGAAATGTACACCTGCCACAACATAAGTGAAAACAAAGAATGGCAGACACATGAAGTAAACAAATATTTATATAGAAAAAAAGTATTATTTATGAATCTAAACAGTGAGTGACCAAGATGCCAAACAGAAACATGATTAAGAACAGGGAACTTGAGAATATAAAATTATAACATTGCTGGAATACTCATTCTTGTAACTCCTATTTCAATGAGTTAAATTAGAAGTAGACTATACCCTTTTCAAGATCATCATCCCTGGAATTAGAGATGGAAGGAAGCTTTGAAATCCTCCTTCACTGGTTCCAAAACTGGGCTGCACACTGGAATCACCTGGAGAGCTTTAAAAAATACTGATGCCTGGGGCCCACTCTAGAGATTCTGATGTAATTGGTCTGAGGTGTGGCTTGGGAATCAGGATTTTTAAAAGCTCCCCAGGTGATTTCAATGTGCCGCCAGGGTTGAGAATTATGGGTCAATTTCAACCACTCTTCTCACAAATGAGAACACAGAGGCCCAGGACTGGCAAATGGTTTGCTAAATATCCATTAATTGGCTGCAGCCAATTTTCTCTGATGTGCTCTAATAGGAGGGAGCTGTGGTATGGACAATACCAAACAATGAATAATCTAAAAATAATTTATATTTGGTTCGGGAAAGCAGCACATGACTTCCTGGCTGCCGACTGGCCTGGCTAATTCAGTTGGGTCGAAATGAATGTGCTCTTTCCTGCACTGACACTGACAACCCAGCTCTGTGCTGAGATGTGGAAGGAAGGTGGCCAAATTAAACACCGGCTGCAGCCAGTTCTCCAGTGGGCAACAGACATGGTGTCAATGGCACATAGTAACAATATGGATGTAGGGACTTGTCTAACAGAGGATTCCACGATGGAGCAAAGCTAGCTTTCTCCTCATCCTATACTCTAAGAGGGAGGGGGACCAGAGGCATAAAGACGGAACGAAGGAAGAGGGGCTTATGTTTTTCAAGGAGCTATTTGGTGCCAGGTTTCATAATAAGCATTTCTATAAACAGCATATGGTCTTAGCTCTATAGAGTTAGGCATTCTGGAACCCACATTATAGAGATGAGGAAACTGAGGTTCAGAGAGGTTGTATAACCCAAAGCAGAGCCAGAATAGAAACTCCAGCTTACCACACTCAACACTTTCCGACATACCATCTGTCTGTCGAAGAGGGAGAGATGCAGATGGACTTGGGTCAGATCCTTAGATTGTAAGTGCTGCTAAGCAAACTTCACCTCCCGATTTTTCAGTTCTAACAGTCTAAAGGCAGCAACAAAGAGACCTCCAGAAAGTACCTGTGCAGCCATGAGAATCTGTCTCCAATCACGGGAGCATAACTGACCAAGAGCCCCAGCTGCCACTCTCTGAAATCTGTCACCCACATTTACGCTAAGGCCACATTTCCCAGGCATTGTGCTGCTCCTCTCCAATGTCCAGTAGAAATATGAAGGTGGCCCTGTTCCTGGGAGGCATGGGACTCCTCTGATAAAAGTCTTGCCAAATTCTCCTCAGATGGCACCCAGCCAGGATGCTTCTGCCCATCCTTCCTACCCTCTTTCCTCATTGAGGTCTGACCTGCATTGCAGTCTGATGGCTCTCAGCCTTTTCCAGCTCTTCTGTTTTCTCTCACAGAGGCATTTCCCTTAATAAAGTCCCTCATGTATTTAATCCTACCTTGGCATCTACTTTCCAGAGGACCTGGACAACAGAAATGCCCCTAGCTAATGGTGCCCCCAACTATACACACATCACAGTGGGGAAGGCGAGGAGAGAAAAGGTCATCTGCTGACTCATCAAGGGGAAGCTGGTCTGAAATTTTTTAATAAAATTGTGGGTACACAGGTGTATAAATTTATGGAGTACACAAGATATTTTGATACAGGCATACAATGCATAATAATCACATCAGTGTAAATAGGGTATCCATCACCACACATATTTATCCTTCTTTGTTGTTGTTGTGACAAACGATCCAATTATACTCTTTGGGTTATTGTAAAATGTACAATTGTTGACTACAGTCATCCTGTTGTGCTGTCAAATACTAGGTCTTATTCATTCTTTTTATTCTTCTGTACCCATTAACCATCCCCACTGCCCTCTCTCCTGACTACTGTTGCCAGCCTCTGGTAACCTCTCTATGTCCATGAGTTCGATTGTTTTAACTTTTAGCTCCCACCAATAAGTGAGAACATGTGAAGTTTGTCTTTCTGTGCCTGGCTTATTTCACTTAACATAATGACCTCCAATTCCATCCATGTTGCTGCAAATGAAAGGATCTCATTCTTTTTATGGCTGAATAGTACTCCATTGTGTATATGTACCACATTTTCTTTATCCATCCATCTGCTGATGGACACTTAGGTTGTTTCCAGAACTTGGCTACTGTGAACAGTGCTACAATAAACATGGGAGTGCAGATACTGCTTCAATATACTGATTTTTCTTTTGGGTATAAGCCTAGGAGTGGGTTGCTGGATCATATTGTAGCTCTATTTTTAGTGGGTTTTTTTTTTTTTTTTTTTTTTTTTTTTTGAGACATGGTCTTGCTCTGTCACCTAGGCTGGAGAGCAGTGGCACACTCTCGGCTCACCATAGCCTCTACCTCTTGGGCTCAAGCAATCCCCCATCCTTAGTCTCCCGAGTAGTTGGGACTATAGGCATATACAATCATGCCTGGCTAATTTTTTATTTTTGTATTTTTGTAGAGATGGGGCTTTGCCATATTTCCCAGGCTGGTCTAAACACCTGAGCTGAAGCGATCCACCCTCCTCAGCCTCCCAAAGTGCTGACATTACAGGTGTGAGCCACTGTGCCCGGCCCTCTATTTTCAGTTTTTTGAGGAACCTCCAAACTGCTCTCCATAGTGGTTGTACTAATTTATATTCCACCAACAGTGTACAAGAGTTCCCTTTTCTCCACATCCTCTCCAGCATTTGTTATTGCCTGTCTTTTGAATAAAAGCCATTTTAACTGGGGTGAGAAAGCATCTCATTGCAGTTTTCATATGCATTTCTCTGATGACCATATTTAGCACCTTTTCATATACCTGTTTCCCATTTGTATGACTTACTTTGAGAAATGTCTGTTCAGATCTCTTGCCCATTTTTTAATTGTATTAGATTTTTTCCATACAGAGCTGTTTGAGCTCCTTATATATTCTGATGAGTAGTTTGCAAATATTTTCTCCCAGTCTGTGGGTTGTCTCTTCACTTTGTTTCCTTTGCTGTGCAGAAGCTTTTTAACTTGATGTGACTCCATTTGTCTATTTTTGCTTTGGTTGCCTGTGCTTGTGGGGTATTACTTATGGTTCAATCTTGGTAGGTTGTATGTGTCTAGGAACTTATCCATTTCTTCTGGGTTTTCCAATTTCTTGTCATATAGTTGCTCCAATGATCCTTTGAATTTCTGTGATATCAGTTGTAATGTCTCCTTTTTCATCTCTGATTTATTTGGGTCTTCTCTTTTCCTTAATCTGGCGAAAGGATTTTATTTTTTAAAAAATTGTTCTGTTGAACTTTTGCATTGTTTTCTTTATTTCAATTACATTTATTTCTGCTCTGCTCTTTATTATTTCTTCTACTAATCTTAAGTTTGGTTTGCTCTTGCTTTGCTAAATCTTTAAGATATATTGTTAGGTTGTTTATTTGAAGTTTCTCTATTTTTTCTTTTTTTTTTTTTTTTGAGATGGAGTCTTGCTCTGTCACCCAGGCTAGAGTACAGTGGTGCAATACTGGCTCGCTGCATCCTCTGCCTCCTGGGTTCAAGCAATTCTCCTGCCTCAGCCTCCTGAGTAGCTGGGATTACAGGCATGTGCCACCACACCCAGCTTTTTTCTTTTGTACTTTTAGTAGAGACAGGGTTTCACCATGTTGGCCAGGCTGGTCTTGAACTCCTGACCTCAGGTGATCCACCCACCTCAGCCTCCCAGAATGCTGGGATTACAGGCGTGAGCCACTGCACCCAGCCAGTTTTTCTACTTTTTTGATGTAGGTACTTATAGCTATAAACTTCCCTCTTAGCACTGCTTTGCTGTATTCCATAGGTTTTGGTATGCTGTGTTTCCATTATCATGTGTTTCAATAATTTTTTCAGTTTCCTTCTTAATTTCCTCACTGACCCATTGGTTACTCAGACACATACTGTTTAATTTCCATGTGTTTGTATAGTTTCCAAAATTCCTCATTATCGATTTCCAGTTTTATTCCATTGAGATCAGGGAGGAGACTTGATATTATTTCAGTTTTTTAAAATGTTTTAAGACTTGTTTTGTGGCCTAACATATGGTCTATGCTTGAGAATAATCTATGTGCTGAGGAGAAGAATGTATATTCTGCAGCCATTGCATGAATTGTTCTATAAATATCTATTAGGTCCATCTGGTCTGCAGTGCAGATTAAGTCCAATGTTACTTTGTTTTCTGTCTGGATGATTTGTCCAATGCTGAAAGTGGGGTGTTGAAGTCTCCCACTATTATTATATTGGGGTCTATCTCTCTCTTTAACTCTATTAATGTTTGCTTTATATATCTGGGTGCTCCAGTATTGGATGCATATATAATTGTTATATCCTCTTCCTGAATTGACTCCTCTATAATTATATAATAATCTGGCCTCTTTTTACAGTTTTTGTCTTGAAGTCTATTTTGTCTGATACAGGTATAGCTACTCCTGCTCTTTTTTGATTTCCATTTGCATGGAGTATCTCTTTCCATCCCTTTCTTTTGTCTATGAGTGTCTTTATACGTGAAGTGTGTTTCTTGTAGGCAACAGATCATTGGGTCTTTTTTTTTCTTTATCCATTCAACCACTCTATGCTTTTTGATTGGAGCATTTAGTCCATTTACATTCAATGTTATTATTGATAAGTAATGACTTGTTTTCTGGTTGTTTTGTGGTCTTCTCTTCCTTCTTTCCTTCTGTCCTGTCTTCCTTTCTAGCCGAGGTGATTTTCTCTAGTGGTATGTTTTAATTTCTTCCTTTTTATTGTTTGTGTTATCAATCATATGTTTTTTGATTTGAGGTTACCATGAAGCTTGCAAATAATATCTTATAACCCATTTCTTTAAACTGATGACAACTTAACACTTGTATAAACAAGCAAAGAGAAAACTAATTAAAATGCTACACTTTTTACATCAGTATAGTGTGAGAAATAAAAATAAAAAATCTGTACACTTTAACTTCTTCCCTCTACTTTTTATTTTGTTTTTGTTTTAATTTATACCTTACTGAACTCTGTCTTGAACAGTTGTTGCAGTTATTGTTTTGTTTTGAGATAGGCTCTCACTTAACGCCCAGGCTGGCTGTAGCCTCGACCTCCAGGGTGGTGACTCCCACCTCAGCCTCCTGAGTAGCTGAAAGTGCAGGAACATGCCACTACACTCAACTAATTTTTTGTATTTTTTTGTAGTGACAGGGTTTCACTATGTTGCCCAGGCTGGTCTTGAACTCTTGAGCTCAAGCAACCTGCCTACCTTGGCCTCCCAAAGTGCTGGGATTACAGGCAAGAGCCACTGTGCCTGGCCATTTTTGACTTGTCCATCATTTAGTCTTTCTACTTAAGATATGAGTTTGCACACCACAATTACAGTGTTATAATATTTTGTGTTTTTCTGTGTGTTTACTATTAACAGTGAATTCTGCAGCTTCAGATAATTTCTTATTGCTCATTAAGGTCTTTTTCTTTCAGATTGAAGAATTCCCTTTAGCATTTCTTGTAGGACAGGTCTGGTGTTGATGAAACCCTTCAGCTTTTGTCTGGGAAAGTATTTCTTCTTCACAGTTGAAGGAAATTTTTGCTGGTTATATTATTCTACAGTAAAAGTTTTTTCCTTCAGCACTTGAAATGTGTCATGTCACTCTTTTTCCTGGCCTGTAAGGTTTCCACTGCAAAGTCTGCTGCGAGACGTACTGAAGCGTCATTGTATACTGTTTCTTTTCTCTTGCTTGTAGGCTGACTTCCTTATCCTTGACCTTTGGGAGTTTCATTATTAAATGCCTTGAGGTAGCCTTCTTTAGGTTAAATCTGCTTGGTGTTCTATAACCATCTTGTACTTGAATATTAATATCTTTCTCTAGGTTTGGGAAGCTGTTATTATCCTTTTGAATAAACTTTCTACCCTCATCTCTCTCTCTACCTACCTCCTCTTTAGGGCCAATAACTTTTTTTTTGAGACGGACTCTTGCTCTGTCACCCAGGTTGGAGTGCAGTGGCACAATCTTGGCTCACTGCAACCTCCACCTGCCGGGTTCAAGTGATTCTCCTGCCTCAGCCTCCTAAGTAGCTGGGACTACAGGCACGTGCCACCACACCTGGCCAATTTTTTTGTATTTTTTGTAGAGATGGGGTTTCACCGTGTTAGCCAGGATGGTCTCGATCTCCTGACCTCATCATCCACCCACCTCGGCCTCCCAAAGTGCTGGGATGACAGGCGTGAGCCACCATGCCCGGCCTTAAGGCCAATAACTCTTAGATTTGCCCTTTTGATGCTACTTTCTAGATCTTGTAGGCATGCTTCATTCTTTTCTTTCTTTCTTTTTTTTTTTTTTTTGTCTGTGACCATGTATTTTCAAGTAGCTTGTCTTCAAGCTCACTGATTCTTTCTTCTGCTTCATCAATTCTGCTGTTAAGAGACTGAAACATCCTTCGGCATGTCAACTGCATTTTTCAAATCCAGAATTTCTGCTTGATTCTACTTAATCGTTTCAATCTCTTTGTTAAATTTATCTGAAAAGATTCTGAATTCCTTCTGTGTTATTTTGAATTTCTTTGACTTTCCTCAAAACCGAGTTCCTTTTGAATTCGGTCTGAAAGTTCACATATTTCTGTCTCTTTGGGATTGGTCCCTAGTGCTTTAGTTAGTTTGGTGAGGTCATGTTTTCCTGGATGGTCTTGATGCTTGCAGATGTTCATCAGTGCATGCACATTGAAGAGTTAGGTATTGATATGGTTTGGCTGTGTCCCCACCCAAATCTCAACTTGAATTGTATCTCCCAGAATTCCCACGTGTTGTGGGAGGGACCCAGGGGGAGGTAATTGAATCATGGGGGCTGGTCTTTCCCATGCTATTCTCGTGATAGTAAGTCTCACGAGATCTGATGGGTTTATCAGGGGTTTCCGCTTTTGCTTTTTCCTCATTTTCTCCTGTTGCCACCATGTAAGAAGTGCTTTTTAACCTCCCACCATGATTCTGAGCCTCCCCAGCCATATGGAACTGTAAGTCCAATTAAACCTCTTTTTCTTCCCAGACTCGGGTATGTCTTTACAAGCAGCATGAAAATGAACTAATACAGTAACTTGGTACCAGTAGAGTGGGGCATTGCTGAAAAGATACCTGAATATGTGAAAGCAACTTTGGAACTGGCTAACAGGCAGAGATTGGAATAGTTTGAAGGGCTCAGAAGAAAACAGGAAAATGTGGGAAAGTTTGGAACTTCCTAGAGACTTGTCGAATAGCTTTATCCAAAATGCTGATGGTGATATGGACAATACAATTTAGGCTGAGGTGGTCTCAGATGGAGATGAGGAACTTTTTGGGAACTGGAGCAAAGATGACTCTTGTTATGTTTTAGCAAAGAGAGTGGCAACATTTTGCCCCTGCCCTAGAGATTTGTGGAACTTTGAATTTGAGAGAGATGATTTAGGGTATCTGGCAGAAGAAATTTCTAAGCAGCAAAGCATTCAAGAGGTTACTTGGGTGCTGTTAAAGCCATTCACTTTTATAAGGGAAGAAGAGCATAAAAGTTTGGACAGTGTGCAGCCTGGCTGTGCGATAGAAAAGAAAAACCCATTTTCTGGGGAGAAATTCAAGTCAGCTACAGAAATCTGCATAAGTAGCAAGGAGACTAATGTTAATCCCCAAAACCATGGGGAAAATGTCTCCAGGCAATGTCAGAGAACTCTGCAGCAGCCCCTCCCATCACATGCCTGAAGGGCCAAGGAGGAAAAAGTAGTTTCATGGACCGGGTCCAGGGTCCCCGTGCTGCGTGCAGCCTATGGACTTGGTGTCCTGTGTCCCAGCGGCTCCAGCCATGGCTGAAAGGGGCCAACATACAGCTCGGGCTGTGGCTTCAGAGGGTGGAAGCCTCAAGCCTTGGCAGCTTCCACATGGTGTTCAGCCTGTGGGTACACAGAAGTCACAAGAACTGAGGTTTGGGAACCTCTGCCTAGATTTCAGAATATTCATGGAAACACCTGGATGCCTGGGCAAAAGTTTGCTGCAGGGGCAGGGCCCTCATGGAGAACCTCTGCTAGGGCAGTGCAGAAGGGAAATGTGGGGTCAGAGCCCCCACACAGAGTCCGTACTGGGGCACCACCTGGTGGAGCTGTGAGAAGTGGGCCACTGTCTTCCAGACCCCAGAACAGCAGATCCACTGACAGCTTGCACCATGTACCTGGAAAAGCTGCAGACACTCAATGCCAGCCCACGAAAACAGCGAGGAGGGAGGCTGTACCCTGCAAAGCCACAGGGGCAGAGCTGCCCAAGACCATGGGAACCCAACTCTCGCATCAGCGTGACCTGGGTGTGAAACCTGGAGTCAAAGGAGATCATTTTGGAACTTTAAAATTTGATGGCCCCCTGGATTTAGGACTTGCATAGGCCCTGTAGCCCCTTTGTTTTGGCCAATTTCTCCCATTTGGAATGGCTGTATTTACCCAATGCCTCTACCCCCAGTGTATCTAGGAAGTAACTAGCTTGCTTTTGATAGGCAGAAGGGACTTACTTGACTTGTCTCAGATAAGACTTTGGACTGTGGACTTTTGGGTTAATGCTGAAATGAGTTAAGATTTTGGGGGACTCTTGGAAGGCATGATTGGTTTTGAAATGTGAGGACATTGAGATTTGGAGGGGCCAGGGACAGAATGATATGGTTTGGCTGTGTCCCCCAACAAATCTCAACTTGAATTGTATCTCCTAGAATCCCCATGTGTTTTGGAAGGGACCCCAAGGGGAGATAATTTAATCATGGGGGCTGGTCTTTCCTGTGCTATTCTCATGATAGTAAGTCTCAGGAGATCTGATGGCTTTATCAGGGGTTTCTGCTTTTGCTTCTTCCTCGTTTTCTCTTGCCACCACCATTTAAGAAGAGCCTTTTGCCTCCCACCATGATTTTGAGGCCTCCCTGGCCATGTGGAACTGTAAGTCCAATTAAACCTCTTTTTCTTCCCAGTCTCCGGTATGTCTTTACTAGCAGCATGAAAATGGACTAATACAGGTATCTATTGTAGTCTTCACAGCCTGAGACAGTTTGTACCTATACTTCTTGGGAAGGCTTTCCAGGCATTTGAAGGAACTTGTGTGTTGTGATCCAAGTTTTTGGCTGCTGCAGCCAAACCTGCATTAGGGGGCACCCCAGGCCCAGTAATGCTGTGTAATACCCCAAGACCTTGGCGGTCTTGGATAAGATCCAGAAGAATTCTCTGAATTGCCAGGCCTAGACTCTTGTTCTCTTACCTTACTTTCTCCCAAACAAATGTAATCTTTCTGTGCTGTTCCTTCTGGAGCTGGGGGAGGGATGACACAAGCACCCCTATGTCCACCACCACTGGGACTGCACTGGGTCAGACCTGAAGCCAGCACAGCACTGGGTCTTGCTCAAGGCCCACGGTAACCACTACCTGGCTACTGTGTATATTCACTCAAGGCTCTAGGGCTCTACAATCAGCTGGACAAAGCCAGCCAGGCTTGTGTCCCTCCCTTTAGGGCAGTGAGGTCCCCTCTGCCTTGACTGGGTCCAGAGATGCCATCCGGGAACAGGATCTGGAGTCAGAAAACTTCGGAATTTACCTGGTTCACTATTTTACTGAGGCTGAGCTGGCACCCAAGTCACAAGACAAAGTCCTTCCCACACTTCCCTCCCATTTCCACAAGAAGAGTCTGTTTGTGGTCACCACCACCCCAGGCACACAGCAACTACTGCCTGGCCACTGCCAATGTTCACCCAAGGTTGAAGTCCTCTTCAGTCAGCTTGTGATGAATACTGCTAGGCCTGGGACTCTCCCTCCAGGTCACTGGGCTCCCCTCTGGCCCAGGGCAGGACTAGGAATGCCATCCAAGAGCCAAGGCCTCATACTGGGGACTCCAAGAGCCTGCTTGGTGCTCTATTCACTGTGGCTGAATTGGTACCTAAGCTCCAAGACAAAGACACCTTTACTCTTCCCTCTCCTTTTCTCAAGCAGAAGGAGTCTCCCCCAGTAGCCATCACAGCTGGGAATGTGCTGGATCATACCTGAAGCCAGCACATCTGAGTCTCACCCAAGGCCCATGATGAGTACCACCTGGCTACTACTGCTGATTATTCAGGGCCCAAGGGCTCTTTCATCAGCAGGTGATGAATCCTGCCAGGTTTGGATCCTTTCCTTCAAGGCAGTGGTAGGGGTCTAGCCCAGGTAGGTCTAGAAATGTCATCAAGGACCTAGGGCCTGGAATGGGGGCCTCAGGACTGCCTGGTGCCCTACCCTACTGTGGCTGAACTCGAAGACAAAGTCCTCTTTACTCTTCCCTCTCCTTAGGCAGAAGGAACGAGTCTCTCCTAGAGCTGCGAGCTGCACTGCCTGGGGCAAGGGAAGGGGTGGTATAAACACTCCCTTGGCCACCCCGGCTGGTATCTCACTGGACTGTGTGCCCCTGAAGTCTACTGGCTCCAAGCCCAGCACAGCATCAAGACTTGCCCAGGAATTGAAGTCCTTGTGGCTTAGACTGTCTTTCAAGTTTATTTAGGACTCCAGAGTACTTTAGCCCTTCTGGCTAGGAGTGGTCTAAATGCTCCCTCCATGGACACCAGCTGAGTTCTGCCTCATGATGCTTTCTGCTGTGACACAGCAGCACTAAGTTCCAATGCAAAGTCCCACAGTTACGGCACTCTCCCTCCCCTAAATGCACAGATTCTCTCCATGCCACACAACCACTGCTGGGGCATGGGGGAGGGGTGGCATCAGCAATTCAAGACTGTCTTTCCTACCCTCTTCAGTGCCTCTTTCAGTGATAGGAAGTTAAAAACAGGTACTGTGATTTCTCACCTTATTTTTGCTTCTTATGAAGGTGCTTTATTGTGTGGATAGTTAATTTGGTGTTTCTGCAAGGATGATGATTGGTGGAGGCTCCTATTCAGCCATCTTGCGCCACCTCCTCCCTCTTTTCTGGTCTGAGATTTTGAAGGTGAAGACTACAGAGGAGCAGCTTTCTCAATATGTTTGCCTTTGTCATTGGTCTCAGTGCTATGAAGGAAGGTGGTTTAGGCAACAAGTAATTGACTAGCATTTCAACTAGCCCTGACTGGGGGTTAATTGCCAATAAGTCACTTGTTATTGCAGGTGACCACAAGCCCCAACTTGGAAATGGTAGTAGGTATTCTTTTTTGATCTTGTCATGTATTTCAACCCTGCAGCCTCAGTAACTCCTAATAGGGAGGTTTTCTTGTCATCTTTTACTCCCTCCTGAAGGAGGAAAGTAGATAAATGACGTGCTGATTCTAAAACACCTAGAAGGAAAATGGTGCGTGCCCACCAATGCCATTTAGCCTTGTTTTGGAAGTACTTGCCAATGCCACTAAATAGCAACAAAACAGATTAATATCTAGAAACAAATTTAACAAAAATTGTGTAAGATCAATATAATGAAAACTTTAAAATTCCACTGACAACTAGGCCTCAATGACCCTGAAAGAACTGCCCAGCACAGGGTTAGACAATTCCCAGTGATAGCAAATGATTCACCTGCTTGAGCCTTACTGACCTTGGAGAGGTCAAACAACTCGCCTTTCATACACAAGCCAACCAATCCAGAGCTCATAACCCCAACTTCCCTCTTCATGGCCCTCTTTATGGTGCTCTCACATTCTGGGAGATTATCTCCCTACCCAATCACCCCAGGCCCGCATTCAGACAGCTAGGGACAGCCTCTACACCATTCCTGAGCATATCGACATTGTTCAAATAAACAAATCCTAAACTTGTTTACCCTGCCTCACTTCTTTCTTCCTGCAGTAATCACAATAGGGTTTTAGCCCACTAGTTCTCATTCTCTTTCTACCTGAGACCTCTTCTTGGGAACTCTGAGTAATAACTATTTTTTCAATACCAACAGTCTCCTGATATGTTGGCCTTACCGAATATTTTCTGTTAACACACTATATTTTAAAATACACTGTAATTAAAATATCAGATTTTTTTGCTACTAAGGTTAATATGGAAAAATCATCAAGTGAAAATAACTGCTGGGCCTGGTGGCTCATGCCTGTAATCCCAGCACTTTGGGAGGCCAAGGCGGGTGGATCACCGAGGTCAGGAGTTCGAGACTGGCCTGACCAACATGGTGAAACCTCGTCTGTACTAAAAATACAAAAATTAGCTGGGTGTGGTTGCAGGCACCTGTAATCTCAGCTACTAGGGAGGCTGAGGCAGGAGAATCACTTGAACCCAGGAGGAGGAGGTTGCAGTGAGCCGAGATTGCGCCATTGTACTCCAGCCTGGGCAACAGAGGGAAACTCTGTCTCAAAATAAACAAATAAAATAACCATAAAAATTCTGAAACGCAAGAGTAATGTAGGGTGGTGTGGAGAGGGGATGGATGGAGTGGCTGATGGAGGGTAGGGAGCCAGGGATGGCACTACGAACCATTAAATGGTTTGATGAATGTAGTGGATATAAATCTCAGTCCACAACAGTGTGAAAGAAATATTTATTTTCAGTAATTCTATCTAATTTTAATTTTGACCTTCATTTTGCCAGGGTGGAAATAAAACTTCAGTCATTTTAGGGCCTCACGATCACCAGCCCCCCATCCCCAGCATTGCTCTAAGAACCGCTGGGCTTACTTAATACCCAGGCATCAGGGTGGACCTCTGATCCTTGGTAGTTCATCCATTCACCCTGCATCCTTGTTTAAAATTGTCTGCTATAGCTTTTGTGATATAAACCCTTCCTGGATTACTTCCTTCCCAAAACAAGATGGTGAGGGAGATGGGAATTTAGCTCACCGTGAACACTGAGTTTGTGACAGGGGTGCACCCCAGGTGCGGCAGGAACATTCAGAGAAAGGAAGGCTTCATGGAAGAGTGGACTGTTGAGCTGGGCCTTGAAGCATATAGCCAACTCCACACGGCAAAAATGGGTGGGTGTGTACAGAGCATCACAGCAGAAACAGCACAAGCAAAGCTGGGGCTGAGGTGAAACCAGGTCTGACTTCTTGAGTCTAACTTGACTGTGCAATGGGGAGGCAATTCCTGCAAATATGGAGGGACGAGGGAAGTGAGCCTTGGGAGTGAACTACATGGCTGTAGATTAGCCACTCCACAGAGCAGGCTCCAGCAACCACTGCATAGAAGGAAAATCATGGATCTTGCCATCTCTGCAGGTATTTCTAGGCCCTGAATCAAAATTTAAAGTGGTTCCTTCAAACTTTGAAACAGGAGATCCAGGAGTTTCTATGTGTTCCTTTCATAGCTCCCTAAATGGAAGAGTGACCATACAACCTGGATGTGCCATGGGTTCACTGGCCAGCTAGCGCCTCTTCTAAAAGAGAGGGCCCTGGAAGGGAGGGAAGATTCAAGATAATCTAGCAAAAGCCAGAGGCAATCCTGCCAGTCAGATCAGAATCCAAGGCATACACTTTTATCTCCATCTCTTCCCAGAGTAAAGTTTATAGGATTGTCAATTTCTTCTTTCCACATTATTCCATTTATTCAGATTAGCAGCAGCAAATGCAACCAGAAAACACCAGATAATTTACACTTCATCTGTATTTTACTCTCTGTAATAGTCAGTAGTCAGTTTTCTTGGGGTTTCTCAGTCATAATTCCCATCTGGAATGTAACTGGTTTCCTACTTTCTTTCTTCTTTTTTTTTTTTTTTTTTTTTTTTGAGGCAGAGTCTCACTCTGTCACCCAGGCTGGAGTGCAATGGCTTGGCTCACTGCAAGCTCCGCCTCCTGGGTTCACGCCATTCTCCTGCCTCAGCCTCCCAAGTAGCTGGGACTACAGGCGCCCGCCACTACGCCCGGCTAATTTTTTGTATTTTTAGTAGAGACGGGGTTCCACCGTGTTAGTCAGGATGGTCTCGATCTCCTGACCTTGTGATCCGCCCGCCTCGGCCTCCCAAAGTGTTGGGATTACAGGCGTGAGCCACCGCGCCCAGCCTGGTTTCCTACTTTCTTAAAACAGTCATATGATGTTCTACTGTAATCACTTTACATTTGCATTATTTCAGAGTCATGGGCTGCTTCTTCATTGGCATGCACTGCTTCCCCACTGCCTAACTGTCTTGAAAATAAAGGAACAAAAACAATTTGGGATTAAATATAATTTTCCATTTCATTTTCTTTTTCCTTCAGTGTCCAAAAGTCCTACCATTTTCTTGCAATGGATTTGAGACTTTTTTTCCCTATGGCACATACACTCACTTCACAAAATAAGCTGAGCTACTTCAAAGTAGCATGTATGAAATAACTGTAGAACATCTCCACTGAGCTATTGTTAACCATCATGAGTTCCCATTTAACACGTAGTTAGTGAACTCTTAAAGAGTACTATGGCTATATAGAGAAGTGAAAATACACAACCCCTGATCTCCAGGAAATGTCTAATTTACTTGAAGTAAGACCCAGTCACTTGAGAAAAGGGAAACCACTATGTCTACTTTCACATTCACCGCTAAGCAGGGATTCCAAGTGGTGTTCTCTTCTCTAAATTCTCACCTTCCTAAAATGCAGTGGCACTTATTGAGTGCCTTTTATATGCCAGGCATTGGGCTAGGAGCTTCTGGGTGGCTTTCTGAATCCCCAAATAACCCCATGAAATATGAAAGATTTCTGGAAAGACTATTAGTAGAGAAAGTAACCTAAGAAACCATTTCACTTTGGGAGGTTGAAGTGGGAGGACAGCTTGAGCCCAGGAGTTTGAGACCAGCCTCGGCAACAGTGTGAGACCCATCTCTACAAAAAACTTTAAAAATTAGCCAGTTGTGGTGGCATGTACCTGTAGTCCTAGCTACTTGGGAGGGTGAGGTGGGAGAAGTATTTGAGCCCGGGAGTTCGAGGCTGCAGTAAGCTATGACTGTGCCACTGTACTCCAGCCTGGGCAACATAAGAATACGCTGTCTCAAAATAATGATAATAATAATAAAACTCATTTCCCATTCATCTCCTCAACCCTGGATTCTGGGTTTTTCTAAATTAAGAAAACTGCCATAATCTTTCGAAGCTCAGTTTTTATGAGGCAATTGGATATTATTAACACATATAATAGGATCACATAAGAAATTCATTATTAAACTAGGGGCTACAAAATATTCTATCAAATATCTATCAACCAATAGATTCATTTTAGAGGGGTATTTTCAATATTTTATCCTTCTAAGGAAAATCTTCTATGAGGAGATTAATTTCAAGATCATTTTTACTAAATAAGCAGTCAATGGACTCTGTCAATTAGTGCCCCTGGACTAATGTGGTCTTTATACACTTAGACTGACCTCTGCTGGACAGTCTAATAACCTGTCAGCATTTTTTTTTTCTCTGAGAGTATGATTAGGAAAGGGGCATTTTCCCCAAATTTTATCTAGTATTTAGTAACAAATTTACACAGTTCAACTTACAAATATTAATCAAGCCCTCTACACCACCTAATGGCAAAATCTTATATTGCATTCGGCTGCCAGAGGTGTGTCCGGAGGCAGAGTGGGAGGAGACTGATGAGGTTACATGAACTATCCAGTCTGAATGCTCCTTTTCATAGTCTCTTCCTCCTGTGCAGGACATAAGAATACCTGAGAAATGAGGCTGCTTCCACGAGCCTGTCAGGGGCCAAGTCACAGTATCTTCTGGGTTCACCCCTAAAACTGAAGTCTACCACTTCATGGTGGTCACTTGTGCCTAAACTAGCCAGTGTAGACAAGTCTGATATGGGTGGTGCAAACAAGCTGAATTTTGATATAAAGTCCTATGCTTCAATTTATGTAAAACTGCAGATAAAAAACACGAATGACCCTGAAAATAAGTGATGCTTTTCCATTTCAAATATTCTTTTAAAATAGTGCCTGCTTCTGATAATAAAAATTACATAATTATTTTTAAAATTCTATAAAGGAAAAAATTAAATAAAAATTGCCTACAATTCCATCTACCAAGTTGTATTACAATTTTAGTTTATTTTGTGCCCATCTCTGTTCTGTAAGCAAGCAGGTATGCATGATTATGGTTATTTCCTTACTTCACTCCATTTCATTTTGTAGCTTGCCCTTTTCACACGTTGTATTGTGATTATTTTTCAATTAATAAATAATACAATTTTTATTTTATGATGATAGACCATCACTTATGTAACCAATGTCCTACTATTAAACATTGGAATTGTTCCTAAATAAAACTACGCTACATGGCCTTTTATATAAATATTTGACCAAATATTTTATTATTTCTTCAGGATATATTCCCAAATAAGCTCAATGGGGCCTGGCACAGTGGCTCATGCCTATATTCCCAGCACTCTGGGAGGCAGAGGCAAGAGGATAGCGTGAGCCCACGAGTTTGGGACCAACCTAGGCAACATAGTGAGACCCTGTCTCTACAAAAATAAAATAAAAGAGTAGCCAGGCATGGTGGTATGCGCTTGTAGTCCTAGCAACTCGGGAGACTGAGATGGAGAGATCACTTGAGTCCAAGGACGTCAAAGATGCAGTGAGCCGTGATCATGTCATTGCACTCTAGCCTGAGCAACAGAGCAAGACCCTGTCTTGAAAAAAAAAAAAAAAAAGCTCACGGGGTCAAAACTTACGCGGTATGAACATTTTTAAGACTCCAAATACCTGCAATGCTAGAATTACTCTACAGAAATGTACCAACTTCAACTTCCATCAGCAGCATAGGAGTCTCCATTTTCACTTCCACTTCACCAAAATTCAGATTAATTTAGAAAGTTCTTTGCCAAGTGGATAGGCCAGGAAAAAAAAAGGGATTTTCAGTATAACTTACATATTCATATTCATGCTTTTACTGAGCATTTATATTTTTTCTGTGAATTGTACATTCACGCCCTTTGCCCATTTTTCTACTGGCACCTTAATATTTTTCTTATATATAAGAGTTCTTTATATTTTTATTTTTTTATTTTTGAAAGGGAGTCACACTAAGTCTGTTGCCCAGGCTCAAGAACAGTGGCGGGATCTCGGCTCATTGCAACCTCTGCCTCCCAGGTTCAAGCGATTCTCGAGCCTCAGCTTCCTGAGTAACTGGGATTACAGGAGTGTGCCACCATGCCCAGCTAACTTTTTTATTTTTAGTAGAGACAGGGTTTCACCATGTTGGCCAGGCTAGTCTTGAACTCCTGATCTCAAGTGATCCACCCGCCTCAGCCTCCCAAAGTGCTGGGATTACAGGTGTGAGCCACTGTCCCTAGTCTGAGTTCTTTATAGATTAAGGTTAACTCTGTTGGTCTAAATGTGGTATGCTTGAACTTAGGTCGCTAGTCCAAATATATCCTGAAATTATTAGTTTGGGTGTGATGTGACTTTGCCTTTGGCTCAGTAAATTCCTTCCAGGAAAAAAAAAAAACAACCTCATAAAATATAGGACCAGCCCCATTAAATACTGGTGACACTTAGGTACTGAGTGGTCAAAAAATAAAATAGGAAGCAGAAAGAGCCTATGTATCTCAACTAACTGAACATGTCTCTACATTAGACAATTCTTACAGCTTTTTTCTTCAATTTTTAAAAGACAGGTAACTGCCTTAGTCTGTTTAGTGTTGCTATAAAGGAATATTTACTAAAGCTAAGTAACTTGTTTTAAAAAGAGGTTTATTTAGCTCACAGTTCTGATAGCTGGAAGGTTCAAGACTGGGCATCTGATGAGGGCTCAGGCTGCCTCCACTCATGGGGGGAGCCAGTGTGTGCAGAGTCCACACAGGGAGAGAGAAAGCAGGAGAGAGGCAGGGAAGGTGCTAGGTTCCCTGCGGGGTGCTAGATTCCCTTTTTGTTTTTGTTTTTTTTTTGAGACGGAGTTTTGCTCTTGTTGCCCAGGCTGGAGTGCAGTGGTGCAATCTCGGCTCACCACAACCTCCACCTCTTGGGTTCAAGCGATTCTCCTGCCCCAGCCTCCTGAGTAGCTGGGACTACAGGCATGTATCACCATGCCCAGCTAATTCTGTATTTTCAGTAGAGATGGGGTTTCTCCATGTTGGTCAGGCTGGTCTCGAACTCCCGACTTCAGGTGATCTGCCCACCTCAACCTCCCAAAATTCTGGTATTACAGGCATGAGTCACTGTGCCTGGCCACTAGGTTCCTTTTAACAACCAGCTCTAGTGGTAACTAATAGAGGGAGAGCTCATTACCCTGAGAACTCATCAAACATTTCATGAGGGATCCATCCCCATGACGCAAACACCTCCCATTAGGCCCTACCTCCACCACTGGGGATCAAATTTCTACATGAGGTTTTGGGGAACAAACATCCAAGCTATAGCAGTAAAATAATATTGATATGTAAATCAACATTTAGGCAGTTACAATGCTATTATGTAATAAAAGCTCTCCATTCATCTGTAAGTAGTTTTGTGGCAGAATAACTTTTTCTGTTACTTTTTCTAACTTTTTCTGTTTTTAATCAATTCCTTTACTGTAAAATGTCATTTTAAATGTTTATTTTATTTTGCACAATTTTAACAGTAGAGTAATTTTGCTGTGGAAAATAAAATTTCATCTTGCAAGAAAGAGAAAACTCAAGACCACCAACTGGCGTCTTTATTTACATATTAGAGCGGGTCAGCCAATGAAAATCCTAGAAAAAGAAGACAACAAACATTCAGTCAAAAGAAATGATTGTCTCAAATTATATCCTCATTGTTTCACTTGTTCTAAAACCTAAAAGTCCTACACAATGGTGGCAAAATGAGGTTTGTCTTTGTTCTGGTGCTTTTCCCAAAAAGGACCTAAAAACCTATTAGTGAATCTTCCTGCTGTGTCCTATAAAACAACCTAAAATGGCATTCTGGGTCCTCTTCCATTCACAGTAATCAGAGCACAAAAACTATAGTCTAAAAGAACCAGAAGTACACTCAGAAGGAGAAGGGAGATGAAGGAGGCCCACAGAGGGCTGAGCTCCCAGGTCTGAGGACATGAGTAGGAAGAACTGTGCACGGAAGTCTTTTCCAGAACTAACACCATCCTATACATATGGCCTGGACACAGGCACAGATATAGGCATTCCCATATTGAGGCAGGAAGTGGCCAGCCTACACTGAGAATCAATGATAAATGGCAGACGGACAGAAAGACAAAAATCAACAGTTTGGAAAGTATAATGTATGTAAATTCCACTGGAATGAAAATAAATAATTTCAAAGTGATAAATGTAAGAAATATAAAAATAATCCTCATAGAATTGTAAAAGAGGAAGACGAGAACTCATATTTCTCCAGCAATATCCAGCAATATCCAAACAAAATTCATAGAGAAACTGTAGAACAGATCATTGGAAGCAAATCAATAGCATGAACTCACTAGCAGAGATGACAGAATTTGTTAGGGCTTTTCTGTGATTAACATAGGTCTCAAGATGATGATGATGATTATTATTATTTTGAGAGACAGTCTCACTGTCACCCAGATTGGAGTGCAGTGGCACAATCTTAGCTCACTGCAACCTCCACCTCCTGGGTTCAAGTGATTCTCGTGCCTCCACCTCCTGAGTAGCAGGGATTACTGACATGCACCACCATGCCCAGTTAATTTTTGTATTTTTAGTAGAGACAGGTTTCACCATGTTGGCCAGGCAGGTCTCAAACTCTCAGCCTCAAGTGATCCGCCCACCTTGGCATCCCAAAGGGCTGGGATTACCGTGCCCAGCCATCAAGATTATATGTATTCATTAAGCTTCTTACAGTGGCTTTAGTTTCCCCAGGGCTCTGATGGCCTGATGCCCGGAGGAGGGTGTTTTTGGTTACCAAACTAACATCCCAGTCACTGGAAAGTATAAACCTAGTTATAAATCCATAAAGTGGCATGAGATGAAAAAGCCTGTCTATTGAGTGTCTGACTAGCATAAATCATTTTAAATAGAACTTAAAAAAAGAAAAGGCAATCCACAAACCCACAGGAGTACAGATAGATTCTGAAAGTGGCAGACCCTCCCTTAAAACAGTCTGCCTGCTTGCTCCACAGAAATCCCTGCTAATGCCCCCTGCCCTTCAGCTTACTAGGCTAGTTTTTCTGCATTCATCTTCCTCATCACTAGGTTTCTTGAGTATCTCCTCTCTCTGCTAGGAAGTAAATGCCAAAGTCATTGAAATCTGTTTTTACACAAATAGAATTTCAATAGAATTCTATATATTTTAGTGTCTAAATTAGTTAATTTATATTTCATTGATTATCCAGGTATCTGTTTACCCATTCATCCACCGCTTTGTTCACAAAAGAAAGAGATTCCATATATATAAGAACCAAGACAGAAAGTACTTGAAAAAAATATCTGCTCTGATAAGAGTGGCTGATACACAAACTGTTCGCACGGAAGACAGGTTATATGAGGCGGCAAGTGGCAGAACCAGGATGGCAGTAGAAAATTAAGTATGAAATGCAACTTACTCTGGGATAGGAGAGGCTCATGCTATGAACTTTGTCATTTACTTTACTGCTGTAATCAACACTGCAGTTTCACCCTGGAGGTCAAAGTAACTAATTTTGAATGTACCTGCACAAATCCTTGTATTACAGTTGCATCTCCCTCTTCCTCAGACTTGCCATGCTTCCTCTTTCCTCTTGCTACAGAGCCTGTTGCACATCTCTTCCCTCTCCCCTTTGCCGAGTTAGTCTCTGCTTATCCTTCTGATCTCCGTTTAAGAATCACCTCCTCTGAGAAGCCTTCCCTGTAACCCCAACATAAATCTGATTCCTTTGTGGTACGTTTGCTCAGAACTGGATTCCTTTCCTTCCAAGTAATTGCTTCACTCTGTCATAGTGTGTTCAGTTGTGAGGTTACCAGACTGTCCCTCTCCCCTACCAGACTACAAAAGCTCCATGAAGTCGTGAGGACCGAGCCTGGTTTGGCTCACCATGCTATTCGTAGCACCTAACACATATCTCAATATTCACTGAACAAGTACATGAAACTGCCAAACTCAGAAATGGTTTAGAAAGACCTCTGTGGATGATAGAGGGTGTTCTGTTTGGTAGATACTTTTTGGAGGGGGATAGGGGAAGCAGATGCATTTCTTGCTTTCTGCTTAGCAACTGTATTTACCTGGGCCTTCCGTGTGGCTTGTGGCTCAATCATGATGTTGATAAGAGAAGGTTTAGTTGTGTCTGCTAGGCTCTGCCTCAGGGATTTTTGGAGTTCTTCTGGTGTTTGTACAAAATACCCTTTGCCTCCAAATGCAGTCATGACTTGCTCATAATGTGAATTTGGCAGCAAACACATTGGAGGGACCCTGAAAAACAAGGTCATGAGTCAATGAAATTTAAATCTTAAACCTTGTAGAAAAAAAGTCATTCTCTGAAATACTTCATTAAAAAAATTTCAGCTGAACTCAAAGGCATACTTTTATCTTCAACACTTAAGCTGAGATGCCAGTACACTGAGTTTTTCCTATATTTATAATTGTCTATATAGCAATGTCCAGTAGAACTTTCTGTGATGATAGAAATGTTTTAAACCTGTGCCATCCAAGACAGTAGCCACTATCTACCTGTTGCTGTGAGCACTTGAAATGTGACTAAACTGAGGAACTAAATTTTTAATTTCATTTAATTTGAAGTAATTTAAATCTAATTTGCAACAGTTGCAGCATGCCTAGTGGCTACTATACTAGACAGCACAGGCTACATTATCAACTATTATGAATCCAGAAGAAAAACATGAAAAAAAAAGATTACTGCAAAACAACAAATAATAAGAAAACAACAAATAAAGTTAGTGAGGCATAAATAGACACACCCATACCCTGTTCCACCCCAAGGCTGGCTCACAAATTCATATCTGTCTCACATTCTACGGCCAGCTACAATACTGTCTTAATCTGGCTCTGCCATCAGATGATCAAGATTTAGCTAAGTGGTGAAAGGAAGGTAGACCTCTGGAACACAAATAATACGTAAACATCCACATTTCCAAATGGTGTAACAGGAATCAGTAGTCCTACTATTGCTCCCAGTCCAGGGAGCATTTTGCAATAAGCCTTTTCATTAACAAGGCTCAGACATCACACTCATTTATCTGAGTCTTCAGTGGCTCCCTGATTATTTACTGAAGCACCTAATCATGGATATTTGTGCAAAGAGGAACTAAGACAGGATTCCTTCTCTTTAGAAGGGCTGACAATCGAAACGGACAATACTCATACCATGTAGGCACATTACTGCCAATATAGAAGACTTTTTAAAAAGAGATTAAAACGGGAAAGAGAAAGTAAACAGACATTGGTCTTGGTTACTTACACTGCAGTAGCATCTTGAAATTTTAACATTTCTTTCCAAGTATCTGTATCAAAACCTTGGTAAATTCCATTGTTATTCACTACCAACAGTATGATTGGCAAGTTGTACCTAAAGTGAGAGTAAAATATGAAGGAAATCATTCTTCATTTTAAAGTAATTTCTTTTCTTTGGGTTGAAACTTTAACTTAAAAATGAATAGTTTCCTATAAGCTTTTTGTATTATTAGAGGAAGACTAAAAATCAAGCATTTATTATCCTAAGAAAGAATATCAAATAATTAACAGAAACATCATGGAAAGGCAGAAAGAATGCAAGATTAAGAGTTGTTAGTCCTGGCTGGGCATGATGGCTCATGCCTGTAATCCCAGCACTTTGGGAGGCTGAGGTGGGCGGATCACAAGGTCAGGAGTTCAAGACAAGCCTGGCCAATATGGTGAAACCCCGTCTCTACTAAAAATACAAAAATTAGCTGTGCATGGTGGCATGTGCCTGTAGTCCCAGCTACTCGGGAGGCTGAGGCAGAAGAATCGCTTGAACCCGGGAGGCGGAGGTTGCAGTGAGCAGAGATCACACCACTGCACTCCAGCCTGGGTAACAGAGCAAGACTCCATCTCAGAAAAAAAAAAAAAAAGTTGATAGTCCTTTAGCTATTAGCTATGAACCTCAGACAAATCACTGAGCTTTTCTGAATCTGGGTTTTCATAAGTCTAGATGGTATATGAAGAACACCTTCCCTATTTAATACTCTCTAAAGTACCACTTCTAGTTGGTTCCTAGGAACAGTGTTTGAAACGTACCTTTCTATTTACTGAGCTCCCCACAGACACCCAGCTCTTGCTAGATGCTGTGGAAGATACACAAGTAACTAGCACACACAATCTGCACTCAAACTACCACACACATAATCAGAAACACATTACATGGTGTAGTCAGTACAGAAAAGGAGTATTTAACAGTGTGCTAAACAGTATAGCAAAGACAAAAAAGAAAAGGTTGATTAAATGTTATTGACTGAAAAGAATGTAGGTTTTATTTTCTAACATAATTTCCAAGGGCAAGTGGTAAAAACAAAACTAAACTGCATACTGTTAAATAACAGGACTGTGGTAATTATTTGCTCTCCATGCTCAAAAGGAGTCATTATCCACTAAAAGGCTAACTTCCCCATAAGTCATCTTTTTTGTGTATATCACTTGGTTGTCAATAAAGACACTCTAACAGACACATACAGTCAGACCTCATTATCTGAGTTCTGCATCCGTGGATTTAACCAATTGCGGGTCAAAAATATTTGGGAAAAAAAATTGGATCTGTACTCAACATGCACAGACTTTGTTCTTGTCATTATTCCCTAAGCAATACAGCACAACAATTATTTATATAGCATTCATATTGTATTCAGTATTTTAAAGTAATCTAGACATCATTAAAAATATATGGGGGGTATGCATAGGTTATTTGCAAATACTGCACAATTTTATATCAGGGACTTACTTGAGCATCCTTGGATTTTGGTATTTGAGGAAGGTCCTGGAACCAATCCCCCACTGATATAGAGGGACAACTATACCTTCCCAAATCTTGAACGTTTTATCTACCAAAGCTTTGCCAACCCCAAAACATGATTCACAAAAGCCCTAATAAGAGCCCTGGCTAAGAATAGAATGGTTTTACTACAGTTTAAATATAGCTGGAAAAATAAAACCCCCATCCTTCTATAGTGAGGATCTACAATTCATGAGTTTCTCCATGAATTCTCATAACTACACACATGATCCAAATGACTCATGTTCACTGAGCATCACCTCAGAATTTAGCTGGGGCCAAGCATGGTGGCTCACACCTGTAATTCTAGCACTTAGAGAGGCCAAGGCGGGTGGATTGCTTGAGCTTAGAAATTTGAGACCAGTGTGGCCAATATGGCAAAGCCCTGTCTCTACAAAAAAATACAAAAAATTAGCTGGGCATGGTGGTGCATGCCTGTGATCCCAGCTACTCAGAAGGCTAAGGAGGCAGGATCCGTTGAACTTGGGTGGTTGACGCTGCGGTGAGCCGCAGTTGCGCCATTCCACTCCAGTCTGGGTGACAAAGCAAGACCCCATCTTGAAAAAAAAAAACTGCTTGGATTACCTCATTTGTTTTTCATAATCATCTTTCTAAGGTAGGAACTATTACTATTCCTACTTTTTTTTTTTCAAGGAATTTCTGCCTAAAGGATACTATTCCTGCTTTAGAAGAGAGGAGACTGAGGCTTGGTTAAGTGACTTTTTTTTTTTTTTTTTTTTTGCGATGGAGTCTTGCTCTGTCGCCCAGGCTAGAGTGCAGTGGTGCGATCTTGGCTCACTGCAAACTACACCTCCCAGGTTCAAGCGATTCTCCTGCCTTCAGCCTCCCAAATAGCTGGGACTATAGGCATGCACCACCACATCTGGCTATTTTTTGTATTTTTAGTAGAGATGGGGTTTTACCATGCTGGCCAGACTGGTCTCTAACTCCTGACCTCAGGTGATCTGCCCACCTCAGCCACCCAAAGTGTTGGGATTACGGGCATGAGCTACCACGCCCAGCCTTGGTTAAGTGACTTAAAGTCACATGGCTCTGACTTGATAGAACCAGTATTTAAATCCAGGCCATTTGTCCCACAAGCCATGCTGCCTTTTTTTTTTTTTTTTTTTTTTGAGATGGAGTCTCGCTCTGTCACCCAGGCTAGAGTGCAGTGGTGCGATTTCAGCTCACTGCAACCTCCACTTCCCAGTTCAAGCAACTCTTCTGCTTCAGCCTCCCGAGTAGCTGGGATTACAGGCATGCATCACTGCGTCTGGCTAATTTTTTTTTTTTTTTGTATATTTAGTAGAGATGGGATTTCACCATTTTGGCCAGGCTGGTCTTGAACTCCTGACCTAAAGTGATCTGCCTGCCTTGGCCTCCCAAAGGGCTGGGATTACAGGTGTGAGCCACCATGACTGGCAGAAGCCATGCTCTTCAACCACCACACTTGCTATTTCCCACAGGAAACAAGCTTCTTTCAGTCCCCAACATTTTTTTCTCAGTGACCTCAAAACCACTCCCCACAGTTTTACAGGTTTTTACCATACAGTGAGGAGGCCAGAAAGATACGGTTCTGGAAGAGAAAGACCGTGGGTTACTGCCACTAGCATCCTCAGGACAGAACACAGTGCTGTGCACAGGGCACCTGGTGAACGCTTCATAAGTATTTGTCAGGTGACTGGGTCTTGTGTGTCATTTTTCATATTCTAGAGAATCAAATGCTCTGATTCAGGATGATGTTTTACCTGCAGATGGTTTCTACCTCCATGCCAGAAAACCCAAATGCACTGTCTCCTTCCACACAGATGATCCATTGCCCAGGGCTTCTATCTTTAGCCACCACGGCAGCTGCAATAGCAAATCCCAAACCAACTCCCATTGTTCCGAAAGTACCAGCATCAAGCCTGTTGGAGAACAAAGTTAAAATGAAACCCTCTGGGGCATGTCATAGAGGATGGGATTGGCACAAACCTTCTAGTCATATTTACATGGTTGATGGAAAAATGAAGAACCATAAAAACATTCTCTTTCTTCAATATAAAATCTTTAGACTGCTAGGAACTAATTTGTCAAGGATAGAAAAAAGCCACCCATGTTTGCTTGGAAGACTATAAACATATTCCTAGAATACTAAGTAAACAATTATCATGATACCAAGAACACATCAAGCATAAAAACTCTACAAAACCTCACCTAAGGATACTTTTATGAAATATGTCCTTACATACTAAACATGTATTAATTCTCAAACGTCTTCTTAATCTGCACTATTACAGTTTCATATTAAACACATTATAATGAATTACGACTTCTTTCTTCTTTAGAAGTCTTACCTGTGACGAGGAAGGTAGTTCTGAAGCACAGTCCGTCCAATGTCCATAGTATTTGCTCCTTCACTTACCACGAAACAGTCTCTAGGTAGTTGTTCTTGAACATGGTAGAATACTGTGTAATAATTCATAGGCAGGGATTTTTTAGAAGCTAGTTCCTGAAAAGTAGATGGGAATATAATCAAATTAAATTGGGATACAATGAAAATAACCAATGTTAATAAGATGCTATCAAACTTATTTGGAAATACGCAACAACTACAAGCTACAAGGTTTCCAAATGGCTATAAAATGGCCACTCTGAGAAGTTGGCTGACCTGTGAACAGCCCTGGGGGACATGTGTACCACAGTCCCAGTTGGGAACACAATTAAATAAGCTCGGGAATATCCCGCCTCTTGGAGATCTGCAATGCACAGGAGTGTATTAAAGACATTGAGAAGTCCTACAGTAAAGACAGCTGAGAAGCACTGGGTTACATAAAACTAAACGTTCTTATTTGAGCACTCTTAGGAAAACGGTGCCTTAGAAAAAGTGAAATTTATTCCAGAATATTTTCATCTGAACTATGACCCTAAACTTAAAATGTCACAATTTTAGAATACAATCTGAAAATCTAGTTTTTCCCCCAACACACTTAAGAGTTAAAGGAGCTATCTTACCCCCACTATTCTAAAGAGTCCCTGAATGGAGAGAAAAACAGCAAGGTAAACGCCTTTGTCTAGCCACATGCCTTTCAGGGCTGAGAAAAAGCCATAGAGAGCTTTAGCAGCAACAGTCCCATCTGGCCCCAGGACTGCCTCTTCACCTATGCTACTTTGTTCTGCTGGAGATTATACACAAGGTAAAGAGGGACCCTCCTATACTCCTGCACTAAAGAAGAGAAGCAAGTCCCTTCTATCTTAAACCAACATCGTTCCTATGCGAAAGAAAAGATTAGTCATGATATGACTCAGGAAATAAAATTGAGACTGGTGGCCAGGCATGGTAGCTCACGCCTGTAATCCCAGCACTTTGGGAGGCCAAGGCGGGCGGATCACGAGGTTAGGAGTTCGAGATCATCCTGGCCAACATGGTGAAATCCTGTCTCTACTAAAAAAAATACAAAAATTGGCTGGGTGCGGTGGCTCACGCCTGTAATCCCAGCACTTTGGGAGGCCGAGGTGGGCAGGTCACCTGAGGTCGGGAGTTCGAGACCAGCCTGACCAACATGGAGAAGCTCTGTCTCTATTAAAAATACAAAATTAGTCAGGCATGGTGGCACATGCCTGTAATCCAGCTACTCGGGATGCTGAGGCAGGAGAATTGCATGAACCCAGGAGGCGGAGGTTGCGGTGAGCCAAGCTCGTGTCATTGCACTCCAGCCTGGGCAACAAAAGCAAGACTCCATCTCAAAAAAGAAAAAAAAAAAAAGTAGCCAGGCATGGTGCCAGCTACCTGTAATCCCAGCTACTCGGGAGGCTGAGGCAGGAGAATTGCTTGAAACTGGAAGGCAGAGGTTGCAGTGAGCTGAGATCGCGCCACTGCACTCCAGCCTGGGCAACAAGAGTGAAACTCCATCTCAAAAAAAAAAAAAAATTGAGACTGGCTCCAGATAGAAACAGTCATTGATTAAAATTCTAATGTAGGCCAGGCACGGTGGCTCATGCCTGTAATCCCAGCACTTTGGGAGGCCAAGGCGGGCGGATCACGAGGTCAAGAGATCAAGACCATCCTGGCCAACATGGTGAAACTCCATCTCTACCAAAAATACAAAAATTAGCTGGGCGTGGTGGCACACGTCTGTAGTCCCAGCTACTTGGGAGGCTGATGCAGGAGAATTGCTTAAACCTGCGAGGCAGAGGTTGCAGTGAGCCAAGATCACGCCATTGCACTCCAGCCCTCTAGCCTGGCGACAGAGTGAGACTCTGTCCCCAAAAAAAAAAAAAATTCCAATGTAAGACAGATTCATGTACAATCAATTCTGCTATAATGTTTGATGCGAAAATGTGAATTTATTCTAAGACAATTGATATATTAGGGAACCAAGTGAGCATAACTCAAATTTTATATTTGCTTATGCGTGATTCCACCAGTAAGAAACACTGGTGGAATCACGCATAAGACACAGAAAACTGCACCCAGCTGAACAAAGATACATATGAATACACAAAACAATAAAAAAAAACCACCTTTCTCACATAGGGAAAGCACAATACACACACATGCACACACACACACACACACTTTACTAGAAATCGCCAAATCCTGCAGCACTGACTCATTTTAGTGCTAGTAGTAGACAGTTTGATGGTTTCTAGTATCATCACTACAATTTCCAAAACCTTAGCTACCAGGCAAAGCCAAGAGTGCAAATGAGAGCGCTGCAAAAAAATTTCCAGCAGTGATAAAAATGTTAAATAAAAAAGAAGGCTATACATTGGATCAAAATTTCAATTTTTATGAAACAGCTATTATAATAGCACGCCCTGAAGGACCTATATCTTAAAAGCAGAAAAACATCTCAACCCAAGATTTAAGGATTCAAAAAAAAAAAAACCACTTAATAGTTAATTTGTTTTTCTTTTAGAGACAGGTTCTCACTCTGTCACCCAGGCTTGAGTGCAGTGGCATGATCTACTACTGCACTGCCACCTCAACTCCTAGAGTCAAGCAATCCTCCAACCTCAGCCTCCTGAGGAGACAAGACAACAGGTGTGTGCCACCACATCTGGCTTTTCTTTTTTTTTTTGTAGAGACAAGGTCTTGCTATGCCCAGGTTGGTCTCAAACTCCAGGCCTCAATTGATCTTACTGCCTTGGCCTCCTAAAGCACTAGGATTACAGGTGTTTAATTGTGATGTTCTATGCCACCATCAAACTGAAGGCACACCCATCCACTTCCACTATTATGACTTTCTATCCAATGTCCAATCACCTTCCTTCCACCAGCTCACAGTAACTCACAAGCTACAACCTTTCAGAAACTTCAGGTCTTTTTCAAGGTAAAATGCTATATTCATTGGCATATATTTCTTAACCATTTAACACGTTTAAAACATTAGGTTCTTATCTTATTTTTATGTTACACAAAGTTTTTGAGAGTTGTGCCACTAAATCCCTTTTTCCATGAGACCTGGGGTTTTCACTGCACAATTTTGCACATCAAGGTGATTTTTAGGAATGCACATGTCACATTACGGCAGAAGTAACTGAATCATGAGCCTGACCTGTTATTGAGCGTCAGTAGGTCCGATTTTACCTTGGATGCAGCTTCATTGCTCTTCATTTTTTCTCTCAGAGTTTTCCACCACTTGCTCTCTGGAGGATACTGCCATGGTGTTTTATCAAGTTCCTCTAAAAGCTTAAAAAAAAAAAAACACACACACACAAACACATAAACTTTTTCTTTGCCTTTTTTTTCTTTTTTTTTTTTTTTTTTTTTTTTTTTTGAGACGAAGTCTCGTTCTGTCACCCAGGCTGGAGTGCAGTGGCGCAATCTCAGCTCACTGCAACCTCTGTCTCCCAGGTTCAAGCAATTCTTCTGCCTCAACCTCCTGAGTAGCTGGGAGTACAGGTGCCTGCCACCATGCTCAGCTAATTTTTGTATTTTTAGTAGAGACGAAGTTTCACCATGTTGGCCAGGCTGGTCTCGAACTCCTGACCTCAGGTGATCTACCTGTCTCGGCCTCCCAAAGTGCTGGGATTATAGGGATGAGCCACCATGCCCAGTCTGCTTTTTAAAAATAAATTTAAATCATATTAACACGGAAGTATCTTCTTAAAGAAGACTATACGGCCATACTACCCTTCACATTACTCAGACTCTTTTTTTCTTCCAGTTAGTAAACACCTGATAGAATCAATGGGAAACATGGAAGGCTTTTGTTTGGTCAGTGTGGGTGTCTGCCAGATGCTAACACCTGATAGAAAATCAATGGGTAACATGGAAGGCTTTTGTTTGGTCAGTGTGGGTTTCTGCCAGATGCTGGGATGCCCATAGGACAGACTGGAGTGCTACCTCCTCCACACCTCAAGCAAGGGCTCTGAAACCCTCCTCGGTCTTTGACACTGGAAGGAAAACCACTCCTTCCACAGAACTCTTGCAGGAAAACCAACAAATAACCACGGACTCCTATGGTACAGACCAAATGCTCCAGAGTGATTTAATATGTGATTCAAGATTATATCCTATATTGTGTAATCATGACAACAATACCAAATTGTATCATCCAAAATCAAGTGATAAATGTGACTATATTTTATCTCCTGTCACAGTGAAATGTACAAACTATGTACAAATAATAACAACCTGTGGAAAAGTCACTGATTAGTTTGAAGAGTAAAAAGCTCTTTTTTACCTAAAGAAATACTTTTAGATTTTTCCAGTGCTAAGCCATTCTTGCCACTTCTTGGCAGTAAGTTCAGTTCCTTTGGAAGGTATACTTTTTCAGATAGCTGGATGCTATTTAATAAATTAGTAAATTTAGTATATTACTGTTTGCCTACTGAAAGATGTTACATTTTCAATCATCTTCCAAAAATGCTTAACTTACATAAAAATGAGCTATGTACCAGAAGTTGGACTTAACAAGTTCCAAAGTTGTATTTAAGAATAGTTTTCAATCATACATTTTGTTTAAAACAGATATGAATAGTAGACCCGTTACCAAGTGAATCAAGATTAAAACATTTTCAAGAATTGACTATTCCCTAATAAGCACTCCACATAAACTAAAACAAAAGTTCTCACCTGCTTAGTGACAGCATGTATGTTTCCTAGCAAAGTAACAGCGGGCTTTACATTATTCCCCAATTCTTCTGCACAGATATCAACCTAAAAAAGAGACAAGGCTAAAGAACAACCCATGTTTATTCTGAAAAATATGTAAGAAGGCAATTACGATTGAATAAATGAACTGTGTATATAGAACACATGATAAAGAAGATTTGATATTCAGAAGTTCCTTAATAAAAAAAGTAAAAGTCCATAGAACTATATTAGTATCATAGCTAGTATAGAGAGCCTCATTATCTTCCCTCATTTAAAAATCTACTCTATGGAATTTTGGTATTGCTTCATTATACCCATAGGGAATGCATTTGACCTGATCAATTATAGTTTTGCATCTAATCAGTAAGTTCTATTGAATTACATTTGGAATTCCTATCTAGAGTGTGGGTTCTCAAATATAAGCATATATCAGAGTCACCTGGTATATTCTGGGCTTGATAAACCATAAACTGTAGGAGTCTACCTCAGAGTTTTTTATTTTAATAGGTCTGGCGTAGGGTCCAGAAATGTGCATTTCTAACAGGTTTCGCAGGTGGTGCTGATGCGCCTGGCCCAGGGAACCACATTTAGAGAACAATTCCAAGAACATGGCACGATTACTTCTCCATTTACTCAGAAGTTCCATGTCTGGATGGCCATGGACAAATGATGGCTTCTGCAAGGAGGAATACTTTAGCCACCCCAAAGGGGATGTATCTCATTCTATAATCAAGAGGGCAATCAAGAGGTATTGGCATCTTCCAGGTAACTCTGTCTTGTTTGTCTGCAGTTTTAGTTCTCAACTGGCTCAGCTGGGAAAGGAGCAATTAGAAGTTGACTCCTTAAGAAGTAAAAGGTAGACTGGGAAAAGGGCAACTGTAGCTGGCTCATCAAACATCAAGCAACCCAAGCACAGTGGCTCAAGTCTGTAATCTGGCATTTTGGGAGGCTGAGGTAGGAGAATTGCTTGAGGCCAGGAGAATTGCTGAGACCAGCCTGGGCAACATGGCGAGACTTTGTCTTTACAAAAAAATTAAAATTAGCCAGGCATTGTTGTACGCGTCTATAGTCCCAGCATGTCAGGAAGCTGAGGCAGGAGGATCACTTAAGCTCGAGAGGTTGAGACTGAAGTGAGCCATTATCGTGCCACTGCACTCCTGCCTGGGTGACAGAGCCAAGATGCTGTCTCAAAAACAACCAAGCAAAAACATCAAGTAAAATGGGGCGAATCCGTGTAGGGCAAAAAGGTTTGCACACCACTATGCAGGTAGTACTTTCCACACCAGTAAAGAAAATGGCTTATAAGGTGGGTCATAATGATACAAGAATCATCAAAGACAGGTCAGAATACATTCCGGATGCTGTTTAATGACTTGTAAAACAGTGTCATTTAGAAATTCCCATTGGAAGGGTGAAAGTTTTGGCATCTGAAAGAAAACCTCACTCCCTAACAAGGCCAAATGTTTTGTTCTAGTCTACCATCCTACTTAAGTCTCTTTTCTCTACCTTTAAATATACTTGAATTGTGAATAAAAGACAAATTATGCTTTCTAAACTATTTGAAACTTGATTTTGAAAGGTTTTCTGGCTAGAAGTGGCACACTATATTTCATAGGCTAGAAAAGGAAGCTTATTTTGGTACCTATAATTATGTTAGACAATTTGTAAAATTCTACTTGTGTAAAAAGAGAACAGTTTTTTTAATAGTAATCAAGAAGATAACAGAGCTGATTACGGCTGATAGGGAGAATAATGAACATAGACATTTCTGATTTTAAGTTCCTCCTCTCTAAGTACCTGGATAAACTTCACATCTGGCTGATATCTTGGAGGCAGTCCAAAATGTAAAATCCAATTTAGTCTGGCACCAAATAACACAATTACATCAGCAAATTGCAAAGCCCTATTAAAAAAATTGATATGAAAGTATAACTACATTTCTTATTTGAATTATTCGAAAATTCATCTCTGAAGTATTTGAAAAGTCTAAATCATTTGGAGCTTACATCAGACTTCAGAATCAGCTTCTAGGGTATATTTGATCTTTCAAGCTAAAATAATTTATAAAACCATTCTATATAAATAGTTATCTAAAATATAAATTAAGTTAAAAAACATTACCATAAGCTGTATCTACACTCTTTTATTACTTTTTTATAATTAGAAAAATTAGTACAAGTACACTGTAGGCAATCCAGAAAAAAAACAGAAAAAGTATAAGGCAAAAAACAAAATCACCCCATAATACTTTCAACTTATAAACTATTATGAATATACTGGCAAATTTTCATCTACTTTTGTTTTCTACGCAAATACATTTTTACATAGTTGAGCTTATATACTATAATACTGTCTCATACACTTTTTTTATTTTGTTTTGAGACAGGGTCTCTCTCTCTTTTGCCCGGGCTGGAATGCAGTGGTGCAGTCATGGCTCACTGCATCCTCTCCTCTCAGGCTTAAGCAACCCTCCTACCTCAGCCTCCTGAGCAGTTGGGACTACAGGCACGTGCCACTGCACCTGACTAATTTTTAATTTTTTGTAGAGATGGGGTTTTGCCATCTTGCCCAGGCTAGTCTCGAACTCCTGGTTTCAAGTGATTCGCCCACCTTGGCCTCCCAAATTGTTTGGATTACAGGCATGAACCACTGCACCTGGCTGTCTCATATACTTTTGCTTACATAAATGTTTTCCTGGCCTGGTGCGGTGGCTCATGCCTGTAATCCCAACACTTTGGGAGGCAGAGATAGGTGGATCATGAGGTCAACAGATGGAGACCACCCTGGCCAACATAGTGAAACCCCATCTCTACTAAAAATACAAAAATTAGCTGGTTGTGGTGGTGCGTGCCTGTAGTCCCAGCTACTCAGGAGGCTGAGGCAGAAGAATTGCTTGAGCTCGGGAGGTCGAGGCTGCACTGAGCCGAGATCACACCACTGCACTCCAGCCTAGTAACAAAGCGAGACTCTGTCTCAAAAAAAAAAAAAAAAAAAAAAAGGTTTCCTTTCTCATTAAGTTCTTAAATACAACTTTTAAAGGCTACATATTTTGCTGAACACAATATACCAAAATTTATTTAATGTTTTCTCAATTGCTAGATATTTTGTTATTAATAGTGCTGGCTTGCACATCTTCACACTTAAGTCTTAATGCACTCTTCACATTGGTCCCTAGAAGCAGGTTATTTTTAAGACTATTGATTCATATTCCAGAATTGCTTTCTAAAATATTACACCAATTAGATTTCTAAGTTTTATTTTATATATTTTAATACTTTTGTCAATATAACTTCTAATCTTTTAATGATTTCTACTTTCGTAAACAACCACCCTTGCTTTCTTTTTCTTTACTTCACATATCTTTGCCCAGTCTTGTTTTAAAGCTGTATCATTACGTTTCCGATGTGGCTCTTATAACACATACAGTTGCTGTTATTACTAATCTAATCTAATCTGAATGTCTGCCTTTTTCCAGGAGAGTTTATTATCATAATTGTCATAATTGCTGTGGGTTTTGTTTTGTTTTTCACTTCTCATTTTTCTGCTTTTTATCTGTTTCCCCTTTTTCCTGTCTTTTGCCATACAGGATCTGTATCTACTGCTTTTGTCTTCTTCAGTGATAAATGCAATTTTTCACAGAAATTATATACTCATAAATTGAGTACATACTCAAAAATCATCTTTAATATTGTATTAGTCCTATGAGACCCAATTTAACAAACAGATAACTGCAATCAGCAGGACGGACTTGCTTACTGATACTCTAAAACTCTTGAAATCATTGATTCAATTATTTATAGTCCCTTGTAACCTTTTTTACACTGGTAATGTCATTAATATTATCCTCTTAAAATCTGGCTAGACTGAAGATAAACTTCATTTCAACCTAAGTATAAAAAAATTAAGTGTAAGAATTAACTTGGTTACTGTATATAGTAATATAAATAAAAATACAACATATTAAGATAGCATTAAGTGAGGAACAATTAAAGATCTAGCAGCAAACATTACATTTAAAAAGCCCTCAGAAGCCAGGTGCTCACACCTGTAATCCCAGCACTTTGGGAGGCCAAGGTGGAAGGATCACTTGAGCCTAGGGGTCTGAGTCCAGCCTGGGCAACACAGTGAGGCCCTGTCTCTACAAAATAAAAATCAAAAACCCTCAGAATTAATTTTAACCCATGAATGAAAATATGAAGAACACCAAACACATGACAGTAATAAACTACAGAAAGGGAAGCAAGAAATGGCATCAAAAAAGATATTTAGGGGACTGCAAATGAATCCATAATTTTTTGCTTCCTAAAAAGAAAAAAAAAAAACACCTTAGGCCAGGCATGGTGGCTCATGCCTGTAATCCTAGCACTTTGCGAGGCCTAGAAGGGTGGATTCCTTGAGCCCAGGAGATCAAGACCAGCATGGGCAACACGGTGAAACCTCGTTTCTACAAAAAATACAAAAATTAGCTGGGTTGTAGTGGCACACACCTGTAGTTCCAGCTATTAATACTTGGGAGGCTGAGGTGGGAGGATTGCTTTAGCCCAGCAGGCAGAGGTTGCAATCAGGTGTGATTGCACCACTGCACTCCAGTCCAGGCAACAGAGCAAGACCCTGTCTCCAAAAAAAACCCAAAAACCGGCTGGGCGCAGTGGCTCACACCTGTAATCCCAGCACTTTGGGAGGCTGAGGCGGGCGGATCACAAAATCAGGAGATGGAGACCATCCTGGCTAACACAGTGAAACCCCATCTCTACTAAAAATACAAAAAATTAGCCGGGTGTGGTGGCAGGCGCCTGTAGTCCCAGCTACTAGGGAGGGTGAGGCAGGAGAATGGTGTGAACCCAGGAGACAGAGCTTGCAGTGAACCAAGATCGCGCCACTGCACTCCAGCCTGGGTGACAGAGCAAGACTCCGTCTCAAAAAAAAAAAAAAAAAAAAACCAAAAACCCTAAAGCAATATAAAACAATGTTAATAACTGATGCAATCCTACTTCTTATACATTACTGCCAAATGAAACCTTTTTTTACTTAGAGATTCATCTGTCTATATTTTTTATGTTGATGCTGATAAAGTTGAGTGGTGGTTATGTAAGTGTTCATTACATTATTCTCTCTTCCTGTGTGTATAGTTAGAATATTTCATAATAAAGACATTTCAAGAAATTAAAAAGAAAAAAGTTATAGTATATTAAAAAGCATGCCTTAAAAATCTAAAAAGAGGAAACTTCCAATGCCAGCCAAGATTGGCTAAGTTTGAAGAAGCAACCCACACAGAGGGTAAGTTTCCAAGGTATTTCTCCCCCGTGTTTTGTCTCCTGGCTTTGACTCAAAGGCAGCCCTAGTTGCAGAACTGCAAGCAGCGAAAACTTGCAGAGAAACTGTTTTTTTGGCCAAAGGATCAGGAAAAGGGCCACTGCAAGCTGGAGAGTATGGGGGGAAATGTCAGATTTTTTTTCTTTTTTTCTTTATCTCCAAGCTCTGCTCTGAGGGCAGCCTTACTGCAGAGCTGCATGGTGGTGGCTCCCAAGCAGCTGAAATTCCAAGAGAAACGTCATCTTTGAGGCAAGAGGGATTGGGAAAAAGGGTCCCTGTGGTCTGAAGAGTATGGGGACAATCCCCATTATTTTTTTCTTCTGCAGCTTGTTCAGAGGGCAGCTTTAGTTATGTGATACTATAAGGGAGCAGCAAGAGCCAGGAAAAGGGGCAACTGAGAATGGGAGAGTGGGGGTGTGGAGCCTACAGAGGAGAGAAAATAAATCCCTAATTCTGGGTATGAACCAGTACATGTCTGGGGCTCACCCCTGAGCTGGACATGTGCAGACAGACTCAAAACAGCACAGCAAAGGCTCTGAAACTGAAGTGACCCTGGAACTACTTATATATGGTTAAGTTCACACTTCGATTTGTAGTCAAGCTAATCTAATCACGTTGACTGATTGCTAAGAGAAACCAACAAAAATCAACATTCTACAGAGGATTTTAATATGACCCAGAATCTCCAAATACAATATCCAAAAATCCAGGATACAATCCAAAATTACTCAGTACAAAAAGAGCCAGAAAAATGTGATCAACTCTCAAAAGAAAAGATAATGAATAGATGCCAATCTGAGATGACTCAGATGTTGGAATTAATAAACAAAGACTGCAGAAACTATTATAATTTACCCCATCATGAAGTATAGAAAAATATTCTTAAAAGAAATGTAAAAATAGAAGATCTCAGCAGAGAAGCAAAATATAAAATAAAAGGATTAAAAAGAAATGAACAGATAGATACTCGGGGACATGTCAGACAGTATCAAAATGGATGAAGGTTGACATAGAAAAAATATTTGAAGAAAGAATGATGAAAACTTTCCAAATTTAGAGAAAGACAATTTAGAGAAAGACATAAATTTAAATATTCAAGATTTGAGAATCCCAAAAGGCTAAATTAAAATAAACCATTTCCAGGCACATCATACTTAAACTGCTGAAAACAAAAGACAAAGGAAAATCTTGGGAACAGCCATGGAAAAACAACATATTACATACAGAGCAACAATAATTTGAATGACTGCAGATTTCTCATATGAAATGAAAGCCAGAAGATAGTCCAAAAATAAACAGGTATGCTTAAAATTCCATGATTCTTTCAGAACTCCATCCTAGATGAAGATCACAAAATAATTTAAATTAGCCTAAAATCTACCAAGCCATTGTATTTAAAATCTGGAATGCCACACACCTGGATCTGGCTGCACCTACACAGTATGGATGGTTGTCAGGGACAACACCCTTCCCCATAGGGGTGGGCAAAAATGGCAGTTTATATTGCTCCACCAATTTCTTGATACTCTCTTCTGCATGAGCGTAAGCAGCACCTATAAGAAATGCAAATGTATTGGACAATTCAGTTAAGCTATAGGCACTGTGACCCTTAAAAAAGTTCATGTGAAATTGCTTTTTACTTATTTATATTTTGAGACAGGGACTCACTCTATCACCCAGGCTGGAGTGCAGTGGCATGATTTTGGCTCACTGTAACCTCTGCCTCCCTGGCTCAAGCAATCTTTCCTCCTCAGCTTCCCGAGTTGCTGGGACTACAGACACACATCACCACCGCACTCAGCTACTTTTAAAATTTTCTGTATAGACGAGGTCTCCCTATATTGCCCAGCTGGTATGCTGGTCTTGAACTCATGGGCTCAAGCAATCCTCCTTCCTTGACCTCCTAAGAAATTACTTGTAGATCTTCTCAAATACTCTCCTTCTGCCTATACCTGGGCTTAAACTCAAAACAAATTGTGATTACAGTTTTTATCGCTGGTATTTTAAAATGCTTAACAAAGTAAGAGTTCTAATTTTCCACCAATAACACTCTCAATTATCCTGAAGGATGTCTATCCCAAAACAAAAGTCACATCTCACAGCTCTTGCTACTGTCACTTACCCATTCTATGCTATGGTCCTACTAAACTACACTCTACAAGTCCCTGAACACACTATCTTCATTGAGAGGCCCAGGTGGCCAGGGAAAAATGTTGCCCTGAAAGAGAAAGGCTCTCTCTACCCTCATATGTTGGTCCTCATCTCCAGTAAACCTCCTCTACACAAGGCCTCCTAGTCCAGGCATGGAAATTCTAAGGTGCATTAAGTTTCTAAAGATCTGCAGATCTTTCTACAGGCTCTGTAATTCTGTGATTGTAACAGAGCTAACCCCAGTGGGACACATTATCTTTTTTGTTGTTGTTGTTGAGGCAAAGTCTCACTCTTGTCACCCAGGCTGGAGCGCAATGGCGCGATCTCGGTTCACTGCAACCTCCACCTCCCGGGTTCAAGCGATTCTCCTGCCTCAGCCTCCCAAGTAGCTGGGATTACAGGCGCCTGCCACCACGCCCAGCTAATTTTTGTATTTTCAGTAGAGACAGGGTTTCACCATGTTGGCCAGGATGGTCTCGAACTCCTGACCTTAGGTGATCCGCCCACCTCGGCCTCCCAAAGTGTTGGGATTACAGGCGTGAGCCACCACACTCGGCCCACGTTATCATTTGTTTTCACAGTTATGTGCCTGGGAATAACCCTCTGCCCTATTCCCTTGATGACATTAAAAATACCTTATTGTTCAAATGTTCCATTTCTAATGTCATCAAGACCACTATTTTTTTTTGCTATTTTATAATTTTTCAAGGCTAGTATATTATTCCATATTCTGTATATATAATTCTCTACTGAATCCTAGTAAACAGTATCATGCACTTGCAGATTCAATATAATGCTCCACTCTACAAAACTACCTTAAAATCCCTTCTCATACATGTATGATGAAAAATAGTTCCTTTTCTTTAATCCAGAAAGTTTTCTTGTATTCTCCTTCCTGTCTCAATGTCTTTGTACACTCAGTTCTCTCTTCCTGCTTTGCCTTTGGTCTCTGTCCACTTGGTGAACTATTGTCTGCTTTTTCAAGATGCAGCTGTTGTGTCATCTCTTCTGGATAGTCCTTCCATACTATCTACACAAGCAAATTGTTGCTGCTTTCCTTGAAAACCCACCTCAACCTCTCTGTACACACCACGCAAGAACATACCGCACTTACTTGTTACCAGGTCTATCTCCCCTCCCCAATAGGTAGGAACCACTATTTCTCTGTATCCCTCATGAATGTTTTGTGTAATCCCTGCCTTATCATAAGCATTCATCAAATGTTTGTTAAAAGAAGAATGAAAACTAGCATCCACTGAGTGCTTTCCACATATTTTGCTATTTAATTATATCCTATTGAGGTAGTTAATATCCCTATTTTACAAGTGAAGCAATCTGAGACTCAAAGCAGTTGTTTCCCAAAGTCACAGAGCTAATACATCATACAACACATTCCACTCAGTTCTGACCTCAATTTTTTTGTCATACACTATCAAACTATTTTTAGTTTCTACAGATTTAGTTCCTAAGCAGTTGATAATTGATTAGCATGGTCATAGGTGATCCCAGCAGCCTCAGTTCCAGAACACGAAATGGATACTATAATAAATTGCTGACAGGAGTATAAATTGGTTGGTACAACACCTCCAGAGAAAGCAATATGACAATATACACTAAAAGTCTTAAAAATACTCATACCCTCTAACTTTTCTTTCTAGGAAACTTAAATCCTAAATATAGAAAAAGCTTTAGGCACAAACATGTCTGCCACAGCTACTCTAAACAGTTACTGGCAAAGATTTAAATATTTGCCAGGAAAGTAAGTGTTAACGTACACATGAAGAGACATTAAAAATTATATTTAGGAAATACTTTTAAGATGAAAAATATTATAATCTTAAATGAATAAGGTAGAATATAAAACGGTCTATAATATGAGCACAGTACATAATCTATGTGTAAAAAGGAATAGAAATGTACTAAATATTAAAAAGTTACCTTAGATGAAGGAACTTCTACTTTTCTTGATTTTTCCAAAATGTTTTATAATAGAATAAGCACATTTCACTAATAAGACCAAAGAAATTAAATAGGTAGTATTTCCTTAAAAGGGTGAAATCTCTGGGCATTAAAGAATAAGTCTGTAATTTCAAAACAAATAATGCTAAATGGATGAAGAGAATTCTTATTCCAATCTCAAACATTAGAATAGACATTAATAAACAATGAAAGTTTGTAAAAAGAATTGGCACTTTCAAAAGCCTAGCAAGATTTAGAGTTCTATTCATGCTACCTTTCCCGATGATAAGAAGGGGTTGTTTGGCATTCCTAATAACAGAAGCCGCCGTGCACACAGCAGAGGTTTCTGCCATGCTAATAGGAGGTGACATGCAGCGTTCCATGTACCTGGAAAAAAAGAGCCCTATTAATTAAAAGAGGCCAACTATGATCTTTTTATTGTGAAAATTTCAAATATATAGAAAGGTAGAAAAAATAGTACAATAAATCTCCATACACCCCCATGTAGATCTAACAACTTAATATCATTTTACCACATTTGTTTCATATATACACACATAAACATGCATTTATTTTTCATGAACTATTTTAAAGTAAATAGGCATCAAGACACTTCACCCTTAAAAATTTCTCCATGCAGCTGTGAATAAGGACCTTCTCCTATATTCAACTATCACATCATTATCACATCTAGTAAATTAACAGTTATTCCCTGATATCATCTAATAACCAGTGAAATGGCCAATTCATTAACAGAAAATCTGAGTTAATGGCTTTGTACTGTAGTAGCAGCAGTAGCTGTCCTAACAGTAAAAACATAATAAAATCTAATATTTGCTATGTGCCATTTATTCTCATTTAACTGTCAAAACAATGAGGTTAGGTATTAACATCATCTCCATTTCACCACTGAGGAAAAAAAGACTCAGAGAAAGTAACTTGTCCAAGATCTCCAGATGGCACGTGGCAGAGACAGGACTGAACTAGTCATTCTGTCTCCAAAGTCCATGCTTTTAAACACCTTACCACATTTCTCTTTTTTTTTTTTCTTTTCTTTTTTTTTTTCTTTTGTGGAGACAGAGTCTTACTCTGTCACCCAGGCTTAAGTGCAGCGGTGCGAACTTGGCTCACTGCAACCTCCATCTCCCAAGTTCAAGCGATTCTCCTGCCTCAGCCTCCTGAGTAGCTGGGACTACAGGCACATGCCACCAAGCCTGGCTAATTTTTGTATTTTTCGTAGAGATGGGGTTTCACTATGTTGGCCAGGTTGGTCTCAAACTCCTACCTCAGGTGATCCACCCACCTCGGCCTCCCAAAGTGCTGAGATTACAGGTGTAAGCCACCGCACCCAGCCCCACTACAGTTCCACTCACTGGGTGTTAATATTTTAGTATCATAATATGCATTAGTAAAAGAAATATTCAAACTGTCACAGTTAAGTATTTCTGGACACCAAGTCCTGTGCTATTTCATTTATTCTAATTAATATAAATTATACTGTATAAAATTTAGACATATTGTCAAAATATTTAGACATATAATAAAAAAGGACAATCTGTATAAAATTTAGAAGAAGGCTTACAGAGTTAACTTACCTGAGCTTACCCTCCTCCCCTTAGTAGTATTTTGATTATCATGTTCAGGTATTAGGCAGAATAAACAAGTGTCTTTTTTATCTGACTCTCCGAAATAAAAAATCACTCCTGGCTGGGCACGGTGGCTCATGCCTGTAATCCCAGCACTTTGTGAGGCCGAGGTTGGTGGATCACAAGGTCAGGAGTTCGAGACCAGCCTGGCCAACATGATGGAACCCTGTCTCTACTAAAAATACAAAAATTAGCCAAGCATGGTGGCGGGCGCCTGTAATCCCAGCTACTTGGGAGGCTGAGGCAGGAGAATCGCTTGAACCCAGGAGGCAGAGGTTGCAGTGAGCTGAGATAGTGCCACTGCACTCCAGCCCGGGCAACAGGGAGAGACTCAGTCTCAAATTGAAAAAAAAATCACTCTTTGGTACACAGAGTATACAGTAAGACCCACTGACTCTCTGTAGTCACTAGAGAACCATTTGGTCCACAACAGCAGAAACGCACTAAACAGTACCCATGATGCTTTAACCCTAAGTACCTATCTCTATCAGGGGATGATTTAGATACCAGTGAAAAATGCTTTTTGTACTTCTTTTCACTTAGTGTTTATTTAAGAAATATGAGAATATGAGAAATCATAGAAACCTCTATACTGGAATATTTGTTAACCACAGAGAGAGACAGCTAGATGTTTTTTATCCTGAGTCCTAATACTTTTTAATAATCACCCAACCTCTTGGCTTACATTATAAAGATTCTCAAGGACCCATATTACATTAACGAGGGATGTATATTTATGGTTACTGGAGGAATATTTTCAACGAGGAGTTCAGGAAGTTCTAAGTATTTGGTTTAGTAATTAAATCCATAAATAACTACTAATATCATTTTAATTAAGAAAATTAACCCTTTGGCTAGGATTCAGTTTAATTACTAAATAATCAAGTTAAGACAAATGGAAATTAACTTATAAACTGCTGGGTAAATTCTTCTAAAAAGGTAGGCATTATGATAATACATGTACATTGAAGAAAGAATTCCAGCATAACTATTACTCACTTTATAGAATTCACATTCACCTGAAGGTTCACAAAATCTGCTGGTATGTCAACATAGCAAGCACCTGGACGACCATAGATACTGCTTCTCACTGCCTACGTTCATTACAAGTAGAAGAAAAGATTTGTAAAATCTCAGTCTTATCATATTCTACTCAAAGATAATTTAAAACTGGAAAATGAACACTTTTCATTTTTCTGGACATCCTTGTGGAGAAAAAAATAATTATGATGAAAATCGAAATGTCCTCTATTGACTACATTTTTAAAGATTTTTTGTTTAAAAGGGAGAGAGATAAGAAAGTATTCATTTAGGGCTTTAAAATTCATGTTCTATTACACTTTAGCTTGGGAAATTATTCACCCGGCTCTGCCTGCCAAGTTTTTGCACTGTAATATGTACTTTCATCTGCTTCCTAATCTTAGTAATCTGGCAGTGTTTTCAGAAACTGTGATGCTGTTACACGTATCAAATGGTTTCTGTAACTCCTGGTTTTGAAACAGCTAAAATGTAATTTCACGTATAAATGCTGATTATAATTTATAATACAGGTTGAGTATCTGTAATCCAAAAATCCAAAATCTTCCAAAATGTGAAACTTAGTGTGTGCCAAGAAGATGATACAGGTGGAAAATTCCATATCTGACCTCATGTGACAGCTCACAGTCAAAATGCAGGTGTCTAAACAGTTTATTCAGCATCCCCAAGGGAAAAATAATCATCAGACTATGTGTATAAGGTACATATGAAAAATAAATGAATTTCATATTTAGACTTGGGTCACATCCCCAAGATGTCTCATTATATATATGCAAATATTCTAAAATCTGAAAAAATCTGCAGTCAGAAACACTTCTGAAAAGCATTTCAGGTAAGGAATAATCAACCTGTATGCTGTATTAATTAACTAACGGAGGGTCTTAGAGGGTTTTGGTTTAATCCCAATTTTCAAAAATAATCTTTTGCAAAAGCACAAGAGAAAAGGTACTCAAGGGTTCATTATAAACCTTTCTCTTTACTTTTGTATAATTAAAAAGGTAATTTTAAAAACTAAAACACAGGAGAAACTTTTTCCAAAAATAACTTATTTTACCTCTCTATAATTAAATGTAATGACAGTGAACACTAAAATGTAAATAGCTTTCTAACAATGCCATTTTTAACTGCCTGGGTATGTTCCTAATTGTCACTCATTCTTTTGAGAATAAAAATAACAGTAAGTATGAGCAACTGAGAAAAATCAGTTGACTTGGAGAGCTTGTTATTAAATACTGTACCTTTTCAATAACAAAAGGAATAGCTTCTATGCTGCTTGGGCGGGCAGAGAACTTGGTATATAATCTACAAGCTTCAACCTACATGGAAAATGAAAATCACTTAAAATTCAGCTCACAATCATGTTACTCTCCTGAAAGAAGACAAAATGTTAAGTCATTAATTTCTTTTATGTTTAGAGGCAAGATGGAGAAAATATATTGCCTAGACTGTCCCTTAAAAGCCTATTCAAAGTACAAAGTTTTGCCTTGGTATGATTCAGGAAGCGTATCATACCAAAGATGCAAAATCTTTTGGCAAAGATGCAAAAGTCTGATAATACCCACCATCTAACACAACACAGGAAAATAGGCACTTCTATAAACTGCTGGTGAGACTATAAATGGGAAAGGAAGTTAAAATCTACAAAAAATTTAAATCAGCATATCTTTGGATCCAGCAATTTCACAGATAAGAATATAAAACTTCATCTGTTAGATTTTGTTATAATAATAATCTATTCTTACATTTCTGCCAGTGTTCCTTTTATATACTTTCTTGCTATGGTGTTTCGAATATATGAATTCAGTAGTGATAATTTTTCACTGTTTAATATATCTTGAGGCATTATATAGAAACTGTTTCTCTTGATGTTTTAGTATGAAATCTATGAAAAGCTGATAGTCCCACAGGCATGACAAAATTAAGATCACCCTCCGATTTTCAGTCTATGTTCATGCCCTTTAGTTTTAAGGACTTCCACAAAAACCAGATACTTGGATTCTTTCTCTTCTGTTTTTAAATTTGATCTAATAAACTATTATTTTCCATTTCAGGAAAATGCCTCAGATCTATATATCTTGAGGCATTATATAGAAACTGTTTCTCTTGATGTTTTAGTATGAAATCTATGAAAAGCTGATAGTCCCACAGGCATGACAAAATTAAGATCACCCTCCGATTTTCAGTCTATGTTCATGCCCTTTAGTTTTAAGGACTTCCACAAAAACCAGATACTTGGATTCTTTCTCTTCTGTTTTTAAATTTGATCTAATAAACTATTATTTTCCATTTCAGGAAAAAAATATGTAGTGGACATTTATCCTGTTTTCTTTTTCACGTATATAGTTTCTGCAGTAACTTTAGATTTCCTTTTAATTAACTTAATCTGCTCTACTTATTTTCCAAACACATAAGCATCTTTTAAATAACTGTTATCGTCTACTATTAACTAAATAAAACTTCGATTCCCTTCTAAGAGTATAAAAATATAACTTTTGCATTAACTTATACTAGAGTTCAGTATTTTAGTTTATCATATATGAAATTTTATTTTTTGAAGTTCTCAGTAATGATTTCTGATTTACAAATAGACTTTGTCTAATGATTTTATTTATGTATTTATTTTTGAGATGGAGTTTCACTCTTGTCACCCAGACTGGAGTACAGTGGTACGATCTCGGCTCACTGTAACCTCTGCCTCCTGGGTTCAAGTGATTCTCCTGCCTCAGCCTCCCAAGTAGCGAGGATTACGGGCACCCACCACCAAGCCCAGCTAATTTTTGTATTTTTAGTAGAGACAGAGTTTCACCATGTTGGCCAGGCTGGTCTCAAACTCCTGACCTCAGGTGATCTACACGCTTGGGGCTCCCAAAGTGCTGTGATTACAGGGGTGAGCCACCATGCCCGGCTGTCTAATGATTTTAACTTTGTCCTGTAAATGCTCAAATATATTTATATCTTAAGTGTCAATCATTCACTTTCAGCTATTTGTTTCCAACAACTGTTTTTTCTAAAGACACGGTATCTTGGATGGGTGTGGTGGCTCACGCCTGTAATCCCAGTACTTTGGGAGGCCAAGGTGGTGGATCACTTGAGGTCAGGAGTTCAAGACCAGCCTGGGCACCATGGCAAAACACTGTCTCTGCAAAAAGTACAAAAATTATCTGGGCATGGTGGCGTGTGCCTATAGTCCCAGCCACTTAGGAGGCTGAGGTGGGAGGATGGCTTAAGCCTAGGAGGTAAAGGCTGCAGTGAGCCAAGACTGCGCCACTGCACTGCAGATTGGGCAACACAGCCATATCCTGTCTCAAAAAAGAAAAAAAAAAGAAAGAAAGAAAGACAGAGATAAGACCTGAATATGTTGTACAGACATATGTTTGGTCTCAAACATTTGGGCTCCAGCAATTCTCCCTCCTCAGCCTAGTAGCTGAGTAGCTAGGAATACAGTTACGAACCACGTGTCCAGCTTTATTCTTAAAACTGTAGCATTTTGTTGACATATTCTTTCAAGTTTCTTTTAATTTTGACATGCTTTCTTTCCTCCTTCTAAAATAAAAATATACTTGTCCAGAGTCTACTGATAATCATTTTGAGTAAGTTTTTTCCTCTTATTTCCCTAAAGTCTGGGAGGCATAGTCCAAAATCATTTTTATTCCTACATCTTCTTGACTCCTTTAAGAGCCTATTTTCAGAGCTTAAAATCCTGTCACAAAGGTGTATTTCTTGAAAGCTTGTTTCTAAGCAGGGCCTAAGCTCACCCTTAATATCCACCCTGAAGTTGTCTTATAGTAGCTCAAGATAATTACCTTTAAGTTACTTCAGGTACTTCTAATTTATTTATTTTATTTTGCAAACAGGAGGCTTTTTTATATCTTCTCTCTACCTCTTAATGGTGTGTATGTATTGTGTTACTAAAATCTTAAGAGTTGCAGGCCAAGTGCGGTGGCTCATGCTTGTAATCCCAGCACTTTGGAAAGCTGAGGCAGGTGGATCGCTTGAGCTCAAGAGTTCAAGACCAGCCTGGGCAACATGGTGAAACCTCGTCTCTACAAAAAACTCAAAAATTAGCCAGGCATGGTGGTGTGAACCTGTAGTCCCAGCTGCTTGGGAGGCTGAGGTGGGAAGATTGCTTGAGGTCAGGAGGTCAAGACTGCAGTGAGCTGAGATGGCACCACTGCACTGCAGCCTCAACAACAAAGCAAGATCCTGTTTCAAAAATTAAAAATAAAAAAAACCAAAATCTTAAAGTTGGATACCTGAGGAAACTCCTGGAAAGCTCCCATTGTTTCTTGGTTTCTTTCAGAGGAACCACCAATCACAAGCAAGGGCCTGAAACAATCATTTTTTTAACAAGATAATTACAAATTAGATCATCATGTAAAACACTAAACACAGTGTCTAATTCACAACAAATAATAAATGTTAAAGGGAGAGAATATTATATTTTTTTCTTAGAAACTGTAGATTAAGGCTGGGTGAGGTGGCTCACCCCTTGTAATCCAGCACTTTGGGAGGCCAAGGTGGGTGGATCACTTGAAATCAGGAGTTCAAGACCAGCATGGCCAACATGGTGAAACCCCAGCTCTACAAAAAATACAAAAATTAGCCAGGCGTGCTGGTGGGCGCCTGTAATCCCAGCTACTTGGGAGGCTGAGGTAGAAGAATTGCTTGAACCTGGGAAGCAGAGGTTACAGTGAGCCGAGATTGTGCCACTGCACCCCAGCCTGGGCAACAGAGCAAGACTCTGTCTCAAAAAAAAAGAAAGAAATTGTAGATTAAAAAATATCTAAGAAGCAACCTGATATGAGAGAACTTTCCTTAATATCAGAAAAAGACAAAATGTATAGTAAATGTTTTCCTTCCCTTCTTCCCCTTCCCCTTTTGGATGCTGACGCTAAGCTTCCAGGTATATTGACATAAAATAAATTTTTATGCCTTTCTTATTCTTGGGATAAGGGGAAGAAAAATTTTACACTTTCCTAAGTGAATCTATTTAGAAATTGCAAAATAAGTGACATTCCTCAGCAATGAAATTCTTATCCTTCAATGTGGAAAAAAAAAAGATATGGGAAACCTTAAGGTACTTAAAAAATATAACACCTTAAAGTAGATAAAGAAGAGAAAGATCAAAAGGAAAGTAAAGAAGAAACTATAAGAAACACAGGGCAAGAAAGAAAACAATGTCCTTTCCACTAGAAAGATTAAATATGTTCCAAATTGATTAGAACCTAACCCCCCTCAACCTGATCTCACTGGTAAAGTGCCAGAGACGGAGTTAAGGGCAAGATCAGAGAATAAGTACTAAATAGTTTATATATAAAGCAAACTAAATGAATATAAGAATTTCAAATATCTTCCTACCTATGCAAAACAAGGTGAAAAATTAGCCACATTTTACACACTGAGCTTGGATCTTTAAAAAAATAATTCTTCACTTAAAGTAAATAGAACTACACATACGTTCACACATACACACACATATTAGGAACTCTAAAATGTTAAAAGTGTTTATGGCAGCTGGGTGCGGTGGCTCATGCCTGTAATCCCAGCACTTTGGGAAGCCAAGGCAGGTGGATCACCTGAGGTCAGGAGTTTGAGACCAGCCTGGCCAGCATGGTGAAACCTCTTCTCTACTAAAAATACAAAAATTAGCCGGGCGTGGTGGCAGGGGCCTGTAATCCCAGCTACTTGGGAGGCTGACGCAGGAGAATCACTTGAACCTGGGAGGCAGAGGTTGTGGTGTGCCAAGATTGCACCACTGCACTCCAGCCTGGGCGACAGAGAGACTCCGTCTCAAAAAAAGAAAGTGTTTATCTCTAAGTAACTAAATTACTGGTGCTTTGAATTTTCTTCCTAATACTCTTTTTTAAGTTATATCTATTTAAGGTATACCATATGATATTTTGATGTACATATAGTGAAATGATTACTACAGTCAAGCAAATTAACATATTCATGTTACTTTTTTTCCTAAGATATTGTAGAAATAGTCACTTTTTTTGGTAAAAGTACCTAAAATTTACTCTCTTTGCAAATTTACAATACACAATATTATTAACTATGGCTTTCATGTTGTACATTAGATCTCCAGGCTTTATCGTACTTGACTGAAACTTTGTACCCTTTGACCTATCTCCCTATTCCCCCTCCTCCTCCTCATTCCCTCCCCGGTAACTAACTCTACTTTCAGTTTCTAAGAATTGAAGGGGTTTTTTTTTTCCAAGTCTTTCTACCCTAGATCAGCATTAGCTCTACTCAGTAAAATCCTGCAGTGACCTTTTTAAGAAAATGTTTTCAGTAATAATAATGTCATTACCAGCAGTTCATGTTTGCATTTGCCATACCGCCCAAGGCATGGATGAGACCTGGGCCAGAAACAACAAGGCAGACTCCTGGCCTAAAAGCAAAACAGAATTTATTAAAATCAGGTCAAATGTAACAACTGATTCATAACACTTTAGTGTGAAACATGGCAATCTTGGACTTCAAAGGAAGGACATACAAGTCTTTACTATAACTGATAAAACAATTATTAGAATATTTTTAATTAAAAAACAAGGCGATATATATATATCGCGATATATATACATACACACATATACGTATATAGTGTATACACTATATATGTATATAGTGTATATATACGTATATACGTGTATATATACACACACTATATACATAGTGTATATATATACACACTATATACCTATAGTATATACTATATACGTATATATACACACACTACATACGTATATATACACACACTATATACGTATATATACGTATATACGTATACGTATATATACACACACTATATACGTATATATACACACTATATACGTATACATACGTGTATATATGTATACATACGTATATACGTATACATGCATGTATATATGTATACATACGTATATATGTATACATGCGTGTATATATGTATACATACGTATATACGTATACATACGTGTATATATGGATCCATATATACGTATACATACGTGTATATGTATACATACGTATATATATGTATACATATATGTATATATACTCTGGGCACCAGAGTATACTCTATATATATGTATACATACAGACACACGTATACACACACGTGTATACATGTAGACACACGTATACACACACGTATGCATGTAGACACACGTATACATACACACACGTATACATACACACACGTATACATACACTTGTATACATATACACTTGTATATACACTTGTATACATATACACATGTATACACATGTACGCACATGTGTGCGTGTATACACATGTACGCACATGTGTGCGTGTATACACATGTACGCACATGTGTGCGTGTATACACATGTACGCACATGTGTGCGTGTATACACATGTACGCACATGTGTGCGTGTATACACATGTACGCACATGTGTGCGTGTATACACATGTACGCACATGTGTGCGTGTATACACATGTACGCACATGTGTGCGTGTATACACATGTACGCACATGTGTGCGTGTATACACATGTACGCACATGTGTGCGTGTATACACATGTACGCACATGTGTGCGTGTATACACATGTACGCACATGTGTGCGTGTATACACATGTACGCACATGTGTGCGTGTATACACATGTACGCACATGTGTGCGTGTATACACATGTACGCACATGTGTGCGTGTATACACATGTACGCACATGTGTGCGTGTATACACATGTACGCACATGTGTGCGTGTATACACATGTACGCATATGTACATATATACTCTGGGCAAGAGTGAGATGCTATCTCAAAAAAAGTGTATATATACACACACATATACATATATGTGTGTGTATATATACACACACATACGTATATATGTATATATACACACATACACACATACGTATATATGTGTGTATATATACACACATATATATGTGCGTGTGTGTATATATATACACACTTTTTTTTTGAGATAGCATCTCACTCTGTTGCTCAGGCTGGAGTGCAGTGGCATGATCAGGGCTCACTGCAGCCTCAACCTCCTAAGCTCAGGTGATCTTCCCACCACAGCCTCCCAAGTAACCGGGACTACAGGCAGATGCCACCACACCCGGCTAATTTTTTGTATTTTTTTTTGGTAGAGATGGGGTTTCACCATGTTGCCCAGGCTGGTCTTGAACTCCTGGGCTCAAGCAATCTGCCTGCCTTGGCCTCCCAAAGTGCTGGGATTACAGGCATAAGCCAGCATGCCTGGCCCAAAAAAAGAAAGATATCGGATTTCTTGTGAGAAATAAGGTACCTATCATTTTCACACCTTATGTCTCTAACCACTTATTTTGATCTGGACTACATCTGGACTAAATCAAGTTAATGGTATACAGAAGCAAATTTTTGACTGCTGAGTTCATTTTTGTATGAAAAAAGGTTTTTTTTTCATTTCTTAACAAATAAATATAACGTCGACTGATCTTTGATAGGAAAGTAATTCTGAATGCAGTGCTCTGCCCAAAATGTTTTGTGTTTTTTTTTTTGTCTTTTTTTTTTTTTTTTTTGAGACGAAGTCTCGTTCTTGTTCCCCAGGCTGCAGTGCAATGGTGTGATCTCGGCTCACTGCAACCTCCGCCTCCCGGATTCAAGTGATTCTCCTGCCTCAGCCTCCCAAGTAGCTGGGATTACAGGCATGTGCCACCACACCCGGCTAATTTTTGTATTTTTAGTAGAGACGGGGTTTCACCATGTTTGGCCAGGCTTGTCTCCAACTCCTGGCCTCAGGTGATCCACCCGCCTCGGCCTCCCAAAGTGCTGGGATTACAGGCATGAGCCACCGCGCCTGGTCCCCAAAATCTTTTAAAACTGAATTTGAGGCTGAGCACGGTGGCTGACGTCTGTAATCCCAGCATCTTGAGAGGCTGAGGCAGATGGATCACTTGAGTCTAGGAGTTCAAGACCAGCCTGGGCAACATGATGAAACCCTGTCTCTAAAAAATATAAAAACTAGCTGAGTATGGTGGTGCACACCTGTAGTGCCAGCTACTTGGGAGGCTGAGGCAGGAGAATCGCTGGAACCTGGGAGGTGGAGTTTGCAGTGAGCCGAGATGGTGCCACTGCACTCCAGCATGGAGACGACAGAGTGAGACTCCAAATAAATAAATATTGAACTTGAATGTTTTACCCTTCAGTGTGACTTTCTAAGCTTAAACCACTCGGGAAAAAGGTATCTCAATATAATTCAGTTCACCATTTTACACTTATAAAATAATTTCTTAAAAATTTCTGTTTAAGACAGACTTGAAAATAAGTAATTACCACCAAGTAAACTAAACTTCTAGAACAGTACTATCCAACAGAACTTTGTATAGTAATAGAAATGTTCTGCATTTGCAGTATGATACGGTAGCCACTACTGACATGGTTACTGAGCACTTGAAATGTGGCTACTACAAACTGATAAACTATGATTTAAATGTTATTTAATTTTAATTAATTTAAATGTAAACAAGTCATACGGCTCGTGGCTACTATACTTGCCAGTGCAGCTCCAGAAGTTCATTCAAACAGCAAAAATGTTTTAAATATGAACTTTTCGGCCGGGCATGGTGGCTCACGCCTGTAATCCCAGCCCTTTGGGAGGCCAAGGCCAGCAGATCATGAGGTCAAGAGACAGAGACCATCCTGGCCAACATAGTGAAACCCCATCTCTACTAAAATACAAAAATTAGCTGGGTGTGGTGGTGCATGCCTGTAATCCCAGCTACTGGGGAAGCTGAGGCATGAGGATCGCTTGAACCCAGGAGGCAGAGGTTCCACTGAGCCGAGATTGCACCACTGCACTGTCCAGCCCAGATAACAGTGCAAGACTCCATCTCAAAAAAAAAAAAGTATGAACTTTTAACCATTCTCTTAATCATTGTTCTAGCATTTTTTACATTAAGGCATTAATTAATAACTATAATTTAAATGCTTTCCAAGCTAAATGAAAAGATTAAAATATTTGTCATATGTAAATAAAGCGGCAGAAAACAGTGACAATAGTGTTACTTGATGGCCTATTTTTTTCAGGTTCAAATTCACAAGTTCCTTATCACAGAAAAAAAACTATTCTGGTGAGGTCTAGACTTTGAGAATCTTATTAGTTTGCATTTCTTAGCAACTGAATTACTAGTTTCATTTTTGGAAATAAAAAAATGTATTAAAACTAACATATGTGAAAAAAGTATGATACACATTCCTGTGAGAGTCCAAATTCTGCTTAAAAAATACATAGATAAGGGAAAAAACTGGAAGAAAATGACCAATTCTTAACAGTTCTGAGATCATAGGTGATTTTCTTCATCTTTTTTCCTTTTTTTTTTTTTTTTTTTTTTTGAGACGGAGTCTCACTCTATCACCCAGGCTGGAGTGCAGTGGCGCAATCTCAGCTCACTGCAACCTCCGCCTCCTGGGTTCAAGCCGATTCTCCTGCCTCAGCCTCCCGAGTAGCTGGGATTACAGACGCATGCCACCACACCAGGGTGATTTTTGTATTTTTAGTAGAGATGGTGTTTCACCATGTTGGCCAAGCTGGTCTCAAACTCCTGACCTCAGGTGATCCACCTGCCTCAGCCTCCCAAAGTGCTGGGATTACAGGCGTGACCCACCGTGCCTAGTCGATTTTCATTTTCTTCTTTGTGCTTTCTATATTTTCCAAGTTTTCCAAAATGGACATTTTAAAAATGTATTAATTTTTAATAATAAAAAGGGGGTGGTAGTTAGGTAACATGGATACACACTAAAAAATCAGAACGTGTGGAACAGCTCTCAACAGTCACATTTTGAACCAAGCATTTTTGTATTAAGTGTGCTGGGGTAGTTGTGAGATCCAAGACAAGGTATCATACATCAACTCACTATCTGATCACCAGTGATTCACTCTACAAAATGGCAATGTGTTCCACTCTGAAACACTTCTGGTATCATTATTCTTTTGATGTGGTCCTCAGAGAGTTTTAAATGTTTTTTATCCTTTGTTATTTAATATATTTTTCTATAATCTTTCCAAATGAACTCATCCTTCAGCTGAAAGACGTAATAGTTCTACCCCAAAATATTAAAGTAATTGAAGTGAAACAAATTTTAGTTTACCTGCTTGTCAGATATCCAATCGCGGAGGCAGCATAACAAGCCTACGAGAAAACAACACTGGGACTTGAGCATATTGGGATCCTTATAGTACATTTATGACAGCAACTTACTATTAAATAATAGACAAGAACATAGTGGTAAAGGCAGAATTAAAATATTTCCAACCTTAGTAATAAATGTTCTACACATAAATTTCAAATAATGGTTATCTAAATTTTAGTTTTTCAGGAAATTTGTTCATATGTATGTTATTCAAAACATCCTCTTACAATTGCTTAAATATCTGCAGGATCAATAGGAATGTCCTCTTTTATTAACAATATTGGTAATTTGTTTTCTTTCTTTTATTCTTCATCAGTCTCATGAGGGGTTTATCAAATTTATCCATCTTTTCAAAGAACAAATTTTTTTAGTTCTTCGAAAATTTTTGTTGGTTTTTCTCTATTGTTTGTTTTCTATTTCATTGATTTCTGTTCTTGTATTTATTATTTCAGTCATTTTGAATTTGATTTGCTTTTCTTTTTCTAGCTTCTTAAAATACAAATTTAGAACACTGGTTTTTAATTTTCTTTACTAATAATTTGTTTAAAATGATTCCAAGAACTGCTTTAGTTATAGGTTACAAGTTTGAGTTGCATCTTTTCATTATCATTCTATTCAAAATATTTTCTACTTTCCATTGTGATTTCTTCTTCAACCCATTGGTTAATTAGGATCTGTAGTGATACCTCCTTTTTCATTCCTGACATTGGTAATCTGTTTTCTCTTTTATTCTCAATCAGTCTATCTTGAAGTTTATTCATTTTGTTAATCTTTTCAAATATTTACAAAATACCAAAAAGTATGTTGCTTAATTTCCAAAGGTCTGAGATTCTTTTTAGTGATCTCTTATTGAGTTCCACTTTACTTCCACATGGTCAGGTGACATATACTGCACGCTTTCAATCCTTGGCGATTTATTGAGATTTCCTTTATGGCCTGCATATGGATAGTTTTTACCTTGTAACTCTACTTCAGCTCATAATCAGGAAGAGAGGGGGCACTAAATTAAATGCACACAAGATAACCTGGGAAAATGCTGAGTGCTCTCTCAAATTCTTCTTAGTCTGGGACATCATTTTTTTCCCAGTATTATTTCTTCTCATTTCTTTAGAAATAATAATGAATTGCGTATTTCCTAGCCTTCATTCAGCTTTAAATGAAGTAGTATACTGTCTTAAAGAACTCCACATTAACGACATAAATGTGGAAAAAAAAAAAAAGGAAATGTTTATGGATCATAATCTTAACTGGCTCTACTATCATACACCCACTGAGAACCTGCACAAAGACTCTGCTCTTTTCCTGTGTCGCTATTCTCTACTGGCCCCATCTCTCTTTCCTTTTGCACATAAGGCCAAATTCACATTAGGAGAATAAGACAACTCCTAAGAAATGCAGGCATGTAAATACCTGCTGCAATAAGAACACTTTATTTAGACACCCAAAAGAATTGCCCACTTATGATAGCTAGGTAAGAAATGTTGCTAGGCAATGCAAAATATACAACAACACGTAACAAAAAGTATATTCCTCTGGTAGGAAATGTCAAAAGTTGAGAGGTAACTGTTTTGTTTTGTTTTATTTTGTTTTGTTTTGTTTTTTTTTTTTGAGACAGAGTTTCGGAGTTTCGCTCTTGTTGCCCAGGCTGGAGTGCAATGATGCAATATTGGCTCACGGCAACCTCCACCTCCCAGGTTCAAGCAATTCTCCTGCCTCAGCTTCCCGAGCAGCTGGCATTACAAACATGCACCACCACGCCTGGCTAATTTTATATTTTTAGAAACGGGGTTTCTCCATGTTGGTCAGGCTGGTCTCAAACTCCTGACCTCAGGTGATCTGCCTGCCTCAGCCTCCCAAAGTGCTGGGATTACAGGCGTGAGCCACCGCGCCTGGCCATAACTGGTTTTATGACCATAAAAGATCTGTTCCTCTACTAAACTACCTCCATTCACAGGCAGAACAGTGTACATGGTACTTAGAGAGTGGACTCTCGAGCCAATCTGTTTTGATTTAAATCCCAGCTTCCCCACTTTCTACTGTGTAATTTTGGCAAGTTGCTCTAAATCTCTGTTTCTTCATCTATAAAATGAAAATAATTCAAAGCACTGCTGTGAGGATGAAATCAGTTCGTATGTGTAAAACACTCAAAATAGTGCCCACACACAGTAAGCTCTCAAGAACAATGAACTTGCTGACAATCTGCCTACTTGCTGGCCAATTGGTCAGTATGTCTTGATTACTCTATGGATCTAATCAAAGACAATGAAGTCACACCCAACTACATCTTTCTCTTTATCACAAACATGTCCTGAATGCCTTAGCCTGTTTTCATGTTCCCTCTGAATCATTCTGTCACTACCCTTAGTTCAGGTACCATTTAAGTCTTCCTTTGACTACCATAGAGTCAGGATGCTTGAGGGACATATGCACTGGGATGTTCCACCAACATCTCAAATGCATGTGTTCAAAATTGAACATCACCTTTCTCCTCCAAGCTGGCTCTTCCCTCTATATTCCCAGTCTCAGTCACAGACAATATGATCTACACAATCAATCAAGTAAGCCCAAAATCTAGGAATCATCTCCAGAGGAGCCTGCCTCCTCTTTCCTAACTGGTTAATGCCTGCTTATCCTTCAGGACAGCTCAGACATCATCTCCTGTGGGAAGCTGAGCCTGGGTACTCCTTCTCTGGGCTTTATAGCACCCTGGATATCTCTCTATCACAGCACTTACCACCTTATAATACAATTGTCTGTGTCTGTCTCCACAGCTTGGCTGTAAGCCCCTTAAAGCCAGGAACTATCATTCATCTCTGTATCCAGCACCCAACACAGCACATGGGACCTAAAGAACCCTCAACTAAGCTTATAGGGGCTGAAATAAAACTTAGAGACAGAGGTCGTGCTATGTTGCCCAGGCAGCCTCTAATTCCTGGACTTGAGTAATCCTCCTGCCTCAGCCCCCTTCGTAGCTGGGATTACTGGCATGTACAACCATGCCTCGCATCATCTTTCTGAAGTACAAATCTAATTACATCGCCCACCTGTTTAGAAAAACCTTTAGTCTCCCCCATTGCCTACTGTTAAAAAAAAAAAAAAATTCAAACTCTTTTTAGATTTCCCACAACCTCCCCTCAACCTACCTACCAGTCTCACAGCTCACCATGCCTTTACCTACCTTGAGGGAACCACATGAACTAACATTACCTCTACAGGCAATCTTCTCTGTCCTCAAAGAGAACCAGTCACCCCTTCTGTGCTACTACATCTATTGTGAGAGTTATAATAGATGAGTCTTTTTCTGTAAGTCTTACCCTCACCTTCCAGGACTGATCAACGTGAAGATCAAGACTAAACCTCACTCCTTCTTTACATCCCTCTCTCCTACAGGTTATGTAGCACAATCCTTAGTATACAGTACTTAGTCAATAAATGTTTGCTGTATGAAGAAATCAGTGGCAGATATGTCATCTCTACAAAAACAGTTAAGTATAGGTTCCATTCATAGGTCAATAGCTTCATTTTTTCACACAGATGAAAGAACAGAATGTTGTTCTAACAAAGACAAGTAAAATGTAGAAGCAACAGAAACTCAAAACCTCCTAGTTTTAAGATTAAAAAATACAAATCTCAAACCTTGTAGATAAAGAATGTCATTCAATAAAGAATGTCATTCAATAAAGAATGTCATTCAATTAATAAATAATGTATAATATTAAGCATCTACACCACGTGAAAGCACAAACCAAGCCAGGCACTGTGGTGATATAACAAATGAATCACAACTTCTGCCCTCCAGGCACTCATGTATGATGGCAAAAGGCACCACTTAGGGTGGCCAGGCAGTTGTTTGGGCAAGAGGAGGCAAGAATTTAAATTAGAAGGCAACGGTGGGAGTGTAAAGCAGGAATATTTAGCCTCAGCTGGACTGAGAGTATGTGATATCACAGAAGTGGATTCTTGACCTTTCAAGCCCGCACTACTGAGAGAAGAGCAAGGTGGATTGGCAGAGGATGCACTTAAAGTGGATTGACAAAACGTCGTATCTTCCTTATCCTGCTTCCAAATAAGCCTCTAAGAAAGGTGGCAGCATGATGTGGTGGAAAAAGCATCAGGCTAGGATCTGAGCCATCTGAGTTTCCATCAAGGCACTACCATTTGTGATATCCTCCACCCTGCCCCGAACCAATCATACAACAAAGCCTTGGCCTTCACTCATTTATCCCACAGGTAATCTCTGAACACCTTTCTTATGCAGGCACCACACTAAGCACTGGGGGTACAGATGTGTCGTGAAGAAATAATATCCCTGCTCTAATGGAGCTTGTAGCCTAATAGGGAAGTCAGACTTTACTCATAAACTGTCCATTCCAATCATGACATACAGTATAGTAGTAAGAGAATGGACTCAGACCCAGAATACGTGGGTTCAAACCCTGGCTCTGCTACTACCAGCTGTGTCACCAAAGGCAAGTTTTACTTAACCTGTGTCTTTTCTCATCTGTCAACTTGGTGTAACAACAGTTAATATTCAACAGTGATTGATATGATATATGTAAAGTAGCAGAAGAGTGGTAAGCGCTATCTGGGTGTTTGCAATGCATACCTACCGCTATTACTGATCATTCCCAGTAACGCATTCAGCCACCTGAGTCCATACTCACCGCTTGCTCATTCCTCATCCCGATGTACTTGATGCCTAGCTGCTGGGCAGCAATGGCGATTTCGGTCACTGGGATGCCTACGATGCCAAATATGTACTCCACATCCTGAGGAACGAAGAACAGGGGAGTAAACTCCCAAGGCCCCACCATATCGCCACATCCTTCCCTCCCTCCCGGGCGCTAAAAGGAAAACCCCCCGACCCCCATCGCCCATTTCTACTCGTCTCCAAGACAACATCGCGGTCCCCGCCAGCTTCCGTAGGAGCCTTTCATTCCAGGAAGGTCCATCGTACTTGCGTTTTCAGGGCCTGAGCGATGACTTTAGCACCAGACACCTGCTCCTCGCTGCGCTCTGCGAAGTTACTGTCCGGCATCTTCCACCGAAAAGCTCTAAGCACTCACGCAGCCGGCAAACAAGCGGAATCATCCAGCAAGGCAAACGCGAAATCGGCAGCACGCCACCTCTGGTACTGCACCTCTGACGGACAGGAGGGCAACCAACTGCCTTAAACAACGGGAAGGAAGAGGCGGTCTAAATTCGTCCACTTCCCGGGAGAGGTGAGAATGTAAACACGCGCGTTCTCCAATCAGAACTGCGCTCTCTTCTCGGCTCCTCCATTCGCGCGCCAGAATGCCAGAGGGAGGCGGGACTAGCAGGAGATTGCTGCCTATGCAAAGCAGGTAAGAAGCCGAACTCTGAGGCCTCTCGCCATTGTCTCCGAGTCGGCCAGCTGGAGCGTTTTCGGGGCTGTAAAGGGAGAATGGCGCATGCGCATATTCAGGGCGGAAGGCGCGCTAAGAGCAGGTACGGAGGGGGCGTGGTGCGGCGCGGAGGGGGTGTGGTAAGGGCGTGCGGTCCAGACCCCGCCCCGGGCGCCCAGTTGGACTTGGGGAGGGCTGCGCAAAGGCTGCCGGGAGCTGGGAAGCCCGGCGCGCGTCGTTTGCTGGGGCTGTTTGTGCGTTGCTGCTGTGCTACCGCGTTGCGTTTTCTAGGCATTTACTTACACGCTTTGTGGTTTACGCTCTCATAACCTTGTGGTTTTATAGTCCTTAAATTATTGTAGCGCACGTTACTTAAATCCAGAAGCAGATGTGTACCCCAGCAAGAGATAAAATGACGCTCAGAGTCAGTAGATCCAGACCGTGCCTGAGATCCTGAATCCTGTTTCCTACCCACTATTCAGCCATTGGGTCACAAGCGATGAAAAGAGCACCTTGAAGGTAGTATAGAGCACTGTTTTCTCCAGCCCTTGCTACTAATCCATATTACTCTCCGCTAATATCTTTCCAAAATTAGGAACTATGGCGTTTCATAATTCTTAGGTTGGGTCCCTACCTACAACCAGCCCTGCACCCGATAGCCTTTTAAAACATTTTTGTGTGAAAATCGTTTGCAATGTGCAATATCTGAAACTACTGCCTTGGAGTCATTAGACCCTCTGCTCAGTGACAATAAACATAAAATTTCCAATTGTAATAAACAGTGGAACTTTTAATTTTTTGAGGATTTGGAGTCATTTTAAGCAAAAAGAACAGTGATAAGTGGACAGTAAAGAGATGAGAGGGGAGTGGGTCATGGGTAGTGAAATGAGTGAGAAGCACTGGAAGTGAAACGATTTCTAAACCCAGACATTTTCAAACTGTAGTCCTGGGTCTTTTCAAAAGGTCTTCCCCTCTTTTTCTCAACCCCTCAACCCCACCCCAAGCAGAGGAGAGTGAAGTGGTTGCCTCCCTGCATATGTGGACGGTGTTAGTCCATTTTCATACTGCTATAAAGAAATACCCAAAACTGGGTAATTTATAAAGAAAAAGAGGTTTAATGGTCTCACAGTTCCAAATGGCTACGGAGGCCTCACAATCATGGCAGAAGGTGAAGGAGGAGCAAAGGCATGTCTTACATGGTGGCAGGCAAGAGAGCGTGTGCAGGGGAACTGCCCTTTATAAAACCATCAGATCTCATGAGACTTACTATCATTAGAACAGCATGGGAAAAATCCCCTCCCCATGATTCAGTTACTTCCCACTGGGTCCCTCTCACCACATGTGGGGATTATGGGAGCTATAATTCAAGATGAGATTTGGATGAGGACACAGCCAAACTGTTCTGCCCCTGGCCCCTCCCAAATATCATATCCTCACATTTCAAAACCAATCATGCCTTCCCAACAGTCCCCCAAAGTCTTAACTCATTTCAGCATTAACTCGAAAGTCCACAGTCCAGAGTTTCATCTGAGACAAGGCAAGTCCCTTCCGCCTATGAGCCTGTAAAATCAAAAGCAAGCTAGTGGCTGGGCGCAGTGGCTCACACCTGTAATCCCAGCACTTTGGGAGGCCGAGGCGGGCGGATCATGAGGTCAAGAGATGGAGACCATCCTGGTCAACACGGTGAAACCCTATCTCTACTAAAAATACAAAAAATTAGGCGGGCATGGTGGCAGGCGCCTGTAATCCCAGCTACTCAGGAGGCTGAGGCAGGAGAATGGTGTGAACCCGGGAGGCAGAGCTTGCAGTGAGCTGAGATTGGGCCACTGCACTCCAGCCTGGGGGACAGATCGAGACTCCGTCTCAAAAAAAATAATAAAATTAAATTTAAAAATAAATAAATAAAAGCAAGATAGTTACTTCCTAGATACAATGGGTGCACGGGAGTGAGGTAAATATACCCGTTCCAAATGGGAGAAATTGGTCAAGACAAAGGGGCTAAAGCCCCCATGCAAGTTCAAAATCTGGCAGGGCAGTCAAATATTAAAGCTCCAAAATGATCTTTGGATCATTTTGACTTCGTATCTCACAGCCAGATCATGCTGATGCAAGAGGTGGGCTCCCACAGCCTTGGGCAGCTCTGCCCTTGTGGTTTTACAGGCTACAACCCCCTCTCCCAGCTGCTTTCACAGGCTAATATTGAGTGTGTGCAGCTTTTCTAGGCACATGGTGCAAGTGGTCAGTAGATCTACCATTCTGGGGTCTGGAGGACGGTGGCCCTCTTCTCACAGTTCCACCAGCAGTGCCCCAGGAGGGACTCTGTATGGGGGCTCCCACCCCACATTTCCCTTCCACACTGCCCTAGCAGAGGTTCTCTATGAGGGCTCTACCCCTGCAACAAGCTTCTGCCTGGACATCCAGGCATTTCCATACATCCTCTGAAATCTAGGCAGAGGTTCCCAAACCTCAATTTTTGACTTCTGTGCACCTGCAGGCTCAACACCATGTGGAAGCTGCCAAGGCTTCAGGCTTGCACTGTCTGAAGCCAGGCCTGAGCTGTACATTGGCCCTTTTTAGCCATGGCTGGCATGGCTGGGATGCAGGACACCAAGTCCCTAGGCTGCAAACAGCAGGGGGACCCTGGACCTGACCCATGAAACCATTTTTCCTCCTAGGTTTCTGGGCCTGTGATGGGAGGGCCTGTTGTGAAGGTCTCTGACATGCCCTGGAGACATTTTCCCCATTGTCTTGGTGATTAATAGTTAGCTTCTTATTACCTATGCAAATTTCTGCTGCCAGCTTGAATTTCTCCCTAGAAAATGGGTTTTTATTTTCTACTGCATCGTCAGTCTGCAGATTTTTCAAATTTGTATGCTCTGCTTCCTCTGGAACACTTTGCCATTTAGAAATTTCTTCTGCCAGATACCCTAAATCATCTCTCTCAAGTTCAAAGTTCCACAGATCTCTAGGACAGGGGCAAAATGCCACTAGTCTCTTTGCATAGCAAGAGTGACCTTTACTCCAACTCTGAATAAGTTCCTCATCTCCATCAGAAACCACTTCAGCCTGAATTTTATTGTCCATATCACTATCAGCATTTTGGTCAAAGCCATTCAATAAGTCTCTAGGAGGTTCCAAACTTTCCCACATTTTCCTGTCTTCTGAGCCCTCCAAGTCTCTAGGAAGTTCCAGACTTTCCCACATTTTCCTATCTTCTTCTGAGCCCTCCAAACTGTTCCAACTTCTGCCAGTTACCCAGTTCCAAAGTTATTTCCACAGTTTCGGCTGTCTTTACAGTAGTGCCCCACTCTCTGCATTACCAATTTTCTGTGTTAGTCCCTTTTCATACTGCTATGAAGAAATACTCAAAACTGGGTAATTTATAAAGAAAAAGAGGTTTAATAGATTCACAGTTCCACATGGCTGGAGAGACGTCACAATCATGGTGGAAGATGAAGGAGGAGCAAAGGCACGTCTTACATGGCGACAGGCAAGAGAGTGTGTGCAGGGAAACTCCCATTTATAAAACCATCACAGCTTGAGACTTATTTGCTATCACAAGAACAGCATGGGAAAAACCCTCCCCAATGATTCAGTTACCTCCCACCAGGTACCGCTCATGATATGTAGGGATTATGGGAGCTATAATTCAAGATGAGATTTGAGTGGGGACATAACCAAACCATATCAGGGACCCATCTCAGAGGGTGACTTCTTTCAAGTCTCAGAGTGTATCTAAAAAGAAAATGCAGATTTTGTATTATACTCTAGAATGTATCCATATTTTAATTTTAAAATGACATTTATTGAGATATAATAAAGATACAATTCAATGTCCAGATTTTAAATGTTAGATGAGTTTTGACAGTTATATATATATATATCTATGAAATCACCACCCAAAATAAAAATGACATTTTAAACTGCTTACCTGTCAAGTAAAATTGACATTCCAGAAAGATGTGAAACGGGCTGGGCACAATGGCTCATGCCTGTAATCCCAGCACTTTGGGAGGCCGAGGTGGGCAGATCATCTGAGGTCAGGAGTTCGAGGCCAGCCTGGCCAATGTGGTGAAACCCCATCTCTGCTAAAATACAAAAATTATCCAGGTGTGGTGGCACATGCCTGTAATCCCAGCTATTCGGGAGACTGAGGTGGGAGAATCGTGTGAGCCAGGGAGGTAGATGTTGCAGTAAACCAAGATTGCACCACTGTACTCTAGCCTGGGTGACAGAGCGAGACCCTGTCTCAAAAAAAAAAAAAAAAAAAAAAAAGATGTGAAATCATCTTTGCACTTTGAGTAGTCCTTGACACAATGCCTCCTGTCCTTGTTGAAGAAGTACAGACTTCCCCTTCCATCATGTATTATTTATATCAGTACCTTTTGTGACAGTCTCTGCCCCTGTTGCATTAGAGTCACTTGGAAAGCTTTTTCCAAATAGTTACTTGGGCCCTACCCCAGATCTCCTGAATCAGCATCTTAGGACAAGTCAGGCACCTGTATTTTTTAAAAGCTGCTACCTGATTTTGCTTTGCAGCCCAGAGTTGAGAACCCTAGCTCTGTTTTCATGCCAGAAGCATGAGTTACTAATTAAACATATGATTGCCTGTCACCAAAGTAATACTGTTGATTAATTTGGATTGACAGGTTCAAGACTGATTTGACATTGACAGAACAAGCTGTATCGATGGTAGTCAGTTCACTGGGCCTACTTCTGTGTCAAAAGAAACAGTGACAGAACCACTCAGTATGAAGTGCAATGAAAACTGAACTCTGAATTGGAACAAATAACTGGAATTCAGTTAACTGGTTTTGCAAAAGGATAAATACTCAACTGGTTGTTTTCTGCCATTTAACAAAGAGAAAAATCATTGGGATTGTTTAAACTTGCTTTCACCTTTGCACCTTTCAGTTCAGGATGCAGTGTTCAATTGTTAACTTGGGCTTGATGATTCAGCAGAAAGAAATGATTTGAGTTCTGGCTCACTGGATTAACAGGGCCAAGGAGCAAGTCCTTTGCAATCCAATTGTAATTACAGCCAGCTTGTCCAACCCTTGGCCCAGGATGGCTTTGAATGCGGCCCAACACAAATTCATAAACTTTCTTAAAACATTATGAGATTTATGCACCGACCCTTTTTTTTGTTGTTGTTTTTGGTTTTTTTTTTTTTTTTTAGCTCATCAGCTATCATTTGTGTTAGTGTATTTTATGTATGGCCCAAGACAATTCTTCTTTTTCCAGTGTGGCCCAGGGAAGCCAAAAGATTGGATACCCCTGACAGGATTCCAGGATTCTTTTGTAATTTCTCAGAGGCCCTCTGTGCATACTCCGTAAGGACTATCCACATTCTTTATTACTTTCATTGGCAATAGGTATAAAATTTTATTTGTTGGATATTTTACTGAAATGTTACTTGTTTTTGCTTATTTACTGATTGGTGGGAGGAAGTCAAAGGATGAATAAATCTAACCTTTTTAAAAGAAAAGGCTAAAATACTCATAACATGCTCTCCAAAGAGCAGAGCTAGTCATCAAAGAATCTGCATACCAATTACTCTATTTGTAGGTTCTGGATTTGAGATTATGAAAAAGAGCAAATTGGTGGTTTTCTTCTCTCTGGGCCAGGGAGATATCCAGGCAACCAGGTAATTTAGTAAGAATTGCAAATATAGTGCCTGGAGACAATTTATTCTCTAAAGACTGCAGCTTCTACAGGCAGTAACTCTTAAAGCCCCCAAATTGGGATAGTGCATTTTAATTTCCGTATACTAACAAGGACACTAAAAATCCTTGTGATTATTTTAAAGCATAACACTAGCTGAACTTGTGATTAAGTATTCTCACAAATGTATTATCAAAATGTGAAATGTTTACTTATCAAATGAGGAAATGAATCAAGGTCATTTGTGATACATTATAGAAGCTAAAAATGAAATTGCCTGACATAAGATAAAACTGATACTGAATATCTTAAAAATAAAAAGGCGGAAACAACAAAAAAAGGAGTCTATGTAGAACACTATTTTTTATAGCAATGCAAAAACTGTACAGCCGGAAATGTGTTGTAGGAAATATGTCAACATAGGAAGTAAAATAATGTAATGAAAAGGTTCTTTGAATAAAGTGGGTTAAATTGATTTTCTTTGCTTCTCATTAAATCTGTGGACTTCAGAGTACCAAAGCTCAGCAACAGGCTTGAAACAAACCCAGTGAAAAGCAACTTTATTATTGAGCTGAGGATTGATATCAGTAATAACTCATTAATAAAAAAGCTTGATAATAAAAACTCCCAGTGCCTGATGCCAGCTGACAGACACTGGGAGTTTTCCCAGGTACCCTGTGACCTAGAGAAAGCTTGGATTCCTGCCTTTGGCTTGGGCTGGCAAGCCCTGTGCCTTTACTCTACATTTTAATGCCAGGGAGACCTGGAACTGGAGAAGGGAGTGCTGTGGGAAGAAAACAGAAGGAATGTTGTTCCCTTGTTTTAGCTTTGTGTTCATCCATTATGGGTTTTGGGTTTTTTTGTTTTTTGTGTTTTTTTAAGAACATTTGAGATAGTTTGACAGCAGCAGTCATTACATCACTGACGAGGACGTTTACTTGTGTAAAATGCACCAGGAAATAGTGACAACTGTATGTTGTGCTATGAGGATGTAAGAGATTTATCTCAAATGGCTTAGAAATCAAAATATAGGTCAGTGCGGTGGCTCACACCTGTAATCCCAACACTTTGGGAGGCCAAGGCAGGCGGATCACGAGGTCAGTAGATTGACACCATCCTGGCCAACATGGTGAAACCCCGTCTCTACTAAAAATACAAAAATTAGCTGGGCATGGTGATGTGCGCCTGTAATCCCAGCTACCGGGGAGGCTGAGGCAGGAGAACCACTTGAACCCAGGAGTTGGAGGTTGCAGTGAGCCGAGATTGCGCCCCTGCACTCCAGCCTGGCGACAGAGCGAGACTCCGTCTCAAAAAAAAAAAAAAAAAGAAATCATAGTATTTCTCCGTATGATGGAATTCCATACTCGGGGGAGTGTCCCACAGGGTAGGCAAGCAGCTATCACCCATGTAATATGGTACTAGTGTTGAAATATTTTCTGTTTTCACTTGCTTCTTCTGCCATTAGCATTCATTACAGCCCTTTCCTTTAACTTTTTAATTTGTACTTTATTGCTTTGTTTTGATAATAATCTATTCTCCATGTCAGCAAAACAAAGATTTATCTCTAGGGAAGAATCTCTGAGTGATTCCCAGGGTTTGGGGGTTGAACTGGGGACATCTTCATGATGAACTTAAGCCCTTAAACTTCTTTTTACATCATAACGTTTGAGTTCTTCTTTGGAGCTTAGCTGTGATTTATTCTTTTCACTTCAAAAAAAATACATTTAACATTTATGACATCTTTCAGACACATGAATAGGATCAGAGATTAATATACACCCATGTACCCAGCCCCTGGCTTAAGAAATACATCACAAATATAATGAAACCCCCGTGTGTCCTTTCCCCATTACACCTCCTTTCCTGTCCTACAGAGGTAACCACTATCTTGAATTTGGTGTTTGTAGTTCCCACATTATCCATTCTTTAGATGATCGATATTTGGTCATTTTTAGTTTTTTTGGAAACAGTGTGCTCTGAAATTCTTGCATGTTTCCTTCTTGTGCACATGTGTGAGAGTTTCTACATATATATCAAGGTGGAGGTCATCATCATTTGATCTCCAAAGTATTGTACCAATTTATACTCCCAACATTTGTGTATGAGAGCTACCCTTTCTCCATAGTCTCAACTGTGGAGCTTTAAAAATTTTTAAATGTGAAATGGCTTCTCAGTTCCATTTCTCTGACTACAAATGAGGTTAAGTTATATTTGTATATATATATTGGCCATGCGTGTTTCTTTTTCTGTGAATTACGTGTTTACATCTGTTGCACATTTCCTTATTGGATTATCTTTTGCTTTTTGATTTGTAGATGTCCTTTATGTATTCTGAATGCTAATTATTTGTCTTTTAACTTTGTTAATAGTGATTTTAGAGGTATAAAGGGTTTTTTTATAGTCACATTTGACAACTGGTCTTCCTTATTTTTTTTTTAATTTTTTTATTTTTTTGGTAACTTGCTAAAGAAAACTTTTTGTAACCTGAGGTTATGAAGATTTTTTTCTATATCAAAAAGTGTAAAGTTTTATTTTTCATATTTAAGTCACTACCTGGAATTGATTTTTGTTTGTTGAGAAGTAAGAATCCATATAATATGTCAATTAGATTTGCTGTGTAATTAACCACCCCAAAACTTAGTGGCTTAAAAGAACCACCATTTATTTAACATATATTCCTATGAGGCTGGTCTCAACTGGGCTCACCCATGTATCTGTTAGTCAGTTGCCAGTGAACTGAGTCACTCAGCCCCTGGAGGTTAGCTGGTTGTCCACTGGGATAGCGGGCATATTGCCAGTGAGCCACATAGCTCTACCACTCAGCAGGCTAGCTGGACTTCTTCATTGGATGGCAGCAGGTTGCAAAAGGGAATGAGCCTCATTGTGCAAGCCTCTATGTGCGGTGTTTGCTAACATCTCATTAGCCAAAGCAAGTTATGTGGCTGGGCTCAGACTCTAAGTTAAAGGCATTCGAGTTACATGATAATGGAACATGGATACAGAGAGGGGAGAAATTGCTGGCCTTTTTTATAGTCAATTTACCATAACATCCAGTTGTCCAAGCACCATTCATAATATAGTTCATTCTCATCCCAGTGATACATAATTTCCCCTCTGTGGAATGTCAAGCTCGCATATTTATGGGAGTATTTCTGTACTCTCTGTTCTTTTCCTATCCTAACACCAATCCCACACTATCTTAATTTCTGTGTTTTTAAAATAAGTCTTGATGTTGGTAGGACAAGTAGTCCCTGGACTTCATTCTTTTGAAGCCATCTTGTTTATTATATTAATTTTAAGCAACTAGAGGGGATGGAAGAGGAACCTTTAGATTAAAAGAGATTTAAAAGATAGGGTATTTTTTAATGGACAAGACTAAACTACAGTGTCTAGGGATGCACATTGGGTGATAAAGCTATTTTAAAAAACAAAGAAGTGATGAGTATAAAAGTCAGGGTCATGGTTACTTGATCCCTCATGGGTAATGTTGTCAGATTTAGAAAAAAAAAAAAAAACAGGACTCCAAAACTCCCAGTTGAATTTGAACTTTAGATGAACAATGCATAATTTTTTTTAGCGTAAGTATGTTCCAACATATTTATCTGAAAGTTAAATTTAACTGGGCCACCTGTATTTTACCTGGAAAAATCCTGATTTTATTCAAGGTGATAATGCAGTTTACATTGCCCAGCCTTCCTTGTAGCTAGGAGTGGTCACGCGTCCACACATGGGCCAAAGCAATTTAAATAGGAGTCACTGGGCAGGGCTTTTAGGAAAGCTGATGAAACTGGCAAGTACCCTCTGTACTCTTCCTCTGTACAACATGATAATTGGAGTTGTAGAAGTCATTTTGGAACCACAAGATGACTCTGAAAATGGAAGCTACATGCCAAGAAGTTAGGCCCAGAAAGAGAGGGATCCTGGGTCCTACATGACTCTTGCCTTTGTCAGGTTTTATTATCAGATTTTTATCACTTCATAAGAAAAAAATGCCTTCTTTTACTATATTCTCACACACATTGAGTAGCATTAGGATTATTTTTTCCTTTATAGTTAGAAAGAATTCTTCTAGAAACTATTTGGGCCTGTTTTGAGGGTGGAGAATGGGAGGGAATGATTGTTTGATAACTATTTCTTCTATGATTGTTGGCATGGTTTAGTTTTTTCTTTTATCCGAAGTTTTGGTAAAAATATATTTTTCAGTCCCAGCTACTCTGGAGGCTGAGGCACAAGGATTGCTTGAATCCAGGAGGCAGAGGTTGCAATGAGCTGAGATTGCACCACTGCACTCCAACCTGGGTGATGGCGTGAGACAGTCTCAAAAAAAAAAAAGAAAAAACAAATAATGTATTTTTTTTCTAGGAAACTACTCGTCTAAATTTTCTAGCTTATCAATATAGGATTGAATGAGGTGATTATTCTTTTTTAAAAAAAATTCTTCTGCATTTATAGATTTCTCTTTGTTTTGTATATTTGTTTCTCTTTTTTTTCTTAATTAGGCTAGCCGATCATTTGTCTTTACCTTTTTTTTTCTCTAAACAACAACTCCTTGGACATACTTATTCATTCTGTCATTTTTCTGTTTTCTAATTTAATTTCCACTCTTATTTTTATTTCCTTCCTTTTGCTTTCTTGAGCATGCCATTACTCTTTTCCTCACTGTTACCACCTTTTGTTAGTTTTACAATTTCTACATTGCCAGAGTTAATAACATTTGCACTGTGTTCTATAAATATAATCCTCATGTTTATTTTACATTCAAGGCTCTTGCCAGTTTTTCCATTCACCTCTTAATTGGCCGAAGATTACCCTCTATGCATTTTTTCAAAGAAGGCTGATGAGACTGATGAGAATAATAGTCCCTGAGTTCTTATATTTTCATACCTATTATCTGGTTTTTTTCTTTACTTCAACCATAGGTTGGCATAATATATAATTTCTGGCTTATATTTTATTTTCTGGAAGGATTCTATAGGCTTTTACTGGCATTGATGTTATTGTAGTAAAGTCTGAGGACAGCCTGATTATTTTGCCCCTAATAAATACCCTTGATCTTTTTATTTAGCTTCCCAAATGATTCTTACTTTATCTTTGAAGATCAAGAATTTTGCTAGGCTATCTGCCGATGTTGATGTTCTGTTCCTTTCTTTCTTGAGTTTTGCTATCTCTTTTCAAGCTATAAATTGAAATATGCTTTTATTTCTGGTGAGTTTTCTTCAATTACATCTTTAATTTTTTTTTTTTTTGCTTCATTATATGTTGTCTATTGTTGTATAAAAATTTACCCTACGACCTATTCAGCAGCTTAAAACAAGACCCATTTATTATCTCAAAGTCTCTATGTGTCAGGAGTCTGAGCATAGTTTTACTGGATCCTCTGGTCAGCATCTCACAAGGCTACAGTGAAGTTGTCAGCTGACCTCATGGTCTCATCTGAGGCTGAGTTTTCTTCCAAATTCAACTGATCGTTGAAAGAATGAATTTCCTTGCAGTTGTAGTATTCATGGTGGCTTGCTTCTTCAAGGTCAGCCGGGGAGAGAGTGTGTCTGAAATCTTGGAGCACCCCAGTTCTTTTTTTAAAGACCTGATTAATTCAGACCCACCAGGGTAATCTCTTTTGATTAACTAGATTAACTGGCTTGGGATTTTAACTACATATGTGAAAGCCCTTCACCTTTGTCATATTCTATTGGCTAGTAACAGAGTACAATTTCCACCTGCACTCAAGAAAAGAGGATTATACAAGGAGTCACCTTAGGGTGTGTCCACCACACATTATTTTTTTCTTTTATGCATTTTCCAATTATGCATATGATGGATCTCGTTCACTGTTCTCCCTGTCTATCATTTTCTGTGGACTCCTTTTCAATTCTGTATTTCCATTCATGTTGCTTATTTATTTACAGCATCATCTGATTTCTTTTGCTGCTTCTATCTTTGCCATAATTTCTTGATGTTTTAATTTTTTCTTCTGCTTCTTTCCTGAGCCCTGCCAGATAATATTTCATCTGTCTCCCAGCTTTCTATTCCCCACTCCCTTCTCCCTTCTCTCTTCTTCCCTCTTCCCCCTCCTTACCTTCTCCTCTTCTCCTCCTTTCCTCCCCTTCTCCCCTTTTTCCCTTTCATCTTTTAATTCTCTTGGTCTATTTTGTGCTTTTATTTAATATAAGCAGTTTTTTTTCACTCGTGGCAGAATGTTTTGTCACAGTTTTTATTTGTGTTGTGGCAATTTTCTGGGGTATAACCTTTGTTTTCGTATAGTATCTTTCAAAAGATCTTGAGCTTTTTATTTACTCATTTTTGAGTGAGTTTTTCCTCTACTGTAGGAGGTTTATGTGTGAACAAGGCCATTCTGGTTCACAGTTATTTTTTCTTAGCACATTTAAGATTTTGTTTTCTTACTTCTATTGTTACTCTTGAAAAGTCTGCTGTTTTCAAATCACCATATCTTTGAAGGCAATCTCTCTTCCCTCTGGTTGCGTCTAAGATTTTTTTCTTCTTCAAATATTTCGTGTTCTGGTTTCTTTATGTTGTGTATAGATTTCTTTTTGGTTGTCTTGAATCTATGGATTTCTGTATTTTATTATTAAAATTCTCACCTATTATACCTTCAAACATGTGTAATGTGTCATGTGTCATTTTATGTATTTTCTCCCTCTTTCTTTCTTTCTTTTTTTTTTTTTTTTAAGTCAAGGTCTTGCTCTGTCGCCCAAGCTGGAGTACAGTGGCACAGCCGTAGCCCACTGCAGCCTTAAACTCCTGGGCTCAAGCAATCCTACCACCTCAGCCTCTTGAGATGCTGGGACCGCAGGTGTACACCACCATGCCCAGCTAATACTTTTTTACTTTTTGTAGAGATTATATTGCCCAGGCTGGTCTTGAATTCCTGGCCTCAAGTGATCCTCTCATCTTGACCTCCAAAGTGTTGGGATTACAGGCATGAGCCATTGCACCCAGCCTCTATTTTCTCCTTCTGAAATTCCAATTAGAAATATCATGGAACATCATATATGTCTTCCATGTCTCATCTTCTTTTTTTCCCTTTTGTCATCTCTGTGGTACATTCTAAACAAATTTTTTAATGATTCTAACGGCCATGCCACAAAATGTCTCCATTTGGTTTTATTTGACAATATCTTTTTCTTTTTTTTTTTTTTTTTGACACAGAGTCTCTCTCTATTACCCAGGCTAGAGTGTAGTGGTGTGATCTTAGCTCACTGCCACCTCCGCCTCTGAGCTCAAGCAATCGCCCTACCTTAGCCACCCAAGTAGCTGGGACTACAGGCATGCACCACCACACACAGCTAATTTTTGTATTTTTTGTAGAGATGGGGTTTTGCCATGTTGCCCATGCTGGCCTCCAACTCCTGGGCTCAAGTTATCTTCCTGCCTTGGCCTTCCAAAGTGCTGGGATTACAGGCATGAGCCACCACTCCCAGCCAACAATATCTTATTCTTTTACCTGTTTTAGAGTCCTCTGAGTACTTCTTTAATCAACTTCAGTGTACTTATTTGAAAATTTTCACTAGTAATCCTTCCATCTGAAGTTGTTGGGGGCCTGATTTTGCTGTATTCTTTAACTTTCTTGCATAATATTTGCTTCCTTGTGTGTTTTGTAATTTTGAATTTTGAGCTCTTGTTTACCTTGTTCTTCAACCCAGGACACTCAGTCTTCAAGAAGAGAGTATGTGGATAGGCTTTTCCAGGCATCTTAGGACTGATAACATCTCAAAATCACTTTGTGCTCATTTCTTGGCATAGAGTTACCTGGGTCATGTATGTTGTGAGTTTTTGAATCATGAACCCACATAAGGAAAACCTTTGATTATGTTGGTTATGACTTTCAAGGAGTACTATTTTCCCCTGCTCAGAGCCCAAGATGAGATGTACAAGTTTCTACGTCAGATAGTTACTTTGGCAGGCAGGCAGATATTTGTTTTTGTCCATCCTTTCAATAAAGGAATCATTCCTTAAGGTTCCTAGCTATATGCACAGATCTCACTCCAACCTCCACATCTTGTCTTTCTGTCCTTCATGGTCTTTAAAATCTAAACCCCTTGGATATCAAGATTGGGACATGTTCCAGTATCACCTCACCACTCCAGTTTTCAGTTACTTGATTTTAGTTTTTATTTTTTAAATGCTTTTTTTAAAAGAGAAGTTTTATGCTCACAATAAAATTGAGCAGAAAGTACAGAAAGTTTACATATACTCCCTGTCCTGATACATGCATAGCCTTCCCTGTTATCAATATCCCAGACTAGAATGGTATGTTTGTTATAATCAGTGAACCTGCATTGACACATTATTATAACATGAAGTCCATAGTTTACATTAGGATTCACTTCTTTCTCCCTTAACACTTGGCAACCACTGATCATTTTACCATCTCTGCAATTTTGCTTTTTCCACCACTGGAAATGTTACATATTGGAATCATACAGTATGTAGCCTTTACAGATTGGTTTCTTTCCTTTAGTAATATACATCTAAGGTTCCTCCATATCTTTTCATGGCTTGATAGCTCATTTCTTTTTAGCACTGAATAATATTCCATTGTCTGAATGTATCACACTTTATTAATCCATTCACCTACTGAAGAATATCTTGATTGCTTCCAAGTTTTGGTAACTATGAAAAAAACTGCTATAAACACTCCTGTGCAGTTTTTTTGGAGACATAAGTTTTCTACTCCTTTGGGTAAATACAAAGAATACGATTGCTGAATCATATGATAAGAGTATGCTTCATTTTGTAAGAAAATGCCAAGCTGTCTTCCAAAGTGGTTGGATCATTTTGTGTTCCCATCAGCAATGAATCAGACTTCCTGTTGCTCTATATTCTCAACAGCATTTGGTCTTTTTAAAAATTGTTTTGGGCCGGGCGCGGTGGCTCACACCTGTAATCCCGGCAATTTTGGGAGGCCGAGGTGGGTGGATCACCTGAGGTCAGGAGTTTGAGACAAGCCTGACCAAAATAGAGAAACCCTGTCTCTACTAAAAATACAAAAATTAGCCGGTCGTGGTGGCAGGCGCCTGTAATCCCAGCTACTCGGGTGGCTGAGGCAGGAGAATTTCTTGAACCTGGGAGGTGGAGGTTGCAGTGAGCCAAGATCGCACCATTGTACTCCAGCATAGGGGACAAGAGCGAGACTTCATCTTCAAAAAAAAAAAGTTTTGTTTTTTTCCTTTCACCAAACTAAGCATTTAGTCTTGTCAGTGTTTTGGATTTTGACTATTCTAATAGGTGCATAGTGGTATCTAATTTTTAATTTGCAATTCCCTTGTGACATATGATGCTGAACATCTTTTCATAAGTTTATTGCTATTTGTGTATCTTCCTTGGTGAGATGTCTGTTCAGATCTTTTGCTTATTTTATTTTATTTATGTATTTTTTTTTCGAGTCTCACTCTGTCACCCAGGCTGGAGTGCAGTGGTGCAATCTCGGCTCACTGCAACCTCCGCCTCCTGGGTTAAAGCAATTCTCCTGCCTCAGCCTCCCGAGTAGCTGGGACTACAGGCACGAGCCACCACACCCAGCTAATTTTTTGTATTTTTAGTAGAGACGGGGGTTTCACTATGTTGGCTAGGATGGTCTTAACCTCTTGACCTCGTGATCTGCCTGCCTTGGCCTCCCAAAGTGCTGGGATTATAGGCATGAGCCACCATGCCCGGCCTTTTGCCTATTTTTTAATCAAGTTGTTTACTTTCTTATTGTTGAGTTTTAACAGTTCTTTGATATTTTGGATAACATTCCTTTATCTGATAAATCTTTTGCAAATATTTTCTCTCAGTCTGTAGCTTATCTTCTTCTGTTCTTGATAGTTTCATTTGCAGATCAAAAGTTTTACATTTAGTGAAGTGCAGTGTATCAATTCTTTCTTTTTTGTCCAACACAAGATCATCTAGCTATTCTCCTATGTTATCTTTTAAGAGTTTTATAGTTTTGTACTTTATATTTAGATCTATGATCTGTTTTGAGTTACTTCTTGTGAAGGGTATAAGATCTTTATCTAGATTTGTTTTTTACATGTGGGTGTCCATTTGTTCCAGCACCATTTGTTGAAAAGACTGTCTTTGCTCCATCACATTGCCTTTGCTCCTTTGTCAAAGATGAGTTAACTATAGCCTGGTGTGCAGTGGTACACACTTGTAGTCCCAGCTGCTCAGTAGAGTTCAATAGTTTTCTTTAGGAGGCTGAGGTAGAAGAATTGCTTGAGCCTAGGAATTTGAGTCCAGCCTAGGCAACATAGCGAGACCTCATTTGTAAAATAAATAAATAAATAAGACCAGTTGACTGTATTTATGTGGGTCTATTTCTGGATTCTCTATTCTGTTCCATCTATTTGTCTGTTCTTTGGCCAATTGATAAAATATCATGTTGTCTTGATTACTACAGTTTTATAATGTCTTGAAGTTGGTAGTGTGAGTTTTCTGACTTCATTCTTCTTCAATATTGTATTGGCCATTCTTGGTCTTTTACCTCTCCATGTACAATTTATTTTTATGTATTTATCTAGAGACAGGTCTCGCTCTGTCATCCAGGCTGGAATGCAGTGGCGTGATCATAGCTCACTATAACCTTGAACTCCTGGGATCAAGTGATCTTCCCACTTCCATCTGCTGAATAGCCAGGACTATAGGCACACACCGCCTTGCCCAGCTAACTTAATTTTATTTTTAATTTTGTAGAGAATGGGGTCTCTCTATTTTGCCCAGGCTGGTGGTCTCAAACTCCTGGCCTCAAATGATCCTCCTGCCTTGGCCTCTTAAAGTGCTGAGCTTACAGGCATAAGCCACTGCTCCATATGCAGTTTAGAATCAGTTTGTTGATACCTACAAAATAACTTGTTGGGATTTCAGTTGGGATTGTGTTGAATCTATAGATCAAGTTGTTCGCAAGAACTGACATCTTAACGATATTGAGTCTCTGCATTTATTTAGTGCTGCTTTGATTTCTTTCAACAGAGTTTTGTAGTTTTTTCATGCAGACCTTAAACATTTTTAAAAGATTTATACCTAAATATTTCATATGTAGGGTACGAATATAAATAGTATTATGGTTTTTAAAATTTTTTTCTTTTTTATTTTTTTGAGTCTCACTCTGTCACCCAGGCTAGAGTGCAGTGGTGCGATCTCGGCTCACTGCAAGCTCCACCTCCCGGGTTCACGCCATTCTCCTGCCTCAGCCTCCCGAGTAGCTGGGACTACAGACGCCTGCCACCACACCTGGCTAATGTTTTGTATTTTTCATAGAGATGGGGTTTCACCATGTTAGCCAGGATGGTCTCAATCTCCTGACCTCGTGATCCACCTGCCTCAGCCTCCCAAAGTGCTGGGATTACAGGCGTGAGCCACTGTGCCCAGCCAATAGTATTATGTTTTAAATTTAAAAGTCCACTGTTTTTTGCTGATATATGAGAAATAAATTGATGTTTGCATATGAACCTTGTATCCTACAACATTGGTATAATAACTTATTAGTTCCAGATATTTTTTATTAATTCATTCCAATTTTCTACATCGATGACAATTTCATCTGTGAACAAAGGCGGTTTTATTTCTTCTTTCCCAGTTTGTGTATCTTTTCTTTGCTTTTTGCATTAGCTAGGACTTACGGTATGATGTTGAAAAGCAGTGGTGAGAAGGGACATCATTACCTTGCTCCCGATCTTTGTATAAAGTCTCTAGTTTCTCACCACTAACTGTGATGTTAGCTGTAGGTGGTTTTTTAAATCAAGTTGAGCAAGTTCCCCTCTATTCGTAGTTTACTGAGAGTTATTATCATTCCAAATGGGTATTGTACTTCGTCAAATACATCTATTTGACATCTATTTTTCTGTGTCTATTGATATAATCATGTGATTTTTCTTTTCTTTTTTTGAGACAGGGTATCACTCTGTCACACCAGCTGGAGTGCAGTGGTACAAACACAGCTCACTGCAGCCTCCACCTCCTAGGCCATGTGATCTTTCTTATTTAGCCTGTTAATGTGATAGATTACATAAATTGATTTTCAAATATTGAACCAACCTTTCATACCTGAGATAAATCTCACTTAGTCATGGTGTATAATTTCTTCTATGGATTGTTAGATTCAATTTGCTAATATTTGTTGGTGTAAAAGTCATTGTGGTTTTTGCCATTGAAAGTAATGGCAAATGACTTTTGCACCAACCTAAGGATTTTGCTAAGGATTATTGCATCTATATTTATGAGAGATATTGCTCTGTAGTTGTATTAGTCTGAATTCTCTAGGGAGATACTGGGAGAACCCACCCCCAATATTTCAACGTAAGTTCTATTTTCCATAAGTGTCAGCTGGCTGAGAAATAAAGAGAGACAGTACAAAGAGAGGAATTTTACAGCTGGGCCGCCAGGGGTGACATCACATATCAGCAGGACCATGATGCCTGCCTGAGTCTCAGACCAGCAAGTTTTTATTAAGGGTTTCAAAAGGGGAGGGAGTGTAAGAACAGAGAGTAGATACAAAGATCACATGCTTCAAAGGGCAAAAAGCAGAACCACTGATAAGGGTCTAACAAAGATCACATGCTTCTGAGGGAACAGGGCAAAGGGCAAAAGCAGAACCACTGATAAGGGTCCAACAAAGATCACAGGGCAAAGGGCAAAAGCAGAACCACTGATAATGGTCTATGTTCAGCGGTGCACATATTGTCTTGATAAACATCTTAAACAACAGAAAACAGGGTTCAAGAGCAGAGAACCAGTCTGACCACGGATTTACCAGGGCTGAGTTTTCCCAACCCTAGCAAGCCTGAGGGTTCTGCAGGAGACTAGGACTTATCTCAATCCTTACCTCAACTGCACAAGACAGACATTCCCAGAACGGCCGTTTATAGACCTCCCCCCAGGAGCGCATTCCTTTCCCAGGGTATTAATATTAATATTCCTTGCTAGGAAAAGAATTTAGCGATATGTTTCCTACTTGCACATCCATTTATAGGCTCTCTGCAAGAAGAAAAATGTGGCTCTTTTAGCCCAACCCCACAGGCAGTCAGACCTTATGGTTGTCTTCCCTTGTTCCATAAAAATCGCTATTATTCTGTTCTTTTTCAAGGTGCACTGATTTCATATTTTTCAACTACACATGTTTTACAATCAATTTGTACAGTTAGCACAATTATCACAGTGGTCCTGAGGTGACATACATCTTCAGCCTACGAAGATAACAGGATTAAGAGATTAAAGACAGGCATAAGAAATTATAAAAGTGTTATTTGAGAACTGATAAATGTCCATATTAAGATGAAATCTTCACAATTTATGTTCCTCTGCCGCAGCTCCAGCTGGTCCCTCCATTCAGGGTCCCTGACTTCCCATAACAGGGAGACAGTGCCAATGGGATATATATAGAGAGATATACGAAAGAGATTTATTAGAGGAATTGGCTCACACAATTATGGAGGCTGAAAAGTCCAATAACAGGCCATCTGCAAGCTGGAGACCCTGGAATGTCAATGGCATAACTCAGTCCAAGGCCGAAGGCCTGAGAACCCAGGGGGCTGCTGGTGCAAGTCCTGGAGTCCACAGGCCAGGGAGTTCTAACACGCAAGGGCAGGAGAGGAAGGGTATATCCCAGCTCCTGCAGATAAATCAACACACTTGCTTTTTCTGTTTTCGTTCTCTCTTGTCTCTTGGCTTATTAGATGGTGCCTGCCCACATTGTGAGGGTGGCTCATCTTTACCTAGTGCACTTAGACTCACACACTCATCTCCTCATGCTGATCACAAGCACATCCAAAAGTAACATTTTACCAGGTTTCTACAGTGTTCCTTAATCCATTCAAGTTGACACCTAAAATTAATCCTCACAGTAGTTTTCTTTTCTTGTAATGTCTTTGTCTGTTTCAGTATTGGGGTAATGCTGCCCTCATGGAATGAGTTAAGAAGTATTCCCTCTGTTTCTGTCTTCTGGAAGACATAGTAGAGAATTGGTATAATTTATTTCTGAATGTTTGGTAGAATTCACCAATGAACCCACCTGGACTGGGTGATCTCTGTTTTAAAATATTTTGAATTATTGATTCAATTTCTCTAATACATATAGGCCTCTTCAGATTGTCTGTTTTTCTTGTGTGAGTTTTAGTAAATTCTGTCTTTTAAGAAATTGGTTATCATTTTCTTTTTTTTTTCCTTTGAGATGGAGTTTCGCTCTTGTTGCCCAGGCTGGAGTGCAATGGTGCGATCTTGGCTCACTGCAACCTCTGCCTCCCTGGTTCAAGCAATTCTCCTGCCTCAGCCTCCTGAGTAGCTGGAATTACAGGTGCCCACCACCACGCCTGGCTAATTTTTGTATTTTTAGTAGAGATGGGGTTTCACCATGTTGGCCAGGCTGGTCTCAAACTCCTGACCTCAGGTGATCCACCTGTCTCAGCCTCCCAAAGTGCTGGGATTACAGGCGTGAGTCACTGTGCCCGGACATCAGTTTCTTAAATTGACATCTAGGTTATCAAATTTTGGGGCATAAAGTTGTTTATAATATTCCTTTATTATTCTTTCGGTGTCCATGGGATCTGTAGTTATGTGCCCTCTTTCATTGCTCATGTCAGTAATATGTGTCTTCTCTATTTTTTTTTCTTAGCCTGGCTAGAGGCTTATTGATTTTTCTTGATCTTTTCAAAGAACCAGAATTTAGTTTCATTTTTCTCTATTGATCTCCTGCTTTACATTTCATTGATTTCTATTCTAGTGTTTATTATTTCTGTCATTCTTCTTACTTTGGAATTAAGTTGCTCTTCTTTTTCTAGTTTCTTGAAGTAAAACTTTAGACTACTGATCTTATATCTTAATTCTTTTGTACATTTCTCTTGAGATTTCTTTTCTGACCCATTTGTTATTTAAAACTGTGCAGTTTTATTTCCAAGTATTTTGGGTATTTCTTGCTAAATTTATGTTATTGATTTTTAGTTTAATTCTACTGTGGTCTGAGAGCAGATATTGTATTATTTCTACTCTTTTAAATCTGTTAAGTTGTGTTTTATGGCTCACAGTGTGTTTTGTCATGGTAAATGTTCCATGTGAGCTTGAGAAGAGTCTGTACTTTGCTGTTATTAGATGAAGTAGTCTATAGATGTCCCTTGTATACAGTTGATTGATGGTGCTACTGAATTCAACTATGTCCTTACTGATTTTCTGCATTCTGGATTTTATCCATTACTGATAGAGGGGTGTTGAAGTTTACAGTTATAATAGTGGATACATCTGTTTCTCTTTGCAGTTCTGTCCATTTTTGCCTCATGTATTTTGATGTTCCATTGTTGGCACAATGCACATTAAGGATTTTTATTTCTTGTTGAATTAACCCCTTTATCATTTTGTGACCCACTTTTTAATCCTGATAACTTTCCTTGGTCTAAAGTCAGCTCTGTCTGAAATTTATGTAGCTATTCTTGCTTTCTCTTAATGACTATGTTAGTCTGTTTTCATGCTGTTAATAAAGACATACCTGAGACTGGGTAATTTATAAAGGAAAGAGGTTTAATGGACTCACAGTTCCACATGGCTGGGGAGGCTTCACAATCATGGCAGAAGGCAAATGAGGAGCAAAGGCATGTCTTACATGGTAGCAGACAAGAGTTTGTGCAGAGGAGCTTCCATTTATAAAACCATCAGATTTCATGAGACTTATTCACTACCATGAGAACAGTATGTGGGAAACCACTCCCATGATTCAATTATCTCCACCTGGCTCCACCTTTGATACATGGGGATTACTACAATTCAAGGTGAAATTTGGGTGGAGACACAGCCAAACCATATCAGTTACTATTAGGATGGTATGTCCATCCATTTACTACACAATCTACATGTGTCTTTATAAAGTGGGTTTCTTGTAGACAACATATAGTTGAGTCATGTTTTTTATCTACTGTAATGATCTCTTGTTTCGAATTGATATATTTATACCATTGACTTTTAAAGTGATTATTGATATAGTTGGATTATTATCTATCATATTTGTTACTTTTTTCTACTTGCTGCCTTTGTTCGTAGTTCCTGTTTTTGTCTTCCAGTCTTTTTCTGAGTTTTGGTGTTTTAATTGAACATTTTATGTGATTTTGTCACATGATTTTGTCTGAAAGTATCTTATTTCTCTGCTTTTGAAGGTTAATTTTGTAGGATGTTTATATGGTTTGGCTCTGTGTTCCCACCCAAATCTCATGTTGAGTTGTGTGGCCTGGTGGGAGGTGATTGGATCATGTGGATGGTTTCTAACAGTTTAGCACCATCCCTCTAGTGTTGTGTCATGATAGAGTTCTCATGAGATCTGGTTGTTTAAAAGCGTGTAGCACTTCCCACTTAGCTCTCTCCATCTTCTGCCACCATGTGAAGATGTGCTTGCTTCCCCTTTGCCCTTCTGCCGTGATTCTAAGTTTCCTGAGGCTTCCCAGCCATGCTTCTTGTACAGCCTGTGGAACTGTGAGTCAGTTAAACCCCTTTTCTTCATAAATTACCCAGCTTCAGGTAGTTCTTTATAGCAGTGTGAGAATGGACTAATACAGACGCACAATGCTAGGCTGGTACTTTTTTCCTCTCAACACTTTAAATATTTCACATCACTGTCTTATTGTTTACATGATTTCTGAGAAGTCAGATATCTTTCTTATCTTTGCTCCTCTATAGATAAGATGTTTTTTCCCTCTGGCTTCTTTCAGGATTTTTTCTTTATCTTTGCTTTTCTGTAATTTGAATATGATTTGCCTACATGTAGATTTTTTTATTTTTTATTTTCGTTTTTGGCAGTTAACCTGATTGGTGTTCTCTGAGCTTCCTGGGTCTGTGGTTTAGTGTCTGATATTAATCTGGGGAAATTCTCAGTCATTATTGCCTCAGATATTGCTTCTATTCTTTCTCCTTCTGGTATTCCCATTGTACATATTTATAACTTTTGTAGTCCACTGTTTGTTGATTTTTTTCTTTTTTTCAGTCTTTTTTCTCTTTGCTTTTCAGTTTTGGGCATTTCTATTGTCATATTCTCAAGCTCAGGGATTCCTTCCTCAGCCATGTCCAATCTACTAATGAATCCATTAAAGTGATTCTTCATTTCTGTTAGTGTTTTTTAATCTCAGGCATTTCTTTTTTTATTCTTTCTTAGAATTTCCATCTCCCTGCTTAGATTACCCATCTGTTCTTGCATGTTGGCTGTTGTTTTTTTTTTCAGTAGAGCCTGTGGCATATTCATCATATTTATTTTAAATTGCTAGTCTGATAATTACAACATCCCTGCCATATCTGACTCTGGTTCTTCTGGGAGGTTTTTTGAGACAAAGTCTCCCTCTGTCACCTCCCTCTGTCACTGCTGGAGTGCAGTGGTGTGATAACAGCTCACTGCAACCTCCGCCTCCTGGGTTCCAGCATTTCTCGTGCCTCAGCCTCCCAAGTAGCTGGGACTATAGGCGTGTGCCACCAAGCCTGGCCAATTTTTGTATTTTTAGTAAAGACAGGGTTTTGCCATGTTGGCCAGGCTGGTCTTGAACTCCTGGCCTTAAGCTCCTTAGCCTCCCTAAGTGCTGGGATTACAGCCATGAGCCACCGCACCTGGCCTAACTCTGGTTCTGATGCCTGCTCTGTTTTCAAACTCAATTTTTTACCTTTTAGTATACCTTGTAATTTTTTGTTGGAAGTTGGACTCGATGTACTAAGTAAAGGAACAGCAGTAAAAAGGCATTTAATTGAAATGTGGTGGGAGGGAATGTGTTCTATTGTCTTTAGGGATCTTTAGGGAGCCTGTGTTTATGGACTGTGAACTTTACAAGTGCTTCTCAGCCCCCAACCCCACTCAGGCGGGACAGAATGGGGCTAGAGTTGGGTATTTCCCTTCCCCCAGGTCAGTTAAGCTTTGATAAAACCCCAATAGGTAAAAATAGTTTCTCTGGAGGAGAGGCCTGCTAAAGACCAGAATGCTTTGTTTCCTTTCCCTCTTCCTCTGGCAGAAGCATGGGAGGATTTTTTTCTCCAGTCTTCATTGTGAGAACCTGGTAGAACTCCTAGAGGTAAAACCTACAAAAGTGCGGGTGCCTCCATCTAAGACTGGGTCCCTCTGGAGTTGTTTTTTGTTTGTTTGTTTGTTTTGTTTTGTTTTTTCTGTTTGTTTTGAGACGGAGTCTCACTCTCATGCCAGGCTGGAGTGCAGTGGTGCGATCTCGGCTCACTGCAATCTCCACCTCCCGGGTTCAAGCAATTCTCCTGTCTCGGCCTCCCAAGTAGCTGGGACTACAGGCACCCGCCCCCTCGCCCAGCTAATTTTTTGTATTTTTAGTAGAGATGGGGTTTCACCGTGTTAGCCAGGATGGTCTCGATCTCTTGACCTCGTGATCTGCCTGCCTCGGCCTCCCAAAGTGCTGGGATTACAGGCGTGAGCCACCACGCCTGGCCCAGTTTTAATTTTTTATTTTGCATATAAGTTCAAAGCCTTCCAAAGTGTTTGTTTATGATTTATTTTCTTGTTAAAATCTGTTCTTGTTCATTGCCTGTTTATAAGTGTTGTCTTGATGTTTATTTTTTGCATGTACATTTTAATTTGTCAATCTGTTTCTTCTTTTATTTCAACTGTTCCAAATTTTAGAAAGTTGTTTCAAGTATCTGATACCTAATTCTAATTTATGCTAGCTTTTCTAACATTTGATATTCAACTTCTGATTTTGAGTTTATTTTTGTGTATGGCCTAAGATGCTATTATTCCTGTTGTTATTCATCCATCCCAGTATCATATTCAATCAACCTCCCCCACCACCACCACTATTTTGAGTGTGGTTGCATTAAAAAGCATGTGGGCTTTTGGTCAGAATAGATTTGGGTGAAATCCTGGCTATGGGTAGCAGTCTCCTTCTACTTTAAGAGTAACTTCTTCACAAAAGGAGCTAGATGATCCTCTGCTTTGCCTCTAATGCTGAGGAATGTTGCACCTACAACTATCATGGAAGACGCTGAAACCTCCATTACCCAATCCTGTACTCCCAGCACCCTCAGGGAGCCCCACCTCTGGAGGACTCAGACACTCATGCCAGGTAAAGCTGTAGGACAGAGGCCAGGCATGGTGGCTCACAGCTGTAATCCCAGCACTTTAGGTGAGAGGATTGCTTCAGGCCTGGAGTCGAGACTAGCCTGAGTCACATAGCAAGACCCCATCTCTACAAAAAATTAAAAAATTAGTCACACATGGTAGCATGCACCTGTAGTCCCAGCTACTTGAGAGGCTGTTGGGGAGGGATCACTTGAGCCTAGGAGTTTGAGGCTGCTGTGAGCTATGTATGATCATGCCACTGTACTCCAGCCTGGGCAACAGAGCAAGACCCTGTCTCAAAAAAAAAAAAAAAGAAAAGAAAAGAAAAAGAAGCTATAGGACATAGGGGAGCTAGTCATATGTCTGTCCTACTGAGACTCTAGATGGCACAAGGCAATGGCACTTGTGTTAGAACCAGAATGCAGCTATGGCTGACTTGGAACCGTCTGTCAGAGGAAAAAAGGCATGCAAATAGTTACTCATTTGACCAAAGCAGAAGAAAACCAAAATGTCCAATGCCTCCAGGAAGAAAGGCAAAGATAGAGATACTAATCATTTCTCTACACATCTGCCATGCCATGGGTGAAGAAGACAGCCAAGTTGGTGAACAGATCTGGAAAGGTTACCATCATTCTTGATTGAGCTCTGCCCTCCAACCGAACACCCCTGAGCAGCCACGGCATGCCGGCTCACCGTGCTTCCCACCACGCATGGATCAAGAGCACCTCCACAGGTTCTCAGAAGCTACGGCACCAGGACCCATTTGCCTGCTTTTTGCTGTTCCTCTTAAGACAGGGTCCTGCAATCACAGCTCACCGCAACCCCTGCCTCCCAGGCTCAAGTGATGCTCCCATCTCATCCTTCCGAGTAGCTAGGACTACAAGTGCATGCCACCATGCCCAGCTAATTAAAAAAATTTTTTTTTGGTAGAGACAGTGTTTCTCCATGTTGCCCAGGCTAGTTTCAACCTCCTGGGCTCAAGCAATCCTCCTGCCTCACCCTCCCAAAGTGTTGGGATTACAGGCATTAGTTACTGTGCCTGGCCTCTCTTGGTAATTTTGACTATGCCACTCCTAAATATATGCCTCTTGGCCTCTGCATGAGAGAAGGTGGCCTTTGATGTGTTATTTCCAGCACTGTGGTTTACTTTAGCTTTTTAAATTGTTTCTTTCATAATTTCTACTATCATCCAGCGTCAGTGTTTCTAGCCTATCCTATTAAGGGTTATTCTTTTGTTTTGTTTTGTTTTGTTTTTTGAGATGGAGTTTCGCTCTTATTGCCCAGGCTGGAGTGCAATGGCACGATCTCGGCTCACTGCAATCTCTGCCTCCGAGGTTCAAGCTATTCTCTTGCTTCAGCCTCCCAAGTAGCTGGGATTACAGTGCCTGCCACCACGCCTGGCTAATTTTTTGTGCTTTTAGTAGAGTTGGGGTTTCACCATGTTGGCTAGGCTGGTCTTGAACTCCTGACCTCAGGTGATCTACCCACCTTGGCCTCCCAAAGTGCTGGGATTACAGGCATGAGCCACCATGCCCAGCCCCAAGGGTTATTCTTTTGATTTGGGGAACAGGGTTCCTTGGCCCTATTACCCACCACATTGTTCTCCACTCTTTGCATCCTGAGCATCTCCATCTGCATTTTTCACTCCTGAGTACTGGCAGAGATGAGCACAAGGGTAATGGGACTTGATGTAGTGACATTGTATCCACCACATGCTTAGAGAGGTTACATCCACCACAAGCTTAGAGATTCTGTATCCACCACAGGCTTAGAGAGGTTGTATCCATCATACAGTTATGTTGCATCCACCATACATCTAGAGATGTTGTGTGCACTATACAATCAGCAATATTGTGTCCATCATACATTTAATAATCACAAAGCCATTACATGGCCCACATTTCTGAGCACATCTTCCCTGAAAATTTTGACACGTAGTTCTAGGACATCACATTTTCCATGCACTGGTTCTTTTTCTTCTGGATGTCAAGCCCTCAGGTCCACATTATCTAGAAGGTGTTCTTTAAGGTAGTCCAAGAAGGAAATGGGTAAGAAATTTCCCAAAGGCTTTTAAAAGCAATACCTTGCTGACACTCATTGAAACTCATTTCAGAGAATTTGACGATGGTTTTTGGAAGCCATAAGCATTCCAGAAGAACAGAGTAGCTAGAAGTGCCCCCACCATTCATGTGTCCCAGGACTGACTGACAGTGGAAAAGCTTTATGTGTGTGTATTTTCCTTGCTGCCTGGTCAAGGTCTCCAATCAATAGTTTAAGACTTTTTCACAGTTCATTTTCGACCACCGAAGATTTCCTTTAACTTTCCTGCAAACTCAAATATGCATTTAAAAATAATCTGTTTCATTTTTGCAGGATATGGTTGAAACATTTTTCAGATTATCTAGTCTACCATATTGCCCCCCACCTTTTTTTAAATCAGGAATTTTATTTAAGTAAAAACCAATAACAACCTGGTTCTTCAATGGTATTCCTGCCATAGCTAAGACAAGCACTGAGTCCTTTAACTGACCTGCATCAAATTGTTTAGGGGAGATTTTTCCTTCTAGTTTGAGTGTTTAATGCTTTCTTTGCTGCTTATTTTCATTAAATATGGTAGAAATACTTTGAAATCTGCCCAGATTCCATCAGCCCTATTGGAGAGGCACCTGAGAAATGAAGATGATGTTTCTGACTCATAACTTTCTTTGACATAAGGGAACAATAGGAGTCAGAATATAGGATATACATTCCTCTATCTTCTACTCAATTGGTTCTCCAAGTGTGACTCAGACCAGGAGCATCAGCATCACCTTGGAATTTGCCATAAAATGCAGATTCTCAGACCCTATTCCATACCTACTCAATCAAAACTTCCAGGCATGGGCTCCAGAGATCTGTGTGTTCAAGCCTTCAGGTGACTCTGATGGCGTGCTTACATTTGAGACCCTCTGCTCTGGTCTGATCACCCAGAATCTCCCTTGGGAGAGCTACCTTGAAATTTCTGCTTATTTCCCCTGCAGCGTATTGAAGACTCCACGGTGGTTGTTTTGTTTTGTTTTGAGATGGAATCTCACTCTGTCACCCAGGCTGGAGTGCAATGGTGCGATTTGGGCTCACTGCAACCTCCGCCGCCCGAGTTCAAGCGATTCTCCTGCCTCAGCCTCCCGGAGTAGCTGGGATTACAGACACGTGCCACCATGCCCGGCAAACTTTTTGTATTTTTAGTACAGACAGGGTTTCACCTCCGCAGTGGTCATTAAAGCTTGACCACTAAATTGCCCTGGTTCTTCAACATGCACTAGGCAGGCTGGACCAGAAGCCAGGAGACCTGGCTCCCAGTCTCATTATCATTACTAACCAGTCCTGGAGTTTTCCCTCACCATGAAGATGGAATTTTTACCATCTGCTTTCTCTGCTTTGTGTGGCAGGAAGATAAAAAAATAATAATAATGGATATTCAAACGGTTTATATTGCATGTAAAATGCAATGTGGCATTGATTGTAGATCCCTTAATTCAGACAGATTTCCCCACGCAGACGCTGTGTGTCACAGGGGGAATGGGCAGCGTCACTTTTTACATCCAGTCATATTGTATGAAATTGCAACAAATTCAAAAAGATGCCATCGTGGGAGTGTGGTGAGTAAAAAACAGCTTTCATGAAACTCAAATCTTGAAAGTCAGATGCTTTCTGGGTCTTGTTTAACTGTAAAAGAGATAGATGAAGTATTAGAAATGGAGAAGGAAAGGGGGGAAAAGCCATCCATTTACTGCTTAAGAATGGCTCTGCTATTGCGATACCTAAGGTCACATGCGTAGCCACTTGGGTTAATGATACTCAGTTTGTCCACGGAGTGGCAGTAGCAACTGTCTGAGAATCAGTCTCAGCCGGGGTTCCTTCTGTCTATAGAAAGTGAAAGACAGACTGTTATTCAAATTCCATGTGCAAAAAAGCCTTCTTACATTAAATACCTGGGCATTTCAGGAAGAAGTTTTATTTGACTTAAACTGTGAAGGCAGTTTCTCATTTGAGGAAAAGAAAGATATAACGTGTTTCAGTTGAAATGTCAAGATCCTTTGATTGCACATTTGGTTTCCTAGGATAAATTATTCTAGCCAATGGAGCAGAAACTGGCTAATCAAAGGCACAGTGCACAGTTACACTTCTGTATATCATTCTCTTTTTTTAAAATAATAGCTGGAATTTTTTTTGAAAGTGAAATTACAATTTACCACCTCAACTCAGAGGACATATTAGCTTGATAACTTATTCACAGTTGCTGGTGAGTTCAGGCTTAAATCATCAGCTGTCACTCACAAGTGTTTACCCTTGAACTTTCCGAATGAGACATCAAACGTCTTGGTAGTGGGTGGGTTTAAACAAAGCTGCCCACGCGAGAACCATTGTGGAGCTTCTTGTTCCAGGGGCCGGTCACGGACAAGCTCATGACCAGCACACTCAGATGTGACAATCAGATAACAAGAGGCAAGAGAAGACTTTCTGGGAAATAAAAGATCATTTTTGTGATTTCTTTAAATTCAGATCATATAAATTAGGTGAAGATAGACATTATTTCTCCTGTTTATGTAAAAGAATTTAGACAATGAAGTCACGAAATTCATGAGAATAATTTAAAGACTGTTGGAACTTCCCAATGTTTTTCTTGGCATTCAGTCACTACACATAGAAATGTATACTATGCCGGTTCCTAATGACTTAGCAGTTCCCTCAGGCTTTGTTCCACAGGATGTGACATCTCCTCTGCCAACTTTTCCTGCCTCCTTTCCTAATCATAGGATTGCTATTCTCCCTGACAAGTAAAGAATGACAAGATATTTTATTAAAAAGATGTTTTATTTATCTTTTAAAGATTTTTTAATGTATGTATCTGCCTCTGAAATTATTAAGAATGCCTTAATAATAATCCCTCTCATTTTATTTCAGAAGACACTATTGTAATAGCATGGCTAGGAAGGAAACACAGCTAATTATTAAGATGAATCATTTAGCAAGGTGGGGAAAAATCCCTTGTGTGTAAAAATATCTAGTGATTGACATATTACCAAATTTACATGAAATAGATTTCCATGTAATTGAGACTGATTTTTCCTATTAGATGGAAAGAACCTTCCTGATCAGGACTGGTGTTGGGGGAATGTTTTCCTTATGAAATCAGAAGCAGAGCTTCTGTAGGGCCGTCCAAGATCAGGATGCTTACTTCAAGATGCCACTCTGCATCTCTCCCCACCTGCCAAGTGTTTCCTGTCTCCCAGATGCTTTCTATTGGCTTATTGTAAGGACTTTGACTTCTGCGCTACGTGAACTGGGGAGTCACTGGAAGAGTTTCAGAGGTGCACCTTGGTAGACTCAGGCTTTCTCTGGATCTCACTGGCTGCTCTTATGAGTCCAGAATGGAAGAGGATGAGGACAAATGCAGGGGGATGTTAGGAGACCACTAAGCAGGTCCCTGTCATTTCTCTCTCTGTGATTCCTTTTGCTGCCACTTTCTCCTTGTCCCCTTGGCTCCAGCCCCCTGCTGTCCTTGCTGTTTCTTGCACCCGCCCGTGAGGCATGCTCCTGCCTCAGGCTCTCTGCCTGCCGTGCTCTCACCTCGCAGACCCACGTGATTTCCTCCCGAACCCCCTTCAGGCCTCGGTCCAAACATCACCCTCTCATCGAGGTCTTCCTTGACCACACTGCTTAAAATTGTCCCCCTCGCCTCACCTTACCACCTTCACTGCCTCATTTCTCCTTTGTGCTTAATCACCATCTCACACAGTTATCCAGAGCACGAGCCCCACGAGGAAGGGTCTGTCTTGTCCACTGTTGGACCCCTGACACCTAACCCCTGGGGCTGGCCCACAGTTGGGAATTGCATGGCTGTCTGAAGCCAGCACCTTCCTGGTTCTGCTGTTCCCTGGAAGTGGGGTTCAGTACACCCCACGAGCCAAGGCCCTCATCTCAGAGGGCGTGCACATGGTTGCCTCAATTGTGCTTTCACACTGGACCCTTCCTGCAGTTTACTCTCCTATGTCAGATGCCCTTCAATGAAAGCAAGTACATTGCCACCTTGTCACACCTCTAGTTACCATTTTCTTTATGGTCCAGGTCCTGACCAGCTCTAAAGATGGGTCAGCTGCTGTATTTCCAAGAACCCCATGACTTCCAGGGCCCCTTGTTCCCAGGAAGGCCCCGCACCCCAGTCGTCCCGTGCATAACCTCACGGGCCAGCACCTGGTAGCTGCTGGAAGGCTTCTGGGGGATGCCTGGGCCCCTCCAGCCCTACCTCTAGTCCTGCCACTTTACAACTGAGCACCTCCCGCTGCTGCCTGCTGAACCCTTCAGAGTCCTTGCCACAGGCCCTATTTACTTTTTCCTGAGAAGGTATGTGTGATGCCAAAGAGAGAAAAGCAGCATTTGCTAATTTGGGTAAAATGTTTCTTTGGGAAGGGCAAATTGATGTACAGTTGTCCCTCAGTATCTGTTGGGACTGGTTCCAGGACCCCGTGGATACCGAAACCCTCAGATGCTCAAGTCCCTTATATCAAATGGTGTAGAATTTACATGTAACCTAAACACTTCCTCCTGTACACTTTAAATCATCTCTAGATCCCTTACACTACCTAATACAAACTAAATGCTATATAAATAATTGTTATACTGTATTTTTTAAATTGCTATTATTTTTTATTGTTGTGCTATTATTTTTATTGGGCTCCCTCCTCCCCCTCCCACCCCAGTAATTTCAATCCAAGGTTGGTGGAATCCATGGATGCAGAAACAATGGATACTGAGGGCCGGCTGACTAGACCTATTTTTATTGTAATTACTCATTCTCTTCTACCTCATTAAGCTTGGTTCTTTCAAGCATGAATACCTGGTTGAATCTGCATAACCTCTTATTATCGACCTACCTTTGTTCACACACAAATGATTGCCACTTAGAGCTCTCCTACCGGGCTCCTTTTGTAAAATAAATTTTATCTTCTCCAGATAGAAAGAAATGTGATACCTTGCGGATTTTGCGGTTTCCTTGTTTTGCTGGATTGCAAGTCCTTTAGACATAAACAAATGTTCTGTACCCCGACATCGGTGGTACCCAGCTCTCAGTTGAGAAAGAGATGTAATGTGAATGCCACTCTTGGCCCCAGGCACTCCTCACTTGCCCCCACTGGGGACTGGTTCATACCCTCCTCTCCTGGCCTCAGTTTCCATACCTCTTAGTGAGGCCTTTGCGTTATACTTCAGAAATATTGTCAGTATGACTTTGAAGATGAAAGTTTGCCCCCAAAATCACTCTCTGTTATCATTGTGAAACCAGAGATGGAATGGAAAAATGGGTTTCTGAGACATTTTAAATTATTCCTTGCTTGTCTTTAGAGGCAAAATTCAGATAAGAAAGCTTATCAATTATACTTTTGTTTCTACTCAAAAACTCATGACTGCTCACTCAAAGACTCCTTGTTCTTATCTTAAAACATTGTTTACAGTGTCCCAGATGAATGGCAACAAATCCTGGGGTTTGGTGTTTGGATGGTACATTTCCCTGGGGAAAGAAATAACAGTTTGAGATGGAACCGGGTTGGGGTGGGAGAATACTTCTCATTCTGAGGAATATTTAATTTTGCCAAGATGAGCATTTCTAGTTCTTAGTCTGTTGACGAAAAGAGCTATGGTTTGTTTCTGGAACTTTTGATAAAAAATAAAGAAATTTGTAGCCTGGGGAGTTTGGTTTTAAAATGCAAACACAGGAGTTATGAGTTGAGACTTGGACAGGGTGTCATTTTCTTTTTAAAGGGCAGCAATATGATTCTTTGATTTGTCTTTGTTATCTTGACTTTTAATCCGGATTCCTGGGCAGTTGTTCAGCCCCAGGACATCTCCATGGGCAGGTGGCCTGGCCTTGGCACACTACCCAGTAAATCTCTGCCTGAGAGGACGCTTTAGCTGGGAGGCCAGGCTGATTTTTAAAGGCAGAATTGGACTATTTACTCTAAAACAGTAATGCACACTGTTTAGAAAGAAACATTCCTATTCTGGGAGGAAGGAGGAGACACACAGAAGTATCATTTATTTCTAGTCTTTTCTGGTAGAAGCTATGAAGCTGAGTTTACTCTCTGGAAATTTGTAGTTTATTTTCTAGAAAATTGCATTTTATCACTGCAAAAAGGATTTTATTTCCAAATGAGTAGGCTTTTGAGCAAGAGTTTTGGAGTCACAGAGATGGGGTTAAGAAAGTGATAATGTGCAATGGCGATTCTCAAGTTCAAGGAGAAAAAATAACATGCTTTTATTGGGATACTTTGCTTGTCTATAAAAGAAAGTAGCTATTGGCATTTATGTAGAAGTCAGCAGTTTCTTGGCACCAAATAAATAATTTTGTGCTGAATAAAGGGAGAGTTATCCATAGTATTTATTACTAACCAAAGAAATGCAGGGAGAATTGTAATTCATTAGGTTTTGATGGCCAGGAAAGCCAAGCTGTGTTATTAGGGTCATGACAATCACAGACATTACGGATGGCTGACCTGTAGTATGGATAGAGGGCAGAGGGTAGAGTGTGAAATATATCACAGAATTATGTCAAATAATCTGGATAGTTACTACTGCTTAAAATCTAAGTGCACAGCTAGAAAAGTGGGTAGTGACGCACTACAGTCTTGCTGAACACTGGGTAAGAAAATCATAGCAAACGTTGAGTCTGTTTTGGAAATGTTCTAAAACCAGACTATTAACACAGTGAGCCATTTTAAATGTGGCTTGCTACGTGTTTGGAGAGAAACACATACTCTTTTATTAGGAACATGAAACAAACTCTTTGAGCCGCAGTATCACTGCGAGTGAGTTTAATTGCTGGGATTAATAAATCACAGCTGCAAACGTTAAATTCTTGGCAGGATTCTTTATTCAGCTGTTTTCCCCTTGCCCCATTACATTCCAGATTTGTGGTCTGCATTATGTCTGGAGCCAGAAGTAAGCTTGCTCTTTTCCTCTGCGGCTGTTACGTGGTTGCCCTGGGAGCCCACACCGGGGAGGAGAGCGTGGCTGACCATCACGAGGCTGAATATTATGTGGCTGCCGTGTATGAGCATCCATCCATCCTGAGTCTGAACCCTCTGGCTCTCATCAGCCGCCAAGAGGCCTTGGAGCTCATGAACCAGAACCTTGACATCTATGAACAGCAAGTGATGACTGCAGCCCAAAAGGCAAGAATGCTCCTCGGAACCTGAGTTTCTCTCATACAGAGCAGATTGCTCTTTACCCCTTGATCAGTGGTTGGGTAATCCCAGGCTTCCTACCACCCTCTGAAAAAGCATCCAGGTAGTTAACCTGAGTTGAGTTAGTCAGTTGAATTAGGAGCCTTACCCCTCAGAGAGTGGTCCGTGGACCGGCATCCCCTGGGAGCTTGTTAGAAATACAAAATCTTGGGCGGCACCCCAGACCTACTGAATCAGAATGTGCATTGCAGCAGGATCCCCAGGTGATGCTTTCACATGGCAAGTATGAGAAGCCCAGGACTAGATCCCCAGTTCTCAAGTGTGGTTGTACATAAGAATCACGAGGTAAGTGGTAAACACTATGGCTGCCCGGGTCCTGGAGAGTCCGTTGTAATTGGTGTGGAAGGGGTGTGGACTGGCACTGGGATTGTTTTAAGGCTCCCCAGTGCAGTCTAATGTGCAGAAAAATTTGAAGATGACTGGGCGTGATGACCTCTCTGAGTCATTCGAAGCTTCACTGAAGTAGTAAGCATCTGCAAGAATGCCGTTTGCTCCCTTCAGACTGTTTGAGGCTCGTTTCCGGTCTCTATGTCGGACTACGATCAGTCTGAGACCTTCGCCCAGATAGAACTGACCCCAAACTGACAAAGGGAAGGTCAGTGCCAGCCTTTGTGAAGGCTTCCTGGTTGGCCTGAATTTCCTGCTCCCTTCAGGAAGGGTGGGGACAAAGGAGAGGCCCCCCTGGGGGCAAAGAGGGAAATATCAGAGGTTGCCTAAGAAAATGCCCTGCTGGAAAACACAAACCCGAAGGGAAGTTTGGGCTGTAACTCTGGTGGCAGGGTGACCAAGCGCAGCTGCTTGAGGAAGCCCTGCTGTGCCTCAACAGGATGTAAACTCATTGTGAGCAACACTTTCCTGCTCTCTGTGAACTTAAAGGGCAGAACCAGCAGGTCCTGCCCCAAACAGTCCCTGCCTTAGAGCAGGGTGGTCGGGATGGCCTGGACAGCCACAGCAATTAAAAAATTGCAACATTTTAAAATTTTAGTCTATAATATATATACAAAGGCTATGTGTATGGGGTGGGGGGGTGTTTGGGGGCAGGGGGTGTGTATGTGTGTATAACATGATGTTGAAAGGGAACTTGAAGACTTGGTCCAGCTTCTTTTTTTTCAACCAAGACAACTTTTGCAAGGGTGACACTTTTCTTTAGTCCCAACCTGACATACGGTTTCTCCTTGAACACCTTCAGTGGCTCAGACTCACAGGTCCGTTTGTTCCAATGGTGGGAACTTCTGAACAGGTCTTCCTTTCAATGAGCAGCAGTCAGCCTCCCCGTAACTGCCACCACGATTCTATCGTCAGAGCTAAAGGGAGCAGGACCGTGTCCCTTATCACGGCATGCCATCTTCTCCACCTTTGAGGACAGCTGTCATGATCCCCCTGGCATCTGTCCCCCAGGCTGTATCCTCAGTCCCTTCCACAGTTCCTTAGGAGACTCAGTTTCCAAACCTTCTACTGAAGACTTCCATGTTTTCTCTGTGCTCAGAACTGTATGCAGCTATCCCGATTCTGTCTAATAAGGGCAGGGTAGAGAACTCTCACCTGTCGCATTCTAGATGTTGTCCCCAGAAAACTGCTGGCAGCCACATGTCTCATTATGGGTGTATAAGGCACTTGCTGTCAACTAAAACACCTTTTCACATGAGCAGACACACATGCTGCCATTGCCATCCTGTACTTATAAATTATAAAGGTGATTGATTTAAGCTGAGGGCAAGACTTCACATTTATGCTGTTAAATTTCATCATTCCAGCCTGTTGGGCTATTTAGGGATCTTTACTGACATCCCAAGTATCAGTTACCTTTACGTCATTCACACATATGATACACACCTCATTTATGTCTATGCTGAAGTCAGTGTAAAAAAACCCCAGGCTGTGCCCTCAGACCTCCTGATGACACTGATCTCCTAGAGGGCAGGCATTCTCTTGATAGAGATGTTTGCCTGCATGGCACTGAGTCCAGCACCTGAAATGTCATCTGCCTCTTGCTTCCCTCCCCTATCCACCGGACCATTCTGAGACATTTGGCAAATGACACACTGAAACCCAGACTGTGGCTGTAGAATTCTCCTGCATTCACCTTTCAATAATCTGCCCCCAGAGGAAACACTTAACACGGTTTTGTTGAAACCACGCCAGCTGCACAGCATCACTCCGTCTCTATTTGTTTTCCAGGGGCCAGGATTAAGCTGTTGATATGATCACTTTTAGAATTTACAGATATCTCAGCTCCCATACGTGGTTATATGTTTTTTGTTTGTTTGTTTTCCAGCAGCACTTTTATTTTTCCTTACACGATGACATGTTGCTGGGGCCTATTGTTCTCACATAACAGTAGAAAACCAAAATTTGTTGTCATCTCTTCAAAGAATCGAGAATTGCATACAGAAAAACCTTACATAAATTAAAAGGATGAATACATTTACAGGTGTAAATGCAAACCACTTTCAACTCAGACAAGTAACAGCCCATGGTGTTCTGGCAGAAAACATCAGCTAAGAAAGGAAACTGGGTCCTAAGTCTTGGACTTTCCAACCCTTACAGACCGGCAGAACAGAAACAACTGGTTCAGGAGCCCTTGCCAGCCTCCAGAGAAATCCCAGAACACGCAGCCCTGACGTATTAATACCCTGCACAGATCAGAGACTGCTGGCCACGCAGACTCACCAAGCCACAGACTTGTCTTCCACAAGCACTTTCTTATCTTAGCCACAAAGTGACCAAGCCACATGTACTAAGGGTTGAAATCAAAGATATGTACAGGGTATTAAGCAAATCTGGTTATATGTTTTAAAACAACTTCTAAGACAAATTGATGGCAAGTTTGTGTGAAAGTTTTATATCAAAGTTGTTATAAGAGGTTCCTGAGCAAACCAATTGAAATACAGTCATGCATTGCTTAATGACAGGGATATGTTCTGAAAGGATGCATCATTAGGCCATTGTGTCATTGTGCATGCATCATAGCATGTACTTACACAAACCTACATGGTACGGCCTACTATGCGCCTAGGCTATATGGTATGGCCCATTGTTCCTAGGCTATAAACCTTTACAGCATATTACTGTACTGAACACTGTAGGCAGTTGTAACAAGTGGTAAGCATTTGTATATGTAAACATAGAAAAGGTACAATAAAAATTCAGTATTATAATCTTATGGGACCACCATCACATATGTGGTCTGTCATTGACCAAAATGTCATCATGCAGTGCATGACTATATTTCTGTCTCAGTAGGGGCATTCATAGGGGAAAAACGGAGTCTAGTTTCAAGATGATTAGGCTGGGCAGTCACTTGGGATTGTAACCTTCATTCCTCAGAAGGAAGGGGTTCTTGATCTCATTGAGATCTACCAGAAAATTGCTGAAGCCATTTATCAAGAATGCAACTTACTTCCTAGATAGGATTACTCATCACATCAGACCCAAAATTTTGCCCAGCTCAGGTTTGGTTCCTCTCCTCATTCCTGGTTGATAATAATCTAGTATGTATACATAATTTAAATGTTATTCTCCATGAAAAACCAAAGTTTTGTTTTTAATAAAGAAAAATGTCTATCCAAATATAATTTTCAAAAATCTGAAAAGATGACTCATACAAATATAGAATGAATAAAGCTTTTATTTAATTCATTAATTAAGGAACCAGTAAGATGGTAAAGCTGGTTCAAAGGAAAATTCAAGGAATGGAAATGTGTATATCAGTCAGTCCAGTGATTGTTGAAATGAATTTCCTAATAGATGCAAAACTGGGTAATGTCCTATAGGGCAAAACATTGTAATCTTTGAGGTGATCTTTTAAATAGCAAAGTCAAACGGTGGTACATTCTCCAGCTAATTAAAGAATAATTGAGTGAGCCTATTAAACAGTACCCTAGTATAATTTGGAAAGGCTGCATCTCCATCTTGCCTTATTTTTAGGTTTGAGATAATTTTTCTTTACATGGTCATTGCTAAGTGTGCAATGAGATGATACTGTACTGGAAGGAACATACATTGGTATAGTATTTCTGGAAAGCAGTTTGGCAGTGTGTGTTAAGAACTTAAAAGTTTAATTTTTAGGCCAGGTGCTGTGGCTCATGCCTGTAATCCCAGCATTTTGGGGGTCCAAAGCGGGCGGATCACTTGAGGTCAGGAGTTTGAGACCAGCCTGATGGTGAAACCCCATCTCCACTAAAAATACAAAATTTAGCCAGGTGTGGTGGCGCATGTCTGTAATCCCAGCTACTCAGGAGGCTGAGGCACGAGAATTACTTGAACCCAGGAGGCGGAGATTGCAGTGAGCCGAGATCACAACACTGCACTCCAGCCTGGGCGACAGACCAAGACTCTCTCTCAAAAAACAAAACAAAACTTAAAACTCTAATTTTTATACCCTTTGATCCAGTAATTTCACTTGTAAGACTTTATTCCAAAGAAATAATCAAAAGATGCAATCAAAGATTTGTGTGAAGTGTATAATTATGCAATAAGTGTTTTGAGCACACTATGCAGATGGTCACCACAGTTTTCTTTTTATTACAAAAAGTTGGGAACACTTCAAATTCCAATAATAGAGGATAAATTATGGCGTCCTCTTAAATATGATGTGGCCCCATTACAAATGGATTTTTGAAAGTTTTTTTTTTTTCCTTTTTTTTTTGTGGTGGAGTTTCACTTTGTCACCCAGGCTGGAGTGCAATGGTGCGATCTCAGCTCACCGCAACCTCTGCCTCCCGGGTTCCAGTGATTCTCCAGCCTCAGCCTCCTGAGTAGCTGGGATTGCAGGTGCCCGCTACCATGCCTGGCTAATTTTTGTATTTTTAGTAGAGACGGGGTTTCATCATGTTGGGCAGGCTGGTCTTGAACTCCTGAGCTCAGGTGATCTGCCCACCTGGGCCTCCTGAAGTGCTGGGATTACAGGCGTGAACTGCCATGCTTGGCCGTATTTTTTAAAGTTCTTAATGAGGGAAGTCAAGATGTAAAACCATATATTTATTATTATCTCCATTATATACACACATACATGTATACAGAGAGAAAAAGTAATGAAAATAACCAAAATATTAACAATAAGTATCTGTGTTATAGAATTATGATTGTTTTTTCCCGTTTTCCAAATTTTCTACAGTAAAACTTTTGAAGCTTTTATAACCAGGAAAAAAATTTAAAAGTTTGCAATGCATTCCAGAAATAAGTGTCTCAAACTTTGCTAATTTGAATTGTTCATGCCTTCTCTGCCTGCCTTCTCCACCTTCCTCCCTGGGGCTGGTGTTCCCGGCTTGACATTTTAAACCCTGTAAGTGGAGAGCAGTGGAAGAATGATGCCCCAGCCCTGAGAGCTGAGGGCGGCCCTGTTTGTATTTTCTTAGGTTGCTGTAGATGTCACAGGGAGTTCCGGGCCATCACAGCCAGGGAACACAGGATGTTGCCAGGTGTGGGAAAAGGCCTTTAGGGTGGTCAGAGTCCCGAAGGGAGCCTCCTAATTCCCAGTTGGGGAATGGAGATTTCAAGCGAGTTCTTGTTTCCAGGCTGAGATGAGCACACTTGCCTCTTACCCACTGGCCCAGTGGATCCTAACCTTGGCTACAAATGAGAATCACCCGGGGGACCTTTAAACAAACACTGTTGCCACTATCCCACCCACAGTCAATCAAATCAGACTTTGTAGGGGTGGTCCCGGCATCAGTGGTTTTTCAGAAGTTCCTCAACTGATTTAAATGCACAATGGAAGTTGACAACCACCAGACTGAAGATACCACGTGTGTTAATGGGCCCAATGTATTCAAGGCCCAGTAGTTGGCCCCATCTCCCCTGGTATCCTAAGAACTCTAAATCCTTTCTAGCTATTCGCTTGTCAAACTCCTGAGCTTACTTTCAATGGAGCTTACACATTCCCTCCTTCCCTCACATGACCCCAGGCACAGTTAATGGTTGTTCCTAGAGGACTTTGTCTTTGTTCCTTGGGGATCAGGTGGAGTGAGACAGTATCCCCAAGACTAAGATCTCTGAGGAGAGTAAAGACACCATCTCTGTGCCTCTGGTTCCTGCTACAGAGTAACTTCCTGATGGTTGCCAAAAGAATGAACAGAAGAATGAATGAATGCAGCGGTTCTTCCTGCCATCTGATAACAGACTATTCTTTGATGTTTTCATTTTCAGGATGTACAGATTATAGTGTTTCCAGAAGATGGCATTCATGGATTCAACTTTACAAGAACATCCATTTATCCATTTTTGGACTTCATGCCGTCTCCCCAGGTGGTCAGGTGGAACCCATGCCTGGAGCCTCACCGCTTCAATGACACAGAGGTGATTCCTGCCTTTTTCCTCAGTAGGCTGAGGGTACACAGAGGTGATCTAAGTCAGGGACCAGAAGCTGTGACATGTTAACTAAGATTGATAGGAGACCTTAACATCCCCAAAATCCAACCCAAACTCCCAAAGATCCATGTGCCACATGTTCATTCCATTAAAGAATGTCTGACGTTACAAGGCAGTTATTCATCTATGGATCTTTCCATTTATTAATTACACAATAAATACAGGAATGTATACTTAAACCAAACCAAAAGTAAAAAAAGAAAAGTTCATCTTCACCACAGCCTGCACCTCATCCCATGCCCTTGCTTAGAGAAACTGCCATCAACAATTTGATGTGCATTCAGTTGTATTCTTTTCTATGCATTTCATAGTTATTGACATCCTCTTTTTTTTTTTTTTTTTTGAGATGGAGTCTTACTCTGCCACCCAGGCTGGAGCGCAGTGGCGCGATCTCAGCTCACTGCAAGCTCTGCCTTCCGGGTTCATGCCATTCTCCTGCCTCAGCCTCCCGAGTAGCTGGGACTACAGGCACCCACCACCACGCCCGGCTAATTTTTTTTGTGTGTGTATTTTTAGTAGAGATGGGGTTTCACCATGTTAGCCAGGATGGTCTCGATCTCCTGACCTTGTGATCTGTCTACCTCGGCCTGCCAAAGTGCTGGGATTACAGGCATGAGCCACTGTGCCTGGCCTTGACATCCTCTTTTTAAGCATACTATATGCTTATTCATTTTAAATTTTTGCTATTATATTTTTGTAAACATGTTCAAGTTTTTCTGTAAAATAAAATTTTTAGAAATGAAATCCCTCAGGCCAGGTGTGGTGGCTCACACCTGTAATCCCAGCTACTTGGGAGGCTGAGGCAGGAGAATCACTTGAACCTGGGAGGCAGGAGTTGCGGTGAGAAAGATCGCGCCACTGCATTCCAGCCTGGACAACAGGAGCAAAACTCTGCCTCAAAAAAAAAAAAAAAAATAAAATAAAATAAAGAAATGGAATCCCTCAAAGGATATGTACATTTTAAATTATATTAAAGAGTACCAAATTTCCCGCTTAAAAAACTTTGATTTCACTTTACAGCCCCAGTCATACAGTATGAGTGCCTCTTTTTCCATCCTTTGGTCAATGCAAGATAGAATAATCTTTTGAGCCTGGGCACAGTGCTTCACATCTGTAATCCCAGCATTCTGGGAGGCCAAGGCTGGTGGATAGCTTGAGCTCATGAGTTCAAGACCAGCCTGGCCAACATGGTGAAACCTCGTCTCTACAATAAATACAAAAATTAGCTGGGTGTGGTGGTGCATGCCTGTAGTCCCAGCCACTCAGAAGGCTGAGATAGGAGGATGGCTTGAGCCTGGGAGGCGGAAGTTGCAGTGAGCCAAGATTGTGCCACTGCACTCCAGCCTGGGCGACAGAGCCAGACCCTGCCTCAAAAAAAAAAGAAAAAGAAGAATCTTTTGAATTTTTGCCAGTCTTATGAAGGTGAGAAATGATAGCTATTTCATTGTTGTAATTTGCACTTCTCTCTCACTAATGAGATTGAGCATCTTTTGAGATGTTTGTGGGTCACTTTTCTTTGTCCTTCTGTGAATCACCTGTTTATATCCTTTGCACATTTTCAGTAGTGGTTGCTTTTTTCTTATTGATTTATGATAGCTGTTTATTATGGATAAATATAAGTACTTTTATATTTAAAAATTGTGAGAGCCAAGTACAATGGTGCACACCTGTAGTCCCAGCTTCTTAGGAGGCTGAGACGAGAGGATTGCTTGAGGCCAGGAGTTTGAGTCCAGCCTGGGCAATGTAACAAGACCCTGTCTCTGAAAAAAAAAAAAAAGAAAAGAAAGAAAAAAAAAAGAAGAGGAAGCAAAAGGAAGGATTTTAAAAACTCATTTATTTAATTTATTTATTTATTTATTTATTTATTTATTTATTTATTTATTTATTTTGAGACGGAGTCTTGCTCTGTCGCCCAGGCTGGAGTGCAGTGGCGCGATCTCGGCTCACTGCAAGCTCCGCCTACTGGGTTCACGCCATTCTCCTGCCTCAGCCTCCCGAGTAGCTGGGACTACAGGCATCCACCACCACGCCCGGCTAATTTTTTGTATTTTTAGTTGAGATGGGGTTTCACCGTGTTAGCCAGGGTGGTCTCAATCTCCTGACCTCATGATCCACCCGCCTCAGCCTCCCACAGTGCTGGGATTACAGGCAAAAACCTCATTTATTTACACCTTTTTTTCCTCTAGGTGCTCCAGCGCCTGAGTTGTATGGCCATCAGGGGAGATATGTTCTTGGTGGCCAATCTTGGGACAAAGGAGCCTTGTCATAGCAGTGACCCAAGGTGCCCAAAAGATGGGAGATACCAGTTCAACACAAATGTCGTGTTCAGCAATAATGGAACCCTTGTTGACCGCTACCGTAAACACAACCTCTACTTTGAGGCAGCATTCGATGTTCCTCTTAAAGTGGATCTCATCACCTTTGATACCCCCTTTGCTGGCAGGTTTGGCATCTTCACATGCTTTGATATATTGTTCTTTGACCCTGCCATCAGAGTCCTCAGAGACTACAAGGTGAAGCATGTTGTGTACCCAACTGCCTGGATGAACCAGCTCCCACTCTTGGCAGCAATTGAGATTCAGAAAGCTTTTGCTGTTGCCTTTGGCATCAACGTTCTGGCAGCTAATGTCCACCACCCAGTTCTGGGGATGACAGGAAGTGGCATACACACCCCTCTGGAGTCCTTTTGGTACCATGACATGGAAAATCCCAAAAGTCACCTTATAATTGCCCAGGTGGCCAAAAATCCAGTGGGTCTCATTGGTGCAGAGAATGCAACAGGTGAAACGGACCCATCCCATAGTAAGTTTTTAAAAATTTTGTCAGGCGATCCGTACTGTGAGAAGGATGCTCAGGAAGTCCACTGTGATGAGGCCACCAAGTGGAACGTGAATGCTCCTCCCACATTTCACTCTGAGATGATGTATGACAATTTCACCCTGGTCCCTGTCTGGGGAAAGGAAGGCTATCTCCACGTCTGTTCCAATGGCCTCTGCTGTTATTTACTTTACGAGAGGCCCACCTTATCCAAAGAGCTGTATGCCCTGGGGGTCTTTGATGGGCTTCACACAGTACATGGCACTTACTACATCCAAGTGTGTGCCCTGGTCAGGTGTGGGGGTCTTGGCTTCGACACCTGTGGACAGGAAATCACAGAGGCCACGGGGATATTTGAGTTTCACCTGTGGGGCAACTTCAGTACTTCCTATATCTTTCCTTTGTTTCTGACCTCAGGGATGACCCTAGAAGTCCCTGACCAGCTTGGCTGGGAGAATGACCACTATTTCCTGAGGAAAAGTAGGCTGTCCTCTGGGCTGGTGACGGCGGCTCTCTATGGGCGCTTGTATGAGAGGGACTAGGAAAAGTGTGTGGTCTGTGGGGCGGACTCTGGCCATCATGTTGACAGCCTTGCACTTCCACAGGCTACAAGCCCTGGGACCATCTTTCTGCCTTAAGGGCAGGAGCCCACTTCTGTGGCACCAGATTCCACCCTGGGAACTGTGGAAAAAGTAGGAGAGGCAGATTCCCTCAGTGTCTTCCTCTTAAACCTCAATCATCGAGACATTAGGGGGTATTTTCTGTTCACATTTATCTTTTTCAAGCCACATCTTCCTCTAACAAATCTCTCAGTATGCGATTGGTCTCAAGCTAAAACAAAAATAAATGTCAGTTTATATTTTACACATCCACAAAGCAGTGGCTTGGGGTTTTTTTTTTTTTTTTTATCTTGTTGATCAAGTGACACCCAGGACATGTAAATATTTCATAAGCCTTAAACATTTCCTGAGGTAAGAAACAAGCTCTCAAAGCAAAAGCTCAATTAGAAATGGCCCTTGTGGGGAACCTTCCCATTCTGGTCGACCAGAACTCTAGCCAGATGAAATGGCAATGCTAGCGCCACCAGCAACGTCAGAAACGTAGACCTTAAAGCGGCTTTTAAAAATAGAAAAGAAGCGTTCCTCACATCTGCCAGTAATGGAATTTTCTGTCAGTAAATGGAATGTGTAGGCAGGACCTGGAATAACTGGAGAGAGTGCAACGCTTCGGGGTGAAGGGCGGGTGGGGACTGGAAATGTTGAGACGGGGGCAGCCATGGGAAGGTATGAGTAATAGAATTCTTTCTGTACGACACAGCTCATCCAGGGATTCCAGGGACCTTAATAAATCACGGTAGCTTTGGGCAAGAGTTGGGCACGTTGCCCGACTGTGCAGGATGGATTGATGCTGGTATAATTTGATCTGGAGCCCTATAGAGGATCTCGTTGCTTTGCAGCGATGCCTGGCACCCCATAGAGATAAGTTGCAGGGACTGCCGTGAAGGGCATGAAGGGTGGCCCACTTTAGTCATGCATTTATTCAATCACCCAACAGGCACAGAGCAGGAGCTTCCCATGTTAGGAATTCCAGATGCAAAATTATCAGACTCAATATGGTGAAGACATTTTTAGGCCACTGATTTCTGTGTAATTTGTGTCCAATATTTCAAAGCCATTTAAAAAAGGATTTTGACTGCATGCCTAGTAGCTGTTTCAGATCATTTTTTAAGTACAGAATGGATAATTAGTCTTCAGTGATTTGCCTCTTAAATGTGGCCATTTAGTTTGAACTCCTTTTTAGTTATTTTAAACAGTATATGCTTAAACATCACACGATTTTATAAAGCAAGAAAAATGAAATGATCTCCCTATTCCCCCACGGTGTAGGCCTCCAGATCCTTTTCTGGCTTTTAGGCAGGACAATTAACAATGTGGATTCTGCAGTCAGACTGATGGGGTTTCCATGCATGGCCTCACCATTAACTCCTCACTGGGGAGACCTTGGGCCTCGGTTTTTTATTCATAGAATGCATGTTGAATAAACCATGTGGGAAAAAGCAGAGCCAGCACCAGCCCCTGCTGACTCACTGATCCCTCGGAAAGGTCTGGGATGAGTCAAGTCTTCAGGGAATAAGCAGCAAGGACTTGGAATTCCTGAGCAAGCCTTGGGTTCCCCACGCCCTAGGAAGTCCCTCTGGAAGGGGAGCAGGACCTCTCCCACCAGATGACGGAGTTCGCTTTCTCGCCCAGCGCAGCTCCCACCAGGCGTGAGCTGGCAGTCCAGAAGCGGCCCCAGATGTGGCTACCCACCGCCCAGTCTGCTTCCCTGCCTCAAACCCCAGGGAGACAGAAATTACCTAAAAATGCATATCATTGCCTTATGCCAAGATGATTCAAATAAGCCTGAGAAAGAGAGGCCAGCGCTAAATACAGACTTGGCAGAACTACTTCACCCAGTAAACATCTAATCAGCACCTGCAGGATCCTCATTCTGCCCTTCTGGGCAGAGCACCACGAACTTTCCCTGAGTTATTTTCTACCAACAATTTAGAATGAATTGCTCGTGAAGTAGAAATGAGGGGAAAAGCAACTAATGGTGGTAGAACAAAGTAATTTTTACAATTAAAAGAAGTAGCTGCCAGATGACAGAACAAAGTAGAGGACGGGAAAATAAATCATTTTCAGGGAAAAAATATATCTATGACTAATGGTTGTGATTATGTTTTTGTCGATTGTGATCCTGAAACTCAGGAAGCAAATGGCAATCTTGACCACAACATGGAGACAGGAAATCAAATGCATTTTTGGCTAAACCAGACTTGGGGGAAGTGGCTTGGTTTGCGTGGTTTCTCATGTAGGTGCAGCTGTGCTTTTCTGTGGTTTTTCTCACACGGGAAGTGAGAGGCACAGTGAGCTGTATTCACACTGGATTTAAAAGCCCTGTTCTTAGAGAGGAAAAAACCAGGCCTCCTCACAGACTGCCAAGTCCCAGAGCCCACCATGTCTGCTCTCAAGACACAGGCCTGTCCAGAGCCCCTGCTGAGGGAAACCCACCCAGGCCACTTTTCCCCACAGGTGGCCCTGCTTGGTACCTGTGCCCCCACCCCCCAGCCATGGTATATTGAACCAGGAGGAGGCACCCAGCCCAAGGCCAGCCAATCAGAGCACTGGCTAGTAGCCCAGGAGGTGTCCCTGCACAGAAGATCTCCTCAGAGAGGACCGATGGTGAGTCGGCCGCTCTTGATTCTCAATGAAACTCAGAACCGCTCAAGTGAAATGACCACTCAAAGAACAATTTCTCAACAAAGTGGATTTATATAGGACAAAATAGGCATAAAAGTATGAAATGTTTTGTGCACAAAGGCCTAGATTTGAGACAAGAGCTGATGTGGCCTGAAGATCTGTGAGTGGGACTGCTTGGGAGGCCATGTTCCTTCTCAGGCCAGAGAAAGGTCCTGGTCTCCTGGCTTCAGTCTTTCATTCCCTAACCTCCCTTTGAATGTTAGTTACCTATTCCCACATAACAAAGTGCCCCAAAACTTAATGGCATAAAACAAGCATGGACATTGTTAGTTCACCCAGTTCTGTGGGGCAGGAAAGCGGGTCTCTCATGAGGCTACAGTCAAGATGTCAGCCGAGGTGACAGTGAAGATATCAACCAAGGCTGCAGCCGGTTGAAGGCCTCACTGGATTTGGAGAATATTATTGATTAAATTGCGTCTTCCCCAAAAAAGATACGTTGTAGTCCTAACCCCCAATAGCTCAGAATGTGGCCTTATTTGGAAATAGGGTCTTTGCAGATGCAATGAAGATATAAGTTAAAATGAGATCACACTAGAGTAACTGGGCCCTTAATCCAATATGACATGTCCTTATCAGAAGAGGAGAAGACACACACACAGGGAGAAGATGACCATGTGACAACAGGGGCAGAGATCACAGGGATGCCTCTACTAGACAAGGCACACCAGAAATTGCTTGCCAACAAACACCAGAAATTAGAAGAGGCAAGAAACAACTCCCCACACACAACCCACCCCTGCAGGTTTCAGAAGAAGCATGGCTCTGCCAACACCTTGATTTTGGATTTCCAGCTTCCACAACTATGAGACAATAAGTTTCTGTTGTTTGAAGCCACCCAGTTCAGGGTACTTTGATATGGCAGACCTAGGAAACAAATACAGAGGATCACTTGCAAAATGGCCCATTCACACAGCTGGCACGTTGGTGCTGGCTGCTAGCAAAAGGTCTCAGCTCCTCACCACTTGGGTCTTTCCATAGGGATAGCTGAGTGTCCTCATGATGTGGCCCCTGGCTTCCCCTGAAGCAAATGATCCAAGAGAGCACAGGTGGAGCCATGATGTCTTTTATTAACTAGTCTCAGAAGTCACACTGCATCATTTGGCACCATCTTATTGAGTTACACAGGTCAGCCCTGCTCCCTATGGAAAGAGACAGAGGGTGTTAGATGCCCAGAGGTGAACCTCATTGGGTACCATCCTGCAGGTGGGCTGCCACTCTGCTCAATCCAAATCACAGCTCTCCCGTTTCTCACCTCCCAACAGTTGCTGTTCCTCAGGCCAAAGTTCACATTCTGCACAGCCTCAGCTCCGCCTGACCTCTGAGCTCACATGATGGCCCTTACTGTGAACCTGGGTTTCTGGTCCAGCCATAGCTACTTCTTTAAGCTCCTCCAGTGTGCTGAGCACAGTCTGGCCCCTGTACTGTTGTCTGCTTGAAATGGCGTCTTCTGATGAACACTCATCCATCCTTCAAGGTCTACTCTCTCATCACAGCTTGTGACTCTTCCACTTTTTGAACTGGTGTTTCCCATTCCCAGTTCACAGAGCCCTTTCTCATTGAACTATTTATCTGAGTTCCCTCTGCCGGAACATGAGCCATGCCTAGAGTAGCCACCTAGTAGTGAGTGACAGCTCTGTGCTGGATGCACATAAATGGTCTCCCTTAACTGCCATGAGCCCTAAAGAAGGTTTGCTACAGCTATTTTACAGATGGGGAAAACTGACAGAGAGATATTAATGAATTGCCCACATGCAAATATGTGCTGAGTCTTGGATTTGCATCTTTATCGTGACTCCACGGAGACCCACCCTCTAAGACCAGAGCCAGTGTCCTATTCATCTTTTGTCTCTGCAGCGTTCAGCATGGCACTGTCTTGGCTTACAAAATCTGCTCTATGCTTGCTGACTGCTGAATGAATGAATGAATGAATAGGTAGTCACAAAGAATGTTTAGAATGTTTCTCAGACAGGCTGAGAAAAAACACAACGAAACATTATTTCCGTTTGGAAAGTTTTTTTATTTTTGTGTTCAGTACTGAAGTAAAACAAAAATCTGAATAACAGCTGCACCGTTAAAAATGAAATTACCAATATATGAACTCTAGGCATCATGCATATATAATTTTTTGTAGATAACTTTTCTTCTCATTTTCCTTCTCATTCTCTTCATCTTTTTCTTTTTGTTTGAGCAAAAAAAAAAAAGAATATATTAACTCGTAACTGGGGAGTCTAAGAATAAATTCTCTTCAGCCATTGCTGAATCTAGGGGCTCAAATGGTGTCTCTGGACACAGTATCACACTCTACTCTGCACTCTTCTTTATCATTTTCTCCCACAGACAGACTCTCGTGTAGTTGCAACAATGGCCATGACTTCTAGGCTTCATCTGCCCCTCTCAGCAGCTCTAGAGAAGAAGCTCCTCTTTTTACACAGTCCCTAATTAAAGTCTCAGAGATGAACAACCTGGGCTCTTGCTTAGGGCACGTGCCCATCCTGAATCAATGATCGGCCAGAGAGCTGTGATATTCTTTTGTTTTTTTGAGATGGAGTCTTGCTCTGTCGCCCGGGCAGGAGTGCAATGGCATGATCTCGGCTCACTGCAAGCTCTGCCTCCCGAGTTCAAGCGATTCTCCTGCCTCAGCCTTCCGAGTAGCTGGGACTACAGGCACGTGCCACCACGCCCAGCTAATTTTTTGTATTTTTATAGAGACAGGGTTTCACCATGTTAGCCAGGATGGCCTCGATCTCCTGACCTCATGATCTGCCTGCCTCAGCCTCCCAAAGTGCTGGGATTACAGGCGTGAGCCACCGTACCCGGCCAGGGCTGTGATATTCTGATCAGCCAGCACTGAGTCACATGGCCACTATTAGGGTGAGGGATGATAGGCTTAGCTCTGACCTGAAATTCATGGATTGAGGGGTGGGGACTGTTTCCCAGGGGAACACTGGGACAGCGTTACCAGGGGAAGGGGAGTGGGATATAGTTGGGCCAAAACAGTAAATGTCCACGAGGCTTTTTTCCTCTGAGCAGAAATTTCACTGTGATGCCAGTCAGGTATTGCTGCCGTAAGGGCCATAGCAGGAGGGAGACTGCAAATCTTGATTGAGGAGATCTTAAGAACAGAGTGATTTACACAGCTGTGGGCAGGATGTAGGGGAACCCAGAAAGGATAATGCACTACCCAGCGGCCAGCGACAGCAGGAGCTATGAGCACCCCAGGCCTGAAGGTGTGAAGGGCTGAAATGGTTACCAGAAGCAGGAGAGGGAAGCTTATGGAGAGAGCAGGCTGGCGGGAGCAGGGGCTGTGAGAGAGACAGCCAGACCGTAGCGGTGTGACAGGCAGAGAGCCAGGCGATCCATATCCTGTCTCCTCTCTCTTCTCCGCTCCTGACTCCTGCTGCGGCCTCCCACTGGCTGGACCCAACAGGAAAGCAGAGGATAAGAGAATCTGGTTGGTGCTATCTAGAAGTCAGTGTTGGGGAGGTCACAGAACAGAATGGAGAGGGGTAGAGTATGCAGGGAAGATAAATGCAGCCCTGGCATGGTTCTTCCAGAACATTCTGCAAGCTCATGGACCAGTTCATTTGAGAAGAAATAGAGGAGTTAGGGGAGAGAGAAGCTTCTTAATGAAAATAACCTTGGTAGCTAGTCTCAAGATTAGCCCCCAGTGCTCCCCACCTGCTGGTATCCGTTGTACAACACTTCCCACATTTTTCTGGGGTCGTTTTGTGTAACCAATAAAATATGGCAGATGCGATGGCATGTTACTTCTGAAATTGGGTTATAAAAGGTACTGCAGACCGGGCACGGTGGCTTACGCCTGTAATCCCAGCACTTTGGGAGGCCAAGCCTGGCGGATCACAAGGTTAGGAGTTCAAGACCAGTCTGGCCAATATGGTGAAACCCTGTCTCTATTGAAAATACAAAAATTAGCCGGCATGGTGGCACACGCCTGTAGTCCCAGCTAGTCGGGAGGCTGAGGCAGAAGAATCGCTTGAACCCGGGAGGCGGAGGTTACAATGAGCTGAGATAGCACCACTGCACTCCAGTCTGGGCAACAGAGCGACACTCCGTCTCCAAAAAAAAAAGATACTGCAGCTTCTATCTTGGTTGCTCACTTGCTATCTTGGGTCCCTCCCTCTGGGGAAAGCCAGTTGCCATCTCCCAAGGATCCCTATGGACAGACCCATTTGGCAAGGAACAGCCACCAGCTAGCTGCATGAGCGAGCCATGTTGGAAGTGGGTCCTCCAGCTGCAGTCAAGCTTCCAGATGACCACTGCCCTGGGAAACGACTGCAACCTCATGAGAGACCCTGAGCCGGAACCACCCCACAAAGTCACTCTTGATTTCCTAAGTCTCAGAAACTATAAAATATAAATGTGTGTTGTTTTAAAATCCTAGGTTTTGAGGTAATTTATTATACAGCAATAGAAAACTAATACAATAGTCTTGCTACCAGCACCTTAATCTCCCACATCCAAGTTAAAATTCATCCAACACTCAATCTCCCAGCTATCCTGACTGCTCCTATACAGGTATCTCTCCCACTATATATATATCAAGTGCTATTAGTGGCTATTATTTGTTGGGTTACACAAAGCCAGAAATCATCTACATCTACTCTCTTTTCTTCTGGTTTTGAATAGCAAAATGCAACAGGGAGATGTTCTCAGATAGAGGGAGAACAACAAAAAGAAGGGTCCATGCTGAACAAACTTGTTTGCTTTGAAATCGGAAGTTCTAGAGGAGGTATTCTGACAGTGGCCAGGAAAACCTCCTGCCCGCAGAATTTTGTCTAATCCACCCCAGACAGAGTTATCCAACAGCCTGGTATGGTGCAGACCAGGGGCTCTCGAAAGGTGGGCTCCAGGCAGCAGCACCAGTAGCACCTGGGAAATTGTTGGAAATGCAAATTCTTGGGCTCCACCCCAGATCAACTTAATCGGACTCTCTGGGAGTAGGGCCCATCAATCTGTGTTTAACAAGTCCTCCAGGTGATTCCGATCCTAATCAAGTGTGAGCCCACTGTCTAATGCGGTGCATACCAAAGCAGGTGCACGGGTCTTAATCATCACCTCAGTCCTCTGAAACAGGCAAGTGTGTCCATTTTACAGAAGAAGGAACTAAGGCCTGGAAGGCAAGTCCTTGCCTGAGACTAAACAGAATCCCAGCAACATAGGACGAGGCTGGAATTCCCACACCTGGACTAATGCACAGCCAGTGTTTCAACGTCGCCAACCCAGAAATGTTTTCTCTCCCTGTCATGCTAATTTTCAGCCCTTTCTGGGTGACTTGTTCATCATCCAAATATATTATTTTTGTTTTGTTTGACTAAAGGCAATTATATTTACATTTTCTCTAAGTACTGGAATGTAATGGTTGAAATTCCTATTCAGTGATCTGGAAGAACTCTAATGTTCTAAAGTGATTCTTTGATAATTAAAGAAAGATGTAATTATGTATAATGTGATTTGTAAGATAAGGTATAACTTTGGGGGTGTTCTAATTCTTTAAAAATTGTTGATCCGACTATGGATGTCTTGCAACTCTCAAAAAATCACGTGTGAAAGTTAAGCATTAGTTCCGTGTAAAATACTGTGCTAGAAATTGTGGAGGATGCAAAGTCACATAAGACTGTTACTGTTTTTTAAAATTTATTTTTTAAAATAGAGACAGGGTTTCTCCATATTGGCCAGGCTGAATCTCAAGTGATCTGCCTGCTTTGGCCTCCCAAAGTGTTGGGATTACAGGCGTGAGCCACTGCGCCCGGCCAAGACTGTTACCTTTAGCGAGAGCTTATTATCACCTAGTGTTCATATAAACATGGGATTTAAATACACACACAACCCCCAAAACAAATTGCTAAAAGATATTTGTGCAGATTTTATTTTTCCAAATGGCTACAACAGTATTTGAAGAACTAACAAGTTTAAAAATGTAAAAGGCCAGTAAGGCAACATTGGGCACTGGGGCAAGTGAAGGGGAGGGAAGGAGCATGGAGTCAGGGGAGAGGGCATTGGCTGGTTCTGCAGGCTCTGCAGGCTGGGGGAAGAGTTAGGGTTTATGTGGGCAGACAGCATTGCAGGGGATTAGGCAGGGGAATAACATGGTCATTTAAAATGATTCTTCTGGCTGATGACAGGTTTTCAGATGCTTCACCTCCTCCTAAGTCAGTCACACCTCATATCCAAGCCATGAGGACTCACTGAGGGGAATGTAATAAATAGCTATTTAAGGGAAAAATAACAATTAAAAAATCTATAATAGCAGTTTAAGGGACAAAAACCAAAACATTTCTTTGGAATTATTCATGTTAAGCTTAACATTTTCTAATATAGTCCTGCATCCTTTTTTTTGTTTTTGAGATGAAGTCTCACTCTGTGGCAATCTTGGCTCACTGCACCCTCTGCCTCCCGGGTTCAAGCGATTCTCCTTCCTCAGCCTCCTGAATAACTGGGATTACAGGCATCTGCCACCACACTTGGCTAATTTTTTTTTTTTTTAGATGGAATTTTGCACTTGTTGCCCAAGCTGGAGTACAATGGCATGATCTTGGCTCACTGCAACCTCTGCGTCCCGGGTTCAAGCAATTCTCCTGCCTCAGCCTCCCATGTAGCTGGGATTACAGGCATGCGCCACCATACCCGGCTAATTTTGTATTTTAGTAGAGACGGGGTTTCTTCATGTTGGTCAGGCTGGTCTCAAACTACTGACCTCAGATGATCTGCCCGCCTTGGCCTCCCAAAGTGCTGGGATTATAGGCATGAGCCACCGCGCCCGGCCTGCATCAGTTTTTAAAAGACATCAGACACGTCAAAGCCACAGGAGGAAAAGCCCCTACATTCATGCACAACAGAAAGGCTTTGTTTTCAGTAAACACGCACATCTTCAAAGAATGGTTGCAATCCAAATTGTTTAGTAACTATTAGAGGAACAAAGAAGGCTGTGTCCTCTGAATTATAATGTGCATATCCTCTAAATTGCTGCATATTAGGGGTTGAAGCATGCTGGGAGTTTGACGTATGTAAGGAAAATTATTAGGTTGATGGAATATAAAGATACTTATAATAAAAGCCAGTATTTTGGCATTTATAAATGAATCTGAAAAGGGTGAAGAACTTCATTGTTTTGCAATTAATACCACAAAATGTGGCCCTTGTGTTCTACTGGCCCCTGAAAATTGTTTCAGATCTTTCCTTGGTGCAGTGTATATTGAATAGTAAAAGGGACATATGTCACAAAACAGATTTATTCCTACAAATTTACATAAAAAATAAGAAGTGAAAAAATAAACCCAGATTTTGAATGCGCTGGCTTGGGAGCCCAGAGACCAGGCCTGGCTTGCTTTTAAATTGTTGTGTGACCTCAGCCATGTACCTGTGCCTCTCAAGGCCTAAGGTCCTCTCTCTGTAAAAGAGGGGACTACATGAGATGATTTCAGCTCAAATATCCTTGGAGACTCTCATTGTTTTCTAGTTGTAAATTATGCTTTTTCTAATAGTAAATAAGAAACGAAACAGTATTCATGTATGACAGAGAATACTTTGTTGTTTTTACTTTGTTTTGTTTTTGAGACAGAGTCTCACTCTGTTGCCCAGGCTGGAGTGCAGTGGCATGATCTCGGCTCACTGCAACCTCTGCGTCCCGGGTTCAAGCAATTCTCCTGCCTCAGCCTCCCATGTAGCTGGGATTACAGGCTCCTGCCACCATGTCTGGCTAATTTTTGTATTTTTAGTAGAGACAAGGTTTCACCATGTTGGCCAGGCTGGTCTCAAACTCCTGACCTCAAGTGATCCACCCACCTCGGCCTCCCAAAGTGCTGGGATTACAGGCATGAGCCACTGCACCCAGCCTACTTTGTTATTATTATAGATGTAAGATACAATGAATTTCTCTGAGTTTCTCTTTAAAGATTTAGCCTGCTAACTTCCTTGACCTTTGTTTTCAAACCTCAACTTTTCTGTTCCTCCTTGCCCCTAGTTATTGTAAAATAGCCTACCCCCTTCCCATCAGTTCTAATCAATACCTCACATCTGTTGCCTTGGTTACCTGCACCCATTGTTCCCCTCAAACTGCATGTCTCACACACTTCACCACTGTACCTCACGTCCCCTTCCCCTCCATATTTAGAAAAATATTTCCAAGTAGCCAGTCAGGTCAGCTCAGATTGCGCAGTCTGACCCCAGCTCATGCGGGAGGGACACAGAGGTAGGGATTGCATTAAGGATATAAAAACTGCCTGGTCTCCTTTGTTCTTTGTGCTCTTGCAATCTTGATTGACTCAAGTGGCACCCTTCTGCAGAAGTAAATTGCCTTGCTGAGAAAACTTTTGCCTGGGTGCTGGTTTTACTTTGCGGCACTGAGCACTTATTCCTAGAGCATTTTTATATCCAACATAGAATATTTTATAAAACAAAAACAAAGACTCAATTTGTAATATGAATCCTCTCCCTCCGGGCTGGAGGCTAGCCACCCCCTCCCAACTCATTCATTTGTTTAATATGTTTAGATTTTCTTAATCAGTGTTGTGATTATCTATTGCTAAGTGCATAAGTGTCACTTCATTTCATTAAGTTCCACTAACTTAAGTTTCACTAAGTTCCACTTAGTTTCTAAGTTTCAACTATGAAACGTAATGGCTTGAACAGCCATTTTATTTTGCTCATGAATTTGGGAAGGACTCAGTTATGCAGCCCACCTCTTTCTGGCCGGAGTGGTGGGGGATGGAGAACCCACTTCCAGGGTAGTTTCTCCACTCAGGTCCCTGGCACATTGACAGGGCAGCTGGAAGGCTCCTCTGGGCCTCTCCATGTGGTCTTTCAGCATGCTGGTCTGAGGATAGTCAGACTTCTAACAAGACATCTCAGGTTTCCCAGACAGGGTATTATAAGAGACAGGAAGAGGAAGCTGCCAATTTCTTAAAGCTGTGGCCAGAAACAGGCACAGTGGCACTTCTGCCATATTCTATCAGTAAAGTTGCTACAGCACCCTTCTAGATTCAAGGAGAGGAAATACAGAGCCCACTCATCAGTGGGAGGAGTGTAAAAGAATTTGTGGCTATTTAAAGTCTACCTCAAAGTAGGCTGCTGTACTGATGTCAGTTTTTATTTATTGAGTGCTTAGCAGGCATAGTAGCTCCTTGAATCTTTCCAATAACTCTGTAAGATAGATATCTTTATTAATCCCATTTTACAGATGAAGAAACTGAGACACAGAGAGGCTGAACAACTGGCTCAATGCCCCCCAGAGCTGTATGTGAGCTAGGTTTTGAACATAAGCAGTTTGTACATGGGAAATTAATGAGCTAATTAGGCTATTTATTATCATAACTTCATGTAATTATTACAGCAATGGTAAGGCACATTACAAGCACTATGCAAGTAAGTAGCCTTTCCATATTCCAGGTAAGCACCCTTCTTGGGTGGGGATGGTCCCAGCTGCTTTTTTGCTGTGGGCTCAGAAGATTGTGCCTATGGGTGAGTGATGGACTGTTCGAGGGCACCTTCCACAGGAATCTTTGTCAGTTTCTCTAGGCATGAATCTTGCAAACAATATAAAAGTCTTCAAGCAACACTGAAAAAAAAAAAAGAGTACCAGAAACCCAAGATATAACAGGTTGACAAAACAGTTGGAGGGGGCCGGGCGTGGTGGCTCACCCCTGTAATCCCAGCACTTTGGGAGGCCGAGGTGGGCGGATCACTTGAGGTCAGGAGTTGGAGACCAGCCTGGCCAACGTGGTGAAAACCCATCTCTACTAAAAATACGAAAGTTAGCTGGGCATGGTGGTGCACACCTATAATCCCAGCTCCTCGGGAGGCTGATGCAGGAGAATCGCTTGAACCGGGGAGGTGGAGGTTGCATTGAGCCAAGATTGCGCCACTGCACTCCAGCCTGAGGTGACAGAGTGAGACTCCATCTAAAAAAAAAAAAAAAGAAAGAAAGAAAAAGGAAATGGAGGGAATTTCAGAGTTCAGAGAGAGAATACAAGTTACACTGGTGCTCCTGTCCACAGTGTCCTATGGACAAGTTACAGATGGCACAGCTAACAAAGCCCTGTTCTGCGTGGAACATGTGTTTCAGCCCCCTGATGGCTATTACCTGGTTAGTGAGAGAATATCTCTTTCCAGCACCTGTTAATTGAGTGACGCCATGCTGCCCCACAGGGACAATGGAACGTTTGGGTGCCATGGAAATTAGTACCAAGGCAATCTTGCCAGGCACTCGGGTATAGCCTTTGTACATGTAGCCCACTTTTATCTTGCCCAAACTTCAGACCGATTTTTTTTTTTAAACCGGATATTCAGAGTGAGTCAAACCCCTTTAATCCAAGATCCCCTAACAACACAGAGTGGAAGCTACCCTGCCCAATAGCAAGGCTGCTTGACACTTTGAGGAACTGAGCTCAGTCCTCCCAGGCAAGGCACACCTTCAATGCTACCTTATCCCTTTAGTTTTCCCTGACTCTTCTGGGAAAACGAACTGCTCTCCAATCTGTATTCAATGCATTCCTCTAGAATAGCTTATTGAGTACTTACTATGTCACTCTCTTTCTGCAGAATACTTTTGGGAATCAACTCATCTCATTTATACCAGAACCCTGGAGTCTTCCCATTCACATTTGACAGAGTCGATGAAAACTCAGGAAGGTTATGTAACTTGCCAAAAATCATACAGGTTGTCCTGTCTGCCTCAAAAGTCCACAAATTTGACCACACAGCCCTGCTGCCTCCCACTGATCACAGGGGGCTGTATGTATCTGTCCCCATGTCCAGTTCCCCATCAGGTTGTAAACTCCATTAGGCCTGGGGCTGGTGCTGAGCAAGGCTCCCAGGACCTAGTACATTCTCAGTAAATGCTTGAATCAAGTTTATAAAGGTTGAGGGCATCTCCAGGGCTCTATGGGCCCAAGAATCCTAACTCAAAATTAGTATATCTCACACACCTACTCTAGGAAGCATAATGACCTAGGGTTCCTGGTGCAGTTTGAAATCCATTGCTGTGCTTATAATGAAGGTCGTGCTTCCACACATGGCTTCTCATCCATGACTGAGTGTGGGGGGGATAATAAGGCAGATCCATGCCTGGGAAGGGGGGCACTCTAGGTCAGTGGCTCACTTCAGTTCAAAGACTCCCAAGTGCTTTGCCAAATGTTCATTAGACACACATGGCAGGTAGGATGTTCCCACTCAACCTTTGATCTTAATCTCCTTCACTGGGGTTAGACTTGCATTGTGGTTTGACAGCTTTCCAGCCACCCCTGGCTCCATCATCTCTATTTCCTTTCACATAGGCGCTTTCTCTAGTAAAATTCTTGCATGTTTAAAACTGTCTTGACATCTGCTTTTTGGAGGACCCAGACTAACAGAGTTAATATTTCAATTTTTTATTCGTTTCCTTATCATTAACGACTTCTATTCACTCTAAGATGACCATGTAGATTAGGGAACTGAATGTCAGAGCAGCAAATCCCTCTTTTCTAAGATGCCTTTCAGGAGTGTGTCCCACATACTAGGCAGTGTGCCAAGTCCTTTATATGCAGTCTTCCCTTCAATCTCCAACAGTGCTGTGAGATCAGTAGGATGACTTTCCTTTTATCCTATGATAGGTCATCCTACTAATGACTGTCCTATCATTTCATAGATAGGACATCTGAGGTTCAGGGAGGTTTAATTATTTGCCCAAAGGTCACACAGCCAAAAAGTGACAGCGTTCAGATTCTAGACTGTTTATTATTTCATTTAATTCTTCTCATAAACCCAATGGAAAATATAAGCAAGAATAAGAAAAGCTAACACTCACTGGACGCTTAGGTGTCAGGCACTTCCCATGTATTTTTTCATTTAATTCCTACCACAACCCCATGAGGGAGGTACTATGGTCCTCATTTCACAGACAAGAAAACTGTGGTGGGGAGAAGTTAGGAGATTTGCCCAGGGTCACCCAGCTAGGAAGTGGCAGAGCCAGAATTCCTGCTGGGACCAACTGGCTCCAAGAGCCCATGTGCTCCCTCCTTCTTGCCTCCCACTCGTGGCAATACTGTCCCAGCCATACGGAAAGGTGCTTTACCTTAGCTGCTATTCATGTGGTTTTCTCTGCATCCGTTGCTACCCATGAAGGGAATTACAACTCAGGAAAACTGACCTTTTCCACTTCTGATTCGACTCCAGACACAGGTCTAGTCTTGTTTCAGAACCCTCTGCTTTTCATTTCATTTGAATCCATGTTAAAACACAATAGCCTACATATCCAATGTCTTACAATTGAACACTAAGAAGCCACCAAGGATCACATTTATTGTGTTTATATACAATGTGTTGACACAGAAATTTACAGCAAATAAAAAATTTACAAACCGGACATATGACTCCATTTAAAAATGACTCATATTCATAGTTATAGATTTGGAAAATATAAAACCAATTTATGTGTTTATGATCTCTTAGTGGCAAGTTTACAGGTGGTTTTGTTTAAAGTATCATACAGAGTAACTTTGCTCTTCTAAAAATCCTCTGTTCTCTGCCTATTCCTTTCCTCCCTCATATCCCCTGGCAACCGCTGATCTTTTTACTGCCCCCATAGTTTTGCCTTTTCCAGCATGCCATATTAAATTCCCAGGAGTAGGATTGCTGGATCATATGGTTTAAGTATGTTTAGTTTTGTAAGAAACTACCAAAATGTCTTCCGAAGTGGCTGAGCCATTTTGCGTTCCCACCAGTAATGAATGAGTTCCTCCAAGCTGGGCATGGTGGGTCATGCCTGTAATCCCAGCACTTTGGGAGGCCAAGGAGGATAGATCACTTGAGGTCAGGAGTTCAAGACAAGCCTGGCCAACATGGTGAAACCCCGTCTCTACTAAAAATACAAAAATTAGCCGGGCGTGGTGGTGCATGCCTGTAATCCCAGCTACTCGGGAGGCTGAGGCAGGAGAATCACTTGAACCCGGGAGGTGGAGACTGCAGTGGGTTGAGATCATGCCACTGCACTCCAGGCTGGGCAACAGAGCTAGACTCTGTCTCAAAAAAAAAAAAAAAAAAAAAAAAAAAAGAAAAAGAAAAAGAGCTCCTCCACATCCACACTAGCATTTGGTGTTGTCAGTGTTCTGAATTTCCACCATTCTAATTGGTGTGTTGTGGCATCTCATTTTGTTTCCCTGATGAGATGTGTGGAACATTTTTTCATATGCTTATTTGCCACCTGTATCTTCTTTGGTGAGATGCCTGTTAAGGTTTTTGGTCCAATTTTAAAAGTTGCTTGTGTTCTTATTTGTGAGTTTTAAGGGTTCTTTGTATATTTTGGATAATAGTTCTTTATCCGTCTTTTGCAATTTTTTTCCTCCCAGTCTATGGCTTGCCTTTTCATTCTGTGACAGTGTCTCACAGAGCAGAAATTTAAAAATTGTAATGAAGTCTAGCTTATCATTTTTCATGGGTGGTGCCTTTGGTGTTATATCTAAAAAGTCATTGTGAAACCCAAGGTCAGGTAGATTTTCTCCTAAGAGTTTTATAGTTTTGCATTTTACATTTAGTTCTGTGATCCATTTTGTTAATTATTGGGAAGGATGTAAGATCTGTGTCTAGATTCACTTTTTGCATGTAGTTGTCTTAATTATTCCAGCACCATTTGTTGAAAATACTGTCTTCACTCTGTCACATTGCCTTTGCTCCTTTGTCAAAGATCAGTTAACTATATTTATGTGGGTCTATTTCTGGGTTCTCTATCTGTTCCACTGATCTGTCCATTCTTTGACCAATACCACACTGTCTTGATTACTGTAGTTTTATAGTATGGGTAGTGTAAGTTGGGTAGTGTAAGTCCTCTCATTTTATTCGTCTCCTTCAATATTGTGTTGGCTATTCTTGGCTTTTGCCTCTCCATATAAACTTTAAAATCAGTTTGTTGATACCCACAGAATAACTTGCTGGGATTTTAATTGAGATTGCACTGAATCTATAAAGTTGGCAAGAACTGACATCTTAAAAATAGTCTTTTTATTCATGAACGGACTATCTCTGCATTTATTTTTTCTTTGATTTCTACCAATAGAGTTTTGGAGTTTTCTTCATATAGATCTTATACATTTTTACAAGTTTTATACCTAAGTACTTTGTATGTTGGGTACAAATGTAAATAGTATTGTGTTTTAAATGTCAAATTCACTGTTCACTGCTGGCATATGAGAAAGTAATTGATTTTTGTATATGAACCTTGTATCTTGCAATACTGGTATAATTACTTATTAGTTCCAACTTTTAAAATTCATTCTGATTTTCTACATAAATGATCATGTCATTTGTGAAAATGTTTTACTTCTTCCTTTCTAACCTGCATACTTTTTATTTCCTTTTCTTGTCTTATATTGCATTAGCTAAAACTTTCAGTATGATGTTGAAAAGCAGTGGTGAAGGGGGCCATCCATGTCTTGTTCCTGATCTTAGAGTGCAGTGGCATGATCATGGCTCACTGCAGCCATGACCACCTGTGCTCAAGCAATCCTCCCACCTCACCCGCCTGAGCAGCTGGAACTATAGGTGTGTGCCACCATGCCTGGCTAATTTTTGTATTTTTTGTAGATACAGGGTTTCATCATCTTGCCCAGGCTGGAGGTTTTTTTTTTTTTTTTTTAATAGATGTTCTTTATCTAGTTGAGGAAGTTCCCATTTTCCTAGTTTACTGAGAATTTTTATCATGATTGTGTTGTATCTAGCTAGTATCTTGATTTGCTGAGAATTACTGCATCTATGTTCATGAGAAATATTTTTTTTTTTGAGACGGAGTTTCGCTCTTGTCATCCAGGCTGGAGTGCAATGGCGTGATCTTGGCTTACTGAAACCTCCACCTCCCGGTTTCAAGTGATTCTCATGCCTCAGCCTCCCAAGTAGCTGGGATTATAGGCATGCGCCGCCATGCCCGGCTAATTTTTATTATTATTAGAAACGGTTTCTCCATGTTGGTCAGGCTGGTCTCGAACTCCTCACCTCAGGTGATCCGCCCGCCTCGGCTTCCCAAAGTGCTGGGATTACAGGCGTGAGCCGCCGCGCCTGGCCTACAGTCTTCTTATAATCTTTGGTTTTGAAATTGAGGTAATGCTGGCCTCCTTGACCAAGTTAGGATATATTTTTTCTGCTTCTATCTCTGGAAAACACTGTATAGAATTGGTATAATTTCACCCTGCGTGTTCAGTAGAATTCAGCAGTGAATCCATCTGGGTCTGGTGCTTTCTGTTTTGGAAGGTTATTATTGATTCCATTTCTCTAATAGATATAGGTCCATTCAGATATAGGCCTATTTCTTCTTGTGTACATTTTGGCAAATTGTCTTTTAAGATCCATCCAGGTTATCAAATTTGTTGGCATGAAGTTGTTCATGATATTCCTTTATTATCCTTTAAACATCTATGGGCTCTGCTCTGTATTGAAGTCTCTTCTCATTTCTGATATTAGTTGTGTCCTTTTTTTTCCCCCTTTAGCTTGGCTAGAGTTTTACTGATGTTATTAATCTTTAAAAAAACCCAAGTCTTGATTTTGTTGTTTCTCTACTGAAATATTTTTTCAATTTCATTGATTTCTACTCTTAATTCTTGTCTTCTGCTTACTTTGGATTTATTTTGCTTTTCTTTCTCTAGTTTCCTAAGGTGAACACATACATGACTGATTTTAGAACATTTCTTTTGAGACAGAGTTTCACTCTTGTTGCCCAGGCTGGAGTGCAATGGCGCGATCTCAGCTCACGGCAACCTCCACCTCCCAGGTTCAAGCAATTCTCCTGCTTCAGCCTCCCAAGTAGCTGGAATTACAGGTGCCTGCCACCATGCCTGGCTAATTTTTGTATTTTTAGTAGAAACGGGGTTTTGCCATGTTGGCCAGGCTGGTCTCGATGTTCACTAGATCCAGCTGGTTGATGGTGTTAAGCACAACTATGTCCTTACTGATTTTCTGCCTGCTGGTTCTGTCCATTAGTGATAGAGGGGTGTTGAAGTCTCCAACTATGATAGTGGATTCATCTATTTCTCATTGCAGTTCTACCGGTTTTTGCCTCACATACTTTGATACTCTGTTGTTAAGTGCATTGGTCAAATAATGGAGAATGAGGTTTTGAAAGAGCTCTAGCTTTGTTTTGTTCCTTCTGGTGGCTGCTAGGCTGCAACAGGAATGTGGGCTGTTAGTTTTCAGGGCTTCTACAGCTGAACAGTGAAAAAGGCAACTAATCCAAGTTAAAACATGACCAAGGCTGTTGGTCTTAGGTAGATTCAGTAGTTTTTCTTGAACTAAATGCTCCTGAGATTGCTGACAGCCTTTAATTTTCAGACTTCTAAACAGTCGATTCTGAGAAATTTTGCCAGTTTTATCACGGCTCTTATGAAGCAGCTAGTTTTCGGAGGTCATTCCTCTTGCCATTTTCACTGACATCATTTAGCAAAAGCTTTTTGACCATTTGGGCTTTAAAGATGAAAATTTATGTTGGCTTCCATGAAGGGATTTAAAAAAAAGATGAAAATTTAATTTTTCTTAAAGAAGGGTAAAGAGAAAGAAATATAAGATTAAATTACTATTTTTTTCAATGAAAACACATGGACACAAAGAGGGGAACAGACACTAGGGCCCACTTGAGGGTGAAAGGTGGCAAGAGGAAGACTGTTCAAAAAACTACCTATTAAGTACGACGCCTATTACCTGGGTGATGAAATAATCTGTACACTAACCCCCCACGGCATGCAGTTTACCTATATAACAAACCTGCACATGTTCCCTTGATCATAAAATGTTTTAAAAAATTAGTTTCAAATTAAGGAAATATTTCTTTTCTAATTAAGCTAGTAGACAGGTATTTCAATTCTAATTAAGATAGTAGACAAGTAAGAGTCATAGGGGAAAGGGGAATGAGACAACCACAAGGAAATGAGAAGTAACACAAAAAGAGGAATGAAGCAGAGAAATGGAGACATTTTTTAAGTGCTGGAGAGGGAGAGATGGAGAACTGATCTAGAAGGGAGAGCACTAGATATCAGCATTTTTTGTCTTAAAAGTAGTCACTAGCCAAGCTTTCCTATCTTCTTTCAGATTAGGTTGTGCTTTGAAAGGGATGAACACAGTTAACACACCAGAGAGGGGACTGGTGCTACATTCTTCTGGAGACTGAAGTAGGGAAGAGGTTGGTTTTCTACCTTTGAAAAAGGGCAGATCCACCAACCAACCAATCAGTAGCACTGCCAAGCAAGAACTTTCCAACTCAAAATACATGTTTGTTGCCCAGTTTTATATCTGGACTACCCACACTGTAAGGGTACCACAAAAAGAGAAGGAACAGGAACAAAGGAAAGGCTACCAAGCATTCCCATGGAAAAGTTGAAACAGCAACAAATCGGTTGGCATCACTTTGGCCTAACTGTGGAAATGGAACCCAAACTATACTCCCCAAAATGGCAGAGAATACTGCCCCATCCCACGGAGGTAGGGCGTGGCCACGATTTGTTATGGCCAGTGGAGTGTTGGCAGATGTGATGCACGCAGAAGGCACAAACCATACTTGTGTGGTTGGGCTTGCCTTCTTGTGCTTCTACCATCAGTGTGGAAACTTCTGTATAACTTTTCTATTTTAGCCCAGGCCCAAGAATGAACATAGATGGGAGCAACTGGAAGCACAACTCACAGCAGGTAGTAAAGCCCAGCCAGAGACCCAGCTTGAAGCAGTTACCCACACAAGCTGATGTCAGCCAATCTGCAGAGGCATGAGTAAGAGTGATTAAACAACTTAGATTTGGGGTGGTTAGGTGGCAACAGCAACTGAAATGTAAGAAGACATCATTCTTTTAGGATCCACTCCTGAGGGCAAACTATGTTACCTCCCCCTTTACTGCTGTATGCCAAGAGCCTAGCACAGTTCCTGGCACATAGCAGGTGTTCAATAAACACCTGTTGCAGTCAGATTTACATGTTTCTCCTAAAAATAATCTAGGAGAATAAAATGAGGGGAACTTACATAATTTAGTATTCAGTGTGTGTCTCAACTTCAAAATCAACAATTTCAACAAAGACCAGATTGCACGTCAGCAGTCATTAGGGGGTTAAGAGCACCGACAATGGACATGACTGCCTGGATTTGAATCTAGGCTTCACAAATTACCAGCCAGGTGACCTTGGGCAAACACTACTTCATCTCCCCCTTTCCTCATCTGTTAAATGGTGCTATAAATAGTACCTACCACGTAGAACAGTTGTGTGGGTTAAGAGATAATTTATTTCAAGTACTTACAACCTTGCCTGGTACATGATAAATGCTGCATAGGCATTTTCTATTATTATTACCTGCATAAAGACCACTTTGAGAAAGGTTATTAAAGCCCTCTTCACCTGTTCCTCCCATCGCCTATTTATATCTACTTGTTCTCACTTCTATTATCTAATCTTGTACGTGTTTCCAATTAGCTCTCTTGTATATTTTCATCATCTTTCCATGCTCAGGATTGCTAAGTGCCAATATATCTACTCTATCCCAGAGCGCCCCTCCACCAACTCCACCAACCATTTAAAGAGCTGCTGATTTTGTTCTTTTCACATAGGGTTTGCACCCTTCTCCATCTGTTCAAATCTGATTCTCAATGTCCGCACCTAGTCTTCCATGACGCCTGTTCTGATCTTCCCTCCCAATGTGATCTTATTCTGTACCTTTTATCAATTAATCTCTACCTCAATTACACTTTTATTACTTTCTACTTATACCTTTCCACAATGAAATTAATTGTAAGCTCCTAAAGGACAAGATCACAATTTCTTGGTTTTCTGCCCATTCCCACTCCCAAGTATACAGCAGGCAAGCAGTATTTGTTGAATAAATATATTTGAAAATCCCATATAGATAGGTTCATTTAAGTCTAAAACAACTTTGCTAAAAAGTCATTTTTTTATTAGAAAAGGAAAAAAAACTTGTCAATTCAATGCTAGACAGTTTAAGGGAAAAGAAGTTTGCATGTAAAAGAGACAGACACTTGATTTATTGCATTAAAAAACTTTATTTCTTTTAAAAGGTCCAATATAAGCCAAATTAACCCCAAAATTTACAGCTACACTTAGAGATCTCCTGAACTAAATGGCATTGTTTGAGATGAGTGTCTTGTTAAAGGAGGTCATTTGCTATTACCACCATTTCACCCAAAGTAGTTCTAGAGCAGAAGCTGGTATTATAATACACATCAGATATTTCAGATGTCATCTTTTATGTATAAGTTAAATAAAGCAAACAGGCTTTTCTACTCTGTGTGAGGATAAGAAACACTACAGAACAGGGCCTGAATGCTTTAGACATACAAGGTGTAACCATAAAGGAAATTTCTACGGTGCTGTGTTCATTCATTCAAGTAATTAATGTACTTATTCCAACAATACTGGCGTAGTTCAAATACCATTTGAGACAGTACTTTGGGGTTTCCCTTCATTGGGTGCAGACCAAAGGAAGTGGTTAAGCTGGGGGGCAGACTCTCACAGATGGATTACAAAAGTAATGAAATAGTTTTCTTAGTGGGGTGGCATTCGCAAGAACTACCTTAATGTTTTTGGTAACAGCATCATTTACATATAAGTGATGCAGGATAGAAGTTCTGGTGTATGTGATAAATTAAAAACAGCTTGTCACTTTATAGCTACACCTTGGATTTCATTAGATGTGGTAAATCTAATAGTGTGTCAAATGAGTCCTTCTGGAAATCACTTCAGCAGAGAAGTCAAACAGCCTGTAAAAGAGAAGACATGGCAGAATGTGCGAGATTCATCCTTCCAACATTCTCAGGGTTCTCTTGGAGGACAGACCCAGGCCCAAAGACAGAAGTTACCGGGAGGGAGGCTTCAACTCCATCTAAGGAAGACCTTTCTAACAGTTAGAGCTGCTCAACAACTGAATGGACTGCTTGGTGAGGTAGAGTCACTTGGAAGTGTTCAAGGTGGAAAGATCACCCTTGTAGAAGGGACTCCTGCATTTGTTAAGAGGTTAGAGACTGGATGAACCTCAGGTCTCTTTCAATTCTGAGATTCTAGAAAATTCCCTCAGGGAATTCAGAAGAGAATTCCTAAAAGGAAAGAGAAAGCACACATATGTATACTTTTAGAATCTGCTTGATTTTTTTTTTTTTCAAAAGGTACAATAGAAAATGTAGTCCACTGTCATTAAAATGCATATTCACCTTCCTACTACTAATAATTAGGAAGGGTTCATTATGACTTCTTTATATTATAAAGAAAAGATGGGGGATTAGATTTATAATTTCTGTAAATATTTTAGAAAAAATGCTTAAAATCTAGTAGTCAATGCCCTAGAAACTTTATAGATTTGTAGATAATATGCACAGATACAAATACATTATTCATTAAATACAACTCACATCTGTGTTTTATTATACTCTAAAATATACAGGAATCTTGATGTACTGAAAGAGTGCAAGTAAATACAGTATTCAAGCAGTCACTATTTCTATGTACATGCTCATTAATTCTTCAAAAAACCCACAAAATTATCAAATAGATCAAAATACTGTTCTGTGTTTTCACACTTTATATTCAGAAAAACCAGCTGATAATTTACAATGTCATAAAGTTTCCAGTTTCACAATACAAAAAGGATAAAATGAAATTGGGTATCATTTTGTTGCAATTTATAGAACTTTACCCATACCTGTAAGACCCTCAATGTATATGAAATCATTTTCACTGGGAAAGTGACAGTTACAGTAAAAGCAGAACCACACAAATCTTTATTTAAAAGCCGAAATATCAGCCTTCTCTCTCTCTTTTGCTATTTGAAAGGTAGTCTTCAATTTGGCAGGCAACTGCTTCTCTCTCCAAATAGTAACAGGTTACAAACATGCTACTTTAAATATGAATAGGACCTAAGGCTTTAGTATTTTAAATCTTGCCCAATACAGAAATGCCTTTCAAGAGACTTTAGTGATGCTTAATTTATGAACAACAAGGAATTATTTTCCTTTTGATTATTCACTTTTTCAAAACTCATAGATCAGAATAAACAAAAAATCCCCCAACCCATGGTGGGGACACAAAAGTAACATAAGTGACTAAGGTGTGCCATTCATAGAGAGGTTGAAGACTCCATGCCCCAGGACCACTTAGCTGCAATAGGGTGAAATAGTCTACTTTTTGATTTCATGAATTTTTTTCTAGGAAATTCTTTACATTTTCAAACAAAAATAGTACTATTTTAAACCCAAACCATTCAAAACAGGGCAACAGCCTGACCCCAATCCATCTCAATGTCTATGTCACAAGTATTTTCACCCGTATTGCACCCAGTCAGCTGGTTTTTAATTCTAATAGTATAAAAATTGGAAATTTGAAATAGTTCTGTAAAAGAAAAAAATGTAAAAATACATCTGCTTTCTCTCATGGTTTAATACAGCATTGGAAGGCTTTCAGATGTTTTCTTAAAAAAAAAACAAAACCCAAAAAAACTCAACATTTAAAACCAAATCTCAGCTTCATTTCCAGAAATATTGCAGTTTGGTTTAGGTAATGTTTCATTTAATCTACTCCAGTTTCCACAAAATGGCATTTTATTAAAAAAACCTTTCAGTTATTTGGTCCTTTTGCAATTTGCTGTGCACATAATGCCTACTGTACCAAACTTTTATTGCCTTTAAATTTAGTTGTAATTTTATTGATAAAATTTAAATCTAGTGTCTTTATTTCTTCTGTTACAATAGTGTTGCTTGTGTAAGCAGGTTAGAGTGCACAGTGTCCCCAATTGTTCCTGGCACTGCAAAACCAAATTAAACAATTCCACAAAGAATTCTGACATCAATGTGTTTTCCTCAGTCAGGTCTATTTCAAGATTCTAGAAGTTCCTTTTGTAAAACTTGCCTTTAAAACTCTTCCTCCTAATGCCATCAGATCTCTTAACATTGGCTCACTGTGGGATCTTTCCTCTTAGGTTGAATTTCTACGTGAATATCAAAGTGCCTTTTTCCTGAAAAAGCACAGTTTGAAGCTTTACTGTGAGAACTCCCTCCTCCTCAGCCTCTCAGTAGGTCTCAGAATCGGAGTCGTTGAGCTCATCCACGTCAGTGTATAAGTACTCCTGTTCCCCTCCAATGTTATTGAAACTGCAATAGGAGCTAGGTTCATTCCTCATGATGGGCAAAGCTTCAAAGCTGACTGTTTTTGAGGTGTTGGTATAACGGTTAATGGCATTGAATGTTAAGGATGATAAAGGACTACTTGATGAGACAGGCATCATGGTGGCCAAAATGAGAGCCAGGCAATCAGCCACATCCTTATTGGGAGCACAGGCCAAAGCTGGGGTATAGCCTAGAATTAAAGATAAAATTTAAAAATTAAGCATCCTGAGATGTATTTCACCAAAGACAAGGAAATAAGCCTAAAGTACTTCAACTTTAGACATATTTTACATTACTTAGCTTATAATAAATTGCTGTAACCAGCATGATTCGCAAGTTTCTAATAAGTAGAAAAAGAATAGCCATAGAAACCTAGGGTGGAAGGGGATGTTAGACTAGACAACAGAAGAGGAAGCAGGCCCAGAGAAGAATGATTCCCCAAGGTCTCACAACTTATCCGTATCCATCTGAATTCACAGAAAAAACTGGGCTAGAATAAGAAAAACACCACATATCGTGAATATTCTTTCAGGATGGTAGGCAGAGATTTACTGTTAATTTGCAGTTATATCAGTGTCAAGGTAAGAAAAAATAAAAAAATTTAATTTGTAGTTATGTAAGGAAACTTTTTGATGCTAAGAAATCTTAAATGTGTACAGCTTCATGAATCAGCCACAGGGCAGGTGCTCAAAAGATATGTGTTGAATGAATGACACTTAGTTGTCAATTTAACTTTTCTCTTGGGGTCACAGTCTCTTGAAGAAAAACAGTAGACAAACTAAGCAGATGAACTTTAAAAACTACTAAATCAAAACAAATATTTCCTTTGTAAATATTCCCTTTTTTTAAGCGGAAGACAACTGACCTTAGTCGTAAGTTACCACAAAGTGTCAACACAGCAAACCAAGGAGGAAACATTTGGTACCTCAGTTGGTACAAGACTCAGTCTTGAGGACGGAGCGGGAGAGAAGTGATAATAGTGTGATGCCAAGCTTCAATTATACCATATGGAACTTTAATAGTTTTATCACATAACATACATTTGTATAACCACCATACAGATTAAGAAAGAGAACATTACCAGCATACCAGAAGCCTCCATATATCCTCTACCCAGTCGTTACACCTTTCTTCTTCCACAATGGTAACTACTATCCTGACTTATGGGGTAGTAATTTCCTTGCTTTCAACTTGGAGTCATAAACACTATAGTTTTTTTTTTGTTTTTTTTTTTTTGAGACAGAGTCTGCTCGGTCACCCAAGCTGAAGTTCAGTGGTGCAAACTTGGCTCACTGCAACCTTTGCCTCCTGGGTTCAAGTGATTCACCTGCCTCAGCCTCCTGAGTAGCTGGGATTACACGTGTGTGCCACCATGACCAGCTAATTTTTTATATTTTTAGTAGAGATGGGATTTCGCTATGTTGGCCAGGCTGGTCTCAAACTCCTGGCCTCAAGTGATCTGCCTGCCTCGGCCTCCCAAATGCTGGGATTACAGATGTGAACCACCTTACCCAGCCTACAGTTTAGAGTTTTTAAAAAACTTAATATAAATGGAATCATGTAGTATGTATTATTTCATATCTGGCATTTTTGTGTAGCATTATATGAAATTTATCAATGTTGTATGTAACTGTAGTTGGTTCATTTTCATTGTTATACAGTATTTCATTGTGTGATTATACTATGGTTTAGTTATACATTTCAACTACTGGGCATCTGGTTGCTTCCAGTTCTCCCACATATTTTCATCTATGCTATATTGGCCTTGATAAAAAAAGGATTTTTTTTTTTTTTTTTGAGACAGGGTCTTGTTCTGTCACCCAGGCTGGAGTGCAGTATAATGATCATGCTCACTGCACCCTCAACCTCTGGGCTCAAGTGATCCTCCCACCTCAGCCCCCTGACTAGCTCTGACTATAGGCACATGCCATGCCTGGCTAATTTTTAAACTTTTTTGTAGATACAGGGTCTCGCTTTGTTCCCCAGGCTGGTCTCAAACTGCTGGCTTTAAGTGATCTTCCCGCCTCTGCCTCCCAAAGTGCTGGGATTATAGGAGTAAGCCACTGTGCCCAGCCACAAAAAGTAATTTTTCCCCCTTTGTAAAGTTCCCATTTTGTCAAGGGTCAAAGAGAACAACTGATGTCCTTCCAAGTTTGGCAGCAGTGGCTGAAGGCTGTCCGTATTTTTAATTAAATTTTATTTGTTCAAAGTAGCTGGGGGAGTGCTTCACTGCCCACACTTCTTTCAAGGGTTCTTCTAAAGGTGCCTGCTGCTGTTCCTGCTGCTGGCAGGCAGAACAACCCATTACATAGGCCAGGATGCCTTGGATGAGAGCGGGAGTGGGGAAAGAAGCTTGTTTCAGGTGTGTTTTCTAGTCAGAATATGACTAAAAACAGGCTCCTCTCCTCTGCATGGGGGTTATTTTTTGAGACGAAGTCTGGCTCTGTCACCCAGGCTAGAGTGCACTGGCATGATCTCGGCTCACTGCAACTTCTGCCTCCTGGGTTCAAGCGATTCTCTTGCCTCAGCCTCCCAAGTAGCTAGGATTACAGGCACATGCCACCACACCTGGCTAATTTTTGTATTTTTAGTAGAGACGGGGTTTTGCCATGTTGGCGGGGCTGGTCTCGAACTCCTGACCTCAGGTGATCCACTCGCCTTGTGCCTCCCAAAGTGCTAGGACCATAGGCATGGGCCACCATGCCCGGCCAGTTTTATCTCTTAACATGCCACTCTCTTTGCTTAGAAAGTTCCTCCCCCACTTTCTCCTTATCCTTTGGATTTTGGCTTAGCAGTTGCATTTTTTGGGATGCCTTCTCTGATCCTGCAAGAAAGGATTTGAAGACCCTCTTAAGTACTCTCATAGCATTCTATGCTTATTCCAATTAAACTATTTTAAGTGCATCGTTAATAGGCTGTTTGCACTCTTATCTCCATTCAAGGGAGTAGACTATGTCTTATTTTACACTATATCATCAGAAGTTAGTACAGTGCTTGGCATAATCACTCATGCAGCAAATATTCACTGAGCCTCCACTTGCTCAGGCACTATTTAGAACACTAAGAATATATCAGTGAATGCAACTGACAAAGATTTCACTGTTCTTGTGGAGCTTACATTCACTTTAGTGGAGAAGACACAAAATCAACATAACAAAAAAGTACATTATATACAATATGTTAAAAGCTTTATGTAAAAAAAGAGGAAAGAGTGGAGCAGGTTAACAAGGACTGAGAATGCTATGGTAGGGGTATCTAGCAAGTTGTAGTAAAGAATAGTTAGAATATGCTTCATTGAGAAGATGAAACTGGAGCTAAGATTTGAAACAGGTGACGAATTTAGTCATGGGATGTTTGGGGACAGAGTGTTCAGGCAGAGTAAACAGCCAGAATGAAGATCACAATGCATGTATAACCCTGCTATGGAGGGGCTGGCATGGCAGAATGAAGTAGAGAAAGGAGAAGAGTAGGAAATAATATCAGAAAGGTAACAAGGTGGAGGACACATCATGTAGGGCCTAGTAAGGTCATTTTAAGAACTATGAGTGGGGCCAGGTGGAGCACTCTGGGAGGCTGAGGTGGGGGGATTGCTTGAGGCCAGGAGTTCAAGACCGGCCTGGACAATATAGTGAGAGTCTGTCAGCACAAAAAATAAATTAGCTAGGCCTGGTGATGCATACTTATAGTGCTAGCTACTTGGGAGGCTGAGGTGAGAGGTTCTCTTGAGCCCAGGAGTTCAAGGTTACAATCAGCTATGATCTCACCACTGTACTCTAGTCTGGGCAACAGAGTGAGACCCTGCCTCTTCAAAAAAAAAAAAAAAAAAAAAAAAGAAGAAGAACCGAAATTCAAGAGTAACATGTTCTCATATACTTTAAAAGGATCCAGGTCAGTCTGGTAGCAGTAAAGAAAAAAGTGGGCATACTTTAGATCTACTTTAGAGGTGGAGTCAATAGTATATGCTGATGGACTATACATTGAGTATGAGTGAGAGGAATCAAGGATGACTCTAGGGGTTTTGCCCTGAGCCACTGTTAAGAATGAGAATTGTCTTCAATGGAGAGAGCATGATGCTGTGGGGAGAGTAGGTCTGGCAAGGGGAGTGGGAAAGGATCAACAGTTCAGTTCTGCACATTCTAGGTTTAAGCTGTTTATCAGACATCCACATGGATGTGTCAATTAGGCACGTGGATATATAGAGACTGTGAGAAGTCTGGGCTGGAGATATAAATCTGGGAATCCTCAGCATTATAGGTAGTATTTAAAACCAAAGGAACTGATGAGAGCACTAGGGAGTCAATGTAGATAGAGAAAGCAAAAAGAACGAAGAATTGAGTCCTAGAAGAAGAGGGAGAAATTTTGTAAAAGAAATTAAGAAGGAATAACTAGTAATGTAGAAGGAAAACCAAGGAAGAGTGGGGTTCAAAAAGCAGAGTAAAAAAATTTATCAAAGGAAACGATCAGTTGTGCCAAAAGCTGATCTATCAAGTAAAATGAGAGCTAAGTAGTAGTTAACACAGTAGAAGTCATTGGTGGTTTTGATGGGAACAGTTTTGCTATGTGTAGGGGTGAGGGGGAGAAGGCCTGACTATACGGAAATTAAGAGAGAATGGAAGAATGAGGCTGGACGCTGTGGCTCACACCTGTAATCCCAGCAATTTGGGAGGCCAAGGCAGGCAGATCACCTGAGGTCAGGGGTTTGAGACCAGCCTGGCCAATATGGTGAAACTCCGTCTCTACTAAAAATACAAAATTTAGCCAGGCGTCGTGGCAGGTGTCAGTAATCCCAGCTACCTGGGCAGGCTGAGGCATGAGAATCGCTTGAACCCAGGAGGCGGAGGTTGCAGTAAGCCGAGATCATGGCACTGCACTCCAGCCTGGGCAACAGAGCTAGACTCCGTCTCAAAAACAAACAACAACAACAACAACAAAAGAATGGAAGAATGAGAGGAATAACTGCGGACAGCAAGAGAGTAGTTTTGCTGCAAAAGGGGACAGAGAAATATGGCAGTAGCTGGCAGGAGCAGTGAGATTTATAAATTATTTTTTAAGGATGAGGGAACTAATGTTTATATACTGAGAGGAATAATACAGGAAGAGAGCGAAAAATGTTACTCCAGGACACAAAAGAGAACTGTCAAACTGACATTATGAAGTAGGCAAAAGGGGACAGGATCTAGTGCATGAGTAGAAACACTGGCTTTAAATAAGAATATTAGTACTTAACTAGGATCTTGATACATATTTGCTGAAAGAACAAAATCTTTGGCTACTAAAACAACAGAAAGTGGCAAGTATAAACAGTAAATACTAACTTTGCTGTAACAGATGATATAGGAATTCGGAAGTACATCTGTTAGATAACTTTTCCTATTTCTTTTGCCCTTATTCCTTTGCCACAAACTACTCTTCAATATTAACTTTAGCTCTCCTCTTTGACCAATAAAAAATATCCAAGTTTATTTCTCTTCAAATATGGATCAAAAGATAAAAGCTCTAGGTTAAGGGAAGAGAATATAGAACCAACTTACCATTTTCATCTACTGCAAGCACACTTGCTCCTTTTCCCAAAAGTTCCTGAACCACCATTGTTAGCCCATTTCGGGCAGCAACATGCAGAGGTCTAGGGGAAAAAACATGATACATGTACACATATGTGCATGTGCATGCACATACACATACACACCTGGCTGTCAAAGAGCATTTTTGTCAACTTGTGAAGACCAAGAGGTACAAACTCGAGAAACCTAGTCCTAATAACAAAGATGGGGGCAGGGAGAGCAGAACCTCTGTGCAGTGCACTGTCACACCTTGTCAACGTGTAGCTCGGCATCAAGCTCAGCCATAGGTCCCATCGACAGGTCCCTACCTTCACCCAATCCTTTTGTTACTTTTCTTTTCAATGTTTAAAAACATTTTACCATTGAAATTGCATTCCTCCGTTGTTAAGGAATGAGGCTGGTAAAGATACAGACTATACATTAAAAACTGTAAACTGCAGTAGCATAAATTCTAATAGGCTTTGAAAACAGCTTACAAGCATCATGACTAATTTTTGGACCTTCAAGGGATCTGACTAATCCCAGAACGGGCAACAATATTCTAAGATTTTTATCTTTACTAAACCTCAAAATGGAATAGCAAGGGACAATGAGAGACACTGATGTAAGATCTCTGTCAGTCTATCTGGAGGTTGGCTGCTCACATTATTAAAAATTTTGATTCTTTAAGAAACCTTATTGGCTTACAGACACACATAAAGCTTCTTACCTCATTTATTGTTAGTTTCAAGTAACATATTATTACAGTTGATTTCCACAGAATACACAAAATAGTACTACTTTCCTTCAGAAAATTAGGTAGGTGGATTAAGGAAAAAAATACATTATTGTCAATGTTATAATAAAATTTCAGTTCAAAAGCATTTTAAATAATATGGCTTTTAGTTGTGATCATTTTAGAAATGAGTTTTGACAGTTGTAAAACTATTAAAATTGCTTCTATGACTAATGAAACCTATTCCAATAGTCACATGTTTAAAAAAATCCATTTATCATTTTTATAATTATAGGTCACAAAGTTTATACTAGATACTGACAGTACTCACGTTTGCAAGGCTGCGTTGGTTGCATTGATGAGGTTTCTATCTGTTATCTTTTCCAGTATTAACAAGGCACTAGTTTCATGACCCTATAATTGTGGCAGATAAGTTATAAAAACTTGAGCACCATTAAAGATACATTTATACACCCAACAATCTGCAATCCTAGTCCATATATTATGTACAACACCATACATATACCATGAATTTTCCTGGCTAATATCTTAATATTTGCCCAAACACATCTTGGGAGTGAGGGTAGGAGAAGAGGACAAAATTAAGATTAAGGAAAGAGGATAATTATGCTTAGACTTGTGTTCCAAAACTTATTTGGCTTACTGGAGACTTTGATACGCCATGGTGCCTTATAAGTCAATTTTGTTCAAGAAATCTAATACCAGTGATCATTAGAGAGGTTTGGTCCTGAGTTGTTCATTTTAGTGAAGTCAAAAAACTTTTAAGGTCACTGTTAATATTAACAATGGAAACATATTCTTAAGATGTATACATACCTTGCTACAAGCCAAATGGAGGGCAGTATTTTTACTGTTATCTTGTAAAGTCAGTTCTGCACTAGCACTGCTAACCAGCATCTCTGGGAGGAAAAAGTGCATCAATTCTTATGTTTATGAACATGTTTCTTAGATTACCAATAACTCACTGTAGAGAAATGAAGATACAAAGCAAAAAAGTCCCTCTCACAAAAACTTAAGTACAAGAAAAATATTGTAATATATAACATATATATCTTCATATAATTGTATGAGACAATTATATTGTTGTATAAGTCACACACTCTAACAATGGCAATTAACATTTATTTTGTGACTGTGCACTAAATTTTAAATACTGTTTTATATGCTCTGGATTTAAAGTAATTTATTTAACCCTCACAACAACACACCAAGTAGATACTGTTATTTTTCTCATTTTATAAATGAGAAAACTGAGGCATAAGGTCATTTAGCTGAAAGATCTAGGACTCACATTCAGGCAATCCAACTCCACAGCCAGTGTTCTTAACCACTATGTTATAAGGCCATGGTAAAGTAGACTCCTCAATAGTCAGGGCAAACTAAAACATTGTATCCCTAAATGAAAATGTGGATTGCAAACAGGTAAAAGGTTTTAAGTCTTAGGAGTGGTAAGATAACTAGTTGAAGTCAGAAGTCTTGGGATCTAAGTTATACATAAGTGATACACATACTTAGGAAAATACAATTTTAAAGAAGTTTCTTTACCAACTGTATTTGTTTGTCCATTTTCTGCAGCCATCATAAGAGGTGTTTTCCCTGTAGAGTCCACAGAATTGACTTGAGCATTATGGCTGAGCAGCAGCTGTAAACACTCTACATGGTCTGTGAAGGCGGCTGCATGGAGAGGAGTTCTGTGATAAAGAAAAATTGAAATATATGACTAAATTTGAATGTTATATATGCTGGAAAAATATTCTTTAATTTGTGACATGCTGTTTTTAAGGGTTTACATATTAGGCTACAAAAGCACTGCCTGTACACAAACAAATAGGCTCAATGGAGCTTACTAATTTCTCTCATAGAAATTTGTACTTTCAATAATACAGAAGGCTTTAATTAAACTAGAACTAGTATGAAGTAAAGATTAATTACAAAATTGCTAAAATAACATTACATCATTAAAGGAAATTTTGAAAGAAATAAATCCTAATCTGAATACCACCACTTATTACAACTGCTGGACTTTTTTCCAGGCTTTATTCCCATTTAGAAAACTGTTAACTTTGTTAACAATAATCTTTGGGAAACAAATTCGAAAGAGAGGGAAAAATATTTACATGTTAAAATAGTTTAAAGGAGGAAAACTTCCTAAAATCTATAAATAGAAAAACCTTTTATAATGTAAAAATAATTGAGATCTTATAACAATTTATACTCGCAAATATAAAAATCAACTTTTAATAATGGGTTTTCTGTAAATTCTCTCACACCAGCCAGTAGTTAAAATTTATTTCTTATTGAAAATAAAACCTTTTTGGGGGGTAGGGCCCAGACGGGATCTCACTCTGTCACCCAGGCTGGAATGCAGTGGTGCAATCATAGCTCACTGTTGCCTCAAACTCCTGGGCTCAAGTGATCCTCCTGCCTCAGCCTCCTGAACAGCTGGGATCACAGGCATGCATCATCATGCACTTTTTTTTTTTTTGGTAGAGATGCAGGTCTTGCTATGTTGACCAGGCTGGTCTTAAACTCCTGGCTTCAAGTCATCCTCCCACTTCAGCCTCCCAGATTGTTAGGATTATAGGCATGAGCCACTGTGCCTGGCTAAAACTATTTAATACATAGTTGAATTCCTACCTTCCTTTTGAATCTGTGGCGTTCACAATGCTGGCACCTAATGTATCAATTAACATCTCAGCAGCACCTTCGTTGTCATTTATCCTGTGTAAGGTAACAAGGTGATCATTCTCACAGCAATGGTGTATTTCTTAAAACACTCAAACCAAATCTGATTCATTCTGGCTTTACTTACACGGCACAATGCAATGGACTAAAAGCATTTCCTTCCGTTTTCTGGAAAACTTCCTGTTCTAAAAGCAGTTCTACACATGTCTCGTGACCTAAATAGGTGTAAAGAACCAGGTATTAAAATTCAAAGGAGATACTGGCAAAAATCACAGGTACATGTAAGTGTTTAAAGGAAAAATGTAAAAGTCTCTCCCTCATCCCATCTCCCAGATCCCCTCTCTGGAATATAACCATTGGTAGCTGTTAAGCCACCAGTAGTTCCTGAAAATTTCTAGGCATATACAACTGCACGCACAAAATACATACAGTTGGCTCTCTGTATCCGTGGGTTCTGCATCCATCAATTCAACCAACCCCAAATTAAAAATATTTGGGGGAAAAAAAAAACAGAGCAGACTTTTTTTCTTGTCATATACCCTAAATACAGCATACCAATTATTTACATAACATTTACATTACATTGGTTATTATAAGTAATCCAGAGATGATTTAAAGTATAGCAGAGAATGTGCATAGGTTATATGCAAATACTATCCCATTTTCTATAAGGGACTTGAGCGCCTGTTGGTTTTGGTATTCACAAGGGGTCCTGGAAACCAATCCTCAACAGCAAACGAGAAATGACTGTGCTATTTTTTTATTTTTTTCTTAATGGCAATGGGATGTTTAATTCCGCAACTTGCCTTTTACTTAATATTAACTACACATATCCTTCCATAATAGCATATATGAAATATTATTATTATTATTTTAGATGGAGTCTCACTCTGTTGCCCAGCCTGGAGTGCAGTGGCGCGATCTTGGCTCACTGCAACCTCTGCCTCCTGGGTTCAAGTGATTCTCCTGTCTCAGCCTCCCAAGTAGCTGGACTACAGGCGCCCACCACCATGCCCAGCTAGCTTTTTTCGTATTTTTAGTAGACACGGGGTTTCACCATGTTGGTCAGGCTGATCTCAAACTCCTGATCTCAGGTGATCCACCTGCCTCAGTCTCCCAAAGTGCTGGGATTACAGGTGTGAGCCACCATGCCCGGCTAAAATCTTATTCTTTAATGTTCTGAAGAGCTTCACAGTATCAAAGTATATCATAAATTATTTAATCTAATTATGGATTTTAAAGTGATTGCTAGTTTAAAAAAATTCTTCATGATATTATCAACAACGCTGTAATGAAACATTCTGGTATTTTTTTATTTTATTAAAACAATTTTTTGAGACAGGGTCTTGCTCTGTTGCCCAAGTTGAAGTGCAGTGGCATGATCATGACTCTCTGCAGTCTCAACCTCCTGGGCTCAAGTGATCCTCCCACCTCAGCCTCCTGAGTTGCTAAGACAACAGGTGCAAGGCTACCACACCTGGCTAATTTTTTGATATTTTGTAGAGATGAAGTTTTGCCATGTTGCTCAGGCTGGTCTTGAATCCCAGAGCTCAAGTGATCTGCCTGCCTCAGCCTCCTAAAATGCTGGGATTACAGGCATAAGCCACCACGGCCAACATTTTGTTTTTATTTTAGGAAGTATTTTTGTAGGACAATTTCCTACCAAAGTGATATTGCTGTGGTAAAGGAGAAGTATCCAGCCTTGGTATTCTTGGGGGATTGGGTCCAGGACTCCCCACTGACAGCAAAACTCCATAGTCCCTTATACAGGTCCCTTGTACAAAATGGTTTATTTGTGTATAACCTATGCACATCTTCTCATATACTTTAAGTCATCTCTAGATTACTTACAACTTAATTCAATGTAAATGCTATATAAATAGTTGTTGTATTGTTTAGGGAATAATGACAAAAAAAAAGTCTGTACATGTTCAGCCTAACTATATTTCTGATGGACATTCAGTTGAATTCACCGATGGGGGACCCATGGATATGGAGGGCTGACTGTATTGACTGTTCATCAATATCTGGTCCATAGTTTTTAACAGTAACTTCAAAAACAGAAAAATCCAAATTTCAAATTTTCTTACCCTAATTCCAGAGCCAGGGTTTTAATTTAATACCCTAATTACTACAAATAAAATGTTGCTTATTTTATTTCATTAGTCATTTGGGATCTACTTTAGGAATAAGATTCTTACATGGCCTCTTTATACATTTTCATGGTTTAATATTTGCCTACCAAAGTGATGTTATATTTTCTTTTCTTTTTAAATTACTCAAACTTAATCAGCTTAAACTTTACCCTATAATTGTGGAAAAGTAATTTTTAGAAAAACCTGTAATTGTGTTCCATCTTTTGTCAGTTCTTTTCTCTAATCTAGTAGTTTTCAAGTGGATTTTGCCCATCAGCAGATATTGTATGTGGCAATGCCTACAGACATTTTTGTTTATCACAACTGAAGGTGGGGCAGTGCAACTGGCATCTAGTGGGTAGAAACCAATGATGCTGCTAAACATCTTGCAATGCACTGGAGAGTCCCTTGCAACAATCATCTGGCCCAAAACGTCATAGTGCTGAGGTTGAGAAACTCCTTTAATGCCATCGTTCTGAATGTTAACTCATTACTAAGATACAGCAATGGAAAGTTGTCCATTGTTGACTTAAGAGCCCCTCATTCTCCAGGTATATGGGTTCTTAAGGTGTGGCCTAGGGAACCCTGGGGTGACGCAAAAAAAATATGAATAAAAACACAGATGAGAACCCAACTATTCTCTTAAATTAGCTATGAAGAGATGTACTACTCTTCTCACTAAAAAGAAAATACTTTTGGAAAATAGTTTTCATAAAAAAAGATTATTTATGTTAACATGTAATAGACATTATTTTTAAATAAATCAGTAAGTATTTAAAAATTTCTCAATTACAATTTCTAATACAGTCAGTATCAATCCATAGTTCCTGAGACCAAAGGGTTTGAGAACCACTCACCATCTGAGTACAGACTGAGAAAAGGGAACAGTGGGGCCCCTTTGTGACCTCCAGAAATCATTACTGGGTGATATCAAGCAGACAATCTCATAACTTTCTATCATCATTTATGAAAGATAGATAGGATGGTAAACTGGGTCCTCCTGAGTTTCAGAGGCTAGTCTGAGGATGTTTAGAGCTTCATAAAAATGAACACATTTTTTAAAGGAATAATAAGTATTCTTAAGTTCTGTGATTGAATGACTATATAAACTGAAATTGTGAACTTTTAGTATCTACAGCCAGTGTTTTTCTAAAACTTGGCCATCATTTCATTTTAATTTTAAGAGGTTGTTTTCTGTTCTGTTGGCATGCTTCCACTTTTCTTTCCAGCTGTACAATAATTACTAGTTAAAGTAAAAACCATTTTACATATTCTACTTTCAGAATGCCAAATTATAAAACGGGCTTTTGGCTATAAATATGGTATTAATTTTAGGCTGTCTATATAGTCGCTTATTGCATATAGCCAACACACATTAAATTCCTTCCAGCTCAAATTCAGCATCACCACAATTTTGCTACAGGCTGAAAATCAGACACATTTGTTATGATCTTTAAATGGCAACCAGGCATGCAGTTCTTGCAAAATTCTGTCTCTTGCACAAAACGTGCTTAGAGTCTAAATTTAGCAGTGATAGAGTAGGAACTCACTTTAGGGAAAATGTTCTACATATAGATCTGATAACAAACACTGTAATAGAAAGCAACTCTCCAAAGGACAGTTACAGCAGTACATTTACAACTAAATGCTCTTCCTGAGGAAAAATATCTCACTGTGTGATTTTTCCAATGGTTAATCTTCAGGGATATATTTTTTTAAAAACCAAGCAGTAAGTCTTTGCTTCTGAACAGTTTTATCTCACTGACTTTTTTACAGAAACACAACTCACAATTGTAGATATTTTCCCACTATATTAGATATTTTGGGTTTTCCTTATACTTGTAAAATGTCAAGTCACATTACAGAAACAAATCAAACATCAATGGCAAAATACAGTATCTTCTTTGTTCTAGTATGAGTACTAGTCTCTGGCCACTTCACTACACTCATTTCTACTTGCCTTAGCGAGTAGAAATGGGAAAAAGAGAAGTTAAACCCCAAAGGTTTTATAGTTTTCAAAACTGTTTTGGTTAAGGATTTAAGGTAGTAAAAAACAAAGAGACTAAACTAGCTTGTTCAATGAGCAACAGATTTAACTATTCAAGTTTTTATGGTGCTATCAGTACTCAGCTGAAGGATAACCAACAGTATAACAGGACAAACCTCAAGAACCCAAAATGTTCTAACGGCAAAAGAATACAACTCCCAACTTTGGCATAAGGACTAATATGAAAATCAAAATATTGTATCTCAGAAATACTTGTGGAAACATTTAATGAAGTTATAATTTTACAAGATTCAGCTTTTTCCTCTTTTGCTTTAACTTGATAACTTTGTCAGAACAGCTCCCAGTGAAAGAACTATGAAACAGCATATTATAGAAAGATAGGAAATCTCAACTTCCTGGTAAGGCAGTCTGATTTTACAACAGATATTATACTTATTTATTTTTAGCAAATGGGTATTTATATAAAGAGACAACTTATATTTTCTCTGCATTTTGAGGGAAGGTTATTAGAATTGTGAACTACAGCTTTGTAGATCTGCTGTCATAATTAACATTAATCTTGAAGCTACACTGAAATTGAAAACAAATTTTAAAAACCTCTAATTTCTCTACTAAAGCCTGAAGCTTGAACTTTGACAACACTGATGCTTGCACTGTATATAATGTACTTGAGTTTTCTAAGATGATCAAATCTAAAAATATCTCAACATGCTTCATTGCATAAATTATTTTAATTAGTGGCATTTCATAAGCCAAACTGCATTTTTAACATCTATAACTTCAAAGTAGCTTTATGCTTCCCTACGTGACCTTTTATGAGTCTACCTATAAAAGCGATGACTGTGACTGTGAGCCTGTAGGAGGCCAAAGAAAATCTCTTTTAACCATGTAGCAGAGTTAACCCATCAAAGTTTCTAATTCTAAGACCTGCTAGGGATTTATTCCTTTAAAACATTGAACATGGATATTACTGGTAATATAAGAATGTTATCTTGCAATGTGCTCAGAAAACATACATAGATTTCAGTTTAGAATGTGATACATCTCACTGTTTCTCCTACTTTTGGTTATTTTTCCCCTAATATGATTGTATTTAGAAAGTAAAAGAACATGGCTGGGTGCAATGGCTCATGCCTGTAATCCTAGCACTTGGGGAGTCTGATGTGGGAGGATTGCTTAAGCCCAGTTGTTCAAGACCAGCCTGGGCAACATAGTGGGACTCTTAAAAAAAAAAAAATAGTAAAAGAACACAATCAAAATACAAGCACACTATATAAAAGCAATGGAAACATTCTAAAAACCTCCTAAAAATGCAAAATATTTGTGGAAATAAGGATCTAAGAAAAACTTCAGGCTACATGGTGGCTCATGCCTGTAATCCCAACACTTTGGGAGGCTGAGGTGGGAGGATCACTTGATGCCAGGAGTTCAAGACCAGCCTGGGCAACATAGCAAGATCCTACCAAAACTAAAAAAGAAAAGAAAAGAAAAGAAAAACCTCAAAAATACTTCATGGCTTATCTCAGAACACCTTTGACAACTAGTGTCTTGGCTTTAGCATGACAAAGGACAGGAGTGAGCCTACGTACTAAGTATTATTAGTACGTGAGCCTATACAGTAGATTATTCCCAAGGTTTTTGCTAATTTTAAACTTAAAATTTGCCTTATAAATATGTCATTCTTTTATCTCTGTTCACTACACAATGATATGCATTTGTGTTTGTATACTTAACCATTGTAGCAAGCCCAGTGAAGTGCCGTATATCCATGATTGTCTGCTGTGGCTGGATTTGCATCCATAGATGCTGCTGACTGCAAAAGGGCTCCAAGAACACCAATGTGTCCACAGGCAGCAGACAGGTGTATAGGCGTCCGGCCCCTGCTATCCCGAAGTAAGCACTTAGCACCATGTTGAAGTAATGCATCTACACATTCTTCATGGCCTGTAACTGCCTGAAAGAAAATAATTTAAAGGTAGTCAAACATATTATGCTAAACATTACATGCCAATTTCAGCTAATTAAAAACTTTAAAGACCATACTCTCCATATCCTTCCATCAATTAAAGCCATTTATCATTTTATGAGTAATTCTGTATTTTTATTGGAAGTGGTTTAAAAATTCAGTTAAAGCAAGAACCCTTCTAAAATGCAAATAGTATGAAAACAGGAAGAGAGAAACTTGGTATTCAATGAAAATAATGATATTTCAAAGGTGAAAAAAGATTAAAGTGTATAAGAAAATAAGTGAGATAATGGAAAAAGTCAAATTGACATTAATTCTACTAAAAGTTTTAGAGTTTTAAAATTTTGTTCTAACATTGTTCTCTAGATTAAGTTGTACTCTGTAATTGTTCAAAATTAGCATTTAAAAACTAAGATACTGAAAGAAATGGTAAAGACTATTTGACGAACATTTAATGAAGAAAAAATAAACATAACCTAGTTCAGTTCTAGGTAATATGAGGTCATAAAAGCTTTTTGAAAGGAAAGAGCATATTTCTGCTTACCCCTCTATGCAACGCTGTCCTTCCCCACTTATCTTTGGCATCTACATTTGCTCCTTTGTTCAGCAATGAGTAAACACAGTCTGTGTGCCCGTTGAGAACAGATAGCATCAGAGGCGTCCTGAGCAACAACAGGAATAGGTTCAGTGCTGTCACTTAAGACTGTACTCTGGTTTTCGAAATACGCCCTTCTGTGATGCAACAATTATTTATCGAAACTTACTGTCCATTTCCATCTTGAATATCCACTGCATTCTGTGGTTCTGCATTTCCTATTAATAGCCGTAAGCATTCTGAATGACCATTTGTTGCTGTAAAGTGAAATTTAAACATTTCAGTAATTACATATAATGATAAAATAGAAAATGTCCATCTAAAAGCACATCTTCTAGAATTTACTTTTGGGATAGTTGCACTGAATTTAATATGCAAGAATGAAAACTATAGGTAAAAAGAAGGTTTCTACGGCCTTTGACTGTTAAAGCTGGAATAAATGTGAATTCCTCACAGTAAAACATGACAGGCAGACCGCCTACCCAGCACCCATGCCCTATCATCTGCCTCTAAAAGAATGCTCATTTTATTTAGCTCTCTGGCAATGTGGTCAGGAAGAGTGCCTTGACTCCAGCAAAGGGATGATACCATGATTAGACCAAGTCAATCACAAGAACCCCATTCTCCTCTGACAGTGATCAGTTTTAAGGTGAGCAGCACAGGAACCAGGTCTGACTACTGAGATGCCGATAAGTCTAGAGGCTGCTGGGAAATACTTTTATCTTTAATAATGAAAAGCCCCCATTCCTTCCTGATTTTAGATGCAATCCTTAAAAGCAGCAGCAATAATCCCACAACATGAATGCAAATGTAAGAGAATAACAGAATTTAATCCAGAGCTCTGACACCGTTGTAGAATCAACCAACCCTGGAACTGCATCTGCCTGATATTGCTTTTTTTTTTTTTTTGAGACAGAATCTCGCTCTGTCGCCCAGGCTGGAGTGTAGTGGTGTGATCTTGGCTCACTGCAACTTCCGCCTCCTGGGTTCAAGCAATTCTCTGCCTCAGCCTCCCAAGTAGCTGGGATTACAGGCGCCTGCCACCACACCCGGCGATTTTTTTTGTATTTTTAGGAGAGATGAGGTTTCACCATCTAGGCATGGCTGGTCTTGAACTCCTGACCTCATGATCCACCCACCTCGGCCTCCCAAAGTGCTGGGATTACAGGCATGAGCCACCGTGCCCAGCCTGCCTTTCGACATTGTATATGAGACACTAAACCCCTTAAGCTATTTTCAGTAGGGTACTCTGTTATTTATGGCTGAAATAATTTCAAATGATATATATATATATACATACAGTACAAGAAAAATGATCCATCTAAAGAATGCATGTGTTAAGTCCAAATGCATAAAATGGGCAAGGGTACAAGTAGAAGTAGTCCAAAGAAAAGAGCTTTTGAAGTAAGTTAAATCCTCTGCAAAATTCAGGTCCTGTTAATATATACAAAGTCTGAAGTTTAAAGAAATACATTAGAAAAAAATGTATCTTGCATATGATACAGAAAAGAACGTCTATCACTATTTCTTCTAATTAAAAGATGACAAAACTAGCAAAAGCAAGCTAGGTGCTGAATATTCCACAGTATGTTCCCACAGTTATATTAAATACTAATAGTTATTAAACTTGTGGCTTAAATCACCTCTCCTACCCTAGTCCAATCTGTATGCTGCACTCTGCCAGCAGCTCTCACAGCTTAGCAACAAAAAACAGGGTCGTAACACTTGGGGATGTTCAAGAAGAACTTGTTTGGCCCATCATTTTTCAAATCAGTTCATTTACACTCAGTTCACAGTCGCTACTGATGAATGTTTGTGTCATCTAAGTTCAATACCCAAACAGCAAGCACAGCATCTCTGTGGGAAATGACTGGTAAACCTCCAGGAAAAAAAACCCTCAGTGTTCTTTTCATGGCTTATAGATGCTCTCTATAGACCTCCAAATTTGAAAGGCATCTATAGATACAAGGCTTGCATTTATTGAATAGATAGGCACTAAGAGTAACCTGTGGTTCTTTTTGTGGGTAGGATTTATGCTGAACTATATGGCATTGGTTAACTACTTCTAAGGGACTGGCTAATGTCTCAGTTCAATATTTACCTATTGAGAGTGCAACCACTCCATGCAAGCTTTAAATTAGTTCTGCATATGATCTGCAATTATAATTTTTCTAGCTATAGATTAATATTTTTAAAATGTACTTATTTTTCACAGATCCCATCCAGTGTACAAAATTGATTTTTATTTTATATTTTAGGAACAGGGTTTCATCATGTTGCCTAGAGTGCAATGAAACTGAACTCAAGTGACCCTCTTGCCTCAGCCTCCCAAGTTAGGTGGGAATACAGGCATGCGCCACCAAGTTTGGCTTTGCAAAGTGATATATAACTTCACTCTTTTTCAGAATAAGGTAACAGCAAGTAATGCATTTTAACCTCTTGTTCAAACCATATAGTAGTGTATATATGTTTATTAGAGGTTCTAATGTATTATTAAAATATTTTTCTCAGCCCCACTTGAACATCTGATAGCTTTGAAGGGCGGCTCTGGGAGTAACAGTGGGTGTTATCAATAGTCTTCTAAAATGTAAGCTTCCCAAAGGACTAGAAAAAAAATCCAAGACATATATTCAAATGTATTCTTAAGGATCACTCTATAAAAATAGAGAGTTGTGAATCTGCATCTGCCAGTGATACGCAGTGGGTAGCAAGTCATTTAACTGACTTGGTTATAGACCTTCGTATTTTAACGTATCTGCTACATCATAATATCACAATATGGAATAGTTCTTGCATAAAGTGCTCTGTAAAGCCTGTCTGCATAAATGTTTAATGCAGTACACTGGTAAAATAAGTCAAAACGTGTATCACTTGTTAAATGAAAGATTATACCAATCCAAAATAACTTCTACCAGAAAGAAATAAATACTGCATTGTTTTGTTGATAAAGTGTTTCAGAAGTTAGATTATTACATAAACCCAACTTCTAAGGCAGATAATGTTTTAAGTGATGATAGTCTTGTTGTTGGTATTCCCTGAGAATACAATCATTTTACCACTTAAAGTCAAAAATTTCCCCAGACAGTTGTAGCTCTTGGTAATCTCCTTGGGTCTGGAAACTTTTGAAGAGCCAAGCTGACATTTTTCAGCTCTTTGGGCCACTGGGTTTTAGAGGGAGAAGTCCAGAGATAAGTCCAGGCTGTAGCACAACCTTCAAAACAACACAGGCGCCTCTCTGATCCTGCCCTACCTAAGCTTTGACGGTAGTGGGGCTTCTGTCTGGAGAAATGCCTTCAAAGAGTAACCAGTAGGTGTGACATAGAATTGGCCAATGTTAGCATCTGCAGCCATCATCAAAAGATGAATCCACTGCCACTGCCCCCTGAGGGGCCCCTAAAATTGCAGAAGGTATCAGCAAGGAGGCTGCCAAGGTTGTTTTCCAAGAGAGGCCACAGGAGGAAGGGAGCTACTTGGGGGCACTTACATCTTTTGTGCAGAGGAGCTTCTTTTCATGAGAGCAGGACAGTTTTAATGACTTCTTAAACACTTGTGTGGGACAGGCTGGAGCATGAGGGAGGTTTTAAGCCAGGCACAAAGTTAGTTTCAAACACTAGTTAATAAATCTATTTTTATTTCCTTTTTCACACAGAAGCTGGTAGTCTAGGACCTACATGTAAACAACTTTATATGAATATTTTTTGTGCTTGGTTTACTTGGGTTGATATAATACACTGTATTTAAGTTCCCTGAACACTGGGATACTCCTAATGTTTATGAATGACGGAGGCTTTGTAAATTCATTTGTGTGAATAAAGTTATTTGGTGAGGTCAAATAATCCATATATGATTTGAAAAAAAAAAAGGTCAAAATTTTAAAGACAATTAACTGGAAATATTATATATCAGAAATTGAAAAAAAGTATTGGATAGAAGTTATAAATAAATCAAGCATAATATCTGGCATACCTGCTGCATGAATAGGTGTCCTCTTCAAAATGTAATCTTTTACTAAGATTGAGGCTCCCTGATTAATGAGTACATCCACACATTCAACATGGCCCTTAAAAGCTGCAAGATCTAGGGGTGTTCTTCCACTACTATTTCTGACATCAAGATCTAACAAAGACTGTACCAACACTTCCAGTGCTTGATGGTGACCATGATAGGCCTAGAAATAAATAAAAATGTAAATTTAAAACATACATATTTAGACTGACTTCCTAAATACTTGAATAAATGTAAATAAGCAAACTTGTCTTCATATTATTATCCTACTTGAGATAATCCAAACTTCTACATCGAGAATTCAGGAAGTTAACTACAGATCTTTCTAATAATCAACATAGTAGGCTACTGTGTTAGGGAACAGGCATTCTAAAAATAATACAAGTTCAAATGACAGGTCATCTTTTCATGAGTATACAATGCTTGGCTCACGGCAGACATTCAATGGATGTGTGACACGGATTCATTTAAAGTCTTGATTTCAAGTCTGATTCTAAAAAGCCTGTGTTTTTTTTGTTTTGTTTTGAGACAGGGTCTTGCTCTGTTGCCCCAGCTGGAGTCCAGTGGCGTGATCATAGCTCACTGCAGCCTTGACCTTCTGGGCTTAAGTGATCCTCCCACCTCAGCCTCCTGAGTAGCAGGGACCAGAGGTACACGTCACCATGCCCAGCTAATTTTTCTTTTAATTTTTGTAGTGATGAGGGTCTCGCTATGCTATCCGGGCTGGTCTCAAAATTCCTGGCCTCAAGTCATCCTCCTACCTTGGTCTCTCAAAGTGCTAGGAATACAGGCATGAGCCACTGTGCCCAGCCAAGCCTGTGTTCTTAATCACAGTTCAGTGCTCCACATCAACTGCAAAGACAGCTAGCAACTTGAGTCAGTGCTTGAATATTCGGATTTCTCAAATTAAACTGACCATACCCACCCCATAATGTGCCATAGCTAAAAAAGAAGTAATTCTTTTAGCAAAGAAATGCATAACCGAGCCCTGCTTGAATATCACCACATACCAGGCATTGTCCTAGCTGTACAAAAGTAAGACTGAAGATTTGTCAGACTGAAGTTGTCTTTTTTTTTTTTTTTTGAGACGGAGTCTCACTCTGTCACCAGGCTGGAGTGCAGTGGCACAATCTCAGCTCACTGCAACCTCCGCCTCCCTGGGTTCAAGCGATTCTCCTGTCTCAGTCTCCCGAGTAGCTGGGATTACAGGCGCATGCCACCATGCCCCAGCTAATTTTTGTATTTTTAGTAGAAACGGGGTTTCACCATGTTGGCCAGGATGGTCTCGATCTCTTGACCTTGTGATCCGCCCGCCTCGGCCTCCCAAAGTGCTGGGATTACAGGCGTGAGCCACTGCGCCCGGCCCCGAGTTGCCTTCTTCATACAGTCTAATAAAAGGGCTTTCCAGAAAAGTCTTTTCAAAATCCAACATGGCAACTGAACATATATTATTTACACTGGACTAAATGCTGAGCAGGACATAAAGAAATAAATAAACTTCAAAGGACTATAATGCCATTTCTTGTAGAAAATGTCAGAAAGTAGCAGCAAGAGATAAACTTGCTCTGGGCCTCACTGATCTCTTTATAATGAATCTGTGTAGAAACTTGACTACTTAAGCTTGACTATCTCAAAGATTAAAGTGACTGTAGGTCACGGAATTCTACTGTTTTAGGATTACATCTAACTTTGTTCCTCAATACTAGGTCAATGAAAATTATGCTACTGAAAGAATGAACTCTGAGGAATCATACATTAAATATAAAAGACAATATAAAAAGAAGAGTTTAGCCAGTTGTGGTGGCTCACACCTATAATCCCAGCACTTTGGGGAGGCTGAGGTGGAAGGATCATTTGAACAGGAGTTTGGGGCCAGCCTGAGCAACACAGTGAGATCTCATCTCTGCCAAAAATAAATAAACAAACAAATAAATAAGCTGGACCTGGTGGCACATGCCTGTGGTCCCAGCTATGCAGGAGGCTGAGGCGGAAGTATCACTTGAGTCTAGGAGGTACAGGCTGCAGTGAGCTGGGAATGCACCACTGCAACCCAGCCTGGGTGACAGAATGAGATTGTATCTCTAAATAAAAAAAAAAAAAAAAAAAAAATGAGGTTGGGCATGGTCACTCACACCTATATCTCAGCACTTTGGCAGGCCAACACAGGAGGATTACTTGAGGCCAGGAGTTTGAGACTAGCCTGGGCAACAGTGAGACCTTGTCTCTACAAAAAAATAAAGAATTAGTCGGGAATGGTGGTGTGCACCTATAGTCCTAGCTACTCAGAAGGCTGAGGGAGGGAGGCTCACTGGAGCTCAGGAATTCAAGACTGTAGTGAGCCGTGATTGTGCCACTACACTCCAGCCTGGATGACAGAGTGAGACAATGAAAAACAACAGCAAAAATAAATAAAAAATAAAAATGAAAAGACAAGAGAAATAAATGGGAGCCATGATGATTTGCCACAGGGCTTTTCCCCCCATGATATCCTTGTATGGGACTGAGAGAAGAAGTCCAAATGTCCAGTATGACTAAAATTAGGAATCAAGGCCAGTCTCCTTAAGCCTCAGATCAGTATGTTTTCACTGTACCAAGTTGTCCCGAATGGGAGAGTTTCGTGTAAGAAATTAAAGTAACTTCTGAAAACCTCCTAGAGATAGATATGAAATGCAAAAGTGGTGGTATAATCATATTTCATTAAGCCTAATCACTAAATTATTTCAATTTTTAGTTTAAAAACACTATTTAGTATACCTATGGCATAGCAGCACTTATTCATAATAGCCAAGAGAAGAAAGCAACCCAGCATCTATTGTCAGATGAATGGATAAAGAAAAATGTGCTATATACATAACAATAATTATTCAGCTTAAAAATAAGGAAATTCAGCCACATGCTACAACATGGATGAAACCTGCTAGATGAAATAAGCCAGTCACACAACACAAAAAAATACTGTTATGATTCCACTTAAATGAGGTGTCTAGATTAGTCAAATTCATAGGAACAGAAGGTAGGCTAGTATTACCAGGGACTGGGGAAAGGAGAAACAGGGAGATGTTTAATGGGTACAGAGTTTTAGTTTTAACCTTTACAAGATAAAAAGATTCTGGAGATTGGTTGTACAGTAATGTAAATATACTTAACACTGCTGAACTGTACAATTAGAAATGGTTAAGAAGGTACGTTTTATGCTATGTTTTCTTTTTTCTACCATTACCACCATATACACATACAAAATCTCTGACAAAAAAATAGTAATGGGGGGGCAGAGAGAGAGAGAGAGAGAGAGACCGACCCACTAATCAATGTATAGCACACTGTTAACTTGCAAGCACAAAAAGAGAAACTTGCCAAATTGAAGGGTGGGGTAGAATACAAATGAGAATTTCTAAGGAAACAACATCATTAAACTGATAACTAAGTCCTAAAGACTGCAGGGCTTTTGGGAGTCTTTAATATGCTACTAGTTGAATCTCCACAAGGCGGAAATAGTCTGGCACCTAGAAAGTGCTCAAGAAATGACAGTGAAATTATTATAATGAGAATGCTGCTGCTGCTGCTGCTGCTAATGCTGCTCAGTCTTCATTTCTTTTCATCAATAGTAAAATGGCTATTTCTTCCATGCTGGCTTTGCCTTTTCAGACTTATTTACTATGCATGTCTGGGAGAGGTGATGGTGTTTCCAAGGACTCAAAGGGCAAAGAAGTAGAAAGCTTCAAGAATGCTTTCTTAGTTATTTAGAACATGATAGGAAGTATCAGTAGGGAGAAATGGCAGAAAATTTAATGTATATATGTCAGTGTTAAAACACCCGCAAGGAGAATATTAAGATAAAAAATAATAGTACATATGAAAAGAAACAATCAAATGAATAACTGAACTTGTAGTGTTCCACATTAAATTAAGGATACATCCTTATAAGCATTTTACTAAAAATCATGGATCTCACAAACACCTGGTGAGAGTACCCTGGTCTCCTGATTCTCAAAGTACCCCCTTCCCTACAACTCTAACATGCTTTGTCTCAAAAATAAATTCTTTCTGTACAGGAAGCTAGATTAGGATCTACTTGAAATTTAAGGTAATAAATTCTCATTTGACTTAAAAAATTGTCACATTCTTCCCTAACCTTCTCCATTTAGTGATTGACACTGAAAAAAAATTTAGAGGAATCTTAAAGTGGAAGGGACATAACAGACAATGTAGCCAAATCCTATAGTGTGAGCAACTAAAGGACCAGTGAACACACAACAAGTTAGCACCCCAAGATCACAAAGTAAGCAAAAAATTGTAGAAATACCACAGAATGTGTGTGTATACCATCTGCTTAGCCAACTTATAAGGCATTCCACTAGGGCAGCACATTTTAAAATTCACCATCACAGGCATATTCTCCATATTTTCTCCCTTTCTCTCCCCAGAAGGCCCTGGGGGAAGCCTAAGGATCACTGTCTGTCTTTTTTTTTTTTTTCTAAAGCAAGAAACAGAAAAAACAAAAACAAAAACCCAGCACATTAAGTAATTCTCTGAATTAAAGAAAGTTCTCAAAGTTTTAATTCCATGATAACTATTACATGGACCAAAAGTTTATGGTACTAGTTTGAGTCAACACAAATAGGTTATTAGATATTTTCAGTAAACCAGCAGCCATCAAGTCGGCTATGAAGGCAGTACTCACAGCCAAGTGTAAAGGGCTTATTGTTGCTCTATTATCTGAATCACTCAGCATGTCTGTTCCTGAGGTTTCCATTAACTGAAAAAGAAGAGGCATTTTAAATGTCAGAAAGACATACTACAGCAATTATTCTCTCCCACCCACCCAGTTCAAATCCACCTTAGAGTATTATTTGGCAACTCAGCAAACTTATAAAACATGATTATTATGAAAGTATACTAAGGACCACAGACTAAGAGCTTTGAAGACAGGCATAAGAGTTTGGGGGAAATGCTACTTAATTGCCACCAAGTAAACATCTTCCTTTCCTCTGTACACATGATTTCTGTCACCGTCTTTGTGCCTAATATGTAAAAACACTTTCAGCTCTAATGAGAGCAAACAGATAAACATAACTGGTAGGAGGGAACTGACCAATACTAATTGGTGGGAGGGAATTGACTAATACTTACAACATCTAGAGGAGTTTCACTTGCAATCTGAAATAAAAGTCAAAACAAAAATATTTAGCTTGGGAAGTATTCATCTATATTAAGTCTCAACTTATATAGAGCTTTGCTAACTTTTACCCTAAACCCGTGCTTCCTTTGGCTCCAAAAAATTAGGTGTTTTGAATAAACAATTTTATATCACAACAGACGTCAAATCTATATACATAGGTCTAAAATTTTGGTGTGAATATCCATAACGTAGGAAAATAGTTATTTTTGTAGCAGGGCTCTAAGTGCTATATTAAATTGTCAACCTCCCTTTTCTTGTTTTATATCTACGCTCGTTGAATTTTATTTCCCCTTGAAGGGAAGCAAAGTTTAATGTAATTTATAAGGTAAGTCTAAATAAGAGCATCTTTAACCTAAAGTATCTGTTACACACATGAATATCTTTTCCTTGACTTTCCTTCTGGTTTGGTAAATTTGGGTGAATGGTGGTATTCTATTCCAGAATCAGACCACAGCAGAAATAAAAACGTCCTCTGCAGAAGTGGAGTCTCCCTTGTTAGGAGGGGTTGTGAAATAAATGTGCCTTTTGGAATTCCCTAAATATATGGGGGAGATATTCCTTTCACAGGGACTTTTATTTCTCACAAAAGACACAGTTATAGTTTTTTAGAAACTTATGAGGAATATTAATTTAAAGGGGCAGGAGAAGTAAATAGTGTAGACATGAACATGGGGTAATCAGTAGCCCTCTTCAGAGATCTAATTTTCTCCTTTTTTAAAAGGAAAAGAGAATGAGATATATCTTACTAAAGCAAGTGTGAATTTAAGAGGTATATAAATTCTGAAAATGTTAAAAAACAAAATGGAATTTGTTCCTTGATCCATTTATTCTCATTTTTGTTACATTATTAGACTATAAACTCCCATTAGGTCTTTCACAAGAATTCAGGAATCTTACCAGCTGAAGACATAGACGGTGACCATAAGCAGCTGAATAATGAACTGCGTTGTATCCTTGCTTATCACGGATCCCTGGATTTGCATCGTTTCTTAATAAGTATTCCAGGCACCTATATACAACAACAACAACATACTGAAAATCCTAAATCCTGCATATTAACCAATGATAAAAAGAGACTGAAATTAAAAACTGACAATTTTTCTTATACTTGAGTAATATAAAAATCATAAATGTATTACACTATAAAAATGTCATTTAAATGACACTGACTAAAGTATCATAAAAATGCAAATGAAACATTCATGAGAATCTTCTTGATTCAAAGTGGATACCTCAAAAGTCTGTCAGACAGCTTTTTTTTTCATATGTGAAGGCTATCTTTTACACAGTCTCTATCTATACCACCACCTATTCTACTAAACAATGTTGGATAGGATTAAACTTTTCGTGGTGGTGAGTACATAATATTGGCAATATTACTATTTATCTATCTAGAACACAGAATGAGTAAATTTTTCATCATGAAGCTCAAGAAAGGATGTTAAACAAAACAAAACCTCAAGAAACCAAGGTCAGAACTCAATGAATCTGAATTAGAGGACTAAGAAGAGGTATATAAACAGAGTAAAGTGGTAAGAAGGTATCCATAAGAGATACTTCATTTCATTTCTGTGATAATAAAATATGAGGAAAATAATTTTAAAAAACACTATATGTAAAACCACTATGGAAAACTGTATGGAGATTCCTTAAGGAACAAAAAGTAACACTACCATTTGATCCAGCAATCCCATTACTGAGTATCTACCCAGGGGAAAAGAAGTCATTATTTGAAAAAGGCACTTGCACATGCATGTTTATAGCAGTACAATTCGCAATTGCAAAAATATGAAACAAGTCTATTTAGGCTATCTATCAACGAACGAGTGCGTAAAGAAAATGTGGTATATATACACCATGGAATACTATTCAGACATAGAAAGGAACAAAATAATAGCATTTGCAGCAACCTGGAGTTGGAGATCATTATTCTAAGTGAAGCAATTCAGGGATGGAAAACGAATATCGTATGTTCTCGCTCATAAGTGGGAGCTATGAGGAGACGCGAAGGCACAAAAATGATAGAATGGACTTTGGGGACTCAGGGGGAAGTTCCCAAATTGTACCCAATATGTAGTCTTTTATCCATCATATTTTACTCCATGTGAGGGATAAAAGACTACACATTGGATACAGTGTACATTGCTCAGGGGACCAGTGCACCAAAATCTCAGAAATCATCAATAAAGAACTTATCTATGTAACCAAAAACCACCTGTTCCCCAGGAACTATTGAAATAAAATACAATAAAAATAAATTTAATCATGTGTTTGTTTTTTTTTTGCCATTGGTTCTGTTTATGTGATGGATTACGTGTATTGATTTGCGTACGTTGAACCAGCCTTGCATCCCAGGGATGAAGCCGAGTTGATTGTGGTGGGTAAGCTTTTTGATATGCTGCTGGATTCAGTTTGCCAGTATTTTATTGAGGATTTTCGCATTGATGTTCATCAGGGATATTGGCCTAAAATTCTCAAGGCTTTGGTATCAGGATGATGCTGGCCTCATAAAATGAGTTAGGGAGGATTCCCTCTTTTTCTATTGTTTGGAATAGTTTCAGAAGGAATGGTACCAGCTCCTCTTTGTACCTCTGGTAGAATTCGGCTGTGAATCCATCTGGTCCTGGACTTTTATTTGTTTGGTAGGCTATTAATTATTGCCTCAATTTCAGAACCTGTTATTTGTCTATTCAGAGATTCAACTTCTTCCTGGTTTAGTCTTGGGAGGGTGTATATGTCCAAGAATTTATCCCTTTCTTCTAGATTTTCTAGTTTATTTGCGTAGAGGTGTTTATAGTATTCTCTGATTGTAGTTTGTATTTCTTTGAGCTCGGTGGTGATATTCCCTTTATGTGTCTATTTGAATCTTCTCTTTTCTTCTTCATTAGTCTTGCTAGCGGTCTGTCTGATTATCTCAATAGATGCAGAAAAGGCCTTCGACAAAATTCAACAGCACTTCATGCTAAAAACTCTCAATAAACTAGGTATTGATGGAATGTATCTCAAAATAGTAAGGGCTAGTTATGACAAACCCACAGCCAATATCATACTGAATGGGCAAAAACTGGAAGCATTCCCTTTGAAAACTGGCACAAGACAGGGATGCCCTCTCTCACCACTCCTATTCAACATAGTGTTGGAAGTTCTGGCTAGGGCAATCAGGCAAGAGAAAGAAATAAAGGGTATTCAATTAGGAAAAGAGGAAGTCAAATTGTCTCTGTTTGCAGATGACATGAATGTATATTTAGAAAACCCCATCGTCTCAGCTCAAAATCTCCTTAAGCTGATAAGCAACTTCAGCAAAGTCTCAGGATACAAAATCAATGTGCGAAAATCACAAAGATTCCCATACACCAATAACAGACAAACAGAGAGCCAAATCATGAGTGAACTCCCATTCACAACTGCTACAAAGAGAGTAAAATACCTAGGAATCCAACTTACAGGGGATGTGAAGGACCTCTTCAGGCAGAACTACAAACCACTGCTCAATGAAATAAAAGAGGACATAAACAAATGGAAGAACATTCCATGCTCATGGACAGGAAGAATCAATATTGTGAAAATGGCCATACTACCCGAGGTACTTTATAGATTGAATGCCATCCCCATCAAGCTACCAATGACTTTCTTCACAGAATTGGAAAAAACTACTTTAAAGTTCATATGGAACCAAAAAAGAGCCCGCATTGCCAAGACAATCCTAAGCCAAAAGAACAAAGCTGGAAGCATCATGCTACCTGACTTCAAACTACACTACAAGGCTACAGTAACCAAAACAGCATGGTACTGGTAGCAAAAGAGGTATATAGAACAATGGAACAGAACAGAGGCCTCAGAAATAACACCACACATCTACAACCATCTGATTTTTGACAAACCTGACAAAAACTAGCAATGGGGAAAGGATTTCTTATTTAATAAATGGTGCTGGGAAAACTGGCTAGCCATATGTAGAAAGCTGAAACTGGATCCCTTCCTTACACTATATACAAAAATTAACTCAAGATGGATTAAATACTTAAATATTAGACCTAAAACCATAAAAAACCCTATTAGAAAACCTAGGGCATACCATTCAGGGCATAGGCATGGGCAAAGACTTCATGACTAAAACACCAAAAGCAATAGCAACAGAAGCCAAAATAGACAAATGGGATCTAATTAAACTAAAGAGCTTCTGCACAGCAAAAGAAACTATCATCAGAGTGAACAGGCAATCTACAGAATGGGAGAAAATTTTTGCAATCTACCCATCTGACAAAGGGCTAATATCCAGAATCTACAAAGAACTTAAATTCACAAGAAAAAAACAACCCCATGAAAAAGTGGGCAAAGGATATGAACAGACACTTCTCAAAAGATGACATTTATGCAGCCAATAGACATACAAAAAAATGCTCATCATCACTGGTCATCAGAGAAATGCAAATAAAAACCACAATGAGACACTATCTCACGCCAGTTAGAATGGCCATCATTAAAAAGTCAGGAAACAACAGATGCTGGAGAGGATGTGGAGAAATAGGCATGCTTTTACACTGTCAGTGGGAGTGTAAATTAGTTCAACCATTGTGGAAGACAGTGTGGTGATTCCTCAAGGATCTAGAACTAGAAATACCATTTGACCCAGCCATCCCATTACTGGGTATATACCCAAAGGATTATAAATCATGCTGCTATAAAGACACATGCACACGTATGTTTACTGCGGCACTATTTGCAATAGCAAAGACTTGGAACCAACCCAAATGTCCATCAATGATAGACTGGATTAAGAAAATGTGGCACATATACACCATGGAATACTATGCCACCATAAAAAAGGATGAGTTCATGTCCTTTGCAGGGACACAGATGAAGCTGGAAACCATCATTCTCAGCAAACTATCACAAGATCAGAAAACCAAACACTGCATGTTCTCACTCATACGTGGGAGCTGAACAAGGAGAACACATGGAGGGGAACATTACACACACAACTCTCACTCTTAAGTGGAAGTTGAGCAATGAGAACATGTGGACACAGGGAGGGGAACATCATACACCGGGGCCTGTCCGGGGTGGGGGCCTGGGGGAGGGATAGCATTAGGATAAATACCTAATGTAAATAATGTAAATGATGAGTTGATGGGTGCAGCAAACCAACATGGCACATGTATACCTATCTAACAAACCTGCACGTTGTGCACATGTACCCTAGAACTTAAAAGTATAATGACAAAAAAAAAAAAATTAATTAAAAAACACTATATAGGGCCGGGCGCGGTGGCTCATGCCTGTAATCCCAGCACTTTGAGAGGCTGAGGCGGGCAGATCATGAGGCCAAGAGATCAAGACCATCCTGGCCAACATGGTGAAATCTTGTCTCTACCAAGAGTACAAAAATTAGCTGGGTGTGGTGGCGGGCGCCTGTAGTCCCAGCTACTCGGGAGGCTGAGGCAGGAGAATTGCTTGAACTCAGGAGGCGGAGGTTGCAGTGAGCAGAGATCGCGCCACTGCACTCCAGCCTGGCGACAGAGTGAGACTGCAAAAGAAACACAACAGTATATAGGCCATAATTTACAATTTTAATACATTTTATTACAGCAGAAAAAAAAAGCACTGAAATAGCACTGGTACCAGTGATCTTGGGCCATAAAAGTGAAATAGCCTCTGTTTATTCATTTGATACATGGAGAAGCCAGCTAAATAATCTAAAGTGTATTCATGTTCAAATTCCAAGTCTATAATTATTCAGTGATAATTTGTTTGGTATTCAAATACGTCTACCCAAATATTAAACTACCTGGGGAAAAAATTCTTTAATCAAATACTCCTTATTAAAAGTTTCCAAAATCACACTGAAGTCATATAAAAACAAATGAAAAGAAATTCTAAAGCAATGTAACTGATCTTTCAGTAACTCTAGCTCACAAATATATGAGAGCCATTATTTCAATGCTAACACTTATTTCTTTAAATGCTGAATTTCTTAAAATGCTTTAGACCTCTTAGAAATTACTTTCAGAATCTTCATTGTAATATCTTCAATGGCAGCAAATATTCATCCATTTAAGTGCAATTTTGATATTTATGTACAGCTAAAATTCTTTGGAGTCAAGCATAATAAAAAAAAGAAGATTAAGCTGGGTGCAGTGGCTCATGCCTGTAATCCCAGCACTTTGGGAAGCGGAGGTGGGCGGAACACCTGAGGTCGGGAGTTCAAGACCTGCCTGACCAACATGGAGAAACCCCATCTCTACTAAAAATACAAAATTAGCCAGGCATGGTGGCACACACCTGTAATCCCAGCTCCTCGGGAGGCTGAGGCAGGAGAATCACTTGAACCCAGGAGGCGGAGGTTGCAGTAAGCTGAGATTGCACCATTGCACTCCAGCCTGGGCAAGAAGATCAAAACTCCGTCTCAAAAAATAAATAAATAAATAAATAAAATAAAAAGGTTAAAGTGGGTATCACTATGATAAAGAAATAAAATAAAACCCACGTCTGGCTCTAAGGTAATAAGACTGGTGTTTTGTTTTGTTTCACAAACTAATTCTGAGGACATGTCAGGAAAAGGAAGTGTTTCAGTCAGTGTGTAAACTCTGTACACAGCCTTCCTTGGTGCCGAATTCAGAGGACAGTGCTCACTGGGATGCAGAAAAAGCCTGCAAGTCTGTAGGAATACTTTACAGGCAAAAACATTTTACCCAAGGGCATTTAAAAAAAATCTTTAATCAAGTTCTCTAGATGTTAGTGATAAAACAGAAATGGGTCTTCCTTACTGAGACCTGAATACAAAACTTATTCTAATACAATTTCTTTTATTGGCATACCTTTCAGATTTTGCTAAACAATATAAATTTTCATAATTACTCTGGGTAAGCATTATCTCTAACAAATGAAAAAGATTACTGACACTAAGTTAAATGACTTTTCCCAAATCCTTTTGGCTAGAATATGGCAAACCAAGGACTAAACCACCTCAGGTCTTCCCTTTATCCATTGTTCTATGTTCCCACAAAGCTTTAGAACAGTGGTTAATCACTTACAGTGGTAAGTTAACTAGGGTGCTTATAAAATACTGAATCACAAAATTGCTTGATCTTGAAAATGTGAACTTCATTAGAGGGTGGGGGCAGAAGAGTCTGTATACTCTTTTTTCTGTTTGCACATTAACACATGTTCATTTTATGAAACGCAGACAATTAAGAAATGAAGATTCTCCATAATCTGTCCTCTGAAATAAAATATATACACAAAATCTGAAAAAATATTTAAGGCTAAACAATATTCTGTTACAATTTTTTCCTCAATGTTAGGCAAATTAAATATCTTCATCCCCACTAACCACATAGGTTAAAATCGGAATGCATTTCAAACTATTTAAATTTCTCCTACTCTTACCCTACCACTCATGAACCCTACTATTTTGAGTTCTGAGGCAAGTTCAGACTGATTCAAATTCATGTGTCCCATGGCTAGTCAGAGCCCTGGGTAAGGACCACTCAGCCAGGAAAACAGATGTGGTATTGTCACTCCAAGAGGCCCTCCCTCCTCTCTACTCTTCCCATCATGGCATACAACAGTTCTTACCACCCCCCACCACCCCACCCCTGGCCCAAAAAATCAGTTTTAAAAAATACAACTAACCTTTATAGGAAGATTAGGATACGTCAGAACTGTTCCAAACAATTCATATATACTAAACCATTTTAAACTCTACATAGTCGTGACAGAGTTTAGACTAGTATCTCCATTTCACAGATTAAATAGGCACAGAGAGGTTAAGTAATTTGCTGAAGGTCCCCATAGTAAAAGGCAGAGCTAGTATCAAACACTGCTCTTACATATATATACACAATAAGCTTAACAAGGTTGTTGAATGTAAGTCACATACAAAAGGCAAATATATCTTCTATATACCAACACAAAAAAATTTAAAGATTGATTTTGGTAATAAAAAATATCAGATACATAGGAATAAATCTCAGCATTACAAAACCTCTACACACAAAAAACTGCATGATCCCATTTTTATGAAGTTTGAAAACAGACAAAAATAAACTGCCATTAGAAGTCAAAATGTAGCCTCATTTCCTAAGAGTGTTGCTATGGTCTAAATGTTTATGTCCCCCCACACCCATTCACATGGTGAAATTCCAACCTCAAGGTGATGTTATTAGGAGGTGGGGCCTTTAGGAGGTGATTAGGTCAAGAGGGCAGAGCCCTCCCTCATGAATGGGATTAGTGTCCTTATAAATAAGGCCCAAAAGAGCTCTCATTCCTTCTACCATGTGAGGATATGGCAAGAATATGCCCTCAAAGAGGAAGTGGGCCTTCTCCAGACACTGAATGTGCTGGTGCCTTGATATTCTTGACTTCTCAGCTTCCAGAACTGTGAGAAATAAGATTTCTGTTGTTTATAAGCCACCCAGTTTTTGGTATTTTGTTATACCAGTCCAAACAGACTAAGAGAATTGTTATTGCGAAGTTACGATGTTGCTGAAACAAATATCTAAAATGTGGAAGAGGTTTTGGAACTGGGTAATGGATAGAGGACGGAAGAGTTATGAAGTGCGGGCTAGAGATAACAACCCATAAAATATTTTAAAAAATTATATATGATATAGAAAAGGCTTTATAACATATACCAGGACTTCAACTTTGATTAAGGCTGTGAGGGACATAAAATAATCTACATACACACAGAGCAATATAACTGTTGATGATGGTTATCTCAGGAGAGCTGGTATGAGGGGAATTTCTTCCTTATAATCAGGAAAAACAGCCCTCAACCTTTCCTTCTCTTATATACATACTACACACAGGTGTGGAGAAGACCCACATGACATCCTGCTCAAAGACAGCCCTATACGTATCTGCAACAGGCAAATATAATTTTATTTATTAATATTTCACATATTTAATATGTTCATTGCGATAGCAGCCATATATTTGTTTGCTGGATTCTTACATGATGTAAAATAAAGACACTTCAGAGGACTTGCTGAATGACTGTCTACCAAGAACGCAGGCATCAGGACAATGGGGGTAACAAGCAGAATGACTAGAATGAGTCACGGAAGATTTCATGTATTTTTCCAATTATTTACTCAAAGTGAGGATGAAGGGATAAAAGGCAGAGCAGAATTATAATTACTGTATGTTGGTCCTAAACAAAAGAAAACCAATGTCAGATTGTTAAAAATTCCAAAGTATAAACAACAACTTTTCCTGGGGAGCTTTAAAGGTAGAAACTGTGATGCTGACAGGGGATTTTTAAAAAACCATTTAAAAAACAAATAAGCAAATGTACATTACTGAATAATAGCAATTGGAAGCTCTGAGGAATTTGTCTCTTCTTTTAGAAAATATTTCATTGTTGCTTTGGCAGAATGAGTTATGCCTGATTCTCTTATTACTCAAGCTATTCCTGGGAATACAATTACAATTGGGTACAATTGTACCCAATTTAAGAAAAATATTTTTTACAATTTAAGAAAAATAAATCCTTTAATGCCACTGTTTAAGCCTCCAAAACAATCACTTATTAAAAGGATGCCTCTGGTATCCCAGAATAATTACTGTGGCTTATATTTTCCACTAGGCTCCCATGGAACAAATCATTGAATCAATAAATGATGGCACTCGACAGGCTCTCTGGGATTTTGATACTTAATAAAGATAGGAAACAGAGGCTCCCATTAACAGTGCTAGATTATGCACAGTCTCATTTAGTTTTCCCAGCAACTCTAACAGGGAGGTTTCATTTTCCTTTTACAAATAAAGAATATTTTGGCTTAGCAATTACTTGCTCATACTCAAATGGGTACAGTATGGAAACTCCAAGATTTAAATTGGGTCTTTCGGATCCCAAGTATCAAGCCTGATACTTTCCAGTGTATCAGGCTGTTTAGTGTACATACTGAGGATTAAATATTTAAATAATAAAAGTCATTGCTTACTTGCTCAAAACCGTTTATATTCAGTAAGAAAACTAGTGATTTTAGTACTAGTACCCTTCTATAGGAAAAGTAGATTGGCTTACAATGAAACCACACATCTCCAACACTATGGGTTGAATTATATGTTATTCCTTTGTGGTTTTGTGTGTGTGTGAATTCAGGTTTAGTGCATTTGTCTAAGGGCAGAAGGATCAAAGTGTAATCTTTTTTTGGGGGAAGGAATGTGGGAGACAATCTCTCAGCGGAATCTGGATCATGCTGAGCTGTACCCAATAACCAGTCTGTGAAAGTAGTGGTAAAGGACTACAGATGGTGATAAAAGGTATAACTTATTTTAAGCAAATCAATAAATCAAACCATGAAATTATAAAACTGATAAATTAGGGATAAGCTACTTATCCAAGTTTACCAAAATATTTTCTGATTTATAGTCTTTATCACAGATTTTATTTAAATAGTTGCTATCTAAAAACATACTTTATATTCTTGCAAATAAAATACACATTACTATTGCCTTTAAGATTAGAATTTTAGGCTGGGCGCAGTGGCTCACTCCTGTAATCCCAGCATTTTGGAAGGCCAAGGTGGGCGGATCACTTAGGTCAGGAGTTTGAGACCAGCCTGGCCAACATGGTGAATCTGTCTCTACTAAAATTACAAAAATTAGCCAGGCATGGTGGCAGGCACCTGTAGTCCCAGCTACTCAGGAGGCTGAGGCAGGAGAATTGCTTGTGAACCTGGGAGGTGGAAGCTGCAGTAAACTGAGACTGCAGCACTGCACTCCACCCTGGGCGACAAAGCAAGATTCCATCTCAAAACGAAACAAAACAACAAACAACAAAAAAACCCACAAAAACAAACAAAAAACCCCTAGAATTTTTTTTTTGTGTGTGTGTGATTCTGAAATCTTTTTTTTATTGTTATACTTTGTTCTAGAGTACCTGTGCACAATATGCAGGTTTGGCACATATGTATACATGTGCCACGTTGGTGTGCTGCACCCATTAACTCGTCACTTACATTAGGTATACCTCCTAATGCTATCCCTCCCCCTCCTCCCCACCCCATGACAGGCCCCGGTGTGTGATGTTCCCCTTCCTGTGTCCAAGTGTTCTTATTGTTCAATTCTCACCTATGAGTGAGAACATGTGGTGTTTGGTTTTTTGTCCTTGCGATAGTTTGCTCAGAATGATGTTTCCAGCTTCATCCATGTTCCTACAAAGGACATAAACTCCTCCTTTTTTATGGCTGCATAGTATTCCATGATGTATATGTGCCACATTTTCTTAATCCAGTCTATCATTGATGGACATTTGGGGTGGTTCCAAGTCTTTGCTATTGTGAATAGTGTCACAATAAACATACGTGTGCATGTGTCTTTATAGCAGCATGATTTATAATCCTTTGGGTATATACCCAGTAATGGGATGGCTGGGTCAAATGGTATTTCTAGTTCTAGATCCTTGATGAATCGCCACACTGTCTTCCACAATGGTTGAACTAGTTTATAGTCCCACCAACAGTATAAAAGTGTTCCTATTTCTCCACATCCTCTCCAGCACCTGTTGTTTCCTGACTTTTTAATGATTGCCATTCTAACTGGTGTGAGATGGTATCTCACTGTGGTTTTTATTTGCATTTCTCTGATGACCAGTGATGATGAGCATTTTTTCATGTGTCTGTTGGCTGCATAAATGTCTTCTTTAGAGAAGTGTCTGTTCATATCCTTCACCCAATTTTTGATGGGGTTGTTTGAAAAACCCCTAGAATTTTAGCCACAATCCAACATAAAAAAAGTTACTTATAAAAATGGTTTTGAAATTAAAGAGTTTATACTAAATTAACATTTGTGAAGAATCAAATTATGCTTCTTATTTTGAGGGCGAAAAGTAAATGTTAAAAACCGAATAAATAATTCTGTTATATGAAGTACATTTTATAACATCTTTCCCCAGAAACCATTACTTATTTCTGCCAATGGTATTTTTACTTTTCACTGACCCACACCATAGGGAATTACCAGACACTGAAAATCTTTTCTGTTTTCAATGAGTTTATTTTCGTGCAAGAAGAAAAAAAAAATATGTATCAAGGTATTACAGATAGGTCTGATAACTTTAGGTGAATATTATTATACTTATGAAACAGTTTATGCATCATTTATTCTTGTTTTCACTTATTCATTCTTGGCCAACATTTACTTATTCTGCCATCTAATTTACCTATTTAAGCAACATGTAGTACCTACTACGTACCAGATTCTGCCAGTTCAATTACTACCTTTTGGACACCAATTTACAAGGGTTCCTTGCAAATCTGAACTGTCTACCTCTGAAGGATACTTGTATTCCAACCTCTACCCAATCTTCTGATGACATTACTCATATATCTCCTCTCTCCCTTTCCCCATGATATAGTCACGGCTGTAGCCTCTAAGAAGTCAGGTGGAAAAAAACATAAAAGTGATATTAAGATGCTCTTTTGGCAGATAGGACAAGAAGGGACCTTTATCTTTCTTCCACCAGATCAGCTAGTAAGGCTGGTGCTGAGAATAGGTAGTAATAACTATGATTTATCAATAACTATGAAACCAATCTATTTCCCAAAATAGACTTAGGGCAAAGATAATCAACAAAAAATACAAAGAGGAAACACAAATTTGCAACAAAAACATCCATATGGAAGATGCCAGTTTATAGAAATATTGATCCTCCACTCTCACTCCTATGGTACTTACTTGCCATCTGTGTCTGATGTAGCTGCATAGTGCAGGGGTGTGCAGCCTCTTTCATCAAGGTCATTCACACTTGCTCCTGATCCCACAAGAGCAAACAGGCACTGGTAATTGCAGTTGGCAGCAGCGTAGTGCAGTGGAGATCTTTTGGGTCCAAGTTAATACAAGAAAGATAAAAGCCAGAGACATAACTAGTAAACAAAAGCATAGTTGACTCTTACTCCTCCCAGTTACAAATACTTTATTTACAGTGAGACTTAGACTACCATATACTAAGTCTTGCGGAGGACTGGACATAAAGCTAGAAGAAGAAAGCAAGGTGGCAGAGAACCTTTAAGTATATGAAATAAGATGAAAATGCAGTTATTTCATCGCCTCCAGGCAGTAGCAGCAATCCCAGTCCCAGTCCTTTGAGTGACTTTCAAATAACCTTCATATTCTGCTCAGAAATGTGAAAACTTTCATTTTAGGAAAGTTTCCCCTACATTAATAAAAATGTTCCACAGTACAGAGGTAGCAATTTCTATTCATGTCTCAGAAGAAGAACAAAAGGTAAGAGAAAAAAATAGAAGAAACATTAAAAAAAATGTAATTAACCCTGAATTACTTTCAACCCTCTCAACTCAAAGCATTTTTCAGAAGCCCTCTCTGTTATTTGTAGTATAGAATGCCTGAAGTACTAAAAATTAATATAAACTGGATTAAAGTATAATTATAAAAGCAAATTAGCTATAAAAATATTGCATTCCAAAGCCAAAGTGATTTTTTTATTTTTGTGGGTCATTAGTTCTTTCCATTAAGTAGGCTTATGAGAGCAATCTGTTCTTCAAAGTAATTATGGTGTCAAATAGTTTTTATTTTCTTCTATTCATTTCTGATTTCCTACCATGCATAATTCTTTTTACTTCTCTTCTGCACTGGTTCTATCACATGCATTGACATATATTCACACATTTTCTTCTGACATACACCCTTCCTTCTCATACACTTTGCTATGTATAATTCTCAAACTGTTGACACACACAGTTTTGCTTATACTGTCATCTCTTTCAAACCAATTCCAACTGCCTTCAATTCTTTCCTGTATGGTTCTAATGCACTCTGTGTCAATTCCTACTCTAAGTAACTTAACAGTAGTTTTAAATACTGCTACCACAAATACTCAACAATGAGGCCTGCTGAATGACTACAAAGACTGTCATTTCACAGCTGCCTTCCTGTTGTGAAATACTTAGTGGGATGTGTGGATATATGTGTGTGAGAGATTTATATAGAAGAGGAGAAAGAAAAATTACACATATATATTTATAACCTATTTCCTCCCTCTTACTACTGCTCTGGAACAAGATATGGGCAGTAGAATCCCTCACCAAGAAATGACTTGGAGAAAGGAGAACTGTATCATTATTTTCTAGGTATTGTGAGTTTCTTGAAAAAACATAGGTTCTATGGGGCTTTACATTTCCATAGTCATAATTTTTGGAGGGGGGGAAGTGATAGCAAGTATAGAGGCATTTATAAGGCCAAGGCTGTGGTTGGTAGGCTAGGGCTGTGGTAGGGACTCAAGAAGAAAACTGTGGGTGAGAACGAATATTTGGAAGTTACTGACTTCAGCTGGGACTCTCAATGAATCATGATCAGTGTACAAGATGCTAAATTGTTCAGTTAATTTTCAGAAGCCAGTTAGAAGGTCAATCAAGTTATTAAGTAAAAATAGGCTCCATAAAGAAACTGTATCATACCCTACCTCCCAAATTTGTCCTTTTTATTAAAGTCTGCACCAGTATTCAGCAGAAGGTTTAGGCACTCCAAATTCCTATTGAGAGAAAATACAGTTAGAAAACTTAATTGACAGTGATTTTATAATGAAATTGGTAGGTTTAAAGAAGCATGAAAGCATGTTTTTATATGAAGATAAATGTGACAAAAATGATGATTTACATTCTATGAAGAATAAAACATTGAAATTCATCTTATCTAGAATTTAGAAAGTTATATACTTACATATTGGCACACTGAGGAAATAACACACGATTCATGTTGTCATTGTTTAAAAGGAAGATCACATTTGCAAAAGAGATTCTGAGGAGGCTTTAGGAAACAACTTGCTTATAGGTTTTTTTTTTTTTCTTGAAACAGAGCCTCACTCTATAGTTTAGGCTAGAGTCCAGTGATGCAACCATAGCTAACGGCAGCCTCCAACTCCTGGATATAAGCGATCCTCCAAGTCTCAGCCTCCTGAGTAGTTAAGCTTACAGCTGTGAGCCACTGCATGAGTCCTGTCAGCTTTCCCTTATCTTCTCCTATACTATGACTGTTTACATATATGTATCTTTAGTTAATACTGGAGGAAAGGATATAACTTAAGTATTTCTGTAATTTAACTGTATAAACCTCAACATCAAATTACTATGTTACAATGAAAACTGTAACTGTCAAGTGATCAGACACTCAAGTCTGTTGTCCCTCTCTCTGTAGGCAAGTTACGTGGAAGTTAGGTTTTAACTGGAAGGTTCTCTGGCGACCTTGGAAGAACAAGAAAACCAGTCACATGCTCACAATCCATCTCTACAACTTAGACTGTGCTGGTGTACTCTTGGTTCAACGTACTCGTCCTCTGAAATCACTGAAAATTTTTAAGAAATTATCATTGAGAATAACGTTTTTGCAAAATGTCCTTTTGAGAAATCATGAATTAAATGGCTTATCACAGATCTAAATTATCAGAAGCATTAGATAAGAAGCATGTTCCAGAGGCCATGAGTTTTAGCTGAAGTTTGTTGCTCGTATGAACCAACTGCCTAATTTTTCCCTGGTGGTACTATTTAAAACTTAGTCCAAAATCTTCCAATCTCAAACTTTCCTCTTCCTAGTAGAGGTAAGACACAGCACAAAATGAACATTTTTTTCCTGGGGGAAAAAAAAATTAACAAATCTACTTAAAGAGTACTTGTATTATTCAGAATATTCCCAGTATTTTGATGTTCTCATTTGAGAACATACTTTTTAAAGAAATAGTTTTACTTATCCAGAAATTATGTTCTTTTACAGAAGGCAGTATTTCCTTTTGTAGGTTTATTCTCTCTCTCTCTCTCACTCATAACCTACAACTTGGCTGGAATAAGATGAAAAAAAGTATTCTGCCACCCTGGACTTTTTTTTCCCAAACAACTCCTGTTTTGTTTTCTATTTTCTGGCAGCCCAGAATTAATAAAAAAGAACAAAGATAAGAGAAAACCTGCCATGACCAGCTATCTTTTCTTAAAGAAATAAAAATACTATTAACATACCCTCCAGCTGCAGCTGCATGTAGACAAGTCCTGCCAAAATCATCTGGGGTATCTATATCAAATCCTACAAGAATGAATACATCTTATTTATAACAGACATATTATTTTACACTAAAGAATTGTGTCATGAAACATCAAGAATCACATCCTCCCCTCCAATCCCAAACAAAACTATGGGTTCTTAAGTGCTAGAGTGCCTGTTTAAAAGGCAATAGGATACAATGGAGTATTATTTAGCAATAAAAAGAAATAAAGTACTGATACTGTTCCATGAATAACCCTTGAGAACATTATATTAAGTGAAACAAGCCAGTCACAGAAGATCACATGTTGGGTGAGTCCATTTATAGGAACTGTTCAGAACAGGCAAATTTTATAGAGATGAAAAGTAGATTAGTGGTTGCCTAGGGCTGAGGGAAGAAAGAAATGGAGATTAACTGCTAATGGTCTTTCTTTAACAGGGGATGAAGAGGTTTTCTGTATTTTTTTTTTTTGAGACAGAGTCTCGCTCTGTCTCCTAGGCTAGTGTGCAGTGGCACAATCTCGGCTTACTGCAACCTCTGCCTCCTGGGTTCAAGCGATTCTCCTGCCTCAGCCTCCCAAGTAGCTGGGATTACAGGTGCTCACCACCACGCCCAGCTAATTTTTTTTTGTATTTTTTTTTTAGTAGAGATGGGCTTTCACCATGTTGGCCATGCTGGTCTTGAACTCCTGACCTCAAGTGATCTGCCTGTCTCGGCCTCCCAAAGTGCTGGGATTACAGGCATGAGCCACCACGCCAGACCTGAACCCAACACGTTCTAAAAGGGGTTATTAAATTATCCATACTGGACCCATCTGCATTAATTTTTAAAAAGCAGGATAGAGACCATCTAAAAATTTTGAGGGGTTTGAGGAGACATACAAAAGGCTGCAAAGGTTACACTTACCTGAAGAAAGAAGTTTTCTGCAGCAATCTGAAAAGCCGCTTAAGGCTGCCAAATGGAGGGGGAACATTCCATGTATGCCACGCCTAAAGTTAATAGAACAGGACAGTATCTTCATTTTAACACAAGAAAAATACAATCAGTTAAATACATTACAAAGAGACCACTTAAGTGAAAGATAACTAAGAGCCAAAATGTCTAACACTTCGGAGAGTAATTTGGTTAAAGTTTGATGGTGGGCATAACTTATTAGCCAGCTATTTTTCTCCAAAAGTCAGGTTTCTCACCTTCAGCACTACTGTCATTATGGACTTTGCTGGGGAAACGTGAGAAGCCATTCTGTGCATACAGGCTTACAGGCTGTTCAGCAGCATCCCTGGGCTCTACCCAATGGATGTCATTAACATTAACACCTTCCTCCCCAAATTGTGACAACCAAAAATGTATCTGGACATTTGCTTAGGGAGCAAAATTCACTACCCTGTCACCCCACCATTGAAACATTTCCATAATGCAACATGTTCAAGAATATTTATTGTAGTAATTCTGTAATAGTGAAAAACTGTAAGCAACTTGTATTTGCAAATAAGGAGAATGAATATATTGTGAAATCTTTATACAATAATTCTATAAAATAAATGAACTAGAGCAACTTGTACAGATGTGAAAGAAGGCCTAAATTTCTATCTAGATGGCTAAATTAATAAGCTCATGTAATTTTTTTGGAAAAAGTTACAAAACAGATAGGTGCAGTACCATACCATTACAGAAAGTAAAAAAGATTTAAAACTTGTTAATGAACACATGTAAATGTGATACAAAGAATGATAAACATAAATTTAAGTATGGTGTTTCTTGCAGAGCATTAGCAGGAGGACTCATCTTTCAAACAAAATATTACAATGGGAACTTTAATTTATAAAATAAATACAAGCAAACTGTTCTGACCAAAATGGGGGTGGGGGTAAGAACTCCTTCGTAGGATTCCAAGGAATCCCTGAGCTTGGCACAGCACAGCCTGAAAAGTATTATCTACAGATAGTATTTGGATTAAAAAAAAGCATCTGGCACATACAGCTTTCTGGGACTTTTAAGTACTTCTAGGTTAAAAATAAAGAGATCACAAAAATTAACAGCTCTGATCAAAACTGCGTTATTACTCAAAGTGAGAAAGAACTGGGGTAACATACATAAAAATACACTGGCTTACCAAATAAAATTGTATTTAAACATTTTAACCTACCACTTTGTCAATACAAAAGAAAGTTCAAGCAATTAATACAACATTGAGGATAAAATCCACATTTCCACGTGAAATGTCTAGAAAACTGCAGTTCACTTCCCTTTGTGCTTGCCTGTATCAGTTATCAACACCTCGGTAAGTACTTACTTTGCAGTGTCAGCACCACTTGTAATAAGAGTGTTGATCAGCAGCTCATGGCCATACCGTGCTGCTATGTGCAAAGGGGTATTTCCATTCTTATCCTCACAGTCGATTACAGCTCCTGCAATATAGGACTTACTGTCAGACACTGGACCATATAAAGATCAGGTCAAACGTACTACATGAAAAGTAATAAAAAATGCTGTTCACATACAAACTAATAGATACAGCAATTTTAACTAGATTTCATTCATAGCTCATTTATTGGGCCAGGCAATGGATTTATAGCTTTTATACTTAAAGCAATTGTGTGAATTAAGCATAAGATTTTAGTAGATTTTTAAATTGACAAGAGGGTTCTGGGGTCCAATAAGTTTGGAAACTACTGTATTAAAACAAAATTAAACACGTTTCTTTAGAGCAAGACTTCAGAGCTTTAATGTGCATACTCTGTCATCAAGACTGCATGCAATGCTTCAAAAAATATTGGATCATGAACCTATTTCAACTTTTCCCCTGCAAAACCATAGCACCTATTATCTTGAGGATAAATTTCTTGGAATATGCCTTGGAAAACACTGATTTAAAGTAATACACCTAAAAGTTCTTTTGATTTAAAAGTTTAGCTTGCCTGATATTAATTTAAACACAAAAGAATACAAACTCAAGAAATTAAAATCCTGAAAATAGTTGCAGATACTCAACAGGGGAAAATGATACATGTATAATGTATATACAGAGTACACACATTAATATATAATACAAATTATGGTAGAAAGTAATTTTCTATTTAGCAATATTGAAAAAAGCTAATACTAACTGCTGAAGAAATAACACAGTTCAGGGAAACAAAACATAAAAAACAAAAGTATGAAAGATACAGCTACGTGGTATTTTATACTCTTTAATATTTTATTTTCATGAGCTCTGAAATCATGTATTAAAAATACACAAAATGCGATGACAATTCCTCAATACCATTCATTTGGTGGATGTTTTTACTACATTTAAGAAAAAAAAAAAAAAACCCCAAAAAAAAAACAGAAATACTTTTTACCACTCTGGATAATGGTTTGTGATCGGGAGAATCTACCGTGGAGAGCAGTCATGTGTAGTGGGGTTTTCCCATCTTTACTCTGGGGGGGGAAGAAAAAAATTACTCACTCTACTATATCCATAATGTGTAAACCTTAGTTTTACTTTGAATACCCTCTTGCATCTTTATTTTTATAACTATTTTACATGAATTAAGTTTAACTGAGGCCTATGGAGGTAAAACAGCTGTTTAAAATTAGGAATTAATTTTTTTAGCACGTGTATCATAAAACACAAATATACAAAAATTCCATGCTTACAATTTATAAAAATTGGGAGTGGGACAGTAAGGATGTGTCTCCCAAGTTTCAGATTCAAAATTTCACACTGCTCCAACATTTCCATTCTAAGAAATTCTGAATCCTTCCTTGACCAAGTAAAAGTGAGTATTAGAATTAACTTCGTGAATTTTGTGTGGATACATTTAAAAAAATAAATACAAATAATTAAAACTACATATATTTGTTTATAGTTACGTGTACTAAATATTTTCTCAAATCACTTAAAATAATAAATCAGACTGGCTGCACACATATATATTTCATGTAGAAGTTCTAAAGGAGTTCCAAATATGAAGAAAAACAATCCCTGATTTAGGTTATCTTTTCTTCTGATTAGGTAGTGTCTTTTCTTTTCTAAAATCTTTCAGTTAACCAAAACATACATGTTACCAACGCAAAGGAAATAAACTACTTAGCAGCTTCCTAATCTCACAGCAACATTCAGCATGCCTTCTGCATAGGTACTAAAATGGAAATGTCACAAGTATTCTAAGTTTATGCTAACACTGTACAACGCAGATATTCTTTAAAAATCCTCATGTCTTTATAATAATAATTAGAACATCATAAGTATCTACTTAAGTGTTTGATTCCATAATATGAATTTTTCAAGTAAACAAGCCATCCAATTGACAAGTAATTTTACAGAAGTTCTAATCTTTTGGAGGCAGTACGAGAAAGGAAGGGGAGGAGGAGAGAGGATGCATGCATGCACAGGCTCTGGAGTCAGAATAACCTAAGCATGAATCTCAGATCTCCTACTTACCACAAGCAAGATTTTTGGACAAGTTGCCTAACTTCTTTGTGCCTTCAGTTCCTCAACTGAAAATGAGGATAATACCATCTACATCTTACTGGTCTGTTGTACAGAGTAAATACAATAATCCTTTGTAAAACACTCAGATAACACATCAGTGCTTCTCAGGATATATTTGTTTTACCATTATTTTTCATGTACCAGTTGTTATTTGTTCAACCAGAAAAAAAAAGGGCAAAAAAGCATCTTGGCAAAAGGATTCTGTCTTTCCAAAATGTTCCAGATAGGATATATCCTAATTTTTAATGTTAATATTTTAGCTATGGCCTTTTTTTTCTCTCTTTTTTTTTTTTGAGACTTGCTTTGTTGCCCAGGCTGGAGTACAGTGGTGTGATCTCAGCTCTCAGCAACCTCCGCCTCCCGGGTTCAAGTGATTCTCCTGCCTCAGCCTCCTGAGTAGCTGGGATTACAGGCATGCACCACCATGCCCAGCTAATTTTTGTATTTTAGTAGAGATGGGGTTTCACCATGTTGGCCAGGCTTGTCTTGAACTCAAGACCTCAAGTAATCCACCCGCCTCGGCCTCCCAAAGTGCTAGGATTACAGGCATGAGCCACCGCACCTGGACTTTTTTTTTTTTTTTTTTTCCCTTAAAGAGATGGGGGTCTTGGTCTGTCAGCCAGGCTGGAATGCAGTGGTGTAATCATAGTTCACTGCAACCTTGAACTCTAGGGTTCAAGTGATCTTCTAACAACAGCCTCTGGAGTAGCTGGGACTACTGGCATGTAACATTACACCTGGCTAATTTATTTTTTGTAGAGATGGTCTCTAAGTTGCCCAGGCTGGTTTTGAACTCTTGGGCTCATGTGATTCTCCAGCCTTGGCTTCCCAAAGTGCTGGGTTTACAGGTGTGAGCCACCATGCCTGGCCAGCTATAGCCAATTTTTACAGACATAAGGAAAAACATAGATTCCATTGATAAGAAGGATAAGAAAAACAAGAGGAAAACTAACTAAACAACCCCCACAACTCAAAACAAAACAAATAAAAACTTGTAATAATAATTTGATTAACAAAATGATGAAATTTGGAAGATATAACTATAGTTAACATTTATGTATACATAGCACGTTTCACGCACAGTTTTAAAACACTTCATATGGTCAGGCACGGTGGCTCATATCTATAATTCCAGCGCTTGGGGAGGCCAAAGCGGAAGGACTGCTTGAACTCAGGAGTTTGAGGCTGAAGTGAGCTATGATGGTGCCACTGCACTCTGGGCTGGTCAACAGAGTGAGATTCTGTCTCCCCATCTCCCTTCCTCCTAAAAAGCCAAAACCAAATCTACTTCATATATATTATTTAATTCTCACAACCCTATCAGATTGATACCATTAATCTTGTTTTATAGATGAGGAAATGTAGGCCCCAGGGTTAAGTGATTTTACTAGGTCTCATAGCTAATAAGTGATGAGTCCTTTATTTATTTATTTATTTATTTTGTTTTAGAGACAAGGTCTTGCTATATTGCTCAGACTAGACTTGAACACCTGGCTCAAGTGATTCCCTCACCTCAGCCTTCCGAAGGTAGCTGGGACTAAAGGCACACACAACTGGGCCTGGTTAGAATCCTTTATTATAAGCCTATATGTGGCACTGGATCAACATTTTTACTTTCTACATACTGATAATAAAACCTATTCTAAGTATACAAAGGAAAAAGAGATTCAGATTACTAACTAAAAAGTTTGCCATAAGACACGTTAGCGGGGAGAAGGCACAGTTATTTCTTTCTGAACTGGAGAAACAATGTGGAGTTTTCTTTTTCTTAATCACCTCAAATCACTTTAGCAGAAAACTAGGAGTATTAAGAAAAAAAAAAAGAAAAATAACAAAAACCAAAATTTAGAGCTACAAAAATCCTAACAGTTGATCTCACAGGCAACCAAAAACAGTAACTACAAGCCAAACACTTCACAGTATTTTTTTAGGTTTAAATTTCAAAACAAGCATTTGGTGTATTTTGCTTAGCTGACCAAAATCTATTCTTAAAGAACAATGTGGGTGGGAAAACGTGTGCATATAAATGAAGCAATCAGTGCAGTAAGGCTCATGTCAAGCAGTTCTAAAAAACAGACCTATACTGCTTTATAAACCTGATTCATTTTACCTCTACCACTTTGCAGGAAAATGAATTTATAACCTTAGAAACTGAGTTATTACAAACTTAAATTCACATTCCAATTTCTAGTCATCTATAACTTGATCAAGGTCAGAAACAACAAAATGGAGAATGTAGTAGGAGGAAAAGATTAAGCAGGAAAAAAGAGATAATATGGTAAGAATATGAGGGTTAGTAAATCAAATTTTTATAATAAAGGGCAAGTGTAAAGTGTCCCCATAGTCAATCAATAACTTAATAACACCGATTTTACAAATTATAAAAAATACAGTTGTCAGGAATGAATATATATTCTTGCTGGATGAAAACTCACAGCTATCAACATATTGTGTGTAAGAGCTGGAAGGGATCTGAGAAATCAACATGGGAAATGTGTTTCAACAAAATTTGACAATAAAATAATTGGACAATTGCATATAAATGAGATGTCATACACCCTTAGGTGAAGTTAAGATGACTTTCGTGAAATCTGTTTTGAAACCAACATCACAGGCTGTTGCTGTCAAATCTACTTAAATATATCTTAATGCCTTTGCTAAAAAATTCACTTGTCATATATGAAATTCACCACTGAGTTTTCTAAATTATTAAGGAGGTAACTTCAAATAGGACCACTGGTTTGAGCATTTTACTCTAAGTGGGCCTCTTAGAGGACTGATTCTCAATTCTACATTTCAAAAGAAAATACAGACTTAAAAACAATCACAGGTACTATAGTCACCTAAGTAGACACTAACAGAATCAAGTGATTCATTATCATCAAATTATATTAAATATTCATGCCAAAATGGCAGTGCATAAAACAGGAAGCCCAATCTCTACCTTTTAAAGACAGCATCATGTGAACCAAAAAATGCATAGTAGCTGACGACACAGGTAAAGTTCCGTAATTTCCATAATACTAACACACAAAGATGATTTTATCCACATTCACTATCGTAAACAGGTCTCACAGAGACTGAGAAAACTTGGTTGTGACGTTTGCTTTTGAAAATGTCAAGATTAATTCCAAATCTTTTATTTTTGAAATAGCCTAACTTTCATTAAAGAAACATTACTGCGCCTTTGAGGAAAAAACTAACTTTTCTCCTCACAACTGTCTAGATATTTTTCTGGGCCCTGATTATCCAAAGTGCAGGAATTCTTCAAATTAAAATAAGCAGTTCAAACCTGTAATAAATAAACTTTCTAGTAATTACTTAAACTATAAAAAATGTTACTAGGTGATTTGACCGAGACCTAAAAACTTTTAAAAAGATGGTTTAGCTCTAATCATATTAGGGCACTTTGTGACATCTCATGTTTTTTCTTCCTTGGGTGTAGTATGTATACATTTTGTCCTGTAGTTGAGAGGGCAATTTAAAGCAATGGCCTAATTACAGATGGATTTGTTGCTGTTACAGCTGTCAGAATTGACCCGTGGCATCATTAAAGGCTTCACTGAAGTTAGGTGAGAAAATCTCATGTAATCAAAATGCTCTGAAAATCACATTTTAAGCTTAAACATTTTTACTAATCCTAAATGGCTCAATTTTGTGTCTGGTTTTCTTCATACCACCAGATACAGTTTGGCAAGTGCTCAAAGGATGAATTGATAAAATTAATACAGAAACAACTAACGAATTCTAAAAAATCTAATAAAATGATTATATATTATAAAATAGCAATGCTCAAAATCTGGATTGCATGTGCTCTCTTATAAAATTATATAGTGAAAGCATATTTATTTGGGTACAGAATATTCATTCATTTGAGGCAAGGTCTCACCTGTCGCCCAGGCTAGAGTACAGTGGTGCGATCATAGTTCACTGTAACTTTGAACTTCTGGGCTCAAGTGATCCTCCAGCCTCAGCCTCCTGAGTACCTAGGACTACAGGATAATTTTTAATTTTTTTTTTGGTAGAGATAGAGGTCTTGCTATGTTGCCCAGGCTGGTCTTGAACTCCTGGCCTCAAGTGATCTTCTCGCCTTGGCCTCCTAAAGCACTGGGATTACAAGCGTGAGCCAGACTGTATCCGGCCAAAATTTTCATTCATTCCTTTATTTATTTTTTGAGACAGGGTCTCACTCTGTCACCCAGGCTGGAGGGCAGTAGCATGATCTCAGCTCACTGCAGCCTTGACCTCCAAGGCTCAAAAATCCTCCCACTTCAACCTCCCAAGTAGCTGGGACTACAAGCATGAGCCACCATGCCAAGCTCATTTTCTATTTTTTTGTGGAGCCAGGTTATGCTGTCCAGGCTAGTCCTGAATTCCTAGGCTCAAGTGATCCTCCTACCCTGGCCTCCCAAAGTGGTGGGATTACAGGTAGGAGCCACTATGCCAGCCCAGAATTTTCACATAATTCTAAAATCCAAATGCTTACTCTTGAAAGTGATTCTAACAAAAAAAAACCAAAAAGCAACTATTCCTTATGTGCAACACACTGACAGTTTTTTTTCCCTAACACTGTAAAATTTGAAAAGATCTGTAGAGTGAACATCCATATACATACCATCTAAATTGTACCACTAGTATTTTACTCTATGTCTTTTATTGTAGATTCATCTATCCTTCCATCCACCCAGTTATTTGATGCTTTTTAAAATTAGATACAGACATCATACATGTCACCTCTAAACACAACATTAACTAGGGTTAAACATCTGTTTAGTATTTTCCTTCTAAGAGAAAATTTATATGCTATGAAAGCATACAAATGAACCACCTTATCAGTTTTGACAAATGTATATAACATAAACCCCTGCCAAAATACAAAACATTACCATCATCACATAACGTCCCTTCATGCCCCTTTCCCAGTTGATCCCTCCTCACAATGGCAATAATTGTTGTGATTTTTTTCAATTATAGATTCTGGAACCCCATATAAATGGAATTTTATTGGTTCTAGAACCTTACATAAATGGAAAGAATGTACATACTCTTGAGTAAGGCTTTCACTCAGCATAATATTTTAAAGATTTATCCATGTTCTTGAGTTTATCAATATTCCTTTTTATTGCTCAATGGTATTCACCATTGATGTTGTTTTAACAGTGACATATGAAATACTTATAGATTCTGATTTTGTTCCTTACCTTCATATTGACATCGGCCCCATTGCCAACTAGAAGCTCTAAACACAATGCTCCATGTGTTGATGCAGCAGCAAAGTGCAAAGGAGTAAATCCTTTTTCATTCTTTTGATTCACAATAGCACCACAGTCTATAAGTTCATTCACTACAACATCTTGTCCATTATAGCAGGCTACATGAAGAGGTGTATTTCCATAGGCATTTGGTTCATTCATCTATTAGAAGGGAAAAAAATGCGAATGTTAAAGTAGTTTTGCTAATTATCAATGTTGTGAGCTATTTTAGCAACCTGTGGTTGCAATCAAATTACTAAAGTGAGAAACGGAGACAAGATAAGTACAGAGATAAGGCTTATAATTCTAAAGTTGGTTTAAAATAATAAACCCTTGACAAGCATTTTGGTATTACATTGATTTTATACATTCAGGGAATATAATTCACATACACAATGTCTACTTCATGACAAAACTGAATAATACAAAAGAGGTATTTCAGGGAAACGTAAACTAATGTATTTTTAAAGGCGTTCTAGGTAAAGGATTTACTATAGAATTAATTATAATCATAAAAAATGAACACAAACTGAAGATTCTGAGGTATATTCAGTAACATGCACATTTTCATCTTTTTCATTTTGCAGTGACAAAGGCTAACCTTAGTAATAAAGTACAGATCAAGATTTAAAAAAAAATGAACGGCATGTTCTATTTATTTAATTCATTTTTTGCCACAAACTTGGGCTCTAAATATCTTCCAGTGTCATATGCAGGTATTTTATCACAAGTAAAAAGAGTATGCTCAAAAATGAGAAACAATTCATGTAATTAAGGGTTTTGCTTTTCTTTTTTTTGAGACAGGGTCTCATTCTGTCGCCCAGACTGGAGTTGAGTGGCACGATCTCAGCTCACCGAAACCTCTGCCTCCTAGGCTCAAGTGATTCTCCTGCCTCAGCCTCCTGAGTAACTGGGATTACATGCACACACCACTACCAACTGGCTAATATTTGTATTTTAGTAGAGACGGGGTGTCACCATGTTGGCCAGGCTGGTCCTGAACTCTTGACCTCAAATGATCCACCGGCCTCGGCCTCCCAAAGTGCTGCGATTACAGGCGTGAGACCCTGTGCCCAGCCTTGTTTTTCTATTTCTAATAAATAAGGGAATAGTTTATATGATTAGTGTGTAGTAAAGAATCTGACCTCTCCCAAAGAGAGGTCTGTCCTTTGCCCCTGGCTTCAGGGAGGTAGGTAATCTAAGATATTCCTGATAAAAGAGTCTCTATTTAGAGTGGGAGCTTTGGGTCACCAGGTATCATGTATTTGGAGACTGAAATCAACCACATGGACAACCAATCAAGCCATATAATGGAGCCCCAATAAAAACCGAAAATGAAGCTCAGGTGAGCATTCCTTGTTGGAAATACTTCATTCATACTGTCACACACTGATGCCAGGGAAGAACAGTAATGTGTCCTGACTCCGTGAAGAGTGGACAAGGGAAATTTTGCCTTTAGAATACTCCTGCACTCTATCCTATGTGTCTCTTCCTTTGGCTGATCTCAGTTTGTATCTTGTCCCTGTAATAAACCACAACCATGAGTACAAAGCTTTTAATGAATTTTGTGAGACTTTCTGGTGAATTATCAAACCTGAAAGTGGTTTTGAAAGCCCTCTAAACTTATAGTTGGTCATAAGTAAAGGGTGGCCTTGTGTGGAAACTCTGGACCCTAATCTTGTAGTTGGCCCCAACATAATGCAGCTTTAATTAACATTTTCTTTTCTGGGATCACTGGTAATAGAAATCAGAGGAAGAAAAAAAGTTAACACTTAATTTTAATCAAAGTAACCTAGATTTTTTCACAAGAAGGTAGAACACAGACAAGGAACAGATTCTCCCTCAGAGCCTCCATAAGGAACCAACCTTGCTGACCCCTTGATTTAGAACTTCCATACTCTAAAACTCTGGGAAGTTAAATTTCTATTAGCCCTCCAGTTTGTGGTAATTCTCTACGAAACTAAAAAAAAAACAAAAAACAAAAAAACACCACACAATTGGGGGCCAGATGTTACTAAAAGGCTCTAAGTCTGGCCACTTATTTTGATGAACAAATAGTCACCAGAGTTTACAAATGTAACTGACTGTCAATAAAGTCAGTTTTAAAAATTGCACCAGAATGGACTTCAAACAGTAATCAGAAACAAAGTTGCCTCATTTATCTAGATCAAGGGTCTTTTAAGATATTATTTCACTCTGCTGAAACAGAGGTACAGGAATTGAGATTTTTGCAACGTCTTCTTGTGATCCTCACACTTTCAGTATTTATTAGCTTGCTTCAGGCAAAGTGTTTCACATGGTCCATCAGTTAAGAGCCTATTTAGCCCTACAGTTCTGTCATGTATTCTTTGTCCAACCAGGCTATCACCTACTTTTCTTAGTTTTTTGTAGCTGATCTAAACTGTATCCCTCTAGCAGATCCTTATGCTACATCTTCTAATTTACTGTTTTATTAAAGAACCAATGAGTTCTTCAAAATGTGTGTTTTGAAGAATCAGTGACTTTGTCAGAACTCTCCCTGAAGTAAGAATAAATACGCTGAGTGGGCTGGGTGTGGTGGCTCATGCCTGTAATTCCAGCACTTTGGGAGACCAAGGCAGGAGGGTCACTTGAGGTCAAGAGTTAGACACCAGCCTGGGTAACAGCAAGACCTCATCTCTACAAAATAAAAAAAATTAGCCTGTAGTTCTAGCTATTCAGGAGGCTTAGGTGGCAGGATCACTTGAGCCCAGGAGTTCAAGGTTGCAGTGAGCTGTGATTGTGCCACTATACTACAGCCTGGGAGACAGAGACCCTGTTTAAAAAAATAATAATAAAATAAATAAATAAACAAGGGAGTAAAGTACTTATGTTTAAAGGATGGCTTGTGAAAAGCTACAGGTATTCTAAGTTATCTCAATTCAGGAATCAAATATGTCCAAATAAAGCAGCATCCCCTTTTAACCAAACAGAATTATATAGTAAGGAATACTTACACTTGGTGGGCAAAAAACCTCTTGTTTTCCTGCCTAGCTCTTGCCAATATTCTGTAATGCAAACTGCTACAGTCATTTTAAGAGAGTATGAGACTAGGCAAAGAAGACTAACAATAACCCAGCTATCTAATAATACAAGTGTGTCTGATCTGCTGATTCCCATAAATGAAATGGAACTACAGGGCCTGGAACGTGATATAGAAGAAAAACTGGCAATAAAACACCTTTGAAGTGTATTTTACCTCTTAACATGCTTTGACTATTTACATGCCTTGATCATAAATCAGTGCACTAGATATTATGTAAAGGACTATAAATATCCAATTAAAACATGAAAACATTGTATAAAATAATTTCTTAAACCTGAAATAACTTGTCAATAATGTAATAGTAAGTATAAAAGGGTTCCATAATTTTATACTGTTCAATTAATATACCTACATCAACTCCAAGATCTAGAAGGTACTTGACTACGCTGATCATTCCACTAGAGGCTGCTGCATGAAGAGGTGTATAAGACTTTTTATCCTTGCATGTCACTTCAGCTCCATGCGACACAAGCAATTTCACTACTTCAATGTGACCTAAAAATGTGTTTTTGAAGAAAAAAATAGAGATGAGCATATGAAAACTATTAAATATAATCCCAAATATCTTTAAGCAAATTTAAAAAATGCAAAATAGATGATGCATGACAAGTCATCAATGAATCATGTTAACTTGAGAGAGGACAGAAGGAAAATTTTAAGACTTTAGGGGTGGGCATAATGGCTCATGCCTATAATCTCAGCACTTTGGGAGGCTGAAGTGGGAGGATCACTTGAGCCCAGGAATTTGAGACCAGCCTAGGCAACACAGTGAGACCCTGTCTCCACCAAAAATAAAAAAAAATTAGCTGGGTATGGTGGCATGCACCTGTAGTCTCAGTTACTTGGGAGGCTGAGACAGAAGAATTACTTGAGCCTGGGAGGTTAAGGCTGCAGTGAGCTGTGATCATGCCACTGCACTCCAGGGTGGGCAATGGAGCGAGGCCTTATCTCGAAACAAAACAAGACAAAAAAATAGAATTCAGGATAATTTTGGTAAGTGTTGGCAGAGACAATTAGTAATTAAAAAGAATGTTGGCCCTCTGTATACACTAGTTCCATATCTGCAGATTCAACCAACTGCAGACTGAAAATATTTGAAAACATAAAAACAGTTAAAAAAATTAAAAATGCAGTACAACAACTATTTACATTGTATTAGGTATTATAAGTAATCTAGAGATGAATTAAAGAACAGGTTATACGTACATACTATGGCATTTTATATAAGGAACTTGAGTATCTTCTGATTTTGGTATCCAAAGGAGTCTGAAACTAATACCCTAAGGATAACAAGGGACAACTATAATTCCTTTGATTATGTTATTCAGTGATAACCCTGCAATCTATCATCTTCCTTTTGCCTAGATCTTGTTTTTGGTCTAAGGTTAGTTTAATACCTTCATAAATTCTAAAGTTAGCTTTTCATTTCTAATGCTGGCATACCATATTGTATGTACTTTGCTTTATTGTGCTTTGCAAATATTGCATCTTGTTTCTTAAAAATTGAAAGTTTGTGGCAACCCGGTGTCAAGCAAGTCTATTGGCATCATTTTTTCCATCAGCATGTGTTCATTTCATGTGTCTGTGTCATGTTTTGGTTATTCTTGCCAATATTTCAAACTTTTTCAATGTTATTTTATCTGTTTTGGTGATCTGTGATCACTGATCTTTGACATTCCTACTGTAATTGTTTTGGGGCATCACAAACTGCACTCATATAAAGTGGTGAACTGATCAGGCACGGTGGCTCATGCCTGTAATCCCAACAATTTGTGAGGCTGAGGCAGGCAGATCACCTGAGGTCAGAAGTCGAGACCAGCCTGGCCAAAATAGTGAAACCCTGTCTCCACTAAAAATACAAAAATTAGCTGGGCATGCTGGCACACACCTGTAGTTCCAGCTACTCGGGAGGCTGAGGCCCGAAAATCACTTGATCCCTGGAAGTGGAGGTTGCAGTGAGCCAAAATCATGTCACTGCACTCCAGCCTGGATGACAGAGTGAAACTCTGTCTCCAAAAAAGTGGTTAACTTAATAAATGTTGTATATTCCAACTACTCCATTCCCCCATCTATCTCCTCTTCAGACCTTCCTCTTCACTCAGACACAACAGTATTAAAATTAGGCCAAATAATAACCCTACAGCAGCCCCTAAGTGTTCAAGTGAAAGACAGTTGCATACCTCTCACTTTAAATCAAAAGCTAGAAATGACTAAGCTTAGTGAGAAAGGCATGTTGAAACGTGAGACAGGCTGAAAGCTAGGCCTCCTGTGACAAAGTTACCAAGTAGTGAATGCAAAAGAAAAATTCTCCAAGAAAATTAAATGTGCTACCAGTGAATGGACTAATGATAAGAAAGATAAGTGGCCTTACTGATGATACAGAGAAAGTACTAGTGGTCTGGATAGACGACCAAAACAGCTACAAAATTCGCTTATGCCAAAGCCTAATCGAGAGCAAGGCCTCAACTTTCTTCAATTCTATGAAGGCTGAGAAAGGTTAGGAAGCTATAGAGGAAAAGTTTAATCCAGCAAAGGTTGATTCATGAGGTTTAACGAAAAAAGATGTCCCTGTAACAAAAGTGCAATGTGAAGCAGCAAGTGCTGATGTATTAATAGAAGCTGTAAAAAGTTATCTAAAAGATATAAGATTATTAATGAAGGTGGCTACATTAAACAGCAGATTTTCAATGCAGATGAAACGGCCTTCTATTGGAAGATGCCATCAAGGACTTTCGTTGCTAGAGAGAAATCTATGCTTGCCATCAAAACTTCAAAGGACAGGCTGACTCTCTTGTTAGAGGCTAACGCAGCTAATGACTTTAAGTCAATGCTCATTTACCATTCTGAAAATTCTACAGCCCACATGAATTATGCTAAATCCACTTTGCCTATGCTCTAAAATGGAACAAAGCCTGGATGACAACACATCTGTTTATAACACGGTTTACTGAATATTTTAAGCCCACTGTTGAGACATACTGCTCAGAAAAAAGAAGATTCCTTTCAAAATATTACTGCTTATTCACAATGTACTTGGCCACCCAAGAGCTCTTACAGACAAGGAGATTACTGTTGTTTTCGTGCCTGCTAACACAATAGTCACTCTGTTGTCCCTGAATCAAGAGTAATTTCAACTTTCAAAGTCTTATTATTTAAGAAATAACATTTGAAGTGGATATAGCTGCCATAAATAGTGATTCCTCAAAGTAAATTGAAAACCTTCTGGAAAGGATTCATCATTCTAGATGCCATTAAGAACATACCTGGCCAGGTGCGGTGCCTCACGCCTGTAATCCCAGCACTTTGGGAGGCCAATCACCTGAGGTCAGCAGTTCGAGACCAGCCTGGCCAACATGGTGAAACCCTGTCTCTACTAAAAGTACAAAAATTAGCCAGGTGTGGTGGCGGGTGCCTGTAATCCCAGCTACTTGGGAGGCTGAGGCAGGAGAATCACTTGAACACAGGAGGCAGAGGCTGCAGTGAGCCAAGATCACACCACTGCACTCCAGCCTGGGCAACAAAGCGAAACTCTGTCAAAAAAAAAAAAAAAAAAAAAAAAAAGAAAGAAAGAAAGAACATTTCTGATTCATGGGAGGAGGTCAAAGTATTATTATTAACAGGAGTTTGGAAGAAGTTGATTCCAACCCTCATGGATGACTGAGGGATTCAAGACTTCAGCGAAGGAAATAACTACAGATGTGGTAGAAATAGCAAGAGAACTAGAATAAGAAGTGGAGTCTGAAGATGTGCCTGAATTGCTATAATCTCATGATAAAATGTGAACAGATGAGGGGTTGCTTCTTATGGATGAGTAAAGACAGTGGTTTTGTGAGATGGAATCTACTCCCAAAGATGCTGTGAATGTTGTTGAAATGACAACAAAGCTTTTAGAGAAATGACTCCAATTTTGAAGGAAATTCTACTGTGGGTAAAATGCTATCAAACAGCTTCACATGCTACAGAGAAATCTTTTGTGAAGGGAAGAGTCCATCGATGCAGCACATCTTTGTCTCATTTCAAGGAATTGCCACAGCCATCCAAACCTTCAGCAACCATTCACATTGAGGCAAAACTCTCCATTATCAGAGATTGTGACTTGCTAAAGGCTCATACGATAGTTAGCATTTTTTTTTAGCAATAACATATTTTTTAATTAAGAACACTGAAAATTAATAAAAAAGAAAAAACAAAGACATGTATATTGTTTTAGATGTATTGCTATTGCACACTTAATAGACTATAGTATAGCATAAACATATTTTGTAATTAATTAATTATTTTTAGAAACGGGGTCTTGCTCTGTCACCCTGGCTGAAATGCAGTGGTGTGATCAATCTCACTGTAACCTCAAACTCCTAGATTCAGGTGATCCTCCCACCTCAGCCTTCTGAGTAGCTAGGACTACAGATGCATGCCACCACACTGGGCTAATCTTTAAATTTTTTTGTAGAGACAGGGTCTTGCTCTGTTGCCCAGGCTGATCTTGAACTCCTGGCCTGAAGCAGTCCTCACACGTTGGGCTCCCAAGATGTTAGGATTACAGGTGTGAGCCACTGCAGGGAGACTAAACATATCTTTTATATGCACTGGGAAACCAAAAAATCTTTGTGATTTGCCTATTGCTGTATTTACTCTGTTGTGGTAGTTTAGCACCAAACTCACAATCTCTCTGATCTCTGCCTTACTGGAATCGTTTCAATCTGGGGGTTTCTTGGGCTTGTTTCTTCAGAATGTTAGCTCTTTAGAACATGCAGCCAAAAAACTCTTTTTCCTTATAATTTCCACCAGATCTTAACCAACTTAGTTTACTCACCATTGTAACCATGAGGAAAGGGTTGGTTATACTGTGTGATGGTTAACAATCAACTCCCAAATCTCAGTGGCTTAAACAATCAATGTTTTTATTTCTCTCTCAACCATAACAGGTTGGCAAGAGGGCTCTGCTCAGTTACTCAAGGACCCAGGCTCATGTAACTGACATCATCTTGAATGTGGCTGGTCACTGTGCCAGAAAGGGAAACAGACTGCAGAGTTTCCCATCAGTAATTAAATGCTCCAGCCCAGACTGATGTTGCTTTCATCCATTAGCCAAAACTAGTCCTAGGCCCCACTCAACTACATAGAAAGGCCAGGAAGGGGGCCATGTATCTGGAAGGTGAGAGGACCACTATTCTCCTTTCATAACTTGTCACTTTTTGTCAGATTAGATTATACAGTGTTTTCTCCTTCTCCCACAATCCTTCCCACCTCTGTGTCTTTGTTCATGTAACACCTTCTTTATGTGGAACGTTCTGCTTGGATGTCTCCTCCCAATCATTGCTATTATACTAGTCCTTGAAGAAACATGTCAGATCCAACCTTTCCTGACCAACCCAATCAACTCTCTTCCCTAGAAGCCCTATAAGCCTTGTGATGTTTCGTAAACGGAATCATTAATTACTAACTCTTTAATTACTTTTTGTGCATGAATCCCCAAATATATACTTTCAGAAGGCTGTTCTACTTCTTGATATGTTCCACAAGGCCAAGAGCAGCATAGAAAACAAGCATCCAAAATATATTAGTTACATTGAAGAAATTGCTCGTGATGTCATTTTAAAAATCCCTTCATAGATAATGAGTCTATAAAAAGTTAATAAATGAGGCTTTCAAACAGAGGCACCCCTCCCTCAAAAAAATTAAGCCAAGATACTGCAAGACGCATAAAGAACCAGGCAGATTCAGTTGTTTATATATAAATTATCAATTAAAGTAGATATTTACAGCCTCTTTCCCCCCATTTTAATATGAAAAAGAAATATCTACTATTATGTTTCTAGAAAAGAAATAATGCAATGAGGTGTTAAGGTAATTTTTAAAAATCAATTAAAAAATTTTTGAGACGGTTTTGGCTCTGTCACCTTGGCTGGAATGCAGTGGTGCGATCACAGCTCACTGCAGCCTCGACCTCCTGGGCTCAAGTGAGGTGTGTGCCACCACACCCAGCTAATATTAATTTTCTTTTTTTTGTAGAGAGAGGGTCTCACTATGTTGCCCAGGCTGGTCTTCAACTCCTGGGCTCAAGGATCTTCCCACCTCAGCCTCCCAAGTTGTTGGGATTACAGGCATAAGTGACCATGCCCAGCCCATGGTAAAAAATATTTATTCAGTACCTTCTGTGTCAAAGTCATCACAATAAAGTAATTTGAAGCTAAACTTGGCTGAATATTTCTAAAAGTACTGAAAGCAACAGGAAAGATGAATGTGTAAAGGGACCTTGACAAAGGTTGATGGCAGGAGCAAGCACAAGGTGGGAAGAAGAAAATGATCAATTCATTTGGAGATGAGGTGGGGCGCTAGGGAACAATGACAAATAATTCAATAGCATAAGTATAAGAGGTAGGGCCTAAAAGGAAATTAACGGAGCCTCAACCAGGAAATGGAAAGCCAGGGCTAATAAGGAAAACTGGGATAAATAAATTACAAGACTACACATAATCCCCAATGTCTCTTACACTAACATTGATGAATTCTCTGAATATAACCTAGAGGTGACAATGCTTGTACTTTAGGTTTGTCTGTAAGAGAGGTGACCAGTCAATAGCTTCTTACTTTCACATATTTAACTCTTTAATCCTGCATACCTAGAATGGCTGAACAGTTTTAGAAGCTATATGTCGATATTCATCTTATTCTGTGCTTCAGGGAAGGAAGAGACAGAAAAAGGATAATTATAAATCTCTGCCTAGTTATGCTCATAAATTAAATGGGCAGTGCTATATGGTACTATGGTTTAAATGTGTCCTCCGAAGTTCATATGTTGGAAGTGTAATCCCCAAGGCAACAGTGTTAAGAGGTGGGAACTTTAAGAGGTGATTAGGCAATAAGGGCTCTGTCCTCACGAACATATCAATGCTATCTTGGGATCGAGCTCCTTAAAAAAGATGAGTTTGACTCCCCACAATGTGGTGCTTCAAGAGGGCCCTCACTAGATGCTAGTGCCTTGATCCTGGACTTCCCAGCCTACAGAACTGTAAGGAAATAAAATTTCTGTTCTTTATAAATTACCCAGTCTATGACATTTAATTTTAGTAGCACAAAATAGACTAAAACTTGTGGTGAGGTCCAGGAAACACAGAATATCTTTTTCAACCTCAACTGAGATGCCTAAAAAGTGACACTTAGCGGGTGAGAAACAACAGAGCCATTCTGGCCCCCTTGAAATACACACATTCAACTATTCTGGGAGCTCAACTACAGGCAACCTGCAAAATCCCCCTGGCCTTCAGTTGTATGAAAACAGTTGTTTAGTCAAGCTTAATTCTTAGTAGGTAAAAACACTGATGCACTCTGCTTACCATGTAAGCCTCTTAACGTAAGATGTACAGTTTTACATCACATAACCTGGTTGTTCCTGTCTTGAAGAGTAAGCCACACCAGAATATTCAGAAAGACCAAGATGAAAAACTACAGGCTGTGAGAAAGGGACCTTAAGATGCAATACGGAACTTGCTTCTGGCTATTACCTTCAATTAACACAAGAAAATGGCCCAGTACATAACTAGCGGCACATATCTTTGGTGTAAACCACCATACACCAAGCTTTCAGCTTTAAAAATAGGGACATTTGCAGAAGTTCAAGACCAGCCTGGTCAACATGGTGAAACCTCATCTCTACTAAATATACAAAAATTAGCTGGGCGTGGTGGCAGGCGCCTGTAGTCCCAGCTACTCGGGAGGCGGAGGCAGAAGAATCGCTTGAACCTGGGAGGCGGAGGTTGCAGTGAGCCGAGATCACGCCATTGCACTCCAGCCTGGACAACAAGGGTGAAACTGTCTCAAAAAAAAAAAAAAAAAAAAAAAAAAGGGGGGGGGGGTGTGTGGGGAGGGGACATTTGAAAAGGATGTTACATTTTTTTTTTAATCTTCCTTTACACTCACACTGAAGGTCAGAGCTGCAATGCAATATGGATTCTCGGGCTTCTGCCCAGTGCATGGCTACATGGTCTCTACAGTTTCCTAGTCATGCAAGTGTGATGGGAGAAAGGCTGTACTTTAGCTGCACTCAGTTCTCAGTGCCACTCCCGGAGAGAGCAGGACCCTGTTTAGGGTGATGACCCCATAGTGGGTAGAAACTCTGAAGTACAGAGGGACTCTGGATGTTGCCCGCTTAGAAAGGAAAGAGTTTGCCCCAATGGAGGTCAAAAGCATCACTCCACAGTCTGAAAGGGGAGGGGGAGAATGCACAGTCTTCTATCACCCAGGGAATTAAATTAAATTCACTGCAGAACACAGTTGGGATGTGTTCACTGAAAGCAGAGGCATACATACACAGGGTGGCAGAACCGCTGCTGGCCAAGGTGAAGGGGCCAGAGCTGTATGTGGAGAGGTGGAAGATGCTTCATGAGCTAAATCCCAATCCCAGGGGAGCTGGTAAGACCATGGTCAACTCAGTGTTCATGACAGACACACTTAACCTTATCTGCTATTTGGTGAGAGCAGGACACGCAAAAGTGTGTTGTGAGGTATGGGGGAGAACATATGGTATTGGTCCCTGCAGTCGCGGCAGTCAACAGATCCTTCAGCAAAGGGACATCAACTACTATTACCTCATACTATGCCACAGTTAACAACCCTAGATCAAGTTTGGCATATACTTCATTCTGAAACAAATGTTTCCTCTCATGCCTTTGACAGAAGAGAGGCATTGGATTCTCGATGAAGCCAGGAAAATTCTGTTGAAAACGTCTGGAGGCACGTTTTTTCCCATTTGAGGGGAAGAAAGTTTATTTTTACAAACAAGCCCAAATCCTTGTAACAGATATGTGGAAAGTATTAGAAGAAAAAGGAGATGGCTGCTTTAAGACATCTCCAGACCAGGCATAGTGGCTCACACCTGTAATCCCAGCACTTTGGGAGGCAGAGGCAGACCGATCACCTGAAGTCAGGAGTTTGAGACCAGCCTGGACAACATGGTGAAACCGTGTCTCTACTAAAAATACAAAAAAGTTAGCCAGGTGTGGTGGCGGGTGCCTGTAATCCCAGCTACTCAGGAGGCTGAGGCATGAGAATCGCTTGAACCTGGGAGGTGGACTTGAGTGAGCTGAGATCGTGCCGCTGCACTCCAGCCTGGGTGACAGAGCAAGACTCTGTCTCAAACAAAAACAAAAACAAAAACACATCTCCAGTATTACATGTTTGCTAACTACAGATTACTTCAGGTTCTTGCTCACCATGGACCTCTGAAATACTCTTACGAACTACTGAAGAACCTTTTCGAAGGAGAAATACTGTCATATGGGGATAAGCAAGAGTGGGAAAATCAGCATGCTCACTTTGGTTGTGGTGAGCTGATCTGGGATTGCCTTCTGAGGCTTATTGAAAAGGGAACGAAAAATGACATATTACCGTCTATTCCCAACTTCATCATTTATCTGCTTAATTCTAACTATGTTTTTCTTTTCTGTGGACATACTGTTAGAAATATTGAAGGCACTTTAATATTTTCTTCAAATATCATTTCTTAAAATTAATCATGCTTTATGTGACTATTCTTCGGTGATAATATTTCATCTATTCAATTGATATCATTTCTCAAAATGTAGTAATTTTCTGATACAAAGGAGAGAGATAAGGTAAGGTCTCTGATGCATGAATGCTGTTGCTTTTGTAAAAAATCACTGTTGACACCTTATTTTAAATGTTTTATTGGTAATGAGAGTGGGTTTTGTACATCACAATCTTCAATTTAGTATACCTATGTAGAATTTTTTTTTCAGAGTAACTATACTGGAATTGAATAAAGATTTTCAAAACTTTTCTTAAAAAAGAAAAAGGATTCTACTGCTTTTGGTTGTTTTCATTATAGGCATAGGATTTCCCTGGGCCTTGTGGGTATCTATAACTGGTTTGAAATATACAGACATGTTATGTATAGACTTATTTATCTAGAAAGAGTGTATTATAACTGGTTTGTATCTATTTTACATATTATACAGTTGACCCTGGAATAACAAAAGTTTGAACTGTGTGGGTCCACTTATATATGGATTTTTTTCTACCACATGTGGTTCAAAAATATAGTATTCAGGGGATGTGAAACGCTCATACACGGAGAGCCAACTTTTTGTACATAGGGGTTCCCCATGGCTGACTATGGGACTTCCATATGCAAGGATTTGGGTATAAGCAGGTGGTCCTGGAACCAATCCTCCACATATATGAGGGATGGACTATATAGTTCTTGAGTTAATATTCCTCCATTGAATCTTCTGTTAATCTTTTATTTTTAAATGAGAGTCAAGAAAAGACAAAACCAAGAACAGAAAGTAATGAGGATAGGCTATGGCTCTTAGAAAAGTGGTTAACTAGATGTCTTTGTAATCAGGTAATGTGACTGGTAAATCAGGGAATGATACAAATATTACACAGAAAACATGTCAGTTCATATGTGCTTTTTCCCACCCAGGAGTTAAAATAGCAGAAGCACAGGATTATAACCTCTGGCAGGAAGAAAAAAAGCCCTGAGCTCTATGGCTGCAAAGTGAGTTCTTTCAGCTGTTTTAAGAACCTTGAAAAATGAATGTCTACAACCATGGCTTCTTACCAGAGGCACAACCCCAGCCTTATAGGACTTTAAGGATTTATGGCAAGGTGTACTTTCTCTATACTTAGAGATCTACCTTCCTCGGCAGTTTTAGCATCCAGAAGCGAGCATTTCTATTCTGCTGTTTTTGTGCATTTAAAAATATCCTGTAATAGGCTGATTTGTCTCCCCGGCTCTGCAAGAACCAATTAATGTTTCTGTTAGTGCTGTGGTCACACGGTTGCATAGGTTTTGGGTGGTCTACCCCAGGCCTATTATTCCCATGAGCTCTATTAGTTTTAGAGTACAATTTTGCAGACTGTAAGATTTTTCAAGAACATATATATTATGTTACAGCAAAAAAGTCTGTATTCCAAGCCCCAGTTTCTTTCTATAAATTTACTATTATAGAAATCAAACATGGTAATACACATTTAACCCACTGGTTGGCCCAAAATAATAGGCTTCTTAATGCATCTTTGTTACTTTTACCTTATATTCTCATACAAACAAAAATGGGTATAAGAATGGGCTTTAGTAAACATCAATCCTAAATTATGTATTCCAGGCCTGTGTCTGGGACATCTCTTTTTTTAAGGGTAAATGGAATTAATTTCAAACAGCTTTTAGATGAACTGGACCCAGTGTACTCCAAACCTCCCCCATTACCAGGGTTGTTCTACCTGGGCATCAAACTCAGATACTGTGTAGCTTTTCAGTACCCTTAAAGACAAATGCTATACAAACAGCAAGAACTTGAAATGTACAACTTTTCTAAATATATAATATCAAAAACTAAATTTAAAAAGTACATACCCATATATGCTGCCCAATGGATAGCACGCCTATCTTTCTTGTCAAAAGCATTAATATTGGCACCTCTAGACAAGAGTAGTTTGACCATCTGGAATAGAAGTAAACACAGTGTCATCAAAATTGTGAAGCACAATTGTCTATGAATGTACATTTCTGACAGTTACTTATCTCAACTTCTCTGGCACTAAATTTCTGCAGTTGCTGAACAGAAGGAGCTAGACTAAATACTGAAGGTCATTTAACATAACAGGACAAAACATGAAAAAAAGGTTAACTGTGGGTGCTACTGAAGTCAGGCATCAGTACCTTTTTAGGATGCCACTTTGTGCCTTGGTATTTTATGAACTAAGTACAAATCTGGAAAGTCTAAGACTGAAATATTTAATAAGAGGTTTTGTTCCTATTCATAGTCCAAAATGTTAAAAGTGCATTCTCATTCTAGAAATGTCTTAAACTTAATTCAAACACAAACATAGTGCCTACAGTATAATTATACCTGAAGGTCAGTCACTGCATAGTCTGCTTACCTCACAATGTACCAAAAATAATAATTGCAACTAACCATATTTACAATAATTTCTCCACTGGAAGGCTACCGCAGATCTCAAATAGGGATACATCTGTAACCTTAACTGCAGTAGAGGCAAGGATTCTTTACACTGGAAAATCAGAGAAGTACAGTAGTCTCCCCTTATCTGCAGTTCCACTTTCTGCATTCAATTACCTGCTGTCAACCATAGTCTGAAAACAGGTGACTACACTACAGTTACAGTGGGATATTTTGAGAGATAGACTACATTCATGTAACTTGTATTAAAATTGTTCCATATTATTATCTCTTACTGTGCCTTAATTATAAATTAAATTTTATCATCGGTATGTATAGGAAAAAAACACAGTATCTATAGGGTTTGGTACTATCCAATGTTTCAGGCATCCATAGGGGGTCCAGGAACATATCCTCTGTAGATAAGTGGGAACTACTTTGAAAAAGACATGGCAGCCACTAGCTCCCAGCCACAGAATCTTGGGAATGTTACTTTACCTATAAGTTCCTACCCCTGCAACAAAAATGAAAGACTAGACAAGTTGGCTTCAAAGGTTCTTCTGTTACCTTCTCTAAATCTTTGGTGTACACATAAACCCCAATCTTTGCTATGACACCTAGCACAGACAACGTTTGTTGTGTAAGATAACTAAATAGCAATTTTCTTAAATTGTTTTGATGGTTCTGTCACTAAAGTATTATCTTGACTAAATGTTAATAAACTACTAAAAAGCATGTTTTCTAAATTCTGCCTTCCTTTGCTATTTACTTCTGGAAGAACAATAACATATCTCTGTCTTCACATATTTTTCCTGCCACAATAATAGAACATACTTTTCCTGTTGTGTTAAGAGTTGGTATTGTTTTCCTTGGTCACCACAGGTTAACTGTGCACAAGTAGTATCTACTACATACATTTCTAAATTTGAGAAAGTTATAAAAGGAGGCAAAATTAGACAAAAATGAGAAAGATAAATAGTTCTGTATGCCTTTACTATGCAAAAATGCAAGTTCTTTAATAAGTGGGGGGTGGACAGGAGGAGAGAAAAATAATGGTCTAATTGAATGCCACCTACCTCACCATGTCCACTGAAAGCTGCATGATGTAATGCAGTCCTCCCTGCTCGATCAGATACGTTTACATTACTCAGAAGAGGTACCAAAGCTTCAGCACACTTTACAGCTTTATTAGCAGCAGCTATATGTAAAGGGGTTTGCCAATTTTTGTCTCGAGCATTAACATCTGCAGAATGCTTCAAAAGTACCTGAACTGCTTCCTAAAACATATGAAAAGTTATAAAAGACAAATGAGTTAAGAGTTTGAGAAATTATTTCTATATATAGTGTGCGTGTGTGTGTATAAATATGTATCTACATATGAAGAAAATAAAAAAGCTCTCATAGAACTCACTATAAACAAGTAGGAATTTACCCAAGGAAAGAAAATATTTTGAATGTAAAGCGATACTGAGAGTACTCAGAGCCATATAAGATGCATCAAGATCAAACATTCCCTTTCCCTACCCTACCATTAAATGCATAAACATTCCTATCAAAATGTGCAAGAGAGCAATCATAGCTCACCGTAACTTCAAATTCCTTGGCTTAAGTGATCCTCCCACCTTTGCTTCCTGAGTAGCTAGGACTACAGGTGCATGCCACCACCCCTGGCTAATTTTTTAGTTATTTTGTAGAGACAAGGTCTTGCTATGTTGCCCAGGCTGGTCTCACACTCCTGGCCTCAAGTGATCCTCCTTCCTTGGCCTCCTGAAGTGTTGGGGTTACAAACATGAGCCAGTCATAGAGCCACACCTGGCTCTTTGAACAATTTTAAGCAATAGATTTTTTACACTGCATATATAAAAATTAAAAACATACTATTTCTCAATGTATTATACATGCTATATTTGACAAAATGAAAAATCACTAGGATCAATTTCATTAAAAAAAAAAAAAAGACACAACATAGACAAGGTTCTTTTTGCAGTGCTGCTTAGAGAGAAAGTTAAGGCAATTTAAGAGTCTACTGTCCAAGGGATTTATCTCCCAGAAGCGCATGGAAAACATCACAACACTACCTCTATAAATTGGACTCATGGCAGGATTCCAAGGAATTCAGTATGCCATCAACATTAAGCAATATAATCAGAACTAAACTCAACAAAATTTTTCTTTCAGTGATAATCCTAATTTTTGGTAAATTATCGGGGAACCTGCCCCCAATAATTCAAAGTGAGTCCTTTTCTATTTTCCCTAAGTGTCGGCTGGTCTGAGAAATAAAGGGAAAGAGTACAAAAGAGAGAAATTTTAAAGCTGGGTGTCTGGGGAGACATCACATGCCCAAGCCGCAAAACCAGCAAGTTTTTATTAGTGATTTTCAAAAGGGGAGGGAGTGTACGAATAGGGTATGAGTCACAGAGATCACATGCTTCACAAGGTAATAAAATATTACAAGGCAAATGGAGGCAGGGCGAGATCACAGGACCAGGTGAAATTAACATTGCTAATGAAGTTTTGGGCACACATTGTCATTGATAACATCTTATCAGGAGACAGGGGCCGGGCACAGTGGCGCGTGCCTGTAGTCCCAGCTACTCGGGAGGCTGAGGTGGGAGGATCGCTTGAGCCCAGGAGTTCTGGGCTGTAGTGCGCTATGCCGATCGGGTGTCCGCACTAAGTTCGGCATCAATATGGTGACCTCCCGGGAGCGGGGGACCACCAGGTTGCCTAAGGAGGGGTGAACCGGCCCAGGTCGGAAACAGAGCAGGTCAAAACTCCCGTGCTGATCAGGAGACAGAGTTTGTGAGCAGACAACTGGTCTGACCAAAATTTATGAGGTGGGAATTTCCTCTTCCTAATAGGCCTGGGAGCGCTATGGGAGACTGGGGCTTATTTCATCCCTTATCTGCAAGTGTAAAAAGACAGACGTTCCCAGAGCAGCCATTTTAGAGACCTCCCCCTAGGAATGCATTCTCTTTCTCAGGGATGTTCCTTGCTGAGAAAAAGAATTCAGCGATATTTCTCCTATTTGCTTTTGAAAGAAGATAAATATGGCTCTGTTCCGCCCGGCTCTCAGGCAGCCTGACCTAATGGTTATCTCCCTTGTTCCCTAAACATCGCTGTTATCCTGTTCTTTTTTTAAGGTGCCCGGATTTCATATCGTTCAAACAATTTGTGCAGTTAACTCAATCATCACAGGGTCCTGAGGTGATGTACATCCTCAGCTTACAAAGATGATGGGATTAAGAGATTAAAGTAAAGACAGGCATAGGAAATCACAAGAATAATGACTGGGGAAGTGATGTGTCCATGAAATCTTCACCATTTATGTTCAGAGACTGCAGTAAAGACAGGCATAAGAAATCATAAAAGTATTAATTTGGGGAACTAATAAATGTCCATGAAATCTTCACAGTTTATGTTCTTCTGCCATGGCTTCAGCCAGTCCCTCCACTTGGGGTCCCTGACTTCCCGCAACAGTAAATGAATGCCAAACTACATATGAAAATGAAAACGACCAAAACCGAAAGAGATCTGGGTTCTCATGTCAATTCTATTATTTACAAGGCATACTATTCAAGTCCTATAAAACTAACCCTAAATGTTCTTATCTGTAAAGGAGATGGGGGTGGGGGAAATAACATCTGCCTACCACTCTTTTCAAGTATGCTATAAAGCACAATAAACTAATGTACATGAAAAGTGTTAGAAAGTGAAAATAGCTATAAATATACAGAGCATCAAGGAAGACTGAACAAAATGCTATTAGCCATGAATCACCCATACCATTTTAGGCCTCTGAAATAAAAAGTAGTCAGAACAGTTTGAAACATGGGAAATAGCACCAGTACTTAACAGGGATGGCAAAAGACTGAAGAAATGCCCAGTCATCTATCGAATTGCTAAGGAAGTCAGCCAGCTAATCAAAGATATATGGAGGCCTATCACTCCACAATTCCACAACAGTGATTTATCCAAAAGATTTAAAAAATCCATCCAAGAATGCTCATAGCAGTTTTATTCCTAACCACCAAAAACCAGAAATGCAAATGTCCATCAACAGAAAAATGGATAAACAAACAGTATATCTGTACTATTACTCAGCAATGAAAATGAACCAATAATGCATGAAACATGGATAAATCTCAAAAACGTTGAACAAAAGAAGTCGTGACACAAGAATACATATTGTATGATTCCATTTTTATAAAGTTCTAGAATACGGAAATTATGCTAAGAGAAATCAGAACAGTGGTTGCCTCTGGGGACAGGGAAGACTGAAAACGGACATGAGGGAACTTGCTGGGGTAACAGAAATCTTCTATATCTTGACTGGGATAAAGGTTACACAGGTGTATACATTTGGCAAAACTTAAGGGTGTACACTAAAAAATTCATGCATTTTAATTGTAAGTTATATTTCAATTTAAAAAGGAATATGGAAAGAATACATATATGAATACTCACAAAAATTATGGAAAACAAGGTATAAACACTATCAAGATTCCTGATCCTCACCTCTGAGAACAGTACATTGTGACTTGGGGGATCTAAAACTAACACTATATTGGGAAATGTTAGTAGGTATGTTAGTGGATATAATAAATAATTTAAAATAAAATGAACAATTTGTAATTGGATAAACTGGGCAAACACAGAATACTAGAGATGTCAGCCTTGCCTTATCCACTCCCATTTTGGAATTCATAACACAAACATTAAAGCTTCTGGAAAGTTTGGGAAATACTTATGTTCCATTAGTAAAAACAGGAAAATCAATTCTACTTTTTTGTTTCACTAAAAAGCAAGAACAAATCTGGTTCACAGTAGGTAAGCGTAGGTAAGTGGGCACCTAAATAAGACAATAAACATAGCAATTAAGACACTAGAGTATCAAGACAGATCAAGGTGTGAACCCTGAATCCATTATTTCCTACTCAGAGTAATACATGTCAGATCACAGGCCTGGTGCGGTGGCTCACTTCTGTAATCCCAGCACTTTGGGAGGCCGAGGCAGGTGGATCACGAGGTCAGGAGATCAAGACCATCCTGGCTAACAGGGTGAAACCCCGTCTCTACTAAATATACAAAAATTAGCCAGGTGGGGGGGCGGGCGCCTGTAGTCCCAGCTACCTGGGAGGCTGAGGCAGGAGAATGGCATGAACCTGGGAGGCGGAGCTTGCAGTGAGCCGAGATCGCGCCATTGCACTCCAGCTTGGGCGACAGAGCGAGACTCCATCTCAAAAAAAAAAAACAAAAAACAAAAAACGTGTCAGATCACAATAGCAGTGATCTTTGAAAATTCAGAGAAAACTGAAGAAAATCCCTAAAGGTTGGAGACATTAAAAAAGAAGAGGTGAATTTCTAGAACTACAAATCAAAGAGCCTGTCATACCCTAGGATAATTCTACATCATATTATCAGTGTATCATCATAAGCACACGGAAAATAATGTGGGGATAACTAACGGCACAGATGATTTTATTAACAAAAAACATTATTATAGTAATCTAAATTCTAAATTTTCAGTTATTAGAGGGAATGTGTAAGAAATGCTGCTGGTGTGTCTTGATTTTTTTTAAAAGCTAAGTAAACATTCCATGACATTAATTCAAATGAGATTATGAAATATGGGATAATGACTGAAGGTTAAACAACTGTACTCAGAGAGTATTTATTATTACCATGGGGTCAGTATAGAAGAGGCTCCACAGTACCAGTTTTCCCCTTTGGTTCTATCCTTTTTTTTTTTTTTTTTTTTTTTTTTTTTTTTTTTTTTTTAGCAATTCTTACCATTGATTTGAAGGAAAGCACAGGAAAAACAAGGGCTTAACATATTTGCAGGTACTGCTGCCATCTCAGCTCACTGCAGCCTCCCTGCCTGATTCTCCTGCCTCAGCCTGCCGAGTGCCTGCGATTGCAGGCGCGCGCCACCACGCCTGACTGGTTTTCGTATTTTTTTGGTGGAGACGGGGTTTCGCTGTGTTGGCCGGGCTGGTCTCCAGCTCCTAACTGCGAGTGATCCGCCAGCCTCGGCCTCCCGAGGTGCCGGGATTGCAGACGGAGTCTGGTTCACTCAGTGCTCAATGGTGCCCAGGCTGGAGTGCAGTGGCGTGATCTCGGCTCGCTACAACCTCCACCTCCCAGCCACCTGCCTTGGCCTCCCAAAGTGCCAAGATTACAGCCTCTGCCCGGCCGCCACCCCGTCTGGGAAGTGAGGAGCGTCTCTGCCTGGCCGCCCATCGTCTGGGACGTGAGGAGCCCCTCTGCCTGGCTACCCAGTCTGGAAAGTGAGGAGCGTCTCTGCCCGGCCGCCATCCCATCTAGGAAGTGAGGAGCGCCTCTTCCCGGCTGCCATCCCATCTAGGAAGTGAGGAGCTTCTCTGCTCGGCCGCCCATCGTCTGAGATGTGGGGAGCGCCTCTGCCCCGCCGCCCCGTCTGGGATGTGAGAAGCGCCTCTACCTGGCCGCGACCCCGTCTGGGAGGTGAGGAGCGTCTCTGCCCAGCCGCCCCGTCTGAGAAGTGAGGAGACCCTCCGCCTGGCAACCGCCCCATATGAGAAGTGAGGAGCCCCTCCGCCCGGCAGCCACCCCGTCTGGGAAGTGAGGAGCATCTCTGCCCAGCAGCCACCCCATCCGGGAGGGAGGTGGGGGTCAGCCCCCTGCCAGGCCAGCCGCCCCGTCCGGGAGGGAGGTGGGGGGATCAGCCCCCTGCCCATGCCAGCCTGCCCGTCCGGGAGGGAGGTGGGGGTGTGAGCTTCCTGCCCGGCCAGCCGCCCCGTCCGGGAGGGAGGTGAGGGGGTCAGCCCCCCGCCCGGCCAGCCACCCGGTCCGGGAGGTGAGGGGCGCCTCTGCCCGGCCGCCCCTACTGGGAAGTGAGGAGCCCCTCTGCCCAGCCACCACCCCGTCTGGGAGGTGTACCCAACAGCTCATTGAGAACGGGCCATGATGACAATGGTGGTTTTGTGGAATAGAAAGGGGGGAAAGGCGGGGAAAGGATTGAGAAATCGGATGGTTGCCATGTCTGTGTAGAAAGAGGTAGACATGGGAGACTTTTCATTTTGTTCTGTACTAAGAAAAATTCTTCTGCCTTGTGATCCTGTTGATCGGTGACCCTACCCCCAACCCTGTGCTCTCTGAAACATGTGCTGTGTCCACTCAGGGTTAAATGGATTAAGGGTGGTGCAAGATGTGCTTTGTTAAACAGATGCTTGAAGGCAGCATGCTCGTTAAGAGTCATCACCACTCCCTAATCTCAAGTACCCAGGGACACAAACACTCTGCCTAGGAAAACCAGAGACCTTTGTTCACTTGTTTATCTGCTGACCCTCCCTCCACTATTGTCCTATGACCCTGCCAAATCCCCCTCTGTGAGAAACACCCAAGAATGATCAATAAAAAACAAACAAACAAACAAACAAAAAAAAACAAAACATATTTGCAAATAAACACAAAGCTTGGAGAGACCACACAATATCTCATGTGATAATGGAATTTAAACTCAGTTATCTTGACAGACCTAAAATGTAATTCCTGATTAGGTTAAAATATAAGTCGTATGCTCTCCAGCAGTGCAGTGTGGCTTTTTAACACACACACACACACACACACACACACACACACACACACACACACACGCACACCAAAAACAAAACCCAACTCCTAATACTCGGATATCCATTTATTCAGAAAAATATGCAGTACTTACACAGAGCTGAACTATATGCTACTCTTAAAGAATGACAGTCATAAATCATAGTAGTAGAGACAGATTGAGATAGCCAGCTAGTAGGAGGTGGTGTGGAAACTATGTCACTGAAGGAGAGTTGGGGAGTCTAGGAATATTTAACCTGAAGCAGTCTTTCTTAACCTAGTTTCAGTGAGGTAATTAAGCACTAAGGTAGTACGGTATGTGCTAAGTTAAGTTCTCTTCTATGCATCTATCACTGTGCTAGCTATTCTGTCCTTAGGAGAATTTAGAAAACAGTCACTCCAATCAGCTTGCACAGGATTTAATTCTCCCATGGTATCTCAAAAATATAAACCAAAAGCCACCTACAGGTGAAAAACCCATCTTTCTGTGGCCATAGCTATATTTTCTGTTAAATGTAATAAGTATAGCTACTTTTGCTCTCAGGACTTAATGAAAATAAGTAACGATGGTGTAAGTGATACTCTTGACACTAATGACTAGGTTTTCTAGCAGTTTTACTACTTAGGAGACCTTCTTTTCAAAAGAAAAATGATACTCAGTGTTTACAGAAGTTATATCTTTTTGGAATGGCCACATTTTATAGCTGTTTCTCATAATCCTGCAAAAGAGTATCAATACTACATAGCCTTGTAATTTTTAGTTATCTTTTTCTTTTTTTTTTAGATAGAGTTTCACTTTTGTCACCCAGGCTGGAGCGCAATGGCGCGATCTTGGCTCACTGCCACGTCTGCCTCCCAGGTTCAAGCGATCCTCCTCAGCCTCCAGAGTAGCTGAAACTACAGGCGGGCACCACCAAACCTGGCTTTTTTTTTTTTTTTGTACTTTTCATAGAGATGGGGTTTCACCATGTTGGCCAGGCTGGTCTTGAACTCCTGACCTCAGGTGATCTGCCCACCTCAGCCTCCCAAACTGCTGGGATTCCAGGCGTGAGCCACCGCGCCTGGCCAATACAGTATTTTCTTTATCCAGTCATTGACTGATGCGTATTTGGGCTGGTTCCATATTTTTACAATTGCAAATTGTGCTGCTATAAACATGTGTGTACCAGTATCTTTTTCTTATAATGACCTCTTTTTCTCTGGATTGATATCTAAGTGGTGGGATTGCTGGATCAAATGGTAGATTTAGTTCTTTAAGGAATTTCCACACTGTTTTCCATAATGGTTGTACTAGTTTACATTCCCACCGACAGTGTAAAAGTGTTCCCTTTTCATTGCATCCACACCAACATCTATTATTTTTTCATTTTTTTGACTATGGCCATTCTTGCAGGAGTAAAGTGGTATCGCTTTGTGGTTTTGATTTACATTTCCCTGATAATTAGTGATGTTATTTTTCCATGTTTGTTGGCCCTCTGTACATCTTCTTTTGACAATTGTCTATTCATGTCCTTAGCCCACTTTTTGATGGGATTGTTTTTTTCTTGCTGATTTGTTTGAGTTCCTTGTAGATTCTGGATATTACTCCTTTGTTAGGTGTATAGATTGCAAAGATTTTCTCCTACTCTGTGAGTTGTTAATGCTGCTGATTGTTTTCTTTTGCTGTGCAGAAGCTTTTCAGTTTAATTAAGTCCCATCTATTTTTTGCTTTTGGATTCTTGGTCATGACGTCTTTGCCTAAACCAATGTCTAGAAGGGTTTTTTCTGATGTTATCTTCTAGAATCTCTATGGTTTCAGGTCTTAGATTTAAGTCTTTGATCCACCTTGAGTTGATTTTTGTATAAGGTGAGAGATGATGATACAGTTTCCTTCTTCTAATGTGGCTTGCCAATTATCCCAGCCTCATTTGTTGAACAGGGTGTCCTTTCCCCACTGTTTTTGTTTGCTTTGTCAAAGATCAGTTGGCTGTAAGTATTTGGCCTTATTTCTGGGTTCTATTTCTGTTCCATTGCTCTATATATCTATTTTTATACCAGTACCATGCTGTTTTGGTGACTATGGCCTTATAGCATAGTTTGAAGTCAGGTAATGTGATGCCTCCAGATTTGGTCTTTTTGCTTAGTCTTGCTTTGGCTATGCAGGCTCCTTTTTGGTTCCATATGAATTTCAGAATTTTTTTTTTCTAATTCTGTGAAGAATGATGGTGGTATTTTGATGAGAAATGCACTGAATTTGTAGATTGCTTTTGGCAGCATGGTCATTTTTGCACCATTGATTCTACCCATCCATGAGCATGGGATATGTTTCTATTTGTGTTGTCTATGACTTTTTTCAGCCCTGTTTTGTAGTTTTCCTTGTAGGGGTCTTTCACCTCCTTGGTTAGGTATACTCCTAGCTATTTTACTGTTTTTCTGCAGCCATTGTGAAAGGGAATGAGTTCTTGATTTGATGCTCAACTTGGTCGCCATTAGTGTATAGCAGAACTACTGATTTGTGTACATTAATTTTGTATCCTGAAACTTTGCTAAATTCATTTACCAGTTCTAGGAGGTTTTGGAATGAGTCTTTAGGGTTTTCTAGGTATGCGATCATATCATCAGCAAACAGTGACAGTTTGACTTCCTCTTTACTGATTTGGATGCCCTTTATTTCATTCTCTTGTCTGATGTCTCTGGCTAGGACTTCCAGTACTATTTTGAATAGAAGTGGTGAAAGTAGGCATCCCTGTCTTGTTCTGGTTCTCAGGGGGAATGCTTTAAACTTTTCCCCATTCAGTAAAATGCTGGATGCGAGTTTGTCATAGACAGCTTCTATTACCTTAAGATATGTCCCTTCTATGCTGATGTTGCTGACAGTTTTAATCATAAAAGGATGCTGGATTTTGTCAAATGCTTTTTCTGCATCTATTGGGATGATCATGTGATATTTGTTTTTAATTCTGTTTATGTGGTGTATCACATTTACTGACTTAGGTATGTTAATAACACCATCCATGCACCCCTGGTATGAAACCCACCTGATCATGGTGGATTATCTTTTTGATATGCTGTTGGATTTGGTTTGCCAGTATTTTGTTGAGGACTTATGCATCTATGCTCATCAGGGATATTGGTCTGTGGTTTTGTTACGTCCTTCCCTGGTTTTGGTATTAGGGTGACACTGGCTTCATAGAATGATTTAGGAAGGATTGCCTCTTTTGGAAAAGTATCAATAGGACTGGTACCAATTCTTCCTCAAATGTTTGATAGAATTCAGCTGTGAATCTATCCAGTCCTGGACTTTTTATTTGCTGGCAATTTTTAAAATTATCATTTCAATCTTGCTGCTTGTTAATGGTCTGTTCAGAGATTCTATACCTTCCTAGTTTAATCTAGGAGGGTTGGATATTTCCAGGAGTTTATCCATCTCCTCTAGGTTTTCTAGTTTATGTGCGTAAAGGTGTTCACATTAGCCTTGGATAATCTTTTGTATTTCTGTAGTATCATTTGTAATATCTCCCATTTCATTTCTAATTGAGCTTATTTGGATCTTGTCTCTTCTTGGTTAATCTTGCTAATGGTCTATCAGTGTTATTTACCTTTTCAAAGCAGCAGCTTTTTGTTTCATTTATCTTTCCTTTTTTTTTTTTTGGTTTCAATTTCATTTAGTTCTGCTCTGATCTTCATTATTTCTTTTCTTCTGCTGGGTTTGGGTTTGGGTGGTTCTTGTTTCTCCAGTTCTGTGAGGTATGGCCTTAGATTGTCTATTTGTGCTCTTTCAGACTTTTTGATATAGGCATTTAATGCTATGAACTTTCCACTTAGCACTACTTTTGCTGTATCCCAGAGGTTTTGATAGGTTGTGCCACTATTATTGTTCAGTTCAAAGAATTTTTCAATTTCTATCTTGACTTCCTTGTTGACCCAACGATCACTCAGGAGCAGGTTATTTAATTTCCATATTTGCATGGTTTTGTGGCTTCCTTTTGGAGTTCATTTCCAATTTTATTCCACTGTGGTCTGAGAGAGTACTTGATATAATTTAGGTTTTCTTAAATTTACTGAGACTTGTTGTGTGGCCTATCATATGGTCTATTTTGGAGAACATTTCATGTGCTGATGAATAGAATGCATATTCTGCAGTTGTTTGGTAGACTGTTCTGTAAATATCTGTCAAGTCCATTTGTTGTAGGGCATAGTTTAGGTCCATTGTTTCTTTGTTGACTTTCTGTTTTGATGATCTGTCTAGTGCTGTTAATGGAGTATTAAAGTCCCCCACTATTATTGTGTTGCTCTCTCATTTCTTAGGTCTAGTAGTCACTGTTTTATAAATTTGGGAGCTCCAGTGTTAGGAGCATACATATTTAGAATTGTGACATTTTCCTGTTGGACTAGTCCTTTTATCATTATATAATGTCCCTCTTTGTTTTTTCCTAACTGCTGTTGCTTTAAGGTCTGTTTTGTCTGATATAAAAATAGTGATCCCTGCTCACATTTGGTGTCCATTTGCATGGAGTATCTTTTTCTACCCCTTTACTTAAGTTTCTGTGAGTCCTTACTCTTAGGTGAGTCTACTGAAGACAGCAGAAACTTGGTTGGTGAATTCTTATCCATTCTTCCATTCTGTATCCTTTAAGTAGAGCATTTAGGCCATTTACATTCAATGTTAGTATTGAGATGTGAGGTACTATTCTATTCCTCATGCTATTTGTTGCCTGAATACCTTTTTTTAAAAATCATATTATTGTTACATAGGTCTTGTAAGATTTACGGTTTAAGGAGGTTCTATTTTGGAGTATTTCAAGAATTTCTTTCAAGGTTTAGAGCTCCTTTTAGCAGTTCTTGTAGCGCTGGCTTGGTAGTGGTGAATTCTCTCAGAATTTTTGTCTGGAAAAGACTGTATACCCTCCTTCATTCATGAAGCTTAGTTTCACTGGGTACAAAATTTTTGGCAGATAATCGTTTTGTTTAAGGAGGCTAAAAATAGAACCCCAATCCCTTCTAGCTTTGTAGGGCTTCGCTGAGAAATCTGCTGTTAATCTGATAGGTGTTCCTTTATAGGTTACCTGATGCTTTTGCCTCACAGCTCTGAAGATTCTTTCCTGCATCTTGACTTTAGATAACTTGATGACTATGTACCTAGGTGATAATCTTTCTGTGATGAATTTGCCAGGTGTTCTTTGAGCTTCTTGTATTTGGATGTCCAGATCTCTTGCAAGGCTGGGAAAGTTTCCCTCAATTATTCTCTCAAATATAGTTTCCAAACTTTTAGAGTTCTCTTCTTCCTCAGGAACACCAACTATTCTCAGCTTTGGAAAATTAACATAGTCCCAAACTTCTTGGAGACTTCGTTCATTTAAAAAAAAATTTTTTTTCTTTGTCTTTGATGGATTGGGTTAATTCAAAAGCCTTGTCTTCAAGCGCTAAAGTTCTTCTGTTTGTTTGATTGTATTGCTGAGACTTTCCAGTGCATTTTGCATGTCTCTAAGTGTGACCTTGATTTCTAGAAGTTGTGACTGTTTTTACCTATTTCACTAAAGAATTTTCCTTTCATATTCTATATTATGTTTTTGTTTTTTTTTTTTTTTTTTTTGAGACGGAGTCTCGCTCTGTCGCCCAGGCCGGACTGCGGACTGCAGTGGCGCAATCTCGGCTCACTGCAAGCTCCGCTTCCCGGGTTCACGCCATTCTCCTGCCTCAGCCTCCCGAGTAGCTGGGACTACAGGCGCCCGCCACCGCGCCCGGCTAATTTTTTGTATTTTTTTAGTAGAGACGGGGTTTCACCTTGTTAGCCAGGATGGTCTCGATCTCCTGACCTCATGATCCACCCGCCTCGGCCTCCCAAAGTGCTGGGATTACAGGCGTGAGCCACCGCGCCCGGCCTATGTTTTTAATTTAAGTTGGACTTCACTTTTCTCTGGTGTCTCCTTAATTAGCTTAATAATCAATCTTCTGACTTCTTTTCCTGGCAATTCATAGACTTCATCTTGGTTTGCATCCATTGCTGGTGAGCTGGTATATTTTGGGGGTGTTAAATAACCTTGTTTTGTCATATTACCAGAATTGTTTTTCTGGTTCTTTCTCATTTGGGTAGGCTATGTCAGAGGGAAGATCTGGGATTCAAGGACTACTGTTTAAATTATTTTGTCCCACTGGGTGTTCCCTTGATGTGGTGTTCTCCCACTTCCCCTAGGAATGGGTATTCCTGAGAGCCAAACTGTAGTGATTGTTTTTGCTCTTCTGGGTCTAGTAACCCAGTGGAGCTACTAGGCTCCGGGATGGTACTGGGGAATGTCTGTAAAGAGTCCTGTGATGTGATCTGTCTTCAGGTCCTTCAGCTGTGGATACTAGCACCTGCTCCAGTGGAGGTAGCAGGGGAGTGAAGCGGACTCTGAGGGTTCTTGGTTGTGTTTCTGTTTAGTCATCTGCCTTGTAATTTTTAGACTGAAGAGTAGAATTAAGAAACTTACTAGGATTATTTGCTTTCTAACCTACAACTTGCCCTTAAATTCAGGCTGAGCACATAGTTTTTAAAAATTAGGAATTAAGTCTCTGGCAGAATTTGCTGTCTTCCTTTAATGTTAATTTTTCTTTAGTAATTTTTGGTCTGTTTTACAACTTCTGCAAATATATAAATTGTACCTTCTTATGACTTAATCTGGTAAAAATCCATTATTTTAATAGCCATAATCCCAAGAATCTTAAAACAAAATGCGTAGGTATGGCTAACATTAATATGTTCCAATAACAGTAATGTTTATCTTAACTGTTTTTATTTAAATAAACATCTTTATGGAGAGCTAACCACAAAATTAATAACATTACAATGGAATTTCAGAATTCAAAGTATTTTGGCTAGTATGTCTTAGTTTTTATAATTCCTAGACTTGTCCAACATCGCACAGCTGAAAAGTTGCACGTAATAATTGAAGCCAGTGTCTCCAAATCTAAGTTCCATAAGTTCATAAGCTATAGCACATCAAGGACCCAGTTCAGAGTTAGGTTGTGTGTTCAACTGCACCCACTGTCCCCATCCTTCTCCTAACTAGGAGGCTACAGCTAATAGATTGCCTCTGTTAATTACAGGGTTTGTAATCCTTCTCAGTCACATTTCACCTTTATGACTCTTCACTTGCCCAGCTATTGCTCTGGGTTCAAGATGTAGTTCACAATGAGGAATACAAAGGACAAAGAGACAGAAGCTCCATAGTTTCTCATGAGGCACTAGTTAGAGTTCCCTTTCCTTCTCCCAAACTACATAGTCCCATGATGGACAGAAGAAGCAGTAGCTACACTTAGGAGTTCCTTTCTTAACCTCACAATTTGAATAACTAAAGAAATACTAGATGAACATAAACTTATACTATCACATACTTTTGTATTTTAAATTATTTTTTAAGCTTTGCAACAAGTTACAACTACTGTAAAGTAGGTAAAATGGGTACTTTGGACACAATGCATTTTAGAAAAGCACCGAATACACATTATAAAGTAAAATAACAGAAAAAAAAAAAAGATGATTCAGGTTTTTGTCTCATCTCTATCATTTAACAGCTGAGTAGTTTTTCATGAATCATTAACTATATAGTTTCCTCAAGACGTCTATCCTACAAAGATGTCCTCAGGACTGAAAGATATGAGAAATATAAAAATACTGTGCAAATAATGAACATTTTCTAAAAATGTCAGTTATCTCAACAAGCAAACAATATACAAGGCTGTACACAAGAAGGAACTATTCTTCCTTGTAATCCCTCTCAAACATTTTAAAGTTATATATTTATAACCAGTAAAATGTGCAATCAAGTAATGGTTTTGAAGCTAATTTCAGTATTTAGCTAAGTAACATTTCAATTAATTATTATACACTGATGAGATTCTTTCTTGATCACAATCAGTGAAACCTTTGTAAGAGACTATTGTAAATAGGTAGAGAAAAGCCCTGAGGAAGAATATATAGGACAGAAAAATGATTTCTCTTGTAGAAGGGACAGAGATAGGGTTTTCTATTCTCTGCTACTTCAGACTGCAAGAGGCCTTATAAACAAAAGAAGAAATGAAACAATTAACTTGGTTTGTACAAATTCTAAAGTAAAATGACCAGTCAAGGTATCTCAGTAGCTTTTCCTTCTTTTGAAAACATAGAATTTGAATATGGATTCAGGGGTACGCCTATTTAATGTTTTCATATAAAACATATTTACTAAGAGAAATTTCATACCTCACTACAAGATGCAACTGCTCTGTGTAAAGGTGTCAACCATTTGCTGTCTTTGGCATTAACTCTAGCTCCTGCAACAAGAAGAAAAAAATAAATTGAAATATTGTACATAAAATATTTTTAATAAATCTCCTGAAATAGTAGTTATATATAATCCAAATTGGATAAATGACAATTGAAAAAAAACTTATTTTTTACACTTTCTGCTGATAAAATTACCCTTAGAATATAAAACAAAATTAGCCTTTTAAATTGATATAATTGTCCAATAAAGTCTTAGTTTTTTAATTTAAAACAAAATAAACATCATTTTATATATAGGTTAGAAAAGCCACCTTTATACAGAGCATATCCAAGGTAGAAATCAGACCCCATTTTAGAATGTGTGTTAAAAAAATCAAATAAATGAATATAAGAATATACTTGGAGATAAAATGCAGACTATTTTAAAGTCTTCATTACATTTCTTTACTAATGAATATATCACGCCATAAGGTAATATGATAACATCAAAATAGTTCTCCAGCCATGATTTAAAACACATTGTATAAGATAGAAACAATGGTTACAGATTTAGAAAAATAATTGAGAAAGAAATGAACCAACTCATGTCTTTCTAGGTTATACCTAAAGCTTAAGAAAGAAATTTTTTTAAACAAATCAATTTTGTACAGTTGTTTAAAAATCATTAAGTCAATGGACAAAAATTAACCTTAATAGAATGCAAACACATTAAGACAAAAAAATTTACATTATTCGAGGAGGGAATAATTTATCTCCCATATTAAATCCAAATCAAATAAAAGCAGCACATGCATGGTAGGATAATTCTATTAATATATCTAAGTAGAGAAGAAACAGCCCTGGTTCTTGGAAGTATAGAACTGGCTGACAGATCCTATCCTATAAGCAATCCTAGATTTATATCCCAAATCCTAAATCACTCATTTTCTAAATGATGAAATACAGGTATACAAAATAACCTAACGTTGGGGTCAACTATAACAGAAACAAAGCTTCATACTTCCTAACGCTTACATTATTTCTAGGTTTTGAGTGTGAGGAGTCAGGGAATAATCAAGTGCAGTGACTTCAAGTAATGCCTTCAATTAGTAGCTCTGGGTCCCTAAGTAGTTGTGTGATCCCTCTGAACCCAAGTTTCTTCACAAAGATTAACATATAATAAATGTGCCTAGTACATAATAGCAAATATGTTAGAGGTAGACTTTAAAGCCTTGAAAAATGAGAGAAAATAAATGAAATGGAGGTGTAAGAAACATCCACAAATGTAGTAGTTGAGATGCTGAGAGTAGCTGAGTTCTCTGTGGGCAGTGGCAGTGAGGACACAAAGAATCAAGAGCTAATTAGAGAGCTTTGAACAATGCTCACAGTTAGGCTATGGAAGAAGGAAAGGAAGACAGCAAATAAAGAACCAGTCAGAGAGCATGACATACCCATGTAATAAATATTTGGGCAACTATCTGCCAGGCACTGTGGAACCCTAGATGGTTAAAACACAAACTGCCTAATCACAGTAATGCCAACGTTTGTTTTGGGTAGAAGACGGAATGTACAAAGTACACACATTTGAAATGTTTGCCAGCTGGAAGCTGGAACCCTACAGATAGTGAAGGAGTGACACAGAAGCTAGCGTCTTTCGTTTTCCCACTTATCTGCTTAGGACTTCAATGGTTCTCTTTAAGCCCTGTGCCTCTTTCTACAGGTTTATATTTATGTGCACATGCATATCTATACACAGTAGAACGGAAAGCTCTGGCAGTAAGGCCCAAAGGGTATCAACACAGACACCTAGTACAGACAGTATCCTGAATCAACAAAGGTAAATAAGAAATGAGGTCTCATGAGGGATGCTGAGAAGTCTGATTCAAAGTATTAATTAGCAGGAGAATAGAAGGGCACAGGGGCTCATGACTGTAATCCTAGCACTTTTGGGAGGCTGAGGTGGGCAGATTGCTTGAAGACAGGAGTTCAAGACCAGCCTGGCCAACATGGTGAAACCCTGCCTCTACTAAAAATACAAAAATTAGCCAGATGTGGTGGCCCGCGTGCACCTGTAAGTCTAATTACTCAGAGGCTGAGGCAGGAATCACTTGAACCCGGGAGGAAGAGGTTGCAGTGAGCCGAGATTGCACCACACACTCCAGCCTGGGCAAGATAGTGAGACTCTGTCTCAAAAAACAGAAGGTGGCTGGCACAAAAAACTGAGGAGACTCTGTGTTAATAAAGATCTGAAAACAAAAAGTAAAAAAGCAGTAATTGTATGACTAGTACGCTTTACTTTTATGTAGAAAAAGGAAGAGATAATTATTTTTATCTTATCACACAATGGTCCCCCCTTGTTTCACTTTTCACAGCTTGTTACCCAGTCAACCATGGTCTGAAAATATTAAAGGGAAAATTCCAGAAATAAATAATTCATAAATTTTAAATTGCTCACTGTTCTGAGTAACATGATGAAATATGGCACCATCCTGCTCCATCCACCCAGGATGTGAATCATCCCTTTGTCCATCGTATCTTGCATATGCCATTCACCCTTTCCTTATGGGACCCTCTTGATTATCAGATTGACTATCATGGTATCATAATGCTTGTGTTCAAGTAACCCTTACGTTACTTAATAATGGCCCCAAGGTGCAAGAGTAGTGATGCTGGAAATTTGAGTATGCCAAAAGAAGCAGTAAAATGCTTCCTTTAAGTGAAAAGATGTAAGTTCTCAATAAAAAAAAAATCATGCTGAGGTTGCTAAGATCTACAGTAAGAACAAATCTTCTACCTGAAATTCTGAAGAGGGAAAAAGAAACTTGTGCATAGTATATAGGGTTCAGTACTATCTGAGGTTTCAGGCATCTACTTGGGGGTCTTGGAACATACCTCTTCAAAAGGGGGTACTACTGTATTTGCTTAATATGCATAAAGAAACCCTACAGGAATGCTAAGATATTAATGAGAGGGGGTGCTTATACGTTTGTGTTGGTGGTGGGAGGCACATTGAAAACTGGGCATATGGAGGTACTAGGGTAGTAATGCAACTTTATATTATACCTTTAAATATGTATATATCGGCCGGGTGCAGTGGCTCACGCCTGTAATCCCAGTACTTTGGGAGACCAAGGCGGGCAAATCACCTGAGGTCAGGAGTTCAAGACCAGTCTGGCCAACATGGTGAAACCCAGGCCCTACTAAAATTACAAAAAAAAATTAGCTAGGCACAGCGGTGGGCGCCTGCAATCCAAGCTTCCAAGCTACTCGGGAGGCTGAGGCAGGACAATCACTTGAACCTGGGAGGTGGAGGTTGCAGTGAGCCTAGACCGTGCCATTGCACTCCAGCCTGGGCAACAAGAGCAAAACTCCGTCTCAAAAAGAAAAAAAATAATAAAAAATAAAAAAAATCATGCATTTCTTCTAAGAGCCTAATCAAATGTTTTTAATTCCTTGGAAAATAAAGGTCAACTATATGAGAAATCAGGGCTATATCTGAGGGCAACAATGAAACAATATTCCCCCACCAACATTAGTTAACATGTGATTTACAATATAAACAGATAAATATGACACAGTAATGTACACTACAAGAGCAGCAGTTGGCTGTGTTCCTGTAAAATGAAAAAGAGTGTAAAAGCAACAAACATAGCAGCACATTTCAGATGGTTCAGATTCCCAGAGCTCATGTCAGTGGGCTGTCTAAAGCTAAATAGAGTTCTGTTCCACACAGAATACTCCAAAGTTATCTATATATTCATATATACTTTAAACGACAAATTCATTCTAGAAATGGAAAAGACATTTCCAGAATATAGTTAACTAGTTCAATAGCTAGTTGGAGTATTAAACACCAGCCACAACAGCTAATAATGAGGATGGAGATACAGGGGAGGCAGGGAGAAACCATACCCACTTAAAACAAAAAACAGTCTTTGTAGAGAGAAATAAAACCAAATGTCGTTAACCGCCTCTGGTGGCATAATCACATGCCCTCTACATGGTAGAAGATAGTATTTGTGGTTTATAAGGATGACCTTAAGTAACCAACAGAAGATTAATTTCTTTACTATTTCCTACTCATTAAGACAGAAAAGAATATAAAACAGCAGTCCCTTGTCATTTGTTGAAGTTAGGTTACTGGCATAGCCTGTGGTGCGAAAAAGCACTGCTAAGAAACAAAAGACAACACACATAGCAATTTAAGAAAGATACCATCAGTGAGTACTATAAACCAATATTTACAGAAAACTTACATGCCAGAAGCACCTCATTAAATTCAAAATGGTTATGTCCAACTGTATAATCAATATTTTAACAAGTCTTTTCTTGTCCCCCACAAATCTATGCATACCAACTGAACTTTCCCTTCAGATAAACGGCCAGAGCCTATCCTCACACATATATCTGAATTTAGATTCACCTTTCTAGAGTAGAGATGTGACTGAGTTTCTGATATTACATGCAATAAATAACACAACTAAAAATCAACTGCAGGATCACCTAAACAGGTTGTATCCATTTCATACCACAGTTATAGATTATATAGGAAAACCCAGCTAATCAGTTTCCTCTCACCCAATCTTTACACGTAATATTTCACCCATATAAAAGTGCACTCTGAAACAATAGTTTTGTAAAAGAAAAGGTTACCTAAATCTAGAATTAAATGTCTAGCTATTCGGAAATAAAACATAAATTCAAAAACAAAAACTTGATTTACTTACTTACATTAGTCTAGGGCTCTAGGCAGCCAGCAATGCAGCTGAAGAGAGGTCTAACGTTGTGAAGACACAGTCATGGGTTAGTGGAAGGAACACTGGAGCAGGAGAGATACGTGATCTCATAATGGCTGTATAACTAGTTGGCTGTGTGACCTGGAAGTGTTTCCTGGGGCCTGGGTCTTCATTTTGCAAATCATAATCCCTGCTCCTAGGCTGTGTGTGTGGTGAGGTGAGGGGGAGGTGGATATGAATATGTATGGACAGGATTGGGTGAGGATGGGCCCCAGATTTAAACAACAAAGGGCACTCTTTCTGCGAAGTTCTACAGTCAGCAATTCTATTAGGAGTATCCCATTTGACTCCAGATTTCATTCTGCAAGACAACTGATTGACTTATTTTCTCCTAATCTAATTGGTCACTAAATTCTTCCAATTCTTTGATTTTTGAACCTCAATTACAGCTGACCCTTAAACAACACTGGTTCAAACTGCATGAGTCCACTTATATGTAGATTTTCTTCCATCTCTGCAACCCCAGACAGCAAGCCCTCCACTTCCTCTTCACCTTATTCAATGTGAAGATGACAAGGATGAAGATGTTTATGATGATCTGCGTCCATTCAATACACAGTGTTTTCTCTTTATGATTTTCTTAGTATTTTCATTTTATTGCTTATTTTATTGTAAGAATACAGTATATAATACATATAACATGTAAAATATGTGTTAACTGTTTATGTTATTAGTAAGGCTTTTGGTCAACATTAGGCTATTAGTAGTTTTTAGGGAGCCAAAGGTTATATTCAAAGTTCCTATTGTGTTGGGGTTGGGGGAGTCAGTGCCCCTAACCTCCACATTGTTCAAGGGTCAACTATACCTGTAAAATAAAGCATTGTGCTAAATCATCCTTATGATCCATTTCCAGTTATAACGTTCTATCCTATTTTGGAATATTCAGAATAAATTATGTCATACTTATTAAACCTTGTCAAATGGTCTGAATGTTTGCGTTCCCCCAAAATTTATGTTAAAATCCCAACCCCAATGTCATGGTATTAGGAGGCGAGGTCTTTTGTGAGGTAATTGGGTCATGAAGGCAGTGAATGGGATTAATGCCCTTGTAAAAGTGGCCCAAGAGCGCTCCCTCACCCTTTCCACCATATGAGGTTATACTAAAAAGACTGCTGGCTATAAATAAGAAGTGGGCCCTCACCAGATACCAAATCTTCTGGCATCACGATCTTCCCAGGCCCCAGAACTGAGAAAAATTTTTAAGTCACTCAGTCTGTGATATTCTGTTATGGCAGCCCGAAAGGACTAAGACACCTCACTCTAACATTAAAAAGATCTATGTTAGGGGTCTTCAAACTACTATCCACAGGCTTCAAGCCACCTAATTTGTAAAGTTTTACTGGAACAGAGCCACATCTATTCAATTTAAATATTAAATATGTAGCTTTCACTATGACAACAGAGTTGAATGGCCTGTAACTTGTATCTTGCCAGAGTCTGTATGGCCTGTAACTAGTATCTGGCCCTTTACAGAAAACGTTAGCCAACCTCTGATCTAGGCTAAGAACTTGATAGTAGGTACTATTAAAGTTATTGCTAACTTTATACATGTTTGTAATAATTATAAATAGTCTCACAAATCATTTTCCAAAACTTCTATTTGCAGAGAATTGTTTTCTTCCTTGCTCCTAAATCACAGAGGAGATAGTCCATAACCAGTGAGCTGGGCCAGAAGCTAAGTACTTTTATCCCTCTTCCCAAACTGGAAATAATGCTTTTCTTTGGCTACCTAACAGTGCAGTGGCAAAAGGTTCAGATTCGGTTTTCAGGCTCAGAGTAGAATGAGCAAAAACCAATGACATTTCCACTTTTCCAACTATAATGCTGAAAAAAATAGCTGCTGCACTGTATCTTTTAAGAGTGTTGTGGATACCAGCTATTGTGGGTTTGTTCAACTCCCAACCCCTGGCAACTCAGAATATGACTTTAACTGGAGATAGACTCTTTACAGAGGTAATTAAAATGAGGTCATTAGGGTGGGCCCTAATACAGTATGACTGGTGTCCTTACAAGAAGAAATTTGCAAAAAGACATGGACAGAGGGAAAATAAAGGGAGAAGACAGCGATTTTGCAAGCCAGAGAGAGATACCCTGAACAGATCCTTCCCTCTCAGCCTTCCAAAGGAATCAATCCTGACGGCACCTTGATCTCAGACTTACAGCCTCCAGAACTTTGAGTAAATAAATTTCTATTGTTTAAGCCGCCCAGTTTGTAGTACTTTGTTACAGCAGCCCCACCAAACTAATGTACCAGCACTGAAGTAAAAAGAAGAGACACATACTTTAGGTTTCATTCTTAATGCCAGAAACATCAGAACGGTGTTTTCTAGTAAGGAGAGTATTTTTTATAAAAGGCCAATCGAATGAATTTTTGACAAATGCCTTCCACAATGCAGTCATTTAAGGACTTAATACTTACTGGAGGCAGTCTAAGGTCTGAGGTACTGCTAACCATATAGTTTTGAATGCAAGCATTAAGTGAATAAGCTCCCAAACAAAATATCTATACCTCAGTGGCCAGCAAATAGTCTTTAAAAGTTCTTCAATAAAAGTGACTTCACATGTAAATTTTACTAAAAGCTAAATAGGTGGTTGGGGGAGGAGGGTGGAAATTATGGTGGGAAGAAAAAAGGAAGATTCTGATTACGGCAGGATTAAGAACACGGATTCTGTAGTCAAACTGCCTGGATCTGAATTCTGCCTCTAGCTTTTACTAGCAGTATAAAAACTTTGAAAGTTTAAAAGCTAAATGTCTTAGTTTCCTTATATAATACCTTCACAAATTTAGGCTAAAATGAGATTAGTGAAATGGCTAAATTTAACAGTATTTAAAATGTAATAAGCTCACTGTTTGCTATTATTTCACCCCATTCCATAATAATTATTAACATTAATTCCAGTGGACTCTAGTATTACTATAGATTCTATGGATGTATTCACTTGTTTGATTACAGGTGCCACGCCAAAAATTATACCTCTCATCCACAAATCTTAGAGTTGCATCATGTACAAATACTTGGTTTCTGAAGAATTCTGGACTGCAAGTTAAAGAAAGTGAGTAGTTTTACTCTAAAACAAGTCACCAAAATATAAAAGAGAATGAGAAGAGATACCATCTTCAATACAATAAGGAAACAGTTACAACCACAAACCAAACTATGAATTATTTCTATCAATAACAGTGAAATGTGTACCAAACTGAAGGACACTGAGTCAAGCGAAGCTTCTTCAGATCTTGGGAAGGTTACCGAGTCCTCTAAAAAGTCATGTTTGCATGTGTGTCCCATTTGCTCCTTTCTCTCTGCTGTGTCCTAAAATCCCTAAAAATCTTTCAGACGATCTAGAGCTGTCTGGGTAATTCACAGGAAAAGCACCTACAGAACTCTTAACCTCACACTGCATAAGAATAAAGTGGGGCAGTGCTAAAAAAGAGACCAAGAAGGCATCTTTATTAATTTTTTACCCAGCTGGAGATGAGGGAGAGTAACAGCCAATCACCAGCAGATTACTATCTAAGAACTCATTGATCTAAGAAGCTGCTGAGCCAGCCCAACTACCTGTGGTATATCAACAAAAAAAGGAAACTAAATGATGAGAACATATGGACACACAGAGGGACACAACACACACTGGGGCCTATCAGAGGGTGGACGATAAGAGGAGAGAGAGGTTCAGGAAAAATAATGGGAACTAGGCTTAATATATGGATGATGAAATAATCTGTACAACAAACCCACATGACTTAACTTTACCTATATAACACACCTGCGCATGTACTCCTGAACTTAAAATTTGGTTACTTAAGTTTACCTATATAACACACCTGTGCATGTACTCCTGAACTTAAAATTTGGTTTGAGAGTTATTTGAAGAAACAAACCTAACAGATGTTCACTTTTTGCCCCTTCCTTTCTGTTCTGCAAAGAGGCATATTCCTCGAAGATACGTAAGAATCTGAAAGCATCCAGCACAGGACTAGGATAAAAATATACAGAGTAGAGTAAACTAGGAGAAATGCAGTTGGAAAAAACCATCCCAGAAAATAAGATGAATTCATGAGCTACTCTATATACTCAACTTCACTGAATTTAAGTTCTGAAGAGGAGACCTCAAAGAAAAGTTACAAGAAAGAGATAAGACAATGTAGAGAGACTATGAGAGCTAGCTGAGTTTGGGGAAAAAAGGAAAACTATTAAAGATAAAAACCTAGAAATAACAAAAAGTAGGATAAACATGACTTAAAATGGTCAAGAATTTGAAGCCAAAGCCAGAGAATCAATCTTTAAAAACATAAGTCAGAGCATGTTATTCCACTCCAAACAGAACTCTCCATTGGTTTTCCACATCACTTAAAGGGCCAAGGCAACACAAAAGAGTGAAACCAATTGGAGAAAATATAAATATCCTTATTTCCTAATTTTTAATCACAAGTCAGACATAATAAAAACCTGAAATATGAACACAGAAGGAAATGACTCTAAAATAATCTCAATCTTTCTATTTTTTTATGTTAGAGAAATATATTTAGAGAATATAGAACTCTTGCTATGGATATCGCAGTAGTTTTTAAAATACAAAATTACAGTAACTGACTATTGTATGTTCTTATGAAAACATATGACTTTAATGCAATCTTACACGACTTTTATACAAATAAGCATTATTTCATATTGCTTAATTTACTTAAGATTATACCTACCTGCTACTAAAATGTGGTGTTGGTAATTAACATGAAGTGTAAACACCTACACTAAATTTTCATTACTAACTATAAACAAATTAGCCTAATTTTGTTGCCTATATTTCTCTTCATGTATTTTTTTCTCATCTTTACCTAGAGAATTGATCAGATCAAATATCTAGTTTCAATTCTAATTTATAACTCAACTTACCATAATTCATTAAAAGGCTGTTTTGATGGATCCAGAATTTAAAATTAGGGTTATAGAAATCAGTCAGTTTAACTTGGGCCTCAGCAACCATGGCATTCAAACCAAATTTAAGCAGAACTCCTGGAGCATCTATACAGAACCTTATGAGTCTATATACTATATATTGTCTGAAGACTATTCTTCTGATATTTATTCTGAACTAAAATTTGGATACGATTAGTCTTTTACTACCCTGCTATTCTGGAAATCTATTTCCAATATAAAAGTAAGAATTCACTGGTTAGCTTATACTTGACTTCTAAAATGTGTAGTATATCTTCTGTAAAACTGTCCTAATCAACTTTCAATTTAAAGAGTTAATAGGAATTTAAAATGGATATAACATGAATGAACTGAAGAAATATCCACCAATCAAAATTCCTTCCTGATCAGGTTTCTGGTTCAGATTTCAAAATCTCTCCTGGGCTGGGCATGGTGGCTCACAGCTGTAATCCCAGCACTTTGGGAGGCCGTGGTGGGTGGATCACCTGGGGTCAGGAGTTCGAGACCAGCCTGGCCAACATGGTGAAACCCCATCTCTACTAAAAATACAAAAATTAGTTGGGCCTGGTGATGCATGCCTGTAATCCCAGCTACTCAGGAGGCTGAGGCAGGAGAATCATTTGAACCTGGTAGGTGGAGGTTGCAGTAAACCGAGAGATGGTGCCACTGCCCTCCAGCCTGGGTAACAGAGCAAGACTATGTCTTTAAAAAAAAAAAAAAAAAAAAAAAAACAAAACAAAAAAAAAAAAACTCTCCTGGTTCCTTCCTCATTTATGTGAAAGGATATTTTTATAAAAGGCTATGGGAGTTATCCTCTATAGTGTCAACTTTCGTAAGTTAAATACACATCCTGATTACTACCTATCTTTTTGTTAGAGCTCTGTTATCCATAAATTACAGGAGCCCTTACTATTTCCTCAGGGGAGCAAATACCTACCCTGTTCAGGAAGGTACTTATATCATATTAAAGCTTTAAAGGCTGTTTCTTGATTGTAGAATTTAAAACATATAAATACACTTCTCCAGAGTATATAGAGTCTATTTTTTTTCAACCTTTGTCTTTCTAGATTGTGGAAATAAATTATTTTTCATTTTCCCCCAGTAGGTAAGTCATTCCTTCCTCTTTATCATTTCAGAACGTAATAACTGGACTTCAAAACTGACAGCGGAGAATTTTTAAGAAAGCATATCTAAAAGTCACAGAGAAGATAATTCCTGATATCAAGGAATTTATTTACTTGGCAGAACCAAAAAAGTGAAGGAAAAAATAGAAATGCTCCTTAAAAAAAAATAGCCATAATTTTGAATACTATATGCCAGGGACTTTTCTAGGTATCTTAATGACATAATCTCATTTGCTTCTTTAAGCCTATAAATTTTATATTATTCCCATTTTTTTAGATGAGGAAGTTGAGGCTCAGAGAGCAAATAAACTTCAAAAGATCATGGAGGTGCTAAGAGGTAAGGCCAGGACTGTATCCAAATCTGTCTGGCAAAAGAGCTTGTGACATTCACACTATCTGTAGTGTCTCTCATGGCAACACAAAGCCTGGTTTATTTCTTTATTTTTTTTGTTTATAAGCAGAAAGCTGAGGTTCTAGTTCAATAGAAATCTAGCCTTGGATTTTACTCCAGCTAATTTTACTCCAAACCCATGTAAGTTTTTGTTTTATTTTTCCTAAATTAGAGCCTAACTGGTAAGTCTAAAGAGAAAAAAGTCTAAGACCCTGAGTTGCACTCAAAGACAAATCATTCGCCTTCTTTCCCTTTCCACTTACCTGATACCCTTCAACCCTTAACTTCTACCCATCCCCACCTCTCCCATTCTCATTTCCATTAAAGACTTGAGAAACAAACCAAAATGTAAACAAATTTCTGAAAAGGAGACACAGTCTAAGCTTATATTGCTATAATCACCATCCCAGGCACTTTAAATAAATATGCTAGGAAGGCAAAGTAGACTAACTGCCTGCCTTCTTGGAGTTTACATTCTGGAGGAGATAAAACGACAGTAAACAAGTAATTTAAAAAGGATGTCAGGTAACAATAAACACTAGGAGAAAAGATAACACAGGCGAGGGGGATTAGGTGGTAGTGGTAGTGACCAAGGAAGATCTTGTTGATGATGCGACATCTGAGCAAGGACATGAAAAGGTTCATGGTGTAAGCGGCTGAAGAAGGTTTAAGGCTAAGGAAACAGCAGTGCGAAGAACCAGAGGTAGAAGGCAGCCAGTAGGGTTAGAGCAGAGCAAACAAAAAGAGAGTAGCAGGAATTCAAGTCAGAAGAAATCTGGGGTGGGGAGATAATGTACAGCTCTAAGGCCAATGTAAAAACTTAATTTTTTTTTATTGAGAACTGAGAACAATTGAATTCATCCAAAATTGTATTTTTCCTTTGAAAAATAGCTACATGAGCTATATTACCTCTTTACACTGATAAAACATTAAAAGTACTTTTTGGCTGGGCACAGTGCCTCACACTTGTAATCTCAGCACTTTCGGAGGCTGAGGCAGGCAAATCACCTGAGACCAGGAGTTCAAGACCAGCCTGGCCAACATGGTGAAACCCCATCTCTTACTAAAAATACAAAAATTAGCCAGGCCTGGTGCCACACACCTGCAGTCCCAGCTACTCGGGAGGCTGAGGCAGGTGAATCGCTTGAACCCGGGAAGTTGCACTGAGCTGAGATTGTGCCACTGCACTCCAGCCTGGGCGACAGAGCGAGATTCTGTCTCAAAGAAAAATAAAAAAAGTATTTTTTAAAGGTAAGTTCAAATAGCTTTTTATACAAGTATCATGGTTAATTTTACACATGATTTGTACTTGGATTATTCAGAAGAAACTAAGCATTCTCTCAAATGCTTATTTCACAGCTGACATCTAGATACTATCATGCTCATGATAAGACTCATTTGACCATCATACTTACAGAAACCAGGAAGTCAACCTTCTACAAGTAACTAAAAATCCTTGTTGCAAACATTCACTTTTAAAAGGAAGGGATTAAGTCAACTTTGAGCATTTGAAAAGTTTCTCCTGGGTGTAAAAATAAAAAATGAAAAAAAAAAACAAACCCTCCACGTGGAATCATATAAAATAATATTTATGACAAAACAAAAATAATCAGAATTCTGTGTTAAAATAAAAAATGCAGCAGTAGACTTCTTATCCAGTCCTAAACTGTTTCTTGGATGATGTTTGTGTAGAAAATTCCATAAACTTGAGTCCCATTAATTTATATTATTAAAAGAAATAATTTTGTCAACCTCCTCAGTTCTTATCTTGAGTAAATTTTAGCTGAAAATTAATAAGGAACAGGCATCTTCAGGGAAGTACATCAGCGGTGAAATTATTCATAAAGAAGCTAACAAAATATTAGCCAGGTCCATGTTTAACCATATTTAATTTTATATGATCATGAAATCTGATATAGAAATAAGGTATTTTTTAAAAATCCAACTGATTCTTAAATTTTTATGAATTTGTAACGGCAAAACTCTGGGCTATTATTTAACGAAATCTTCACACAAAATTTCTCCCTCTGAGCCCTCCTTTCCACAAACTATCAAAGGAATACTACTACTAATCCAATTTCATTATGCATGTAGGTATGCAATTTGGCAATACAAGCTCAAATCAATGACATATATCCTTTCCCAATAAATATCATTACAATCATCTGGCTATAACAAAAGTATTTCTAAACTCTGTCTGTCTGCTTGCCTTTTTTGGGACTGCACGTAGTCTGACCACAATAGGAGCTATTCTATCATAGACAGTTCTAGTATTACTTCATATTATAAAGACTTAAATAGTTTAGAAAAAATAATAAAGGAGTATAATTGACTAAAAGCATTTTACAAGCCCTCAAGTAGGGTTAGATAAAAGCTATTTAAACACAGAAATCTTACTGGCATTGCCTTCAAAATATATCTACTATCAGACTATTTCTTACTGTCTCCACTGTTGTATTTGCTATAAACCACCGTTACCTCCACCTAGGAGAACTGCAACCATCTCCTATAATTCTGTGCTCAATGAGGCCTACTATAACTGTTCCATATAATACCCTATGTAGGCGGGCATGGTGGCTCACTCCTGTAATCCCAGCACTTTGGGAGGCCAAGACAGGCAGATCACAAGGTCAGGAGATCGAGATCATCCTGGCCAACATGGTGAAACCCCGTCTCTACTAAAAATACAAAAATTAGCTGGGTATGGAGGCATGTGCCTGTAATCCCAGCTACTCGGGAGGCTGAGGCAGGATAATCACTTGAACCAGGGAGCTGGAGGTTGCAGTGAGCTGAGATCGTGCCACTATACCCTGGCAACAGAGCGAGACTCCATCTCAAAAACCAAAAACCAAAAAAAAAAAAAAAAACCAACCAAAAAAACCCGCTACATATAATGCTTATCCCACCCCGATTATCCTGATCTACCTTTCAATTTTTTCAAAGCACTCATCATCATTTAATATACTATAAAATTCACTTGTATTTATTGCTTGTTTTTCCTTATCAGAGTATAAGCTACAAGAGGGCAGCAATCTTTGTTTTGTTCTTTAATGTACTCTAAGCACCCAGAAAAAGATATGTGATCAGTATTTATGGAATGAATATAAAAATAAGTTTCAGCTGATAAAACAAATATGAACAACAGGCCATGCAGTAAATAGTCAATTATGATTGAGAAACATTAAGAATAACAAAAATATACATAATGTGTTCTTATTACTCAGAGGTTACCATACCAGATAAAATAAGAAGTTCAATGATTTCTGCATCTCCAAGGTAAGCTGCGGCGTGCAATGGGGTTCGCTTTTCATTGTCCTGTGATAATAAGGAAAGGTGGGAAATAAGTTTTAAAATAAGATTAATTTTAATAATAGTTTTAATAACCACAACAACAACCCCTCCCCCCACCAAACCATTATTAACTATCAACTTATTACTTCTATAACTCTAGCCTAGTCTGCAAGTCCCAATAAAATAAAAGGATGTGACAAGCCCGGGCAACACAGCAAGACCTTGTCTCTACAAAATTTTTTTTAACAATTAGCCAGGCATGGTAGCATGCACATATAGTTCCAGCTAGGAGAATCACTTGAGCCTGCAAGTGAATGAGGCTGCAGTGAGCCATGACTGCACCACTGTACTCCACCCTGGGTAACAGAGCAGGACCCTGTCTCTATTAAAAACAAAAAAAAACAACAAAACAAAAACACAGGGTATTTCCTTGCTAAGGCAAAAGCCTAAAAAAATACTTGACCTTAAAATAGTGGTATAAAGTCCAGCAAAGAATAAAAATAAAAATCTAAAATGACAAAGAAATAGCAACACTTTCTTTGAATAAAGATGCTTGTGCTGCTGATATATATAGGAAAATTTTACTTCATACTAATTTTTTCGTCAGTATATTTCCACAGTTTTACAGTTTAGAACTGTTAACCTAAACAAACCAAAAGATTTGCTTATCAAAATGTTTTCACAACAGTACCCTTAGGGGCAAAAAGGGAAAATATTTCGGGGGATTCGACATTATACTTTAAAGCAATTTTAAGTTTTTTCTTAACATTCCTGCTAGTTTTACTTTCATCTCCAAAATATATTCATGTCTGTTTCAATATAAAAAATACATACTCATCCAAATCTTCCTCCAGGAAAAGAAGCTACCTCTAATGCATGCTTCATGGACCTCCTACCAGAAAACAACAGTGCTCTCCAGTTCAAGATGCAAGATTTTAGAGTAATGTCACATTCAGGGATTTTTAATTCATAGATACCCTATCTAAAGTTACAACAGAGTATTACTGACTTGGCTGCATTTGAAAAAAACTATTCAGAAATACTCACATTGAAACTTACATCCCTCATTTTTGATAAAGGCTTTTGTGACAGATAGTTAGTTGTTTTCCACTATGTTCTTCCTTTTGTCCACAGGAATAAAATTTTAGCTGGTCACTTAGCCACCCAGTGAGAGAATACATTCCTGGCCTCCCTTGAAGTTGTTGCTTGGTGTGGACCAATGGTATGTGAGTGGAAATTAATAATGGGCACAACTTCCAGGTCATCTTCAACTTAAAAGACAACTACTCTAGGCTGGGCACAGTGGCTCACGCCTGTAATCCCAGCACTTTGGGAGGCTGAGGTGGCGGGTGGATCACGAGGTCAGGAGATCGAGACCATCCTGGCTAACACAATGAAACCTAGTCTCTACTAAAAAAAAAAAAAAAAAAAAAAAAAAAAAAAAAAAAAAAAAGCCGCACGTGGTGGCGGGTGCCTGTAGTCCTGGCTACTTGGGAGGCTGAGGCAGGAGAATAGCATGAACCCGGGAGGCAGAGCTTGCAGTGAGCTGAGATGGCGCCACTGCACTCCAGCCTGGATGACAGAGAGAGACTCTGTCACCAAAACAAAACAAAACAAAACAACAAAAACAAAAACAAAACTACTCTAGAAAGGGGCTAATTGTTTCCTGCTTCCCACAGGCTGGAAGGCACATGTGAAACTGAGCCCCTTTGACCATGGAAATGCAGGCCAATATACTAGCATACTGTCAAGCAACAAGATCTGGAATAAATAATCCTACAGAAAAGAGCTGCCTTACTAGCTTGGATCACTGACTTTCATGCTATTAAGATAAATAAACTTATTTAAAGTAGGTAGTATATTTGGGGGGCCTCTTACCATATTAGAATACTAATACAGTTTTCAAGATTTAAACAAATGAAAAATTATACTTCATTTTGTAATAATTTTCTTGTTTAGGAATCCCTTAATTACTTTAAGAAAAAATAGTTGGGCTATTGAGAATTAAAGTAAAAACCTGCTTGCTAGGCAAAAGAAGGATTAAATATCTACAGGCAATCCAAAAAAGGCTTAGCTGTAGTATGTGATGTTATTATACAGACGTATCTTAACATTTGGGAGGCTGTGGTGGGAGGATCACTTGAGGCCAGGAGTTCTACATCAGCCTGGGCAATATAGTGAGACCTCATCTCTACAAAAAAATAAATAAGTAAATAAATTAGCTGGGCTGGTGGCATGCACCTGTAGTCCTAGGTACTCGGCAGGCTGAGGTAGGATGGCTTGAGTCCAGGAGCTTGAGGCTGCTGTGAGCTATGACCATGCCATTGCACTCCAGCCTGGGCAACAGAGCAAGATCTTCTCTGGCGGGGGGCGGCGGTGGGGCAGGGGGGCAAATGTGTGTAACATATAATTATCACTGGTCTCTTCAAACATTTCTTCCTATAATTTTAATGCTGCTTTTGTCCTTAAAATAGTAACAGGTGTTCCAGTAAAGGGAGGTTGATATAGTGCCAATAATGTTAAATTGTTCAGTAAGCTAAGGGTTCTTTCTCTCACCACAATTAGCACAAGACCTTGTTTTTTATTCCAACATATACCACCCCAGGAAACAGAATGCTCTACACAGAAATTATTCAACAATTGTTGAAAGAGCTAACACAGAACCACTAAAGTAACAGAATACATGCAAAGATGTGTCCTAATTTAGTCATTTTTTTAAAAGAAAGGATACTTTGCCTAGGCTTTTCAGTGTTACTCATTAACACAGCAAACTTCCTAGAGTGTTTAAATATGATCAGATTTAGTCAAACTGAGAAACATCTATTGCACCAGATAAACCACACACATAGCACAACAACACAGAAAGTGAGTCATCTGTGTGTGAGGGATGTCTGGAATTCTATGACTCAATGCCTCTCGAATCCCATTAATGTGTTTTATGATTCATATGAACACAGTTTTTCCTCTCTGCAAATCAATTTGAAGAAAAGGGAGAAATACAACTGGCTAATTTTGAAAGAAAGAATTTATATATCATATTTTACTACAGTTAAACATTGAAAATTAGGTAATAAAATATTTAAGATTTCTTTCACCAAAATGTATTAAAATTAAAAAGTGACGATCCCCTTAGACACAGTAATTCCATTTTAAGGCTTTTTTAAAAAAAGCCTACATATCCAGATAAAATGATTAAGTATATTTATTGAATCACTGTAGGAGGCAAAATGCTAGTAACAACTTAAATGCCCACTAAATGGTTACCTAAAATTATAAAACACAAAAAATTCTTAATCTTTATTTAACTGACTCACAAGATTAACCAATATCCTCGGCTTCCTGAGTAAAATTAATAGATGACTTTGGCACATTAAATATTCTGACTAGTAGTTTACCACTAACAAGCCTACACAGTTTTGCTCCCATGATGGGGTATGTTTATCAAGGGTAAGCTGTGTTTGTTACCACAACTGAAGAATCAATAAAAGCAAACTACTGAAAAAAGGGAAGTGCTATTGAATTGGGTATGGCTGAGACAATTGGAAACACTAAGGCAAACAGTGAACAGTAAAAACCTTAGGGGTTTTGCCCTAAGATTATTTCTTAAGGGTCTAATTTCTCACATCAGCTACAGAAACTCAAAATGGAAGTTATAGATAATGCACTGTGAGTATGGTCTGAGCAAGGAAGAGTACACTGAACACCTGTCAGTGGACTCCACATCCATTGAAAAAGCCTTGGTCTAACTTAAAAAAAAAAAAAAAAGTTATGTACCTTATAGGCACTAGAAAGGATTTAACAAATTATGTTAGTGGAGAACACTTGCCATATAGGTTGTAGAAGACTTCCATATTGACTTTGGGTATGAGAATGAAGCACATTTTAGAACTACCTCTGACAGACAACTGTAAAACAACTGTTAAAACTAGTTCCAAGATGCATGCTATGATCCTCTTCCTCCAAGGAATACTTTGAAAACCTCTGTGGAACCTTAAAGTTTCAGATTATAATATGAAATATCATTAGCATTTATCAGAGCAATGTAACTTTAAAGAAAAATCATAAATAGTCCACATTTCTATTATCATCCTTAATAATTACTATGTATTGAATACATATATATACATATATATATATATATTAGATAGCATTACTGGGTACAGAAATCTAACTTAAACCAGTTTAGGCAAAATCGATTTAAAGGAAGGACACTGAAGCATCTAATGGAATTGAGCACTGAACAACCAAAATTGAGGAAAGGCAGGCATGTGGCTAGGTCGTAAGAACAATTGAAATCAAACACTTGAAACACTTTTGTCTCTGTTTCTTCTCTGCACATGAGCTGCTTTTTCTGTCTTCACAGAACACTTTTTTTCATGGTAGGGAATAAGCCATCCCAACTCCTGATATTTACTCTTAGAACTTCAGCAGCCCAAGGAGAAGTCTCTTAATTCAATCTCCCGGAAGAATATCTGATTGGCTTAATTTGGTGCTCACCAAATTTGCTCATAAATTTAATGCTTACTTCTATATTAACTGAAAGTAGGGGAAGATTAACATGGCAGTTCCTGTAGTAACTATGTAGAATGGTGAGAGTGTCTTAGAGAAGGAGAGCAAACCTGAAGATTTTTATTAGTGCAAGCCATTGCATAAAGCACTTAACACATCTTATTTACTGTGTAAAATTATTGTACAATTTATAGCATGCAACAAAAGGATGAACATTGTATCAGTCTGTTTTGCACTGCTACAAAGGAATATCTGAGGGTGGGTTATTTATAAAGAAAAGAGGTTTATTTGGTTTATGGTTGTACAGGCTGTATAAGAAGCATGGCACCAGGCAGGGCGCAGTGGCTCGTGCCTGTAATCCCAGCACTTTGGGAAGCCCAGGCGGGCGGATCACCTGAGGACAGGAGTTGGAGACCAACCCGGCCAACATGGTGAAACACTATCTCTACTAAAAATACAAAAATTAGCCAGGCGTGGTGGCGGGCACCTGTAATCCCAGCTACTTGGGAGGCTGAGGCAGCAGAATCGCTTGAACCTGGGAGGTGGAGGTTGCAGTGAGCCGAGATCCCGCCACTGCACTGCAGCCTGGGTGACAGAGCAAAACTCTGTCTCAAAAAAAAAAAAAAAAGGCATGGCACCAGCATCTGCTTCTGATGAGGGCCTCAGGAAGCTTACAATGGTGGTAGAAGGCAAAAGGAGAGCAGGGGTGTCACAAGGTGAAGAGAGTGATCAAGAGAGAGAAGAGGGGGTGCCAAGCTCTTTAAACAACCAGCTGTTGCATGAAGTAGGAGAGCTAGAACTCACTCACATTTACTGCTGGGAAGGCACCAATCCATTTATAAAGGATCTGCCCCCATGATCCAAACATTTCCCATTAGGCTCCACCTCCAAGATTGAAGATCACATTTCAACATGAGATTTGGAGGGGACAAACATCCAAACGATATCATTTATTTTCAAAAGCACTTGAAACATTTAGATAAACCATATTCTGAGCCAAAACCAAACCTTAACACATTAAAATAAAGCAAAATCATACTAAGTATGTTCTTTGGCCATAACAAAATTAAATTGGAAATAAATAACAGAAAGATAACCTGACAATTTGAAAATTGCCAAGTATTTGGGATTCAAAGCATATTTCAGTAGTAAAGTAGAATAAATGTAGAAAACTACTTCTAAATAACCCATGTAAAGAGGAAGTCTCCAAGAACATTAGAAAAGTATTTTGAATGGAATGAAAATGAATACAACACATTAAAATTTGGGGGATAAAGTTAAAGCAATAGAGAGCAATTTATATATTAAATGTTTGTATCAGAAAAGAAGGTCTTAAATCAATAATTTAAGCTTTCACTTAAACTAGAAAAAAGGGCAAAATAACCAGCAAAAAAAGCAGAAGGATGAAAATGATAAAGATGAAAACAAAACAAAAACAGAGTATCAGTGAACTCAAAAGCTGATTCTTTGAAAAGATCAATATAATTAGTAATCTTCAAGTCAGAATGATCAAAGGAAAAAATAGTCTGTATCATAACTAAGAGGGGATTATCAATAAAATCCCCAAAACATAAAAAGATGAAGCCAACATTATCATCCTGATACCAAAACCAGACAATTACAAAAAACAAAAAAACCCAGAGATGAATATCCCCCATCAACAGAGACATAAATATCTTCAACTAAATATCAGCAAATTGAATTCAGCAATATTTGAAAAGGGTACTACATCACGACCAACTGGAGTTTATTCTGGGATCACAAGTATCATTCAACTAAAACCAACTGGTGTAATTCAACATATTAGCAGACTAATAAAAAGAAAGGTCATATAATCATCGCATTTAACAAAATCCAACATGTACTCATGATTTTTAAAAAAATTATTTATTTATTCATTTATTTTTGAGGCAGAGTCTCCCTCTGTTGCCCAGGCTAGCGTGCAGTGGCGCGATCTCGGCTCACTGCAACCTCCACCTCCCGGGTTCAAGCGATTCTCCTGCCTCAGCCTCCTGAGTAGCTGAGATTACAGGCACATACAACCACGCCCAGCTAGCTCATAATTTTTAAAACTCTCAGCAAACTTAGAGGGGAACTTTCTTAATCCGATAAAGGGTACAACAAAAATCTACAGCTGACAGGTAATTTAATGGTGAAAGAGTGAATGTTTTTTTCTGAGATAGGAATGAGGCAAAAATGTCTACTCTCACCACTCCTACCCAAGTACTTGTCAGTAAAATAAGGAAAAGCAAAAAATCTTATCAATTGAGAGGGAAGAAAGAAAAGTATCTCTAGTCATAGATGGCATATTATTTATAAAGAAAATCCCAAGGAATCTAAAAAAAAAAAAAATTCCTAGACTAAGTTTAGAAAAGTTGTTGAATGCAAGGTCAATATACAAAACCAACTATATTTCTTACTAGCAATTAATAAGTGAAAGTTATACTAAAAAAAAGGTATCATTTAGAATAGCATCAAAAGGTAAAAAGAGAAAGAAGGAAAATAAATGCTTAAGCATAAATCTAATAAAAATTTGCAAGATTTGGGCCAGATGCAGTGGCTCACTCCTGTAAACCCAGTACTATGGGAGGCTAAGGTGGGCGGATCACCTGAGGTCAAGAATTCAAGACCAGCCTGGCCAACATGGCAAAACCCTGCCTCTACTAAAAATACAAAAATTAGCTGGGTGTGGTGGTGTGCGCCTGTAATCCCAGTTACTTGAGAAGCTGAGGCAGGAGAATTGCTTGAACCCAGGACATGGAGGTTGCAGTGAGCCAAGACTGCACTCCTGCCTGGGCAACAGAGTAAGACTCCATGTCAAAAAAGAAAAAAAAAATTTCAAGATTTGTATGCTGAAAACTATGAAACACGCAAGAAAAAAATCAAAGAACACCTAAGTAAATGATGAGAGACCATGTTCATGAATTGGAAGACTCACTATTGCTAAAATGCCAGTTTTCCTCAATTTGATCTATAGATTCAATGCAATCACAATAAAAATCCTCACAGGATTTCTTGTAGATATTAAAAAGCTAAAATTTACGTAGAAAGACAAACTAAAAAGGCAGAAACAATTTAGGAGGAACAGCAAAGTTGGGGGCCTCACGCTGTTTGACTGCAATAATTACTATAAAAGTGAAGTAATCAAGGGAGGGTGGTATGAGAAAAAAGGCAGACATGACCAGAGCAGAGTCTAGAAATAAACCCACACAAATATGATTGATTTTTGACTAAAGTACAAAGGCAAGTCAATGTAGAAATAATCTTTTCAACAAATAGTCCTGGATAATCACATGCCACAAAATTAACCTCCATCTATACCTAACACCTAATATGAATATTAACTTAAAAGGAATCATAGACCTATTTCCCAAATCTAAAATTATTAAACTTAGAAAATTGTGGGTTGTGTAAAGAGCTCTTAGATGCAATACCAAAAGCAAAATCCATGAAGTTAATGAATTAAACTTCATCAAAATGAGACTTTTGTACTGAGAAAGACATAGTTAAGAGGATAAAAAGACAAAGCATGCACTGGGAAAAAATACTTGCAAATCACAGATCTGACAGAGAACTTGAATTCGGAATATATAAAGAACTCTCAAAACTCAAAAATAAGAAAACCACCCAACAAAATATGGGCATTTAAATTATGCTGGGACAATGTGGTACCTATTTGGAAAAGAATGAAAACAAAAACCAAACCCAAACACTACCTCACATTATATGTATAATTTAACTGCAAATATATTATAAAACTAAATGTAAGCAGCAAAATGTTAAAAGCACTCATATATGAATATGGAATATTATCTTTACAACTCAAGTTAGGGAAAGACTTCTGAAACAAGATATCAAAAGCATTAACTATTTTTAAAAAACTGAAAAACAAGGCATAAAAAATTAAGACCTCATGTTTAATTATACCATAAAGAATTCTGAAAAGACAAGTTTGAATGGGAGAAGATATCTGCAACACACGCAAGTCAAAAAGGGCTCATATCCAGAATATAAAAAGACCCGCTGCAAATTAATAAGAGACAACTCAAAAGAAAAGTAGGCAGGAGATTTATTTATGTATGTATGTATTTATTTTTCAGACAGAGTCTCACTCTGTTGCCCAGGCTGGAGTGCAGCAGCACAATCTCGGCTCACTGCAACCTCTGCCTCCAGGATTCAAGCGATTCTCCTGCCTCAGCCTCCCCAGTAGCTGGGACTACAGGTGCCCACCACCACGCCTGGCTAACTTTTGTATCTTTAGTAGAGATGGAGTTTCACCATGTTGGCCAGGCTGGTCTTGAACTCCTGACCTCAAATGATCCACCCACCTTGGCCTCCCAAAGTGGTGGGATTACAGGCGTGAGCCACTGTGCCCGGCCCAGGAGATTTAACAGGTACTTCATAAAAGAGGCTGGCTATATGCATGCTTAATTAACATATAAAATGTGCCTGAAACTGTCATAAAAAAGCAAGCTAAAATAACAACATACAACTATGTAGGAGGAAAAATCAGTTTTTCCCCTTCTACTCACACACCACTCAATACAAAACTGATACTTGATGTGTGGAGGTTGTTTCCTCATAAAGCAATTCCCCGGAGGACACCAGCTGGGTGTACTCTAATTCCATTTAATCCTGACACTATCTACCTGAAGATAGCATCAGATCTCAAAGTGAGTGCTCAGTCCCAAAAGACTGCCCCTTACTTCAGATGCCAGTCCCTACTAGTAGGTTTTCACCTATACTTCTCACCAACTGGCTATAAATTGAGGTTCCCACTACCTCTTTCTCAGGTTTGATTAGTTTGCTAGAGGAGCTCAAATAATTCTGGGAACACTTTATTTATATTTACTGATGTATTAATAACACAAAAAAGGGTACAGATGAACAGCCAGATGAAAGAGACGTATAAGGCACACAGCTTCCACGGAAGGGCGTGCAACTTCCATTCCCTCTCTGGGTGCACCACCCTCCAGGAACTGCCACATGTTCAGCTACTGGAAAATCCCTGAACCCAGTCCTTTTGGGCTTTTATAGAGGATTCATTACATAAGCATGACTGATTAAATAACTGGCTACTGGTGACCAACTCAACATTCAGTCCCTCTTCTTTCTCCAGAGACTGGGGGGTGGGGGGCTTGAAAAGTTCAAGCCCTCTAATCATGCTTTGGTCTTTCAGGTGACAAGCCCTCATCTTTAAGCTATCTGAGGGGCCTCAAATAGCTCAGATAGCACCTCATAAGCATAAAAAAGACACTTATCACCCCAGAAATTACAAGGGTTTTTTAGAAGCTGTATGCTAGGAAACTGGACTATGTCCAAATAAACACTTTACCATATCGTACACTACATACTTCAAAAACCAAGAATGTGGTCCAAAGATGTGGATGAATAAGAATTCTCACACAGTGCTCATGGAAGTTTAAGTTATTTAATAATATGACATTATCAAGTAAAGCTGAATATATGTATAGCCAAGTATTTATACTATAGAAATGCACGCTTATGTGCATCAGAAGACAAGTTTACAAATAGCTGCATCATTCAAAATAGAAAAAAAATGTGAAACAACCCAATTATCCATCAATAGCAGAATGGATAAACTGTGTTGGATGCATTCAGTGGAATCAGGTCAATTTTTAAAACAAAATAGCATTGCACAAAAGAACCCAGACTCGAAGAAAATATACTGTATGATCCATTTGATTCAAAATATGCAAAACTAAATTATATTGCTTGGGGAAGAATAAGTAGGTGGCAAAATTATAAAGAAAACCAGAAGAGACTATTATAAAAATTTACGGGTAACACTGAGGGGTGGGGTGGAAAGTTTTGATCATAAAGTGGTCACCAACAAGGGCACTTCTGAGGTGCTAATGATGTTCTGTTTTCTGATCTGGGTCGTGGTGACATTCACATATTCATTAAATTGTACATTTGTTTTACATAAGTTTATTATATTTCCTAATTTTAAAAAAGTTAAAAGGAGGAGGAAAAAGTTGGTTATGAAAGTGTAACCATTCTTCCAAAATATCAATTAAAACACATCTGAATTAAGAGGTAAAATATATCAAAGAATTGACAGAAAACAAAAGCTCTGAAATGATATTTCCAGCCTAAGAACAGTCGTTGCTTTTGTTGGTTTAGGAAGTTTTGTTCTCCTGAACTAATGTTCAAAATGAAAAAAAGTCACCTGGGCCAGGAGCAGAGGCTCACACCTGTAATCCCAGCACTTTGGGAGGCCGAGGTGGGTGGATCACAAGGTCAGGAGATCGAGACCATCCTGGTTAACGTGGTGAAACCCCATCTCTACAAAAATACAAAAAATTAGCTGGGCTTAGCAGTGGGCATCTGTAGCCCCAGCTACTCGGGAGATTGAGGCAGGAGAATGGCATGAACCTGGGAGGTAGAGCTTGCAGTGAGCTGAGATTGCGCCACTGTACCAGCCTAGGTGACAGAGCGAGACTCCGTCTCAAAAAAAAAAAAAAAAAGAAAAAAAAGAAAAAAGTCACCTGAAAACTGAAAAAACTACTTATCCTTTATCTACCCATGCCCCCTCCCCAAAGCATCAATTTGGTTCTACACGGAATCAGGAATAAAAGTAGAAATTTTATTACCAGAGATCTGTGCAACGCAATCTTAGGGTGTGGGGGAAGTAATCTAGTTTCTGTGTAAATAAAACCCCAAACCCTCACTGTACATATTTATCTTCCAAACCAATGATGAAACCTTGACCTACAGTATTTGTAACTGTTATTTATTTCTCATATACAAAGACACATGTGTTCTAAATGATGAGTTTATTATCTTTTGAACTAGTCAAGTGTCAGCTGCCCAAGTACAATTAAGCTAAACAGGCTTCTTTTCAATAAACTTGAAACAGAAAGGGCGAAACAAAACACATGTGTACCCGAAATATGGAGAATGGTAGTATTCTCTTATGAAATAGTAAGTTTGTTATCATTTGCAGTTTTCTGTTTATGGTCTGTCAGAGCAGTGACTTCAGAGGGGCAACCTGGACAGTTGACTGCTCCCATCACCAAAACCAAACTACACACACACACACACACACACACACACACACACACACACACACACACACACACCCTCTCCGCCCTAGCCCCGTCAATACCCACACATAATATAACCAAATACCTTTAGATCATAAACTTGCTGAAGTCAGGGGCTATGTTTTCTTTATATTCATTCGCTTCTAACACTTAGTAATTTGTTATGCAGCAATAAAAAATGCGTATCATACATAAGTATCTTTTTTCTGGAGCTCCTTTCGTGGTCTCCCAGCTGGTATTACATCAGCCTAATAGGTGTCCATAGCACTCTGAACGTCTCCCTTGTAACAATCATCATATTAATTGACTTGTTTCATGTTCAATGGCTCTAACTCTGGAGATAGGAATCTTGTTTATTCCCTGTTTTTATACCCAGAGTATGATAAATAGTAGCTATTTTAAAAAAGTGCAACAGCTTAAAACAAATAATCTTTTAGTTCACAGTTTTAAGGGCAGTAATTCAGGCATGGTGTGACTGGGTTCTCTGCTGAGGGTTACACAAAGTTGAAATCAAGGTGTTGATGGGCTGTGTTCTCACCTAGAGACCTGACTAAAGGAAAAAAAATCTGTTTTTTGGCTCATTCAGGAAATGGTCAGTTCTTTGTCCTTCTAAGACCTCCATTTTCCTTTCCCAGTTGTCAGCCAGAGGTCACCCTCCACTAGCAGAGAATGCCTGAGTTCTTACCATATGGCTCCCTCCATCTTCAAAGCCAGCAAGAGAGAATATCCTTCACATCAAATCCCTCTCATACGTCTAATCTCCTACTCTCTTTGTTCCTAACTCTAGACCCAGATTTAGAGTTCATGTGATTAGGGCACACCCATCTAGATAATCTCACTTACCTAGAGTCAGCTTTGTGCTCTGCCAGATGACATAAACTAATCAGGAATGAGACCTGATATGGTTTGGCTCTGTATCCCTACCCAAATTTAATCTTAAATTGTAATAATCCCTACGTGTCAAGGATGGGACTAGGTGGAGGTAAATGAATCATGGGGGGCAGTTCCCCCATGCTATTCTCATGATAATAAGTGAGTCTCAGGAGATCTGATGGTTGTATAAGTATGTAGCATTTGCCCTGCTGGCAGTCATTCTCTCTCCTGTCACCCTGTGAAGAGGTGCCTTCTGCCATGATTGTAAGTTTCCTGAGGCCCCCACAGCCATGCAGAACTGTGAGTCAATTAAACCTCTTTTTTAATAAATTACCCAGTCTCAGGTAGTTCTTCATAGCAGAGGGAGAACAAACTCATACAATACCCTATCATGCTTACAATACCAGAAATAATACAGGGGACCATCTTAAAAGTCTGCCTACCATAAACTGCAGCCTGAAAGCTTAAGACGAGGCAAAGGAAGAGGGTGAGAATGCAGGTACAACTGATAATCTGATATAAGGAAATAACATTAAAAAGCAGGGAGAAGAAATTATGCATGATTGGACTTGCCTTCACAGGAACCAGCATAGTAACTGGCACATATTACTAGACAAGTGAATAAACCAACATACCAAATATTATCAAATTAAACAAGCAAGTATTTACTAAAGAGCTTATATGCTTATAGCTACAAGAGAAAAGAAATTACTTATAATGCTAAGCCACTAGGTAGAATTGAGAGGTGACATACCAGGGCAGACAATATGGACAAAAAACTAAATTTGACATAAAGAAAACTGCGTTAAGATATCTTTGAGATCTTGGAAAGTGACCAAATGGAAGCAACCAAATCAAATAATTCCAAGGGCCTTAGTTTTGCCTCATCTGTAACGGAGTTGATTTAACTACTTAATCTTTAAGATCCCTTTCCAGTGCTGACTATCCTACAATATGGAAGGCATGGTTCTTGCCCCAGGACAAATTCCCTGTAGGTATTTTAGAATCTAGTTATTAATTCATGTTGTAATCTAGACACTGCTCTATAATAATATATAAAAATACAGACAGCATCCTATTCTAAGTACTGAATTTATTCCATTCTACAAATTTAGCAGTAATCAGATATTTCTAAGGCTTACTTGCTTTTTGTAGAATAATAAAACACTAAAATTACACATCAATAACAGGTCCTGTAAAGGCCAAAAATGGCAGGCCCACAGCTAACATCACACTTAACGTACAAAGTTGAAAGCTTTCTTCTAAGACGAGGGACAAGAATGCTGCCCACCCTCACCACTCCTATCCACCATAGTGCTGCAAGTCCTAGCCAGAACAATTAGGCAAGAGAAAGAAGTAAAAGGCATCCTAATAAAAAAGAAAGAAATGAAATTTTATTTGCAGACATGATCTTACACAGAGAAATCCCTAAAGAGACACCAAAAAATGACTGAAACTGACAAATGAATTAAGTTGCAAGATACAAAATCAACATACAAAAAAAATCAGTAGCCTTTCTGTATACTAACAACAAACTATCTAAAAAGGAAATTAAGAAAACAATCCCATTTATAATAGCAACAACAAAAAAAAGTAACATATTTAGGTGAAAATTTAACCAAACAGGTAAAAGATCTGTATACTAAAAACTATAAAACATTAATGAAAACAAATTGAAGAAAACACAAATAAATGAGAAGATATACTGTGTTCATGAACTAAAAAATTAATATTGTTAAAATGTCCATATTATCCAAAGCAATCCACAAATTCAGTGCAATCCCTATCAAAATTCCAATGTAATTTTTCACAGAAAATAGAAAAAACAACCCTTAAATTCATATGAAACAATAAAAGACCATGAATAGTTAAAAACAATAACCAGCGAAAAAAACAAAGCTGGAGGCATCACACTGCTGATTTCAAAATATATTATAAAGCTACTGTAATCAAGACAGCATAGTATTGGCATAAAAACAGACACAGTGACCAATGGAACAGGACAGAAAGCCCAGAAATAAATTCACTCATTTATGGTCACTTGATTTTTGACAAAGGTGCCAAGAACACATAATGTGGAAAGAACAGCCTCTTCAATAAAAGATGTTAGGAAAACTGGATATCCAGATGCAGAAGAATGAAACTGGATCCTTATCTCATACCATATATAAAAATCAGCTCAAAATACATTAAAGACTTAAATATAAGACCTGAAATTATAAAACTATAAACAAGGCGGGGAAGCACCACAATACTGGTCTGGGCAATATTTTTTTGGATATGACCTGAAAGCACAAGCAACAAAAACAAAAACTGGCAAATGGGACTGCATTAAATGAAAAAGCTTTTGCACAGAAAAAAAAAAAATCACATGTATATATTAGCAAACCGTATATTTGATAAAGAATTTATATTCAAAGTATATAATAAACTCAACTCAAAAGCAAGAAAACAACCTGATTAAAAGAGGCAAAGGACCTGTCATGACTAATTTTAGGTGTCCATCTGACTGAATTAAAGGATACTTAGATAGCTGGTATGGCATTATTTCTGTAGAAATCCATGAGGATGTTTCTGGAGGAGACTGGCATGTGAGTCAGTGGACTGAGTGGGGAAGATCTGCCCTCATTGTGGGCAGGTCTGGATGGAACAAAAAGGTGAAGGAAAAAAAAAATCACAAACAATAAGTGAAGTGATGGATATATTAGCTTGATTTAATCATCCCACATTGTATACATATACCAAAATATTACATTGTACTCTACAAATATATACAATTATGATTTGGCAATTAAAACTAATATTAATAATAAAAAGTAGAGGTGATGCCATCTGTGACTGGACAATTGTAATCATCAAATGCAATCCAGTTGTTCGGCAGGCTAATGTTTAGAATTTCTATTCCAGAAGTACTGCTGGAATATAAAAGAAAATTACCATTTCACAAAATATGTAATGTCTAAGTCTGAAAACATTCAGTGGAATGTCAGCTGCTTCAATCAATAAAATTCTTAATGCTGTATACAAAGTTTTGTTGTTGTTGTTTTTAATTCCCTGTGAGTTTAGGAGACAGTCTGCAGCGAACAAAGGGGCTGGAATTCTCAGGACAGAGCAACAGAGGAGAAAGTAGTACATGGAGAGACTCCCAAAGATCTGCAGAATCTCGCCTTAGTACTCAACTGAGTACTGAGTGGGAAAGGAGTGTAAGAATACTACCTGAAGCTGGTGAAAGAAACAGCAGTGTTTTTCAACCTTTTCTTCCTTACTACTCTTTTCTGACAGTTTTTCCTAATCATTCCCCATGAAATCTTAATACCACTGTATTTCTAAGTTATGCATTTTGGCCATTTAGAGGGCCACAAATCATTGGAATATGTAAGATTTTTCATATACCTACATACCCACAAAGAATCTATTTCCTCTCAATTAGGAGTGATATCACCTCCAACGAGAATGACGGATCACAGAGAACAGAGTGTTCTGTTCCAACTAGCCAGTTAGGGAAAACTAATAATTCCTGGAGCATGGAGTAGAGTACTCAGGAGAAACTTGTTTCAGTAGCGCAGAATTATTCGGATATTTTAAAATTAAATAAAATGCCACTTACATTAGGACAAAAAATTATAAAATACAGATAAATCTGACAAAAGACATTTATAATGAAATTACAAAATATTGGTGAGAGAAATTAATAAGCTTTGTCATATACTCTGCATCATACACAAATACACAAATATTAAGTCAAAATAGCACATTTAAATGTGTGAACTCTGAAAGGGTCAATCCTTCAAGAGGAATCCTGAGTGGCTAAGTGGAACTAAATTTGAAATACAGTCAAGCAGCCATTTGGTAATTAGAGGTTACACACATACTGAGTGTTCAGGGAAAAATGCCATACTCACTAAACTTTGGGACTTTCATAGTTGTCTGTTCTGTGTATGCTACCTGAATCAATCAATAGACTGTGATCTGTGCCGAACCATCAGAACTCAACAAGTTTCAAACAATCAGAACTAACTGAGTTTGCATCCCTCATTTGTACAAGCAGATCAGAGTGGGAACCTGGGCGAGAACTTTTGCCATAAAAGACAAACTTTCTCTTCATTCTCTTAGAACACACCTTTGTTTTGTACAGAAGGCTGCATTTTCCTGGTGTACAAACTGTTAGCTGGCATAAAGCCTCTTTCCTTTTTGGAAGAAAATCCTTTTCAGTGGATTTGTTGATAAATGTGAAACTTAAAACTATAAAACTTCTAGAAGATATGAGCAAAACAACATGACAATGGGACAGTTTTTTTTTAAGATACAACACCAAAACCGAGATCCATAAAAGAATTGATAAATGTGGATGTCATCAAAATAAAACTTGAGCTTTTCAAAAACACTCTTAAGAGAATGAAAATACAGCCACAGATCGAGGATTTGTTTCCAGAACATATAAATAAGAACTCTGAAAACTCAAGAGTAAGAAAACAATCCAATTAAAAAAACTCACAAGAACATTTGAAAAGACATTTCACCAAAGATAAATGGACTGACAAGATCACGAAAAGATTACAGAAATACAAATTAAGACCAAATTGAGATATTACTATTATTAAAATATTTAAGATTTTAAAAGACTGATTATACGAAATATTTGTGAGAATGTTGAAAATTTAGGATTCTCATATCCTGCTGGTGAGAACGTAAAATGATACAATCAGTTTGGGAAACAGTTTGTCAGTTTCTTAAAAAGTTAAACAAGCATATTCAACCATTCCACCACTAAACATTTACACAAGAGAAAAAAAAAGCACACATTCATGCAAGGACTTGTACACACATGTTCACAGTACATTTAATTGTAACAGATGAAACAGAGAAGCACCTAAATGTTTACGAAAGGAGTGGATAAACAAATTCTGTATATCATTACAATGGAATACTACTCAGCAACAGAAAGAAAGGAATAAGCTATTAATACATGCCACAACCTAGATGAATCTCAAAATAATTATGCTGAATGAAAAAAGCAGAAGAAATATTTGAAGTAATAATGACTCAGAGTTTCCCCCAAATGAACGTCAGATAACAAACCACAGATCCAGGAGAACACTAACAGGAAAAATATCCCCCAAAATATATCAAGGCATATCATATTTAAATTGCAGAAAATCAAAGATAAATACAACTCTGAAAGTAGCCAGAGGAAAAAACTTTACCCACACAGGGGCTAAGATAATAATTATGTCTGACTACGCCTCAGGAGCCATGAAAGCAAGAAAAGAGTCCGGAGAAATATTTAAAGCATTGACAGAAAAAAAAATACCACCAACCTAGAATTCTGGTACCCTGGGAATTGCCTCAAAAGTAAAGAATAAATACTTTCTCAGACAAACAAAAATTGAGAGAATTTGTCAGCTGAACTTCTCTCTCAGAAGAAAAATGTTATAGTCAGAAACTCAGATCTACATAAAAAAGGAAGAGCATCAAAGAAGGAGTAAGTTAAATAAAAACATTTTATTTGAATTGATCTAACAGACAATAGTTTGTTCAAAATAATGGCAGCAATATAATGACAAATGCTCACATATATGTGCTCATGTATGCTTATATGTAAGTGTAAGGAATGACAGCAGTGATACAAGGAATGATAAGGAGGAATTAGGATTCTTTTGTTGTTAGATCCTCATACTACCTGTCAAGTGGTATAGTGTTATTTGACAGCTAGATGTCCATTAGATTAATATGCATATTGTAGACTGTAAGACATTTACTTAAAAAAAAAAGAGGTATAACTGATATCCTAAGAAAGGAGAGAAAATATAATCACATGAAATGCTCAATTAAAACCACAGAAGGCAGAAGAAGAATGGACGACCAATGGTAACAAATACAAAACAGTAACAAAAATGATAAACAGTAATCCACCTATAACAAGAATCACTCTGAATGTCAATGGTCTAAAAACACCAATTAAAAGACAAAAATTGTCAGACTCGATCAAAAAACAATATCCAAGTATATATTGTCTGTAAAAAACCTTTTAAAATATAAAGATGCAAATAGTAGGCTAAAAGTAAATGAATGGAGAGGATTCTGAGAATACAGCAGAGTAGGAAGCACCAGGAATCTGTCTCCCCAACTAGAAAACAATTCCACTGGCAGAATCTGTCCAATATAACTATTTTGGAACTCTGTCATATAATGAAGCCTTGCTACTTTCAAGGAAAGACTCAGAGGGGTAAATTATGATTTACTGTGGTCATGGTAAATTGCAATTAATTTTGGTCAATTTCAGTTCTAAGCACAGTAGCAGCTACCCATAACCCACATCTCAGCCCCATGGCAGGTACCTGTGCCCAAACTATGAAACTATAAAAATGCAAAACTATAAAACTCCTGGAAGATAAAATAGAAAATCCAGATGATCTTGGGTTTGGGGATGACCTTTTAGATACAATACCAAAGGCATGTTCAATGAAGAAGAATCGATAAGCTGTGACTTCGTTAAAATTCAAAAGTTCTGCTCCGCAAAAGACATTGCCTAAGAATGAAAAGGCAGCCTGGGAGAAAATATTTCCAAAAGACCTATCAGATAAAGAACTGTTATCCAAAATCTACAAAGAAATCCCAAAACCTAACCAGAAGAACACAAACCTGTTTAAAAAACGGACCAAGGACTTTAACAGACATTTCACCAAAGAAGATATACAGATGGCAAATAAGCATATGAAAAGATACTCCACATCATGTCATCAGGGAATTGCAAATCAAAACAACAATAAGACACCACTACGCACCTATTAGAATGGTCAAAATCCAGAACACTGATAACACCAAATGCTGGCAAGGATATGAAACAATAGAGACTCTCATTTATACCTGCTATGAGTGCACACTGGTAAACAGCCACTTTGACAGGTTTTTTAACAAAACTAAACATACTCTTACCTTATGATCCTGCAATCATGTTATTTGATTTTACCCAAAGAAGCTGAAAATATACGTCCCAACAAAAACTTGCACGTGGAAGTTTATAGTAGCTTTATTCATAACTGCCAAAACTTGGAAGCAACCAAGATGCCCTTAAGTAGGTGAATGGATAAACTGTGGTACATTCAGATAATGGATTAAAAAGAAATGAGCTACCAAGCCATTAAAAAAACATAGAAGAAATGTAAATGCATACTGCTAAGTGAAAGACGCCAACCTGAAAAGGGTACATACTATATGATTCCAACTATATGACATTTTGGAAAAGGCAAAACTATGGAGACAATGTAAAAAAAATTACCAGGGACTGGGGGGAAGAACGAATAGAGGGTGCACAGAGGATACGGCAGTGAAACTACTCTGTATGAAACTATAATGCTGGATACATGTCATTATATACTTGTCCAAACTCATTCAATGTATAATACCAGGAGTGAACCCTAATGTAAACTCTGGTTTTTGAGCCATAATGATATGTATTAATGTAGGTACATCAATTTTAACAAATGTACCACTCTAATGGGAAATGTTGATAATGGGAAGGCTATTCATTTGTGGTGGCAGTAAAGTGTATGAGAAATGTCTGTATCTTCCTCTCAACACTGTTGTGAATTTAAAACTGCTCTACAACATAAAATCTATTACAAAAAAAAAGCCAGACCAAAAAAATGACATATTGTGTAATTCCATTTATATAACACTCTAGGAAAAAACAAAATGTACAAACCAGGTTAGTAATTACCAGGGAGAGGAGGGAGGAAGGGATTTCCAAGGGGCAAATGGAGTCCTTTGGGAGCCATAGAAATGTTAACTATCTTGACTGTGGTGATGGTTTCATAGGTGTATGCATGTATCAAAACTTATGAAATTTTACACTTTATATATATGCAGTTTATTATACATCGATTGTATCTCAATAAAAGTTTAAAAAAATAGTCTGAGGCACTAGCTGAGAACTTTCAGACCAAAGTTACTTCATTTCAGTATGAAATTTAGGACATAATTTATCATATTTTTGCTATACCATATAACTATCAACATCTGTATAAGTAACCATCAGCATTACTTCTGAGTATGCAAGTATTGATACTTGAGCTTTATAGAAAATGCCAGTATTTACCGTCCACCAATTCATATAAACATATGCACTAAAATTGCTTTAAATACTGAACCTAGAGGAAAGGTAGTCTATGAAGTTAATAATATATTTAATAACAGATAATAAATACATTTAAAATTTTTTGCTTGTCCATTTAAGTAGAATTTTTGTTAACTTGATGAAAAGATCTCATTTATTACCAATGAAGAGGGTTAATAATAACCCAAATGCCCTCTAAGAGGGAACTAGTTCTGCTAGTTAAATAAATTATGCTATGAAATAAATTATAAAGAATGAGGAAAGTCTCTATAGACTAATATGGACTGACTCCTAAAATACACTGGGAATGAAAAAGGAAAATGCAGAACTCATGTATAACATGCTTACTAAAAATAAATACCTGAGTGGAATACAAATTTCTGTATTTTGAACCTCCAAAAACTGCTGGTTCCAGTGGATAATACCTTCTTTGTTTCAGGACCATCAGAGTAATCATTTAGTCATAGTGACATAGGACATATACTTGGTTATGGATCTTGGGAGAAACCTCAACATTGACGAAGATAATTTACAAATTTGAAACTGGAATCTAGAGGCACTGGCCACAAAGAGCTGGAGGGAGGTGTCATTTCTCTCCTGGGAGAAAGCTGAGTTGGTTCTTCTCCCATGCCTGCCCCCACCTTCACTCCACGTTCCATACAAGCCAGCTGAAAGCTGGGTAGATACACCTGAGATAGGGATGGAGGGTTGTGGGCTCCAACACTAGTTACTGTGAATAGCTATAAGAAAAGACCATGTACACACATATGGTTTTAGGACAGAGAGTGCACACAGCCTCAAGTAATGAGTGAAGAGATTTTTTAAGAGCTCAGAAACATCAACAGCTTGGTGTACTGACAGTCAGCAGAAGCAACATGTGGCCACTAAGAAAGACTTGTTCAAGATTAGACTGCTTCTTGCTAATTTTCAGAAAAGACTGTATTTGCTGAGCACTTCATGTGAAAAATGTAAAATGAACATCATTTCAATGATTTCAGAAAGCGGTTTTGAAAACAAGGGATAATAATTTGGAGGACTACTTTTGCAATTCATTTTTGAATAATAAAGTATATCTAAATTCAGAAGCCAATAAGCAGAATATACAAGGTAACACTTTCAAAAATATTAAGTTATATGCTACATCTAAGATCTACCGCTTAGCTCTTAAATCAGCTCTTTAGAGTTTAAAAAGGGTTGCTCATAATCTCAGCCTTCCTATGTTTAAACACTAAAAACAGTTTGGCTGGATCCTTGTGTAATACTACTTTGACATTTTTATCTACCAAAAAAATATGGCACTAAAGAAGGCTTGTGTCTTATTTGTCTCATCACTTGTTTGCAATGATAAAATGTAACAGCACTTGGTATTATAAAAATTAGGATTATCTTTGTATCACAGCTTAAAAGGCAGGAGTTCATAGGGCACAGACATAACTATTTTAGAGAGAAACATCCATTTTCCAACTATTATTGCTTTATAGTACTATTTGGCAGAAGAAAAAATATTTCTCTCTCAACAATATGCTTTATTTCTCCAGTTACTATTAAGTCGGACATGGGTTCAAATTCCCATTCTGCTATACTGATTCTGCAGACGGTTAATTTTTGTGAATTTTAGTAGAAATGTTAACCTGTCAATTTTATAAAACTGTTGTACAAGTTAAATTGAGTAATACAAAATGGCTTATGCCTATGTCTGTCTCAAAAGTAAAGTTCTACAATTAACACCAATTTTAATACTCTTAATAAAAAATTAATATTTGTAGAAAATAATTTTCTTATAAAGAAGAATCAAAGTTTTCCTCTAAAATGTGGTATCATTAATATTTCAGATTAACCTATTTGGGTTCTACAACATGGCATTAAGTTCTAGTAAATCTTAGGGAAAGGCATTTATTATTTTGGTCACGAAAATCTAGAAACACAAATGAAAGCTTTTGGGCAAAAGCAGGAGGTCACTGAAAGTCATTTAGAATTTTTAGAGTGTCCTGAATTTGGAGTGGGGAAAGACTGTGAAGATCATTAATGTAACCCTACACATTTACCCCCCCAAAAAAAAAGAAGAGTGAGGGCTGAAGTTAACAGGATTCACTCAACTTGTATAGCCAATAAGGCTAAGAAGATATGAAAATCTAGGTCTTTCAACTTAGAGTCCAACTGTTCTTCACATTCTATGTACCACTCTGCTTTTAAAACATTTTGATTGCATTTCACCCTTTTATGGTTTACAGTGCTTCTTCCACATCCAGGTGACTTATTTTTCCAAAATTTTGCTATTTCAACAGTTTTTAGGCAACTAATAACCGTCCAGTTAGGTTCCTATCCAAACAACTATTTTCCCTTTCTTCCTTCCTATGAAAATCCTGATTTACTCCTGAATATGGCAATATATTCAATAAAGTCCACTGAAGCCCTATTCCTGCTCCAGGGGATGAACCAGGTGATGAACCAAGACTGATCTAGCAAAAAGCGAACCCCATTCTGCTTTGCTGGTGAATTAGTTTAGAGTAGTCTTGTAACCAATGGAACCTTAGGAAGGAATTTTGTGGGGACTTTCGAAGAGAGGTTTTCTCCTTTTTTTAAAAAAAAAAGAAAAGAAAAGAAAAGAAAATGTACAGGAGAGTCTCTTTTCCAATGTCTTTGGTTGTCTCCCATAAGTACATGATACAGCAGTCATCTCTTTATTATGAGAAAGCCAAGAGTTTCACAGAGAAGCTCACCCAGAGCTCTGACATTGCTGTTTTAAACAACCCCAAATTACCATGCTCTAGATTAAATTATTACACAAGCAAAAAACCTCTATTTATTCAGGTAGTCAATTATTATATCTGTGGCCAAAATCTGCCAAATATAAAACTCTAGTATTTGCTAGTGAAACTATGTTACATGACTTCTAGAAGACTTCATGTCATACCAAATAATATGAATATATAATTTTTTAAAATTAAAGTTTGTTAAAAATCTATTAGGGAAACAAAAAGTTGACTTAAAAAAATACAATTGACAAATCTTTAGCCAGACTAAGAAAAAAAGAGAAGAAGATCCAAATAAAATCAGAAATGAAAAAGGAGACATTACAACTTACACAGAAATTACGACTTACACAGACATTATGACTTATGCAGAAATCCAAAGGCTTGTTAGTGGTTACTGTAAGCAACTATATATGCTGATAAACTGGAAAATATAGAAGAAATGGACACATTCCTAGACATATACAACCTACCAAGATTGAAACAAGAGGAAATCCAAAACCAGAACAGACCAGTAACAAGTAATGAGATCAAAGCTGTAATAAAAAGTCTTCTAGTAATGAAAAGGCCAGGACATAATGGCTTCACTGCTGAATTCTACCAAACATTTAAAGAAGAACTAATACCAATCCTACTCAAAATATTCTAAAAAATAGAGGAGGGAATACTTCCAAATTCATTCAAGGCCAGTATTACCCTGATACCAAAACCAGACAAAGACACATCAAAAAAAGAAAACTACAGGCCAGTATCGCTGATGAGTATTAATGCAGAAATCCTCAACAAAATACTAGCACAACTGAATTCAACAATATATTAGAAAGATCATTCATCATGATCAAGTGGGATTTATCTGTGGGATGCAAGGATGGTTCAAAACACAAAATCAATTAACATGATATATCATATCAAAAAAATAAAGAATAACCATATGATCATTTCAACTGATGTTGAAAAAACATTTGATTAAAAAATTCAATATCCCTTCATGATAAAAACCCTCAAAAAACTGGATATGGAAGGAACATATCTCAACATAATAAAAGCCATATATGACAGACCCACAGCTAGTATCATGCTGAATGAGGAAAAACTGAAAATCTTTCCTCTAAGACCTGCAACACAAGGATGCCCACTGTCACCACTGTTATTTAACATAGTACTGGAAGTCCTATCTAGCTCAATCAGACAAGAGAAAGATATCAAAGGCATACAAATTGGGAAGGAAGAAGTCAAATTATACCTGTTTGTTGGTGATATAATCTTATATTTGGAAAAACCTAAACATTCCACAAGAAAACTAGAACTGATAAATTCAGTAAAGTTCCAGAATACAAAATCAATGTACAAACATCACTAGCATTTCTATATGCCAACAGTGAACAATGTGAAAAAGAAACTAAAAAGTAATCCTGTTTACAATAGCCATACATAAAATTAAATACTTAGGAATTAACCAAAGAAGTAAAAGATCTCTATAATGGAAACAATAAAACACGAATGAAGAAAATTGAAGAGGACACCAAAAAATGGAAAAATATTCCATGTTCATGGATTGGGATGAATCAACACTGTTAAAATGTCCTGGCAATCTATAGATTCAATGCAATCCCAATCAAAATACCAATGGAATTCTTCACAGGAATAGAAAAAATACTAAAATTTATATGGAACCAGAAAAGACCCAGAATAGCCAAAGCCACCCTAAGCAAAAAGAACAAAACTGGTGGAATCCCATTATCTAACTTCAAATTATGCTACAGACCTATCGTAACCAAAACAGCATGGTACTGTCACAAAAACAGACACGTGTACCAATAGAACAGAACAGAGAACCCAAAACCAAATCCAAACACCTACAGCAAACTCATTTTTGACAAAGGTGCCAAGAACATACACTGGGAAAAGACAAGTCTCTTTAATAAATGGTGCTGGGAAACTGGATAAACACATGCAAAATCATGAAACCAGACCCCTATCTCTTGCCATATACAAAATTCAAATCAAAATGCATTAAATACTTCAAACTGAATCTAATACAAGAAAACACTGGGGAAAATCTCCAGGACATTAGTCTGAGCAAATATTTCTTGAGCAATAGCCCACAAGCACAGGCAACCAAAGCAAACATGGACAAATGGGATCACATCAAGTTAAAAAGCTTCTGCACAGCAAAGGAAGTAATCAACAAAGTGAAGAGACAACCCACAGAACGAGAGAAAACATTTGCAAACTACCCCTCTGACAGGGGACTAATAACCAGAATATAAGGAGCTCAAACAACTCTACAGGAAAAAACCTAATAATCTGATAAAAAATGGGCAAAAGATCTGAATAGACATTCCTCAAAAGAAGACACACAAATGGTGAAAAGGTTCTCAACATCACTAATCATCAGATATCCAAAACTCAATGAGATATCATCTTGTCCCAGTTAAAATGCCTTTTATCCAAAAGTCAGGCAGTAACAAATGCTGGTGAGGATGTAAAGAAAAGGGAACCCTTGTTCACCATTGGTGGGAATGTACAACCACTACGGAGAACAGTTTGGAGGTCCCCCAAAAAACTAAAAATAGAGCTACCATATGATCGAGCAATTCCACTGCTGGGTATATATCCAAAATAAAGGAAATCAGTGTATCGAAGAGATCTGCACTCCTATGTTTGTTGCAGCACTGTTTACAATAGCTAACATTTGGAGGCAACCTAAGTGTCCATCAACAGATGAATGGATAATGAAAATGTGGTACATACACACAATGGAGTACTCGTCAGCCATAAAAAAACAGACCCAGTCATTTGCAACAACAGGGATAGAATTGGAGATCATTATGTTAACCGAAATAAGGCAGGCACAGAAAAACAAACATCACATGTTCTCACTTACTTGTGGGATCTGAACATCAAATCAACTGAATTCATGGACATAACAGAAGGATGGTTACCAGAGGCTGGGAAGGGTAATGGGGGGTTGAGTGGGAGGTGGGGATGGTTAATGGGTACAAAAAAATAGAATAAGACCTACTATTTGATAGCACAATAGGGTGACTATAGTCAATAATAACTTAATTGTATATTTTAAAATAACTTAAATAATGTAATTGGAATGTTTGTAACTCAAAGGATAAATGCTTGAGGGGATGAATACCTAATTCTTCATGATATGATTATTTCACATTACATGCCTGTACCAAAACATCCCATGTACCCCATAAATATAGACACCTATTATGTACCCACAAATTTTTTTTAAAACCCACTAAAATAAGAAGAAAAATCTATTAGGTGTGTTACTAAGAAACGTGCTGTTTAGTGGTCTACAATATTCAAAACCTCAGGGTGTGACTAAAGAAACTCATCTAAAATTATACAATGACTATTTAATGGTAGAGAAATAAATCTGAACTTATATCCATTCTAAAAATGAATAAAAACAACTTCAAAAAACTTAAGAGAAACCTGAGTTTCAAAAAGTCCAACGTTATTCTCCAAATACTTATTTAAATAAATTTACTTTGGAAAAACACGACTGTCACACTGACATAAAGCTTAAAAATATTTTATTACCTATTAAAAGTCAGTGCATTTAACACCCATTGCCTTTTAAAACCCCATATGATTCCTTATCAGACAAAATCAGATGATATTTACCATCTTAAATTCAAATAATGGCCAAAAAGTTAACAAATCTTGACTTTAAGGCAACACTCTCAACTACTAAGAAAGGGTCACGAGAGAAAAGGCCTAAAAGCAATCATAAAAGTTGTTGTCAAAAACCTTTGTATCACTGAAGACAATTGTCAAAGAGTTACTCTCAAGAAAGGCCTACTGATGAGTGAGCTGATGCTCTCAATGACTCTGAATTTTTTTTTAATTTAGGATAAATTGATTAAATATAACATAAAAGTAATGTCAGCTACAATAAACTTTGTAATGATGGAGAAATTAGCCCTGGTAAATGGAATTATAGTTCAAACTTTCTAATCAAGGTAGTATTTGTCAGTACTATTAAAATAAAACCAAAATAACAAGAAAACCTTAGGAGTTAAATGGAAAACATGTTTTCCACCTTTTCATGCGTCTATACCCCTTGAGCTATTTTCTAAGAAACGCATACTCTTCAGTATACCCTGGGTAAAGTAGCCAGACACTTCATTTAAAACAAATAAATCATGGCCCGGCACAGTGCCTCACGCCTGTAATCCCAGCACTTTGGGAGGCCAAGGCGGGCCGATCACCTGAGATCAGGAGTTTGAGACCAGCCTGGCCAACATGGTGAATGAAACCCTGTCTCTACTAAAAACACAAAAATTAATCGGGCGTGGTGGCAGGTGCCTGTAATCCCAGCTACTTGGGAGGTTGAGGCAGGAGAATCGCTTGAACCCGGGAGGCAGAGGTTGCAGTGAGCGGAGATCATGCCACTACACTCCAGCCTGGGCAACAGAGCCAGACTCTGTCTCTAAATAAATACATACATACATACATACATAAATCCTGAATTAGGTGCATGTTTCCAACTAAATATAAACTTGAAGGCAATTCACTTAGAAAAAATTTTAAAAAATATATAATGATAGCATTCTGTTCATTACCCAATGTTAAAATTAACAACAGTTTTAGCCAATGATTCAAATCTATTCAGATAATTCATTATTTTAAAAATAAGGTAAAACTTTTTTGTATCTACCTAACATTAAGTGGTCACAGCAGTATTATATTAAAAAAAAAAGGAGGAAAGATGAGAGTTAAAAATGAGCTTGCAATGGGTGCTTTCTTAAAACCACAATCATTTCTAGGTCATCTGTTTTGGTGTTGCCACAGCGACTTTGTGAATCATATGACTTTTCACCCCCTCCATAACTCAGGGGTACATTTGTTTCTGGTAAAAATATATACATTAGTGGATGTAATTTTGTTAGAGTACGTAATGTACTTTCAGCCACAACTTAGTAAACTAAATACTGGCCACTGAAAAAACATAACAGAGAGAGAAAATTATCCATATATCCACCTTTCTAAAACTGTCCATCATGTCAGCACTGAATATACTACTGTATCGTTAAGTCTGAAAACTTTTCCAACAATGACTTTACTGAAAACCTAATCTGACAAAAATTAATCAAGCACCATTGTAAAACACTCACCATGATTATTTACAAAAAGCAAATCTGATCTTATATTTAGATATACACTTACAAGAATCCTCATTTGAAATGCACAGTTAAGTATTTAATGGTGAAGTATCATGATTTCTGCAACTTACTACATATATATGTAAAAGTTGTATATTAATAAATACAGAAAGCAAATGTGGCAAAATGTTATCAATGCCAAAAGTAAGTGAAAGGTATATGGGTAGTCAGCATGTTTTTTTAACTTCCCTATGTTTGAAAAATTTCAAAGTAAAAAGCTGGGAGAACAAAAGACCCCTACTGGCTGCTACTGCCCTGAGTATATGTCCAGTGTTTTCCCTTTTGCCTCAATACCTTCCTGCCCTCATTTAAAACAACTGTTACAGAGTTATATTATGTCTTGTAAACAAAAATCACAATTCTAGGAAAGAATTTTAAAAAGCAGTTTTAAAGGCTGGCATCAGTGAATTAACTGTTTTACCTGAAAGTTAACATCTTCTTTCTTAAATATTAGTGCTCGAACTTCATCAGGATCTCCGTTAAATATAGCTTGCACCAGTGATGGCTAAAATAGAAGAGAGTAATAAAAACATTAGAATCATCCATGTGGGGTGACTAAGGATATTTTACATAGTTCTGGAATCTACAAGTTTTCTTCCCTGTAGCAATAATCACTTTTGACATTAGCCAGAAGTTTCATAAAACCAAATCATGTCAAAGTACAGGATTCCTACTTGGAAAAAAAAGGCCTAATTAAAAAAAAAAATCAATTCAGTTTGACCCAATTTAGGTAGTATAATAAACAAAATCAGATTTTATTTCTTGTAAGTAGAAGCCTTTTGTTTCTGTATATGACAAAAAGAAAGACTCTTCCAAATACAAATGTGTGATCTCAACATCTACTTGTGGGACAGAACTTTTTAAGCAATTTCCAGCCCATGAAGGAAGGCTTTTTTGAAAAGGTCTGTTTGGGGCATCAAATTATCTTACATGGATTAGCATTACATGTATAAAGATACAAATCCCAAGAAAGCAAACCTGGCAGTTGATGAAAATAGCCACTAATCAAAGACCAAAAAATACTGGATACTTAAATAACTTGAAAAGACAAACACATGCATAACTAAATATAATAATTTCTTAATCAACGATACAGCCTCTTGATAAGGTATACTATACTAGTCAAGGAGCCAGCTGACAGTAGCACTAAAACCAAGGTTAAAGATGAAGACTGAATCTCATATAAAGTCTTATATGTAAATACATAAAATTCATTACAGAAAAGGCCATGCCTTAGTGTTGCTGGGGGTAGTCAACCTTTCCTAAAATATGCAGAGTTCCTGATTCTTGTTACATCAGTTTCTGAAACCACAAAATGAAAACAGAAACGTGGTTGCCATAACTACTAATTCTCAAATTATTTTTAAACAGTCTTTTAAAGAGATTAAGACATAGTAAAGACTGAAATGTTATCTCAGCATTCAAAAAAGTAAAAACGAAAAATGTGCATTTTATACAAAAATACTGCATCATATCTACACACGTATTGCTTTAATTTGGGTTTGTAAAGAAACTATTGGAAATTTACATCTATTCTTAAAAAACAAGATTTATACTACTAGTTCAGTAGAATATAGTAAACATATAAACTTACATATCTTACCAATACATTTCCAGAAGGTGGAGAATGTAGGGATTTATTTTCCTGTGGCAATTTAGAAATGAATGCAGGAGATTCATCTTCTACCTCCTCCAAAACAACAATACACACTCGACTCATTCGATCTTTTAAAACACTAAATTCCAAGCTATGTGATAAAAGTCACAGTTGGAAGAGCACAAGTAGTTTTTCCTCCTCTTCTGTACAACACTTACAAACATTCTCTGAACAGCACAGCTGGGTTTTTTTTTTTTTTAAAGTTAATAAGTACTACTGGAAAAACAAGTTTAAAATTATGACTACATAATTTGTAACTTCCTAAATATAACGAAATTCTATTATTTCTGTTGGATTACTGCAATACTTAAGAAGAAATTTCACACCAACATGTCAATAACTAAAACTGAGTCCAAGCTCATTTAAAAATATTTTTCCTCTACCAAAATAGTCTTATTGCTCTATCTCTGAAATTTACTTGCACAAAACAATCATTGTTTTTGGTGACACAACACCACACAATATAGAATGAAATGAGAAACAACTGCTGTGACAGAGATGATCACAGCGATACCCACTCTTGCCTGCAAGGTCATATAGTTACCAGTAGCTGTTTTGCTTATAATTGAAAATAAAAAATAAAATCTCACTATTCTGTTTCCACTTCTAATTTGTCTTCATTTCTTCATCACTGGTTTAATGCAGATACTATTCACAGAAAAAAGATCTAGAGCTCAGCACAAATCCTGAAAATGAAGCTCAGAGGTTAACAATTCTTTCAGTGTTTGGGAAAGGGGCAAAAAACAAAAACAAAAAAAAAAAAACCACTCTGCATTAATAGCAAAGCTGCAGTACGTTTACATGTGATGAGTCAGACCACAAGAGACAATACGACTCTTGGTACTAGAATACAGCTTGATTAATCCAGGTTTCCCATATAATAGAAGAAACACAGTTAGCTTTATTCCCATCGATAGCATAAGCAAGGCAGAGCGTTCATTCTTTCTCCATCAGGCAGTTGTCTGTGGCTGCTCCAGCAAAAGGGCACAGGCACCAGGCAGAAATGGTGTTAGTGGAGAATCCTAGTAGAACAAGCAGGCTGTGAAGGAATTAGAAGGCATTTGAGCTCAAATTACTGCTTCAGGCTTTTTGTTTTCTTTAAAAAAAAAAAGGGGGGGGAAAAACATAGTAGTGTATCATTCCAGTGTTTCCTTTGATCTCCACATGAATACAGCTTCCATTAAACAGTCTTCATTCAGAGAAAAAAATAGCAGACTGTGCATCTTCTTTGAGCCAACTACTTTATTCAGTCATCTGCCTCTTTGCCAATATAGTTTCCTTCCACTGTGAAAACCGCCACAGTTATCCTTTTCAGATTTCAAATGCTTTCCTGTTCCTCAGATGATCTTGCAAAACACCACTGACATCCCCAAATGAGTAGGTCCTTAAAAAATATCTATAGAACCTCAGTATCAGTCCCACAGAAGCATTCCAACGGAGCAACAGTCTGAAGAGCAAAGACTGCAGACCCACAGGATGAAATGCCTAGTAATGCTCACATGTTACACTTACCAGAGATCTGAGCTACTTCTCGGGATGTAACTTCCTCTAGCAGGAGAAAAAAATAGTGCATTTGGACAGCCTTCACAATTAGAAGGTTCATGCCAGTTCTGTGACTAATCCAAATCAAACTAAAAAATTCTATAACTGAAAAATGAGTGCGCTTTTAACATTTTCCACTAAAAGCCACAAGGAAATCTGGTGTACTGCCTCTGCTGACTAACAGTGGTTTTAGCAAGTAAACAATTCCAAACGGCTTAACTGCTTTCGTGTGTTACAATAAAGCAAATGTTTAACCCTATAATGACAGTTGCAGTAAGAATATGCCTGCAATGGACTCATAAAAAAGGTTTAAAGATGGAGAAATATTTTATTAGATTATAAAAACCATGAAATTGTTTTATTCATATTTTTACCAAGATCAGTTTTAATCTGCCAGGTGTATTTTATTTTCTAGAATGCAAAGCTTAAACAAATGAAATTTAAGATTGTCTAACAATTTCTAAATTGGTGAATTTAATCAATCATTGATTCATATTTTAAAGGGAAAAGCAAAAATTTCATAATGTAGAAATCCTAACTCTAAAATTATATAAATCATTTGATTTTTCACTGAAGAAATAAAATAATCCTACCTTCCCATTTGGATAGGGAATAAAGCCTTAAAAATCTGTTAAAGAGGTACATGAAAAAAAAAATGTCCTTCGTCCTGAATTACCTATGTCAAAAGGGCACAGGGTAATACAAATAATCTCCCTCCCTATAAATTTCCCAAAGCCATAAATAAATGTCAAAGCCAATCATTTCATCGTTTTTTTTCTTCTTTCTCTGTTTACCCAACATGGGGGATATTTCTCAAGAGAAAACTTACAAAGAAAATACCATGGTCCCCCTTCAATCTGTGTTCTTCATATTAACTAGCATTTTTATTAATAAACAATAATAAACATAATAGTTACTTTTGAACATCTGTGATATGCTATGTGCTGTACATTCTCATTTAATACAATAACCTTGCTGTATTCCCATTATAGAGGGAAAAACAGACTCAGAAATGATGTATTTTACCCAAAGTTGTATAAATTAATAAAGTTGTGTGTTATTTTAAACACATACTCTTTCTAATCTATTCTGCTATCACTGAGTACACACACATACAGACACACTCTCTTCTCTCCACTCATCTCCAGATCTTTGCAACCTGTAATACTAGCTTATAAAAGTGATCTTAACAAACAGGTAACCTATAAAGGTTGTGAAAAGTTTAGGTAACAAAGGAATATACTATTTATTGCTATATTCTAAAACGAGTTATTTTTAAATGGGTACTTCAAAGCAAGTCTTAAAACCATAAAAAGGAAAAAAAAAACAAAAAATCCCAGCATGATACAAATATAAGAATGTCAGAATTTAAAACAAGAACCATTGAAAGCTATAAAATGTATCAATCTATGGAAGAAGCAATAACTCTAACATATTTGTACCAATTAAAACATGCTAACAATTCATTAGTTATATTTTAAAATATATAAAATACTTTTATGCCAAATTAAAGGTATGTAAATATTGAACATACATCAATTATGTTATCCATCTCCACATAGCTGAATCAAAAAATCTTAATATTTGAAATATCTGAAAGTGAAACAACTATAGTAACAATATCCTATATTTCATCTTCAGGGTTCCCAAGCCCACAAAGCAAAATCTCTTTTTATCTTAACAATCTTAACTTGTTCCAAAGTATCTAGTACCTAAGTTCACCTACTTAGACTTAAGCAGGTACATCCTGTTTCTTGTTCTAAGTCAACCTCCACACTTAGGTCTTTCCCAACCAGAAAACAAACTCCTTGAAGGTAGGGACTGTGTTCATACATATTGTCTCCTTCCACTTTCTTCCACCTATAAATAATTTCATTGAAATGAATTCTGTCGTCACGAGACTCTGGAAGGGTGGAGATTTATAAACAAGAATAGTGGGGGTGTGTTGGTATACATATATTTTAACCAGAAAATATAGGTGGCATTAAGGTGCAACAAAGTGAGTTTCATATCTCTAATAAGTGAACAATTAAAATTTCAGAAGTTGACAGGATATAAAACAAAGGTATGGGGTGATGGTTAAAACTAAGGGCTCAGGAGTCAGCCCACCTGAAGTTCAATTCTGCTTCCATCATTTCCTAGCTGTGTCCTTGGACAAACCACTTAAATTCCCTAAGCCTAAATTTCTTGACACTTATATAAGAAAAAAATAACCTGCAAAGATTTTTGTCTAAGAGAAATAGAGTAACAGTACAGTGCTTGAGAATGTAGGCTATTTTGTGGTCAAATTGCCTGAAGTTCTAATCCAGGCTTCCCACTAACCTAATTCTGGGATCCTGGGCTACTCACTTATTTAGTAACCTCTCTGTGCTCATTTTAACATCTATTAAATGACATTAACAGAATTTACTTCATAGTGTTGTGAAATCTAAACAAGATAACCTTACTGTTATGGATATTTGGGATAGCTGAATGATATCCCTTGTGAAGCCAGTGAGTGGATCAAAGGCTATTAAACTCCTCCTCCTCTTGACCCAGTACAAGTGAGGTAATTCAGATTAATGTCTGGAGATCCCATTCAGTTGCCAAGTCCCCACACTTTTCAGTGATCTCTTGAGAGTCTGCTAAAAGCTCATTTTAGACTCTAGTAACTAGACAAGCACATACTAAGTGTTAATTGGGGAGAGGGAGCAGTAAACTTAGGCAAGAAAGACTACAGGTTCTTCCATTCTTCTACCTTCACTAGATTTTACAGTTTAGGGACTGTAAAATTCCTTTGGGAAAAAGGATAGAAAGTACTAGCCCATGGTATATTATAAAATCAAAAGCAGATAAAAAATACTAAGAGAAATATGTCAGTTTTTAAATTATTTAAATTAGCAGCACTGTTTTGTGTCTTCTTCTATTGAATAAGACAGGCTCCTACCCTCAAGGAACTCACATCTTAAAAGGAGACAAGTGAATATTTAAGAACTTAGAAACAGAGAAAGTACTTCTGATAAAAAACTGCTGATAAAGATTGTGCAAACTGTAAGTTCAACATTTTTTTCCACTTAGAGAAATATCAAGGGGATGTGGTTATTTTCTTTGGTACTTATTTTTTAGGCCATATTAGATTAAGTTTTTAATAAGCTAACAAGTTCAACTCTGACAGCTTTATAATCCTTCTATTCTTTATACTAAAATGTATCCTATTAAGAGCTTACTCCTACTATTAATGGAATCACATAATGGTAAAGCTGGCTTAAACCTTTTTACTGATTATAAAAACATTAAGTCACTGGAAGATAATTTTTGGGTTCCTAATTGTTACACCTGAATTTCTTTTTTTGACACAAACGATTTTTCCTTTCTGCAACAAGATCCAACCTAAACCTCACCTTTTGTCTTACACATCTGTGAACTCCGTATTATCATAGAATAGAATACTCAGGGTATATTAAGTGGCTACTCTGTGGCAAGTAACAAGCTGGTCTCTGAGTATTTGAAAATAAAAAGCTTGTGGTGAAAGATGGTAAGGAAGTGGGTTCAAACAATGTTATAGAAAACATTTCTGACAGATCAAGAATCCTCACCAATCTTCTTGAGCTACGCCTCATCTATCCATATACTTTAGGAAAAAAAAGTCTTATGAACAGAGTTAAAAGAAAATGAGGTAGAGGGTGAGTGGGGAGAAATCAAGGAATAGCTGCTTTCTAGGCTACACAGGCCAGAATCCATGCAATTATCTATGTGATTATTAGAGCCACTGCAAGAAAGTCACTAGGTATTCAAAACACAACTCAAAATCCTCATAATAGATCAGACTTAACTCTCTGCAGGTAATATATTTATGATCCAGGACACTTATTTTTTATGCAGTCATAATGCCAAAATGGCCATTAACCAATATCGTTTGACGATCTCAAGTGGTGTGATCCCACTGGTACGTTACATTCGTAATAATAAATTGTTAACCCTTCCAATATTAATAGTACTGTATACTGCAGATTGTTAGCACATTCTAATATTACATGTGTTTTCTGCAGAGATCTGTATTTTGTGTCCATTCCTCCAGGCTTCCATTTCAGCTTTAGGTAAGTACAGAGCCTCACACAATAAAGACTACATTTCTCAGCTCTCTTGTAGCTAGGAGCCACATGAAAAAGTTTGACCAAAATTTTAAGTAGGTGTTGTGTGCCTTTCAGAAAACTTTCTTAAAGACCAACTAGCATATTCAGCTTGCTTCCTGGAACAAAGATGATTGGCCACTATCTTAAACCAAACAAGGACCATAGTCTAGGGTAGTGAAACTACACTAGAAGGGAGCTGGGTCTTTGAGGACTTTGCCAAACAGAACTGCCATACAAGCCTTGGACTGTCTACTTTCTGACTTTTATGTTAGAGAGAAATAAAAAGTCCTGCCTTGTTTAAGAAACTGTAATTTTGCATCTCTGGTACTTGGAGCTGAGCCTAACTCTAAATGATAATCTTACTCTTCCTTTAATTATCTATGAGTGGACATATATCCTTCGAGCCCTGTTCTTCCAACATCCATACTCCAGTACAATGTGGCTACTTAAATCTTCAATAAATAAAATGAGTTAGAAACTTGAGCTGTAACATATTGTACTAGAAACAATAATCAGAAATCTGCTGGAAAATAATTCATATTTTCCTGGATAAGCTAAGGACAATCAGAGGAGAGAGAAAGAGATGGAAACAGTTACCACAAATATTCTCAATCATCTTCAGCCACCATTTTGGTGGGTACTGTTATCAAATCTCTAAATGAGAAACAGGCTCAGTAACATCTAGTCAGCCAATCACTTATCTGCCCCATCCATTCACCTAGTATACATTCATCTACTATGTGCCAGTCTTTCTGCCAAGCTGAGAAAACAAAATTATGAATAGTCAATCCTTGTTCTAATGAACCATACACACAAATAAATACTATATGACTGCAACTGTGATAAATTCTCGAATAAAAAAAAATGTCTGAAAGACAAGGAACTAATGGGTGGCCCATGTGGCTGGGGAAGCAATCATGAGGGACAATATCACATGCAGTTGGAGAAGTGGGTATGGTCATGTGATAGAGAGGCCTTGTAAACCAAGTTATAAAGTTTGTATTTTTCATCAATTGAGAACTCATTAAAAATTTTTAATTAAGGAAGTCATGATTTGCTTTTGCTTTAAAAACATTATGTGGCTTTGATACGAAGAACGGATTAAAGGGGTAGAAGAATGGAAGTCAAAGGACTAGTTAGGAGACCACTGCAGTAATCCAACAGAGTGGGTGATCTGAATTAGGACATGATCATATAGGTGGAGAGACAGAAATATATTTTAGAGGCCGTGCACGGTGGCTCACACCTGTAATCCCAGCACTTTGGGAGACCAACGTGGGCGGATCATGAGGTCAGGAGTTTGAGACCAGCCTGACCAACATGGTGAAACCCCGTCTCTATTAAAAATACAAAAATTAGCTGGGTGTGGTGGCGCGTGCCTGTAATCCCAGCTACTCAAGAGGCTGAGGCAGGAGAATCGCTTGAACCTGGGAGGTGGAGGCTGTAATGAGCTGAGATCACACCACGGCACTCCAGCCTGGCGACAGAGCGAGACTCCATTTAAAAAAAAAAAAAAAAAGAAATATATTTTAGAAATAGGATTTATAGGACATGTTAATAGACTGGCTACAAGAGTGATGGAGAAGATGATAATCAGAAACCTCCCAGGTTTTTGACTTAAGCAACCAGTGCTTATTGGAGTTTAAGAAATTTGGGACTTTTTTAGTTTCCAAATTTATACAATGAAGAATGTTACTTGTTACATCAATATCTAAGGTGCATTTCATGCTCTCAAACTCTGTTTTAAACTTAATACAGAGCCCATTATCTTAGCATCTACCCTCATGACTTCTAAATGAAATGTTAAATCCCAAAGTTGCCTACATCTAGGTGAATATTAAAAAAATTCATAAAGAATGGTGAGATCTGGCTCAATTCTACTCAATCCAGTACACTGAAATTATCTAAAAGTCTTTTGGCAAGAATACCTTACTTTTTAAAACACTCAACAAAAATACCACAGCACTGATTAAACAATTATTAGACATTCATATCTCTACTATACATACCATGCCAAGGAATTATAAGGTATCATATATCACCTTCAAACTCCTTATGCAACTTAAATAGGGCATTATGTCATACACGTAAAAATCTAACCAGTACAAGATAAAAGACAGTAAAAGACAGTATATACTGAAGGCCGAGATATAGACTATACCTGCTACCAAGTCCATCATAGGAAAGAGTGTAGCATATGAAGTTATTAATTGTAACTGACATATACAGATACCTTCTAACTGTCCATTCTCTAAAAAAATGGATATTTTAATAAAACTCTCCATAAACCTCATTATTTTGCTCCTCCTTTAATTTATAGGAAGGGTGCTTTGTCAAAGAAATCAATGGTCTGCTAGTTAGAACATTCCATGTAAAAACTCTATCACATTTTTCAGAAAATGGTTGAAGATTCAAAACTATCATTTATAATATATAATTGTTAAAAGTGAGTATAAGTGACTGTTGAGCAGTTAAAAGCAATGGCTCACGGTGTCCAGGATAGATAAGAACAAACATACAGAAGCAAAGGTAATTACAGCAAATGAGACAAGTTGTAGGATGTGGTCATTGAGGTGGTTACAGCCAAGTGGAGGTGGTTACAGCCAAGTACAGATGACTGCTGGTGTGGAGGTTGTTAAATAGTTAAGTATGTTCAAAATGTCATCTACAAAGAAATGAAATCACCTAGATGACAGACAAACATGATCCAGATGTGGAACTGGGGTATGAGATGTGACAGATGATAGCAACAAGAAATAGAAGGATCACCTAGCCAAATGGTATGTGCCTCAAAGGAAGGAAGGTTTTTATAGACAGGCAGACTAGTAACATTTTAACACTATAATGGGGGACTAGAAGAATGCTGACTTTGCGCTCTTTCCTCCTCCCAACACACATGTACTTACGTAGCAGGTACTTACGAAAACAGAGTTTCACTGACTTTTCCAAGTAAGTGTAGATTCAACAGTTACACATATGAACTTAAGGTTTAAATCAATATTTAGATGACTATTTTTAGATTTCAGCCTTAAGAGAATTACTTCCTTCCAAAAGAATATAAGTAAAAAATTCAACAGGCCAAACTAACACAGGTTAGTTTTCTAGAATACACCTAATATGCCAAAACTAAGGAACAAAGGGAGAAAAACTACTCTGTTAGCAAGTATGTAGTACTGCATTTAAGTAATGTCTTTAAAAGTTAGGTTATTTTCTTCATAATTTTGATTACCTTGAGAAGCAGTTTGAAATTAAGGAAAAGGACTCATCATTTTAGAGGTCTTTTTTTTAAAGTTGTGATACTTTTTAAAATATCCTAGTCAATCTGATTAGTAAAATTTTTAGCTAAGATATGTGATGAGTAGTATCTCTGACATATGACTTATGTTCTATCAGGCCAAGGATAAACACATTCTCTGAAATCTACATTATTATTTGCAAAGTTAATTATTGTTCAGCAACTGTATCAAAGACAATTTAGCCCTCATATTAAAATCAGTTGAGTGCAAAATTTTTATTTTAAACAGGCTGAATTTTGCCCTTCTTAAAAAAAGATTGAGGAAAGATTATGTGCAATTCATTCTGGTTTTTACAATGTGGTGATGCCAGAGTAAATGTAGTATGAAGTTAATGCACTTTAAAAGCTGAAGGGAGAAAATTTTCAGTTTTAAAATAAGTTGCTATGGTTACAAAATGTTTACCTTTATAAGCAATAATTATGTGAGATGTCCAAGGAATTCCCGAAAGTACAGTAAGATCAGTATCTGAAGTGTACATTCGTTATTTCACAAACAAACTGAACCCAACTGCATACATCACTTCCGTTTCAAAGTGGCTATCGTTTGGGAAATACTAAAAAAAAAATGATTCATGTCTTTCTGAACCATATTGGAGACAAAAATACTGACCATAGCTATTTTTAAATTCAAGTAATGACTCAGAGAGTTTTAGTTCCTTTTATCAAAGAGTGCTGTAATTTTACATAGCACCTTCTATTGTTGAAAGAAGGAAGGTATGTTTGTAATGTGTCTCAGGTGTGGAGTTTCTTTTATACATAAATTTTCACGCCTTCGATAAACTTTTAAAAAGCCATGCTTGTAACAATGTTAATTCAGAGTAAAACGATGTCAACTCCTTTAGCTGTAGACAATTTTGAACTTCTTAAATGGGAAGAAGAGGCCCCTATAAGAATTGATAATTAGCCCATTCCTAACTAGGTTGTTAAATCCGCTATCAGTTACTGTATTGTAGAAATTTTTTGTGTGTCTGTGTTTTACATTTAGAACATTCAGTTTTGTAAGACTACTTATAAAACTTTCAACCCCATATAGCTGATCTTAAAATTAGACGCTCATCATTACCTCTTAGAAGGCAGCTATGCTCACCACTATACCAACACTGCTGCCATCATCACATCTTTTTTTTTTTTTGAGACAGAGTCTCACTCTGTCACCCAGGCTGGAGTGCAGTGGCACAATCCCAGCTCACTGCAACCTCCACCTCCTGGGTTCAAGTGATTCTCCTGCCTCAGCCTCCCGAGTAGCTGGGATTACAGGCGCATGCCACCACGCCCAGCTAATTTTTGTATTTTTAGTAAAGACAGCGTTTTACCATTTTGGCCAGGCTGCTCTTGAACTCCTGACCTCAGGTGATTCGCCCACCTCGGACTCCCAAAGTGTTAGGATTACAGGCATGAGCCACCATGTCCGGCCCATCATGACATCTTAATGGGCCTTCCACCAGTGTCTACTTTCTATGTAATAGAATATTAAACACATTTGTTAATATTAGGCCTATCCTAAGCCAAAAATAATTTATAAAATAAGATGTTACTCTCAACTGGCTTAAACAAAGGGATTATCATCACAAACATCAAGAATTAAAATAAGGTGGCTTTAGGGTGACTGATTCAGTTATCCAATGCCATCATATATGACCTACGCTCCTTTCAGCTTTTCCCTCTGTCAGACTCAGCAAGAACCTTAGGATAACTCCCTTCATAGCCACATGTTAATTGTTATACTTCATGGGATCCTATTAAACACATATTGTCATGCAGTAGAAGTGGAAATATCCTTCCGTGTCTCCCTTTTCAGGTATGAGGAAGACTCCTAGAAGCCCCACAAGCTGACTTTCCCTGAAATGCAAAGGGCCAGGCTTTGATCACATGTCCCTTCCCAAATGAATCACTACTAGGCAGAATAGGATTACCCTGATTAGCTTGTAATATTCGGGATTTCCCCAAGCGATGTGGGATAGACGTGGACATACAAACAAAATTGGGGGTAAGCATGCAAGAAGGAAGAGGGTAATTGCAAGGAAATCATTTTATAAATGCCATGGACATACAAGAAAAATGTCAAACATAAGAAAACAGAATACTTTAGGATGAAATAGTAAAATACACCTTAATTTTGACCTGTTAAAATGAGAGTTTTATCTCCAAAATGTTTCCTATTAATCTCATCTTCCTTCTCTATGAAAAGCAAGGCTAATTACTAGACACTGGGCAGACTACCACTAGAGCAATGAAACTAGAATACCTTCAAGAAGGGCAGCCAGTATAATGCATAATCTAGAAACCATTTCATAAAGGGTTGATAAAGCTGAAGATATTGTCTGAAAAGGAATCAGGGAGAACATGAAAACTTTAAAATATTTGAAGTACTGTCACTGTGAAGACAATTACACAGTTTTAGAGATAAGCTAAATCGATGAATAATAAACAGGAAGATGAAATGTTTCAATATAAGATAATACTTTTATCTGGCATTTTTCAGTCTGAAGGCATAATAAGGTTGGCTACTCATATGGGGCAGGGATAAACATCCCAGGTAACTTGAATAGCTACTATGGTTGTAGGCACTTTATGTACATTCACTTAATTCTAACAACATGCCTGCAAACTAGTTTTTAAATCCCAATTTCACGGACAAAAAATCTGAGTTGGACCAATTAAACACTGGAAATCACAAGGCTAAGCAGTAGGGAAAACTGGATTCTAACCCAGACCCATCTGTCTCCGAAGCTTGGCTCTTCCCACACACCAGACACCTAAGAGAAGTTAAATTAGCAGTTGTTAAGGAAGCAAATGGGGTTTTTGAGCTGGTGAGAACCAAATATCAACGGATTTGAAGTCCTATTCAAAATTAAGATGCCAGAAATGAAGTATTACTTCCTTCCATTTGACCAATACCTTCTAGTTTAACAATGTTTCACATCGATCTTCCCACTGGTTCCTCACAGCAATGCTTTAAGGTAAGTTGGAGAAAGGCCTTATCCCCTGGCTTTCTACCTCAGAGAGGAAAAAAGAAAACAAAGATGAATCCTATCAACTTCCCTCTGCTTTGTCTCCAAGCATATTTGTATTTTCAACTTTTTCTCTATGATCTTTCATTTATTCAATAGTCATCTTTCATTTATTAAGTACTTCTTACATCTCAGGCATCAAATCTTCAAGACTTTGCAGTCTAATGGGAAGACCTTGTAGTTGCAGAGGAAAAGGTTCATTCAAGACTGTATCTATCTTCTAATAGACCTTACTTTTTCAATTCTGATTCCTTTCTTACAGCTTTGGTTTAACCTTCTGTTCCTTTATTTTGGCCTATAGAAAGCTTTCCTGCCTCTTCACCAAGCTACCACTCCTTTTGTTTGTTTGTTTGTTTTTAATTGTTTCGACCCACTGCAATCTAGCTTTCCACCAATCAAATGAAATTGCTCCAAGGTCATCAATGATAATTTATTACAAAATCATCATTATTCTCAACTACTCTACAATATTGGGCAATAACCTCTCTTCTTGTTGCGTCCATAATATTTTTACCTATTTTTCTGGTCCCTTTTCTGGTCCTTTTCACTTGGTTTTTCTTCTACACACACCCCCCTTTTTTTTTTCTAGCTCCTTTTAATCTCTTTTTGGACAATCTCATGTCAAAATTCTACTTATCATCTGCAGTCCACTTCCCCAAAGTGTTCTTTTTCTGAATTCCCATGTTGGTTAATAGTAATGGCATCACCATGTACAAAGTAGCCCAACACACAGTAGCCTTCCCTTACTTCATCTCCCACTTTTAGTCAGTCACCAAGTTCTATGCATTTTACATAAAGTTTTCCTAAACTCTGTCTTCACAGTGACCTAATTCAAACCCACTTCAGTCCTCACCTAAGCTATCATAACTACCTCCTAACTAGCCTCTCAACTGTTGACTCTCCTTCTAGTTCTATACATCCTTGTAACAGACACAGGTACTTTCACACAGATCCTTTCCTTTAAGGAGAGTCTCTGGTCCTGAGACATACAAGAAACCCAAGCCTGACCAGAGTACTACCCACCCCTAACAACATGTCTCGTTCAGGAAAGAGCACATGACTGAAACTAGACAATGTCTTCCTCAGGACTTCACTTTCCTGCCAAGGCTATCAGAGAAAAATACTCTCTTTTCTTTCGGGATTGTGAGGACACAATCCCAGTAAGCAAAAACTGCTCATAGGAGGAATGAAAGAATGGGGGAGGATGGGAAACCCACTGTCACCAAGTCCTGGATCTAGCTCTGCTTGCCTGGCCAGTAAATATACTTTTGCATTTAAGCCAATTTGAGTTGGATTTCTGTCATTTGTAACCAAAAGTCCTGATTAACAATTATCTACACCACCAGTTACTTTTCTAAATCATAGATAAAATGTTGTCTACTTTTATTTAGTCAACTATTTTGTTTGAGTATGCTATACTAAAGACTTCCAGCAGCCTGCCTTTAAGTTTCACATATATCAATGTGCTTGTTGCAATTCAAGTATACCATGCCACTACATGCAGCTATGCCCTTGCAGATGCTGTTTCCTCTGCCTAGCACATCCCCCTCCCACCTCCTCATCCACAAAATGTATAGGTTTGCATAAAATAAGGTGGAAAATTAGACAGCAGCGAGATCATGAAGGGTGTTGAATGACACCGAGTAAATACACTTTAACCTATAGAATTTTAAGGCAAAAAGTTATAAAATAAGACTTGTATCTTAAAGAACTTACTGTGCATACAGTGTCAGGATGACCTAAAAATAAGGTGATACTAAAGGCAGAGAAAACAGTCAGTAGGCTATCACAATTAGTTTAAACCAGAGGCCATGTAGGATGGTGAAACAGTAAACTGGGACAACTTCTCTGGGAGAAAAAAAAAAAACTTGCCAACAGCTATCAATACCATTGATAAGTATTTCAAACTTTAAGCTAGCATTTCTACTTGTAGGAACTGAGACATAAGAAAATAATGTGAGGCCTATAAAAATTTACATATCAAGATTTCAGTGAAGCATTATTTACAACAAAAGACTGAAAATTTAAATGCTGAACAATAAAATGATTTAAAATACAGTATATATCACACAGTGAAACTATATCTAATATTTAAAAATAAAATCTTTAAAGAATTTCTAAAACATGGGATATACTAAAAAATATTATATGGAATACAACACTGCAGTATAAACAAAATAATCTTAATTACGTTAAATAGAAGACTTTTTTTCTTTTTCATTTTTAGCATCAACACTACATGAGTTAGGTCAGTGGCAGGATTATGAGTAATTTGTTCTCTCCTTTTTTTTTTTTTTCCCCTAAGTAACATTGTCCTTAGCCATGATCCTTATTTGCTAAACAAAATCACAACTTTATAGGTAAGAAAAATAAGGCCTAGAGTGGTTACATGACAAAGTTCACATTCTAAGAGTTAAGACCACAACTTGAACACTGCCTATGTGAAGACTCACTGCCAAGAAGCAAACCTGCAAAGCCAGTCATTTAACCCATAACTCCTGTAAGCCTGAGACTCAAAGGCAAACCAAGCCTACTGTGAGTGACTTTAAACTTGCTGACCTACAATCCCCTATAAATTCATAACTCAAAAGCTATAAAATAGCAAATGAAGAGCAGACTACAGAACAGGGTAGTTTAAGATGCTTGTTTTTATGACTTTATTTTTTATCTAAATAACCCTACAAAGAACAGAAAAGGAAATAACAGCACACCAGACTGGAGAAACAAGGCCTCAGAGTAAGTTGTTAAGGGACACTGTTATTCTAGAGTCTGTTTTATTTTGATCTTTAAAAGAATAAGAGAATGCTTTATTAGAAGAAATTATTTCCCTGAATTAAGATCTCCATAATCTGTTACAATCACAAATAGACTCTATAGACTTAAGTACTCAACTCATTTAAGTAGGGTAGCTAACAAAAAGTCATTTGGTAGCTAAAAAAGCAGAATTTGAAAATAGTATTTGTGAAATAAAAGGGCTTCAGTGAAAGGAGTCTGAACAGCTACTGGATAGGAGAAAAGACAAAATAATTACCAGGGACAATTTTTCTTTATTTTGAGATAGAGTCTTGCTCTGTTGCCCAGGCTGGAGTGCAGTGGCACAATCTCAGGTCACTGCAACCTCTGTCTCCTGGGTTCAAGCGATTCTCCTGCCTCAGCCTCCAGAGGAGCTGGGACTGCAGGTGCACGCCACCATGCCCAGCTAATTTTTGTATTTTTGGTAGAGACGGGGTTTCACCATGTTGGCCAGGATGGTCTTGATCTCTTGACCTCGTGATCCGCCCACCTTGGCCTCCCAAAGTACTGGGATTACAGGTGTGAGCCACTGCGCCTGGCCAGGGACAATTTTTTTAAAACCTTTATTTTAACCTTATAAATTAAGAAATTGTGGTTTTCTATAGATGCCATGTAAATGATAGTACCACCTAAAAAGTTAATACATTTAAAATGTTTCTAAGCCAGGCACAGTGGCTCACGCCTGTAATCCCAGCACTTTGGGAGGTCAAGGTGGGTGGATCACTTCAGTTAGGAGTTCAAGACCAGTCTGGCCAACACAGCAAAACCCTATCTTTACTAAAAATAGAAAAATTAGCCAGGCGTGGTGGTACGCACCTGTAGTCCCAGCTACTCAGGAGGCTGAGGTCGGAGAATCGCTTGAACCCAGGAGGCTGAGGTTGCAGTGAGCTGAGATTGAGGCACTGCACTCCAGCCTGGGCAACAGAGTGAGACTCTGGCAAACAAAACAAAACAAAACAAAACGAAACCCAAAACAACAATAAAATGTTTCTAAGATGATAATCAAAGATGGCATCATAGAGCTGGGCACAGCGGTGTACACCTGTAGTCCCAGCTACTTGGGAGGCTGAGATGGGAAACTATACCATTATCTTAATTTCATTTGTTTTTTAAATGAATTTTCAAATGGTGCCCTTAGGTAAATTTAGAAAGGGTTTGCAGTAACCAATGGAAAAGCACCATCCAGTGGTAAAAGATGATAATTACAATTTATACAGTTATTAAAAGCAAAATTAGCTAAATGATTTGTGACTCTGCCTTTTCTCCAACACACATTCCAGGAAAGAAAAGGTAAACTGGCTATATAATACTGAGGGTATCTGCTATTTGTTACCATTTTCTTAATCAAATTTTACTATATTAAGTTGGCATTTCGTTGTTGTTTTTCTGTCTTGCTTACCAATTATCCAAATGCTCGTTTGGGAACAGAATTAGGATAGGGGCATTGTTAAAATTCATCTAAAGCCTTTATTAAGCCACAGGCTAGAAAATGGTTTAAAAAGTGTGTGAGGGGGTGAATTTCCAATGGAACTCTAGTTACCAACAGCCATCCCACAGAACAACAAATAAGTCATTCTATGTACTTTTTTAAAAGGTGATCATGGGTAGGTAATCTAGACCCTCCTGAAAAGGCCAGGTAAAGATTCACAATCAGAGATTTCATAAAGAATTCAGAATTTCTAAAAGGAACATGAATCCTGAATGTGACCCGATTCACTCCAATTTGAAGAAAACAATCAGGTAAACGGTGTGTTCCCAATAATCTACCCCTATCCTATCAGAAAACAGATGAATAAAATCTGCAGTTTCCAACATAACAGCTTTTTAATCACCTCCTTTTTTTTTTTTTTTTTTAGAGAAAAAATTAAAAAGTTTAATACAATGGCTCAGGCCTGTAATCCTAGCACTTTGGGAGGCTGAGGTGAGCAGTTCACTTTTGAGCCCAGGTGTTCAAGACCAGTCTGGGCAACATGGTACAACCCCATCTCTACTAAAAATACAAAAATTAACCGGGCATGGTGGCATGCACCTGTAGTCCCAGCTACTCGGGAGGCTGAGGTGGGATGATCGCTTGAGCCCGGCAGGTTGAGGCTGCAGTCAGCCCTGATCACATGCCGCTGCACTCCAGTCTGGGCAACAGTGAGACCTTGTTGCAAAGGAAAAAACAAAAACCAAAACCCCAAAACTTTAATGAAACCAAAAACAAATTATTACAGAAACCCAGTAAGGATGATTCTTTGTTCTGAAACAACTTTACATCAAGTCTACTTGATATCAAATGGTATTACTGTTTGGGATCATAAGATATTTAACAAAAAGTACAGCATACTGCACCTTGGTAATGACAAAAAAATCAATTACTGGGCCATAATTTTCTCCTTTTATACTCTAAAAAATATTTCAATATGTTTGAATCTGACATAAGAAGCCTAACAAATACTACCAATGATATCAAACAAGCTTATCCTATCTTCACTAGTGCCTGCAGTCCAACACACCTGGAGGTTGTGAGATTTTTTAAAAACTACTTTCATGAAAACATAGGAGTCACTCAAATAATTGAGGTTCCCCAGTGATTACTGAATGACTGTTAATGTTTAAAGTGTGCAGCACAATCATTTAACATGTAAGAGAATGAGCTATGAGCAAAAGGATGCATACATCTAAACCAAAGTTTGAAAACCTTTAGTAATTTAGTATTTCAGAACAAAATAAATAAAACTAGTTGCGATACCATTATTTTCAGCTGTTTAACATTTTCTTCTCCAAGACAGAGATCTTAGATTTATAAGCCCCCTCCACTGAAAATTTACTTGAATTATAAAACGGCTATACTAAGTCTTCCACTAACACAGGGTCCACTACTATAAATGTTTCTACAATAAAGGACTTTTTGGCTGACACTAACTATTTACTCACATACAGTTATGTATGAAAGCTAAGTTACAAGGAGGCTTAAACAGCAACAAACTAACAAATTACAAGAGCTGCCTATATTACTGCAAGAGACTACTAGAAAATAACCTACCATAATAGGAATTCCCATACTATTTTCCTCTGGTGGAGGCAGTTGTACTGTTTCAATTCCAATCACAGGCCTGTAGCAGAAAACAGATATCAAAAGAAAGAATACGCTGATCCTAGAAATTAAGGGCTATGTTATTTATAAATAACTAGTACCTTAACAAAACATTGAATTATTGGATAATATTCAAAAACTTACTTTGGATTTTATTAATTCAGAATTTACTTTTATCCTTCTATCAAGAAAAAAAATACTAATCTGGGCAACAAAACATTTTTTAAAGGCTTTCTTTATATATTAAACAGAATTGGCTTCCCAGAAGAGACTTAAAAAGTGGTGTTTGTTTCTTAGAATTCCTAGCAACAAGTCATTCTCATAAATCTTAAACACAAACACACACACACACATATACACACACAAACTTTTCAAATGCATTCACTAATAATATATTCAGTTACTTACTAATCAGCAATTATTTACCCATGGGGACGTGTTGATTTAAGAAACTGCCTATGAAAAGTTTAAAATATTCAATCTATACGCTTTTTGAATATGTAGAACATACTCATTTCAGTAATACATAAATTTAAGAAATCACTGCAATATCTCTCAAAGAAAACTCTGGTAATTTTATACATATATTATATATAAAAAGTATATATATATACTTTTTTAAAGGTTAGGATAATACATACATATTATTTAGTAACTTGCTTGTCTCCATCACTCCTCATTTAACAATGTGGACCTTAAATATTCCGCAACACCCTGAATATGACATTCCATTCAAAAATACTGTATTTAATTTCCTAAGAGTAAATATTTGGGTTGCTTCTATTTTAAAATTCATATATAATAATTTTTCTAAGAATATTATATATTCTTGTATAATACTTTTCCCAAGATAAAAAATAAAATTCCCACAAGTTAATTTTAGTGAAATGGCTTGTCTTCACATAAATAAAATTAGGCCTAAAAAATTATGGAGCCATAATTCTCAAGTGCAATGACCTAGAAAGAACAAATGTCAGAATTACATTCCCTACATAAAAGTGTGGGGCCAACCACATTTCTTTTGTTTTTCTTTTATGACAAAATTTTGCCCTGTCACCCAGGTTGGAGTACAGTGGCCCAAATGTAGTTTCAACCTCCTGGGTTCAAATGATCCTCCCACCTCAGCCTCCTCAGTAGCTGCGACCACAGGCATGCATAACCTCACCCAGTTAATTTTTTAATTTGTTTGTAGAGATGGGGTCTCATTATGTTGCCTAGGCTGGTCTCAAACTCCTGGGCTCAAGCGATCCTCCTGCCTTGGCCTCCCAAAGTGCTGGGGTTACATGAGTGAGCCACTGCACCACCCACACACTTCTTATTGTTCTGAAAGAATCGTCATCAATGCTATGACAAAGAATCATCTTTGTTATAGTAATTACTATTGTAGTAATTAATGCCTTCTAAAATGTTAGAAGACATAAACTATCCTTGGATAGTTGGAGGAAGGTCAGCTATAGTTCTAAACATAAAAATCTGTTATTTCTTCCCTTGTCAAAATTATTTATGAACAAATCAACCTCATCAGAAAATATTAAAGGTACATTATTTTAGGTTCTACAGCATGTAACAGATATGGTAATAGAATTAGTCTGCCATATGGTGGCAGCAAATACCAAAGAAAATTAATTTCTTGAGTACGTCCATTTAAAAAGTTAATGTCTTCCCTGAGTCATGTATTTTAAACAAAGGTTTCAAATAGAAGAGGCTTTACAGGTTTTCATAATTATGTTTTAATCTTGTTATATTAATAGTCAAGCTCAAAACAATATCACGAGCGTATTTCTGACTGATTGAAAACCGCCTTCTGTTACTATGGCATTTACCAAATCAAACTGCCTCAAAAACTATGTGGCTCTTGATGCTTATCAGGCAACATGTAATTGCAATGATTTTCATTGTATTAACTAAAATTTACATATCTTATAGAAAAATTAAATTTTCTTACTTTAACCAAATCCACCTAGCCTAGCCTCCTACCTCCACAAATATTTACTCAATAATTGTTTGTTAATAACTATTTATATGCTAAATGCACGGAATATAGCAGTAAACACAAGAATAGTTTCAGGTTTCATGAAACTTACACAAAATCTCTCATGTATTTCCTTTTCCCTGATTTGTAATATGGGGTTATTAAGACCAGCTTAAGTTAACAGCCTAAGGATAAAAAATACTACAGTGTCTCTTCACCTATAATTTACAATTTAAAAAACACTACACAGAAATATTCAAGTAAGAAAGTTTTATTTTTCCTGCTATGACTATGACTGCTTTAAAGTCTTTCTGTTCTATAAAGTTGCTTCAAAAGGAAAAGTGTTTGGTGCCCTTTATTTTACTACACTATTTAACCCACTAGATGCTAACTAACAAACATTTAAGTTACATGAAACTGAAAAATGTATAAGAGCATCTTTTCATATAAAATTATCAAAGTATGTCAATCGTCTCAATTTATATATAGAAGTTATTGCCAAAGTGTCTTATAATCCAAGACACTGAGAGATAGGAAGCTAGGATAATGAGTAAATCCAAACTGAGAGTAAATATGTGCATAGGTTGTGCATAGATTAATCATAGAGTTAAAACACATCTGAAAACCCATCTCTATTAAAAAAGAGGAGGGAGGTAGCCACAGTGGCTCATGCCTGTAATCCCAGCACTTTGGGAGGCCAAAGTGAGAGGATCACTTCAGCTCAGGAGTTGGAGACCAGCCTGGACAACACAGCAAAACCCTGTCTCTGTAAGAAAACAAAACCAAAACCAAAAGAAACCCAAACAAAAGCACACATCTGAATACTGTAAAGGCCCAGTCTTCCACAGAGTGAGCATCGTTTAAGGTAGGGGCTGTGTCTCACTCATTTCATCAGTATGTCCACTCTACGATTTTCCTTAACATGTAACAGTGATGAACAATTTCTCACGCACAAACATTTCACATACTGATGATTTTATCTTGTCAGTAGAAGTACCATGGTTTTTTTTTCCTTGTTATTTTGTTTTTGTCCCAACTAGATAGAAAATTTTATAGGTTATAAACTAACATCGGCAATTTCATATGGTCCAACCTAATATCAATTGCTCACAACATTAAGTTCCTAGAGCTACCGGTAGGCACCATTTCTTATTGCTCTAAGTACTCACCTTCTAATAAGGGAAAAGAGAAATAAAAAGTAAACTACAAAGCAGTGCAATAAGTGCTCTCCTAAAAGTTTGTTGTGTGTATCTGTGACAGAGGGAGACAGACAGACATACAGTTCCTTAGGAATCACAAGATATACCAGTTGATGAATCCTATGAGGAAAACTGGAGGGCAACCTAGTAAATAAAATTAACTAAGATTCCTTTGCTAAGTGATCGCTATACTGAGATTTATATATTTAAATAAATATAAAATTACCAGGAAACCACTAATTTCTTCCTAAGATGAGATACAAGCAAGAATGCCTGCTCTTAATCACTCTTACTTAATATCATATTGAAAGAAAGAGCACTGCCATAAGGGTAGAAGGAATAAGGGATATATAGTTTGGAAGGGAAGAAATAAAAGTGCTTGCATTCACAGACAACATGATTGTCTTTATAGAAGATTCCATGGAATCTATTAAAAAATGCCTAGAATTAATAAGTTTAGCAAAGTCATAGATTACCATTGCTGTTTCTACATACTACCAATGAACAACTGGAAATCAAAACAAAAAGCAGTACCATTTATAATAATACCCCAAAACTCAAAAATACTAAGGTATAAATTCAACAAAATATGTACAGATTATGTATGCTGAAAATCACAAAATACTGATGAAAGACATCAGAGACAACGTAAAGAAAACAGATACAGGAGCTCCCCCGTTATCCACAGAGGATATATGCCACCCCTCCCTCACTCCACGGAAGCCCAAACATCTCAGGTAGTGCTGAACCCTATATATACTATGTTTTGTCCGACACAGGTTGAACATTCTTAATCTGGCAATTCAAAATCTGAAATGCTGTAAACTCTGAAACTTTTTGAGTGCTCATATGACGCCACAAGTGGAAAATTCCACAAATAAGTACTTAACAGAAACTTTGTTTCATGCACAAATTTAAAATAGTTTACAAAATTACCTTTGGGTTACACGTATAAGATGTATATGAAACAAATGAATTTCGTGTTTAGACTTGGGTCCCATCTCCAAGATCTCTCATTACATTTATGCAAATATTCCAAAATCACAAACACATCTAGTCCCAAGCATTTCAGACTAGGAATACTCAACCTGTACATACATACCCTATGATAAAGTTTAACTGATAAATTAGGTAAAATAAGAGATTAGTAACAACTAATAATAAAATAGAACAATTTTAACAACACACTGTAAAATGAAAGTGAGATGAATGTGGTCTCTCACAAGATACTTTAATATTTTTGGACCATAATTGACTGCAGGTGTTTCAAGCTATAGAAACCAAAACAGTGGATAATGGGAAACTACTGTACCATGCTCATGGTTGGGAAGACTCAATATTCTTATAATTTCAATTTTTCCTCATTTAATTTATAGGTGAAAAGTAATCACAGTCAAAATCTCAGTGGGCTTTTTTGTAGAAATCAATAAACTGATGTGAAATTCATATGGAAAGGAAAAGAAATTAGAAAAACCAAAGCAATTTTGAAAATCAATAAAATTGAGGGATTCATACTACTAGAGTGCTCCAGTAAGGCCAGGCATATTGGCTCACGCCTATAATTCCAGTGCTTTGGGAGGACAAGGTGGGAGGACTGCTTGAGCCCAAGAGTTCAAGACCAGCCTAGGCAACATGGCAAGACCCTGTCTCTACAAAAAAATTAAAAATTAAGCAGGCATGATGGCGTCCACCTGTAGTCCCAGCTACTTGGGAGGCTGAGGTGGGAGGATTGCTTGAGCCTGGGAGGTCAAAGCTGTAGTGAGCTGAGAGCATGTCACTGCACTCTAAACTGGGCAATAGAGCAAGACCCTTTCTCAAAAAAAAGAAAGAAAGCAAAGATAGTGATATTGGAGTAAGAATAAACATATAGATCCAATGGAAGGCGACAGAAGAGTCCATAAATAGAGCTACACATATATAGTCAACTGATTTCTGACAAAGGTACAAAGGCAGTTCAAGACAGTAAAATATTATCTTTCCAACAAATCAACCTGAAACAACTGGATAATTCATTTGGAAAATGAGGGTAACTGATACTTGCTTATATAGTCATAAAATCTCTAGGTATAAACAAAATAATATTGGTTGGCTACAGTACAGGAAACCAGATGACTTGGGATTGATGTGAATAGAGATGGAAGAGACAATTTTTACATTATACTGTTTGTATTCCTTGTAAATCATGAACTATGATTGCCTGTTACAAGTTACACAGATGAATCAGATGCATACCAATGTATTAAGAATTACAAAAAACAATGCTTTCCTCAATAAATTACTAAAATGTGTGAAACAGATACATTTTACTCTGCCAGTCTGTTTTCTTCCAGCACAAAGGCTGTTAAACCAATCAGAAATCATTAGGGGTGGAGCCTGGGAATTTATAATTTCAAACAAGTGATTCTAATTCAGAGCTAAGGTTTAGAACCAATCATAGGGCATGGTTATCATATGCAATGCACTGTACTGACCAAGCTGAGTTAATAAAATATTTCCTTCCCTCAAAGGCAAAAGCAAATGACCAAGATATAATGAATGTACATAGAATATTAATTTGGTCACATGGTACTACAAAGGAAATAATTTAAGAAAAATAATTTTTGCTAAACCCCAATGAAAACATTAGGTAAAGGGTTGGTAGGAAACATGATGAATCAAGTTGACAACATTTGTACAGACTGGTATTATCACTAGGAATAGAGCAACTTGTTATGCACCCACTTGTGCAATAATGTACGTATGTTTATCTACATGTCTGTATGTGTGTATATATATGCATATATATCAACCTATAATACACATGGCATACAGGATAAAGTGATAGGTGGCTATATGCATATTGACAATTGCTTTATTATACCTGACAGTCTTTCTTAAAAACAAACAACAGTGGAATCTAATAAAATCTTTAAAGCTACTGATTTACCAAAAAAAAGAGGAATATGTTAAACAACACTGTGAAGATACAATCAGCTAAAGTAGAATGTGGGAAATCCTACAGAACAAATGACACAAGTTCTTCAATAAATACATTCATTTTTTAAAAGGGAAGGGGAACGTAGTAGAGAAAGAGACTTAGGAAACTAATCATATGCAATGTTTAAATCCTGTTTAGATCTATTCTAACAAACTAACCTTCAAGACATCTGACACACACACAAAATGAAATGCAAATTAATTTTGCTTCAAAATACTCCAAAGACATTGAGGAATGGTAAAATTGGTAACTGGTCTTAATTCACAGGGGTTCATTAATGTCTTTTCCGCATGACAAAGTTTAATAATTAAATTATTAACATTAAAGAAATTCAATTATATGATGATATCACAAAAAAAGAAAATAATGCAATTTTAGATTGACATCTCCCTATTACCCTATTCACAGATAATACTGTTTTCCTTTTTTGACACTTCCTTCTGAAAAAGTTAAAGTGGTTAGGTCCAAATTTAGTCACTAAACTTTACAGCAATACATATATGAACCAATTTAAGGAAATCTAGATCTGGTAAATCCACATCAGGGTTTCTCAATGTTGGCACTACCAACATTTTAGGACATATAATTCTTTGTCATGGGGTCCACTCCTATCCATTGCCGGATGTTTAGTAGCATCTCTGGTCTCTACCCACTAGATGCCAGTAGCATAACTCATTCCCCTAAATTGTGATGACCAGAAATATTTCCAGATATTGCCAAATGTCCCCTGGAGAACAATAACACCCCTCATTTGAGAAAGACTGATTTAAATTAATGATTTCTTAGAATGGTGAGCTTACTACAAAAAGCAAAAGGAACTCAGTAGTTACGTTCCTTAAAATCTGGCAAAAACAACTTCAATAAAATGACTAGCCAGCAACAGACAAATGGTATTTTTCTCTATGTTAACAGGAATATTCAAGTATCTGAAGAAAGGCTTAACCTTTTAGAAAATGTAAAGATGTACAATCCTTACTTTTAAACACAATATATTAAACAAATTAGGCTTTTTCATGGCTCAAGATAATGAACATTATATCTACTTATATTCAGCTCACTCAAAAAAGTGGGAATAACATCACAATATATAGCAGAATAAGAACTCCAAATCTCCATCCCTTCACAAAGCAATGAATAGGTGGCAAAACAGCCAGAATCAACATTTTCATAATTCTAGAATTCAATTAAAACCTTATAACAACCAGAGGAACATGTAATGAAGAAAGATGCTGCTAGGTTTTCATAGGAAAACGCTGTGGAATTTTAATTTACTGCACACCACTCCCAACTCCCCCTACATGGCAGCATCCATGATAGCAGCCCACATCTGGTGCCTGTTGTGGGTACCAGATAAACTAATATGGACCTTATTCTCAAAAAACTGTGGTTGTATGTTTTGAACTATGTAGTGGCTCCCTGAAGGATTGGGTCAAGGGCTTGTCTTTGTTCCACCATGCTTGGAGATTCCTAGTACTGAAGCATCTTTCCCAGTGGTGTCTGTCAAAAGCATATCTCTCTCATCTGTGTGTAACAGGTAACAACTGGGGCAAACAATAAACATCTAAAGACCCAGGAAGGAAGAAGCTGGAGAAGGAGATGCATATGAAAATAAAGGTTTTGAAAGCTCCCATATATAATAGAAAACCTAGAGGCCACATGCGTGTCCAGGACTGGCCATATGCTCAGAGAAGACTCATGAAGACCCTAAACTTTCACCTCTGGCTGACCTTTCAGCTCTGCGCAAGTAAAAAGTGAAGACTAGGACAGAACTGTAAGAAGCTTGGCTGAGCATTATGTACCCCAACACAGAAGCAATTTCTAAAATCTAGGAGAGTTTGTTTTTGTTTGGGCTTTTTTGGGGAGTTGTTGGGGGGAGATCGAGGCATTTAGGAAAACCTCTGCCAAATTATAGCCGATTGCCAAGAGAATGAACAGAGAATTCAGTGGACAAACACAATGAAGAACACAGACTTTACAAAAATAGTTTTAAAAGACTCATTAAACAACCACCAGAACAAGCAGCAATAACAATCCCCAGGGAGGGGGAAACATTGGCTCTCCAGCTACAATATTCAAAATATCCAATTTCCAACAAAAACATCTGAGGCATGCAAATAAAGATCAAACTATATCCTGGTCACAAGAGAAAAAGAAATTAACAGAAATTGTCCCAGAGGAAGGCCAGACACTGAATTTACTAGACAAAGACTTTAAATCAACTGCCTTAAATATGCTCACAGAACTAAAAAAAAAACCCTGGACAATGAACTAAAGGGAACCAGAATGTCATCTCACCAATTAGAGAATATTGATGTTAAAAAATAGAAGTCACAGAAAGGAACTAAATAGAAATTCTGGAGCTAAAGAATAAAATAATTAAAATAGAAAATAGCTAGTTCTTTGAAAACATCAACAAAACTGATAAGCTTTTAGCTAGACTGACAAAAAGAAGACCCACATTACTAAAATAAAAAACAAAAGTAGGCACATTACTACTGACCTTATGAAAGATTACTATTTTAATTGTAAGCCAACTAGCCTATTTATACAAAATGGACAAATTCCTAGAAACATACAAACTATCAAAACTGACCCAAGAAATAGAAAACTGAACAGTCCTATAACACAGTGGTCCCCCACCTTGTTTTGCACCAGGGACTGGTGTTGTGAAAGACAATTTTTCCATGGAGCGGGGGGCGTTGGGCTGAAATCGTTTCACCTCAAATCATCAGGCATTAGATTCTCCTAAGGAGTGCACAACCTAGATCTCTTGCATGCACAGTTTACAATAGGCTTCCTATGAGAATCTAATGCTGCCACTGATCTGACAGGAGGCAGAGCTCAGGCAGTAATGCTCCCTTGAAGGCCGCTCACCTCCTGCTGTGCAGCCAGTTCCTAATGGGCCGTGGACCATCTGTGGCCTGGCAGTCGCGGACCCCTGCTATAACAAATAAAGAGATTGAATAAAGAATTAAAACCTCCCAACAAAGAAATGCCTAGGACTACATGGCTTTGCTGATGAAGTCTACCAAAAATTTAAAGAATCAACATAAATTCTTCTCAAAATAAAAGAAGAGGGAGAACTTGAATATTCTTCAACAAATAGCGCTAGGACAACTGGATATCCACATTTCTTGAGGCCAAAACTAGACACTTCATACCAAAACTAGAAAAAGACATCATGAGGAAACAATAAACTAACATCCCTTATGATTATGTAAAAATTTTCAATAAAATACTAGCAAACCAAATTCAGCAGCATATTGAAAGAATTGTAGACCATGTCCAAGTGGGACTTATACCAGGAATGTAAGGGTGGTTGTACACTTTAAAATATTTAATATATCACATTAATAAAATGAAAGGAATAAAAACATTATAATCTCAACTGATGCAAAGAAAAAGCATTTATAAAATCCACTACGTTTTCATGATAAAAAACACTCAACATCATAGAAGGGAACTTCTTTACCATGATAAAGATCGTTTATTTAAAAACCCACAGCTAATATCACAGTTAAGGGTGAAAAACTCAATGCTTTCTTTCAAAGATCAGGAGAGAGATAAAGATGCCACTTTTCACCACTTTTATTCAACACTGTTCTACAAGTTTTAACTAGATCAACTAGGTAAGAAATAAAAGCCATTCAAATTGGAAAGTCATAAAACAAACCAAAAAATCATCTCTATTTGCAGATATGATGTTATACATAGAAAATCCTAAAGAATGTTTTGTTTTGTTTTCTTTGAGATTGGGTCTCATTCTGTCATGCAGGCGCCATCTCAGCTCACTGCAACCTCCGCCTCCTGGGCTCAAGCGATCCTCCCACTTCAGCCTCCTGAGTAGCTGGGACCATAGGCATGTGCCACCACAGCCGGCTAGTTTTTTGTATTTTTGATAGTGACGGCATTTCACCACGTTGCCCAGGCTGGTCTTGAACTCCTGAGCTTAAGTGATCTGCCTGCCTCGGCCTCCCATAGTGCTGGGATTATAGGTGTGAGCTACTATGCTTGGCCAAGAATTAAAAAAAACAAACTATCAGAGCTAATGAACAAATTCAGCAAAGTTGCAGAATATAAGATAAAGTCACAAAATCTGTTGCTTTTCTATATACCAGCAATGAACAATCCAAAAATAAGAAATTAAGAAAGCAATTCTATTTAGCATCAGAAAGAATAAAACTTAGGAAAAAATTAGCTCTGATAGTTTGATGACTAAGAAGGCCCAGGCCTAAAAATGGACACAAGGAAAATATTTACAAATAATAAAACACACTATTGGTGTGCTGAGTGTGTGCATGTGCACATTTGCTATCAGGTATCACTTATGTCAAAACGACTTACTTTTACAGAACAAGGAGTTGGTTTAAACTCATTGGTAAAAGGCATTCCTAATAGAGGGCAGGATGCAAAGTTGACCAGGATGCAGGAGGACAGACTGGTAGAAATATACATTGATACAGCCTCTGTGCAACTGGCAATCACTAGCAAAATTTTCAATGCACATCCCACTGAAAAAGATCTCCAAGATATATTGGGGGTGAGGGGTAGTACAAAACAATCAAATAAGCCAACTTGTGTGTTAAAAGGGGGAGAAAATCAAGAATAGATTTGATATGCTTGGCTTATCTGTTGTAAAATTTGCGTTACCAGTACTCTCCACATCACAGGGCAGAAATCTTAAACTACATTTCCCAGAATCTCTTTTTATGGAATGATTTAAGGATAGTGTCTGCCAATGAGGCTCACGCATGCAAGATTAAATGAAGAGAAAGAAAAGCAATTCTTGTCTGATGGCAACTGGGAGTAAATTCATGGGCAGACGATAGGCATGAGGTTGGAAGCAGCTGTTGCATTAAGAAACATCTGCCTTTTCTGGATTCAATACTGTACAACGCTAATTTTTCAAATTAAATCCATAATCTCAATGGAATATCAGTGATGCTCAACAGTTTTCATGGCACTTCAAAATGTTTTAAAAATTTATATGGAAGACCAAAGAGTAAAGAGCCAATTCGGGGCGGTGGGGGAGGAAGGCTGAACTGCACATCGTATACAAGAATAAAATTCTAGGTCATTCAGAAAACTAAATGGAAAAAAAATTTGCAAATTTTTAGAAGAAACAGAATATTTTTTAAGACCTTGTTTCTTACACAACACAAAAAAGGGGGAAAAACCCATAAAAGATTGATAAGAATGATCATACTATAATTTAAAAGTTCTGAATGAGTGACCCCTAAAACAAAGTAGACTAGCCACAGATTGAGAGGTATAACAAAACCAATAAAAGATTCATAGCCTACCTACAGATAGATAGATAATAGAGATATATACTTACCACTACAAAGCAAAGAAAAAATAGGCAATTCACAAAAAACATCTAACTTGTCAAAAATATGTAAAAATATATTTTATCTCTTTAGAAATCCAGGAAACACAAATTAAAACAAAGTATCACTCATATACATCAGAATGCCAAAATGAAAGTCAAACTAAAATAATTATCGGCAAGTTTGAGAGTAAAGAATGACTCTTACTCAATTGCTTGTGACAATATAATCAGTACAGCCCCTCTGAAGAAAATAATAATTACATAATAAAGGTGAACATGTCTATATCCTATGACCCAGCAATTTTACCTCCACATATCTATCTCAGAGAAACTGTACAAAAAAAGATACACATTATACTAGAATTTCTACATCACTATTTGTAATAACTAAAACTAGAAGATACCTAACTATAGAAAGTTAAGAAAATAGATAAACAGCAGTTTATTTGTATCAGATATACAGCAACTATTATTTTTATTTGTATAGATTTATCAGGCACAAGTGCAATTTTGTTACACGCACAGATTGTGTAGTGGTCAAATCAGGGCTTTTGGGGTATCCCCAAAGATACAGATATATAGAAATTACAACAAATGTATTATCATGGATAAATTTTAAAAGCAGTGATAAAAAGATACATAAAGCATACCATTAATTTAAAATTTTAGAAAACATAACAGTAATATTATACTGTTTATGGATATGTAAACACAGTATAAGTGAAAAAAGCCTAGATGATAAAAGCTAACTTCCAAGGTGGTTACCTAGGAAAAAAGGGGAGCAGAGCTCTAGTTATATATGTAAATATTTCATTCTTTAAGAGACACAAAGCAAATATGGCAAAGTATTCACAGCTGTTTATTCCTAGTGATAGGTAGTTAGGTTTATATTTTATTTTATCCTGTGTGTCTGAACATTTCTATTTGATTAAAACCATTTTTCAAGAAAGATCACTGATTGGTCTGAGTGTAGAAGATGAACTGAAATGGCGGCAAAATTGGAGAAGAGTAGACTGGCCAGAGAACTACTGCATTAGTCCAATAAGAAATGACAGCAGCAGGAACTAAAGCCATGAAAGTGCAAGGGAGAGATCAATATTACATATACATACAAATTAGGACTACAGAGTTCTTCATACAGTTATGCAAGTACGGTATGCCTGTAGGTCATTCTCCTTTCTTTAAAATCTCCTATATTAGACATTTCTCAAATGAAGACACAAATGGCCAAGTATATATTTTTTAAAAAGTTCACTCTCTCATCACCAGGGAAAGGCAAATTAAAACCATGAGATATCATCTCACACCTGTTAGAACAGCTTCTACCAAAAAGATGAAAGAAAGGTAAGTGCTGGCAAAGATGTGGAGAAAAGAGAACCCCTACCCACTGTTGGGGAGGAATGTAAATTAGTACAGCCATTATGGAAAACAGTATGAAGGTTCCTCAAAAAATTAAAAATAAAATTGCCATATGATCCAGTAATCCCACTACAGGGTATATAACCAAAAGAAATGAAAGCAGTATGTCAAAGAGATATGTGCACTCACACTTTCATTACAGCATTATTCAAAATAGCCAAAACATAGAATCAACCTAAGTGTCCATCAATAAATGAAAAAAAAGTGGTATATGTACACCCTGGGATACTATTCAGCCTTAAAGGAGGAGGAAGTCCTGTCACTGCATTAATTTTAGCCCTTACTTTGATGCATTTTGAGTTAATTTTTGTGAGGTAAGGGATCACATTTATTCTTTTGCATGTGGGGAAATCTAGTTTCCCCAACATCATTTGTTGAAAAGACTGTCTTTTGCCCCCATTGAATGGCCCTGGGACCCTCAAAGTAAGAGCTAAAACTGTAAAACTCTTAGAAGAAAACACAGGGGAAAAGCTTCATGACATTGGATTTGGCAGTGATTCCTTGGCTATGGCACCAGAACCACAGGCAACAAAAGAAAAAAGTTAAATTGGACTTTGTCAAAGTTTAAAACTTTTATGCAGAGAAGGATACTATCAACAGAGTGAAAAGGCAATGCAGAGAACAGGAGAAAATATTAGCAAATTACAAATCTGACAAGGGATTAATATCCAGAATATATAAAGAAATCCTACAATTAAACAACAAATTTTTAAATGGACAAGGGACTTGAATAGACATTTATCAAAAGGTATACAAATGGCCAATCAACAACATGAAAAGATGTTCAACATCACAAATCATTAGGGATATGCAAACCAAAGTCATGAAATACCACTTCATACACGAGAATAGCTATTATTAAAAATTGTTAGTAGGTACTATGGAAGTGATCCTGAAAGTTATTTAGAGTTAATGTATAAAATATATGGCAGAATTTAATATGATTAAATTTTGACTTCATATGGCTAAAAAAGCATCACTTACAGATCTGATGAATGGAGAATTAGATCTGAAAGAATGACAAAGAATTGCAGGGAATGGTAAATAAGTTATTTTCTAGAGGTCAAAACAGGCGAATGATTATGGAAAAATTATTACCTTCTGAAAGTCTCAGAGAAACATGAAGTTAGGGCTGGACGCGGTGGCTCATGCCTGTAATCACAGCACTTTGGGAGGTGGGCAGAAACATGAAGTTAAACACCTTACATGTAAGAGATTGCATACTCATAAAAAGGTGACATGATAGGAGTACTTTAGTAGTCAGTACACTACAGCTTTATTCTAAATATGTTTTCTGTTTCTCTAAACCATGAAGATAAACTGTGGGCTTGAATTTTTTATATGCAGTACTTTGAGACCCTTTGTATTTTCAGTAGAGATGGGGTTTCACCATGTTGGCCAGGCTGGTCTTGAACTCCTGACCTCAATTCTTTCTATAACACCAGCTTAACAAAAATATTAGTATCTGGGGGGGTGGGGGGGATTATTGCCTTCACATTTTTAACCTAATCTCTGACAGATTTTCCCGATTTCCTCTGTATCCTCCACAGGTTTGCACCACGCTGCACTTGTTCACTGACTTCACAGATATTTCTTGAAACCTTACCAAAGCACAAACCAAACTTACCCTTTATAAATGTGTAATCAAGACCAAGACTCTAAATCAAGGTAACTCTGCTTAATTTTATATAGATAAGAAAACATCTGCAGAAAGTACATTCACGTCTGAAATATATAGCCAGAACTTTCCAACAAAGCCCAAGGAATTTAAATCTCCTAGCCTGTAGTAACCATACCCAGCAAGAGAGACAAACTTAGATATCTGCAGGACCAATATTAGAAGGCTGTTTTTAAAATTTTTGGTCTTAAGACCTCTTCACATTTTTAAATTATTGAAGAGCCCAAAAAGTTTTGCTTATGAGGATTATTTCTACTGATGTCTACTGTATTCAAAATCAAAACTACCGAATTGCTTAAAAGTATTATTTTTAATTTATTTACTAATATATCCACTACATACCAATATAAATAACTTTATTAAAATAATTATTTTTTTAAAAAATTAAGTAGCACTGTTCATGTCTGGCTTAACAGAAAATAGGTGGAATCTCACAGCTGCTTTTGCATTCAATTTGCTGCAATAAGTTATCATGGTTCAAGTATATGAAGAAAATCTATACTCATGGTAGCATATTTTTAGATACTTGTGGACAATCTTTGATATTACATCAAAGCTTGACAAGTGATATCTCTTAGAAGTTAACTATAATGTGAATTATGAAGCCATATGAATGAGCTTTTAGTACTTTTTTCACATTAAAATCCATTGGTCTAACTGAACTTTGAATGGATCTTTTTTAACCCATGTGTCATTTTACAATATCATATATCAGTAATTTGGAAAATGCTGGTTCACTGGTTTACGAAGGTCTTCAATTACTGACACGTTTCATGATATACAATATCAAAAGTCATATTTATTAATATTACTACCAAAGCCACCACAAAACATCTTTAAGCTCTGTAAAGGTAGCAAGCTCAAGGTGGCCGATACAGATTTACTCAAATTCTAATTTTGCTTGGAAGCTCAAATTTCATCATCTGTAACAAATATTGACAGTGGCTTTCCTTGAAGTGACAAGTTCACTTTGTTCCTTTTCAAGGAATATTTTCAATAAAAGGTTTGCCAAAGAGCCAAATCTGAATAACCATAATGTTAGTTGTTTTTTCAAGTAAAAAGGTATTCTATTAAAAAAAAAAAAAAGTCTAGTCCAGCTAGCAACTCAATCACATAAGCATTTTTCCTGTGCAGCATATACTCATTTTATCATACAGACACCCCAGGGTGAAGTGTAATGTAAGTAATTTATACTTAAAAACAATCTTAAGGGAAATAGGCTTTTCCCTCCCCTTAACTGTAAGCAAGGCAGTGAAAAACACAGTCTGGTGCCACTAACTTGATTCCTAATACATCAGCAGTAAGTACTATTACTTTTGTACCATTAATGCGAATGTCGAAGTAAAAAACGCATATAACATTTTATTATTATGATAACAGTTTTGACTTTAGGGACTCCCAGGGGTTCATGGACCACACTATGAGAAGTCTCTTAGACCAGGGTCCCTAACCCCTGGACTGAGGACTGCTAGCCATTCATGGCCTGTCAGAAACTGGGCTGGATAGCAGGAGGTGAGCAGCGGGCAAGCAAGCATTACCACCTCAACTCTGACTCCTGTCAGAGTAGCGCAGCATTAGATTCTCATAGGACTGCCAATCCTATTTTGAATTGCACATCTGAGGGATCTAGGTTATGTGCTTTTTACAACACTCTAACTAATGCCTGATGATCTGAGGTGGAACAGTTTCATCTCAAAACCATCCCACCCCCCACCGCACCCCCATCCACGGAAAAATTGTCTTCCACGAAACTGGTCCCTGGTGCCAAAAACACTGGGGACTGCTGCAGTAATGGATTAATTTTGGCCAAAGAAAGGTTTGGCCCTTGCTCAGCTCCTAGGAGGTAACTGCTAACCCCTTGGAATGTCCTGCTTGATAAAGAGTCGTTGTTTACCTGGGGGCTTTGGTCCATGACAGATAGTCTAACAATATGATTCTTGGTGGGACCTTTAAGTCACGGAGTATCAGCTTGACCTCTGGAGGGGATGGAGACTAACATCAGCCACAGGTGTGGTCAACCATACCTATGTGACTGACTTCTCAATAAAAACTCTGGACAGCAAACCTCACGTGGGTGGCCTTGGTTGGCAATACTCCTTGCGTGTCACCATATATTGTTGCTGGGAAAAGTAAGCACTGTCTGCACAACCCCATTAGGAGAGGACATCTGGAAGTTCACGCCTGAAACTCTCCTGGACCTCTGTCCTATGCACCTTTACCCACTGTTGGTTTTAATCCGTATTCTTTTGATGTAATAAACCATACCATTAATTTAACTGCTTTGCTGAGTTCTGTGAGTCTTTCTAAGCAAATTATCAAATCTGAGAGTGCACAATCTCCCACAAACTAAACAAGCTGGTCAAGATCAAACTCCTGAGTATATATAACAAAAGCCAATCCCCACCTACATGTTTCTCTACACAAGACACTGTTTTGCCCAAGACCAAAAACTATTGTGCATATGTGCACAGATCCAAATTGCACTGCCAAACTCCACATAACTACCAGCCCCTTCTCCAAGCAGCTTGTTTTAGAGCAGGGATTCTCACCAAATGATTCTTTGTTATAGAGGAACGTCCTGTCCACAGTAGGATGTTTAGCAGCATCCCTGGCCTCTGTCCAATAGGTGCCAATAGTATCCTTCCCTCCTTCCCAGTGGTAACAACAAAAAATGTCTCCAGACACTGTCAAATTCCCCTGAGGAGAAAAATCGCTCTCCCCTCAATATTGAAAATCACTGTTTCAGGAAACTCACCTAGGTAGTCTGACCTTGCCTTATCTTTTACAAAAAAAGGGAATAAATTCACTTTTAGCTCTACCTTCCTGCCTTTCCTAATGTTAATTATTTGATGATGGAAAGCAATTGCACATTCTGAGTTCTACCTTCAAAAAATATCTGGATAGAAGTGGTGAACTAAAAACTCTTCCTTCTGGGGAACTCAGTCAGATTACCAATTTCAAGAGAAGGAGAAGCCTCTAACAATGATCTTTAAATAAGGATACATATATATTTTCTGTATCTTATGCACACCACAGAGGGAAGATAGACTAGTTTTCTTCAACCTTGGGAGTATACATCAAAATAACCCCCAGTAGTTTTTAAAAATATAGGTGCCAGGGTCCTATCTCAGACACACTTAATCAGAATTCATTATTTATCCAGCAATTGAGTGTCCACTATATGCCAAAGCATTGTTACAGGTGCTGGAGACACAGCAGTAAATAAAAGACATCGTATTTGCCCTTGAAGAACTCACATTCCAGTAGAGTGAGACATTTCATAAACATATAGACAAATAAGATCACTTCAGATAGTGCTACAGGGAAATAAATAGAATAAAGGAAGAAATTTCTCTGCATTCTCAGCAATATCTGCAGAAATACATTCAAAGTTAAATGTGGTAAGTGAAAATATTATTTTGCATTTTATTATTTAGAAAGCCTGTGACATAATTACATACCTACATTTAAAATTCCTTATGTGTAGGGGTGCTGAGCAAAAGTGTCTCTCCCTACTCTTTGGGAATCTTTAAGCTCAAGATTAGGTAAATTCCCTCCCAGTTTCAATTCTAATTTCCATCAGTTCAATGAAAACATTATGCTAAATTTTAAAAATAAATTTAGGGGATACACTGCAGATTTCTTACATGCACTTACTGCATTGTGATGAAGTGCGCTTTTAGTGTAGAGATCACCTAAATAGTGAACACTGTATCCAACAGGTGATTTTTCAACCCTTGCCCACCTCCCACCTTTTGTAGTTTCTAATATCTGTTATCCCCTTGGTATGTCCCATATACCCTTGTTTAGCTCCCATTTAGAAGTGAGAACATGCAGTATTTGACTATGTTTCCAAGTTATTTCACGGAGGATAATGGGCTCCAATTCCATCCATGTTTGCTGCAAAAGACATGATTTCATTCTTTATACATATACACCACATTTTCTTTATCCAATCTTCTGTTGATGGATATTTAGGCTGATTCCACGTATATGCTACGGTGAATAGCGCTGCAATAAACATACCAGTGTAGATACCTTTTTGACATGATTTCTTTCCCTTAGGGTATATTCACAGTAGTGGGACTGCAGAATCAAATGGTATCACTATTTTTAGTTCTTTGAGAAATCTCCATACTATTTTCCATAAGGATTTTACTAACTTACATTCCCACCAATAGTGTATAGTGTATAAGCATTCCCTTTTCTTCACACCTGTGATGGTTAAAACTGAGTGTCAACTTGATTGGATTGAAGGATGCAAAGTATTGATCCAGGGTGTGTCTGTGAGGGTGCTGCCAAAGGAGATTAACATTTAAGTCAGTGGGCTGGGAAAGGCGGATCTACCCTTAATCTGAGTAGGCACCATCTAATCAGCTGTCAGCACAGCTGGAATATGAAGTAGGCAGAAAAACGTGAAAAGACTAGACTGGTGTAGCCTCCCATCCTACATCTTTCTCCTGTGCTGGATACTTCCTGCCCTCAAGCATTGGACTCCAAGTTATTCAGTTTTGGGGCTCGGACTGGCTATCCTTGCTCCTCAGCTGGCAGATGCCCTACTGTGGGACCTTGTGATCATGTGAGTTAATACTTAAACTCCCCTTCATATATATATAATATATAAAAATATACTACATATTATGTACTATATATATATAAAATATATACATTATTTTTTATATATATAATGTGTGTGTGTATATATATATCTCCTATTAGTTCTGTCCCTCTAGAGAACCCTAATACAGCACCCTTGGCAACATCTGTTGTTTTTTTGACCTTTTAATAGTAACTAACCATTCTGACTCATATAAGATGGTTTTAACCCATTTATGCTGGAAGCTGCAATTATGAGTGAAAAATCAGAACTTGGCAATGACCTTGAGCAGTAGGATATAAATAACTCCCACATGCTTAGTGTTCCAATAATGGAACACTAGGCATAAGTGGATTAATTTGTATTTCTTTTATGACTAATGATGTTGAGGATTTTTTCATGTTTTTTGGCCACTTGTATGTCTTCTTTTGGAAAATGTCTGTTTGTGTTATTTGCCCATTTTTTAATGTTTGTTTTTTTCTTAAGTTCCTTGTAGATTCTGGATATTAGCCTTTTGTCAGATGCAGTTTTCACATTTTGCACATATTTTTTCCCCTTTCTGTAGGTTGTATGTTTACTCTGTTCACTGTTTCTTTTACTGTGTGAAAGCTTTTTTAAAATTGTCTCATTTGTGTATTTTTGTTTTTGAGGACTTGGTTATAAATTATTTGCCTAGACCAATGTCCAGAATTTTTCTCAGGTTTTCTTCAGTATTTTTATAGTTTCAGGTCTTATGTTTAGCTCTTTAATCCATCTTGAGTTAATCTTTGTATATGGTGAGAGGCATGGGTCCAGTTTCATTCTTCTACATATAGCTATCCAATTTTCCCAGACCCATTTACTGAATCGAGTGTCCTTTCCCCAGTGTATATTCTTGTTGATGATTAGCTGGTTGTAGGTATGTGGCTTTATTTCTGGGTTCCCTATTTTGTTCCAGTAATATATATATCTATTTTTATGCCAGTACCATGTTGTGTTGGTTACTATAGTCTTGCAGTATATTTTGAAGTCAGATAATGTGATGCCTCCACGTGCTCTTGAACATGGGAGAGTTTAATGATTTTATTAACAAGAATAAAAAGAGCTCCTGAAGAAGTCAATCAAAGGGGAAAAAATCCACTGAAAAGCTAATCATCATAAGGATTGTTTACAACAGAATCTGGCAAGACTGGAGAAGGGGACATTTTTCTCCTTTCATTTCATACTTCTATGAAAAACTGGTAGCAAAACCCAGGAATATAAAAATTTTCTGCTCTTCAGTTTTTTCTAAGAAGCAAAAACAAAGCTATTTATACATTTATAGAAAGGATATTTCTATGGTTAAAAATACTAAAGTTGTGGGTACCAAATATATTTTTTAAAAGTAAAGATCAAACACTTCCCTGTTATGTCACAAGTAATAAAAAGAACTGCTGATAATACCCAACCTTCCTTTAAGAATTAAAAACAGGGGTGGGCAAATCACTTGAGGCCAGAAGTCCGAGACTAGCCTGGCCAACACGGCAAAATGCTCTCTCTACTAAAAATACAAAAATTAGCCATGTGTGTTGGCGCACACCTGTAATTCCAGCTACTCGGGAGGCTGAGGCATGAGAATCTCTTTAACTTGGGAGATGGAGGTTGCAGTGAGCTGAGATCGCACCACTGCACTCCAGCCTGGGCAAAAGAGCAAGACTCTGTATCAAAAAAAAGAAAAAAGAAAAAGAAAGAGAGAATTAAAAACAAAGGTCAGATGCCAGAGGATGTTTTATCTAATTTTTCAATACACACCTCATTCCATATACACAAACAGTAAGCAATCTGTTCATCCTATAATAGTGGCTTTGCAAATCTCACAGAATGCTATCATGGTTCCCATTCTACAAACTATATCGCATTCTGCCACAAATAGGCAAATATTTTATGCCTACAAGAAAACAGCTATTTGGATATAAATAGCTTTTAATTGCCTGAAACAATAGAGAAGGAGGAATCAACAACAACAACAAAAAAAGGTAGATTCACGTTCCTCTTACAGCCTGTGGCTTGTTGCTGCCATCTCTAAACAAACATTTAGAACTCATCTTTGAAAAGTCCTTTCCTCACATCTGAGGACAGAACTCTGTATAAAAGTTTCCAATGGTTGCCCCCACAGCTATAAGAATAAGGTTCAAGTCTCATAGCTTAGTAAGATACTTAGAAATTGACGTCTACATAACTTCTCTCCCAGCCTCATCTTGTGCCATCCCTTCGCAATCCTTAGTCAACTAATACCACACTTAAGATCATGAGGAATATGATCCCCAATTGAGAAGATGGGAGTAAACTGGCTAACTCTAAAATGTATTATTCAGGGGATATAGATGAAAGACAGATACTAAAGGAAGTTCTCCAGGACCAAAGTGACACTAGACAGTAATGAATCCACAGGAAGAAATAAAGAGCACTGGTAATGGTAATTACAGGTAAAGGAAAAATGACAGTATAAAAGGCTGTATAAATATAACTTCTACTTTTTTCTTCTCTTAAGAGGTAACTGCATAGAACAACTATAAAACTGTATTGTCAAGTTTATCCCATATAAACATATGAAAATGAAGCACAAAAATGGGAGTGAATTATATTGAAAAAAAGAGATGACACTAGATGGTGACTCAAATCCACAATAAAAAAGAATACTGAAAGTGGTAAATATATACATTAATATAAAAGACTATAAATGTTTTTCTCTTTCTTCTTTAAAAGATAAACTCTATACAAAGCAATAATTAAAACATTACTGTTGGGTTTATTACATAAATTAACATAATATATATGACAACAGTAAAAGAGACGAGAGAAAATAGTTATACCGGAGGACTATTACTATGTAACAATCATTATTAATCTGAGGTAGACTGTGATGGAACAAACGCTAAAAATATAATTTTTAAAAATCAAATAAAAAATAGAAAATAGAAAAGGTGATAAAAGAGGAACATAAAAGACATGAGATGTATAGAAAACAAATAGCAACTGAGATACAAATCCAACCATTTCAAAAGTAATATTAAATATAAAAGGATTAAACACTCCATTAAAAAGAGAGATTGTTGGATTGGATTTAAAAAGCAATACCTAATTGTATGCTGTCTACCTAACACTTTAGATTCAAAGACACAAGCAGGCTGAAACGATGGAAAAACATATACCACACAAAGAATACCCATAAGAGAGCTGAAGGAGTTATATTTGTACCTGACAAAACAGACTTTAAGTCAAAAAAAGTTACTGGAGACAAAGAGGAACATTTTTTTAACATTAATAGTATTAATTCAACAGGAAGATAAACATAAACATATGGAGCTAACAGGCCAGGCGTGGTGGCTCACGCCTGTAATCCCAGCTCACACCTGTAATAACAGGCCGAGGCGGGCAGATCACAAGGTCAGGAGATCACAAGGCCAGGAGATCGACACCATCCTGGCTAACACGGTGAAACCCAGGCTCTACTAAAAATACAAAAAATTAGCCGGGCATGGTGGCGGGCGCCTGTAGTCCTTGCTACTTGGGAGGCTGAGGCAGGAGAATGGCCCGAACCCAGGAGGCAGAGCTTGCAGTGAGCCGAGGTCGCACCACTGCACTCCAGCCTGGGCAACAGAGCAAGACTCCGTCTCAAAAAAAAAAAAAAAACCATAAAAACCATACGGAGCTAACAAAACAGTCCCAAAATAGGGAAATCAAAAAAATGACAGAAATGAAGGGGCAACAGGCAATTTAACAATAATGATTAGAGACTTCTATGTTCCACCCTAACAATAAATAAACAAGAAAGCAGGGAATTAGCAATGAAGATCTGAACAACACTATAAATTTGACCTAACTGACATCTATAGAAGACTCTGCCCAACAGCAGTATAACTTATTCTCAAGCACATATAAAACAATCTCCAAAATAGATCACATGCTAGATCATAAAACAAGTCTCAAATTTAAAAGAACTGAACTGATACAAAAAAATGTTTTTCAATCACTGTATAAGTAAATTAGAAATCAAAGATAAAAAGAAATTTCAGAAATCCAAACATGTTTGAAAATTAAACAAGACACCTGTAAATAACCAATGGACTAGAGAGAAAAATCACAAAGGAATTTAGAATACATTCTGAGCAGAATGAAAATGTAAACAAAACACATCAAAACTCATAGGATACAGACAATGCAGTGTTTAGAGGGAAAATTATAGCTGGGCACAGTGATGTTAAAAAAGAAAATTCTCAAGTGAGCTTCAACCTTAAGAAATTAGAAAAAGAGGAGCAAACCAAACCCAACACAAGTAGCAGGGGAAAAAACAATCAATATTAGAGGAAGAATCAATGAAACAGAAAAAAGAAAAAGAAGAAAATGAAAACCAAAATTTGGTTTTTTAAAAAGACCAAGAAAACTGACAAACCTTTAATTAAGCTAACCAGAAAAAAAAAAAAAAAATGAAGATACTAATTACCAAAATCAGGAATGAAAGAGAGGGTATCGCTACCGAACTCAGAGGAATTAAAAGAATTTTAAGGGAATATTATGAACAACTGTATACAAACAAATGTAAACAACTTAGAAAAAAATAAATTCTAAGACACAAATTACTGACTCTGAAGAAGATACAGAAAATATGAATAGAACTCTATCAACTAAAGAAATTAGTAATTAAAATCTTCCCACAAAGAAAAGCCTTGGCCCACATAGTTTCTTTCACTGGTGAATTTTACCAAACACTAAAGAAATAATATTAATCCTTCACAAACTCATCTAGATACTTCAATAGAAAACACTTTCTAATTCCCTCCATGAGGCTAACATTACCTTAATACCAAAGCCAGACAAAGATATCACACGAATAGAGATTTTTTTTAATCCTAACAAAATATCAGCAAACCAAATCCAGCAGCATACAATAGGAATCATACAAATTGGCTATTCTTAAAACATTAAACATAAGCTTATTATACGACCCAGCGATTCTACTCAAGAATCTTTGTGGCCAGGCATGGTGGGCTCACACCTATAATCCCAGCACTTTGGGAGGCCGAGGCGGGCAGATCACCTGAGGTCAGGAGTTTGAGACCAGCCTCCAGCCTGGCCAACATGGTGAAACCCCATTTCTACTAAAAATACAAAAAACTTAGTCGGGCATGGTGGCACATGCCTGTAATCCCAGCTACTTGGGAGGCTGAGGCAGGAGAACTACTTGAACCCAGGAGGTAGAGGTTGCAGTGAGCCGGGACCACGCCACTGCACTCCAGCCTGGGCAACAAGAACGAAACTCCGTCTCAAAAAAAAAAAAAAATCTTCGCAAGAGAAGTTAAAACGTGTCCATACACAGACTCATACATGAATATTCATAGCAGTATTATTCATAGTTGCCAAAAATGGGAAACAATTCAAATTTCCATCAACTTGTGAATGGATAAACAATATGTGATATATCCATACAATGGAATACTATTCAGCAACGAAGAACCAATTAATACATGTTACAACATGAATGAACCTCAACAACATTTATACCAAATTTTTAAAAGCCAGACAAAAAATGATCACGTATCATATGACTCCACTTATATAAAATGTCCATAAAAGTTTATAAAATAAAACCATTATTCAATGGTGGCCTGGGGCTGGAGGTGGGACTAGGAGTAACTGCAAAGTAGGTACAAGGTATCTTTTTGGGGTGATGAAAATACTCTAAAACTGGTTTGTAATGATGAGTGCAAAATTCTTTAAATTTACTGAAAACAAATTGCACTCAAGACATTTTATGAATTTTATGGTATATAAATTATACCTCAATAAACTGTTAAAAAAAAAACACACTGATCTAACCAATCACCAGCTCTTTTAATCCAACTTAAAAGGCTGATCAGCTGTTCAGGACCTTAGCTGTAGAAGACATAACAAAAAACAACTGAATTACAGCTGGAGAGAACCAAAGTGGGTAAAAGGGAAGATTTTCTGACATGTTGATTCAGCACACAGGAACACCAAACCAATGAAAACTATAATCACATTTCAGAATCAATGTGGCTCAGATAGAGGGCTACTTGAAGAGTGGGTCAAATTTCCATCTGCAGGGTAAATAATAACATGATACATGAACCAGACAAAGACACATTAAAAAAAAAGAAAACGATAGGCCAATATCACTGAGTAATATTGACTCAAAAAATCCTCAACAAAATACTAGCAAACCAAATTCAACAACACACTAAAAAAAATCATTCATCATGACCAAGTGGGACTTATCCCCCGAGGGATGCAAGGATGGTTCAACACATGCAATCAATTAATATGATACATCATATCAACAAAATGAAGGACAAAAACCACATAGTCATGTCAACTGATGCTGAAAAAGCATTTGATAAAATTCAACATCCCTTCATAATAAAAACTCTCACAAAACTAGATACAGAAGAAACATACCTCAACATAATGAAAGCCATATACCACAGACACATAGCTAGTATCACACTGAATGGGGAAAATTGGAAAGTCTATCCTCTAAGATCTGGACCACAACTAGGATGCCCACTGTCACCACTGTTATTCAACATAGTACTGGAAGTCCTAGAGAAATCAGACAAGAGAAAGAAATAAAGAGCATCCAAACTGGAAAGGAAGTCCAATTATCCTTGTCTGCAGATGATATGATCTTATATTTGAAAAATCCTAAAGACTCCACACACAAAAAAACTATTAGAACTGATAAATTCAGTAAAGTTGCAAGATACAAAAATCAACATACAATACTCAGTAGCATTTCTATATGCTAACAGCAAACAATCTGAAAAAGAAATCAAGAAAGTAATTCCATTTATAACAGCTACAAATAAAATACCAGGAATTAACCAAAGAAATGAAAGACCTCTACAATGAAAATTATAAAACACTGATGCAAAAAAATTGATGAAGACACACAAAAAATGGAAAGATACTCCATGTTCATGGATTGGAAGAATCAATATCATTAAAATGTTCACACTGCCAACAGCAATCTATAGATTTAATGCAATGCCAATGACAAAATACCAATGACATTCTTCACAGAAATAGAAAAAAAAACAATCCTAACATTTATATGGAACAACAAAAGACCCAGAATAGCCAAATCTAGCCTAAGCAAAAAGAACAAACTGGAGGAATCACACTACCTGACTTCAAATTATGCAACTGAACTATCCTAACCAAAACAGCATGGTATTAGCATAAAAAGACACATAGATCAGTGGAACACAATAGAGAACCCAGGGATAAATCCACACACCTACAATGAACTCATTTTTGACAAATGTGCCAAGAACACACATTAGGGAAAGGGTAGTCTCTTCAATAAATGGTGCCAGGAAAACTGGATCTCTACATGGAAAAGAATGAAGACTCCTGGCCGGGTGTGGTGGCTCACGCCTGTAATCCCAGCACTTTGGGAGGCCGAGGTGGGCGGATCACTTGAGGTCAGGAGTTTGAGACAAGCCTGGCCAAAATGGCAAAACACTGTCTCTACTACAAATACAAAAATTAGCCAGGCATGATGGTGCACGCCTGTAATCCCAGCTACTCAGGAGGCTGAGGCAGAACTGCTTGAACCTGGGAGGCAGAGGTTGCAGTAAGCCGAGATCCGCGCCACTGCACTCCAGCCTAGGCAACAGAGCAAGACTGTGTCTCAAAAAAAGAAAAAAAGAATGAAGACCCCTACCTCTTGCCATATGCAAAAATCAAATCAAGATGGATTAAAGACTTAAATCCAAGACCTCAAACTATGAAACTACTGAAAGAAAACATCTGGGACACTCTTCAGGACACTGACTGGGCAAAGATTTCTTGGCTAATACTCCACAAGCACAGGCAATCAAAGCAAATATGGACAAATGGGGTCACATCAAGTTAAAAAGCTTCTGCACAGCAAAGGAAATAATCAACAAAGTGAAGAGACAACCCACAGAATGGGAGAAAATATTTTCACATCAAGTTAAAAAGCTTCTGCACAGCAAAGGAAATAATCAACAAAGTGAAGAGACAACCCATAGAATGGGAGAAAATATCTGCAAACTAATTCTCTGACAAGGGATTCATAACCAGAGAATATAAGGAGCTCAAACAAATGTACAGAAAAAAAACCTAATAACCCAATAAAAAAAAATGGGCAAAAGATCTGAATAGGCATTTCTCAAAAGAAAACATGTAAATGGCAAACAGGTACATGAAAAGGGTCTCGGCATCACTGAGCATCAGAGAAATGCAAATCAAAACTACAATCATCTCACCGCAGTTAAAATGGCTTTTATCCAAAAGTCAGACAATAACAAGTGCTGGAGAGGATGTGGAGAAAAGGGAACCCTTGTACACTGTTGGTAGGAATGCAAACTAGTACAACCACTAGGGAGAACAGTTTGGAGGTTCCTCAAAAAACTAAAAATGGCACTAGCACTACCATATGATCCAGTAATCCATCTGCTTGGTATAACCCAAAGAAAGGAAATCAGTATATTGAAGAGATATCTGCACTCCCATGTTATTATATAGGCATAATTTATATGTATAATGTTATATATTGTGTATAATTTTTATATATAACATAATTTATATATAATTTTATTTTATAATTTTTATATTATTTTATAATAATTGATATATAATATGCACATTATATATAAAAACCTTGGTTATTATTCACAACAACCAAGATTTGGAAGCAACTTAAATGTCCATTAACAAAGAATATATGGTCCATACACACATACTGTTCAGCTATAAAAAAGAATCACAGCCTGTCATTTGCAACAACATGGAACTGGAGGTAATTATGTTCAGTGAAATAAGCCAGGCACAAAAAGACAAAGTTTGCATGTTCTCACTTATTTGTGGAAGCTAAAAATTAAAACAATTGAACTCATGGAGACAGACAGTAGAAGGATGGTTGGGAAGACCATCCTCTGAGACCCATCCTTTCTCAGAGGCTGGGAAGGGTAGTTGGGGGATGGAGGGGTGGGGAGGGTTAATGGGTAGAAAAAAATAGAAAGAATGAATATGACCTAGCATTTGGCAGCACATCAGGGTGACTATAGTCAAAAATAATTTAAATGAACATTTTAAAATAACAAAAGAGCATAACTGGGTTGTCTATAACACAAAGCACAAATGCTTGAGGTGATGGATACCCCATTTACCCAGATGTGGTTAGTATATGCACTGCATGCCTGTATCAAAATAGCTCCTGTAACCCATAAATATATACACCTACTGTGTACCCACAAAAGCTAAAAACAAAAATTTTTTAAAACATAAATAAAAGTTTGGTTTTTTTGGAATATTACATATATTAATATTTAAACTTGACATATGCTGATGGGAATGAATGTTTTCACTAACCAAAGAAATTCAACTCAAACAACTTTGATTTACTGCTTTACACTGAAGAAAACAAGATTTTTAAAGTTATACTGTTATATATAGCACACCCGGACAGAAACAAGCCTTGTTAAGGCTAAATTATGTAATGAGTGTTGCTTATCTGGTATATTAGACTGTTCTCGCCTTGCTATAAAGAAATATCCAAGACTGGGTAATTTATAAGAAAAGAGGTTTAACTGGCTCATCCTTTTGCAGGCTATACAGGAATCATAGTGGTATCTGCTTCCAGGGAGGCCTCAAGAAGCTTTCAATCATGGTGGAAGGCAAAGAGGTAGCAGGCACATCACATGGTGAAAGTAGGAGCAAGACAGATCAAGTGGCGAGGTGCCACACACTTTTAAATGACCAGATCTCATGAGAACTCACTATCACAGGGACATCATCAAGGGGATGGTGCTAAGCCATTCATGAGAAATCTGCCCCCATGATCCAATCACCTCTCACCAGACCCCAATCCCAACACTAAAGATTACATGTCAACATGAGATGTGGGCAAGAACACACATCCAAACTCTATCACCTGGTTTTGCCCCATCTGAGCATCAGAATCTTAATAGCGTCCATCCGGACACCAATATACAACAATATGTAGTGGCAGGAGGAGAAGTACAAAAAAAATGAAAAATAAGAGATAAACAATACACCTCAATTTCAAATAAGGATAGAATTAGGAGTACAGCAGAATAGTTTGAGCCAAAAATAAGGGAAAAAAAAGAGAGAGAGGCAGAAATTAAAGTGTAGAAATAAAACAATTTACAATAAGGAAAGGTATCAATAAGAAAGCAATGGGTAAAAAAAATGAATACAAATAAGAGATAAACAATACATCTAAATTTCAGATAAAGATAGAATTAAGAGTACAGTAGGCCAGTTTGAGCCAAAAATAATAAAAAAAAAAAAGAGGCAGAAATCAAAATGTAGAAATAAAACAATTTACAATAAGCAAGGGTATCAATACGAAAGCAATGGGCAAGTTGCAAGAGGCAGAAGATGGAGATGAAAAGGAGAAGACTGAAAGCGTGTGTACATTAGGAGTTAAGGCTTAAAAAGTTGGGCCAAAAGGGCTAAAGGAAGGGAGGTTAAGGTGGAAATGCAGGAACGAAAGCTGGGTAGGGTAGGTGATAGTTGAAGAAAAAGGGGATGGGTGTTGTAGAGAACAAAATGAAGAATAAAGCTCCATAATGGTTGATATGAAGTGAGCTGGGAGACCCTCAAATAGCCCAGAATAATGCAGGCATGGGATAATTATGCCTACAACACCCAGTCTGGACTGATTCTGGACTGTGAGCAAAGAAGTATCAATCAATATCTAGTAATTAAAGTAGACTGGTCACCCAAACAAAATCTCAAGAAATATACCGGTAGTAAAAACTGTCCCATACTTCAGAAAACACTATTATACATAATGTTGCTCAAATCACAAGGTCAAGACTTCTCAAGAGGTCAGTTTGTGGCGAAAGGGAACCAAACAGATTAGATGAAGTAGGTTCCAATACAGCAGAGTTCAGATTCACTGTAGGTAAAGAAGTGGGAGAACTGACAATGAAAAAAGTTGTGGTCAGAGAAAAAAAAAACAAAACACCTCAATTTCAAAACTAAGGCTCCAAGGAGGTAACAGAACAAGAAGGTGAGCAGGTAAAGGGTTCATGTGATTTTGTAATGGATCTGGAAGGCTTATAAGGCAGAATATTGTTAGTAAGGAGACAACAATATGAACAGGTTGATTAGTGACATTAAAAGCGATACTTTAATAGTTAAAACATAGGAGGTTCTAAAACCAATAATACACCAAGACATGTAAAATAATCTCCGTATTGATAATCTGTAATAGTTAAACAGTCACTGCACTTAAATTTAAGTGAAGATGATATACAGAAATTCAGTTTTATAATAAAAGATTAACTGAATGGGAATTTGTTTTATTAAGGGACTCTATTTGTATTAGTCGGTTCTCACACTGCTATAAAATACCTGAAACTGGGTAATTTATAAAGAAAAGAGGTTTAATTGGCTCACAGTTTGGCAGGTTGTATAGGAAGCATAGCGGTTTCTGCTTCTGGGGAAGCCTCAGGAAACTTATAATCATGGCAGAAGGCAAAGGAGAAGCAGGCATATCTTACATGGCTGGAGCAGGAGCAAAATGGGGACACGGGGGTGCTAGGCACTTTTAAACAACCAGATCTCACGAGAATGTAGAACAGTACCAAAGGGGAAATCCCCCATGATCCAATCACCTCCCACAAGGTCCCACCTCCAACACTGGGGATTATAACTAGAAATGAGATTTAGGCACACAAATCCAAACCATATCACTATTTTAAAAATAACTTACAATGCATTTCTTCAAAATAGCAAGTCACCTATTATTAAATGAGTGGATTAACTGTTACATAACATATACACAATCTTCCAGAACATTTCTAAAGTATATATATATATATATTCCATATTACATTTATCCCTCTTGACTAGCTTCTCAATTGGGAAATACTCCAACTAGGTTCCCTCTTTGTCCTGAGAATGTCTAAAAGGTTACAGCTCCTTGGCATTATCTGTTGAAGTTTCTTGATTCCAGACATCTCTATTTCAATCATTCAGGCACTTACAGACATGCTAGTTTCTAACTACCTGCCTATGCCTTGGATTAGGCTACTTATTAGATCTACTTGACTAATACCACACTTGCTATTCTATCTGGTTTCAACTCCACTGCTCACTCTGATGCTGAAGTCTGCTTATACATCCTTTAAAAGCCAGCTGTTGTTAACCTTCACGTATTAGTCCACTCTCACACTGCTATAAATAACTACCTGAGACTGGGTAATTTACAAAGAAAAGAGGTTTAATTGACTCACAGTTCCACAGGCTTAATAAGAAGTATGACTCAAGAAACTTAGAATCACGGTGGAGGGCAAAGGGGAAGCAAGCACGTCTTAATATGGTGGAGCAGGAGGTAGGGGTATGTGCCACACACTTTAAACCATTGCATCTCGTGAAAACTCGCTCACTATCAAGAGAACAGCAAGGGGGAAATCTGCCCCAACAATCCAATAGCATCTCACCAGTCCCCTCCTCTGACACATGGAGATTACAATTTGAGAAGAAATTTGGGTGGGGACACAGAGCCAAACCATATCATTCCACACCTGGCCACTCCCAAATCTCATGTCCTTTTCACATTTCAAAACCAACCATGCCTTTCCAATAGTCTCCCAAAATCTTAACTCGTCCCAGCGTTAACTCAGAAATCCAAGCCCAAAGTCTCATCTGAGACAAGGCAAGTCTCTTCCATCTACGAGTCTGTAAAATAAAAAACAAGTTAGTTACTTGAAAGATACAATGGAGGTACAGGCATTGGGTAAACGTTCCTGTTCCAATGGGAGACACTGGCCAAAACAAAGAGGCTACTGGCCCCATGCAAGTCTGAAACCCAGCAAGGCAGTCATTAAATCTTAAAGCTCCAAAATAATCTCCTTTGACTCCATGTCTCACATCCAGGGCACACTGATGCAAGAGGTGAGCTCTCAAGGCCTTGGGCAGCTCTGCCCCTGTGGCTCTGCAGGGTAAAGCCCCCGAGGCTGCTTTCACAAACACAATATATACAGGGTCTGGAAGTCAACAGCTGAAAGCTTACCTACCATATAAACGAGTTAAAAAATACAAACAGTATAAACCAAGGGCAACAGTTCCTAAATTCTGACCATTTTATAACAATCGAAAGAGCTCCACTGATTAAAGTAATAGTGGATGCTGTAATGGATAAATCCCAAATTATCACATAACAGAATAGGTTATTTTTATTTCATGCTCACATAAAGTCAAAAAATCTATGTTAATGATCAGCTGGGTGTGCCTGAGGAGGCTGGAGACAACCCAGGCTGAAAGAAGTTCAGTTCTCTTTGACCCCTCATTTCCAAAGTTGCTCTGGCAACCACCACCCAGCCAGCAGGTGGAAAAGAAAGACAATCTTTCAAGGGAGGTTTCTATTTGCCAGGACTAAAGTAACACTCAACACTTCTGCTTTATTTCCTATGGCCAGATTTCAATCATATGGCCATCCCCAAACACAAAAGGTCTAGTAAATATAAGTTATCTGGGGCCTGGGAGAAAAGAAAACAAGTTTGGTAAACAGCAAGCTAGTCTTTACCACAAGAGGTTTTAAGACACAGATTCTGGGGCATTACCCCCAGAAGATCATCATTCAGCAGGTCTAATAGGATCCCAAAGAATATGTATTTAAGCTTGCCAAGTGACTCTGATGTATGCTCCAAAGTTAGGAAACAGTGGCTTAGAAAGTAAAGAACTTGGAGCAAACAAGAAACTTTTCCATGAAAAATTTAAAAGAATGTACTAAATAAAGAAAAACTAAAAAGTGATGAAAAAATTAAGACTTCATGTCTAAGAGAATATAGGGTGCAACTGGGATTGCTTGTGATAGCAATCTCTTATGGCTTTCTTCCTAACTCTAGCAGCTTCTTAGATTTTCTTTCCTCCATTCATTCCATATTTTCCATGATACTCTGCTGGGCCATGAGCTTTTTCTCATTCCTTGAGTGACCTCATTCACTTTAATTATCACCTAAAAGCCCAGCCTCACATTTAACTGTCTACTGTAACAACACTTCTCCATTTAGATGTCCTACAAGGACCTCAATATATCCAAAACTGAATTCACCTCACCTTCAAACCAGCTCTTCCAGCATGCTCTAAATCTTAGGCCCTCTAGTCAAATCCCCAGGAGTTACTGAAGAGTCATCCTTCTCCTTCAGCCCCTACTATCCAGTTATCAAGTCCTATCAATTTTACATCCTAAGTATCTCTGGAATCCATCCCTTTTGCCAGTATCTTAGGTAAAAACCACTTTTCAAATGGATAACACTTACTACCAGTTCCACCTGCCTCCAGCTTCACCTTCAACACAAACCTATATTCTATACTATCTTCCAGAATTGATTCAAAACAAAATCCTGCACCGATTCCCTGCTTTGCCTCTTCCAGTGGCTCATGATTGCTTTCAGAATAAAGTTCCAACTTAGAACTCAGCACACAGGATCTTCATGATTTGGCCCTTATCTCCAACAGGGTCATTTCTTCTCACTTCAAGTCCTCTGTGTTGCAACCATATTTACTTCTTGACAGTTCTCCAAACACACTCTTGTGTCCTTTGGAGTCTGGTATAGCACTTGATGCACAATAAAATCAGAGTCAAATAAATTTACAAACAGTCATGCTGAATTTGGGGCAACACAAATGTAGCTAACTGGAATTATCAAATAGGCAGATGTTAGAGAGATTCAAACTTAGGTGAAAACTCAAAACCAGAACCACAAATTTGGGAATCACCACTAAAGAAACAGTATTTGGAAGTCTTAAGAATGAAGAAACTCTGACAATAATGTGATCTTGGTTAAAACCAGGGGATTTTTCTTTCCTAAACTTTCATTATACCCAAATAGCTACCTTGTGCAAGACAGGGGCTATTTAATCCATGTTTAAGAAGCTAACAATAGCTGAATGTAGTGGCTCACACCTGTAATCCCAGTGCTTTGGGAAGCCAAGGTAGGAGGATCACTTGAGCCCAAAAGCTGAAGACCAGCCTGGGCAACAGAGGGAGACCCATCTCTACAAAAAAATTAAAAAATTAGCCAGGCATAGTGGTGCATGCCTGTGGTCCCACCTACTCAGGAGGCTGAGGTGGGAGAATCGCTTGAGCCCAGGAGGTCTAGGCTGCAAGTAAGCCATGATCACACCACTGCACTACAGCCTGGGTGACAAAGTGAGACCTTAACTTAAAAAAAAAAAAATATAGCAGCAGCTAACAATCAATAAATTAGAAATAGGAAGGAACTTCCTCAACCTAATAAAAACCATCTATGAAAAACCAACAGCTACATCATACTTAATGATGAAAGATCATGAACAAGACAAGGATGTCTACTCTCACCACTTCTACTGAACACCGTACTGGAGGTTCTAGTCTGGGCAAGTAAGCAAGAAATAAAAAGCATCCAGACTGGAAAGAAAAAAGCAAAATTATCTCTAGTCACGGAAAATTATCTCTAGCCACTAAAAAAGTATTAGTGCTAATAAGAAAGTTCAACAAAGTTGTAGGATTCAAAAGCAATATATAAAATCACTTGTATTTCTATATATTACCAATAAACAATCTAAAAATAAGAAAATTCCATACACAATAGCATTTTAAAACCTTAGAAATTTAAGAAAGTCCAAAACTTGTACTCTTGAAACTACAAGATACGATGAGATTAAAGAACCTTAATAAATGGAAAGCATCCCATGTTCATGGAAAGACTATTATCATTAAGATGGCAGTATTTCCCAAATTGATCTATTGATTCAATACAATACCTATCGAAATTACAACTGTCTTTCTGGAAGAAATTGACCCATGGATGCTAAAATATGGGAATGCAAGTGACCCATAAAAGCCAAAATCTTAAAAAACAAAAACAAAAATTGGAAGACTTGCACTTCCCAATTTCAAACTTACTACTGAAGGAGTGAAGGATCTGTCATTCCAAGATATAAGTCAGATTGGTATAGTGATTATTTTGAGTTGAAAACATTAGAGAAATTGTAGTTTTCTACAAAGACAGGGTGAGCTAACCTGTCTCTTCCTACACGCAGCCAAGACATAAAGATTCCTCTAGGAGGGGTACCCTCACCATACCAGGGAGAGAAAAATAACCCTTACTTCCAGAGAGTTGGAATTGGAAGCTACAATGGACCTGAATAAATATTCTTAAGGAAGTAATCCTTATCTTCTACCTGTTTCACACCCCTCCCCAATATATCTCCTAGTTAACTCCCCTAGAAAATTTTCTGCCCCAGCCAGATTTTCTTTGTTCTATCATTTTTCCTCAAATTTATCATTCTTTGTCTAAAAAGTATAAAAGCATCTTGCTTTGGTCACTTCTTCAGAATTCAATCTCTTGTGAAGATCACCATGTATACGGAAAACTTATTAAATTTGTATATTTTTCTCTTGTTAATCTGCCTGGTGTCAATGTGGTTTCTAGACTCAGCTGAAGAGCCAAGTAAGAGGTTAAAGCAGGGTTGGAAGCGATCTCTGACTCTGTACACTACAAACCTACAGTTATCAAGACAGCATGGTACTGGCATGGGGACAGACATATAGACCAATGGAACAGAACTGAGAGCCCAGAAATAAACTCCCACATTTAGAGTCAACTGATTTATGATACAGATGCCAAGACAATTCAATGGGGGAAAGATTACCTTTTTCAACAAATGGCACTGGGACAACTGGGTATCTACATGCAATAAAAAAAAAAAAAAATATATATATATATATATATAGAGAGAGAGAGAGAGAGAGAGAGAGAGAGAGAGAGAGAAAGTTGAAATCCTACCTCATAGCATATACAAAACAACTCAATATGGATCACAGCCCTAAATGTAAGAGCTAAAAACTTTTCCTTATATTAGCTCCCTAGGGCTAACAAATGACCATAACAGATAACCATAAATTTGGTAGCTTAAAAAACAGAAATGTATTCTCTCACAGTTGTGGAGAGTACTAGCCTGAAATCAAGGTGACCTTCTGAACACTAAGGGGAAGTCCTTCCTTGCCTTTTCCAGCATCTGGGCTCCTGGAGTTCACTGGCTTGGAACTGTATGACTCCAACCTTTGCCTCCATCTTTACATGGCCTTCTCACCTACTGTCTCTGTCTTCTCTTCTGTTGGGTTCAGGAGGCTTCTGGGCTGAACACACGGAGATTCCTGGACAGTGGCATCCCCAGAGAGGGCATGGAAGCTTCTACTCTTTCTGCCATACTTCACCCTATGTATTTCTTCCATCTCTATCCTTTTGTAACATCCTTTAGAATAAATAAGTAAAAATAAGGTTTTCCCTGAGTTCTGTGAACTGCTCCACCAAATTAATCAAACCCAAGGAGGGGGTCATGGGAACTCCAATTTATAGCCAGTCATCAGAAGCCCAAGTAAAACAACTTGGGGCTTGCAACTGGCATCTGAAGTGGAGGCAGTCTTGTGGGACTGCACTTGTGGATCTGACAATATCTACAGGTAGACAGTGTCAGAACTAAACTGAATGAGAGGACATCTAGCTGGTGTACACTGGAGAATTTGCTGAAGAACTGGTTGCTTCCTTGGTATGTGGGGGAAAACTGAAATGTGACACATTTGCTCACAAAAGCATTCTATGTTGTCAGATTATAGTAAGAGAAACTGGGTTTGTTTTTTCCTATATCCTTATCACAAATAAATACTTCTCCAAAATAGACACACAAATGGCCAATATGCACATGAAAAGATGCTCAACATCATTAGGCATCAAAACTGCAGTAAGATACTACTTCATGACTGGGTGCAGTGGCTCACACCTGTAATCTTAGCACTTTGGTAGGCTGGGGAGGGGGAGGGCTGCACATGGCTTGAACTCGTAAGTTCAAGGCCAGCCTGGGCAACACGGCAAAAACCCATCTCTGCCAAAAATAAAAAAAAATTAGCTGTGAATAGTGGCATGTACCTGTACTCCCAGCTACTTGGGGGGCTGAGGCAGGAGGATAACTTGAGCCCAGGAGGTTGAAGCTGCAGTGAGCCGTGATCATGCCACTGCACTCCAACCTGAGTGACAAAGTGAGACTCTGTGTCAAAATAAATAAATAAATAAATAAATAAATAAATAAATAAATAAATAAAAGAGATACAACTTCAGACACACTAGGATGGCTATAATTTAAGACAGACAATAACGAGTAGTATTGAGGATGTGGAGAAACTGGAATGCTCATACGCTGCTGGGAATGAAAAATGGTGCAGCCACTCTAGAAAACAGAATAGTTCCTCAAAAGGCTAAATACAGAGTTACCATACTACCCAATGATTCCATTCCTATATCCCAGAGAAATGAAAACTTACGTCTACATAAAATCTTGTACACAAATGTTTGTATCAGCATAACAACCAAAAAATGTAAACACAAATGTCCATGAACTGATGAATGGATAAAGAAAATATGGTATATCCATACAATGGAATATTATTCACCAATTAAAAATAAATACAAATACTTGCTACAAAGTGGATGAACCCTGAAAACACACCAAGTGAAACAGGAAAAGTCTACAGAGACAGAATAGTAGTCGTCAAGAAGCTGGCAAGAATGGAGGTTCGGGGGTTGATAGTTTAGGGGTAAAAGGTTTTTGTCATAAAATGTTCTAAAATGGATTTTGGTGGTACTTGCACAGTTTTGTGAATATATTAAAAAACACTTAATTGTACAATTTAAGTTTGTGTGTGAATTACATCTCAATAATGCTGGTTAAAATATAAAAAAGATCAAACTTTTTAATATAGAAATTGTTCAAGAGAAAAGGCTGCCTCTCTATACTAATTTATGCTTCCTTATTATAAAACCTGTATTTCTTTAGTATTTTTGGTAACAGGAAATAAATGTAATTCTCATCTATAACAACTCTTATTCTAAGTTTCTGAATTTCTCTACTCAATTGCCTTTTTAAAGTATTTTAACTGTCTTGTGCTAGATGTTTTAATATTATCTTTGGACTTAAATCCTGAGGAATAGAAAATACATATCTTTAAATTTATAAATAGATAAATCTAGACGAGTAAACCCTTACCAATAAGAATGTCAACTTACGCCGGGCATGGTGGCTCACGCCTGTAATCCCAGCACTTTGGGAGGCCGAGGCGGGCGGATCACGAGGTCAGGAGATCGAGACCATCCTGGCTAACACGGTGAAACCCCGTCTCTACTAAAAATACAAAAAATTAGCCAGGCATGGTGGCGGGTGCCTGTAATCCCAGCTATTTGGGAGGCTGAGAGAGAAGAATGGTATGAACCTGGGAGGTGGAGCTTGCAGTGAGCTGAGATTGTGCCACTGCACTCCAGCCTGGGCGACAGTGCGAGACTCTGTCTCAAAAAAAAAAAAAAAAAAAAAAAAGAATGTCAACTTAAATTGACTAGGCAAAAGTAGCCTTCTCACAAAAGCTAATAGGCATAATAATTCTATCCAGACTCTACTATGTAAGCCAATCAGCATACACATAGAAGAATCCTGGTAACTTTTTTTTAAATCAGTATCGCTTAAGGAGGGTGGATGAATAATTTAATAGCATAACTAAGAATTGGGGATGAGGGATGGGAATGGAAATTAAACCTAAAATATTTGAAAATTAAACCACTTCAACTTTACATTGTATACAATATCCCAGTAACAGTTTAAAACATTACTGTTTTAAGTAACTAATAATTTCATTAATTTTGGCTTTAAATTTAAGGTATTACTTTGTTACTGATTTGATATGATGTGAACCGCCCATAGGATACATTATTCAAAACAAAAGACCTAATCCTGAACTATTTCCTCCAGGTACAGGGTATTTTCCATGGGCATCTCACCCCAGTCCAGAATGAGTACATTCACTGAATATAAATTTTACATTAGACTAGAAAATTAAAAAGGAAATAAGACAAAATGCTGAAAAAATGTATCCAAAATCTAACTATTTGGGTTATCTGCTCTTTAACTACCATAATCAATGTTTTATGGTTTTTTTTGTTTTTTTGTTTTTGAGATGGAGTCTCATTCTGTCGCCCAGGCTGGAGTGCAGTAGTACGATTCTGGCTCACTGCAAGCTCCGCCTCCTGGGTTCATGCCATTCTCCTGCCTCAGCCTCTCGAGTAGCTGGGACTACAGGCGCCCGCCACCACGCCTGGCTAATTTTTTGTATTTTTAGTAGAGATGGGGTTTCACCGTGTTAGCCAGGATGGTCTCGATCTCCTGACCTCATGATCCGCCCGCCTCGGTCTCCCAAAGTGCTGGGATTACAGGCATGAGCCACCGCGCCCGGCCCTAAAATCAATGTTTAATTGTATTTTCATAATGTTGAATTTACCCTACTGGAACTATGTATCCAAAAAATTACCAATTATCATACAAATCCAAGACACTCTCAATTGTAGATACAAACAGGTCATTAATATAGCTATGAGAAATATTTTAAGATATACTCACTCTCATTCAAACTTTTGCCTAGTACTTAATGTTCTCGATCTGTACTAAAATATTTTACGTATGTTCTGATTTACAGCAGTAGCTACCTAACTGGTCCTGGGTGTCCCTGTTTGTCTGCCTTTTGTAATCTACTCTTCCAAAACCTGTAATGGTTATCTAACTTTCAGTGATCATGGACCCCTCTGAGGATCCATACCTGCACATTCTTGCCAAAACCTTCGCAGGCCCTATTTTAAGGAGGCCCAGCTCAAACGTCCCATCACTTACCAATGAAGTCCAAACTTCTCAGCCTGGGATTCAAAGTACTTAATGTAGTCACTGTTAACTAATTTATCTTCTCTTTTCCAACTACACACTCCAATCAAGACTATCTCCTGATTATCCCATCCATCCTTCCTGGCTTGCCTTCACAGTTCCCTCTTGTTGCTTTCATTGACAACTGCTTGCTTTCAACATCCACATATACTTCTGGTGAACCTAAAATACCTCCCCTGCCATGAGGGTTTCCCTCCACTTACAATCAGATTATCTGATCCTTTAAATTCTGAAACATGTTATCTGCACCTCTTACAGAGCTCACCAGGTTCTATTTTGTATTGCAAAAGGTATCCAAAAAGTGAGGAAACACAGAACTTGTTTTTGAACTGTATGTTACATTTTCAATTAATATGCTCCACATGTTTTCCTTCAGCCTCTATAAGTCTCTTCATGTGATGTATCTCACTTACCCTACATCTATGTGTTTTTTTTTTCCCCTCTTCTAAGATCTGTAAGGGTAGAGATGGTAGCTACTTCACCCTTGTGTCCCCTGTCATCTCCAGCACAAAACAGGAAGACACGCCAGGCATGGTGGCTCACGCCTGTAATCCCAGCACTTTGGGAGGCCAAGGTGGGTGGATCACAAGGTCACGAGATTGAGACTATCCTGGCCAACATGGTGAAACCCCGTCTCTACTAAAATTACAAAAATTAGCTGGGTGTGGTGGTGGGCGCCTGTAGTCCCAGCTACTAGGGAGGCTGAGGCAGGAGAATTGCTTGAACTAGGGAGGCAGAGGTTGCAATGCGCCAAGATCGTGCCGCTGCACTCCAGCCTGGTGACAGAGCAAGACTCCGTCTCAAAAAACAAAAACAAAAACAAAAACAAAACAGGAAGACACCTCCTACATAGAGTACCTGAATATCTGGGCATCAGTGTTCTTCTTCAAGTATTTCATGCATTCTGTATCCCCTATTGTAAGATTTCCCAAGAACCGTCATTTTTTGTGTGTGTTTTTTCCCCTCAAACAATGTTCCACTCTTAGTGTGTACTTGATCAAATAAGAACTTATTAACTATCCAAAATAGTGGTTAAGTTACTCACATCCATCCAACACCTTTCTCACTGATATATGCCAACCCTGTTTAAAAAAACAAAACAAAACAAAAAAAAACCCAACACCTTAAACATATCAGTCCTCACCATTAACCCATAAGGGAGCACACAAAGATGGCTCCTACACAAAAATGATCCAAATGTAAAAGCTATTACCCTTTAGTACTGCTGCAAACAAAGTTCATAAAACAAATTCCAAAAACAGAAATAAATACTATCCCAGATTACACATATGCATACCACGGAAGGCAGTGAGATGACCTGAGTACAGGAACTTCTTTTAGGAATTCCTAAACATGATACAAAAATTTATGACCAACAGATTCGTGCACAACATGGAAGAACCTTAAAAATATGCTAAGTGAATGAGACACAAAAGGCCATATATTGTATGATTCCATTTATCTGAGATATCCAGAATAGGCAAATTCAGAGACAGAAAGTAGATTAGTGGCTGCCAGGGCTGGGAGAAGGAGGAAATGAAAGGTACAGCTAATGGGTATGGGGTTTCTTTTTGGAAATGATAAAAATATTTCGGAAGTGGATGGTGATAATGGTTTGCCCAGTTTGGTGAACATACTAAAAACCACTCAACTGTACCCTTTAAGAGGGTGAACTTTATGGTATGTGGGCTTTATCGCAATTTTTAAAAAGTGTTTTGACCACACTGGCTGTTTTATCTAGAAGAAAACTGTATTTAACGGGAATCTTATTTTGTAGTTTTGTTTTTTCATACTGATCTAAACCAGCAGTTATAAACTGGTTCCTTACTAGTCCCTTTTTAAAACCAAAGCATTAATTGTTGTCAACGGTAGCTACCGACTTGCCAACGTTTACAAATACCTGTAGAGAGAGGTTTTGTCTAGCAATCTGGATTTCTGGCTTCCAAAAAAAAAATGGAGTTCTAAAAATGCTAGGCACACCAGCACTGCAACAATGGCTTGAAGCTAGGCAGCCACTAACATACTTGTTGTTCTTATTTGCCATGATGTCCACTACTCCCTGTTGTCTTCTAAACACTGAAGCCCAATGTCAATTACCATTTAGCTTACTGGTTGTGAGTCTGTGATCCCTAAACAATGATCTTCTACCCTTCTTACTAGGGTGTACTGCTGATAAATTAAAATGTAATTGTGGATGATTACATTTTAACATACCAACTGCAAGAATAAAAACTGTAACACTGATATCTGTTAGAAAAAACCCTGCAATTGTCACAAATTTATTCAAACTAAAGTGAAAATTCAAGGAAAAAATGTGTCCATTCCTATAAACAGAAAAAAAATTATTTTCAGTTTACAATTAAAAATCATTTTCATCTACTCACAGTCAGAAAGCAATGCAGTAATAACTTCTTACCCCCATAATTAGGTGGTGGCACAAAATGAGAGAAAATTATCTTATTCAAATTGACTGGCTATGAGAACAAATTGCTTTACTTACTGATTTTATGTTTAAACCATCTAGAACCCTCCTGATGCTTAAATGCACAAAGAAAAACAACCCTTTTGCATTTGTAGCTTATATGTATTAAACTGTAGTTTACAAAGCCAAAAGAAAACAAAATACAAGGTGAACAGCGAAACAGACCTAAAAAAGTACATTCTACTACTTCCTATGTCAAGTGTATATAAGGCTTTTGAGCTAAAAGCTATGGCAAGTACCATCCAGCTTTAGAAGTCTGTATGTCCTTACCCGTATCTTCTTCATTACTCCAAACAAAATAATCTAGCTGACCTGCTTTTCCTGTAGACGGGAAAGTTTAAGAGTATTTGCTTTCTATTTCATTTTTACCATCAATTCCAATGGCTAATAAAACAACATATAAGATGCCCTCTAAAAACAGCTATTCCCTTTAAACTAGGCAAAACCAAACTTATTTCTCAAAGTCTTCCAAGAGAGACCAGATGAGCCAATTACTCAGTAGTTTAGAGGAAAACCTCAATGTTCGTTCTCCCTGAGCCATTAGGTTTACAAGTGACATTTATTTATTTATTTTTGGGATGGAGTCTCGCTCTGTCGCCCAGGCTGGAGTGCAGTGGTGCAACCTCCGCTCACTGCAACCTCTGTCTCCCGGGTTCAATCGATTCTCCTGTCGCAGCCTCCAGAGTAGCTGGGATTACAGGTGCGTGCCACCACACCAGACTAATTTTTGTATTTTTAAGAGAAACGGGGTTTCACCATGTTGGCCAGGCTGGTCTTGAACTCCTAACCTCAAGTGATCCGCCTGCCTCGGCCTCTCAAAGTGTTGGGATTACAGGCGTGAGCCACCGCGCCTGGCCGCAAGTGGCATTTTAAAGTTCAATATTACCACTGAAGATTAATGGATATACATAAGACTGGAGTGGCATCACAATTTTCTCACAACTGCAATTCCAAAATAAAATCCAGTTGCACTTTTGCTTAACACAATCCTGAAAAACACAATCCTGTTTCTGTTAAAACCTAATGGTGAATCAAATATGAGTCTCTCCTAAAAGTTCACCAAATTTCTAATGCACATAGTAATCTAAATCACAAAAACAACTTTGTCAAAAATGCAGGACTAGAAACAAAGGAAAACATCGATCAGTCATTACTTCAACCATTAACAATGGAAGCACAAAGTGCCATTTGACTGGTAAAGGTTACTGGAAAACCCAGATCTCGAGTTTCACACTGTTAAGAGTATAAGATGCACGGACTGTACTGGAATTAGCAGAAATGGTTCCTGCTATAACTGTGCTTTACCTGCTATTCTCTAACACTGCTGTCCAGTAGAACTATCTGAAATGAGATAAATGTTCTATGTCTGTCCTATCCAATACAATAGCCAATAGCTACATATGTCTACTGAGCACTTAAAATGTGGCTAGCAAAACTATGGAACTTGGTTTAATTTCAATTAAATTGCTACATGTGGCTAGTGGCTCTCTTATAGGACAGAACAGTTGTATAATTTGAAATACAAGGTATAAACTGTATTGACTAAACCGTAGTTTTTCAAAGTATCATGACCTGATGTTAACACCAGGCAAGACCATTCTGATACCTAATGATACACAAGGTCTGCGATCAGCCTAAACATAAAATTCACTTATGAAATGAGAATTCTTGATATTAGATTCAGAATTTAAGGTGCAATCTTTATTAAGTAATATAAAAAATAGTCTCAGGTTCTTCCCCATTGTTTTCGCAAACGGGGTGCTCACTTTCAAAATAGTTTTCCAAAACATCCAAGTTATTTTCCCTTCAAATCTGTTCAACATCTTCTGTTCAGGAAAACAATGGCAAAAATAAGTTGTCAACACTAGTAAGTGTCCTGCGACAAATTAATGTGTAAATGTCACACATTAATTTTCCTTTTCCTTAAAAGAGGGGGAAAATGTTTGGCAGCGTCCGGATCCTTCAAAAGCCTTATTACCCATCTTTCCAAATGTTTAGGTGTACAAAACATTCAGATACAGTTGCGATTTCGTTCCTAGATACAAAGTAGTTTTTCAGTTCCAGAGAATTACAAGTCATTTTGACTTGTATTCTTTGACCAGCTCTTCATAAGTCAAGAAAAGTAACAAGATGGTGCACAAAATGTCAAAAGAAAACAAGTCTGGAAACTTGCATTGAGTAACTAGTCGCTAAGAGGAATCAATTGCCTTTAACCCGGAGAGAGAGTCCCTCGCACTACCCAGCCAAGCAAACAGAACAAGGTCGTGACCCTGGGTCACGGCCGCCAGTACCGCTCCCGCCCGGCAGCGGGGAAGCCACCTGTTAGGCCCGAGCCTCACCTGGCAGGAAAGAGGAAGCGATTGCCCGGCAGCTCGCCCGACGCGAGGGCGGTGAGCGTGGAACCCGCCCCTCTTGCTGCAGCGGCTAGACCCCCGTCGGCACGTGGGCTTCACCCAGGCCCCGGCAGCTCTGACAGGCGGGTCGCCCGCGGACCCCGGCCCGCCGTCTCGCGCAGGTCCCCGGGGCAGGACCCCCGTTTCCCTCGCAACCACCCCGCCGAGCGGGCGTCCCAGCGGCCCACACCGCCGGTCCGCCCTGCTTCCCTTCCTTCCCGGACGGCGCGATCCCGCCCTGCAGCCCCTCACCTACCTGGTCACGGAGTTTGAGGAACGCCATGGCGGTCGCCTCCGCGCCCACTCCAGCCTCCTCCTCCTCCGCCGCTGCCGCTGCCGCCGCCGACCGGCCCACTGCTCCCGCCCCAGTAGCCTTGGCCGCTGCCCGGGACCAGCGGGTCCGCGGCCGACTGCGCTGAGAAGACCTGCGGGCAGGGGGCGGCGCCGCCTCCCCGGCCGCCCGCCGCCGCCGCCGCCGCCGCCGCCGCCGAGAGGTGAGGTGCCCGGCCGGTCCCGCCTCCTCCTCTGAGGACTCCCCGCCCTCTTCCTTCCTTTCTTTCTCCTTCCCTCTGCTGCCTGCCCTACCCGCCGCTGCCGCCGCCGCCTCCTCACGCCCCCTTCCCGAAATACCCTGGCAGCCCCCGCGGCCGCGCCGTTCCAGCCCGCGGCAGCGGCGGCATCCAAACTCCACAATATTACCACCACCGCCCGCCGCGATTGGCGGCCGCGCGGGGGAGAGGCCAGAGTAAGCCGAGCGCCCATTGGCCACGCCGCCGCGCTCGCTGGTGACCCCCCCGCCTACCGCGACGGGAGGGGCATGCGGAGGAAGCCGCAAGGGTGGGCGCGGGGCCGCGGCTCGGGCGGGGCGGGGGAGTCGGCAGGGGTGCGGGCCGGGGGAGGGCGGCCAGGTGTCCCGGCTCCCAGGCGCTGCCGCCTCAGGCGTGGTAGGCGGAGTCCGGGGCGGAGGTGGCGTGGGGAGGTGGGGAACGGCCCGGGACTCGCACGTGGAGGTGGAGCGCGGACGCCTCCCTCAGCCAGGGCAAGACTAAGGAGCTGGGTGAGGGACCGGAAGGGCTGGAAGGGGTGGGCACCTGGGGGCTGCGGCGAGTGGCGATGGGCGAGCCGGACTTGCACGTGGAGAAAGCGTGAGAATGTGCCCCTGGGTTTGGGGAGGGTGGGGAGCCAAGGAGTGGGATGAGAGGTGGTCACGGAATGGGGGGCGCTGCTGTCCTCCCCGGGGGCTGCAGGCCGAGACCGGGTGAGGGGCGGGGGTGATGCTGGCACTCTGGACGGAAGGGCGTCGTCTTCGCAGCCGAACAGGTTGTGGACGCCCAATCGTTTTTCTGCCCGTAGTCCCAATCCGAAGCTAAGCTGTGTGGTTTTCCCTTGAAAGCTCCCCAGCCAGGCTTGCTGCCTCCACCCCTTTCGCATCTGAAGCATTTTGCCTCCCACTCGAGAGAAATCAATTTTCTTAAACAAACAAAAAAAAAGATGTGCAGGATTTCTAATAAATAGCATCCTTGGATGGAGGAGAAGAGGAATGACTCCCTCATCCTGCCACACACACCCCCACGCCACCCCGCAGCTCTGAAACGGCTTTTCTTTCTTAGCCAGCCGCACGCTGTTGCCATTCCAGGCTCGTGTGGGAGAAGATTGTTGTGCGCCTGGGTCTGTCCGCCCGGGCGGCTCCAGCCTCTGGTTTATAAAAGGTGCAGATGGTTAAAACACAAACGTGTGACGTCAGGGTCGGTTTTTAAAAGTCTCTTCTACCCACTACATCAGTTGTGTCTCTTGGGATGGACTTTAGAGAATCGATTCGAGCCTAATGGCAGTCTAGAGAAATGGAGATCTTCGTCAGGACTATCAGATTATTGTAATGCTGCACTTATAACAAAAAACTTAGATTTAGCCACGCAAAAAAAAAAAAAAAAAAGAAAATAGAGTGCAAGATAAAAAAACACACCTGATTAACTGATAGTACGACCCTTCCAATATTCTTTGAGATATCCATGCTATGGTTCCATTGAAACAATTTCTTACCTAAAATTATGTCCCTCGTCATGATATTTTCTACTTAAAATGGAGGAATTCTCATAACTGTGATCTAACCGTCATAATGAGGCTAAAAAGGAAATCAAACTGCTCTTGCTTTGCATTCTCTTCAGTAGCTCCTTTACCCTTTATTTCAACTCCAGCAGATAAAATAGAGATACTATTTGTCACCCAACCCCTCCTTATCAGTTCAGTGAGGGTGAATGAGTTAATGTCGTGAAAGCACTTGAGTTCTCCAAAACAAAGATGTTGTGATAATATTACTACAGTACTTTGTGATTACAAGTTAGCTTTGTAAATAATTACCAATGTGCCATATCCAGTCGTGTTCTATCTTGGCCTAGGAGTGTTAGGATTTACCCTCATTTATAAGTAAGCCTGTTAAGCACTATGGATGTTGAGCCAGGAATTAATATAGCCCTCCTCTTCCCACCAAATAATCTCTCCTCTAGGTTAAATTTCTAGAATTTAAAAACACAATGAGAACCTGATTAGGAACATGGCAAAGATGATTTTTTGGGAGAATGTAAGTGTGTTTGAGAGTATGAATTTATGGACTAAATATGCATTTTAATAGATTTTGTGATTGAAGCTAATGAAACTTTCCAGGACTCTTTTGAAATTTTCTAATTAACAGTAATTAATGAAAATGTTTTATGATGTACCATCTGCATTATAGTAGGCATGGAGCTCTCCTTATAGATGATGCTTCACACCTAGCTGGGTTCTCACCCTTCTGCACCATGAGCACCATTTAACTTCTCTGTGTCTCAGTTTCAACATTCATAAAAAAACTAAGCTTAACATTTCCTGGCCTACTCATCTCACACCATCAGATAAGATAGTGATATGAAAGGCTGTGGAAAACTCTGAAGGACCATTACACTATATTATTATTATGACAGCAATTACAGGGTACTTCAAATGTTTGTGGGAAATAGAATTAAAGGTTAAAATTGAAATATAAACTTTATTTCTCAACATACGATTTGTCAAGTTCAAGATGATAAGCAATGATACCAGCCATTTAGTTCATCCTTAAAGAACCGAGGGTCCTGGGAATTCATGTCAATGCAGTCTTTTTTACAGTAATAATGTAATGTTAATAACAGAAGAAAAATGCATGCCTTTTAAAGAATTGTTAAGATTAGGAAACAAAAATAAGTCAGAAGGAGCCAAATTAGGAGTATGAGGTGGATGCCTAACGGGTTTCCATCAAAATCCTAACAAAATTGCCTTTGTTTGATGAGAGGAATGAGCAGGAGCATTATGTTGGAGAAGGACTCTCTAGTGAAGCTTTATTGAACATTTTCCTGCTAAAGCTTTTACTAACTTTCTCAAAAATACTTTCATAATAAGCAGATGTTATCATTCATTGTCCCTCCAGAAAGTCAAGCAAAATCTCTTGAACATCCCAAAAGACTGTTGCCAAGACCTTTGTTCTTGACTGATTTGCTTTTGCTTTGGCTGGACCCTTCCACCTGTTGGTAGCCATTGCTTTGATTGTGCTTTGTCTTCAGGATCATAATAGTAAGGCCATGTTTCATCTGTTAGAATTCTTTGAAGAAGTGTACGAGTGTTTTAGGGTCTTGACCCTACTTGTTTAAAATTTCTATTGACAGCCTTTCTCTTGCCTGAAACTGATCTGGGCCCAATGGTTTGGGCACCCATTGAGTTGAAAGTTTGCTCAACTTTAATTTTTCAGTCAGAATTATGTAAGCTTAACCAATTGAGATGTCTGTGGTGTTGGCTCTTGTTTGTGCGGTTAATCGTCAGTCTTCTTCAATTAGGATACAAACAAGATATTTTCCTCACAAATTGATGTGGATGGTCTGCCACTGTGGGCTTTATGTTTGACATCGTCTTGTCCCTTCTTCAAATGAGTTATCCATTTGTAAACTGCTTATTTTGGGGGGCAGGGGGCATTGTCCCCATAAACTATTCATAAAGCATCAATGATTTCACCATTCTTCCACCCAAGCTTCACCATAAACTTGAGGTTTGTTCTTGCCTCAATTTTAACAGAATTCATGTTGTTCTGATACGGGCTCTTTTCAAACTGACGTCTTATCCTTCTTAGTGCTGCAAACTGTATCCTGTTCAGATACATTATAACAAGTTAATATAAGTTTATGTTGGTGAAAAAAAATTGAAATCCAGCGAGACACAGTGGCTCATGGCTGTAATCCCAGCACTTTGGGAGGCCAAGACAGGTGGATCACTTGAGCCCAGGAATTTGAGACCAGCCTGGCCAATGTGGCCAAAGCCTGTTTCTACTAAAAATACAAAAATTAGCCAGATGTGGTGGTGCGTGCCTGTAATACCAATAATTTGGGTGGCTGAGGCACAAGAATCACTTCAGCCTGGGAGGCAGAAGTTGCAGTGAGCCAAGATGGCACTCCAGCCTGGACAATGGAGCAAGACTCTGTCTCAAAAAGAAAAAAAAAGGAAAAATTAAAATCCATGCATATTTTTTCATAATATGCATTTTCCATGAACTTTTTGAAGATGCCTTGTACATTTTCATAGCTGCTGAAAAAAATAGGAAAAAAAAGTCTATACGGCCAGGTGCAGTAGCTCATGTCTGTGATTCCAGCACTTTGGGAGGCCAAGGTGGGCAGATAACTTGAGGCCAGGAGTTTGAGACCAGCCTGGCCAACATGGCGAAACCCTGTCTCTACTAAAAATACAAAAATGAGCTGGGTGTGGTGGCGCATGCCTGTAATCCCAGCTACTCAGGAGGCTGAGGCACGAGAATTGCTTGAACCTGGGAGGCAGAGGCTGTAGTGAGCTGAGATCGTGCCACTGCACTCTAGCCTGTGTGACACAGTGAGACTCTGTCTCAAAAAAAAAAAAAAAAAAAAAAAACTATGCAATTGAGCAAAAATAAGGTGCATATTCACATTCTAATATTTTTAAAATCTTCATTATAAGGCTATTCCTGCTTATAATGAAATATTTACATATTAGGGAAATTCTTAACACCAAAAAAAACCGTATCATCGAAGCCAATGGGGCCAGGAACTTAATTGTTGCCAGTAATCAATTTTTCTCTCTTGTTTTCCACGTCTCTTTCTTTTTCTCTATTACTACAGCCAGTAGCTCCACTGACACATTTTAAGTACTCTGCAGTGATAAAAAGAAAAGAGTCAATATTCCTGAGACATCTGAAGTAATGACTAATTGGCTGGACTAGACTCATGTGCTCATGCCTCAGCCAATCACTACTGCAAGGTCTTGGGGCTGATGACAATCTCCATTCAGAATTCATGTCCAAAATGATAGAAGGAAAGATGTTATACAGATGTGACCGCCAGGGTATTTGCTGTGAGCTAGGCAGCCACACCACGTTTTATTTACTGTTCTACTACTATTTTTACTGTTGGGCACTTGCACAGCACCTTATATGCTTGCTTCATTTAAATTTTTTATTAACCTTTTTATGTTGGGAACTGGAGCCCAAAGAAGTTGTGTGTTCCCAAAGTTACCCAACTAATCAATGGCAGAGCCTGGATGCATAAGGACCTTGAAAGCCAGAAGAGCAGCTTATGTGGTAGGAAATAGATAAATATTTAAGGCTTTTTAGCCAGATAATCCCTATCTTATGAAAATGCATATAACAGACTAACAAAGCAGCAAAAGGGCGAAGCACAGTGGCTCACACCTGTAATCCCAGCACTTTGGGAGGCCAAGGAAGGAGGACTGCTTAAAGTGAGGAGTTCAAGACCAGCCTGAGCAGCGTAGCAAGACCTCATCTCTACTAAGAATAAAAGTTACCTGGGCATGGTGGCATATATCCATAATCCTAGCTGCTTGGGAGGCTGAAGTGGGAGGATCCCTTGAGCCCAGAACTTCAAGGCTGAGCAGTGAGCTCTGATTATGCCAGTGCATTCCAGCCAGGATGACAGAGCAAGACTGCATCTCAAAAAAAAAGAAAGAAAGAAAAAGAAAAGGCAGCAAAGGTAAGTTCAGAGACCCAGAGGCTGGAAGTAGAAGGTCCAACATATATTTAAAAGAGTTTCAGGAGGAGAGAAGGAAGGAGAGGTGATCTCCAGAGATGATGTCTGAGAAATTTTCAGACTTGAAAAATGTGAGTTGTCAGATCAAAGGAGTACATTGTCTCAAGCAGAATAAATTTTAGAAATTGAGACCTGTACATAGTAATGAAATTAAAGAATACCAAACATAACAAAATTATGTTAAAAGTTACCACTGAGAAAAGTCAAATTACCCTAAGAGAAATGACTATCATCCTGTCAGCAGATTTATCACCAACAGTTGTGACAGAAGATGATGGAAAATATTTTCAAAGTATTAAGAGACCAAAACTGAGAAACTAGAATTCTATACCTAGCTAAACCATCTTTCAAGAGAAAGGACAAAATAAACACATTTTCAAAATTTAGGATGCACACATACTCATTCAAAGAAGTCCTAGGAAATATACTGCAACAAGAAAAAAGCTGAAACCTGAAGAAAAAAATAAACAAATTAGCAAGTATCTTGGTTAATATGAATCAGTAGTATGTTTTTAAGTGCTAGTATTTTAGAATTTTAAAACCAGGTGAAATTAAAATATCTATTAAAATATGGTAGATGATGGTAGGAGGGAGTTCTGAGCTAAAATATTCTGGAGTTATTTTATTCAAAGGCAATGAAATATTCCTTCACCTTAGACTTTGACAAGTTATACTGGTTAAAGTTCTTTGTTGTAAACAACAGAATCCATGCAGGAATTTTAAAAATTTATAACAAAATTATTGAGAGAGCTGGAAAAACAATCCTGGGCTAAACTTCTAGAAAAATGCCCAAAACCATGGCAGAACTAACTGGCATGCTGTTCCCATCAAGCTCCAAATATCAGGAGCTCGACTTTTCTTCATTTGCTCCTGCTCCCAGGATCAGTGTCAATTCTGTGTCTGGAACTTGATCTTGTAGCCAGAAGAGTAGTAGCTGTCTGCAGAGCTTGTATCCTCACATTCCTTACATTTCCATGGGTACATCTAGTAAGTAGAGCCAATGTCACAGGCCTGCATTCTAACCGCAAGAGAGGCAGGAAATTTGAGTTCGCAATTCTATCCTGGGTAGGTAGGACCTATAATCAGAAAAGTATCCCAAATATAGAAAGGTTATTTAAAAGATTATGGCAACCATGACTATAACACAATCCATTACTGATACACATGTTAAACATTTAAAGGTATTCACCAAAATAAACTAGTATGTGGAACTTCCAAACCTATAGAGAAAAAAAAAATGGCCTAGAGAAAACTTAGTTAATGAAATAGTAGGCAAAAGAGATAAAGAGAGGCAAATTAACGGTATGATAAATGGGAAACTCAAATGAGATTGTACAAAGAAGTCCAAGGATATTGTTAATCACAATAAATATAAATGGATTTGATCTGTCTATAAAAAAACAACAAACACATTCAGACTGAGTTTTTTTAAAAACCAGCTATTTGCAAGATATATGGTTAAAACATATTGCAAAAGTTTAGGGAAAGGATTTAAAAAGAACTGTATACCAAGAAAATATTAATCAAAATATTATTCATCTAATAACATATCAGGCATAAGAATTTAAGGAAAGAAGGATTGATAGGAATTAACAAGTAATGTGTAGTCATCATAAAAGGAACTGTCCACCAAAAAGATAAACAGCCACCATGTAGTCATGAACTTGTGTGCATTTAACCACATTAAGCAAAATTTGCTGAAACTACATAGAGTAATTGGCAAATGCCCCATTAAAAACAGACCAGGCGCGGTGGCTTATGCCTGTAATCCTAGCACTTTGGGAAGCCAAGGCTAGCAGATCACTTGAGGTCAGGAGTTCAAGACCAGCCTGACTGACATGGCAAAACCCCATCTCTACTAAAAGTATAAAAATTAGCTGGGTGTAGTGGCACATGCCTGTAATCCCAGCTGGAGGCTGAGGAAGAAGGATCACTTGAACCCAGGAGGTGGAGGTTGCAGTGAGCCGCGAGAGAAACAGACAAAAGGGTTGAATGCCATAAAATCAATAAGCTTGATATTATGTGAGAATATATGCACACACACATATATAATCAATAGTTCACACCACTCCCCCAAGACACGAAGTCCAGCCATTTTAGAGGTGAATTTTACCAAACATGACCTTTCTTCGTTTTGTTTCATAAATAGAGGCTAACATCAAGTGTATTAACACCGAGATTCCTGATGCAGCAAATGCTTCTCAGATACCTTTTATTTCAGCCCAACCCTCTGACATCCAAGTACAGTTATTTTAAAAATAGGGCCATTCAGAACCATTTCATTTATTCAAAAGCTTTTTCAAGAGGATCTCTGCTTAACTACTACAAGTATCTCTCTGCTGCTGACATCCTTTCTGTGGTTGAAGTAGATGAAAAATATAAATAATAGACTACATAAGAAAAATATGCAACAGTTGTATACATAGTATAATATAAACTCTGTAAAAAATAAACAGAAATAAGCAAACATCTATGAATAGAAAAAAACTAAAGACCAGAAGACAGTATACCATAGTATTAAATGAAATTATGTTTGAATGACAGAAGTATGAGTCATTTCTTCATTTATCTGTATTTTGCATGTTTTCTTTAGTGAGAAATCATTAGTCTCCAAATATGTTGGCGTTTTATATAAACTTAAATTTTAATAATTATATTGCCACATTGGAATAAAAAAAGACATGACACAATGAAAATAACTCAGAATGGTAAAAGAAATTCTTTATCAATAAGTACATTGGTTATGAATGAACTAGACATCTCCACTAAAAGGCAGATATTATCAGACTGAATAAAACAAGATATACACCTGAGATTCAAGGACATAAGTAGGTTGAAAGTGAAAGATGGAAAAGATACATTATGCAAACAGTAACCATAAGAGATCTGGAGTGGCTACATTAATATCAAAATAGTAAACTAAACTTAAGAAATATTACTGGAGACATTTTGATAAGGGGTCAATACATCTAGAATAATAAATATTATATAAGAACTGACCTCCAAAATAAATGGATGAAGCAAATTCAACAGTAGTAGAGATTTCATTTTAAAAATCTCATTTATAATATCATTAAAAAGTACTTAGGAATAAATTTAACCAAAGAGGTGAAAGACTTATACACCGAAAACTATAAAACAGCATGAAAGAAACTGAAGAAGACACAAATAAAAGGAAAGATATCTTATGCATGTGAATCAGAAGAATGAATATTGTTAAAATGTTCATACTATTCAAAGCAATATACATATTTAATGCAATCTCTATCAAAATCCTGATGGCATTCTTCATAGAAATAGAAAACAATCCTAAAATTTGTTTTATAGAAATATATATAAAACAAATATATTTCTTTATAGAAATAGAAAACAATCCTAAAATAGAAAAAAATCCTAAAAGAAAAAGAGAAAAAGCTGGAGGCATCACACTTCCTGATTTAAAATTATATTACAAAGCTATAGTAATGAAAATAGTATAGTACTGGCATAAAGATAGATACATAGACCAGTGGAACAGAATAGTCCAGAAACAAATCCAAACATACATGATTAACTAATTTTCAACAAGGGCACCAAGAGGACATAATGGGGAAGGGATGATCTCTTCAATAAATGGTGCTGGGGAAACTGGATTTTCACATGTGAAAAAATGAAATTGGACCCTTATACCATGCACAAAAATCAGCTTAAAATGGGTAAATGATCTGAACATAAGACCTGAAACCATAAAAATCCTAGAAGAAAACATAAGGAAAAAGCTTCTTGACATGGCCTTGGCAATAATTTTTTGGACATCACACCAAAAGCTTGGGGTACAAAAGCAAAAATAAATACATGGAACTATATCAAACTAAAATGCTTCTGTACAGCAAAGGAAACCACTAACAAAATGAAAAGGCAACCTACAGATGGAAAAAAAATTTACAAACCATAGCTCTGCCGAGGGGCTAATATCTAAACTTTATAAAGAACTTACACAATTCAATAGCAAGAAAACATATAAGCTGATATAAAAATGGGCAAAGGACCTGTTTCTCCAAAGATGACAAACATGGCTAACAGGTATATGAAAAGATGTTCAATACCACTAATCAGGGAAATCAAATCAAAGCTACTACGAGTTACCACCTCACGTCAATTAGAACAGCTGTTATCAAAAAGACAAGAGATAAGTATTGGCAAGAGTGTGGAGAAAAGGGAACCCTTGTACACTTTTGGTGGGAATGTAGATTGGTGCAGCCATTATGGAAAACAGTATAGAAGTTCATAAACAGAAATAGAAGTACCATATGACCCAGAAATCCCCTTTCTGGGTGTATACTCAAATGAAATCCCACAAAGATATCTGCATTCCCATGTTCTTTGTGGCATTATTCACAACAGCCAAGATTTGGAAACAGCCTAAGTGTCTGTCAATGGATGAATGAATAAAGAAAATGTGTTACATATACTTACACAGTGGAATATTATTCAGCCTTAAAAAAGGAGGAATCCTGGCCGGGCGCGGTGGCTCATGCCTGTAATCTCAGCACTTTGGGCGGCTGAGCTGGGCAGATCACAAGGTCAGGAGTTCAAGACCAGCCCAGCCAACATAGTGAAACTCCTGTCTCTACTAAAAATACAAAAAAAAAATTAGCCGGGCGTGGTGCAGGGCATCTGTAGACCCAACTACTTGGGAGGCCGAGGCAGGAGAATCGCTTGAACCTGAGAGGCAGAGGTTGTAGTGAGTGAAGGTCGTGCCACTGTACTCCAGCCTGGGTGACACAGCGAGACTGTCTTAAAAAAATAAATAAATAAAATAAAATAAAGGAGGGATCCTGCTGTTTGCCACAGTATGGATGAACCTGGAAGATAGGAAGATATTATGCTAAGAGAAATAAACCAGACACAGAAAGAAAAATATTGTATGATCTCATTAATATACAGAATCTTTAAAAAAATTCAAGTATACAGAGATACAGACTAAACAGTGGTTATTAGGAGGAAGGTGGGAAGTAGAGAAAATGGAAGATGTAGTTCAAATGCTACAATGTAGGATGAATAAGTCTAGAGATCTAATGTACAAAATGAGGACTATAGTTGATAATTGTGTATTGCTTTGGAGATGTTTGCTAAATGAGTAGACTGTAGCTGCTCTTGCCACACAAAATGTGAGTGCCACACACGATGTGAGATGATGGATATGTTAATTTACTTCACTATAGGAACCATTTTACTATCTATATGTATTTCACAAAATCATATGCTTTAAATATACACAATAAGAATTATTTTTAAAAGATTTCGGTACCCCACTTTCAATAATTGATAAAACGAAGACTTTAGCAACACTATCATTAACTGATATTTATAAAACACTCCACTGAATGACTTCAGAGTACTCATTCTTTTCAAGTGCACATGTAACATTCTCCAGGATAGACTATGTGATAGAGCCCAAAACAAGTCTCAGTAAAATTTTTAAAAAGATTGTGATTGTACAAAGCATGTGCTCTGACCACAATGGAATTTAGAGATCTATAAGGGAAAGAAACCTGAGAAAACATCAAATATTTGGAAATTAAACAACACACTTCTAAATAACCCATGAGTTGAAGAAATCACAAGGGAAATTAAGTTTTACTGAATGAAAACAAAAACACAACATCAAAATCTATGGGATATATCTAAAATAGTACTTAGAAATAAATATAACTTTGATTCCTATATCAGAAAATAATAAAAGACAAATAAAAAATGTAAGCTTCCACCTTAAGGAACTAGAAAACAAAGAGCAAGCTAAGCCCAAGACAAGCAGAAGGAATAAAATAATAAATATTAGAGTAGAAAAGCAATAGATAAAAAATTTAAATCCCTAAAAGTTTTTTATTTCAAAAGATCAACAAAATTGACAAACCCTTAACTAGACTGACCAAGGAAACAAGAGAAACATTACTAATTACCAAAATCAAGAATGAAGGAGGAATAAAGCACCAAAAAAACTCCACGTGATCTTCTCAATAGAGTAGGAAGAGCCAGCAAAGAAGACTGGGATAAGAGAAACCAGAAACCAAGAGAGAATGTATTTCAATAGAGACAGAGTGGTCAACTGGTTGAGTGCTGCTAATTCCTATAAAAGAAAATGAGAATTGACCATTGGATTAGGCCATGTGGTTTGTTGACAACCTTAGGAAGGATTTTGGGAAAATAGCATAAATAAAAATCTAATTGGAATGACTTGGAACAGAACTCATTATAAGAAGTGAAGAAGTGGAAAAAATGAATACAGACAACTCTTCCAAGGGGTTTTGTTAAAATTAAGGACAGCAGTGATTTGGAGTAGTAGGGAGAGAGATGAAAAGCCTAAGGGAAGTTGTTTTTGTCTTTTAAGATGGGAGATATTATATGTATAGACTGAGGAGTAATTGAAAGGTAAAAGGGGGAAAAGTTGGTGATGCAAGAGAGAGTAGATACCTGCAGGCACAAAGTCCTTGAGAAGGCAGGAGGGAATGAGATGTAGTTCAGAAGCAAAGTATGTCAGGAACTCTGAAGGGTCTGAGATTTTACTGTATTTGTAAGCTAACAAGTTAGCCTGCCACTATTTCATGGAGGCTCAGCAAATGGGAAACTCCTGGGTCAAAGACAAAGGCTTTGATTTCTCACACCACCAGTTCCCTACACCCCAGTTCCCCAGATCAATGTGAAGAGGGCCAGATGACACCCGCATATGCATTGAGTTGCATTACAAGTGAGGAACTCTGAACTTAGGGAACCCGAATCTTTTATATTGGGCAATAAAGGTGTGTGCCCTTTGCTCTAGAGACATTGTTTTTATTATTTTGAGCAGTAAACATTCTTGCTGTTTGTTCCAGAGGGAGACACTATCTCTATCTTCCAAGGCTATGAAACATTCAATCCTTGATTACATAGTCTGGAACAAGGAAATTTAAGAGACTCTTAGAGAATTGTCTCTCAACAGAGTTTAGCCTTTAGTAAGAGCTTGGACACCTCATCCATTTTAAATGGTAGAGGGTGAGGGGTGGGGAAGATAGATTATTGGAAAAGATTCTAGTACCTCTTTTTTGCTTACTTTTATTTTTTTCCCTAGCAAATCAATAGATGAAGGTATCAGGTAAAATTTAGGAGTGGGCATCAAGAGTATATGGTTTAAAGAGAGATAGAGCTGCCTAGAAGAGAAGGAGAGGGTTGGCCAAGGAAATGTAGAATTATTGGGTACTGCTGAAGACACTCCTATAGTGTGTGATCATAAATTTAACCAGTCAACACAATTGCGATTGTTTTATCCAGGTTCATTTCATGCTTAAGTGCAGGGAAAGGTCACGCAGAGAGTTGGCTTTAACCAAGATTGGAGTTTTTTTTTAGGACAGTATGATGGAGAAAGAATGTGGTAAGGGCCTTAGGGGCTGTACACTGACAAACCCTTAATTAGTATGAATACAGTCATGGACCATGGAATCTAGGCTGGATAAAAAGGACAGTGAGGAAAGGAAGCCCCATGAAAAATTGATGAGGCCAAAGGATCAGAGTTCCTGCTAGGATTAAAGAAGAGTTAGAGTGTATTAGAATAAGTGAACTAGGAAGATAGAAGGAGGTAGTCAAATAATGGAATGCCTAAAATCAAGGTTTTAGAGTAATAGTATATGAGCATGGGAGTGGGTAGCTAAGGTGGGGTGGAGAAAAAGATCATTAGAGATGAGGAGTCAAGAAACTGAATGACCAGAGTGTCAGATGTATCATTTAGTGCTTGTTGAAGTCACCAAGAATAACAAGTCACAGTGGAGAGACAGGGACCTGTATGCTAAAATTTTGAATGAATGAGAGGAAATGACTGAAAGGTCAGTAGATGATTGCAACATAGAGGGGTGGCAGGTGCCATTGACTGATGGCAAACTATTCCTTTATTTAATAAATATTTATTTACATATGGCCAACTAATTACTGTGGGGAGAACAACTTACCACATCCTCAAGGATTACATGCTAATTGGAAGATAATATACTCCTCCATCAAAAACGAAACAGTAAGGCAAACATTGCAGTATGGTGAGGCAGAAATACCACTTGCCTAAGGGTCAGAAAATCCGATTTCTATTATAAGTTCCAGCTTTGTCAGTAATTAGCTGTGAGCCTGGGTAAATCAGTTAACCTCATTAGGCCTCAGTTTCCACATTTGGATACAGATGAGATGATTCTCAAGCTTCTGCAGGGCATAACATTTCATAATTCTATGAAATAAAATAATAGCTATTTCACACGGAAATTGGGGAGAATAAATAAGCACGACTGTCCAGATTTTACAGACAGAAGAACATGAACCACAAAGGACTACATAATTTGTCCAGCATCAGAATGTAAAGTCAGGTTCATTGTTGTTTGTGTTAGATCATATAATGCAGAGCAGATGGCCTAATCTGTGTTGGTGTTTGTCCACTTTCCTAAATTTTTGTTTGTCTTTCCGTTATCTCTATTTGGTTCTAGCTAGGTCATGATTGCTTATGTCAAAGAAACAAAGAAAATACGACAAGAATCTGTAACTGTAACAATGTTGTTTAACACAACTTTGAATACATTTTTACAGGAAGCAAAGAAGTGTGTTGCCCTCTAGGAAATGTGTGTTGCTCTGATGTAATTAGGTTGACATACGTTTCCCTGGTAGCCAATATAAGGAATGGGTCCACTAACCCTTGATATCAGAAAATTCTGGGGTTGGATTAGATGTCAAGGTTGGGAAGGATATTATTTGGGTAAAGGGGTTCATTAACAGTTTTTCCACTATAATGAATTTTTCCTTTATAGCTGTGATGTTACTCCTACATTTTTGAATATGTACAAGCATATTCAGTGATGCTTTGAGATCCAACTGTATGCTGGGTACTACTACTGTAAGGACTAGTGGCTTTGTGGAGAGCAAGAGAGCTAAGGTATGCGTCCTATCTCCTTTTGTTAATATATACTGAATGGCAAAGATAGACATAAACAAGAAAATGAATAAATAAGATATTTTTTCAGAGCATGATCAACATTATGAAGAATATAAAACAGAGTAACAAGATGTCTCTTACCATGTTTTGCATTCCCCGCATTTAGAAAATAAGTACCACAAGAGTTAGGACCTTGTCTGTTATATTTATCAATTATCCACTGTGCCTTGGTTAGTGAGTTTTGGCTGTGGACTTCTTTAGGTAGGACAGTCAGAAAAGGTATCTGTAAGATGCCCTGAGAGCTGAGAAGTAGAAAATAAGGAATTTTCAGCCAAAGATCTGGGGAAGAGCAATGTAAAATTCCCAAGGAAGCAACAAATTCAGCATGTTTAAGAAACATAAGGAAGGTCAGTGTGGCTGGAAAGTTGTAAGGGTAGAAGTTTGAATTTTAATTTAATTACTGTGATAAGCCACTATAGGTTTTTTTTTCCTTTCTTTCTTTTCTGGTCATGTTTTCTTCCTCTAATTTTATTTCCTTTTTTCTCTAAAGAATTTTAGTCAGGGATTTTAAATGACCTTATTTTTATCTTTAAAAGTTTACCCAGACAGTTTTGTAGGGAATAGAGTGAGAATAGCATGAGAAGAAGCAAGAGATCAGTTAGGAGATGAGTGTTGATAATGGGCTGGTGCAGGGGAAGAAGTATTGAGCAGTAATTGAGTTTGAGATATATTCTAGTAGGCTGTGTGTGGTGGTGCTTTGGGAGGCCCAGGTGGGAGGATAACTTGAGGCTAGGAGTTTGAGAGATACATTCAAAAGATAGAACAAACAGGATCGTTCAGCTGTTGTTCTTCAACTGTTGTTCGACAGCTGATTGATTGGATACGGAGTGAGAGAAAAAACAAGAAAGACTCCATTGCTTTGGTCTGAGTAATTTGGTGGTAGTAGTGCCACTAACAGGGAAACTGGGAGAGGAGCAGAGTTTTTCTAGGGAAAATCAAGCAGTTGGTTTTGTCCATGTGAAGCTTACAGTGCCTGTTAGATCTCCAAATGGATATGTAGATAAAATGGTTGATATATGAGTATGGCAAGATGTCAGAACTGAAGATATTATCCTCCTGTGAGTCATTGGCATTTAGATGCTATGTAAAGCTACAAGACTGAGTGAGCTCATCAAGGGAGAGCATGTTGATATGAGCAGCAAGGACTAAGCCTTGAATATTTTTGCCTTTGAAAAATACAGTATTCTATAGACTAGAAGTACATTATTTACCAGGCAAATCAGCCAGTTTTAAAAACCCACTTTGTCTTCCTCTCTCAGCAAGTAGTGGGAGGCCATCTTAGAAGGAAGCTATCCTGGTGAGAAGCTCTAATCACACAGCAGCCCCTGGGACTTGCCAGTATGTCATCAGATACACAAAGAAAGATTCTGGTTCCACTATGCCTCTCTCTCATCCTAAGTCTTCCCTGACTCTCCCAGGCCACAGTGATCCCTCCTTCTCCTAACTCTTCTTCCTCGTTACTTTCTGGACCTTTGCAGACTTTCTTCCTGGTGGTGTAGCTACTTATGCAGAGCAGATGCTCTAATATGTGTCTGTTTATCTCTATTTATACAAAGTTTGTATTTGTCTTCTTGTTATCTCTAACTAGGCAATGATTGCCTATCACCCCCGCTTTCAACAACATTATAATTTCCTCAAGGACAGGATATTCTTACATGTCTTTCTATCCCTTATCATGTTCTGTATTTCCCCATTTGGAATGTAAATACCACAAGAGCTAGGATTTTGTCTGTTATGTTCATCACTGTACTCTTGCAGTCTGAAACAGTATTCTTGAATAAACGCAAATAGAATGAAGGAATATAAAAGCTGTTTATAGTTGTCTAGACAGATGATAAAGTGCCCTGCCTAAAAGCAAGACTTTTACCCTTTTCCTTGGTAGACATAACCTCCACTTTTGGTCCCCTTTTAACACCACCATATGCAGAAGTGTTTCACTTCATATCACCTTCATGGAATCTTCCCACAGGTTCTGCTGATGCTCAAGTAGGTAAGAATAGGACATATATTTATGGTCTGTAGAATGCATGTATGTAGTTGGGATCTGTGGTAGATTGTCTGCAAAGATGACCATCAACAATTTCGTTCATCTTTGTATATGTACATTGCTCTTCCCAACAAGAGATGGAGTCTGTTTCCTCCCCACTTGAATATAGATGGCCATGTGACTAGCTTTGGCTAATAGAATTCAGTAGAAGTGATGTTAATCTAACTTTGGGACCTGGACCTTAAGAGGCCTTCCAACTTCCAGTTTTGCTGTCTTGAGATTTGGGCACCATGTTTAAGAAGCTTGGCCTTCTGGATGATGTAAGACCACATGGAGAGAGAGAAGCCTAGCTAGCACCCAACTATTCCAGCCACTGCAAGTGAGGTGCAAAACATGTGAATAAAGCCATCTTGTATTCTCTAGCTCTAGCGAAACTATCCCAGCTTCCTCAGGAGTCACGAAGCAGCCACCCCATGAAGCACAGACAAGCCATTCTTGAGGAGTCCCACCTTAGTTGCACAATCATGACAAATAATACTTTTGGGGGTGATTTGTTTTAAGCCATACTTTTGGGGGTGATTTGTTATATAGCAGTAGATAACTGAAATAGGATCTGTTTCAGGATTTCTTTTATGATAAAACTTCCAGAAATACATTGCATTTAAAAGAAGCACTTCTGCAATTTGTAGCAAAATTATGATGCAATTATATTTTGTCCCAGCAGTCTTCCTTCTAGGATTCTATCCCAAAGATACTCTGGCAAAAACACAAAGAGACATATTGGCTATTCATTGCAATACTACCTAAAATGGCAACAAACTTTAAACAATTCAAATGTATATCAGCAGGGGACTCGTTGAATATGTTATGTAACATCTACATGATGAAGTAATATGCAGCTATAGAAAAGGAATGAGGAACACCTCTGTAAACTGCCGTAGAGTAATCACCAAGGTATAAAGTTGAATGAAAAAAAGCAGGCACAGAAAATTATGTATGGTATGATATGCCATTGTTTAACTTTTTTTTTTTTTTTTTTTTTTTTGATACTGAATCTGGCTCTGTCACCAGGCTGGAGTGCAGTGGTGCGATCTCGGCTCATTGCAATCTCCACCTTCTGGGTTCAAGCGATTCCCCTGCCTCAGCCTCCTGAGTAGTTGGGACTACAGGCACGCACCACCACTCCTGGCTAATTTTTTGTATTTTTAGTAGAGACGGGGTTTCACCATGTTGGCCAGGATGGTCTCGATTTCCTGATAGCGTGACCCGCCCGCCTCAGCCTCCCAAAGTGCTGTGATTACAGACGTGAGCTACCGTACCCGGCCGTGTAACTTATTTTTTAAAGAAAAGATAAAATATAAAAACTTTAGGCCGGGCGTGGTGACCCACACCTGTAATCCCAGCACTTTGGGAGGCTGAGGCGGATGGATCACCTGAGGTCAGGAGTTTGAGACCAGCCTGGCCAACATGGTGAAACCCCATCTCCACTAAAAATACAAAAATTAGCCAGGCGTGGTGGCGGGCGCCTGTAATCCTAGCTACTTGGCAGGCTGAGGTAAGGAGAATCGCTTGAACGCGGGAGGTGGAAGTTGCAGTGAGCTGAGATTGTACCATTGCACTCCAGACTGTGTGACCGCGAGACTCTGTCTCAAAAACAAAAAACAAACAAAAAAAAAGCTTTAAAAGAAGTTATTACCTTAAGGGGAGGGAGTGGATGGGGTAAATGATAACACAGAAATATAATCTTAAAACTCTAGACTGTCCCCGCCCCTGGCCTGCCCAGCCCGCGGCAGCAGCGTGGCCGCGGTGCAGCATCAGCATCAGCAGCAGTAGCAGCAGCGGGCGGCCGCGTGGGTGTTTTTGTCGGGTCTCGGGGTCTGGCAGCAGCATGGCGGACTACCTGATCACCAGCAGCACCGGCTACGTGCCCAGGGATGGGCTCACTGTGCCCCAGCTCTTCGTCGGCGCTGACGGCCTCACCCACAACGACTTCCTGATTCTTCCAGGATTCATAGACTTCATAGCTGATGAGGTGGACCTGACCTCAGCCCTGACCCAGAAGGTCACGCTGAAGACGCCGCTGATCTCCTCCCCTATGGACACTGTGACAGAGGCTGACATGGCCATCGCGATGGCTCTGATGGGACCTATTGGTTTCATTCACCACAACTGTACCGCAGAGTTCCAGGCCAAGGAGGTACAGAAGATCAAGAAGTTTGAACAGGGCTTCATCACGGACCCCGTGGTGCTGAGCCCCTCGCGCACTGTGGGTGATGTGCTGGAGGCCAAGATGCGGCATGGCTTCTCTGGCATCCCCATCACTAGACGGGCACCAAGCTGGTGGGCATCGTCACCTCCCGAGACACTGACTTTCTTGCTGAGAAGGACAACACCACCCTCCTCAGTGAGGTGATGACGCCAAGGATTGAGCTGGTGGTGGCTCCAGCAGGTGTGACGTTGAAAGAGGCAAAAGAGATCCTAAGTGTAGCGAGAAAGGGAAGCTGCCTATCGTCAATGATCGCGATTAACTGGTGGCCATCATCACCCACTCCGACCTGAAGAAGAACAGAGACTACCCTCTGGCCTCCAAGGATTCCCACAAGCAGCTGCTGTGCAGGGCAGCTGTGGGCACCCGTGAGGATGACAAATACTGCCTGGACCTGCTCTTCCAGGCGGGTCTCAACGTATAGTCTTGGACTCGTCCCAGGGAACTCGGCACATCAGATCACCATGGTGCATTACATCAAACAAAAGTACCCCCACCTCCAGGTGACTGGGGGGAACATGGTGACAGCAGCCCAGGCCAAGAACCTGACGCTGGTGTGGATGGGCTGCTAGTGGGCACGGGCTGTGGCTCTATCTGCATCACCCAGGAAGTGATGGCCTGTGGTCGGCCCCAGGGCACTGCTATGTACAAGGTGGCCGAGTATGCCTGGCACTTTGGTGTGCCCATCATATTCAATGGTGGCATCCAGATCGTGGAGCACATGGTCAAGGCCCTGGCCCTTGGAGCCTCCACAGTGATGACGGGCTCCCTGTTGGCTGCCACCATGGAGGCCCCCGGTGAGTACTTCTTCTCAGATGGGGTGTGGCTCAAGAAGTACCGTGGCATGGGCTCGCTGGATGCCATGGGGAAGAGCAGCAGCAGCCAGAAACGATACTTCGGCGAGGGGGATAAGGTGAAGATCGCGCAGGATGTCTCAAACTCCATCCAGGACAAAGGGTCCATTCAAAACTTCGTGTCCTACCTCATAGTGGACATCCAGCAAGGCTGCCAGGATAGCAGGGCCCACAGCCTGTCTGCCCTTTGGTCCATGATGTACTCAGGGGAGCTCAAGTTTGAGAAGTGGACCATATTGGCCCAGATCAAGGGTGGCGTCCACGGCCTGCATTCTTAGGAGAAGCGGCTGTACTAAGGACAGCGGTGGAGGTCGAGGTGGTGGAGGGGGTGCACCCCAGTGTCCACCTTCGGGCACTGCCTCCCTCCATAACTGAGTGGTCCACAGATTTGCACTACAGGTTCCCCAGCTCCTTTCCAGCGAGAGAGGAGGGGAGGTCCTGAGGGGTCTGCAGCCCCTCGCTCAGCATCCCCTGCAGTCAGGACTTTTCCCTGGGCCAGGCTGCCCTGGGAGCCCCCTGAGCCCAGCCAGCCAGGGTCTCAGGTGCCTGCCTCAGGTCTTTCTTGCTGCAGCCTGCTCCAGCCCGGCCCCCACCCTGGGGGGCAGGCAGCCCCTCCTGGCTTCTCCTGTAGAGCACCTCCCTGCCCCCAGCCCCCCAGGAAATGGTGCTCTCCTGGCCCTGCCTCTGGCCCTTCCCGGGCCGCTGCCCCCTCAGCCATGTGGCACTTCTTAGCTCCTGACCTAGACCAAGGAGTGGTCTCTGCCCCCTTCCCTGGCCCTGGGCTACCCTTGGGTCCTGCTCCTCAGGCAGCTCCCCTGTCCCTGGCCCTGGGGAGGAGGCTGCCCTGGTCATGGCCACCTGCCTGTCATTCCTGACTCACCACCATCCCCAGGTGTACCATTCCTGCCTTCTCCTCAGCCGCTGTTGAAGGCTTTAACTTTGCATACTTTGGGATCACAGTTGTGTCATTGTGTATTAAATAATTGGAATAAATCAAGCAGGTCTCAACGCCTCTACCAAAAACAAAAACAAACAAACAAACAAACAAACAGAAAACAAAAGCTCTAGAACTCTAGACTGTGGGAAACTATAGCACAAATAACCTAGTTTCTCCTACAAGTAAAATTTAAAGAAAACAAAAAGGGATGGAATGGGAACCTTGTGATTAAAAAGAGGAACTTAAGGGGCATTCTAACCAATTGCAATTTATGAACCAATTTGTTTTCCAATTTGAATAAATAAACTGAAAAAGTTTGAGACAGGGAAATTTAAACACTGGTTAGACATACAATGCTATTAAGGAATTATTATTTAGGTATGATAATGATAGTATGGTTATATTTTTAAAAGAAGCTTTATATATTAGACACACACTGAAGTTTTTAATGGATGAAATGATATTACACTAGGAATTGCTAAAAAATAATTAGATGAATTAGTGAAGTTACGGATAAAACAGGATTGGCCGTGAGTTGGTAATTAATGAATCTGGATGATTGGTTCATTAAAGTTCATTCTATTGTCTTCTTTACTTTTGTATATAGAGTCATCCCTTGGTATCCATGGGGGATTGGTTCCAGGACCCCCTGCTGATACCATAATTTGTGGATGCTCAAGTCTCTTATATAAACTAGTATTATTTAACCTATGCACATCCTCTGGTATACTCAATTATCTCTAGATTACTTATAATACCTTATACAATGTAAATGCTATATAGGTAGTTGTTATACTGCATTGTTTTTTAATTTGTATTGTTTTTGTTATATTATTTTTATTGTTTTTTGAATATTTTAAAAAGTTTCCATTTTTTTGTTTTTATTATTTTAATTGACACACAAGAATCATACATATTTATGGGATACAGTGTGATATTTTGATACATGTATACAATGTGTAATGATCAAATCAGGATAATTAGCATATCCATCACCTCAAACATTTGTTATTTCTTTGTATTAGGATCAAATATTTTCCATTCATGGTTGAATCTACACAAAAGCAGAACCCATGGATACAGAGGGCCAAGTGTATTTGAAATTTTTCAAAACGAAAAGTTAAAGTAAAAAGGAAAGCCTCTGAGACCCAGCATTTTAAGGGCACTGAATTCATTTTCTTCACAGTATCATACCGTACATCTATTACTCCAAGTAAACCCCATCTATATAAAATGGAAGTTATATCTGTAAAACCACGATGAGTATTTGGAACTGTCTGTGATTGACATCATGTCAGTGATTTTGAAGTTATAATGAATTTTCAGAAGACAAAGCGTTTTTGTTATTTTGCTTTGTTTTGGGCTTTTAAAAAAAAAAAAATTCCAGTGTCACTTTTGTCTCTTAGTAAAAGTTTTACAGTTTTAATTACCATGAATAGTCTTTCTCCTCTTCCAAACATGTATCATCATTCATTCACTCAATCAACATGTTCTTCTTTTTTTTTTTTTTTTGAGACAGGGTCTCACTCTGTCACCCAGGTTGGAGTGCAGTGGCACAGTCACAGCTCACTGCAGCCTTGACCTTCCAGCTTCTTGGCTCAAGTAGTCCTTGCACCTCAGCCTTCCAAGTAGCTAGGACTACAGACATGTGCCACCATGTCCAGCTAATTTTATTATGTTTTTGTAGAGACAGGGTCTCACTATGTTACCCAGGCTGGTCTCAAACTCCTAGGCTCAAACCATCCTTCTGTTTTGGCCTCCAAAGTGCTAGAATTATAGGCGTGAGACACCATGCCCAGCCTTAAGACTTGTTTTTTGAGTGACTACTTTTAGAGCTGCTGGTATTAGGAAATGGTGCTGCGAGCTAACAGGAGTCTGCAGCCCTGCAGCACACAACTGTCAACATGCAAGCCCAGATGCTTACAGTACCATGGAATAACAGGGCTATAATTGAGGTCTTTGAAAGGACATAGAAAGGGCCTGGTTGCTCTTCCCCTAGCAGGAGATGGGAGGAGAAATCTTGAAAGGGGATGTTAGAGCCTGTTAAGATGCTGATTCTGGGGAAAGAATACCAGCAGACTGGGTATAGCTTATTTTGGAGGGAAGATGTAATCTGATGCTTTTTAGGTTACAAACTTCTTTCATTTTCAAATACCTGTTATCTCTTCTCTGAACCAAAATGAATGACCTATATCAGTGGTTCTCAAAGTGTGATCCCTGGATCAGCAGCATCACCATTCCCAGGAAACTGGCTAATGCAACTGCTCAAGCTCCACTCCAGACCTACTGATTCTGCAACTGTGGAGCTGAACCAGTGACCTATGTTTTAATAAGCCTTCCAGGTAATGTTAATACTTGCTCATGTTAGAGAATCACTGGTTTAGAGAAAACTAGTAATTGTTCCATAAATTTAGTTTAAAGAAGGAGAAAGAAGCCTGTCCTTTAGCCAAGTTTAAAAAAAAAAAGGCTGATTACAGAGGAAATTTTGAGAGCATCTAAGGTTAAAAAAAAAAAAGTTTAGCTTGGCTGGAGGCCTGGCAGAACAGTCGTTGTGGAGAAACCAGTGCTTCACAGAGAGAACCGCAAACACTAAACTGGATAGCTGCTGTCTGCCACTCAGGAGCAAGTGCAGACTAGAGACTTATGGAGGTCTCCAGTATCCTTCTCTGAGATACCAATCCTTAACCCAAGAAATCCAAGGCCAATAGCTAAGTATAAAAGTTATTCTCTGAGAGTGAGAATACCTAGATTAGGGATAATGGATAATAAAGCTGTATGAGGCCAGGCGTGGTGGCGGGCACAGTGGCTCATGCCTGTAATCCTAGCACTTTGGGAGGCCAGGGTGGGCAGATCACCTGAGGTCAGGAGTTTTGAGACCAGCCTGGCTAAGAAGGTGAAACCGTTCCTACTCAAAATACAGAAATTATCCAGGCATGGTGCGTGACTGTAGTCCCAGCTACTCAGGAGGCTGAGACAGGAGAGTCCCGTGAATCGGGGAGGTGGAGGTTGCAGTGAGCCGAGATCGCCCTACTGCACTCCAGCCTGGGAGACGGAACCAGACTCCGTCTCAAAAAAAAAAAAAAAAAAAAAATCTGTATGATACAATTTTTGCAAAAACTTGTGTCTATTTCTTTTAACTTTTTAAAATGTGGCTACTAGAAAATGTAACCTATGTAGCTCACATTCGTGACCTGTATTATATTTCTTTTCACACTGATCTGTAAGGCACATATAAAATGGAGGGTGGGTAGGAGAAAAAAACTGACCATTTTTCCTCCAGGTCTGAACAGGGCAGTGGGTGTTCAGAACCACAAATCATCATTTCTTATTTCTGTGTCATTTGTATTTATATTGTGAAGATAACTCAGTAATATGAGCCATAAAAATTATATAGCAAACATCTTTTATATCCATGTTCACAAAGCAGTTTTTCAATCCTAGAAATTAGACTTTCCATCACGGGAGCATGAATTGATTGGTAAAAACTAGAACATATACTAATACGTACCAACAATAGCCACTCCCACTTCTCCTACCTTCACTAGGTCAGACATAGTTAATCAGGACATTTTTTATTTTTATTTTTTTAATTTTGTGAGTATATAGAAGGTGTATATATTTATGGAGTATATGAGATGCTTTGGTACTGGCATGCAATGTGTAATAATCACATGGTAAATGGGTTATCCATAATCAGGCCTTTTTTTCTACAGATCTCAGACACAGCATCAATGTCCTTATCATCTCTGCTCTAAGAAGCTATGTAGCTATTGAGGGATGCAGTCATGATACAAAACTAGGTCTGTTTGACTCCAGAGACTGCATTTCTTTCCTACACCATGCAGATTTCCACTTAATAACAGGTGCACATTTATAGTTTTATTTCTAATTCAGATAAATAAACTGACCTTCTGATTTATAAGCCAGTGTCTTATTAATTTGGTTGATAGATTTTATCCCTGAGAGATCAAATACCTTTTGATATGCTGGCAAACTTGAATATCTGACCCTGACAACTGAGAGCAGGACTCTAGTCCAGGAATAGCCTGTGCAGAGCACACATGCTCACTCTCTTCTCCCTTAACTACAGTAGACATCGAAAATCAATTTCTGTTGCTCTTTTGTGTTGAGCCTAGACATAGCCTCAAAATACTTTTTAACACAGTGCTCTAGAAAGCTACTGCCAGTTGACCTGTGAGACCCTATTGATTTGCTGGTGTGGATGATAGTGACCTAACAAAACTGCTTTTCTCAACATCCAGCTGGCTTTCCTCTGGTGAATCCCTGTCCTTATTCCCTTCTTGCTACTTCCCAGAGAGTAGATAGGTTCTAAAACCAATCCAGAAGGTTTGTGTACCTGAGGAAAGTTTGGGAACCTGAGGAAGAAAAATGGCATTTTAGGAAGTCTAGACTCAATAGGATGGGAAAATTCCTATAACATGTTTTTTGGGTTTTCCAGAAGCAAGCTCTAAACAGGTTTCTACACAGGTCTGTTTAAATTCTATTACGATCTGTGATTTTGAACTCAACAGGAGTATGGAATTTACCACAATAATAGTAATAATAATTCCTGTACCAGTTAGGATTATTTTGGCTGCAAATAATAGAAATTGCCCCCCAAACAGTAGCTTAAACAAGATAGTTTATTTTTCTTACATGTAAGTAACTCCAGAGGAAGGCAAACCCAGACTTGTATGGTGACTCTCAAGCCATTGAGAACACAGATCCCTTCTATCATTTTGTCATTTTAAAGTATGTAGAATGGCCAACCTTCCATTTGTATGTCACCTTATGGGCAAATGTGGCTGCGGAAGTACATTTGCTGTGGGAAGGAAGAAAGAGGAAGGACAAGAGGATTTATCCAGTTCTGTCCTAAGAAGTTGTGGTAGGCTGAATAATGGCTACCCCAAATATGTCCATTCTAATTCCCAGAACCTATAAATATGTTACCTTATATGACTTATTAGTCCTTTTTCACACTGCCAATAAAGACATACCCAAGGCTGGGAAGAAAAAGGTTTAATGGACTCACAGTTCCATGTGGCTGGGGAGGCCTCACAATCATTGTAGAAGGTGAAAGGCACTTCTGACATGGTGGCGGCAAGAGAGAATTAGAAAGACACAAAAGCGGAAACCCCTTATAAAACCATCGGTTCTCATGAGACTTATTCACTACCACGAGAACAGTATGGGGGAACCACCCCCATGATTCAATTATCTCCCACCCTGGAGAATTATGGGAGTATGATTTAAGATGAGATTTGGGTGGGGACACAGAGCCAAACCATATCAGTGACAAAAGGGACTTTGCAGGTTTGATTAAGTTAGAGATCCTGAGATGGGGAGATTATCCTGCATTATTTGGGTAGGTCCAATATAATCATAAAGGCCCTTATCAGAGAGGGGCATGAAAGAGTCAGAGAAGATGTAAAGACAGAAGCAGAAGTTGGAGTGATGTGGGGCTGCAGCCAAGTAATGCAGGCAGCCTTTAGAAGCTGAAAAGACAAGAAAACAAATTCTCCCTAAAGTTATAGAAGGAATATAGCCCTGATATTTTAGACTTCTCTGTTGGTTAACTGTAGGTGTCAACTTTGTCAACTTGACTGGGTTAAGGAATACCCAGTTAGTTGGCAAAGCATTATTTCTACGTATGTCTGTGAGGGTAGTTCTGGAAAAGATTAGCATTGGAATCAATAGACTAATTAAGGCAGATCTGCCCTCACCCAATTTGAGTGGACACTATCCAATCTGTTGAGGACTCAAATCGAACAAAAAGACAGAGGAAGGGTGAATTCACTCTCTTTTCTGGAGCTGGTACACTCATCTTCTCCTGCCCTTGGATATCAGAACTCCAGATTCCCTGGCCTTCAGACTCCAGGAATTGTACCAGTGGTTCCTCAGTTTCTCAAGTGTTCTGCCTGAAACTGAGAGTTATACCATTGGCTTCCCTGGTTCTCAGGCCTTCTGACTTGGATTGAACTATACCACCAGTTTCCCTGGGTATCCAGCTTGCAGATGACATATTATGGGACATCTCAACCTCCATAATCACATGAGCCAATTCCCATAATAAATCTCTTCTCCTATATCTATCTATCTATCTATCTGTCTGTCTATCTATCTACCTAACTACCTATCTATCATCTCAACCTCCATAATCACATGGGCCAATTCCCATAATAAATCTCTTCTCCTATATCTATCTATCTATCTACCTACCTACCTATTTATCATCTCAACCTCCATAATCACATGAGCCAATTCCCATAATAAATCTTCTATCTATCTATTTATCTATCTATGTATCATCTCAACCTCCATAATCACATGAGCCAATTCCCATAATAAATCTGTCCTATCTACCTATCTATCCATCCATCCACCCATCCACCCATCCATCCATCCATCCATCCATCCATCCATCCATCCATCCATCCATCCATCATCCTATTGGCTTTGTTTCTCTGCAGAACCCTGACTAATACTGATTTTGGTACCAGGAGTGAGGTGTTGCTATAGCAAATACCTACAAATGTGGAGTGGCTTTGGAACTGGGCAATAGGTAGAGGCTGGAAGAGTTTTGAAGAGCATGCTAGAGAAAGCCTATATAGCCATGAATAAACTGAAAAGGTGATTCTTGTGGGGGCTCTGAAGATGAGGAGAGCTGTAGAGAAAGCCTCAGTTTTCTCAGAGGCTACCTAAGTGCTCATGATCAGACTGTTGGTAGAAATATGGCTGATAAAGGCCATTCTGATGAGGGCTCAGACAGAAATGAGGAATATATAATTGGAAACTTCAGGAAAGGCAATCCTTAATTATGAAGTGACAAATAACTTGGCTGAATTGTATGTGTCCTAGTGTTTTGTAGGAAGTAGAACTTCTGAATGATGAAATAAGATATTTAATAGAGGAAATATCTAAGCAAAGTACTGAGGGTGCAGCATGGGTTCTCTTGACTGCTTATAGTAAATGCAAGAAGAGGGAAAAAATTTTAAGATGGAATTTGCTATCAAAAAGGAAGCGAAAATTAAAGATTTGGAAAATTCTCTTTCTATAAAAAAATGAGAAAATGTATTCAGGAGAAAACACCAAGGGTGTAGCCAAACAAACATTTGATAAGGAGATTGGTATGGATAGAAGGAAGACAGATGATGTTCATCAAGACAATGATGACTGATCCTGAAAACATTTCAGAGATCTTTGGGGCTGCCCTACCCATCATAAGCCCAGAATACCAGGTCCTTGAGGGCAGAACAATTTCAAGGCTATCCTTCTTGAAATTGGAGCCACCAATGTGCATCTCCAGCCTGGAAGAGCCTCATACATCAGACTCCAATCCATGAGAGCTGTCTGTCACTTGAGCAGGAAATACATGAGAACAGGGCCACTTGGAGCCTTGGGGACCCAACTCCCACTCCCATGTCTCTAGAAGGTGAGACATCAAGTCAAAGAAGAGTATTTTTCAAGCCTTAAGATTTATTATTTGCCATGTTGGATTTTGGACTAACTTGGGACCAGTTACCCCTTTCTTCCTCCCTATTTCTCCCTTTTAGAATGGGAATGTCTATCCTGTGCCTGTCCCACCATTGTATTTTGGAAGCACATAACTTGTTTGGTTTCGCAGACTCACAGCTGGAGGGGAATTTGCCTCAGGATAAACTGTACCTTGCATCTCACTCATTTCTGATTTACATATTTGGATGAGACTCTGGACTTTAGACTTATGAGTTGATGCTGGAATGACTTACAACTTCTGGGGCTATTGGGATGAAAAAATGTATTTTGTATTTGAGAGAACATGAATCGGGTGGGGAGGCAGGGGTGGAATGCTATAGTCTGAATGTTTGTGTTTCCCTAAAATTCGTATGTTGAAACTTAATCCCCAATGTGATAGTAATAAGAGGTGGGGACTTTTGGAGGTGATTAGGTCATGAGGACTTAGCCCTCATGAATGGGATTAGTGCCCTTAGAAGTCAAGGGAGCTTGCTCACCCCTTCTACCATGTGAGAACACAGTGAAAAGATACTATTGATGAAGAATGGAGCCTCACCAAATACTGAATCACCTGGTGCCTTGATCTTGGACTTCTTAGCCTCCAGAACTATGAGCAATGAATTTCCGTTGTTTATAAGTTTCCCAGACTAAAGTATTTTGTTATAGTAGCCCAAATGGGCTAAGACAACTTCTGACCGCCAGAATTGTAAAATAATAAATTTGTGTTTTAGTAAGCCAATAAATTTGGCAATTCATTACAACAGCAATAAGAAAGGAATACAGGATTCTTTCCAGAAGTCCCTCTTAATAATTCCCATTGAGAATTGACTAGAATTTATCTCATTGGCTAGAATTAAGTCAAATGCCCACAAATGGCTGCAAAAGAACCTAGAAAGTATAATCTTTACCTAGGCATATTGAGAACTCCAATATGACAGTAAGTTAGTGAGAAGGAAGGGAATAATGGATGGTGAGTGGACAACTAGAAACTTCCACCAGTTATTGCTTAGGGAACCCTTAATATGAGCCCAGTACTTTGCTGAGCATTTTGCATACATTCTATTATTTATTCATCATCCTAGGTGGATAGAGGTTTTCTTTATTTTACTAATGACTGTGCCTGTCTCACCATTGTGTGGAAAATGTCTCTAAAAAAGACATTTAGAGGGAATTACGTAGTGAGCTCACTAGATTATTTACTGTTGGAGAACAATGACTGTGTTACTGTTTTACTTTTTAAGACCAGCAACCATTTTATAGTGGGGACACAATGAATGTTGATTGGATATGAAATTCTAAATGCCAATATTTTATCCCAGATCTGACTCCAAAGCCCAAGTTCCTGTGCACACATACATGCTCTCTTCTTTCTCTCTCTCTTGCTCTCTCTCTCTCTCTCATTCTCTCTCTTACTCTTTTACTTTCTCACACTCTCTCTGCTGTATGTGTGTGTGTGTGTGTGTGTGTGTCTATAGTGTATGTGTTTCTACAGTGGACATGCTATTGACACCGCTGCCATTCAAGAAACTTTTAAGTGTGCATTAGAAGGCAAATTTATCAACATGTATTAGTGGTTGTGACAAAAAAGATGATGTCCAAGAGGAAGTAACACTGGCAAAAGCATCACATTAAAGGAACTCTCAAGGATACTTCATGTTATTGAAAGTGCAAAGGATAAAATGTTGGACACTAGTACAAATATAGAAAGGATATGACAATTTGCCAAGGCATAGAAAAGATGCTCTGAAGGTAGGCACTATTCAAACTACTCTTGACAAGATTTTTACAAAGCACTTTAATTATCAATGTTTCTAATGTTTTAAATCATAATCTATTAAATAAATGTTAGTTTTGCTATTTTAGAAATATCCCTATACAATTACAACTGAAAGTAAGAGAATTTTTAATGTTTGGGCCAGAATTTTTTGGACCAGTTATAATTTTTCCTATGATTATTAAAATCGCTTTGCACAGTGTCTCCTTGCATGGTCATCTGTATGACTCTGCACTATCATGCAAAGTGAGGACTGCCTGGTTATGGGTAAAACAAGAAATTCAAAATGATGGAATCATACTTATGTTTTAGCATTGTAAGTGTATTTTAAAGTATAATGGGAGTTTGGAAAATGATAAAAGGTACAATAATATTGTAGACACACCTGTCAATGCATACCAGTAACTCACATAGCTATTCGGTGGTGTATGACACATTTGAGACAGAGATTATCTGGGTATTCATTTGTCTGGAGAGAGAGGACAGGTGTGAATGACCATATTATGTCTCATCCTTGGAAAACATGGCAGCTAATGTCAACCTCTCTTAAACATTTGCTCCCTTGAGTCATGAGTCTGTACCAATTAGAAGGCCATTGGGTGCAGGTACCTTAGGACACCAGCTCCTCTTGCTGGTCATTTCTCTTGGCCCTGCTATCTACTTGCATATTGGCTCAATTTCAGGCTGGCAGCTCATCATGACAGCTGTACCAGGTATTACATCCCAATGGTGTTAGGGACTGTCTTTTTTCCAGAGTCTCTTCAGGAGTAAGGAGAAGCCTGCTATGGTTTTGATATTTGTCCACTCCAAACCTCATGTTGAAAATTGACCCCCAGTGTTGGAGGTGGGGCCTAATGGGAGGTGCTTGAGTCATGGGAGCAGATCTCTCATGAATAGAATCATGCTGTCCTTTAAGGGTGAGTGAGTTCTCACTCTCTTAGTTCCCATGAGAGCTGGTTGTTAGCTGGGTGTTGTGGTGTACCTGTAGTCTGAACTACTCAGAAGGCTGAGGCAAGAAGATCATTTGAGCCCAGGAGTTGGAGGCTATAGTGCACTATGATTGCACCTGTGAATAGCCACTGCACTCCATCCTGGTCAACACAGTGAGAACCCATCTCTAAAACAAAGAGCTTGGCACGCCCCTCAACACACATCAGTTTTGCTTAGTGTCTTGCCTTGTGATCTCTATACACACTGGTTCCCCTTTGCCTTCCACCATGAGTGGAAGGAGCTTGAGGTCCTCAACAGATGCAGATGCCCAATCTTGAACTTTTCAGCTGTCAGAATCATGAGCCAAATAAACCTTTTTTTCTTACTCGGGCTGGAGTATTCCTTTATATCAATGCAAAATGGACCAAGACAAAGCCCTCCAGCCAATTTCCACTCCACGTGGCCACTGTAGCAGTCAGAGTTCAGGATGAAAAACTAAAATGACTCTATGCATTCTGGATGTAAAAGGGCCCCTAATTCTTTATATAGAATTAATGGCATACACTACTGCTCAGAGAGTAGAATATGAGGATAAGGTTCAAAAGCTCTATTCTTGAATGTCAGAGTTGCTGACCCTCAAAGATCTTAGCCTGGAACACCTAGGTGCATATTAATATTTCCTGAAGTTTGTGCCAGGAAACTACTAGGAATTTCTCATTTGCCCTGCTATACAGCTATAACCATATCCAGAGGAATAATGTCCTTCTCTTTCCAAATCTTGCCTCTGTTCTCATGAGTAATAACCTGGAACGAGACAGAGATGGTGATTCTAGGACGCCTGGTGGTAGTACTTTGCTGGCAGCAGAAAAATTCAGCATACTCACCTCTAAACCAGCCCCAGCAAGGGGAACAGGCCACTGGGATTACCTTAGGCCCATCACAATTTACCTTTGATCCTGAAGGTAGAGTGTGGCACTCTCACCTGTGTCACATGGGGAAGGGTTGAAACCCACCCAATTCAGGGCTTGACTAGTAAGGAAAACAAAGAAAAAGCTGTTGGTTAAACAAGCAGCAGAGCCTACTGCATACTATATAACAATATAATCATCATTTTATTTGTAAATAAATATATATGTTACCAAAGTAGCTAGCTATATAGTTTAAAGAAATATGCTGTATATGGCTGGGCATGGTGGCTCACCCCTGTAATCCTAGCACTTTGGGAGGCCAAGGCGAGTGGATCATGAGGTCAATAGATTGAGACCATCCTGGCCAACATGGTGAAACCCCATCTCTACTAAAATTACAAAAATTAGCTGGGTGTGGTGGCATGCGCCTGTAATCCCAGCTACTCGGGAGGCTGAGGCAGGAGAATTGCTTGAACCCGGGAGGTAGAGGTTGCAGTGAGCCAAGATTGTGCCATTGTACTCCACCTGGCGACGGAGCAAGACTCCATCTCAAAAAAAAAAAAAAAAGAAAGAAAGAAATATGCTGTATTACATTGACCATGCATACCTATTATTACCCACAAGGTACAAACTCCTGCAAGTTGTTCAGGTTTCAGGCTAAACTGTAAAACTAAAGTCAGCTGATTGATAATTTATGGTATTATTGTATTCTGTAAAAAGGCTTCTTTTAGAAAATTCCTCTATTAGCTCTTCTTCAGATAACAGAACAGATTTATTGGTCTGCTGCTTTTATATATGCCTTGCCAGCACCCCAGCAGATCCTAGATTTAATGAATTTATTTGCGTGACTCAAGTTTACAAGATCAGCCATCCCTTCTCTCTGCTGCTGATCTTCCTGATCTCATTTGGCTGCCACTTTACATCCCAGTTAATTCCATTTCAGTTTCCTCAGAGACTGCAGGACCAGTTTTTCCCTGGGAAAAGGAAAGCTGATGACTGTGAGTCCATTTGGGGGCCCAAAAAACAGAATGCAGATGTCAAAGGTGCTAATATCTGATTTTCTCACCAGGACTGCTTAGACTAAATCCTTTGTATAAGAAAGCCACAAGGACAAGCCTTTTTGGAGGGTATCAGGATAGTTATGTATGTGCAGGTGCCAGGGAGTGGCTTCTGTTCTAGAAGGGCCCCACAGCTCAGCATTTCCTCCCACGTGCTTTCTTGAATATGCAAGCTGCATATATATTTATAACTCTGCAGGAAAAATGTGAACTTTATTAACAGAGATAACTGTCATAATTCAAGCAGTTGCACTCTATAGAGCAACCAGAGACTACAGGCATCAGGATTATGCATGTTCAGTAAAATTATATGCAAATGTTGGGGAATTATGAGATACTAACTAGGGATGAATGAGGAAGAAGGAAGGGCTAGAGTTGACCGTGCCTGTGGGGGACTGTAGGAGTCTAGAGAACATGTCTGAGTGCTCTTCCAGGGAATGTATATCCTTGAGGGCAGTAAATTCATTATGCATTTTTGCATTCTCCCATCCTAGTAGCAACCCTCAATAAATATTTGTTAAGTGAAGGAGTGAATGAAATGTTGACCTTGGCAATGCACAATAACTTCTGAATTGGTCTATGTGTATGCACATTTCCTCCCTTTCCTATTTAAACATTTATTCTAAATCAGTGGAGCCACAGCTGTCCAAGTTAAGAGTCATACTTACAGTCATTATTAACCAAGTGAGGTTCCAAGCCAGTGGTTCTCAACATTGGCTACATGTTACAATGACTTAGGGAGCATTTCAAAATTCCAGTGCTCAGGCTTCATCTCAGACTAGAAAAACAATCTCTGAGCTGAGGCGCAGGCATCAGAATTCCAAGGCTGAGTACCACTATAAGCTAGCATAGAAACTGCCATATCTGTGGAATTAGGAGACCTAGAAGAAATCCCACAGCACAAAAAAGTGCTAGTGCCACTTTCACTGATGTTCAAAGTGCAGAAAAGTTGGGGAAAAAATTCTGATGGGAGTTAGAAATGTGTTTCATTTATTTATTGTATTGTATTTTTTTTTGAGATGGAATCTTGCTCTGTCACCCAGGCTGGAGTGCAGTGGCATGATCTTGGCTCACTGCAGCCTCCGCTTCCTAGGTTCAAGCCATTCTCCTGACTCAGCCTCCTGAGTAGCTGGGATTACAGGCGTGGGCCACCATGCCTGGCTAATTTTTGAATTTTTAGTAGAGTTGGGGTTTCACCATGTTAGTCAGGCTGGTCTCGAACTCCTGACCTCGGGAAATCTGCCAGCCTCGGCCTCCCAAAGTGCTGGGATTACAGGCATGAGCCACTGTGCTTGGCCAGGAATGTGTTTTTGTGCTCATCTGGAACTTGAGGACTGGAAGGTGAGTCACATGTCTAGGAATACATAACACTTCAAACAACAAAATGATGCCACACTGTGAAAAGAGATGGGAAGCTATTGAATATCCCTGTCCTGCCCTGGCTGGTGACCCCTCCCCAACATTCAGGCTGCAGGAACACCTGAGCTCTGGGGCTCTCTGCCTGATACCCAGTGGTGGCCTTATTTATTCCACTGCCGAGTTCTTTCTGGCAACCTTGTACCATTCTTGGGAAAGGTTGGGGAAGCAATAGGTAAATGTTGTTTTGGTTTGTAGACATCTTTTGGTGGGGATGGGGGAGCAGCTGTGCTGGAACTGGGGGAAGGGGAGCTGTGACTCAGGGGAAATTCTAAGTTGCTACAAGCTGCAGCAAGTGTGTGTCAGTGGGAGGTGAGAAAGGCAAACAGAGGGCTGAAAACTGAGCCAGGAACCTGCCTAGTGGATAATCAAAACTCGACTATAAATAACTAATGGAACGACGAACGTGTTTAGTGAAGTTATTTTCTAAAGCAGCGTACAGGCAAAATGAGTGCTTTCCTGGAGCAAATCCTCAAGCTGTTCCAGAAGGGTGAGTAAAAATACAGAAACACCTGTCTGGCAGTGGTGATTTTACATAAATAATTTTTCCAGGTAACTGAAAGCTACCTTGTAAATGCCAAAACCCTGAACATTTTAGTTGTGTAAGGGAAATTTTTCTAAAATGGGTTATATTTTCTCCAGAGGTGGCGAACAGAGTACATTTCATTTACTGGCTTTTGGTGGTTCAGGATTTGGTAGCAGAACCTGGATTTCCTTCTTCACCACCCTTTTCACTCACCTTCAGTTTCAGCTCCAGGCATGGAGCATGAGACATAGGCTTAAAGCCATCAATGTCTCCTTTCGCTTGGTTACAGGTGATGGGCTCTAATGCATGGGCTTTGTGACAACTATCTCCCCTTGTTTTGAGCCCTTTTCTGGCTCCCATGCACTCAGATATGTTTTGGATAGATATAGTCACTGTGAGTCTGGCCTCTGTTTATGAGAGTTACTGAAGTGAATGTATTTTATTTTATCTTATTTTTTAGTGCTCTTAAAATTCACTTTGGTTTTTTAATATTTTTAAAAGACTCATGAGACTGTTCATATTTCATGACCTGCGACTATACTAAGGAGAAACAGCTCAGAAAACTAATTTAAAATAATTCATACCTAATTGCGGTCTCATTTCTGAAAATATTTTGCACACAATCCTACCCTGCCCTGGTACCCTGGACATCACAAAGAGTGGCACAACGTAACATAAGATACCATACCATGTATCCAGCAATCAGCTTTTATGAGACTTGCATCATTATAAACCTATAAGAAAAAAGCCTGTGCATTATGGAAAAATTTGCACAAAACTCTGTGTACCTGACTCATTGTGAACACCCAATCCCTTAGGCCTAATGGTTTGAAATAGTGGGTGAAGCAAAGGCCAATGATGGGTCAAATTCCTGTATTTGTTTCATTGCTGAGGTAGTGAAGGGACCAGGGATGGTGTCAGAAGCTACCACATCAAGATGTGAGAGAGAAGCAGCAGCCAAATCACACGCCAGCTGTAGAGATGCCAGTATGGGGAAGATTGCCCCATGAGCCCACCAGGTCCTGTTTTAAGGGCATCATTACTGTAACCCAGAATGATAAAGTTCACAATTGCAACCTTGTGCCGTTAAGAGAAGTCTACAGTGATGCCCACATGGCTTTTTTCTAAGGTAGATAAGTGTGTAATATCTTTTAGAAAACTTTACATTCTTTAATGATTAAGTATGGGCATTTATTATTTATTTATTTACTTATTTTTACTTTTTATTTTAGAGATATGGCCTTGCTCTGTCACCCAGGCTGGAGTACAGTGGCACGATCATAGCTCAGTGCAGCCTCTACTTCCTGGGCTCAAGCAATCCTCCCACCTCCACCTCCTGAGTAGTTGGGACTACACATGTGCACCACCATGCCTGGCTATTTTTAAAAATTGTTTATGGATGGGGTCTCACTATGTTGCCCAGGCTGGTCTCAAACTGCAGGCCTCAAGTGGTCTTCCTGCCTTTGTCTCCTAAAGTGTTGGGATTACAGGCATGAGCCACTGCATCTAGCCAGGTATGGACATTTAAAGTGGCAAATTTGTCCAGACGCGATGGCTCACACTTGTAATCCCAGCACTTTGAGAGGCTGAGGCGGGCAGATCACGAGGTCAGGAGTTCGAGACCAGCCTGGCCAACACAATGAAACCCCGTCTCTCCTAAAAATGCAAAAAAATTAGCTGGGTGTGGTGCAGGTGCCTGTAATCCCAACTGCTCGGGAGGCTGAGACAAGAGAATTGCTTGAACCCAGGAGGTGGAGGTTACAGTGAGCCAAGATCACGCCACTGCACTCCAGCCTGGGCGACAGAGCTAGACTCCATCTCAATAAATAAACAAACAAACAAACAAACAAAGTGGCAAATTTGAAATATCTGGGAAAATCACTTATGCAGATTTCTTCAATTTGAATTAATAGAATGGAAAATGAAAAAGAGAAGAGACAAAGCTTTCAGTTGCAGTTGTGTTATTAACTAGCTGTGCAATCTAGAAGCTCCGTTTGCTTATTTTTAAACTGGAAAGGCCTTGATTTATACTGTCTGCTGTGGTAGTCACTTGCTACATATGGCTATTTAAATTGATTTCAAATAAATGAAAATTATGATCAAACACAGATACAGGAAAACTGAGGTAGGAAATTAACTGAAACAAAAGTTATCAGTTTGGGACCATAGGCAACAGCTATAAGAATGCTGAGGTAGGGCAAAATTACATAATTAGCCAGAGAGAGCCCAGCCTGAACCAGTGGTTAGGAGACAAATGAGAAGGTGTCAAAATTCACACAACATGACAAGTCAGAAAGCAAGGCAATAGATCAAAAGGGTTCAGTGTAGGCACAGGAAAGACCTTGCTTGCTTAAGACCAGCATGGTATGAATGAAAGAATTCGGAGGCCACGATGTCTCCTGTTAAAAGTCCTCCCTCCATAATCATTGTGGTAGACAGACTAGACCCTAGTGTGGTTTCATTTTCATGACTCTATAATCCCTTCCTCTTAGTGTGGGTGGGACCAAGAACTTGCTTCTAACCAATATAAAATGTGGTGGGAAAGTGATGGAAAGTCATTTTCATCATTACATTATTGTATTGATATATAACTCTGTGTAGCTAGCATGCATTAGAAAGACTCTTTACATTGCTCCCTTGAAGAAGTAAGCTGCCACATCATGAGAGGGCCTATGGAGGGGGCCAATGGCAAGGAACTGCAGGTGGCCTATATTTGCTGAGAGTGGCCCCCAACTGACATCCAGCAACAAAACAGGGCCTCAGTCCTACAACCACAAGGAGATGAATTCTGCCAATGACATGAAGAAGCTTGGAAGTTCTTTCCCCAGTCTAGCCTCTGATGAGCCCACAGCCTTGACCAACATCTGGATTGCAGCCTTTTGAGACCCAGAGCAGAGGGCACAGCTAAGCTGAATCTGGACTTCTGAACTATGGAAACTGTGAGATAATGAGTATTGTTTTGAGCCTCTAAGTTTTTGGTAATTTGTTATGCAGCAATAAAAAACTAATATGTCCATTTACCATGGTCAATCACGGTAGTTTTCAAGGCTTTCTTTAGTTGTGGAGACCTGTTTTTAAGCCAAAGCACACATGGAAGCACAATATGTAAACAAAGAAAGGTAGAATGTCTCCATTTACAGCTGGGTAGAAGGAATGGATCCCTTCCCACCTGGGTTCTCCTGAACTTACAGGGCCACAAGAGGAAACTCTGTGAACAGTCTGAAAACTTAAATAAATGGAAGAAGGACTAGAACATGCTGACCCAGACACACATTTCAGGCTGCAGGGAAGAGACACACTCAAGTGTCCTTCCGTGATGGAGCACAGTGGATAATGTTGATGCACTTTGAGAATTCTCAAATCTCTTTACAGTTTCTGGTTACTCCTCCCCAGTTGCAGTGTGCTTTTTTGCCTTCAAGAGTTACAGGTCTGTACCTGTAACTCTTCTTATGAGAACTCTCCTTGGGTTACTGGAACTGTTTGACCTACTATAGGTAACTACTATAGTTACAGTAACTGCTGTATGACCTCCCTTACCTAGAGTTGGGACTACCTCTGGTGTGTAACTTATACTCCCTTCTAGCCATATCTGGTGGAAACCACCCCAGCCTCTCTCTGTTGGACTGCCTGAAATCACACCATACTTGGTTTTCTCCCTTCCCTGTCTTCCTTCCCCCACTTCCAACCCAGCTTCTGGGAACACTTCTTTAATTATTGCTTTGCACATTACTCCTCATTTCAGTGCCTATTTCAAAGAACCCAACCTGAAGCATAGAGATTTCCTGGGAAGATACATGGACACCTGAGACATCTCACCATTTCTGGTGCCCAGCGTTTCCAAGTCCCTCATTGGTCACATTCAGTTTGGGCTCCAGTGCCCTACCTGCCCTTGTGGTTCTGGCATTTATCCTTTCCAAAGGATAATTTGATCGGCCTGATGCCACCATGCACAACAAAAATCCTCTAACGGGTAGAGCTTTACTCCAGGCCACCTCAAAGGCAGCTGACCCATTTCCACTTAATTGTCTTTAGCTCAGCCATTGACCCCTGTTCCTATCAAAGTGGAGTCAGGATATCCATGTGGGGTCATTCAAATCACATGGCAGGAGCCACAGGAGCGTTTTGCTGAAAGAACACCTTGGGGACATTTTCCTCAGAAGAGAGTGGTAGGTGAGGCAGGTACTTTCTTATCAACTCCCTGGAGAGTCCTCTTCAGGGCACACAGCTTTTATAACTCCAAAGAGGTGTGACACTCAATTATCATTCAGGGTGGCTTGTGGAAGCAGAGAAAGAGTGAACAAGGCAAGGACACAGTGCAACCAGTCTCAATCTTGTTCCCGCAAGATTGAGGATATGGTAAATAGAAGTGGTTGGTATAAAACTGGATCTGTTCTGAGGACACAGAAATAATTTCAAATACTGTATTTATATAAATGGGCTACCTAATATGCTAAAAAGAAGCTTATCAAAGATGATGTAAATTTAAGAGCATGAGTCAATTAGTCCATTAGGTTTTTAGGTTTTGTTTTGTTTTGTTTTTTGAGACAAAGTCTTGCTCTGCCACCCAGGTTGGAGTGCAGTGGCACGATTTCAGTTCACTGCAACCTTGCCTCCCAGGTTCAAGCAAGTCTTCTGCCTCAGCCTCCCAAGTAGCTGGAATTACAGGTGTGCACGACCACACCTGGCTAATTTTTGTATTTTTAGTAGAGACAGGGTTTCGTCATGTTGGCCAGGTTAGTCTCGAACTCCGGCCTCAAGTGATCTGCCTACCTCAGCCTCCCAAACTGCTGGGATTACAGGCATGAGCCACCGTGCCCGGCAGTCCATTAGGTTTTAAAAGGATAGGCAAAAGTCTTCAGAAACGTATATAGAAATTTGCCCTCAGAACACTTAATATTTCAGTTAATCTACTGCCATGTATCCAACTACACCAAAATTTAGTGGCTCAAGTAACAGCTATTTTATTTCCCATTTGTGATTCTGTAACTTAGGCAGGACTCAGCAGGGGAGGCTCATCTTTGCTTCATGCGGTGTCAGATGCGGTAGCTTGACTGAGGCTGGAGGATCCACTTCTAAGACGGCCTCAATCATATGCCTGGCAGTTTGGTGCGGCTATTGAGAGAACTCAGTGGGGGCTGATGGCCAGGAATATTAATTCCAAATTCTTACATGGTTGCTGGCTTAACACAAAAGCAGAAGCTGCCAGGCCTTCTTAAGCATCTGACTCAGCATCACTTCAATTGGCTGAAGTAGGTCACATGACCAGCTCAGCTTCATGGGGAATAGATTACAAGGGTGTGACTATATAGGGAGGCATGAGTGATTGGGGGCTACCAACATAATAGTCTATCACATTTGACAATGCTGCAAAGACATTGCTTTTGTTTATTCAGTCTAACCACTAACTGAAGAGAAATAGCTAAAAAGTTAAATGTAGATAAAGACTCATCTAAATTTAGATAAAGTGTTAGACCTTAATGACTTAGTGGCTAGGGAATCTTAAAGGCCCTCAACAGCTCACTGGCGTGGAGGGTACTGGAAGGCATGTGTCACGTACTTGGAGGTAAATGGAAGCTTATTTTTTCTTTATATCTGCCTGTTCAGGCTGAGGTTCTTTTTTTTTTTTTTTTGAGACAGACTTTGGCTCTGTTGCCCAGGCTGGGGTGCAATAGCCTGATTATGGCTCACTGCAGCCTCGACTTCCTGGACTTAACCCATCTTCCCACCTCAGCCACTGGAGTTAGCTGGGGCTACAGGCATGCGCCAGCACACCTGGCTAATTCTTTTGTATTTTTTATAGAGATGGGGTTTCACTACGTTGCCCAGGCTGTTCTTAAACTCCTGGGCTCAAGTGATCCACCTGCCTTGGCCTCCCAAAGTGCTGGGATGATAGGCGTGAGCCACTGCGGCCATCCCAGGCTGAAGTTTTTGACAAGGGTTGTCAATGGAAATAATGACCAGGTGCAGTGGCTCACACCTATAATCCCAGCACTTTGGGAGGCTGAGGCAGGTGGATCACCTAAGGTCAGGAGATTGAGACCAGCCTGGCCAACATGGTAAAACCCCATCTCCACTAAAAATACAAAAACGTAACCAGGCGTGGTGGTGCGTGCTTGTAGTCCCAGCTACTCAGAAGACTGCAGCAGGAGAATCACTTGAGCCTGGGAGGCGGAGGTTGCAGTTAGCAAAGAGCATGCCATTGCACTCCAGCCTGGGTGACAGAGGGAGACTTTGTCTCAAAAAAAAAAAAAAAAAAGAAAGAAAGAAATATAATGTGAGCCACATGTATAATTTAAAATTTTCTGGTAGCCATATTTTTAAAAATAATTTTTTAAAGTTATTAAATTAAATTAATTTTTTATTTTAATTTTAGCTTTTTCTGAGATAGGATCTTGCTCTGTTGCTCAAGCTGGAGTGCAGTGGCACAATCACAGGTCACTGCAGCCTCGACCTGGGCTCAAGCGATCCTCCCACCTCACGCTCTCAAGTAGCTGGGTGCACAGGTGCATGCCACCACACTCAGCTAATTTGTTAATTTTTTGTAGAGACACAGTCTCACTGTATTGCCCAGGCTGGCCTCGAACTCCTGGGCTCGAATGATCCTCCCACCTTGGCCTCCCAAAGTGCTGAAATTACAGGTGTGAGCCACTGCGCCCAGCCAAGTTAATTTTAATAACATTTTATTTAACAAAATAATTTCATAAGAAACCAACATTGAAAATGTTAATGATATCTTTTACATCATTTATGTATTTATTTATGAGACAGAGTCTCGCTCTGTCGCCCAGGCTGGAGTACAGTGGCACAATCTGGGCTCACTGCAACCTCTGCCTCCCAGGTTAAAGGAATTCTCCTGCCTCAGCCTCCCAAGTAGCTGGGACTACAGGCACGTGCCACCATGCCTGGCTAATTTTTGTATTTTTAGTGGAGATGGGTTTTTGCCACGTTGGCCAGGTTGGTCTTGAATTCCTGGCCTCAAGTGATTCACCTGCCTTGGCCTCCCAAAGTGCTGCGATTACAGGCGTGAACCACAGTGCCTGGCCAGTATTTATTTATTTTTTTGAGACAGGGTCTTGCTCTGTTGCCCAGGAGTGCTGTGGCATGATCTTGGCTCACTGCAGTCCCCCAGGCTGAGGTGATCCTTTCACCTTAGTCTCCCAAGTAGCTGGGACTGAAGGCACGTGCCACCATACCCAGCTAATTTTTGTATTGATTTTTTTTTGTGTGGAGACAGGGTTTCACTGTGTTGCCCAGGCTACTCTGAAACTCCTGGGCTCAAGTGATCTGCCCGCCTTGGCCTCCCAAAGTGCTAGGATTACAGGCATGAGCCACAGTGCCCAGCCTACATTATTTCAAAATACTATATCTTTGGATTTCAGTGTATGTTTTATATACTTACAGCATATATCAATGTAGACACTAAATTTTCACCAGAAATATTTGATCTGTATTAGGTCTTATAAAATTTACAATTGAAAAATAGATTACACACCCACATAGTTCCAAACATGTTTAAAAGTTTTCCAAGCCAGACACGGTGGCTCATGCCTGTAATCCCAGCACTTTGGGAGGCTGAGGCAGGCAGATCACCTGAGGTCAGGAGTTCGAGACCAGCCTGACCAACATGGTGAAACCCCATCTCTAGTAAAAACTACAAAAATTAGCCAGCCATGGTGGCGCACACCTGTAATCCCAGCTACTCGGGGGGCTGAGGCAGGAGAATCACTTGAACCCAGGAGGCTGAGGTTGCAGTGAGCCAAGATCGTGTCACTGCACTCCAGCCTGGGCGACAGCGAGACTAAAAAAAAAGCGAGTCTCAAAAAAAAAAAAAAAAGTTTTCCAATAACTTATCAGTTTTAAAAAATTATAATTAAATGAAATCATTTGCACTAGCCACATTTCAGGTGCTAAGCAGCCACCTGTCACTAGTGGGTACAATTTTATTTATTTATTTAAGAGAGACAGGGCTCTGTAGCTCAGGCTGGAGTACAGTGGTGCAATCATAGATCATTGTAACCTGGACTTCCTGGGCTCAAGTGACCCTCCAGCCTTAGCCTCCTAAGTAGCTAGGACTACAGGTGCACAGGTGCTTGCCACCATGTGTAGCTAATTTTTTTGGGGGGGGGATGGTGTCTCGCTGTTGCCCAGGCTGGAGTGCAGTGGCATGATGTCAGCTCACTGCAACCTCCACCTCCTGGGTTGAAACCATTCTCCTGCCTCAGCCTCCCGAGTAGTTGGGGATTCAGGTGTACACTACTATGTCTAGCTAATTTTTGTATTTTTAGTAGAGATGGGGTTTTGCCATGTTGGCCAGGCTGGTCATGAACTCCTGACCTCAAGTGATCCACCTGCCTTGGCCTCCCAATGTGCTGGGATTATAGGTGTGAGCCACCGCACCTGGCGCCTGTCTAATTTTTAAACCTTTTTTTGAAGAGACAGGGTCTCATTATGTTGCTTAGGCTGGTGGGTACCATTTTAGACAGTGTAGCTCTAATCCTCATCCCTCACCTTTGGACTTGGCTCTGGTGCCCTGTAGGCTGATGAAAGTGGAGAGGAGACCCCTGTGTAAGTCATGTTGAGCTGGTGTTGACATGGTGCTTGGGATCCTGAAAATAGGAATTTTGTCCTGCCGCTCATTCATATATCCCAAGAGCACTGTCTCAGATTAGAAATAGAGCCTGAGACAAATTTCAGGCACACCAAATGTATTGAGGGATGCTCTGGAAAGAAGCTCTAAGGGAGTGAGAGAAGCAGGCGAGACAGGGGAAGGAGCCTAGCAGGGATGTGTTCCCAGGTAAATTCTAGCCTTGACTTGATCCATGGGGACGCTGGAGTGCAAATGCAAATTGTACTATGGAGTTGTCCCACCTTGAGGCAGGGGGACCAGGCTTTTGTGCCCCTATATCCATCAGTCATTGGCTGCATACCAAGCTTTTCTACGTAAGACAGCTCATTCAAGAGCAGTTGTCCAAAGAAGGTCACAGGTAGAAGCTTTTAGTCGTAGCACAGTGTGTATTGGCTAGTGAGGAGATTTTGGCAGGACATCAACGGCCTACAGTGACCTAAGCATAGAGGAACAGGCCAGGACCAGAACATTTTATTACTTCCTGGCAATATGTTCTCAAGCCTCAGTGTGGAATCATAGTGAGCAGGGCTGGACCCTGTGGGAACACAAGGCTCCCTGGCATAGAGGCTTCAGGCCTAGAATCTAAACAGGTCAGGCATTCTCCTTGGCTCTTTTTTCCTAGGTAAACATTAAATCTCAGACTTCTGTATCACACTTTTTGGATGCCAAAGAAAAGTGAAAATAAGGAAAAGCAAAGAGAATCCCCAAAGGGAGATACTAAACCCTAACAGCATGGCCCACTATGAAGCAAATCCTTGTTCTTCATTCATTCCACTAAGGAATATTTAGTTGAGTGCCTATGCTGGGCTGGGCACTGTGTGAGGCTGTGAAGACAAATTCCAAGGAGCAGTTCCAAGGCCATTTTGAGCAATGGCAACATGACTAAAATAAGTGCTGCTGTGGGGTCTTAGGTATCCACAAGAAGGGACAGGCCAAAAAAGGTGGGGCTTGGGGAAGCCGTAGGTCAGTGGAGAGTAGTGGAAAGTATAGCAACAGGGCACAGCCAGCCTGCCAGGGACTCTAAGGGAAAAGCTGAGGTCAGAATCTGGGGCACTGGCCAAGTCTGAGAAAGCAAGTTAAGGTCAGCATTCAGAGCCTAGGCCAGGACGAAGGGCTCAGGCAGAGGCATGGGCAGTGCCAGGTGCTGGCTGAAGGAAGATGATAACGTATTTGGCACCTACTATTTGCCAGGCACTTTGAATACATTTAATCCTCACAATAACCTTGCAAGATAAGTATGAGTTTCAGAAAGAAGAAAACAGTGCTTCTCAAACTTTAATGAACATATGAATCAGCCGTGGATCATGTTAAAATGCAGATTCTGATGCAACAGGTCTAGGGTGGGGCCCAAGATTGTACATTTCTGACAGGCTCCCAGGTGATACTGATACTGCTGGTCCACAAATCGTACTTGGAGTAGTAAGAGGTTAAAACCCTGACCATGACATCAATGCTTTTATTAGGAAGGAAAAGGGAGAGAATGAAGGGCAAGAAGACAAAAGTAGTCTAGTTTGAGAGACTAGTCTTCCAAACAAAGTCATTGCAATAGGCCCTGGACTGTGACTGTCTGCACTCATGAATGAAGGCAGGTGTGGGCAGTTGTGGGCAGGGAGGTATGCTGCTCTGAAGGGTGGAGTGGCCCCCTCTGGATGCTTGGAAAGTAGGAGTGGGGACCTCTGGAAAGAGTTCTTCTGGGGTGACTATACCTATTTCAGTGCATCTGATCCATTGTATTTTATAGTCGTCGTTCATACTTGGCTTAATGATCAGTTAATTTGGATAATATATTGTGGTGGAAATAACATTCCAGCAACTACTTAGCCTCAGAATGAAACCAATACCCTTTCTCAGTAGTTCTCTTGACCTTTTTTTTTTTTAAATGGTCTGTTCTTTAAGACCTTCTCATGACCTTATTATTAAATTTTCTCCTCTATCTTGTTATGGATATTGGTGCTAAGGCTTATTGAAACATTGCTTTGGGGCCCTGGCTAGTTTTTAAATTAAGACAATTATGATTGTATATTTTTTAAAAAGACATTGCATTGATAAGATGCTTTATTGTTTCTAGAATACTTTCATTGACATTTTCTTCCTTTTGATTTTCATGCAACCCAGGACGTCAGTGTTATTATTCCAGTTTACAGAGAAGGAAATGGAGGCATAGAAAGTTAAGTAAATTGCCCAGGGTCATGTGGCTATGTAAGTAGTGGAGATAACATCTTTAAAGTATTTGCTGGCATCATACACTGTGCTAAGAGCTTTATATGTAACAGGACATTTACTTCTTGCCCCAATTTCATTATTATCCCCATTTTATAGATGAGAACACTGAGGCCTAGAGGAATTACCTACTTATTCAAAGTCACAGGGCTAGCCAGGCATGGAGCCATGGTCTGAACCAAGGCACTCTAGTTCTAGCACTGATACTTCTAACTACTACACTAGAAAGGGCAGGCAGCAATGTTTGGGGCCATAGCAAAAGCAAAAACACTTGTGAGAATTTTTCCAGTCCTGTTCCAGAATAATGGTGCCCTCACTGGCCACAGCAAGGACATTAAGAGGCTTGGACTTTTCATTCTCATATAAAAGGAGGGTTTTGTTATTCTTATACGGGAGGAAGAGGCTACTAAAATAGGTGGATGATACATAAGACCTCCTAAAATCATCTGTTGGGCTCAGCCAGCACCACAATTGGAAAATATCTGGCACTTATATTTTGGTGCAGAGCCAGCTCCCAAATAATCCCACCCCAGTTTTCCTTGTACTAGGTCTTCTGACACACCCTTGCCCAGCCTCTTCAAGTACACGTGCATCATTTGGGTGCCTACAATCGCAGCATGAAACCAAGTTCACCCCAGATGGTACAAATGAAAACTCCTTAATGAAGGAACTGCTTATATAGAAATATAATCCAAGTTAAAGGAACAAGCGGGATTTGAGGCATCCAAAGATCAGCAGCTTGGAAAGTGCAAAGGGAAGGGAGAGTGTCACTAGAGCTTTTGTGAGCTAGAGCCATGGAGGAACTGTAGCTTGACTTCCTGGGCTCAAGTAACCCCAGGAAGGACACAGACAAGGCCAGAGATGTGGTGCAAAGAGGGAGAGAGAGGGAAGAAATACCCCGAATTCTCTCTCTTCCTACCTTCCATTTGCCTGCCAGGACCTCTCATTCCTGTGTCCAATCAGAAGCCAAACTGATTAGCAAGCCTGGGTGATGCAGTCTACTGAGGTCAGCCCCCTGAACACAGAAAAGGGCAGAGACATGTAGCGAGGGCACGGAAGAGGACAGGGGGCACGCAGAGAGTACAGCACAGGATCTTGGTTCTTTCCTTCCATTCCAGCGGTACTAGGCACACCCTTCTCTCCAGCCCACTGTAATTCCCTTTGCGGGGCCACAATTCCTGATCCAGTGTAACTTGCCTAATTTCTTTCCTTGGCTCTGGGTTTTCTGACCTAAAGTTCTTTTTCTAATGAGTCTTCCTTGCTGTAAGGAAAATGGAAGACTGGCCAACAGGAGGGTCCTGGTTTGCTTGCACGTCAACTTTCTGGATGTGTAAGCCAGTTTTCAAGACTTGCATTGCTCCAGTAGGAAGCTGAGTGTGAGCCATGCCTGAGTGATGGAGGACCAGAAGTTACAGACTGAGAGAGGCAGTGGTGAAGCAGATGTTGTACCAGCATGCCTGTGGTGCCAGTGGCATCATGGCCCCCTGGAAAAAAATATAGGCATATGGTGGAAACCCAAATAACAGGAAATATAATGAATCAGATTGGTAAATCTATCTGGTATATCTATCTGCACCTTGCATTTCAGTTTCACCAAGAATCAGTCAGCTGTGGTCAAACTTGATATCTTTAAATTGGTGAAGATTTATTGACCACCTGATCTAGCTCTCTCAGGGAGAATCTCTAATGATTTAATGTCCCACCAAATTCACATCTAAAGCTTTTCCAAAAGAGAATTCAATTGACTTGGTGTTTGACTAAATATTTGAGAAGATGTTTTAAAAAACTGGTTTAAGAAAATTTCTTAAAATATTATTTTCTCCATTGGAAAAATTAGGAAATAATATTCCTGAATGACAAGATTATTCTGAAAAACAAACCCAAAGTGTCTGGCACATGGTGCTCAATAAATATCAGCTATCATTATTGTTACCTATGATTTTACCTTTGAAAATTTTGACAGGGTTATATAAAAATATACATTTAGTATTTCGGTTGCTTTGAGGAATTGGGTTCTAGTTTTGGATAATTAAACTGTAAGTCTGTAAATAAAAATGGGGTTTATTTACTTTTTTTTTCTTTTTTTCTTATTATTATACTTTAAGTTTTAGGGTACATGTGCACAACTTGCAGGTTTGTTACATATGTATACATGTGCCATATTGGTGTGCTGCACCCATTAACTCGTCATTTAGCATTAGGTATATCTCCTAATGCTATCCCTCCCCCCACCCCCCAATAGTCCCCGGTGTGTGATGTTCCCCTTCCTGTGTCCATGTGTTCTTATTGTTCAATTCCCAACTATGAGTGAGAACATGCAGTGTTTCGTTTTTTGTCATTGCGATAGTTTGCTGAGAATGATGGTTTCCAGCTTCATCCATGTCCTACAAAGGACATGAACTCATCCTTTTTTATGGCTGCATAGTATTCCATGGTGTATATATGCCACATTTTCTTAATCCAGTCTACCATTGTTGGACATTTGGGTTGGTTCCAAGTCTTTGCTACTGTGAATAGTGCTGCAATAAACATACGTGTGCATGTGTCTTTATAGCAGCATGATGTATAATCCTCTGGGTATATACCCAGTAATGGGATTGCTGGGTCAAACGGTATTTCTAGTTCTAGATCCCTGAGGAATCCCCACACCGACTTCCACAATGGTTGAACTAGTTTACAGTCCCACCAACAGTGTAAAAGTGTTCCTATTTCTCCACATCCTCTCCAGCACCTATTGTTTCCTGACTTTTTAATGATCGCCATTCTAACTGGTGTGAGATGGTATCTCATTGTGGTTTTGATTTGCATTTCTCTGATGGCCAGTGATGATGAGCATTTTTTCATGTGTGTTTTGGCTGCATAAATGTCTTCTTTTGAGAAGTGTCTGTTCATATCCTTCGCCCACTTTTTGATGGGGTTGTTTGTTTTTTTCTTGTAAATTTGTTTGAGTTCATTGTAGATTCTGGATATCAGCCCTTTGTCAGATGAGTAGGTTGCAAAAATTTTCTCCCATTCTGTAGATTGCCTGTTCACTCTGATGGTGGTTTCTTTTGCTGTGCAGAAGCTCTTTAGATTAATTAGATCCCATTTGTCAATTTTGGCTTTTGTTGCCATTGCTTTCGGTGTTTTAGACATGAAGTCCTTGCCCATGCCTATGTCCTGAATGGTAATGCCTAGGTTTTCTTCTAGGGATTTTATGGTTTTAGGTCTAACATGTAAGTCTTTAATCCATCTTGAATTAATTTTTGTATAAGGTGTAAAGAAGGGATCCAGTTTCAGGTTTCTACATATGGCTAGCCAGTTTTCCCAGCACCATTTATTAAATAGGGAATCCTTTCCCCATTGCTTGTTTTTGTCAGGTTTGTCAAAGATCACATCGTTGTAGATATGCGGCATTATTTCTGAGGGCTCTGTTCTGTTCCATTGGTCTATATCTCTGTTTTGGTACCAGAACCATGCTGTTTTGGTTACTGTAGCCTTGTAGTATAGTTTGAAGTCAGGTAGTGTGATGCCTCCAGCTTTGTTCTTTTGGCTTAGGATTGACTTGGCAACGTGGGCTCTTTTTTGGTTCCATATGAACTTTAAAGTAGTTTTTTCCAATTCTGTGAAGAAAGTCATTGGTAGCTTGATGGGGATGGCATTGAATCTATAAATTACCTTGGGCAGTATGGCCATTTTCACGATATTGATTATTCCTACCCATGAACATGGAATGTTCTTCCATTTGTTTGTATCCTCTTCTATTACACTGAGCAGTGGTTGTAGTTCTCCTTGAAGAGGTCCTTCACATCCCTTATAAGTTGGATTCCTAGGTATTTCATTCTCTTTGAAGCAATTGTGAATGGGAGTTCACTCATGATTTGGCTCTCTGTCTGTTATTGGTGTATAAGAATGCTTGTGATTTTTGCACATCAATTTTGTATCCTGAGACTTTGCTGAAGTTGCTTATCAGCTTAAGGAGATTTTGGGCTGAGACGATGGGATTTTCTAGATATACAATCATGTCATCTGCAAACAGGGACAATTTAACTTCCTCTTTTCCTAATTGAATGCCCTTTATTTCCTTCTCCTGCCTGATTGCCCTGGCCGGAACTTCCAACACTATGTTGAATAGGAGTGGTGAGAGAGGGCATCCCTGTCTTGTGCCAGTTTTCAAAGGGAATGCTTCCAGTTTTTGTCCATTCAGTATGATATTGGCTGTGGGTTTGTCATAGATAGCTCTTATTATTTTGAGATACGTCCCATCAATACCTAATTTATGGAGAGTTTTTAGCATGAAGGGTTGTTGAATTTTGTCAAAGGCCTTTTCTGCATCTATTGAGATAATCATGTGGTTTTTGTCTTTGGTTCTGTTTATATGCTGGATTATGTTTGTTGATTTTCGTATGTTGAACCAGCCTTGCATCCCAGGGATGAAGCCCACTTGATCATGGTGGATAAGCTTTTTGATGTGTTGCTGGATTTGGTTTGCCAGTATTTTATTGAGGATTTTTGCACCAATGTTCATCAAGGATATTGGTCTAAAATTCTCTTTTTTGTTGTGTCTCTGCCAGGCTTTGGTATCAGGATGATGCTGGCCTCATAAAATGAGTTAGGGAGGATTCCCTCTTTTTCTATTGATTGGAATAATTTCAGAAGGAATGGTACCAGCTCCTCCTTGTACCTCTGGTAGAATTTGGCTGTGAATCCATCTGGTCCTGGACTTTTTTCGGTTGGTAAGCTATTAATTATTGTCTCAATTTCAGAGCCTGTTATTGGTCTATTCAGAGCTTCAACTTCTTCCTGGATTTAGTCTTGAGAGAGTGTACGTGTTGAGGAATTTATCCATTTCTTCTAGGTTTTCTAGTTTATTTGCGTAGAGGTGTTTATAGTATTCTCTGAAGGTAGTTTGTATTTCTGTGGGATTGGTGGCGATATCCCCTTTGTCATTTTTATTGCGTCTATTTGATTCTTCTCTCTTTTCTTCATTATTAGTCTTGCTAGAGGTCTATCAATTTTGTTGATCTTTTCAGAAAACCAGCTCCTGGATTCATTGATTTTTTGAAGGGTTTTTTGTGTCTCTATTTCCTTCAGTTCTGCTCTGATTTTAGTTATTTCTTGCCTTCTGCTAGCTTTTGAATGTGTTTCCTCTTGCTTCTCTAGTTCTTTTAATTGTGATGTTAGGGTGTCAATTTTAGGTCTTTCCTGCTTTCTCTTGTGGGCATTTAGTGCTATAAATTTCCCTCTACACACTGCTTTGAATGTGTCCCAGAGATTCTGGTATGTTGTGTCTTTGTTCTCGTTGGTTTCAAAGAACATCTTTATTTCTGCCTTCATTTCGTTATGTACCCAGTAGTCACTCAGGAGCAGGTTGTTGAGTTTCCATGTAGTTGAGCGGTTTTGAGTGAGTTTCTTAATCTTGAATTCCAGTTTGATTGCACTGTGGTCTGAGAGACAGTTTGTTATAATTTCTGTTCTTTTACATTTGCTGAGGAGTGCTTTACTTCCAACTATGTGGTCAATTTTGGAATAGGTGTGGTGTGGTGCTGAAAAGAATGTATAGTGTGTTGATTTGGGGTGGAGAGTTCTGTAGATGTCAATTAGGTCCGCTTGGTGTAGAGCTGAGTTCAATTCCTGGATATCCTTGTTAACTTCCTGTCTCGTGGATCTGTCTAATGTTGACAGTGGGGTGTTAAAGTCTCCCATTATTATTGTGTGGAGGTCTAAGTCACTTTGTAGGTCACTGAGGACTTGCTTTATGAATCTGGGTGCTCCTGTATTGGGTGCATATATATTTAGGATAGTTAGTTCTTCTTGTTGAATTGATCCCTTTACCATTATGTAATGGCCTTCTTTGTCTCTTTTGATCTTTGTTGGTTTAAAGTCTGTTTTATCAGAGACTAGGATTGCAACCCTTGCCTTTTTTTGTTTTCAGTTTGCCTGGTAGATCTTCCTACATCCCTTTATTTTGAGCCTATGTGTGTCTCTGCACGTGAGATGGGTTTCTTGAATACAGCACAATGATGGGTCTTGAGTCTTTATCCAATTTGCCAGCCTGTGCCTTTTAATTGGAGCATTTAGCCCATTTACATTTAAGGTTAGTATTGTTATGTTTGAATTTGATCCTGTCATTATGATGTTAGCTGGTTATTTTGCTTGTTAGTTGATGCAGTTTCTTCCTAGCCTTGATGGTCTTTACAATTTGGCATGTTTTTGCAGTGGCTGGTACTGGTTGTTCCTTTCCATGTTTAGTGCTTCCTTCAGGAGCTCTTTTAGGGCAGGCCTGGTGGTGACAAAAATCTCTCAGCATTTGCTTGTCTGTAAAGGATTTTATTTCTGCCTCACTTATGAAGCTTAGTTTGGCTGGATATGAAATTCTGGGTTGAAAATTCTTTCTTTAAGAATGTTGAATATTGGCCCCCACTCTCTTCTGGCTTGTAGAGTTTCTGCCAAGAGATCAGCTGTTAGTCTGATGGGCTTCCTTTTGTGGTTAACCTCACCTTTCTCTCTGGCTGTCCTTAACATTTTTTCCTTCATTTCAACTTTGGTGAATCTGACAATTATGTGTCTTGGAGTTTCTCTTCTCAAGGAGTATCTTTGTGGCATTCTCTGTATTTCCTGAATTTGAATGTTGGCCTGCCTTGCTAGATTGGGGAAGTTCACCTGGATAATATCCTGCAGAGTGTTTTCCAACTTGGTTCCATTCTCCCCGTCACTTTCAGGTACACCAGTTAGATGTAGATATGGTCTTTTCACATAGTCCCATATTTCTTGGAGGCTTTGTTCATTTCTTTTTATTCTTTTTTCTCTAAACTTCTCTTCACGCTTCATTTCATTCATTTCATCTTCCATCACTGATACCCTTTCTTCCAGTTGATCGCATCGGTTACTGAGGCTTGTGTATTCATCACGTAGTTCTTGTGCCGTGGTTTTCAGCTCCATCAGGTCCTTTAAGGACTTCTCTGCATTGGGTATTCTAGTTATCCATTCGTCTAATTTTTTTTCAAACTTTTTAACTTCTTTGCCTTTGGTTCAAACTTCCTCCTTTAGCTTGGAGTAGTTTGATCTTCTGAAGCCTTCCTCTCTCAATTCGTCAAAGTCATTCTCTGTCCAGCTTTGTTCCATTGCTGGTGAGGATCTGCGTTCCTTTGGAGGAGTCGAGGCCCTCTGATTTTTAGAGTTTCCAGTTTTTCTGCTCTGTTTTTTCCCCATCTTTGTGGTTTTATCTACCTTTGGTCTTTGATGATGGTGACGTACAGATGGGTTTTTGGTGTGGATGTCCTTTCTGTTTGTTAGTTTTCCTTCTAACAGTCAGGACCCTCAGCTGCAGGTCTGTTGAAGTTTACTGGTGGTCCACTCCAGACCCTGTTTGCCTGGGTATCAGCAGCGGTGGCTGCAGAACAGCGGATATTGGTGAACCACAAGTGCCACTGCCTGATCGTTCCTCTGGAAGTTTTGTCTCAGAGGAGTACCCGGCCGTGTGAGGTGTCCGTCCGCCCATACTGGGGGGTGCCTCCCAGTTAGACTACTCGGGGGTCAGGGACCCACTTGAGGAGGCAGTCTGCCCGTTCTCAGATCTCAAGCTGCGTGCTGGGAGAACCACTACTCTCTTCAGAGCTGTCAGAGAGGGACATTTAAGTCTGCAGAGGTTATTGCTGTCTTTTGTCTGTGCCCTGCCCCCAGCAGTGGAGCCTACAGAGGCAGGCAGGTCTCCTTGAGCTGTGGTGGGCTCCACCCAGTTTGAGCTTCCTGGCCGCTTTGTTTACCTACTCAGGCCTGAGAAATGGTGGGTGCCCCTCCCCCAGCCTTGCTGCTCCCTTGCAGTTTGATCTCAGACCTCTGTCTTAGCAATGAGTGAAGCTCCATGGGCGTAGGACCCTCCTAGCCAGGTGAGGGATATAATCACCTGTTGTGCCGTTTGATAAGCCTGTTGGAAAAGCGCAGTATTAGGGTAGGAGTGACCTGATTTTCCAGGTGCTGTCTGCCACCCCTTTGACTAGGAAAGGGAATTCCCTGACCCCCTGTGCTCCCTGGGTGAGGCAATGCCTCACCCTGCTTTGGCTTACGCACAGTGTGCTGCACCCACTGTGCTGCACCCCCTATCTGGCACTCCCCAGTGAGATGAACCCAGTACCTCAGTTGGAAATGCAGAAATCACCCGTCTTCTGAGTTGCTCACGCTGGGAGCTGTAGACTGGAGCTGTTCCTATTTGGCTGTCTTGGCTCCACCCCCTTTTACTTTTTTATTTAGTTTTGATACAGAATCTTGCTCTGTCCCCCAGGCTGGAGAGCAGTGGCATGACCTTGGCTCACTGCAACCTCCGCCTCCTGAATTCAAGTGATTCTCGTGCCTCATCCTCCTGAGTAGCTTAGATTACAGGCATGTGCCACCAAGTGCAGCTAATTTTTTTATTTTTAGTAGAGATGGGGTTTTGCTATGTTGCCCAGGCTGGTCTGGAACTCCTGGTTCAAGTGATCTGCCTGCCACAGCTTCCCAAAGTGCTGGGATTACAGGCATGAGCCACCTCACCTGGCCTGGGGTTTATGTGTATAAATCAATATTACAGATGGAGGTATGCAGTATTACTATGAAATCATTTTATCAAAACATTAAGTCTTAATTTTATCAAGTCACTAGCTCCAACTACCAAGATAAACAAAATATAGAGGAGATAAGAACATGTTAAACAACACCATGGGGATGCAATCAACAAATCCAGACTGTAGATTTTATGAACTGAATTACATCCCTCAAAATTCATATATTAAAGCCCTAACCTGAAATGTGACTGTGTTTGGTGATAGGGGTTTTGTATTGGTCTGTTTTCACACTGCGATTTTATAAAGAACTACCAAGACTGGGTAATTTATGAAGAAAGAGGTTTGATTGACTCACAGTTCTGTAGACTTAACAGGAAGCATGACTGGGAAGCCCCAGGAAACTTACGATCATGGTGGAAGGCAAAGGGGAAGCAGGCACGTCTTACCATAGTGGAGCAGGAGAGAGAGAGTGAGAGTGAGAGCGTGAAGGGGGATGTGCCACACACCTTCAAACAACCAGATTTCATGAGAACTCACTCACTATCAGGAGAACAGCAAGGGTGAGGTCCGTCCCCATGATTCAATTACTTCCCACTGGGCCCCTGCCCCAACATGTGGGGATTACAATTCGAGATGAGATTTGGATGGAGACACAGAGCCAAACCATATCATCTTTTAAGAAGGTAATTAAGGTTAAATGGCATCATAAGGATGGAGACCTAAATCCAATAGGACTATTGTCTTTGTAAGAAGAGGGAGAGATATCAGAGCTTGCACCAGCCACCTCCCCCTTGCCTCACCAATCCCCCTTCTACCATGCACCCACAAAGAGAAGGCCATGTGAGAGCACAGTAAGGAGGGGCTGTCTATAAGTCAGGAAGAGAGGCCTCACGAGAAAGCAACCCTGCTGGCACCTTGATCTTGGACTTTCAGCCTCCAGAGCTGTGGGAAAATACATTTCTGCAGTTTAGACTACCCATTAGGTGGTATGGTGGGCCCTCCATATCCATGGGTTCTGTTTCTGTGGATTCAACCAACAAAAGATTGAAAAATATTTGAAAAAGAAAATTGCATCTGAGGGTCAAGCATGGTGGCTGATGCCTGTAATCCCAGCACGTTGGGAGGCCAAGGTGGGAGGGTTGCTTCAGGCCAGGAGTTCGAGACCAGCCTGGGTGACAGTGAGACCCCAGTCTCTGTAAAAAAGAATTTTTTAGGCTGGGCGTGGCGGCTCACACCTGTAATCCCAGCACTTTGGGAGGCTGTGGCAGGTGGATCACCTGAGGTCAGGAGTTCGAGACCAGTCTGGCCAACATGATAAAACCCCGTCTCTACTAAAAACACAAAAATTAGCTGGGTGCAGTAGTGCATGCCTATAATCCCAGCTACTGGGGAGGCTGAGGCAGGAGAATCACTTGAACCTGAGAGGCGGAGGTTGCATTGAGCCAAGATCGTGCCACTGTACTCCAGCCTGGGTGACAGAGCAAAACTCCATCTCAAAAAAAAAAAAAAAAAATTTTTTTTTAATTAGCTGGGGGTGGTGGCACACACCTGTAATCCCAGTTAGGAGGCTGAGGACAGAGGATTGCTTGAGCCCAGGGGATGAAGGCTACAGTGAGCTATGATTGTGCCACAGCACTCCAGCCTGGGTGACAGAGCGAGACCCTGACTCTAAAAAGAAAAAAAAATTGCATCTGTACTGGGCTTGCACAGATTTTTTTTCTTGTCATATGGTAAAAAATACAGTATAACAACTATTTATAATATTTAAATTGTATTATGTACTATAGAGATGACTAGACTAGATTACTCCAAGTAATCTAGAGATGATTTAAAGTGTACAGGTGGATGTGTGTAGCTTATAGGAAAATACTACATTATTTTATATAAGGGACTTGAGCATCTGCAGATTTTTGTATTCAAGAGAGGTCCTGGAACCAATCCCTTGTGAATAAGGAGAGACTCCTGTGTTTTGTTATGGCTGCCCAAGCAAACTAATACAGTAGGAAACTTTACAGGACTATCTAGCTTCTTTAACAAGTAAGTTGCACCTAGCGCGGTGGCTCACGCCTGTAATCCCAGCACTTTGGGAGGCCGAGGCGGGCGGATCACGAGGTCAGGAGATCGAGACAATCCTGGCTACCACAGTGAAACCCCATCTCTACTAAAAATACAAAAAAATTAGCCGGGCTTGGTGGCGGGCTCCTGTAGTCCCAGCTACAGCTACGCTGGAGGCTGAGGCAGGAGAATGGCGTGAACCCGGGAGGCGGAGCTTGCAGTAAGCGGAGATGGTGCCACTGCACTCTAGCCTGGGCGACAGAGCAAGACTCCGTCTCAAAAAAACAAACAAACAAACAAAAACAAAAAACCAAGTAAGTTGCAACAAGAAAGTGCGTGTGTGTGTGTGTGTGTGTGTGTGTGTGTGTGTGGGAGAGAGAGCGAGAGAGAGAGCTAGATTAAGGGGGACCTTACAGATTAAAGACACTTAAAAGTTACAACCACCAGTAGCAATGTGTGGGCCTTATTTGGGTACTGATGCAAACAAACTGGAAGGAAGAAAAAGAGAGAAAGATGGAAAGAGATAACTACACTATGACATTTGTGAGACAATTGTAAATTTGAGCACTGGATATGTTATAATATTAAGAAGGAATTTTTTATTTCTTTTAAGCATAATCAAGTTTATTCAGGTACACACTGAAAGTTTTACAGATAATATGATGTCTGGAACTGGCTTTAAAAATATAGGGGGATGTGGAAATTTAAAAAGTTGATCTCATAGAATAGAGAGTAGAATAGTGGTTACTAGAGGTGGGGAAGAGTAGAGAAGAGAAGAGATAGGGAGATGTTGTCTAAAAGATACAGCTAGATAGAAGTAAGTTCTAGTGTTCTATAGCATTGTAGGGTGATTATAGTTAACAATTTTTTGTGTATTTTCAAATAGCTAGAAGAGAGGATTTTGAATATTCCCAACACAAATAAATGTTTGAGGTGATAGATTTGCTAATCACCCTGATTTGCCCATTACAGATTCCACCCATGTATTGAAATATCACACTGTACCTCATAAATATGTATAATTATTGTGTGTCAGTTAAAAACAATAAAATGTTTAAAAATATCATGTAGCAGGTGATAAAATAAATGAAACAAGATTGGCTGTGAATTGATAGTTGTTAAAGCTGGTAATGGGTTCATGTGGGTTCATTATACATTTTCTCTACTTTGGTACATGTTTAAATTATCCATAATAAAAAGTTTAAAAATGATTTTATGAGAACTAGAAAATTATTTTCTCTCAAACTCAGAAATATCTAGAAATACCACTTATTTATGATTTATTGACAATAAAAGGATTTTACAAGCAAGGGAGACCTTGCTAGGAAGGTTTGCTGGATATATAAAAGCTTCCATGAAAGCACATCCAAGAAGAGTTCTTGACATTAGCATTCAATAAATGTTTATTAAGCATCTACCACAGTGAGGTATATTCCTGGTGCTACCAACAAGATGGACACAGTCCTTGACCTCTCAGGGCCTAAAGTCTAGCAGAGCTGATTGACTAAAAGCAAGTAAGCTGATAGATTTTTAAAATATTTTTGAGTTATCATAAGTGTTATACCACTGACAAGGACTGAGATAGGCTCGTTTAGATGGGGGCTGAAAAGAAAAACCTTTCCACAGGAGTGTCATTTAAGCGGAGAGACACCTACAAGATGAGATAAAAGAGCCAGTCCTGGGGGCAGTGTAGAGAGAATATTCAAGTGAGGAAACTGGACAAACTGATTGGGAGTTTGGTTTGTCAGAGGAACTGAAGAAAGCCAGTACGGCTGAGGTGTGATGACCTGAGGAAACATGAAGTAAAATATCTGAGATGAGGTGAGAGACCTAGGTAGGGGCTAAATCATGCATCACCTTTTAGGCCACAGTGAGGAGCCTGGATTTTATCCTAGGACCTATGAAATCCATTGGGGATTCTAAGAAAGGAGCTTGATTTGCCACAGGAGTAGAATGGAAGTTTGAGGAAGGTTGGCCTGAAAGAGAGAGCTTGAAGGAGCAGGGGAAGAGGGCATTAAGGCCCTGGAGCTCCCTCGAGGACTCATGAGATAGCAGTGGGATCTTCCAAGGTCACCCTGTGTCAGCAGCCTCAAGAGATGGGGTCTCCCTGACTTGCCCAGTGCCCCGGCAGCTGGTTAAGTAGGAGGATATTCTTGTAATTTGTTGTTGTGTAACAGACCATCCCAAAATTTAGTGGCTTAATGCCATAGACATTTCTCAGGAATCTGCAATTTGGACCTGAAGGGATGATTTGTCCCTGCTCCATGCCACATCTGGGGCCTCAGCTGGGATGATGGAAATGGCTGAGGCTGGCACAGCCAAGGGCTAGTTGGGCCTCTCACTCTCTCTTCGTGTAGTCTCAGGGCCACTCTGTGAGGTTTCTTGTGTAGTCTTTCCAGGGCGATAGCCTCAGGTGAGTTGGACGTCTCATGTCACAATTCAGAGCTGCAAAAGCAGGTGCTCCCACAGAACACAGTGGATGTTTCAAGGACATTTGGATCTAACTCTAGAGTTACACAGTCTACTTCTACCTGATTCTATTTGTCACATGGGGCCAGCTCTAATTCTTTATGGAAAGGGACCACCTCAGGGCATGATCATTGACAGCAGCTTGGAAGCTGGCTAACAAGAGTTTCTACATTTGTATACACTGAATGTGGGGCTCCCAAAGGGACATACTCAGAGAAACAAAGATGATCGTGGTTATATTACCCCTGTGGGAGAGATCTGATTTACCCTGGCGGCGAATCCGTATGGGTCTGCAGCAACTTCAATTCTTGCCTACTCAGAAGAAAGAATTCGACTGAGGGGCATAAGATGGAAAAAGAGACTGAGACAAGTTCCAGAGCAAAAGTGGAAGTTTATTTAAAAGGCCTTAGAACAAGAAAGAAAGGAAAGTTCACTTGGAAGAGATCTAAGAGGGCATGTAAAGGTTAAAGAGAGAGAGAAGGTCAACTGCCCCCTTTAACCACGGTCCTAGGACTTTTATAGGCTTGCCTCTTTCCCATGATTCTTCCCTCATGGTGGGCTGCTCACATGTGCAGAGCCCTCCTTACCCTTGGGAAGTGAGCATGTGCAGTGAGTTTAGAAGGCTGAACATGTGCCCGTCTGAGGCTTTCTTCCTTTTTCCTGTGGAGTGTTCCCAGACAATCATACTTTGCCATTTTCGCCTGTTAATGTGCATGCGCAGGAAGATGCTTCTCCCGGGGGTCTGCCTTTAATTAAGCCTTTCATGTTAACAGGTGTGAACCATCAAGAAATGGCCCCTCCCTGGCACTGGCTGCCAATTTATCACTTTTAGAGAGGCAATGTGATAATGGCCGAACCATCACCTGACATTTCTAGTAGATCAGGGGAGAGAGCCCGCTCCTGCCTGGCTCATGCCTACCTGTAACAGTTGGGCCAACTCTTAGCCTTCCATTTTGCAGAGTGGATTGCCGCAATTTGAAAAGAGCTGAAGTACCAGGGACAGCAGACAGGATTTCAGAGGCTATTAGGGAAGACATGATAAGAGCTGAGAGGGCTGACCGAAGAGGATTCTGAAGGGAACCAAGATAACTAATGAGGAATCTGAGAAGTCTTTGCTTTGTGGTGTATGAAGTCAATCCCCTTTCCCTTCCCTTCACGAAAATCTTCAGTAAATTGCTATTTTGTTAACACATTGTGGATCTGTTTTGAGGGATCCATCAAATGCTGAGTTCTGTTTTCAGGAAGGTTTGGGATGAGAACAGATACTGCCCAAGGGAGCCACACTTGGCATACTAGCGAACAAAGGAAAAACTAAATAATGAATGGATGGATAAATGGATCCTAGAATTCCTATAACCTTCCACTGGCTAATCATAACCCCTGGCAAACCTGGAATTACTTCTATCTAGCCTCCAGACAAATTCTGGAACTGGCCATTTCTGATCTCTTTCTATCCCAACTTCCCTTTTGCTTGTTTTTTCCCACTATCACATTGTGAATTTGGGAGTTGAAATAGTTTCTGTAGTATCAACTCTCTGTTTACTTACTCTTTAACTCTTTGACGTGTATTGAGTGCTGTGTCAGATGCAGTGCTATGTGCAGTGAAGAATTCTGCGAAAAAGTGGAACTCATAGCCAGAGGTAAAGCTGGAAGAAGCAGTGCCACAGACAAGGCAAGAATCAAATGCTATAACTGTTCAGAGTTGGGGTGTCACTGAGGACAGTGGAGGGTAGAAGGTTGTGAAAAGCTTCACAGAAATGGTGGGCATCTAAGCCAAACCTTAAATAAAGAGTGACATTTACACATGAAGAGATAAAGATTGGGGGTTTTGAGATGGAGTAAGGAAGTAATCCCTGGCCAACCCACTCAGTCTTCCCCATCAAGGTGCTGCTGACTTGTATCTATGCCCTCTTGGATCTTTCCTTAGTGCTTTCCTGGCCGCAAAGGCAGCTAGCTGCATTGGTATTTTAATAAAAATGGCTGCAGGCTTCTCCATCCACATATCCCTCAAGGTTCCTTATCAACTATAATCTGGGAACAGCTCTCCTGCTGAAACAGTGAGTAGAATGAATGGCACTAGTAGAGGCCTGGGATATGAGGAGGGAAACTGAGGTCCAGAGAAAGAACACCGATGCTGTGTTTACTTATCTGTTCTCAACAAATAAATATATTCATGTGTGTGTATGTTTGTTTCCCCACCTAGACTATGAGCTCCTCAAGGGCATGAACTGAGTCTCACCCATCTCAGTACACTCAGCATAGAGTGTGGTATATTGTAAGTGTTCATATTTGGTAGCTGAAATAGCATTCTAGAGCTTAAGGCAGTGATTCTGGAAGTATGATCCTTGGACCTATGGCATGAGCTGGGAACTTGGTGGAAATGCAAATTCATGGGGCCTCATCCCAGACCTACTGAATTAGAAATTATGGAGACAGAGTCCAGCAGCCTGTGTTTTAACAAGCCCTCCAGGAGATTCTGATGCAGGTTAAAGTTTGAGAATCATTGCTTTAGGATATTTGAGCCTAGACTAAGACTTGCTCTGGCCTCCTTTGGGACTTCAAGAACTAAGCTTCTTTTTATCTTATAACAGACACATCCTTATTTTATTCTTTTATCCCCTGCCCCTTAACAAAAGAAAAGTGACAGAAGGAGAAAAGAAAAAAAATATCATAAAGGTATTGCCAGTGACCAGGGAAAATAAGTAAGTAATGGCAAGTTTCTTTCCTTCCTGAAAAAAACAGAAACTTTGCCTGTAAAAAATATATTCAATTATTTTTAAAAGACTTTTTATAGAATAGGAAGAGAGCAAATAAAAATGTATATATATATTAAAAAAGCACTTTGGTTTTATGTGAAAGTGTTACTCCTCCCAGACAAAACCACATGCTCATTTTCCTTGTCAATCTCCATTGTCATCACTGATAATTCCCAGAAGCCGCCACCAGAATGTTTCTTTCTGGAGTGGAGAATCTTGTAAAATTCATTATTTTCTTGGGCACTCACAATGCTCCCAGACCTATGGGACAGTCAGAATTGATGGGATCCTCTGCCCTGTGCATGCTTGTACCTGGCAGATAAGGACAACAAAGAATATTTGTGTATATCCATACAGGATCAATCCCCATGTAACCTGGATCCTCACTATGTGGTCAATACTGAGGCTGGCTTTATACCAGCATACATATATAGTTGTGATTTTATTCATATCCTCAAGGAACCCAAAATCTATTGGGATGGTGTGATAAATACATACAAAATTGACTTCATTGTAAGATCAGGGCTTTTCGAGTTTACACAGTGTTTTCACATACAGTTTCATTTGATCCTTAGAGCAGTTCCTGGGAGCAGTACATGATGGCTGCAGCAAAGTGAGTCCCAAACTTGGATCTATAGAATGAGCTTGTTATAATCTAAAAGGAACTCTTCCTGACTTATGATTGTTCATTGGGTGGCTAAAGAGGTGAGTGTAGTCTCAGGAAGGCAAGAGAGGATTGTGACTATATCTAAGAGAGCTTAATCCAATCAGTTACACAAGACATGATTTGAAGGGGGAAAAAAAGAATGTTTATGCAATGTGTCCTTTTAACTGACCCCCACTTGGGGAATTATTACAATAGTGTTTAATTTATAGGAGACAATATTTACTGCCTCTTCCAATGCTTCTAGTGAAAGCATACGTCAAAGAGGGTGGAAGGGATCTAACAGTGTTAGTATATCTGCCAATTTTCGAGTGTTGGCAACAGACTCAAAAAGTTTTAATACACCACATTGTCCAAATGAAACCACCAATTTGCAACCCATACTCTAGAATTGATAATGAAGAAGAAGACATTCTGAAAGAAGACTAGCCAGTTTAGCAGATGTGCTGTTTTCTCTGTAAAATATACTGATGAATATCCACATCCCTAAAATCTTCTGATAGTCCAGTCTCTTCTATGCTCAGCACTTCTGCTCTGACCAATTATGTTATGTGCTTTCTTCCTAGAGTCAGTTGAGTTCGTTCCCAAACCTGCTTATGCCAGTTGTACTATTTTATAATTATACAGCTAAATAAAATACTAGGCCAACCAATTAAATAATAGGTGCAAAAAATGAGTTCTTCCTTTTATGAAAATTAAGTTGGATGCTATGAAAAGACTTGACAAAAGTGTTTTGATTAAAATGAAGTTGCAGCCTGGGTGCCTTGGCTCATGCTTATAATCCTAGCACTTTGAGAGGCTGAGGCAGGAGGATCACTTGAGCTCAGGAGTTTGAGACCAGCCTGGGCAACATGGCGAAACTCCATCTCTATAAAAAAAATATGAAAATTAGCTGGGCGTGGTGGCTTGCGCCTGTGGTCCCAGCTACTTGGGAGGCTGAGGTGGGAGGACTGCTTGAGCCCAGGAGGTGGAGGTTGCAGTGAGCCGAGATTGTGGTACTGCACTCCAGCCTGGGTGACAGAGCGAGACCCTGCCTCAAAAAGTAAATATATATATAAAATGAAGTTGCTATTGAATAATATGTAAGTGAGACAATGGTGATTGTGGCAAGAATTGTAAAAATCTGGAGGAATTCTGCTCTGAAGTTGTTTCACAAAGGTCTTTATATTCTTGATCCACTTTAAAGAATTTCAATAACTGGAAATTTTAGATGATACCTTATTGGTGGGCTTTATGTAAGAGAAATGAGGTCAATTTTAAAGAAAAGGCCTTAGCCCTATATTTAAAAATTGTCAATTAAGGCCAGGCGCGGTGGCTTACGCCTATAATCCCAGCACTTTGGGAGGCCAAGGAGGGAGATCACCTGAGGTCAGAAGTTCGAGACCAGCCTGACCAACATGGAGAAAACCTGTCTCTACTAAAAATACAAAATTAACCACGTATGGTGGCGCATGCCTGTAATCCCAGCTACTCGGGAGGCTGAGACAGGGGAATTGCTTGAACCCGAGAGGTGGAGGTTGCGGTGAGCTGAGATCACACCATTGCATTCCAGCCTGGGCAACAAGAGCAAAACTCTGTCTCAAAAAAAAAAAAGGCAATTAAGGTACAGTTAAATGCTGCAGACTAAAATATTAAACATATTCTTTTTTACGATTTCCTCATTTTTTCCAATTAACTTTTTTTGAATTTAGTTTTAAAAGTTCTGTTGACGGCTGGGTGCAGTGGCTCACTCCTGTAATCCCAGCACTTTGGGAGGCCGAGAGGGGCAGATCACGAGGTCAGGTGTTCCAGACCAGCCTGACCAACATGGTGAAACTCCGTCTTTACTAAAAATACAAAAATTAGCCAGGTGTGGTGGCATGCATCTGTAAGCCCAGCTACTCAAAAGGCTGAGGCAGGAAAATTGCTTGAACCTGGGAGGCGGAGGTTGCAGTGAGCTGAGATCACGCCACCGCACTCCAGCCTGAGTGACAGAGTGAGACTCTGTCTCAAAAAAAAAAAAAAAATTCTTCTGACAAACTACATTTCTCCACTTTGCTAAACAAGAGGACTTGTACTGAACTACGTCTGCATGGATCTTAGATAAATAAGAGACAAGGCTTCAAGAGAATAAAAAGTTGGTGGTGTTCTCCAGTGCTGACTTGAATAACTGTCCCTTGGAGCTCTCTCTAGTGGAGGGTGTGGTTGTTTGAGTTCAATGACGTCATGCCATTGATGTCATTGACCACAATGCTTTGTGTGAACCCTGAAATACAGAGGTACTAACATCAGGTAGCACAGTAGGCAGCTGCACCAAGGGGAGTTAAGCATGCCTTCTATGATACTTCAACAGCTAACAGCAATGAAAATTATTGATTATTGGTGTTTATCATGTATGAGTTTAATTAATTGAATGCATTTAAAATGCATTTAGTTTTTACAGCAAACTTATAAAGAAATTGAGGCTTGAAGATGTGAGGCAATTTACCCAAGGTCATATAACTAGTAAGTTGGAGAGACCAGAATTCAAATTCAGATTTAGCCTGGCTCCAAAGTCCTTGCCATTGACCACCTTGAGCATGTATCTCTCAGTTATAGTAACCACCTGTTGAGTGTAGTAGCCACTTGTCTTGTATTTGGCACAACACTAAATGCTTCATATACTTAAACACACTAACACGTGATTATATTTCATTAAGTGCGTATAGGGTGTTCTAGAACACTTTGAATATCTCTTGGTTACAGCTGATTCTTTATTCGTTGGTTAGAATAGCATGATGGAGATGCAAGGATTTGATCTTAGCCAATGTATTTTGTAAGTTACCAAATTTTAGAGAGACAATGTGATATAGGGCAAAAATGTGGTCTTTGTAGTAAGACTGCTCTGTTTGCATCTTGGCTTTGCCACTTTCTGGTGAAGTAGCCTTTATAAATCATGTTACTTCTCTGGGCCTCAGAGCTCTCATCTGTAATAATGAGTATGATGGTATTTACTTTGCAGAGTTCTTGTGGAAACAAAAGATGATACTTCTAAGGTCTAGTGAAGCTTTTGGATCATTATAGGAACTCAATAAATGAAAATTTCAGCCAGGCACAGTGGCTCACACCTGTAATCCCAACACTTTGGGAGGCCAGGGTGGGTGGATCATTTAAGGTCAGGAGTTCAAGACCAGCCTGGCCAACATGGCAAAACCCCATCTCTACTAAAGATACAAAAATTAGCTGGGAGTGGTGGTATGTGCCTGTAATTCCACCTACTGGGGAGGTTGAGGCACAACAATCGCTTGAACCTGAGAGGCAGAGATTGCAGTGAGCCTAGGTCATGCCTCTGCACTCAAGCCTGAGTGATGGAGTGAGACTCTGTCTTAAATAAATAAATAAATGAACATTTTAAATGTGTGATACATTGCATGGCTCATTGGGGGCATTTGAGAAATGGTAACCATTATGGTTAACACCTGTGTTGTAATTGTTTGTTGACTTTTTCCCTCACTTGATTGATTGATTCATTCATTCAACAAATATTTATTCACCACCCACTGTATGCAGGCACAGAGGTTAAGTGGGACATAAAATAGTGTAATTAGCTAAACATGTTTTTGTCCTCGAGTTTACCTTCCATTGAGGAAGACAGAAAATAAAAAATGTATTAATATATAAAACGTTGACAGTGTTGTAAGGAAACCCAGGATGTGCTGACTTGGGAAAGTGGGTTGGGTAAGTGGACCCAACTGAAATAAGTGGTTGGAAAAGCCTCCCCTGAGGAGGTAACATTTAAGCTGATATCCAAAGGATGGGAAGCGTGGGATAAGCTTCCCAGGAAGAAGGCAGCCTGGAGTCCTGAGGACTGGAGAAGTGGTCTGTGTGGAGGGAGGAGGAGCATAATAGAGCAGAAAGGAAAGTTGGAGACAGACAGGGACTAGATCTTGTGGGGCTTTGCAGGCCATGGTAAGAGGATAGGATTTTACTCTGAAACTCTGCTCTATAGAGTTGTGAGTGAGGAATGATGGTTCCTTGGACTAGAGTGAGCAGCAGAGGTGGAGAAGTGGATAACTCTCAGGCACATTTTAAGATTGTGCACAACTCAAGGGCAGGAACTGACTCCGATTTAATTTGGGGTCACAATGAGTAGTGAGGTGCTTACATTGTGGCCATTCAATAAGTGTTCTTGAAATTAGATAGTAGAAATTAGTTATTCTATGATAAGACCAATTATCTGTGCTATCATATAAGCTTCCAGTATAATATAAACTTAAGTGTGTGGGCTTGGAGTTTGGCAGACTCCCACTTACTGGTTGTGTAACTCTATGTTTTATTTTCTTCATCTGTAAATTAAAGATATTTGTTGACAAAGATGAATTGACATGATGCACCTAAAATGCTTTAAAATGTGTCTGGTACATGTAAAACATTCTTCACCTTAATTGAAATTCAGGCAGGTCTCCCTTTCAGTACACACTAACTTGTAGCACTTGGGAGTACAATTTGCTCATTTTCCCTTTTCATATTTGCCATGGAGTCTAGGAGCATTTTGTAAAAATCAGTCTCCTGTCAATTCTAAGTCATTGCTCCTCCTCCCTCATAAAAATAAGCAAGATAAACAAGTGAGAGAATACTTCTCCTTTCAAGCAAATACCATGTGAACATAGAAACCTCTACTCTTCCTGGCCATTTCATATTCTTCCTGATAATGCACACACATATTTTATGACCTAACTCCTCTTTTCTTTTAATTAGTTTTGCTGAATAAAGCAGGCAATTTATGCTACATGGCTGGCTCCTTCCTGAAGATGCTCAAATAATTTATTTTGAGGAATCTGGCCTCTGTAATGTTAAAGCAAGTAAATTATGAACACTATAAGGTGTCATGATAATGATAATTACAGTTTATTGAGGCTACTCTGTGCCGGGCACTTTACTAAGCACTTTATATATCCTGTTTGATTACTTTACTTCAATTGTATGAGGTATATAAAGAGTTATCAGATATCCCTAAAAACTCTAAGCCAACATAGGAATAAAGGTATGACTTCCATACATTGATTGAAGCACACCTGGAAAGAAACTGTAGGAAAGAGGGATGAAAAAAAAATTAAACCAGTGGAGCAGAATAGATTCCCAGAAGCAGCCCCATACATGAAATGGGAACTTTATATGCAATAGATCTGGCATTGTAGATTGGTGGAAAAAGAGGGCCCATTAAATAATTGATGTTAAGAAAATCAGATGTCCATATGAAAAAATTGGTCCTATCTTACACCTTACCAATAATCAATTCTAGGTAAATCAAATAACCTGAGTGTGAAAAACAAAACTTCAGAATTTTAGAAGAAAATATAAGAGAATATGTGTCTGACGTCAGTGTAGGAAATAGTTTCCTAAACAAAGAACAAAAAGTGCAAAACATGAAGGAAAGTATTGTCAAATTTAGCTCTATTAAAATCAAGAACTTGTGTTTATTGAAAGCTGGCAGAAAGAATGTGAAAGTCAGGCTATGATCTGGGAGAAGAAATATGCAAAACATATAACAAAGGAATTTTACCCAGAAAAAAATTATATTTTATTATATATATATATATTTTTTTTCTTTTTTTTGAGATAAAGTCTTACTCTGTCACCCAGGCTGGAGTGCAGTGGCGAGATCTTGGCTCACTGCATCCTCCACCTCCTGGGTTCAAGCGATTCTCCTGTCTCAGCCTCCCAAGTAGCTGGGATTACAGGCACACACCACCTTGCCCAGCTAATTTTTTGTGTATTTTTAGTAGAGACTGGGTTTCACTATGTTGGCCAGGCTGGTCTCGAACTCCTGACCTCAGGTGCTCCACCCACCTCTGCCTCCCAAAGTGTTGGAATTACAGGCGTGAGCCACCACACCTGGCTTATATATAGTTTTTTATACATGATACATAGATACATTTTATAACACGTGCATGTATCATATACAACAAATATATTAAAAGTCAATAAGAAAAAGTCAGTAGAAAAAATACACAAAGGGCATTGCACAGAAGAGAACCAAGGATGTCCAATAAACAATAGGCAAACATGCTGAAGCTCATTTATAATTAGGACAATGCATGTTAAACCAGGATGACAGACTACTTTATATCCCTAAAATTGATAATTTTTTTTTCCTTTCTTGAGATGGAGTCTCACTCTGTCACCCAGGCTGGAGTGCAGTGGTGCAATCTCAGCTCACTGCAACCTCCATCTCCTGGGTTCAAGCGATTCTCCTGTTTCAGCCTCCTGAGTAGCTGAGATTACAGGTGTGTGCCACCACACCCAGCTAATTTTTGTGTTTTTAGTAGAGACGGGTTTTCACCATGTTGGCCAGCCTGGTCTCGAATCCCTGACTTCAGGTGATCCATTGGCCTTGACCTCCCAAAGTGCTGGGATTACAATCGTGAGCCACACACCAAGCTGATAAGATATTAAAAAAAAAAATGTTGGTGAAGCTGTGGAATAACAGAAACTCTTATACACTGTTGGTGGGAGTATAAATTATTTCAACCACTTTTGAAAGTAATTTGGTATTGTGTAATCAAGTTGAGTATAGGCATAATATGTTCCATGAGCCAGCAATTCCTAGGGATGTGTGTGTACATGCACAAATGCATGCATGCACACACACAGACCCCTTAGACCAACTCTTGCCCATGTGTAACATGAGCCATGGGCAAAAATGGTCATAATAACTTTTTTTTTGTAGTAACAAAACAATAAGAAACAATTTAGAAGCCTATTGATAGGAGAATGGATAATTTTTGCTATACTTATTCAATGAATACCTTGCTTCACTGAAAGTGAATGAACTTCAGCTATGTGTATCAATATGAATGAGTCTTTCAAACAAAATGCCGGGTGAAAAAATCCTTACAGAAAATATATACAATGTAACATTTATATAAAGTGTAAAAACAGGTAAAATGGAACCATTTATTGTTTAAGATGTGTGGCAAAAGTAATGGGATGATAAAACAAAATTACTTTTGGGAGAAGAGAAGGCAGGAGAATGGCACAGAGGAGGGGCATAGAGGGGATTTCAAAAGAACTGATATCATTATCGTTCTTGCTTATATCTGGGGGGTTCATATTGTTATTGTTAATACTTTATACATTTTATACACTGTTGTAAGTATGAAATGAGGAAGAAAAATGGAGATAAGAGATGAGAAGATGACTGGAATGAATGGCTATATAGGTAATAACCCAAAGAAGCAATATCTTTTGAAGATACCAGCCAAATATTCACTTTTATCTTCTCTATAACCCTTTCTCATTCCTTCTGCTTTCCTCTACCAAAAACAAAAACAAAAAAGGAAATCAAATAAATAAATAACATATAATAAGGGTAGAATCAATTATTTAAAAAGCAAATAAAATTCTGATCTATAAAATCAAGATAACCAAATAGAAGATGCCCTTCTGAAGGCTGAGGGAAATGTTCTGCTGTGACATTGACTCTTCATAGCCAGGTTGTATTAGGCCATTCTTGTGTTACTATAAATAAATACTTGGGCTAGGTAATTTATAAAGAAACAAGGTTTATGGCTGGGTGCAGTGACTCATGCCTGTAATCCCAGCACTTTGGGAGGCTGAGGCGGGTGGATCACTTGAGGCCAGGAGTTTGAGACTAGCCTGGCCAACATGGTGAAACCCTGTCTCTACTAAAAATACAAAAATTAGCTGGGCATAGTGGAGCATGCTGTAATCCTAGCTACTTGGGATGCTGAGGCAGGAGAATCACTTGAACCTGGGAGGCAGAGGTTGCAGTGAGCCGAGATCACACCACTGCATTCCAGCCTGGGTGACAGAGTGAGACTCTGTCTTCCCCCTACCCGCCCCCTCAAAAAAAAAGTTTAATTGGCTCATGGTTCGCAGGCTGTATAATAAGCTTGGCACTGGCATCTGCTCGGCTTCTGGGAAGGCCTCAGGGAGCTTTTACTCATGGCAGAAGGTGAAGCGGGAGCAGGCACTTCACATGGTAAAGGCAGGAGCAAGAGAGAGAGTGGCAGGGAGGGGAGATGCCATACTTTACAACAAGGTCTCATGAGAACTCACTCATGATCCCAGGTCAGCACTAAGCCATGAGGGATCTGCCCCCATGACCCAGACACCTCCCACCAGGCCCCAACTTCAGCACTGGGATTACAGTCCAACATGAGATTTTGGTGGGGACAAATATCCAAACTATATCACAGGTATACCCTGTACTGTATGATATGAACATCAGGCAGTGATAGTCTGCTGAAATGTAGTTATATAGAGAGAAACCTTGGAGTAAGAGTCTTGAAGAGCTTGTTGTTTAACCCTCAGAGTGTTTTTGCTCAGAATAACTCGGAATAGCTGGCTACAAAGTCTGGAGTCTCTCTGTGCAGCATGCAGATACCTATGCGTTCATCCATTTATCCATCCTTTATCTTTCCTCCAGCATTCATTGAGTTTGCCCTTTATGGCAGGGATAAGGAGGTGCTAGAGATGACAAAAAGAAAAGGCAGAGCTAATTACCCTGCAGGATGATGGTGTGAGATTGGAGTCAGGTCTCCAGCAGAGTTGGGGGCATGAGGTCACAGGGGGTTAGCTCTGCCTGCTGAGAGGTAACAGAGGGCTTCATCACTGACCAGATGACTCTGTGCCCTGATGTGTCTTGAAAGACAGAGAAAAAGCTTTCAGACCTGAGGTCTTCAAACGTTTATGTTTTGCTCATGGACTTCTAAAGGAAATCTGAAATAGCTATGCACTGCTCACAGTTTTTATGCTGACATCTAAAAATTTTTATCATAAGTTTAAGTAATTGTAAAGAAATTCCCTGTTACAACAAGTATTGGCATCTCAAAACAAGCCCCTCATATTTTAAAAATGTTTCCAGTGGAATCTACATACTAATTTGATATATATTCATCCTTTTTTTAAAAAATACAACAAGCTCTTCTTAATGTATTGACATTTTATATATCGTGTAAGAAATGTTTCTAATGGAATCTATACACCAAATGATTTCATCATCTTTTTAGAAGTAGCAGAACAAGCTCTTCTTAAATTTTACATCATTCTTTCTTCTCCTTGGATTTGTATTTCCATTTCTTTACCTTACAGAATTTATCCTATGAAACATACCTTGTGTCATATTTCTCTGTAACAATGAACAAGGATATACAGTCTATAAAGCTCTAAGTGTTAAAACATCTCTTCTGCATTGAGTCATTATGATGATTATTGGTATACAATTGGTCAAAACAACATAAATATATGTTTTGAGGATTATGAAAGAAAAGTTTTATGGGAAGTTGATCTCTTAATTAGATAGGTAGAGTTGTTTTTCTTTGCTCTCTCGTTTTTGGCAATTATATTTATTGTTGGCTATTATTGCTAGAATGAGATAGTATTCAGCATCAATATTCACCCTATTTTTTCTTTTTTTAATTAGATATAAATGCTGAGAAATTTTGTTCATATTTAAGCCGTGGAATTGGAAGTTTTGTTTAGAAATATCATTAAGGCCGGGCACTATGGCTCACGCCTGTAATCCTAGGACTTTGGGAGGCCAAGGCAGGTGGATCACCTGAGGTCAGGAGTTTGAGACCAGCCTGGCCAACATGGCAAAACCCTGTCTCTACTAAATACAAAAATCAGCCGGGCATGGTGGCAGGTGCCTGTAATCCCAGCTACTTGGGAAGCTGAGGCAGGAAAATCTCTTGAACCCAGGGGGTGGAGGTTGCAGTGAGCCATGATGGTGTTGCTGCGCTCCAGCCTGGGTGAAAGGGCAAGACTCCGTCTCAAAAAGAAAAGAAATGTCATTTAATTATTGAATTATTTTTGAGTTAAAAAGCAAAAATTATTTACTGATTTTTCTCTTAAAATTATTTTTTAAACAGCTGTTATTATATAATTCATATCTCTTGTAACTTTGTTGACAGCAATGACTCAATACCAATTGACTTGTGAAAAGTATTTGTAACCAGTTATGAGAGTTAGTAACTTCCTCAACAATAATACCAGTAGACCTAAAAGGAAGAAGCTAAGGCAAAATTACTATAGAGAGTTTATTTGGGCCAAGTTTGAAGACTGCACCCCAGGACATACTTCCAGGTTGCCTTGGAGAGTGCTCTGGGGAACATAGGAGAGGCTCAAGTTTTTAAAGATAAAAGGAACAAATCAAGAGAGTGGGTAATTCTTCAGGAATTCTCATTGGTTTACAGAAATAACATTTGTTAGTGATTGGCTATACCTTGTTGAACTGTAGGATGTATGGCGCTTTATGGCTACTTGGCATTATTCTAGAGCCTGCATAGCAAATGGCTTCAAAAGGTAATTATCTAGCTCAAGGAGGAGTGAGACATGACTACTGTTACGTCTTCAATGCCTCTCTGGGCCTGATAATTTAAAGGGGCCCACATGCCTCAGATAAAAAGCTTTTTTTTCTCATATGAATATTTCAAATTGTTCCTTTGCTTGGGAACCTGGAGGTGTTTTCACCCTGAGGTAACAACGCACCACTGTAAGATGTGGGATGGAAGAGAGAAGAGCCTTTCTTTTGTAAAGTGGGAAGAAATCCATTGTAAAAGGGCAACTTACAGCTTGACCTCACTGTCTCTTAGATTTTAGGAAAGAGTACAAATAGGCTTTGAGGATCTGGAAATTGATTTCCTTAAAACAACTCAAGATTCCACATGTAAAGTTTTCCAGATTGTTGCTACTTTTAGCGTGGTCTGTGGGCCAGCAACATTGGCATACCTGGGAGCTGTTAGAAATGCAGAATCTCAGCCCCAGCCTAGACCTCCTAAAGCTGAATCTGCAAAATCCCAGGGCGATTCACTAGCACATTAAAGTCCAGATTGCTGCCACTTCCTTCCCCTCAAAACCTTGTAGTGCACACATTGGCTGTTATGCAGTTTCCTTCCCAGTGTAGGAGTCATTTACATACCTCTTGAGCAGCCTCTGCTCATAATTTTGGCTTTGGTTCTCCAAGAAGTCACTTGGTTTAGTTTCCAGCAGTCTGTGAGGCCTACTGGGCTGGGCTTTCTGACTCTGCAAATAATTTAAACACTGTTTATCGTGGTCCCTAAGGAACCCTCAGTAAGTGGTAGCTGATAGTTATCATTTTCCTCTCACTAATGGTCAGATTTGAGTAAGAGATCCTTTTTCCTCCTTGAGTGTCACTCGAGCCTGTGATTTTGAATTACTGGATGTTAAGATTGGCAAGACCTGTGTGTGTCATGGAGAGGTTTCCTCCTATCATCCCAGTGAACATTGTGACCTTGTCATTAGGAGAGCTATAAATAGAATAATTTTTTTTAAGGAAAATAAAAGCCTATTCAAACAGAGCATCAGAAGCTGCTGGTTCTAGCAAGAAGAAAATGGCTGATTGTATTTTTTGAAATGTCTTTGCCTTTCCCTGTATTTTTGCTGTGTTGACAGTTGTGCCATCCAGGCTTGACCTAGCCCTCGGCCCTCCCTCTTGGCTCTGCATTGACTTTTTGTATATGTGGGATTCCAGATCTGTAAACAAGGGGGCCCGGTGCCAAAGCCTCCCTCTTGGGTGCAAACACCCAAGTGTCAGTGGTGTTTGGAAGCAGAGGAGCAGTCCGTGGGAGGAAGCATTCCCCGACATTATTCTCACTTTGCACCCCCAACAGGAAATCCTGCAGTATCCTGGGAAGAACAAGGATGCTCAGTGTTCAAATCCTGCCTGGTTTTACCTAAGCTCCCTGGACTTCTGTGTCTCTATCTCTAAAATGACCATCAACTCAAATGGCTATGGGAAAATTAAATGAGACTAAGCATATGTGTAGATAAGTGGATGCTCTAAAAAAGTGATTTTCCTCCTCCTTTCAAACAAACGGACAGTGCTTCTTAAAATCAATGCTTCATAAAATCATAGGCTCTTGGGCTGGGGAATATTCTTTAAAATCATGACATTTGCTGTGGAAGAAACTAGAGGGAAAAAAATGAACCTACACTGCTGAGCCAAGTTTCAGATTTTACAATAGTGCCTGTGCACTAATGATAATTTAAGATGATGGTGTCCAGGAAGGGACCCATTTCTCTACAGCTGATTAGCCACAGATCAGTGCTATGGGTTATAGAACTAGGAAGGCAGAACATGAATAGACAGAGATAATATGTAGAGCAGAAGGAGCACAATACTGAGAGTCCTTGAATGCACTTTATTTGCTGCTTTGAGCAGCACTTTGAATAGCAAAATTATGCGTTAATATCAGTGGTTCACAAAATGTGGTCCCTGATCAGCAGCATCAGCATCACCTGGGAACTTGTTAGAAATGCAAATTATCTGGCCTCGCCCCAGATCTGCTGAATCAGAAACCCTGGGAGTGAGGCCAGCAATCAGTGTTTTAAGCAAGCTTTGCATGTGATTCAGATGAACGCTAGAGTTTGGGAATTACTGGTTTACATTTTAACAGCTTACAACCATCTTTTCCAATGCAAAGCAAAGTGGAATCATAAATGTCTTAGCATTTTAGATTCCTTACCTCCTTTACATATACTGTGAAAATTCCCAGATATTATTGTCTTCTGATTCTTGCAGAGATATGCATGAGCACAGTCACTAGGTAGAACTTCCTCAGTTGCCTTGGGTGGCTGTTGTTTAATTATGAAGCAGTAATAGAAGGATTCTGAAAATTAAGCAAATGAATCTGCTGTCACTTCTGTTCTTTAGAAATACCTTTCCTAGTTTGGATGCAGTGGCTCATGCCTGTAATCCTAGCACTTTAGGAGGCTGAGGCAAGAGGATAACTTGAGACCAAAAGTTTGAGACCAGCCTGGGCAACATAGTGAGACCCCATCTCTAACAAAAAACCCCAAAATTACCTTTCCTCTAGAGTTACAATACATTTATAACCTTATAACAAATTGTATACAAATCACTATGTTTTTATTTCTACACCTTCACAGTCCTGTCTCTAGAAGCAGTTACACCAAAGCCCTGTGTTGTCTGGAGGTGTGAAGACAGACACTCTGGGCCCCTCCAAAGGATGTCATCACTCAGGCCCAACTTCTGCTTATTTTGAATTTCCTGTTTGATGGTTAAAAGTCAAGGAGAAGACCAGAAGTTAAAAGCTTGTACCACATTCTGCCTCTGATTCATATTCTGTATCATCATTGGTTGTTTATGTGTCTGCCTCAATCTCCCAGATTGGGGCTCATCAGGGGCAAGAGTCATCTGTCTCATTCCCCTTCTACAAAATAGGCATGCAGTAGATGTTCACGGACAGGACGACACCGAAGCCAGCAAGGCTGAGCAGCTGGTGGAAGGCTGGGGAGCTCTTCCAAGCATCCACAGCTACTCCCTCCTGCTCACTTTATTACACCATCTCTGTTTATCGGGTGTTTATTACTTACTTGATTTCCACGTGTCATTCTCTAGAGACTTTGTAAGTGACTGACTGTGTTCACCCCTAAAACTTGGCAGAAGTCAGGCTTTGTAAATATAGTGGAAGAAAGGAGAGTCACAGCTAAGAGCTTCCTAATGAGGACACTGCGAACATGTTATTTTCAACATTCAACTCCTAAGTTTGAATAATTCATGAAAAAAAATCTGTTGAACTAGAAGTGACTGGGCTATTTTAATGAAAGTAGAGATTTGGAATGTTTTAGAGCTGCAGATCAACACCCTCAGTTTTCATGAGAGAACTGAAGGCAGGGAGAGGAAATGACCAGCCCACAACTCAGTGAATTAGTGAGCTCGGGTCTTCTGTGTCCCGTGCCCTCAAGGTCACACAGCGGCTAGTGGCCAATCTGAAACTAGAACTCAGGCCTTGAGATTCACACACCTAGTTCTTTCCATGGAGCCACCACAATTTGTCACAGGGACACCAGAGGGTAGGCAGGCCCAAGGTCCCTCTCTCCTGCACTTCTGGGTCACAGAAGACACAGGGAGATCACATTTCCTTTCCTTTTCCATCTTCAGTGATCAAGCCCAGTTGCTTTCTGCTCTGGCTGCATATGAGACCCCCGGGGAGCTTTTTAAAGATTCTGATGCTCAAAACCCACCCTAGGTCAATTAAATCCATCTGGTGGTGGGACCCAGGCTTCAGTGTTTTAAAGCCCCCTAGGTGGTTCCAATCTGCAGCTAAATTTGAGAAACATTGGGTCTAGCCTGTCCCTCTCGTTTCTCCTATTCTCTTAAAGGCCAGCATCCTTCCCTTGCTCCCTCTGTTTCCTTTTTGCTAATCCTTGGGTTGTTTTTGTTTTGTTTTGTTTTGTAGAGGGAGTTTCACTCTTGTTGCCCAGGCCGAAGTGCAATGGTGTGATCTCAGCTCACCGCAACCTCCGTCTCCCAGGTTCAAGTGATTCTTCTGTCTCAGCCTCCTGAGTAGCTGGGACTACAGGTGCATGCCACCACGCCCAGCTAATTGTTGTATTTTTAGTAGACACGGGGTTTCACCATATTTGTCAGGCTGGTCTCGAACTCCTGACCTCATGATCCACCCGCCTTGGCCTCCCAAAGTGCTGGGATTACAGGCATGAGCCACCGCGCCCGGCCTAATCCTCAGGTTTTAGCATTGCAATCACATGGTTAAGTTCAGGCTGCTGCCATTCCAAGCCATTTAAGACATTAGCCAAAAACTTAGCTTTGTGGTCCCCTTCTCATCTACTCCTCTCTCTCTCAGCTTGGCTGGGTCTTTGCTTCCTTTACCACTGCCTCCCCTCAGCCCCTACCCAGGCCTTACTCTCCCAGGAGGGGCTACCATTTGTAGCCCTTCTCTCAAAGCCTCCCTCCTCCTTGGCTTCATCCCCAGATTAGTATGAGGCTGGACTAGAGGAACTGGGAGCTCAGGCTGGATGGAAAGCTTTGGGGATGCTGTTCCTATGATTATTGGTCCCAGAGGAATAATTCTTCCAGCAGCTCTTCTTTTTTTTCTTGCTGGCTAAGTGTGTGGGTGTGCAGCAGGCATCTGCTAGGGAATGTCGGCAAAAAATAAAACTTTTGAAGCTTCAATTCTGCAGACAGATTGAGAGGCCTCCCAACAGTGCAGAATTGCTGAATCTGGCTCCTTCCACCCACTTACCCCCCCAGGAAGCGGTAGGTCGAGTTCGACGTGTTTTGATTTGTTAACAGTGGCCTAGCTTATGGGAGTTTAACTCATAAGTGTGACGCTTGAAGATAAACTAGTCAACAAATAATTATTGAACATTCATTGCATGCAGGGCACTGTGCTAGGCACTGATAAAACCCAGATGGAAGGTCACCTCTGCTAAACGTATTTTGTGGGCAATGAAAGGAGACAGGAAGAGAGGGGAGTAGGAATAGGAAGGAAATAAAAATCCATAAAAGGGAAAAGGGTTAGGAGTGGCAGGATGACAGTTGCGTGTTTAACTTCCCAGGACTTAAAGTCCTGAACTATATGTCCAGTCCATTCTCACCAACCATATTGGAGCCACCATATTGTTTTAATCTTGTCATTTGACCTCCAAGATACTTTGGGGGCCCCTCAGGGAGCTTAGCAAACATTATCCTAAGACAGCTGCAGCTTCTTTCTCAATGCGTCTCCATCTCCCTCGCGCGTGTCTTTTTGTCACTTTCTAACTCCCACGCTTTATCTCCCTTGCTATCTCTTAGATAGATAACATTTTTTCATGAATACATAAAGAAATAAATCCAAGCTCTCAGCCATTTATCAAACTAATAATGAATATTACTGGTGGAAATGACCAACACAAATTAACAGCTAAAACTACACATAGAAAAAAATGGTTATTGATGGAAAATTGCCTGAAGAATCAAATCTTCTTGACAAAATGTAGACATCCAAATATGATCAAGAAAAATTGGATTCGGTAGAAATAACGGGCACAAAGTAAAATCCATGAAGACAGATATTATAATTGGTAAAATTTGACATGGACAATAACTTGATAACGAATCCAATTTTGTCAGGAAATTTAAACAGAGACAGGAGGATTGCTTGAGGCCAGGAGTTCAAAATCAGCCTGGGCAACATGTGAGACTCCATCTCTATTTAGAAAAAAAAAAGAGGCTGTGCGCAGTGGCTCATGCCTATAATCCCAGCACTTTGGGAGGCCGAGGTGGGTGGATCACTTGAGGTCAGGAGTTCAAGACCAGCCTGGCCAATATGGTGAAACCCCATCTCTACTAAAAAAAATACAAAAATTAGCCAGGCGTGGTGGCGGTGCATGTAATCCAAGCTACTCGGGAGGCTGAGGCAGGAGAATCGCTTAAACCCAGGAGGTGGAAGTTGCAGTGAGCCAAGATAGCGCCACTGCACTCCAGCCCAGGTGATGGAGCAAGACTCTGTCTCAAAAAAAAAAAAAAAAAAAAAAATTGATGCCAATTAAGATAACATCAATACAATATATACAAAATGGTAAAAACTAGAAACTACCGTATGAAAAATTGATCAGTGAATTTCATTACTAATGACATTTGTTCTAGAAACTCACTTTCTTGATGGAAGTCTGTCAATGCTGGCATAATTCTGATGAAAATATTTATAGTCAAATTTCCAGTGAGGTAACAATAACAGTGAAAAATATCATGACCCCACAGGAGCTGCCTGATGAATAGGCAGCAAGGCGAAAACTAGATCACCACCCATAGAGTGGGGCTTAGGAATCTCTTTCTTTAAACAAACAAAAACAGAAACAAAAATCCTCCATCTTTTGAGCTATAATGTAAACGAACCAACTATTAACAAAATGTTTGGGGAACAACCAGAAAAATTTGAACACGGACAGAATGCTAGAGAGTATTAAACCGTTGTTATTATTATTATAGGCATGATGATGGTGTTGTGGTCATATATTTTTATAGTCCTATTGTGGACTGAATATATTCCCCCAAAATTCATATATTGAAGCCTGAACCCCCATTTTGACTGTATTAGAAGAAGGACCTTTAAATAGGTTACAGGGGCTAAATGAGGACCTAATCTAGTGGGAGCAGGGTGGGGTCCTAAGTGTCCTTATAAGAAGAAGAGCCATGGGGTAGGGCACTAGCATAAAGAAAAGGCTATGTGGGGACACAGTGAAAAGGTGGCCATCTGCAAGGCAAGGAGGCTGGCCTCAGGAGAAACCAACCCTGCCGGCACCTTCATCTGGACTTCTAGCCTCTAAAAATGAGAGGAAAATATTGTCTATTGTTTTAGCCACCCAGGCTATGGTATTTGTTATGGAAGCACTAGCAAACTAAGATGAATCCTTATATACTAGAGATACCCACTGAATTATTTATGAGTGGAATAATATGATGTCTAAAGTTTTGCTTTAAAATACTCCAGAAATAAAAATTGAGGATAGCAGATAGATAAAACAAGACTGGCTAAGGTTGACAGTTATTGGAGCTGGGTAACAAGTACTTGGAGGTACATTGTACTATTATTCTCTTCTACTGTGGACTATGTTTGAAAATATTCAAATAAGTTTTAACAAATTGACATGGACAATTGTACAGGTGATTTTTATGTATATTCAAGTAGATAATTACCAAGAAAAGGTTTCCCATAATCTTGTATTCTAACCTGGGCTGCTGTGGCCTGGAATAAAATGTCACAAATATATATTTATAAATAAAACAGTCACTAAATATAATAAGGGAAAAGAATAAAAATGCCCACTGCAGACAGTGGAACTGTGGGCAAGGGGCAAGCAGTCAGAGAAGGAGGAATCAGCATTCATTGAGTGCCTAATACATACCAGGTGCTTTGTAAACATTGTCTTTGGATACTCACATAGGTTTATGAAGTAGACTTATAATTTTCAATCCTTTAAAAACATTTTAATATGAAGAAACTAAGGCCCAGGGAGGAGGAATGAATTCCTAAGATCACACACTAGGAAGTGGCTGAGCTGGGATTTTAATCCTATCTGTCTGCTTCCAAAACTTGCATTCTTTTCTCTGTACAATACCTTTTCCCTAGATATTGCCAAATATCAGATCATAAAGGACAGGAATTCTGAAGAGGATAAAATCGTAGACAGACCATTACCAAAGGAGTTGGACTTGGAGGTAAGTCCTGGAAGTGGAGAAAAGACATGCAAGCAACCTAGGAGTGGGGAGGGATGGCAAGATGCAGAAACTTGGTGGCAGGTGGAGAATGGGGTAAGAATGAGAGGCCACCACTGCAGGCTCATATTTCTTGAATGAAGGGATAGACCAGATGATCTTTCAAATCTAAAATTCTGTCAACCCTCATCTGAGCCTCTCCACTAGGATGTTCCACCTTCATCTCCAGTTCTACATTTTTAAAACTAGATTCATTACTTTCTCTCCTCCCCACCTGAAACAATTTCCTCCTGGATTCCCTCACCTGCTGATAGGATTCTCTCACCCACCTACATTTAACACCTGTCATCTTTACCAATCTTGTCCAGGCCCAAGTCTTGGGACAGCACTGGTAAAAGAATCCTGATAAAAGTTTGTGTCACTCCTTTGCTCAAAACTCTAGGAGCTCCCCTATCTGTTCCTTGAATACCTAAGCCATGTTCTGGCCTCAGAGCCTTTGCACTGGCAGTTCTCTCTACCCAGAAGGCTCTTCTGCCAGATATCCATCTTAATCTCCTTTACGACTTTATTCAGTGTCACCATCCCAATGAGACCTTCCTTGACCACCTGTTTTAAGTTGCACCTACCTGCGTCTTCCCCTGCTGCATGCCTAATCTCTTATACCATGATCTACTATTTTTCCCTCAGCACTTGTTTCTTTTTAACACACTATTTGTTTTTCTTTTCTCTTAAAAATTGTGTATCTCCCTTCATTAGAATAGAAGTCAGACAAGGGCAGGGCTTTTGTCCAATTTGTTCACTTCTCTAACCCTAAGAATTAACAACAATGCCTGGGCGCATAGAAATTTCTCAATGAATGAATGAATCCATGTCTTATAAATGAAGTACAGCATAACATGGAAACTAATAAATAAAGATATGGATAAAGTTCTGGGGAAAAAAATGGCTGTCAGTTCTACCCACCTTGGAGTGTCAGGAAAAGTTTCACACAAGAGGTGACAATTGAGCTGAGACTTAAATGTAAGTGGGCCAAGGTAGATGGGGTAGGTGAATAATGGTCCCCAAAGAGATCAAGTCCTAATCCCTGGAGCCTGGGGTTATAGGATGTATTAGTCCATTCTCAGGCTGCTATAAGGACATACCCAAGACTGAGTAACTTATAAAGAAAAGAGGTTTAACTGACTCATAATTCTGCAAGGCTGGGGAGACTTCAGGAAACCTTACAATCATGGTGGAAGGGGAAGCAAATACATCTTTCTTCACATGGTGGCAAGAGAGTGAAATGAGAGTTGAGTAAAGGAGGAAGCCCCTTGTAAAACCATCAGATCTCATGAGAACTCACTCACTATCATGACAACAGTATGGGGGAAACTGCTGTCATGATTCAATTATGTCCACCTGGTCCCGCCCTTGACATGTGGGGATTATTACAATTCAAGATGAGATTTTGGGTGGGGATGTGTCCGGAATTTATTCCTTCTGGTGGGTTCTTGGTCTTGCTGACTTCAAGAATGAAGCCGTGGACCTTCGTGGTGAGTGTTACAGCTCTTAAAGATGGTGTGTCTGGAGTTCCTTCAGATGTTCAGATGTGTCTGGAGTTTCTTCCTTCTGGTGGGTTCGTGGTCTCGCTGACTTCAGGAATGAAGCTGCAGACCTTCACAGTGAGTGTTACAGCTCTTAAAGGTGGCATGTCCAGAGTTGCTTGTTCCTCCCGATGGGTTCATGGTCTTGCTGACTTCAGGAATGAAGCTGCAGACCCTCGTGGTGAGTGTTACAGCTCATAAAGGTAGTGCGGACACAAAGAGTGAGGAGCAGCAAGATTTATTGTGAAGAGCGAAAGAACAAAGCTTCCACGGCATGGAAGGGGACCTCAGTGGGTTGCTGCTGCTGGCTCAGGTGGCCAGCTTTTAGTCCCTTATTTGGCCCCGCCCACATCCTGCTGATTGGTCCATTTTACAGAGTGCTGATTGGTCCATTTTACAGAGTGCTGATTGGTGCATTTACAATCCTTTAGCTAGATACAGAGTGCTGATTGGTGCCTTTTTACAGAGTGCTGATTGGTGCATTTACAATCCTTTAGCTAGACACAGAATGCTGATTGGTGCATTTTTACAGAGTGCTGATTGGTGGATTTACAATCCTTTAGCTAGACACAGAGCGCTGATTGGTGTGTTTTTAGAGTGCTGATTGGTGCATTTACAATCCTTTAGCTAGACACAGAGTGCTGATTGGTGCATTTACAATCCTCTAGCTAGACAGAAAAGTTCTCCAAGTCCCCACCTGACCCAGAAGCCCAGCTGGCTTCACCTCTCAGGGACACAGCCAAACCATACAATGTGGCAAAAGAGACTTAACAGATGTGACTAAGCTAAGTATCTTGAGATGGAAATATTATTCTGTATTATTCAGCGGGACCATAAATGGAATCATAAGTATTCTTATAAGGGAGAGGCAAAGGTAGATTTAGCAGCAGCAGCATAAGCAGAAGTTGATGTGACACTAGAGCAAGATGCTGTGCTGCTGGCTTTAAAGATGGAAGAAGGAGTCATGAGCCAAAGAATGCAAATAATGTGGCTCTAGAAGCTGGAAAGGGCAAGAAAACAGATTCTTCCCTTCAGCTTGTGGAGGGAGCACAGCCCTGCTGACACCTTGATTTCAGCTCAGTAAAACTGATTTTGGACTCTGACCTCCAGGAATTGTAAAAGAATAAATGTGCATTGTTTTAAGCCACCAAGTTTGTGGTAATTTGTTACAGCAACCATTAAAAACTAATACAGAAGGTGAGGGCATCCTATTAGGAGGGAATAGTATGTACAAATTGTGAAAGTGACAGCATTTTCAAGACACCCCTGGGAAACTTAATGTACTTGGGTTAAGCAGTAGGGAGTAGAGAAAGGTGGGGTTGGAGATGTGGCAGGAGCTAGATTGTGAAGGGCCTTGCATGTCATGTAGAAGAGTTGGGTGGTATTCTATTGGTATAGGGAAATGTAATGACCTTCAGTCCTGAATGGCATATTTTCCTGGCTGCAGGGAGTGCTGCTGGCAGATGGCCCTTACTTGCAACTCTCTTCTGGAATCTCTTTTTTATGCATGCAGCTGTCTATCCCAAGCTCATACCAGCTTCCTGGGGCAACCAATGAGTGGTCTACACAGAAGTATACTCTGTCATTTCACTCCAATTCAGAAGAACTCTGAAGGGCCATCCCAACTTCAGAGCTTCCCAGGAGGTTAGCTAAAGCTTTGTTGTGATGACTTTGGAGCTCAACTTCCCTGTGTGTCCAATCCTGCCTTCTTCTCTCTCTTCTACAGGTATTAATCCCAACAGCCCTCCCTAATAAACATCCTGCCTGCTAGTCTTTGTCTCATTCAGCCTCCTTGGGAACTCACCCTGCCAATAGGGGTTAAATGGTCTTTAAGTAAGAGAATGAAAGGTAAGATTGGTTTGGGTGGTGATAACTCAGATCAGTGTGAGGACGCGCTAGGCTGGGGAGAGACTGGAGGAGAGATCAGTTAGGAAACTGGAGCAAGATTCCAGGTGAGAGATGATGAAATCCTGGGCAAAGGTAGAGGCAAAAGCAACTCTAGGCATGGTTGTCAGCTTTCCTGTGAACAGCCTCTTGAAGCCTAGTCCATAGCATGTTAACTAAAAGTTCTTCCTCATAGGCAACACAAGGGAAAATAGACAAATTAGATTATATCAAACTAAAAAACTTCTGCACAACAAAAGAAAGAATCAATTGGGTGAAGAGACAACCTATGGAGTGGGAGAAAATTGGAAACCCATTCGATAAAGGGTTAATATCCAAAATATATTAGGAGCCCAAACAACTCAATAGCAAGAAAACAACCTGATTTTAAAAATGGGCAAATGAACTGAATAGACATTTCTCAAAAGAAGACATACAAGTGGCCAACAGATATATGAAAAGATACCCACATCACTAATCATCAGAGAAATGCCAGTTAAAACCACAATGAGATATCTCCTTACACCTGTTAGAATGGCTACTATCAAAGACAAAAGATGTTGGTGAGGATGTGGAGAAAAGAAACAATTGCACGCTGTTAGTGAAAATTTAAACTAGTACAGCTATTATGGAAAACAGTATAGAGGTTCCTCAAAAAAATAAAAACACGACTACCATATGATTCAGCCATTCCACTACTGGGTATATGTTCAAAGGACATGATATCAGTATGTTGAAAAGATATCCAAACTCCCATGTTAACTGCAGCACTGTTCACAATAGCCAGATATGGAAACAACCTAAGAGTCCATCAGTGGATGAATGGATTTAGAAAATGTGATATATTTATGAGAAAGGCATGTTGAAAGCTGAGATGGGCCAAAAGCTAAGCCTCTTACACCAGTTAGTCAATTTGTAAATGCAAAGGAAAAGTTCATGAAGAAAATTGCAAGTACTACTTCATTAAACACATGAATAATAAGAAAGTGAAACAGCCTTACTGTTGATGTGGAGAAAGTTTGAGTGATCTAGATAGAAAACCAAACAGCTACAACATTCCCTTAAGCCAAAGCCTAATCCAGAGCAAATCCTAAGTTTCTTCAATTTTATGAAGGCTGAGAGAGGTAAGAAAGGTGCAGAAGAAAAGTTGAAAGCTGGCAGTGGTTGGTTTATAAAGTTTAAGGAAAGAAGCCATCTCCATAACATAAAAGTGCAAGGTGAAGCAGCAAGTGCTGATGTAAAAGCTGCAGCAAGTTATCCAGAAGATCAAGCTAAGATAATTGATAAAACTGGCTACACTAAACAACAGATTTTTAATGTAGACATACAGGCTTCTATTGGAAAAAGATGCCATCTAGGACTTTCATAGCTAGAGAGAAGTCAATGCCTGCCTTCAAAGTTTCAAAAGATAGGCTGACTCTCTTGTTAGGGACTAATGTAGCTGATGACTTTACCATTGACACCAATGCTCATGTCCCATTCCAAAAATCCTAGGATCCTTAAGAATCATGCTGAATCTACTCTGCCTGTGCTCTATAAATGGAACAGCAAAGCCTGGATGATGGCACATCTGTTTACAGCATGGTTTACTAAATATTTTAAGCCCACTGTTGAGACCTACTGTGTAGAAAAAAGATTCCTTTCAAAATACTAATGCTCATTGACAATGTACCTGGTCACCCAAGAACTCTTATGGAAATGTACAAGGTGATTAACATTGTTTTCAGGCCTGCTAATACAACATTTATTCTCTAGCCCAAGGATCAAGAAGTAATTTGGACTTTCAAGTCTTATTATTTAAGAAATACTTTTAGGCCAGGTGTAGTGGCTCACGCCTATAATCCCAGCACTTTGGGAGGCCAAGGTGGGCAGATCACGAGGTCAGGAGATTGAGACCATCCTGACTAACACAGTGAAACCCCGTCTCTACTAAAAATCCAAAAGAAAAAAAAAAAATTAGCCAGGCGTCATGGCAGGCACCTGTAGTCCCAGCTACTTGGGAGGCTGAGGCAGGAGAATGGCATGAACCTGGGAGGCAGAGCTTGCAGTGAGCCGATACTGCACCACTGCACTCCAGCCTGGGTGACAGAGTGAGACTCCGTCTCAAAAAAAAGAAAAAAGAAAAAGAAATACTTTTAGTAAGGCTATAGGTGCCATAGATAGTGAATCCTCTGATAGAGCTGGGCAAAATAAATTAAAAACCTTCTGGAAAAAATTCACCATACTAGATGCCATTAAGAACAGTTGTGATTCATTGGAGGAAGTCAAAATAACAGCATTAACAAGAGTTTGGAACAAGTTGATTCCCCTCACAAATGATTCTAAGGTGTTTAAGATTTCAGTGGAGGAAGTAACTGCAGATGTGGTAGAAATACTAAGAGAGCTAGAATTAAAAGTGGAACCTGAATATGTGACTGAATTCCTGCAATCATGATAAAACTTTAATGGATGAGGAGTTACTTCTTATGGATGAGCAAAGAAAGTGATTTCTTGAGATGGAGTCTACTCCTGGTGAATATGCTGTGAACATTGTTGAAATGACAACAAAGAATTTAAAATATTACATAAACACAGTTGATACAGCAGCAACAGGATTTGAGAGCACTAACTCCAATTTTGAAAGAAGTTCTGGCCTGGTGCGGTGTCTCACGCCTGCAATCCCAGCACTTTGGGAGGCTGAAGTGGGCAGATCGTGAGGTCAGGAGATTGAGACCATCCTGGCTAACAGGGTGAAATCCTGTTTCTACTAAAAATACAAAAAATTAGCCAGGTGTGGTGGCACACGCCTGGAGTCCCAGCTACTCAGGAGGCTGAGGCAGGAGAATTGCTTGAACCTGGGAGGCAAAGGTTGCAGTGAGCCGAGATCGCACCACTGCACTCCAGCCTGGGCGACAGAGCAAGACTCTGTCAAAAAAAAAAAAAAAAAAAAAAAAGGAAGGTCTACTGTGGGTGAAATGCTATCAAACAGCATCACATGCTACAGAGAAATCTTTCATAAAAGGAAGAGTTCATTGATGTGGCAAACTTCATTGTTGTCTTCCTTTAAGAAATCACCACAGCCACCCCAACCTTCAGCAACCGCCACCCTGATCCAGTCATCAGCCATTAACATGGAGGCAAGACTCTACACCAGCAAAGATTACAACTCAATAAAGGCTCAGATGATTGTTAGCATGTTTTTAGCAATAAAGTATTTTTAAGTTAAGCTATATACTTTTTTTAGACATAATGCTATCGCACATTTAATAGACTATGGTATTATATATATATATATATATATATATATATATATATACATGTATAGTGTAAACATAACTTTTATATGCACTGGGAAAATAACAAATTTGTATGACTCACTTTATTGTGATATTTGCTTTAATAGAGTGATCTGGACTTGAACCTTCACTATTTCCATGGTATACCTGTATTCTTGAAAACCCCTGACAGTAGATTTTAAGTGTTCTTACCCCCAAAAAATGATAAATCTGGGAGGTAGTACACTTGTTAATTAGCTCAATTCAGCCAGTCCACAATTTATACATATTTTAAAACTTCATGTTGTACAAAATATATAAAGTTTTTACTTGTCAATTAAACAATAATTTAAAAAAGAAGTTCGTCTTTATTATGGCCCAAATCTGTTCATTTTGTCCCTCATTTCTAATCCAGCTTTGTGGAACATGTCTACTTTCTTACCAAAAATATCTTCTCTGTTTCCCAGGCGAACAGTCAGCTTCAACAAGCAGCAGGTTTGATCAACCATTCTTCTCAGAGCAAGAAACCTACCATACTGGTAAGTGTTCTTCTTTCCAGTTCTCCTTGAATATCTCCAGTGTCAGAGAGCTCATTATCTTACGAGGCTGTGTATTCTCATTGATATGGTTTGGCTGTGTCCCTACCCAAATCTCATCTTGAATTGTAGTTTCCATAATCCCCATATGTCATGGGAGGGACTGGGTGGGAGGTAATTGAATCGTGGGGGTGGTTACCCCCATGCTGCTGTTTTCATGATAGTGAGTGAGTTCTCACAAGATCTGATGGTTTTATAAGGGGCTTTTCCCTCTTTGCTCAGCATTTCTTCCTGCTATCATGTGAAGAAGAACGTGTTTGCTTCCCCTTCTACCATGATTGTAAGTTTCCTGAGGCCTCCCCAGCCTAGCAGAACTGTGAGTCAATTAAACCTCTTTCCTTTGTAAATTATCCAGTCTCAGGCAGCTCTCTGTAGCAGTGTGAGAATGTATTAATATGCTCAGTCTCAGCTGAGAGCCTTTTATACTAAGTCTGAAACTTCTCATAGCTTTCACTTGGTTCTAGTTGAGACATATCATCAGCATGGAACGTGTTTAGAGGTCCTAGTTTTGGAGTCAAACAGAAATTGGTTCAAATCCGGATTCTGCTACTTAAAGTGACCTTGGTCCTTTTATGTCAACTAGTTTGCTCAACTGTAAAATGGGGACAAAAATAGAATCTACCTCATAAAGTTACCATTAAAAAAAAATATGTTGGCCGGGCGTGGTGGCTCACGCCTGTAATCCCAGCACTTTGGGAGGCTGAGGCGGGCAGATCACGAGGTCGGGAGATCAAGACCATCCTGGCTAACACAGTGAAACCCTGTCTCTACTAAAAACACAAAAAATTAGCCGGGCGTGGTGGCGGGCGTCTGTAGTCCCAACTACTCGGGAGGCTGAGGCAGGAGAATGGCATGAACCCCGGGGGGCGGAGCCTGCAGTGAGCCGAGATCGCACCACTGCACTCCAGCCTGGGCGACAGCGAGACTACGTCTCAAAAAAAAAAAAAAAATATGTTGGCCCGGCACAATGGCTCACGCCTGTAACCCCAACACTTTGGATGCCGAGGCAGGTGGATCACCAGGTCAGGAGTTCAAGACCAGCCTGGCTAACATGGTGAAACCCTATCTCTACTAAAAATACAAAAATTAGCTGGGCGTGGTGGCACACACCTGTAATCCCAGCTACTCGGGAGGCTGAGGCAGGAGAATTGCTTGAACTTGGGAGACAGAGGTTGCAGTGAGCCGAGATTGCACCACTGCACTCTAGCCTAGGTGACAGAGTGAGACTCTGTCTCAAAAAATAAAAAAAAGAATATATTTAAAGCATGATACCTGGCACGCTGTGAATACTTAATAAGTGCTAGATATTATTATGGATGTTAGATGTCAATTGAATGTGTCTCTCCAAAAGGCATTGCATTATGATATGTGCCCTCTTCAGGGGTGGCAGGGGAAGCAGCAAAAAGAAGTTCTGTCTCCTTATTGAGTTGTGAGTGGATACATACCTGACCTCTTTGAATAAAATGCATGTTAAGCACAGTAATCCTGTGTAGACTCTCATTCAGGACATGAGGCTGTAATCAAGGTGCCTCTCATGGCTTATATCTGCCTACTTAGGAGGAAAAAAGAATTTGTTTTCCATTTACCAAACAGCAGCCCTGCATAATAAGAAGGGATTGATTTTCTCAGCGTTCCATTAGCTCTGAGTATTTCAAGAGAGCATAATGCATTCCAGTGGGGGACATGAATTGCATCATCAGGGAGCTGGAAAGGGACCTGGAGAGGAATCAGGCTGGGGTAGCAGCTTTCAAAGGGAATAATCTCACTCTTCTCCACATTTTCCTTATATGTTTTTTCAAAATCTTTGAAGCATGGCATTTTGTATCCACATTTCTGATCCAGACACATGTTTCATAACCAGTTCAACTGCTGACCCAGTTAAATAATAATGAGTGGATTCTCATAAATCTCAACTTTTTCTCTCAGAAGAACCCAGTGGAAGAGGCTACAGAGTGGTGGCTGTGGGAGAAGTCATCACTGGTGATGTCAAAACCCATTGCTTGATTGGTGGTGCTAAAGATGAGCTGTCTGCCCATCAAAATCACCAGTAGGAGAGAAAGAAAAATTTAGTTAATCTGTTGGTTGTTTTGTCTACCTGGTATTCACACAAGTAAAAAAAAACAGAGAGAAGAAAATACTGTCTTCCACAGAATGGAGTGATTTTTTTTCCTCATAGAAGAAAGGTTGCTTCCTGGAGGTTTTTATGGGAAGTATAGTATAACCAGTAGTGTGATGGCAAATGTTTAACACAGACACTAGCAGGTGAAGGGAGCCTGAGTTGGTAGAAAGTGCTCATTTTTGTGGTGTATATGTTTTCACCATAGTCAATTTCAAGCTACCAACACAACATCACTGAGTGCGGTATTGGGAGAGATGAGCAGAAGCACACCATTCTGTAGTGTTTCCACCATCCCTAACCTGTGAGATCACTACTCACTCACACACTCACTCAGTCATTCATCTTTTATTTATTCAACAAACATTTATTGAGCACCTGCTGGGCACTGGAAATACTGAAATGCACAAGAGGCTCTCAAGATAGACAAGAGAGCTGATGACTACAGGGGGATGTAATAAATATACGACAGAGTTAGGAATGGGCAAGGTGACTGGGAGGAAGAGTGGCCTCTTGGACTGGCCATTCAGTCCTCCAGCTGCTTCATTGGAGAGTTTGACAGTAGATCCCTTTCCCCAGCTTGATACACTCTCTTTCCTTGGCCTCCAGGACACCATTCTCTCCTGGATTTTCTCCTGTCTTGTTGGCAGCGCCTTCTCAGTCTCCTTTGTTGCTTCCTCCTTAGCTCTATGACCTCTAAATGTTGCAGTGTCTCAGATTCCAGTCCTTGGATGTCTTCTCTTTTCTACCTCCCTCATCCAATGGTAATTTATCCAGTGTCAAGATTGTAGATCATCCACGGCCCCCAGCTGTAGATCCTCCCGCAACCCTGAACACCAGACTCATCTGTCCAACTGCCTATTTGAAAACCCCCATATGGCTAACAAATGTCTCCAACTTAACATGCTCAAAGTTGAAACCCTGACCTCTGTCCTCTGAAACTTGCTCCTCCTCCATCTTCTCCACCCCAGGAAATGGCCACTCTCACTCTACCCCTCCAGTTGTTCGGGGGCTCAAAACCTGTGAGTCATTCTTTCCTTCTCTAACGCCCCAAATTTAATCCATTGGCAAAGATTGTGGACTGTCTTCCAAACATCCAAGAAGCAACTGTGCCTCACCCCCTCCACCACCTTCACCATGGATCATGCCACCATTGCTCACCTGATTTACTGTATGACCTCCAAATACATCTTCCTGCCTCCACTCTTGTCCACTGCTGCCCCACCCACAACACACACCTATATTCAATTCTCAACATAGCAGCCCAAGTGGTCCTGTTGAAAAATAAGTTAGATCATTTCATTAACCTCATAGGATTGTTATGGGTATTGCAATGTCTGGCACATGACAAACATTCAATTTTTGTTAGTATTATTGTTGCATTTAAATTAAGAGGCTATTCATTATACTGTGTGATTTCTTTTTGTTTGTTTGTTTTCGGAGACGGAGTCTCACTGTGTCGCCCAGGCTGGAGTGCAGTGGTGCGATCTCGGCTCACTGCAAGCTCTGCCTCCCGGGTTCACGCCATTCTCCTGCCTCAGCCTCCCGCGTAGTTGGGACTACAGGCACCCGCCACCACGCCTGGCTAATTTTCTTTCTCTTTTTTTTTGTACTTTTAGTAGAGACGGGGTTTCACCGTGTTAGCCAGGATGGTCTCGATCTCCTGACCTTGTGATCTGCCCGCCTCAGACTCCCAAAGTGCTGGGATTACAGGCGTGAGCCACCACCCCTGGCCTATACTATGTGATTTCTAATATCCGATTTTGTTAGTTCTTACAGACAAGTAGCTTGTGCTTCAAACATCGCACCCACAATCATGAAGGTAGCAGGTCTTCAGTTCAGAGCAGAGGAGATGTTGAGCTGCAATACAAATGTCACCCTCAGAAGGTCTATTTTAATAATGGAGACTAATTTAGTTTAGAAAGCAAAAAATTTCCAATTTGGCAAATTAAGGTATAATTAACATGCAGTAAAAATCATGGATTTTTTTTGTTTTTGTTTTTGTTTTTTTGGAGATAGGTCTTGCGCTGTCACCCAGGCTCAAGCCACCTCTGCCTCCCAGGTTCAAGCCATCCTCCCATTTCAGTCTCTTGAATAGCTGGGACTGTAGGTGCACATCACCACGCCCAGCTAATTTTTGTATTTTTTGTAAAGATGGGGTTTCACTATGTTGCCCAGGCTGGTCCTGAACTCCTGAGCTCAAAGGATCCCCCCACCTCAGCCTCTCAAAGTGCTGGGATTACAGGTATGAGCCACTGCGCCTAGCCAATTTATCCTTTTTAGTGTACAGTTCCATGAGCTTTGACAAATGCATACAGTCAGGTAACTGTGTCACAGGTACTTTATCACAACTTGATAAAGTTTACATTTCTCTTGAGTAAAATTGGGATTACTGGGTCTACCTGTGTTGTGGGAAAACTTATATTTTAGATTATTCTTGAATAAACATAGAACTATTACTCTCAGATTCATGATGTGAAAATAAGTAATTCAAAATCTAAGCTGTTGGAACTATAAAATATTTTGAGCCTTAAGGGAATGTGATTATGGGACCTGAGTCACAAAAACAGGCAGCTATAACCTTTTGTGTCTCTGATTATAGATTAGCCTTTTTTCCTTACCTACATTGTTTTGTAATATGTTGGAAATTACTAACGGGCACCGAGGTAGGAACCCCTTCTCTCTTAACTATTGATCTTTGTTGTAGGTTAACTTCCCTCTTTCTTCTCTCACACAGACTTCTTGACTATCATATTGTCTAAGATGAAATGTTAAATATATTACTTCAAATTGGAAAGGAGAAAAAAAGCTGGATATAAAAGAAAAACTGTAATTAAATTGTTTTAACTCGTAAACCAACCTTGTATAGAAAATGTCATAATCCTATTAAATTTTTTTGTTTCCTGCCTATATAAGCAAGACCTTAATTTTTAACTTTGGAGTATTGACCCCATTCCTTTGAAGCCTGTGTTATCCAAATCCAAATGGCCATTCTCAGCTTTGCGCTTGAATAAACTTTTTTTTTGAGACAGGGTCTCACTCTGTCACCCAGACTGGAGTGCAGTGGCACAATCTTGGCTCACTGCAACATCCACCTCCCAGGCTCAAGTGATTCTCCTGCCTCAGTCTCCTGAATACCTGGGATTACAGGTGTGCGCCACTACCCACCGGGCTAATTTTTGTATTTTTAGTGGAGATGAGGTTTCACCATGTTGGCTGGGCTGGTCTTGAACTCCTGACCTCAAATGATCCACACACCTCAGCCTCCCAAACTTCTGGGTTTACACGCCCAGCCAATAGACTCTTTTAAACTGAATTCTGGTCCTTTTGATTATTTCAGGTTGATGATGTAATGGTTGATTTTATACATCAACTTTACTGGGCTAAGGGATGCCAGATAGTTGGTAAAACATTATGTCTGGGTGTGTCTGGGAGGGCGTTTCTGGAAGAGGTCAGCATTTGAATTGACGAACTGAGTAAAGCAGATTATCCTCCTCAGCGTGGGTGACCATCATCCAATCCTTTCAGAACCTGTGTAGAACAAAAAGGCAGAGGAAGGGCAGTGAATTGTTGCTCTCTTTTTGAGCTGGGACATCCATCTTCTGCCTGTGAACATCAGTGCTCCTGGTTCTCCAGCTTGCAGACAGCAGATCTCTTGGCCTCCATAATTGCATGAGCCAATTCTTACACTCTCTCTCCCCGCAAACTCCTGTGTCTATATATATCATCTGGGTTCTGTTGCTCTGGAGAACCCTGACTAATACACATGACAAAGACTGATGTAAAGGGTAAAATCATTCTGTGCCTTGAAGGATCTTCTATGTGTTTCAATCAGTAGGAGGAGTGATGTGTAAATTAGCAAAGTCATCATTTGCAAATGGCTCTTTTCAAAATAATTTTATAAGTACTTAAAAATAGTTTGTTGGCCTTCCTTCTTAAGAAAGATAAACATTTCCTTTGTTTACACATATTGATTTGCTTTATAAGCAAATCTACTGAGTGCAATTTCTACAGAGAGCGCAAAAGTCCAGCCTGCTTAAACACTGTGATCACCTTGTAGTGCATGAGGTCTTGCCATGCTCTTCCAGGTCACTATTCTATAACCAAATTGGGCCTAATCCAGACTAAGGTGCTCTCTGCTCATTTTAATTTAATTTATTTTTTTTAATTAGCAAATTTTTTTTAAAAAAATAACAAGCTTTTTAAAAAAGAAATTAGCAAAAAAATTTTAAAAAATAATTTAGCTATCTGTTTGTTAAACACAACATCATTAAAAAAAATTTTGGAGGTCTTTCCTTGGAAGGGTGGGCAAAGCTGGAGGCAGCCTACTGTAGGAAGAAGATCCCAGGCCAGAAGTTAGAAGACATGTAGTAGTTCTAGCTCTGATCACAACTAGTTATGTTAACTTGGCCTCTTTGGGTATTAGTTTTGGATAGGACAAGGGTAAAGTGAGAGGGATACCTAGGCTGGAGAATTTAAGGATATACTTTCAGGACTGACTGCACTTACTTTATCCTGAAAATGAGTGCCGACTTAAATTTTGTACCTTAGTTTCTCATTTGTCTTTCTCTAGCCCTAGGTTTACTCAGTTTCCTTGTCTGTGAAATGAGGAGCCAGGCTTTGTTATCTCTGTAATCTTTCCCAGGGCTAACATTTTATGTCCCAAACCTAAAGCTTAGGCCAACATAGAACCAGTCAAAGTAAGACACGTGTAATTACCCAGTTGAACCTGGTCAATAGTCTAGCTGAATAATTCAGGGCAAAAGTACCCTGTTTTTCTGCAATAGGAGGGTGGATTTTCTTTGCTCTGCAGTTCAAGAAGGTTGTAGGAAGAGTCCTAAGTTACCCTCTATCTTAATTATATCAACAGTCCTAGCTCACTGGCTCCATTGCTTTTTTCTGACTTGCAGCCCAGGCCATCCACAAATTGCCATGCCATCTCTTGCCCTGTGATGATACATTCACTTGTGCAATCCAGAAATTCTCAAATGTGTGTGTTGGTGAGGGAGGGTAGTGTTAAGGTGTACAACTAGCTGTGCCCCCTAGGGGTGATATTTATTTTATTTTAAATTTCACATAACTTGAAAGGAAGACCTGAGTCAGTGGCATGCAGAATCCACTCCTACTAGTTGGTGAGAGTGACTGTTAAAATTTCAAGAATTTAGTGAGCTGCTTGTTAAACACAACATCATTAAAAATTAGATAAACTTACAATTAAATAAATTATATTAAAAACAAAGGTAATAAATAGCAAAATTTCTTCACTTCCTAATTGTTTTACTACATTAACTATTACGTTCTTGAGGTTATTTACATCTATTATATATGTATAGTAGAAATACTAAATAACCATGTGCTACTTACTGCACATCTCAACTCTATGTTCAGTCACATCATATGGTAGCTGGAAATCAGACACACTGGGAGCATTTACACCATGGAAATTGGCAGATGCTTTGCTAGGGCTTTGCCAGGGATTTTCACTTGCTTAGGTTAACGAAAAAGTTGAAAAATATGTTACTTGTGATTTACCCTTGCCCTATCTATATAAAGCAGCTTCATGTAGTGGAAAGAGCTCTGCATGGACTGGTTCTGCTAATAATTTGAGAATACCACCTCTGTCCTTCAACATCCCCCCTCTCTGGAGCAGGCAAAAGTATAATATTTTCCCTTGTTATCTCATAAGATTATTAGGATAATAAATGATCATTTTTGAAACAAAACTTTATTTTTTAACTCTTAAAATAATTCGGTGGTTTATGATTTGTAGTTTAATAAAAGGGCTTAAAAAAAGTGAATACCTTTGTCTTAGTCCTTTTTGTGCTGCTATAATAGAATATCACAGCCATAGTAATTTATAAACAATTGATTTTGTGTATGTGTGTGTGATGGAATCTTGCTCTGTCAGCCAGACTGGAGTGCAGTGAAATGATCATGACTCACTGCAGCCCCAACCTCCTGGGCCCAAGTGATTCCCCCACCTCGGCATCCCAAGCAACTGGGATCACAGGTGTGTGCCACCACGCCCAACTAGTTTTTTAATTATTTGTAGTTACGAGGTCTCACTATGTTGCCCAGGCTGGTCTCAAACTCCCAGGCTCAAATGATCTTCTCACCTAGACCTCCCAAAGTGCTGGGATTACAGGCATGAGCCACTGTGCCTGACCAACAATAGAAGTTTATTTGGCTCATTTTTCTGAAAGCCATGAAGGCCAAGATCAAGAGGCCACATCTTGTGAAGGGCTTCTTGCACCATAGTAACATGGCAGAAGGCATCGTATGGCAAGAGAGTGCATGTGAGAGAGGAAAGAGAGTCAAACTCACTCATTATAAGGATGCTGCTCCCATGGTAATGGCATAAATCCATTCATGAGGGCAGAGCCCTAATGACCTAATCGCCCCTTAAAGGTCCTACCTCTCAACACTGTTGCTTTGGTGATTAAATTTCCAACGCATGAACTTTGGAGGACACATTCAACCCATAGCAACCTTATATAAACAAAAGGTGTTGTTGCAAAAGATCACACAGTCACAAGAGAATGGTTAATAGATATGAAGGCATAAAGCTAGAAAAATAAAAAATAAAAAATGCATGGGTAAGACGAAGGGTTATTAATAACTCAGAATTTTATGTTAAAATTATTCATTTGTACGCATTTTTTTCTCCATACACAAAAAATGTGTGAACAAAATGTAAAAGGATTCATTTAGCACCTAATGCTGTGATTTATTTGTTGGAGCAAAGTGGTAGAGTGCCACCTTACCTCCTTCCTCAAGTCTCACACTTGATCTGCAGTTGCGAACTGTAAGCTTGGGCCAGAGAGGGACAATGTCTGCTCTCTATTTCTGCCCACTTGAGGCCATTAGACATAACCTTGAGTGGTCTGAGCCCAGCTGTGGACTATAATCTCATGGTGTGGGGGTGGGGGTGGGTCACAAAGTTATGATACAATAATAAGAAGTCTGAATTCATTTCAATCCCAAAAGCTTTGTCTGTAGAATAAAGAATGATTGTTTTTTAAATGCATCTAGACACTGTTGTTATGAATCAAACACAATTTCACTTCAAAGCCCTACTGAATCCGTAGTGTCTTTCTGTTACCAGTGCTAAAGCTGAGCTCTAGCCAAGAGCACCCAGCTGAGGGGCCTCACACAAGGGCTGGAAGCAGTCACAACTCTCCTCCATGAGCCATTTGTCCTGTTTTGGTGCTGAGTCATCCCTGAGAGGAAGCACTACCATTTTCTAATGGATCCATATAATTGATCCTCTTTTACTTCATTTCATAAAGCCATGCAAATAGTAGCAAGGACTCTATAGGAATTATGTATGTTCTTAATCAACAGATATTAACAAAACACCACCAGAGTACAAGTGTTTTTGCTATCAGAAAAAGAGGTGTTCATGTCTAAAAGGTTTGGAAAACCCTGGGTTGAGATTTTTGAGTCTGTCTGGACTAATATTTCCAATTCTCCTCCAAAATGTGTGTCTGTTTGTATGTGTGTGTGTGTGTGTTTGTGTGTGAGAGAGAGAGAGAGACAGAGAGAGAGAGAGAGGAAGAGGGATCTATCTATCTATCTATCTATCTATCTATCTATCTATCTATCTATCTATCTAGAATGAGATTGCAAAGCTCACCCCCAATAGAGATCAGGGTAACTGGATTTTACCAGTCTCTATTCTTTCTCAGACTCTGATGAAGATTCTGCTAATATGATGTTTGTCATAGATTCATTCAAAATCTACCAGTTAGCTTTTACTGCAGAGTAAGACACCTTAAAATATATGTTAAAACAACAAACATTTATTATTTCTCACAAATTTGTGGGTCAGCTGGACCAGCTCATTTGGGGCTAGGTGGTCTAGAATGGCCTCACTTACATTATCTGATGGTTGGCTGGGGGGCAGTGGGGATACTTGGCTGGGTACTTTTCATCATCCAGCAGGCTAGTGTGGGCTTACTTACGTGGTAATGGTCTCAAGGCTCCCAAGAGCAGCCAGAGAGCAAGCCCTGGTGTGTAAGTGTGCAAGTAGTGTGACATCCTCTGCCTGTATTCTGTTTGCTAAATTCCCATTGGAAAAGTAACGTGTCCAGCCCAAAGTCAGAGTGGGAGGACACAAAAACAGCATGGATAGAAATTGTGATCATGATCGCAAATTATCACGCTCATTGATTTTAAAGACATTAGGGAACAAAATCCTATTTCCAATTTCCATTAGAGAAAAAGAACTGTTTTCTGCTTTGTCTAACATTATGGCTATGTAATTTTGAATTTTCTATAACAATAAAAAGGAAATAAGACAGAACTAATTTTTATAATGTATTTTATGTAATCCAATGTATTTATGTAATTCAATGTTATTATTTCAGTATGTAATCAACATAAAGAGTTAGGAGGTCTTTTTTTTTTATATGAGCCTCTTAAACCTAGTGTGTACTTCATCCTTACAGCATACCAGAATTTGGACTTGCAACATTTTAAATGCAATGGACCCATGTGGCTAGTGGCTACCACACTAGATGGCACAACTTGATAATATAGACTTCATTTCTTTATTTACATGAGAAAATTGAGGCTTAGAGAGGATAAGTAGCTTTCCCAAGGTCACATGGCTCTTCAGTGGTTGGGCCAGAATTCAGCTCCACACTGATTTGACATGGAAGGCTTTGCTCTTTCCACTATACCACATTGGCTGCATCAACAGGCTTTTGATGAGATGGGTAGAAAGCACTTGTGCCACAGTCCTCCTTTTGAAATATAAACTGCTCGCCTTTCCCTTAGTCTGCGGGGTCTAATTCTTTGACTTCTGGGGCCTTCCACGATTTAGCCTTTATCCTATTCATTCATTCGTCTCCTTTCCCAAAATATATCATGCTAACCTGGGAATTGGAAGACATGTTTCACTCCTGTACTACCTCCCTTTGGGCCTCTGTTCATCAGTGCTTTGATATGTATGTGCTCTTCTTTCTTTCTTGGTGGTTCTCAAGAGCAAGAGCTATGTCAATGATTTCTCTTTTATTCTCCTACTCTGTATGCTTATTCTTGTACTTTGTAAGCTCTGATGTACAGCATTTTGTATAGTTCTTTTTTGGGAGTGGGAGCTCAATAAGTCAGTGACCCAACTGAGCTGACATCAGAGAAAGGGCCAAGGCTGCTCCACAGAGGGATCTAATGTCCCAAAGGATGTAAACCTAGGGATGTTAGACGATGGCCTCCAAGTACCTGCTTCCTCTGGAAGGAAGGAAGGCAGCTGGCTGACACATGGCTATGCCATGAACCCGGGGCAGCCTGGCACATCACAGGCCCTCAATAGATGTTTGTTGGAAGAACAGATTCCATGTACTTCTAAGTTGATTTGAGCTCAAAGCAAGGAGGGATTGACACACTGTCCTCCATCCTCACAAAATTGATAAACATAGCATTTTTATAACATTAGGTAAATTCTGAATGTAAACTTAGTGGCAGAATACAATTGGATATTATTGATTGACAATTAAAATAGCAATTAAAAACTGCCCAGTCTCTAAATGATCTTTTTCAACATTACATCTATTTTTCTATCTGAACAGAATATCTATATTTTTCAACTTCTTTTATGTTCCCCTGATGAAAAAATAGCAGTTAAAGACTGCTTCACTCTGATTAATCCTTTCCAATATTTTACCTATTTTTCTGTTTGAAGAGACTGTATTTTAAAGCTCCCTGTGTATTCCTTTGATGAAATATTGGAGCAGTTTTGGTTCCTGAGGTTTCTTTTTTTCTTTCCATTTAATTAAGCTGATTAGTATCCCATATGGAGTGGAAACAATTGTTTTCAGATATGCTAGCATACAGTTACCCAAGGAGCTGCAATTGTTTACATGTTTCTAATTTCCTTATGGAAATTCTTAGACTTTGTTAGATAAAGATCTGGCAGACTCTAATTTTGAACATTACAGCCTTTGGTTATCAGACATGGCTATATCCTGTTCAGTGGCCTCTGGGATAAAATAGTATATTCTACAATTTTCGTTCCATAGAGTGAACTTTCAAAAGCCTACCCAGCATCCATTTCCTCTTGCCTGTTTCTAACAGCACTCTGATTTTTGTTCAGGAATACCTCTACCCGCATGCAGAGCTGAGGTTTAGGGAAGCTGACCCTGCCTTCAGCTGCAGTGTGGGCCTCACTGTTCTATGGGTAATTCTACTCCTTTGCCACAGCGGAATCCAGACCTTAGATAATCTATGGGTGGCATTCTTGGGTCAAGGGGATTGGTTCAGGAATGGGCATGTGACCAAATTGTGACTAATAAGGTAGAAGGTTTTGTAAGAGTTTCAGGATAGGAGGATTCCTAAAGAGTGGGGTTACTGGGTAATATGGTCCCTCTTCCTGTGGACATTGTTATGGCCAGGAAATGCTACTGTCACCTCGCTGGTGGCCCGAGTAAGTTGCCAAGCCACAGAAGAGGAAGGGGCCAAGCAAATCATAGAGAGGCAGATTTGGAGGCTGATGGAGCCACACCTGACAGCTACCCAGCATCTGGACTCTTTCAGTTAAATTAACCAATAAATCCCCTTTAGGGTATGAGCCAGTTGGAATAGAGTTTTCTATTACTCACAGCCAAATGCATCCTTGCCAATATAGACAATTTCACCAAAGAATTGTGAATCATAAAATAAGAACTCAGTCCTAGGAAATAAAACATAAATGTGTGAGTGAATACAGAAAAGAAAATACAGAGCAGGCCTGGATGTAATACAGTCCTCCTTTCTTCTATCTTCCAAATGAAGAAACAGGTTCAGAGACTTCTGACAAAGCTTGCAAGTTACAGAGCCAGGATTCCTGCTAGGCTTATAAGTCATAAACACACACACACACACACACACACACACACACACACACACGTATATATATACATATGTACACACACACATGTATATATATATATACACACACACACATAGGTACACACACACACACGTATATATATATACACACATATGTACACACACACGTATATATATATACACACATATGTACACACACACACACACACACACACACACACTGAGCTATACTTTGACAAATTCCTTCAGAGAAACCCAATGGGCAATCTGGTACCAGACCCTACCTTGACCTAATCAAACAGCTATGCTACTCTTGCTATAGTTCTTATAAAATATATGAACAGAAAATAGTCTGTATATCTTCTTATTTTTCTACACAAGGTTCTGTCTCAACAACCTCGCCATTTTTCTTTAAGTGACTTGGCTTTTTTTTTTTTTAACAATTTATGTTCTGATTGCTTTATTCGTAATGCGTAGAGCTGGTCAAAGGGGTCAATGAAAAGAAGATAAATAGAAACTGATTACAGCACAAATCAAATGTGTAAATAAACATCATAATCTCATTTTGACATCCCAGGCTTGTGGTCAGGTATCATGGTCATATGTCATCCATCTTTCGTAGGCAGTTCAGCAATCTCCAGTCATTCCCTAAGTGGGCTCAGTAGTGACCATCTGGCACTGGTGGACCACCAAGCAGATGCCTGGTCGATGAACATTCCCATCATGTCTCTTCCAGGCCCTGAGACCTACACCTCTCTCAGAGCAAATTTAAAAACTTCTGGCCTGGTATGCCAGGTTCTTGGTATCCTCATTCCACTTGCCTCTCCAGCTTGTGGAAATGATTTTATTTTCTCTCTCTCTCTCTCACTCTGTTTCTCTCTCTCTCTCTCTACCTCTACCTCTATTTCTGTCTCTGTCTACCCTGTTATACTTCTTCTCTTCTAAATGCCATGCTCTTATTTTCCTATGCTTCTTATTCTTTTTTTTCATCACTAAAGATCTATCCTTTCTTCTCTCTGTCATAATAAGACTACCTCTTATTGATTTCATAATGAGAACTTCCAACAATCTATTTGTCCCTTTATCTCAACCTTTTTGGTTAAACAATTCAATTTTTTTTTTTTTGAGACAGTCTGGCTGTGTCGCCCAGGCTGGAGTGCAGAGGCACAATCTCGGCTCTGCAAGCTCTGCCTCTTGGGTTCACGCCATTCTCCTACCTCAGCCTCCCGAGTAGCTGGGACTACAGGTGCCCGCCACCACGCCCGGCTAATTTTTTGTATTTTTAGTAGAGACGGGGTTTCACTGTATTAGCCAGGATGGTCTTGATCTCCTGACCTTGTGATCCACCCACCTCGGCCACCCAAAGTGCTGAGATTACAGGCGTGAGCCACCGTGCCTGGCCGACAATTCAATTTTTAATGTTAGAACATCTCAACATTTTCTTAAGATGATTCAGGTATTTAAAAGTAATTTCCCTAAACAATTATATAATTTTTAAAAGTCTCTCTTTTTCTATTTTCTAATACCTTCCAGAATTGGATAATTAGAAAATGTTTTTGAGTTTTTAAAAAAATTATTTTTATTTCCTTTTTTAAAAATTTTCATTTTTTTATTTCAATAGATTTTTGGGGAACAGGTGGTGTTTGATTACATGAATAAGTTCTTTAGTGGTGATTTCTGAGATTTTGGTGCATCCCTCACCCAAGCAGTGCATACTGTACCCAATGTGTAGTCTGTTATCCCTTGTCACCCACCCCACCCTTTCCCCTGAGTCCCCAAAGTCCAAGGTATCACTCTTATGCCTTTGCGTCCTCATAGCTTAGCTCCTACTTATAAGTAGGAACATATGATGTTTGGTTTTCCATTCCTGAGTTACTTCACTTAGAATAACAGTCTCCAATTCTATCCAGGTTGCTGCAAATGCCATTATTTTGTTCCTTTTTATGGCTGAGTAGTATTCCGAGGTATGTATATACTACATTTTCTTTATCCACTCATTGGTTGATGGGCATTTGGGTTGGTTCCATATTTTTGCAATTGCAAGTTGTGCTGCTATAAACCTGCATGTGCAAATATCTTTTTCATATAATGACTTGTTTTCCTGTAGGTAGATACCTAGTAGTGGGATTGCTGGATCAAATGGTAGATCCACTTTTAGTTCTTTAAGGAATTTCCACACTGTTTTCCGTAATGGTTGTACTAGTTTTCATTCCTACCAGCAGTATAAAAGTGTTCCCTCTTCACCACATCCACACCAACATCTATTTAAAAAAATTTTTTTGATTATGGCCATTCTTGCAGAAGTGAGACGGTATTGCATTCCACTTGTATATCTTCTTTTGAGAATTGTCTATTCATGTACTTATCTCAATTTTTGGTGGGATTCTTCGTTTTTTTTCTTGCTGATTTGTTTGAGTTCTTTGTAGATTCTGGATATTAGTCCTTTGTCAGATGTATATGTTGCGAAGATTTTCTCCCACTCTGTGGGTTGTCTGTTAATTCTGCTGATTATTTATTTTGCTGTATAGTTTTTCAGTTTACTTAAGTCTCATCTATTTATCTTTGTTTTTGTTGCATTTGCTTTTGGGTTCTTGGTCATGAAGTCTTTGCCTAAGCCAATGTCTAGAAGGGTTTTCCCAATGTTATCATCTAGAATCTTTGTGGTTTCAGGTCTCAGATTTAAGTCTTTGATCCATCTTGAATTGATTTTTGTATAAGGTGAGAGATGAGTATCCAGCTTCATTCTTCTCCATGTGGCTTGCCAATTATTCCAGAAGCTTGTTTTTTTTTTTAAATGAAGAAATGGTAAAGAAGGTAAGTCCTCCACTAGACTAAATATGAGCATGGCACCCTGATACAAATAATGTAGTCAAATTCTTATCTGGACTTCATTGTCTACCCCCAAGCAATTTGTCAAGTTATTTTCCTAAATACAGAGTTTTCCTGCCAAGAATTCTGGTGACAGTTGTCAGGCAATAAAATTGTAATTTCCTGGCTATAAATGAATGGTCTTTCCACTGACAGATGACATCATATTGTATAGATTCATTCCTGAAGAATCTATTGCAGCCCTAAAGTACTACTACCTTTACCTTTTAAAGGGGCTCTGAACTTTCCGAAGCTTACTAACTAAAAGGATATTTTAAAAACTTCAATAATGGCTATTATATCATTATTTACCATGTAAGTATTATTGTGGCACATTGCAAAGCATTGGTAATATGGCCATCGCAGAGTTATCTTGCCTAATCATTTAATCCTAAGGTTTCTTTTAAAAAAAATGGCTCATGATCCACAAAGACAGTAAGCACATAAGATTTCAGAGGAGAAAACAATCGCTGTAGCCTAGAATAATTGAGGTTTCAGCAGTGAAATCTGAGTTGGCCAGGTAGGATTCAGCTGGGAGAGAGGAAGCAGAAAGGTACTCTTGTCTAAGTGAATAGCGTGGACAAATCTGCGGTGATGAGAATGCATAAAGCATGCTTTAGGGAACAGTCAGTTGAGTAGTCTAGCTGGGGTAGAGTATACTGTTGTAGAAAATCTTAAAACTCAAGCAAGATAGTTTGCATTTTTTTGCTTCTGTGAGCATATGGGAACCTAGCACTGGAGGCTAGGAGGGAGGGATGAGAGCTTTAAGAAGGTGAACCTGATTGCAGAGTGCATGGCTCTGGAGGCTGGGGGTCCATTTTAGATGAAATGAAGTCGTCCATGTGCAACTGCAACAGCTTGACTGAAGGAGGGAAAGGGAGAGTGGAAATGATGAGTCAGAGGGGGAGATGTTAGGAAGAAAAAGGATCAGCAGCTCTTGGGGACCAACTGGAAAAGGAAGTCCAGATGGAGAGGGCATCCAAGATGATTCCAAAGTTTGCAGCCTTCATCATGGTGGAAGAAACTACCCTTGGAAAAATCAGGAAAGAAAAGGGAGCCAGGATTAGGAGGTAAAAAAAGGAATTTGTTCCCTAATAGACTGAGTTTGAGGTGACAGTAAGATAATGAGGTGGGGCTGTTCAGAAGGCAGTGGGGAAGAAAGTTAAGAAAACCAGTCAGGGCTGGAAATAAGGATCTGGGAGCTGTTTCCGCCTTAAAATGGTCCTCTTTCCTTCCTAACAGAATTCCACCTGTGTTTGGGCTGCCATGTGCCCAGATGGAAAGGATAAGCCATGATTGGCCAGACCCCAAATATGGTATCTCATTTCCCTTTGATTGGTTAAGGGGTGAGAGTGTGATTCCGTTCTGGCCAATGAGGCTAAAGGGCTCTAGGGGGGATTTTTTTTTTTTTTTTCCTCCTGGTAAAGAGACCACCATAGGGCGGAGCCCTGAGCTTCCATCTTCCTCCTTCCTGCTAGTGAGCTTGGCCAGGGGGGCTTGGACACTTTGGAGAGGGGCCGACACACGGATGATGACAAAACAGAAAGATAGTAAGAGCCTCTGGTTCCTAGTGGCCTTGTGGATTTGCTGAACCAAGCCTTGATGTGCTGACCTCCAGACTCGTTACACTTAACATTTATTAAATGTCTTTATTACTTAACTGTTGGTTGGTATTTTATGATTTTCAGCTTATCTTAACTGATATGGATATAATTACTAATGCTTGTGAGAATGGATGAGCCCTGAGAAGGGGGAAGAGAAAGACAAAGCCTGGAAACTTCTTTTAGCAGATGGAAACCTTTTGCTAATTAAACCTTAAGGTTTTTAATCTTAAAAGCTACACAGAAAACTTGTTTTAATTTTGAAAACATAATACTCCTCCTCCCCCAACACGCGCACCGGACAACCTCTCTCCTTGAACCACTCCGGGTGGTTCAAATTCCAAAGAGCATATGTTTCAAATGAAAGGTCAAAAAGGAGATCGGTTTCAGTTTGGAGCTAAGGGAGAGTGATTATTTCTCTAATGTGAGCTGCTTCCTGTTGCTAAAACACTGCCCCTTCAAATGAGATTGTTTGCTAAGTGAGGCATCTCCTTCCTCTTTCTTCCTTGGATGAATTAGCAAGCAAGAAGAGTCAGTCTGAGGCTCCTCACTGTGACGGACTGAGGAGCTTTATTTACTCCCTGCGGATAGTGGCCTGCCACCAGAGAGGCCACAGGCCGGAGTGATGGAGCTGACTCATAGGGTAAGGAGAAAGTGGCCTGGATCGTTGACAGAGGTAAGCAGTGTCCAATTCCTCCTAGGCGGGGGAGGGAGAGGTTATGGCAAAGAAAGCCGTTTCTATTCCACTGGGCAATTAATGCCACCATTTTTCTTGAAAAAGCGTTTTTTTTTTCATAAGCCGTTGAGGATAATTTAACCCCCATCTTGACAGGACGTACTAATGACCGCTAATGGATACATTCTTTTAATAAATGAAGAGGCACAAGAAAATTGCCAGATATTAAACAGAGTCCCACATGTCTTATCTGAGACTATAATGGCTCTATCAAGTGACCCAAGTGAAAGAAATGTCACTCTTCAGAGGTTAAAGGAGTCTATTTTTTCTTAGTGCGATATAAATTCATGGCTAGAAAGAACAGTAATTCATTGGTCTACCCTAGGAAATGTTTAAAGGGGGCTGTATCTCAAATGATGCATTTTCTATCGGTAGTAAAGAAAATATGAAATAGGTACCTCTGTGCACTGTGGATTTATGTAAATGGCTTTTTACCAGGTAATATAGCCTAAAGCTCTGTCAAGTCTCTAACGCTTGGAATTTTTGGCAAAGAAATGAAAGAACCTGTAAGTTATCATTATTTTATTTTATTTTTTTCAATACCTTCCAGGGTGTGGTCTTTTTGTTTGGTAATTTTAAACTACATTCTTGAAAAAGTTTCTCAAGATTCAAGCAATTCCTAGGACTGTATGTACACTTGGGGAACATTTCTTAAAATACATAACGAATTCAAATTAATAAGAAAAAGACAACCCAGAAGAAAAATGGACACGTGAATTAATCAGAAACTCAAGAGGTAATGGCCAATAATCCTATGAAAAGGTGAATGATGTGTATGGTGGTCTTCTGCAACTTGCCTTTCTGCCTTTCCTTCTTTCCTTCCTTCCTTCCTTCCTCTCTCTTTCTTTTTCTTTCTTTCTCTCTCTCTCTTTTTTTTTTTTGAGACAGAGTCTCACTGCTCTGTCGCCCAGGCTGGAGTGCAGTGGCACAATCTCGGCTCACTGCAACCTCCGCCTCCGGGGTTCAAGTGATTCTTGTGCCTCAGCCTCCTGAGTAGCTGGGACCACCAGCCTGCACCACCACGCCAGCTAATTTAAGGAGGTGAACCTGATTGCAGAGTGCGTAGCTCTGGAGGCTGGGGGCCCATTTTAGATGAAATGAAGTCGTTCATGTGCAACTGCAACAGTTTGACTGAAGGAGTGAAAGGAAGAGTGGAAATGATGAGTCAGAATGGCAGACTTTTGACAAAGTTTTGCCATGTTGGCCAGGCTTGTCTCAAAACCCCTGACCTCAAGTGATCCGCTCGCCTTGGCCTCCTGAAGTGCTGGGATTACAGTTGTGAGCCACCGTGCCTGACCCAAATGCCATTTTCTTTCTTTCTTTTTTCCTGAGACAGAGTCTCGCTCTGTCACCAGGCTGGAGTGCTGTGGCGCGATTTCGGCTCTCTGAAACCTCCACCTCCTGGGTTAGAGGAATTCTCCTGCCACAGCCTCCTGAATAGCTGGGACTACAGGTGTACACCACCACGCCCAGCTAATTTTTTGTATTTTTAGTAGAGACGGGGTTTTGCCATGTTGGTCAGGATGGTCTTGATCTCCTGACCTCGTGATCCACCCGCCTGGGCCTCCCAGAGTGCTGGGATTACAGATGTGAGCCACCGCACCCGGCCCCAACTGCCATTTTCAATATAACACTATGCCTCTGCGTTTGATCCATCCATGGTATCGTGTGTAGCAACATCATTTTCACTATGGTAATTATTCAGTGGAGGAACATTCCACAATTTTGTTCTCCCTACATGTAGCATGGTTCCATATTTAGAAAGCTCAAATACAGCTTAAAATTATAAAATGGATTGTGTATGGATATATACATACCTGACAAAACTGCTTAAAACAAGCAAAATCACAATAAAAACCATCTTCAAGATAATGTTTTCTTCATGGAGAGGGAGACTGACACTGAGGAGAGGATGGGAAATGTATCAGTTATCTATAGCTATGTAAAGACCCACCCTAAAATAGTGGCTTAAAACAACCAGTTATTGTTCATGATTCTCTGGGTCAAGACTTCAGGCAAGGCTTGGTGGGGATGGCTTGTCTCTGGCTCACTCATGTGTCTGCGTTCAGCTGGGCTGGTGGGTCCAAGATGGCCTCACCCTCAAGGCTGGGGCCTTGGTGCTGTGTGTCGGCTGGAGTTTCTCAGACTTCCTCCATGTGGCTTCTCTCTTCATGTAGAGTTTCATCTTTTGTTCCATGTTCTTTTCCCTCCAAGAGGTTAGCCTGGAGTTCTTTACAAGGAGAAATCATCCACTAATATTTGTATAACTAAAACTTGATGGCAATTAAAATATATTAACAAAGGTGTGCTCTGTGGTCCAATATTGTTGGGAAATGTTGCATATGGCTTCTCCTTGTGGAGCTTCCACTGCAAACAGAACAGAAAGCTTACTAAAGTCTCTGAGAGGTCTTGCATGGAGCAAAGAAAGACAAAAGGCGAGATGCTACGTCTTTTTTCCAGGGATATATAAAGGAAGGGCTGGGTTAGATAAAGCAAGAAGGCTTTGGCTTGCCTTATGAGAACATCATCATCATCTTAACTCTGCTATTCCTGTACCCATCAGAGTCCCAGTATAACTGCAGGTGGCTCCAATTGCCAAGGCGTCTGAACACTCCTAAAACCTGTAGGAAGTAGCCACTAGGCCAAAGGGTCAACAGTGCTTTTCCAGGAGTCAGGTCATTTATGTTTCTGCCTCTCTCCACCGTCCTGCCAGTGACCTTGTCTTGAATTAGTTCACCTACTTAACTCCTATCTCTTGTTTGCTTTAACCCCCATGAGCTGCTTTGATCAATTACCAGCACGTCCCTGATGCTTGATGACCATAAGTTCCTTGGATTCTTTCCTTTGAAAGTTAGTCCATGTTGGTTGTGACAAATTCAAATAATACCAAAAAGCAAAAGCCTTCCCTTATCTATTTCAATCCCCCAGTCCCACCATTAACAGTTGAGCAGTTCAGTTTCCTTCTAGATGATTTTCCATGTTTATGTAAACACATGTGCATATATATTTGAACAAAATGGGTATCAACATGTTCATATAGTTCTGTAATCTTTTTCATTAATATATCATGCATATTATTACATGTCAGTACATATAGATTGATCTCTTTTTAATAGTGTCAGTGGGTGGACTCACGTCTATAATCCCAACAGTTTTGGAGGCTGAGCGGGGAGGATTGCTTGAATCCAGCAGTAAGTACAAGACCAGCCTGGGAAACATAGTGAGACTCCTTTCTACGAAACCATAACTAAAAAATTAGCTGGGCATGGTGGCACACACCTGTAGTCCCAGTTACTCAGGAGGCTGAAGCAGGAGGATGGCTTGAGCCCAGGAGTTTGAAGCTGCAGTGAGCTGTGATTGTGCCACTGTACTCTAGCCTGAGCAACAGAATGAGTGTCAAAAAAAAAAAAAGTGTCATTACGCCGAAGTATGGGAGTTCCTTTGTTTATTCAGCTCTTTTCCTCCGGATCAATGTTCATGTTGCTCCTTATTATTATTATTATTTTTTTTTTGGCTATTGTAAACAATGTGGCTGTGACCGCCTCCCCACCCACTCCATGTACCTAAATCTTTGTACATTCATGCCAGCTAATGTTCTGAGGAATACGTTTCCAGACGGGCAGTGCTGGATCTTAAGGCATGCCTGGCCTCCTCTCTCTCATTATCCTTTTGACCCTGATATCCTAGAGACTTCTGTTGTTACCTGCCTGCCTGCCCAGATCAGTCTGTGGTTCACTTGTTCCAGGGCTCCCCAGAGAGTCAGTCGCTTATACATGCTCTCTGAAGCTTTGTCCAGGCAGCCTAGGTTGCTCACATCAGTTGACAGCTATGCTCAATTACAGCACTTGTCACATTGTGTTATAATTGTTTTTCTACTTGTCTAACTTCTCCACTAGATTGGAACTTTCCAAAGGCATCATCAGTGTCTGGCACAGGACTTAGCACTCAGACCAAATTCCTTAGCAAATTTTATTGAACTCACACTGTGTGCTAAACACTAGCACTGTGTACATAGAGCTATGGACAAAACCAAATTCCCTGCTTCAGTGGGCAGAGACACACAATCCACAAACAATCATAAATAATTTGTTAGATGGAAAGTGCTATATAAAGAAAAATAAGGCACAGTACAGCCTTAGAGAATGCTGCTGTTCACAGGTGGCGTATATTTGAGCATGGATCTAAATGAGGTGAAGGATTGAGATGGCTGCTTGGGGAAGAACTTTCCAGGCATGAATGAATGCCTGAATTGAGCATCTCCACTTCCTGATATGAGAGAAGAGACGTAACAAAGATTCCTCCAGAACCAAAAGGATCCGAGATAAGGCTAACTTGATTAACGTGCTTAATGTGAATGCCACACCTTGGGTTTCCCAGGAAGAAGACTCTCAGATGAAGACCAGTGTTTAGGAAGCTTATTAGGAATGCTTGCGGGATCAACACCTGCTGGGGAAGAAAGGCAGCAAGATTGGGCAGAGGACAGAGTTGGGCTATGGTGCAGTCTCAGTGGAGGTTTCCATCGGCCATCGGGAGTTCTGAAGCTGGGCTGGCCCTTCGGGGTGGTCCCAAGTTGGGGGCTGGATCTTTATGCCTCGCCTTAGTCCATCATTAGATGTTGGCCATCCCAGGAAGGAGTATGACCTTGGGTGAGGTGGCTCCCCTCTGCCACAGTAGTCCTTGGCAGCTGAGGGCTACTTAAATGATTTCAACTTCTTCCTTTTGTTCCCCCAGCACCAGGAGTGATGGTTCCTCAGCAGTGGAGGGAGGGAGTCCTTCCTTCCTGAAGGGGATCTGGGTGGGCCAGTTCACTGTTCATCACCGTGAGACAAGGTGGCACATGGTGATGGGGAGCACAACATGCTGGGGTGGGTGGGGGTGGGCAGTCAATAGATGCAGGTCTAAACCTTGCTGCATTGGAGAGAAGATAAGAGAAAAAGTTGCTGAGTTGGTTTCCTGGGCCTATGTGCTCTCAGAGTCCTTTCCTTTTCTTAGCTTGCCCAGTGGTGCTGACACCTGCAGGCTGCATCTCTCAAACTCCCCATCAGTTGGTTTCTGGCAGGTTTGACCAGGAGAAACCACTGATCAGACATAAGCAGGAGGAAACCAGAGAAACCAGAGTATTTCCATCCTTCCTCTTCGCCTTGGGCAGGAACTCCATTAGCAGCTTGTCTTCTCCCTTGTTCTAACTCTCCTATGCAGGCTCACTGTGGTTCCAGCTCCCATAAAGGAATCTCTCAGTCCCTGGCTCTGGCCACACCACTGTGGTAGATGTGAGGTACTCAGGTCCTCTTTAAGGAAGGACTTGCTGCCCAACGGCAGGTGCTGCAGCCAGCATCCAGCTGTCAGCCCCTACAGGGTCAGCCTTACTTGCAGAGAACCACCTTGCTCGAGGTCATGCCCTTCCTGAAGCAGCTGGCATCCGGTGAGTGGAAGAGGTGGGGTGTTGAATGCCCTGCCATTCTGGCTTGTTGGAGGACACAGGTGGGCTGAGGTTTCATTGGGTCTGCATAACTGTGTGGCTTCTGCCTCTGCCCATTCTGTTGCTTCTCCTTCCCCTTCCCAGATGTTGACCCCTCATGAACACCTTGCACTCCAGTATATTTCTAAGTGCTTCTGAGAGCCCGGCCTGCAACACCACTTCTCCCCTCTGCCTCCAGCCTAGAGATGGGAATGGCTTCCTGCTGGTGCTAATCTCTAGGTGGCCTCACCATGTCCCATTTGGACACTCTGCTCTTGCATCATCCATGTAATCAATTAACTGCATTAAATCCCCATCTCTTTAAATAAAGTAGGTTCTGACACAGCCAACATTATACTGAATGGGGAAAAGTTGAAAGCGTTCCTCCTGAGAACTGGAACAAGACAAGGATGTTCACTTTCACCACTTCTATTCAACATAGTACTGGAAGTCCTAGCCAGAGCAATCAGACAAGAGAAGGCAATAAAGGACATCCAAAAAAGTAAAGAGGAAGTCAAACTGTCACTGTTTGCTGATGATATGATTGTATACCTAGAAAACCCTAAGAACTTATCCAAAAAGCTCCTAGAACTGATTAATGAATTCAGTAAAGTTTCAGGATACAGAATTAATGTACACAAGTCAGTAGCACTGCTGTACACCAACAGTAACCAAGCTGAGAATCAAATCAAGAACTCAGCCTCTTTTACAATAGCTGCAAAAAATAAAATAAAATACTGAGGAATATACCTGTTACCAAGGAGGTGAAAGACCTCTACAATGAAAACTATAAAACACTGCTGAAAGAAATCATAGATGACACAAACAAATGGAAACACATCTCATGCTCATGGATGGGTAGAATCAATATCGTGAAAATGACCATACTGCGAAAAGCAATCTACAAATTCAGTGCAATTCCCATCACAGTATCACCAACATTCTTCACAAAGCTGGAAAAAGCAATCCTAAAATTCATATGGAATGAAAAAAGAGCCCGCATAGCCAAAGCAATACTAAGCAAAAAGAACAAATCTAGAGGCGTCACATTACCCAACTTCGAACTATACTATAAGGCCATAGTCACCAAAACAGCATGGTACTGGTATAAAATAGGTACATAAACCAATGGAACAGAATAGAGAACCCAGAAATAAAGCTGGATACTTATAGCTAACGAGTCTTCAACAAAGCAAACAAAATAAAGTGGGGAAAGGACACCCCATTCAACAAATGGTGCTGGGATAATTGTCAAGCCACATGTAGAAAAAATGAAACTGGATCCTCATCTCTCATTTTATACAAAAATCAACTCAAGATGGATCAAAGACTTAAGTCTAAGACCTGAAACCATAAAAATTCTAGAAGATAACATTGGAAAAACCCTTCTAGACATTGGCATAGGCAAAGACTTCACGACCAAGAACCCAAAAGAAAATGCAACAGAAACAAAGATAGATAGGTAGGACTTAATTAAACTAAATTACTTCTACACAGCAAAAGAAATTATCAGTATAGACCACCCACAGAATAGGAGAAAATCTTTGCAATCTATACATCTGACAAAGGATTAATATCCAGAATCTACAAGGAACTCAGATCAGCAAGAAAAAAACAAAGAATCCCATCAAAAAATGGGCTAAGGACATGAATAAACAATTCTCAAAAGATGTACAAAGGGCCAACAAACATATGAAAAAATATTCAACATCACTAATTATCAGGGAAATGCAAATCAAAACCACAATGAGATGCTACCTCACTCCTGCAAGAATGGCCATAATCAAAGATCAAAAATAATAGATGTTGGCATGGATGTGAAGAAAAGGGAACACTTTTACACTGCTGGTGGGAATGTAAACTAGTACAACCACCATGGAAAACAGTGTGGAGATTCCTTAAAGAACTAAAAATAGATGTACCATTTGATCCAGTGATCCCACTACTAAGTATCTACCCAGAGGAAAAGAAGTTATTATACTAAAAAGATACTTGCACATGGATGTTTATAGCAGCACAATTCGCAATTGCAAAAATATGGAACCAGCCCAAATGCCCATCAATCAATGAGTGGATAAAGAAAATGTGAGGGATAAAAGACTACACATTGGGTACAGTGTATACTGCTTGTGTGAAGGGTGCACCAAAATCCCAGAAGTCACCACTAAAGGACTTATTCATGTAACCAAACACCACCTGTTCCCCAAAAACCTATTGAAATGGAAAATAAATAAAGTAGGTTCTGTTTTCCTGGCTAGACACTGCCTGATATAGTGAGTTTTACATCTAAACTTCAGTTTATATTCTCATTTCCCTTGCTAATCTAGTATTTTATAAGGGGGCCCTCAACTCATAAATATATATTAATATATATATGTTTGTGTGTATATATTCCTCATCTGCAACCAAACGCAGATCGAAAATACAGTATTCCTGGAATGTGACACCCACGTGTATCAAGGGCCGACTTTTCATATATGCATGTTCCTCAGGGCCAACTGCAGGACTTAAGTATGTGGAAATCTGGATATGTGAGGGGGTCCTGGAACCAATACCTTGTGGATACCAAGAGATGACTGTATATATTTGCTCCAGCAGTGGAGATGCAGCATACATAAGTGTTTTGCCATGACTATGCCCAATGTCATACTTGGGGTCAGGTTGAAGCCCATGCTGAGGTCCAAGGGGAGTGGGTGGATGGGCACATAGCGGTAAGAACACTTGGAGGGCCGTAAGCAGGTGAAAAGTAGGTTTATTCAGCAGCTCTCCCATCAGCAGCTCTCTCACCCTGTCTGCCTTTATCTTGGTTGTGTGCTGTGACTCTGTGGCTCCTTTCAGCAGTTGGCTCTGCACCTCTGGCTGCTTCCACACACAGGTGTATGGCCAGCTTTCCCTTCCTTCAGGGTCAGCAGCTTAACTCTTTCCCTCTGGGCACAAACTGGTTTCTGGCTCCCCTCTGCCCGCTTTCAAGGCGACTGGCTCTCCCTTACAGGGATCAGAAGCGTTACTCTCCGGGCACAGTATGCACACTGTGTTGAGCCATGTTTAGCCATGCCCCAGAGTGCCTGTACGGTGTCAGCAGGGCAGTTATACCTTTTCCAAACAATAGTGGCTTTGAGCCAAATATGAGCTTACACAAACAGGTTATATAACAAATAAGAGTATGTACCTGCACCCTAAACTCGCCGAGTCATGCAGGCCTGGATGTCTGCCTCGGCCTAATTCTTGACCAAAGCACATGGATGTACCTTACAGTAAGTAAGCCCAGCAAGCAGCAGATGATCCATAACCCATATGATCCTCAGGTGGGTCCTTAGCCAGCACTGCTCCTCACCGCCACTTGCTCTCAGCTATCCCTGTGACCCCAGCTAAAATTGGACATGTTTGGCACCAGCAATCCCCAAGCTGGCCTCTGGCTGTTTTGCACTGACCTTCCTCCTTCTCCTCTTCCTCCATTATCTTTGTGTCTGGCTCTGGCATCACTTCCCTGGATTTCTCCTGAGGGCAGAGCTCGGAGTAGGCTGAGGCAAGACAGGAGCCAAGGGCACACAAGTTAAGGACACATTCACTTCTTAGGTTGTGCAAGTGCAGGCTGGGCAGTTCTTCTCTTTGGAGGGTTAAGATGGGAAGCTGTTACACAGGAGGCTGAGTCAGGAGGATTGCTTGAGCCCAGGAGTTTGAGGTTGCAGTGAACTATGATTGCACCACTGCACTCCAGAGTGAAACCCTGTATCTGTCTCAAAAAAAAAAAAAAAAAAAAAAAGGAAGCTGGGACTGAGCTTGAGGCTGCCTGGCCAGAAGCAGAGGTAGAGGGTAACCCTTGTATGTCAGGGTACAATCAGGAGACACATCACACCATGTTTTTTTTGTTGTTGTTGTTTGTTTTGTTTTGTATTTTTAACAGGATTTAATAGAATTAATTGTTAATTAGGTAACCGAAAAGGCAAACTTGATAGAACTCTAGAACTCGAAGGTATCATGGAAGTAGCAACTGCAAGAAGTAGCCACCACTCCGTGGGCTAGGGGAGCAAAAGGAGGAGGTGGGAAATATTCAAACGTAGAGGGTCCTGAGACCCAAACCTCTTGAGGAGCAGGTGCTACTCTTCTGGTGCCAGTGTCAAGGAGCACCATGAGGCTGGTTCTACAAGTGCTGAAATTGCAAGCTAGACTCAACAGCTGCTACAGGAGCTGCTGCAGCTGGGGTCAATGTTGCTGGGGTAAAGCTCATAGAAATGGGAAGAAATGGAGACAGACAAGAAGGAGGAAGTCCCTGCTTCCCCCCTCCAGCCCCGCGGTCTCCCTCTAACGCCCCCTATCGGCATAGCCTACCAAGGAGTCACAGAGAAAGCAGGAATTTGGTTTGCAGAGTCCCAGCCCCAGTGGGACAAAGCTGAGCACAGAAGGATAGGTTTGGAGCCCGCCCTACACTGAAGTGGAGGGGATTGGACAGAGGCACGAATACAAGGATTTGGGGCAGATTGGGAGCCATTTTAGAGGCTGCCTGCTACAGTTGCCTTTCTCACTATGACCCTGGCGATAGTTGCATTGATTTTTTTAAGAGTAGTAGATAGCCATTCTGCACGAATGACAAACTATGAAGACTCAATTCATGCTGAGTCTCCTGTTCTAACCAAATTACACTTTATAACAAAGTTAATTTAAGGCACATATAATGATACACATAAGTATTATGGCACCATATGGTAATTAGGCATCCGTGTGGTGGAAAGCTCACAGAAATGACTGTAATTAGTATTACTTCTATGCAGCCAAACCCATTTAACTTTTTATAGTCCCATTTGTTTGGGTCGCCAGTACGTATCAACAGCCTCCACGCTGATAGTTTTCTCCAGTACCACCTACCATTTAATTATCACCCCACATGCAAACTCTGACACTCACATAAACTAAATTACAAAGATCCAAACTAGTATCATGCAATCGTTGGGTGCTCTGCCTCTGCATCCTTCTTTCCAGTGTTTTCCATTTCTCCCTATTCCCCAAATGAAAACTGAGCAGGAGGAGGCTTGAGGTAGTAACAATTGGATCAGGAGGCTGTGACCTGAATTTCTTAAGAAAGATGCTGATATATTAAAAGACCTAGTGAGAACAGCTTAAACTATTCTCATTTCAGAATGGTGTACTTGAATTATTAAAGCAGGCAGCCCATAGATCTCCCCTCACAAGTTGCAGATTGCTTGGGGGTAATTTTAGTAGGGAATAAAGTCTTTCAACTTTCAACAACAACAAAAAAGTTGGCTGGGCGCAGTGGCTCACGCCTGTAATTCCAGTACTGTGTGAGGCTGAGGTGGGTGGATCACGATGTCAGGAGATCGAGACCATCCTGGCCAACATGGTGAAACCCCATCTCTACTAAAAATACAAAAATTAGCTTGGGTGTGGTGGCGCATGTCTGTAACCCCAGCTACTCGGGAGCCTGAGTCACGAGAATTGCTTGAATCCAGGAGGCGGAGGTTGCAGTGAGCCGAGATCACACCACTGCACTCCAGCCCAGCGACAGAGCGAGAGTCCGTCTCAAAAAAAAAAAAAGTAAATATGCAAATCGAGGCAAGAGAACATATTAGTATTTAATGAGCTCCAATTCTTTGGAAACTGTTGTTAGATCCTTTCTTGTATTGATGAGGAAGAATGAGGGCCAGAAGAGGGGGAAAGGGGAAAGGAAATCACCAGGGGCAGGGATGGGATGGGACATATTGGGGAACTGTGAACTAGAGACCTACAAGGTAGGGTTGCCAGATAAAATACAGGATATCCAGTTAAATTTGAATGACCAGATTTAGCAAATAAAAAATATGGGACTCAGTTAAATTTGAATTTTAGATACACAGTGAAAAATATTTTAGCATAAATATATCCCATACAATACTTGGGACATACTTATTCTAAACATTATTGTTGTGTATCTGCAATGCAAATTAATCGAGAGTCCAGTATTTTTATGTGCTAAAGCTGGCAACATTACTACAAGGTTAACTTCTCACTTTCATCCTGGAACTTGTTTTGTCATTATCTTTGAGGGTCATGGTGCTATGGGGCCAAAGGGACTTCATGCCCTTTTGGATAGCCATGGGTCTGACATTCATCCTGCCCTCCCCTGCTGCTCTCTGCCTCCTGCCTCTGGTCCCTCAGGCCTCAAAGCCCCTATGCCAGCAGACACAGGGCAGCATGTTGAGGGAGAAGATTCTGCACACTCATTTGAGGCCCGCCTGACCCTGTCTCCCTCACATGTTCAATAGCACTCGGCCCCACCCTCACCTTCTGGAATGTTGTGCCTCCAAGTCTCTAAGCACCACAATGTGTGTGTAAATCTAGCAAAATAGACAGATTTTGAGACTAAATGGGGACTCTGGGTATGGATTTACACATGGGCAAAATTTTTCTTGCTGAGCAGTTTGTGTTAAATGGGATTTAGTTTGCTCCTTGATGATCAGTCTGGGAGGGTAGTTGGAAATCTACCCCTGTACAGGCTTCTTCTGAAGTTGCTCTTTCAGATTTTACAGCATCATGGATCCTTTTTTAGTGGCCAAGTTTTGGAGCTAGCAAAGCAGATAAAGCTACACGGAATATTCACATTTTCATTGTGGAAGGAGAAAACAAAATCTGTGTCTCCAAGATTTCTAAAAAAACAGAAAAAAAAATGGGTTCCATTCAATGCTAATCTCTTCTTCTTCTTTTCTCTTTATCCTTCTATCTAATTGCAGTATGGGTGAAACTATTGCCCACTACTGGGAGAAGGCTATTTTCTTTGCCAGTTGTCCAAACAATGGAAATTTCCTGCATTCTTTGCTGTAGTTTCTCAAAGTTAATGGGCATATGCTGACTTTTAAAAAACTAGCTGTTACTAGGAGTGAAAAGAGTTACAAGAGAAAAAATTGCTTACCTTCAGACTCTCCAGTGTTGGCAAAAAATTCTTTCTAAAGAAATGAATACCAATGACAAAAATGTCCATGCTGTTCTTCATAAATTTGGACCCTGGTTCTCATACTGTGACTTACCAGATCCCAGATGTAATGCCAGGACAGGGAGGATAAAAGGAGAAAGGCAGGATCTAATTATTAGAGGTTCAATGTTGTACCAAATGGTTCCTGCTACAAGGCTAACCTCATCCTCCATTCTTCCTCCTTTTCCCTCTGCTCTGACAACCTGAGCTGTTCATTGCCCTCTGAGTACTGCAGCTGTTTCTCCCCTCTGTGCTCATACCTTTGCTGCCCTCCCGCCTTTTTTTTTTTTTTTTTTCTTGAGACGGATTCTCACTCTGTTGCCCAGACTGGAGTGCAGTGGCAAGTGCTGGGATTACAGGTGTGAGCCAGAGCACCTGGCCCCTTGCTGCCCCATCTGTCCAGCTATTCCCATTTCATTTAGCTGACTACTTCCTATCCTTTAACGTTCAACATGGGAAATGTCTCGTCCAGGCAATGCTCCATCCTGGCCCTTCCAAGTTGAGTAATGTGTCCTTCCAATGTGTCCTCCATAGAGGTTGCTATGTGTTCCCATAGCAACCTCTGCCAAGCTCCATCATTGTGTGAACCACAGTATAAGTACTTGTTGGTTTGGTCTCCGTCTCCTCTGCCTGGTTCACATCAGGCAGGTGGGTGCTCAGTGGATAGCTGAGGTACAATGACTTTGAAATCCTCGATAATATATTCTAACATGCTGGCTGGAGGACCTCAACTTAATTAAGCCCATCTGAGGCTTGTGACAATAGTAACATGGGCCTGTGCACTATTTTCAAGATTTTCAAATGCCCACTGGATATCACACATTTACCTGGGGTAAGAAACTTTCTTGTCAAAAATACCCTCTTGCATTATTTCTGAGTGGGGTTACATTAACCCTCTCTGATGACCCCATTTTTTTTTTCATGAAGAACAGTAGATGTAATTGGCCGCTAGTATATACTTGTCCTTTAAAAAAAAAGTCCAAATGATCACTTAAATGCAATTTTGGGGGGAATGGGGAACAGTAAGTAAAATCACCACTAGGTTGCACATAAATAAATGTTTTCTTTGGTGGTGAAAAGGTGAGATGCCAACTTTGTGTCATTATTCATTACTTACTCAAATTTACTGAACACCTGTTACATACCAGGCATGGCTTTAGGAGCTCCAGAAATGTATGTGCTCCACATATGTTATTGCATAGTGAGTAATCCTCTGCCCACCATTCTTCTTGTGTAAGGTCGGCGCAGTTCCTGCCAGTGTGGATCACAGGGCCCCAGCTGGGGAGAACAGAGAGAGGCAACTGATTTCCTTGCAGAGTCTGGCATTGAGAGAGGGTTCAGGGCCTCAGGGACTGGGTGAGTGAGCATCATGCCTCAGCCACCCCTTTCAAGGCTTCATGTTTGGGCTGCTTATTTTCTGTGCTTATGGGAATCTGAGAACAGACTTGGTTGAATTCATTCTTACCACTCAGCTGCACAGTAATTTCTGGGCAAAAGGAAGCTTCTAATTAAGAGTTCAAATCCCCCAGAAGCCATATGCCAAGCCACATATGTGACAAAATCCCTGGCTGCCTTCTCTGGTATAGGGACGATAACAGCTAACTGGCGTGCTGCTCTGGGCCAGCTGGGCCTTTAACAAAACAACAATCACAACAACTACAAAAATCTGCTGCAGCTGCTGGTTTAAGGGATGGGTTATTCAAGGGCCCATCTCCCACCAGCTGCTTTGCATCTTCTCTTTTGTTAGGACCTGAGATATTTAAGGTCATTGAAGATTCTGGGCCTACTTTATATCAAATATCTAAAATTCTGCTCACATTCCACATTAGGTATGGTATATTTTGCTCTTGCTCTAAAACATTTGAAAGAGTTTTGTTTCAGTTAGCTAATGCTGTGTAACAAATGACTTCAAAACATAGTGGCTTAAAGCAACAATGTATTCTATTTCATGGTGTGGTCTTCTTCAGCTTCAAGTGGTATTAGCTGGGAACAGTGGGTGACTGCAGTCATCCCAAGTTTTGATCAACAGCTCAGCTGAGGTTGAAATGTCTGAAATACCAGGGCTTTAGGAGTCAGATGGAGCTTGACTGGGATTTCAGCTGCGGGCCTTGATTCTTCTCCATATGGGCCTCCCCATGTGGCTGCCTGGGCCACCTCACAGCATGGTGGCTGATGTCCAACAAGAACTGTTCCAAGAGCAAGCATTCTAAGAGGGAGGAAGCAGAAGCTGCCAGGTCAATTAAGGACTAGTCCTGGAATTGGCATAGTACCACTTCCTCTATATTAGTCAAGGGAGTGGCAAGCCCAGCCCACAGTCAATGTGGGAGGGAACTATACAAGGACATGAATACTGGGGAACGTGTTCATCTGGATCATCAAAATAACAGTCTATGGCAAGTTTTTATTATTTTGGTACTTAAAAAAACCCCCAGAATTACCATATGCCCCAGCAGTTCCACTTCTGGGTGCATACCCAAAAAAACTGAAAGCAGGGACGTGAACAGATATTTGTATACCCATGTTCATAGCAGCATTTTCACAATAGCCAAAAGGTGGAAACAACCCAAATGTCCATTGCCGGATGAATGGATAAAGAAAATGTGGTATTGTCTTAGCCCATTCAGGCTGCTGTAACAGAATACCATAGACTGGGTGGTTTATAAACAACAGACATTTGTTTCCCACAGTCTAGAGGCTGGGAAGTCCAATATCAAGGCACCAGCAGATTCAGTGACTGGTGAGATCCCTCTTTATAGAGAGCCATCTTTTCTCAGTGTCCTCACATGGTCGAAGGGGTAAGCAATCTCTCTGGTGTCTCTTATATTAATATGAGGGTCCTAATCCCATTCATGGCCCTTACGATCCAATAACTGCCCAAAGGCCCCACCTTCTAATACCATCACCTTAGGGGTGAGGATTTCAACATAGGGATTTAGGGATTTGTGAGGGAGGCAAGCATTCAGACCATAGCAGGCACATACATACAATGGAATATTGGTCAGCCTTTAAAAGGAATCCAGTTTGGACACATGCTACAACATGAGTGACCCTTGAAGATATTATGTTAAGTAAAATAAGCCAGGCACAAAAGGACAAATATTGCATGATTCTACTTATATGAGGCACCTAGAGGAGTCAAATTCATAGAGACAGAGAGTGGAATAGTGGTTGTTGCTAGGGGCTGGGGAGAGAAGGAAATAGGGAATTATTGTTTAATGGGCACAGAGTTTCATTTTGAAGAGATGGAAAAGTTCTGGAGATGAATAGTGATGATGGTTGCACAACAGTGTGAATGTGTTTAATGCCACTGAACTATATGCTCAAAATTGGGTAAAATGGTAAATTTTATGCATATTTTTATCACCATAAAATTTTTATTTTGAATTTTATAAAAATAAAATGTTCATTTTATTTTATTTATTTTGAGATGGAGTCTCTCTCTGTCACCCAGGCTGGAGTGCAGTGGTGCAATCTTGGCTCACTGCAACCTCTGCCTCCTGGGTTCATGCCATTCTCCTGTCTCAGCCTCCTGAGTAGCTGGGACTACAGATGCCTGCCACCATGCCCGGCTAATTTTTGTATTTTTAGTAGAGACAGGGTTTTGCCACATTGGCCAGGCTAGTCTCGAACTCCTGACTTCAAATGATCCACCCGTCTCGGCCTCCCAAAGTGCTGGGATTACAGGCGTGAGCCACTGAGCCTGGCCATTCATTTTATTTTCTTGTTGTTTTTTTAAAAATTATATTTATAACTATGGAAGAGTTCAGTTGAGCTGCAATTAACTATTTCTTTGCTATTCAAAGTCAAGGGACTAGAAGCATTGGCATTACCTGGGAGCTTGTTAGAAATGTAGACTCTCAGGCCTCACCCCAGATCTACTAAATCATAATCTGTAGTCGGACAAGATCCCCAGGTGTTTCGTATGCTTATTAATGTTTAAGAAATGCTGAATTACTTGATATAATCCTTGTTTTGTAAACATTTATTGATTTTAATTATGTAATTTTCTGTTTTGCATTTTGGAGTCATCATACATTTTTCAAGGCCTCAGAAAATTGTATAGGATTTTGAGACGCTCTCAGGCCCTAGACCCCATGTCTAGAATGCCCTGGAGATGAATCTGGTAAATTTTACACATAGTCACATCCCTTTTGTCTCTGATTTCTGACTTTCTCTTCCATAGTTACAGTTCTTCAGATCATCTATCTGGTTTTTACATGAGTTCTTCTCTGAGATGCTGCTAAGATGGCTCTCTAGGCTTTCAGAACCACAGCCCATGGAAAAGGGAGCCCCACCCTCAATGCAGACCCAGGTTTCTCTCTAGGATACCACATCCCAGGCCCATATAACCTTATTGCTGCAATTACTAAATTATTAAAATCAACCGTAAAGCTTCCTACTGAAGAAAACTTCCTAGTTCATTTTTTTCTTTAACTATTTACTGAAGCATAATATACATGCAGAAAAGTGCAAAAATAAGCTTACAACCAATACATTTTAATACATTAGCACTCTGTTATAACCAACCTTCAAATCAAGGAATAGAATATTAACAGTACCCAGGAAACCCTCTGTGTCACTACTACCCCATCTCCTGCAAATTAACCACTATTTGAACTAATAGCATAGATTACTTTTAACCAGTTTTTTTCTTTATATAAACACAATGCCATAATATATCCTCTTTTGTGTCTAACTTCTTTTGTTCGACTTTACATTTATGAGGCTCATCCATATTGTTGTAATTGTAGTTTGTATTCTTATTGTTGTATAGTGTTCCATTGCATGAATTTACTACAATTTAAATTCATTATATTATTGATGGGTATTAGGGCAATTTCCAGTTTGGGGCTATTACAAATAGTGCAGCTAGGTACATCTTAATACTTTTGTCAGGGAAACACATGCCACATTTCTGTGGGAATTAGGAGTGAGATTGCTGGGTCATAGCGTGTGTCTATGTTTAGCTTTAGTGATACTGTCAAGCAGTTTTCCAAACTGTAAGCCCCATTCTTAATGTAAAAGTGAATGCTCCTGCCCCTGTTCTATCCCTTCCTAAGAGTTGTGACAAATCTCAAACAGGACATTACTTTCACATAGGTTTATGAATTTCTGCCAAAACATTGGTGCTCACATTTCAAAATAAATAAATGCATCCATGAAATCCTCACCAGCGGCAGACTGAGAAAGCAAAGAATCCAGATGACAGCCATAATGCTGAGATGCTAAGATGGTTTTCTTTGTTGCCTAGAGCGCTGGGAGTCTTTTGCAAAAGCTGCTGCCAATCAGGCTTGCCTATCTTTGCAGGGCTAATTAACAGCACTTGGGCAAGCAAGGGGGCGGACGCCTGCACGATGATGCGAATGGTGCCATCCCAAGGCTTATGACTAATTATAAACACAAAGCACTTAAGGGCCGAGATTAATAATGAAAAAAAAAAAAAGCCGAAACAAAAAGCTGAAAAACCTCTTCAGAATTCTAATGCCAGCATGGTTGTGGTTGCGTGACTCAGGGCAGGGGTGCTGGCAAAAATCTCCGGACTAAATCACACAGCGCCTATGTCATGCAGCCAGCCTCCCAGTCATGTGCTACAGAAGGGCTTCCTTTGTGTCATGCAGGATTTCAGGGGAGTGTGTCAGCTCCATTTCCAGGGTGCCCTGGGCCCTAGCATGATAAATCTGTTATTCCCTTGCCCTCCCTCAGCATGGAAGAGCAGACTGGGGTAATTCAGGCCCCTACAGGAGTGGGTAGGGTGGGGTTGTGTGTGCAAGCTCTGATCCCCTTAGCTACAAACCACAAATAATCCATAAAGTATGCAAATTAGCTCCCAATTAATAGCACTTACTAACATCTTGAACTGTGTAAGGAGAAGCTGTGTTTGCCAGAGAGGAAAGCAACACTCATGCACCTCATTGCAAAACACGTCTGGTCAGGCGGAAAACCCTGGACTTGCTGGGAGGGAGGGAAGAATGAAGTTGAAACTGAAAGGCTGCTTTGGTGCCCTCAGGTCATCTGGAAAAGTGTCCACACAGTTCAGGCTTGAGGAGTAATTTGATGTGAGATGAGGATTCAGATGAGAATGAGTTTCCCTGCTTCCCCTTTCCTTGGGGCTCTGCTTGGTCCAGGCCCTAATGAGTTCTGAATGTTCAACTACAGGTCCTCCCACCAGCCTCTGAGAAGAGAACAGGACAACCCAATACCCCCAGAAAACTGGAAGTAAGGGTCAAGGGTTGAGGTGAGGGTGGTGGGGGAAGGGAGGAGAAAACAAACTATTACTTTTAAAAAGTGGTGAAAAATTGTTTGCCATTATCTGTTGTTTTTTTCCTTTTTAATACTAGCCATTCTGACTGGTGTGAGATGGTATCTCATTGTCATTTTGATTTGCAGTCTCTCTGATGATGACTTATGTTGAGCATTTTTTAACATTTGTTGGCCACTTGTATGTCCTCTTTTGAGAAGTGTTGGTTCATGTCTTTTGCCTACTTTTTGATGTTTTTTTTTCTTGTTGGTTTGTTTAAATTCCTTATATATTCTGGGTATTAGTCCTTCGTTAGATGCATAGTTTACAAATATTTTCTCCCATTCTGTTGGTGTCTGTTTACTCTGCTGATAGTTTCTTTTGCTGTGTGGAAGCTCTTTAGTTTAATCAGGTCTCACTTGTCAATTTTTGTTTTTGTTTCATTTGCTTTTAAGGTCATCATAATTTTTTTTGCCTAAGCCAATGTCTGGAAGAATATTTCCTAGATTTTCTCCTAGAATTTTTGTAGTTTGAGGTTTTACATTTAAGTCTTTAATCTATTTTGAATTAATTTTTGTATATGGTAAATGGTCCAGTTTCATTCTTCTGCGTATGGTTAGCCGGTTTTCCCAGCACCATTTATTGAATAGGGTGTCCTTCCTCATTGCTTAGTTTTGTTGACTTTGTTGAATACGAGTTTGTTGTAAGTGTGCAGCTTTATTTCAGGGGTCTCTATTCTCTTCCATTGGTCTATGTGTCTATTTTTGTAGCAGTACCATGCTGTTTTGCTTACTGTGGCCTTGTATATCATTTGAAGTTGGGTAATGTGGTGCTTCTGGCTTTGGTTTTTTTTTTTTTTTTTTTTTGCTTAGGATTGCTTTGGACTCTATATGAATTTTAGAATAGTTTTTTTCTAATTCTGTGAAAAATGACATTGGTAGTTTGACAGGAACAGCATTAAATCTTGCAGATTGCTTTGGGCAATATTGGCATTTTAATAATACTGATTCTTCCAACCCATGACCATAGGATGCTTTTCCATTTGTTTCCATTTGTGTAATCTATAATTTCTTTTAGCAGTGTTTTGTAGTCCTCCTCATAGAGATCTTTCACCTCCTTAGTTAGATGTATTCCTAGATATTTTATTTTATTTTATTTTTGTGTGTGGCTATTGTAAATGGAATTGCATTCTTGCTTTGGTTCTCAGCTTGAGTGTTATTAATGTATAGAAATGCTACTGATTTTTGCACATTGATTTTGTATCCTGAGACTTTGCTGAAGTCATTTATCAGGTCTAGGAGCTTTTTGGCAGACTATGGGGTTTTCTAGGTATCAAATCATACTGTCAGTGAAGAGAAATGACTTTCTATTTTTCTATTTGGATGCCTTTTATTTCTTTCTCTTGCCTGATTGCTCTGGCTAGGACTTCTAGTACTATAATATGTTTAATAGAAGTTGTGAGAGTGGGCATTCTTGTCTTGTTCCAGTTCTTAAAGGGAATGCTTCCAGCTTTTGCCCATTCAGTATAATGTTGGCTGTGAGGTTGTCATAGATAGTTCTTATTATTTTGAGGTATGTTCCTTTGATGTCTAGGTTGTTGAGGGTTTTTTAACATGAAGGGATATTGGATTTTATCAAATGCTTTTTCAGAATCTATTAATACAATAGTATGTTTTGTGTTTTTAAATCTGTTTATGTGGTTAATCACATTGATTTGCATATGTTGAACCAACCTGGCATCCCAGGAATAAAGCCCACTTGATCATGGTAAGTTAACTTTTTGATGTGCTGCTGTATTTAGTTTGCTAGTATTTTGTTAAGGATTTTTGTGTCTTTGTTCATCAGGAATATTGGACTGTAGTTTTCTTTTTTGTTGTTGTTGTGTCTTTGTCAGATTTTGGTATCAGGATGATACTGGTTTCATAGAATGAGTTAGGGAGGAGTCCCTCCTCAATTTTTTGAGAATAGATTCAGTAGGACTGGTACCAGGTCTTCATTGTATGTCTGGTAAAATTTGGCTATTAGTCCATCTGCTCCAGGGCTTTTTTGGTTGGTAGGCATTTTTATAACGGATTCAATTTTGTTACTCTTCATTAGTCTATTTAGAATTTCTGTTTCTTCCTGGTTTGATCTTTGGAGGTTGTGTTTCCAGGAATTTATCCATTTCCTGTGGATTATCTGTGCATATAGAGATGTTCATAATAGTCTCTGAAGATCTTTTGTATTTCTGTGGGATTGGTTGTGATGTCATCTTTATTATTTCTGATTGTGTTTATTGGATCTTCTCTCTTTTTTCTTTGTTAATCTAGCTGGATCACTAAATCTCTACTAAAACTATAAAAATTAGCTGGGCATGGTGGTGGGTGCCTGTAATCCCAGCTACTCGGGAGGCTGAGGTGGAAAATCACCTGAACCTACTAGGTGGAGGCCGCAGTGAGCCGAGATCATGCCATTGCACTCCAGCCTGGGCGACTAGAGTGAAACTGTCTCAAAAAAAAAAAAAAAAAAAAAATTGAATTGAGATGCCAAGATTCATTCATTCATCCATTTATCTATTATGAATTTACTGAGCACAGAAGCACCATGTTAGGGGTGAAACCATCTGTAATGATTCTGTGGTTCGCTGATGGCAGATAGTTGTCCACCAAGGATTTGTTCTCTCCTTCCATATAGTAGAGTGGTTTCTGGTAGGTTGCTGCCAAGTCAGGGACCACATGTGCCTCCCCCTTGTATCTTGTAAAGTGGGGTATGATATTGTGAGTCCTCATCAATACAATGTGAGCAGAAGTGAAGTGTCCTGGCCAAGACTTTAAAAAAAAAAAGTGTTTTAGAGCAGTTTTAGAGTCAGGCAAAATTGAGAGGGAGGTACGGAGATTTCCCATATACACCATGCTCCTCCATACACAGCCTCCTCTGCTATCAACATCCACCACCAGAAGGGTAAATTTGTTACAACTGATGAACCCACAATAACAATTGTTATCACCCAAAGTCCACAGTTTACATTAGGATTCACTATTGGTGTTGTACATTCTATGGGTTTTGACAAATGTGTAATGACATTATCTGTCATTATCATATCATACAGAGTAGTTTAACAACCCTAAAATTCCTCTGTACATCACCTATTCATCCTTCCCTCCCCCTAGCCCCTAGGAACCACTGATCCTTTTACTGTCTTCATAGTTTTGACTTTTCCAGAATGTTACAAATTTGGAATCATATGATATGCAGCCTTTTCAGATTGGGTTTCTTTCACTTAACTATGCTTTTTAGTTTCCTCCATGTTTCTTCATAGCTTGATAGCTCATTTCTTTTTTGCTCTCAGTAATAGTCTATTGTCTGGATGTATCACCATTTATTTATCCATTCATTTACTGTATTAGTACATTCTCATGCTGCTGATAAAGACATACCTGAGACTGGGAAGAAAAAGAGGTTTAATGGACTTACAGTTCACATGGCTGGGGAGGCCTCCCAATCATGGTGGAAGGCAAGGAGGAGCAAGTCACATCTTACATAGATGACGAGCAGGTAAAGAGAGAGCTTGTGCAGGGAAACTCCTGTTTTCAAATCCATCAGATCTCGTGAGACTCATTCACTATCCTGAGAACAGTGCAAGAAAGACCCACCCCCATAATTCAGTCACCTTCCACTGGGTTCCTCCCACAACATGTAGGAATTGTGGGAGTTACAATTCAAGATGAGATTTAGGTGAGGACACAGCCGAACTATATCATCCCCCCCTTAGCTCCTCCCAAATCTCATGTCCTTATATTTCAAAACCAATCATGCCTTCCTAACAGTTCCCCAAAGCTTTAAGTCATTTCAGCATTAATTCAAAAGTCCACAGTTCATCATCTCATCTGAGACAAGGCAAGTCCCTTCCACCTATGAGCTTGTAAAATCAAAAGCAAGTTAGTTACTTCCTAGATATAATGGGGGTAGCGGCATTGGGTAAATACAGTCATTCCAAATAGGAGAAATTGGCCAAAACAAAGGGGCTACAGGCCCCATGCAAGTCCAAAATCCATTGGGGCAGTCAAATCTTAAAGCTCCAAAATGATCTCCTTTGACTCCATGTCTCATATCCAGGTCACACTGATGTAAGAGGTAGGTTCCCATGGTCTTGGGCAGCTCCACCCCTGTGGCTTTGCAGGGTACAGCCTCCCTTCCAGCTGCTTTCATGGGCTGGTGTTGAGTGTCTGCGGCTATTCCAGGTGCATGGTGCAAGCTGTCAGTGGATCTACCATCTAGGGCCTGGAGGACAGTGGCCCTCCTCTCACAGCTCCACTAGGCAGTGCCCCAATAGGGACTCCGTGTGGGGGCTCCAACCCCACATTTCCCTTCCACACTGCTTTAGCAGAGGTTCTCCATGAGAGCCCTACCCCTGCAGCAAACTTCTGCCTGGACATTCAGGTGTTTCCATACATCCTCTGAAATCTAGGCAGAGATTCCCAAACCTCAATTCTTGACTTTTGTGCACTCATAGGCTCAACACCATGTGGAAGTTGCCAAGGCTTGAGGCTTGCACCCTCTGAAGCCACGGCCCTGAGCTCTACATTGGCCCCTTTCAGCCATAGCTGGAGTGGCTGGGACGCAGTGATCCAAGTCCCTAGACTGCACACAGCACGTGGACCCTGGGCCTGGCCCACAGAACCACTTTTTCCTCCTAGGCCTCTGGGCCTGTGATGGGAGGGGCTGCTGTGAAGACCTCTGACATGCCCTACAGACATTTTACCCATTGTCTTGGGGATTAACATTTAGCTCCTCGTTACTTATGCAAATTTCTGCAGCTGGCTTGAATTTCTCCTCAGAAAATGGGATTTTCTTTTCTATCATATTATCAGGCTGCAAATTTTCCGAACTTGTATGCTCTGCTTCCCTTATAAAACTTAATGCCTTTAACAGCACCCAAGTCACCTCTTGAATGCTTTGCTGCTTAACAATTTCTTCCACCAGATACCCTAAATCATCTCTCTCAAGTTCAGAGTTCCACAAATCTCTAGGGCAGGGGAAAAATGCATCAGTCTTTTTGCTAAAACAACAAGAGTCACCTTAGCTCCAGTTCCCAAGTTTCTCTTTCCATCTTAGACCATCTCAACCAATACTTTATTGTCCATATCGCTATCAGCATTTTTGTGAATGCCATTCAACAAGTCTCTAGGAGGTTCCAAGCTTTCCCACATTTTCCTGTCTTCTTCTGAGCCCTCCAAACTGTTCCAACCCCTGCCTGTTACCCAGTTCCAAAGTTGCTTCCACATTTTCAGGTATCTACAGCAGTGCCCCACTCTACTGTTACCAATTTACTGTATTGGTCTGTTTTCATGCTGCTGATAAAGGCATACCTGAGACTGAAAAGAAAAAGAGGTTTAATGGACTTACAGTTCCACATGGCTGGGGAGGCTTCACAATCATGGCAGAAGGCAAGGAGGAGCAAGTCACATCTTACATGGATGGCAGGCAGGCAAAGAGAGATCTTTTGCAGGGAAACTCCCATTTTTAAAACCATCACATCTCATGAGACTCTTTCACTATCACAAGAACAGTGTAGGAAAGACCCACTCCCATAATTCAATCACCTCCCACCAGGTTCCCCCCATGACACATGGGAATTGTGGCAGTTACAATTCAAGATGAGATTTGGGTGAGGACACAGAGCCAAACCATATCACATACTGAAAGACATCTTGGTTGCTTCCAGGTTTTAGCAATTATGAGTAAAACTCTATAAACATCCATGTGCAGGGTTTTGCAGGAATGTAAGTTTCAACTCTTTTGGGTAAATACCAAGGAGTGCAATTGCCGGATCTTATTGTAAGAGTATGTTTAGTTTTGTCTTCCAAAGTAGCTGTGTTTATTTTGCATTCCTACCACAATCAATGAGAGTTCCTGTTGTTCCACATCTTCACCAGTAGTTGGTGTTGTCAGTGTTCTGGATTTTGCTCAAATAGGTATGTAGCAGTATTTCATTTTTCTTTTAATTTGTGTTTCTCTGATGACATATAATATGGAGCATCTTTTCATATGCTTAATTTGTCATTAGTATATCTTCTTTGGTGAAGTGTCTGCTGAGGTCTTTGGTTCATTTTTTAATTGAATTATTTTTTATTTTTATTTTTTAGGCAGAGCCTCACTTTGTCACCCAGGCTGGAGTGCAGTGGTATTATCTTGGCTCACTGCAACCTGTGCCTCCTGGGCTTAAGTGATCCTCCCACCTCAGCCTCCAGAGTAGCTGGGACTATAGGTGTGTACCACCATACCCGGCTAATGTTTGTATTTTTTGTAGAGACAAAGGGTTTTGTCATGTTTTATCAGGTTGCCCAGGCTGGTCTTGAACTCTTGAACTCAAGCAATCTGCCTGCCTTAGCCTCCCAAAGTGCTGTTATTACAGGCTTGAGCCACCATGCCTGGCTGATTTAAAAAAAAAGTCATTGAATTTTCTAATTCCTTGAATAGTTTAGATGACAGTCCTTTATCAGATACATCTTTTGCAGATTTTTTTCCAGTCTGTGGGAGAAAATATATCTTTCTTCTCAAGCCTGTGGCTTGATTTCTATTTCTCTTGACAATGTCTTTCACAGAGCAGAAACATTTAATTTTACTGAATACTAGTTTGTTCTTTCTTTTGTGTGTCGTGCCTTTGATGTTGTATCTAAAAAGTCATTGCCATACCCAAGGTCATCTAAGTGTTCTCCTATATCATCTGTCCACTTTTTCTAGCACCATTTGTTGAAAATAGTATTTTTGCTCAATTATATTTCCTTTGCTCCTCTGTCAAAGATCAATTGACTATATCTATATGAGTCTTTCTGGGCTCTCTATTCTGTTCCATTGATTTATATGTCTATTCTTTCACCAATACCACACTGTCTTGATTACTGTAGCTTTATAGTAAGTCTTAAAGTTGGATATTGTCAGTCCTCTGATGTTGTTCTTCTCCTTCATTATTGTATTGATGATTCTGGGTCTTTTGCTTCTCCATATAAACTTTCTAATCAGTTTGTCTACATCTATAAAATAACTTGCTGGGGTTTTGACAGGGCTTGGATTGAATCTATAGATCAATTTGGGAAGAATTGACATCTTGACAATATCGAGTCTTCCTATCCGTGATCATGGAATATCTCTCCATTTATTTAGTTTTTCTTTGATTTCTTTTATCAGAGTTATGTAGTTTTTCTCATTTATATCTTCTACATACCGATATCCCCAACTTATGATGGTTTGACCTACAATTTTTCAACTTTATAATGGTGAGAAAATGGTACACACTCAACAGAAGCCGTACTTCAAATTTTGAATTTTGATCTTTCCTTGGATTAGTGATATGACATTCTGTTTCAGTGCTCCACAGTGCAGTGGCTTGCAGTCAGCCACATGATCACCAGGGTGAACAACTGATACAATCATTCTGCTTTTCACTTTCAGTATGGTAGTCAATAAATTACATGAGATATTTAACACTTTATTATAAAATAGGGTTTGTATTAGATAATTTTGCCCAACTATAGGCTAGTGTAAGTATTCTGAGCACATTTAGGGTAGGCTAGGCTAAGCTATGATGTTTGGTAGGTTAGATTAAATGCACTTTCAACTTACGATATTTTCAACTTAGGTTGGAGTTGTCAGAACATAAACTCATTCTAAGTCAAGAAGCATCTGTACTTTGTAAGATTTATAACTAAGTGCTTCATTTTCTGGAAAGCTAATGTAAATGTTATTGTGTTTTAGTTTTAAATTTTGCTTGTTCATTGCTGGTGTACAGGAAAATGATTGACTTTGGTATATTAACTTTGTCTCTTGCAAACCTTGCTATAATCACTTAATATTTCCAGGAGTTTTTTAAGATTCTTTCAGATTTTCTACATAGATGATTATGTCATCTGTGAACAAAGACAGTTTTAATTTTTTCTTCCTAATAAGTATACCTTTCCTTATTGCATTAGCTAATATTTCCAGTACAATGTTGAAAAGAAGTTGTAAGAGGGAACATCCTTGATTGTTTCTGTTCTTAGCAGGAAAGCTTGGAGTTTCTTACCATTAAGTATAATGTTAACTGTTTTCTATAGATGTTCTTTATCAGTTTGAGGAAATTTCCCTCTATTCTTAGTTTGCTGAGAGTTTTGTTTTTTTTAAATGATCAATGGGTGTTACATTTTGTCAAGTGCTTTTTCTACAGCTATTATTATGATCATGTAATTTTTCTTCTTTAGCCTCTTGATATGATGGTTTACATAATTTGATATTTGAATATTGAACCAGCCTTGCATACCTGGGATAGATCCCACTTAGTTGTGGTATATAATTCTTTTTATACATTGTTGGTTCAATTTGCCAATATTTTGTTGAGGATTTATGCATCTATGTTCATGAAGGATATTGGTCTGTAGTTTTCTTTTCTTCAAACACATTTGTTTGGTTTTGGTATTAGGGTACTGGTGGCCTCATGGAATGAGTTAGGAAGTATTTCCTCTGCTTCTATCATCTGAAAGAGAATTGGTGTGATTTCTTCTTTGAATGTTTGGTAGAATTTACCAGTGGACCCACCTGAGCCTGCTTGGTGCTTTCTGTTTTAGAATGTTGTTAATTATCTATTCCATTTTTTTTCATAGATGTAGGCCTATTCAGACTGTTGATTTCTTCATGTGTGAGTTTTGGCACATTGTGTCTTTCAAGGAATTGGTCCATTTCATCAAGGTGATCAAATTTGTGGACATATCATTGCTCATAATATTCTTGTTTTTTTTTTTCTTTTTTTTTTTTTGAGGCAGGGTCTGGCTCTGTCATTGAGGCTGGAGTGCAGTGGTATGATCAAAGCTCAAGCAATCTTTCTACCTCACCCTCCTGAGTAGCTGGGACTACATGTGTGTGCCGCTATGTCTGGCTAATTTTTAATTTTTTTGTAGAGATGGAGTCTCACTAGGTTGCCCAGGCTGTTCTCCAACTCCTGGGCTCAAGCAATCCTCTTTCCTTGGCCTCTCAAAGTGCTGGCATTACAGGTGTGAGCCACTATGCTTGCCCTTGTATTATTCTTTTAATGTCTGTAGGTTCTTCAGTAATATTCCCTCTTTCATTTATGATATTAGTAATTTGTGTCCTCTTTTTTCTTAGCCTGGCTAGAGAATTATTGATTTCATTGATGTATTCTAAGAACCAGCTTTTGTTTTTTTTTAATTCTCTATCGATTTCCTGTTTTCAATTTCATTGATCTCTCTTCTAATTTTTGTCATTTCTTTTCCTTTGTTTACTTTGGAATTAATTTGCTCTTTTTCTAGTTTTCTGAGAGGAAACAAATTTTCATACATTGTATTAGTCAAAATATTTAAAACTATCTCCTCAGACATCTTCTTGACCCATGTGTTATTCAGAAGTGTGTTGTTCAATCTCCAAATATGTTGGGATTTTTCAGCTATCTTTCTGTTATTGATTTCCAGTTTAATTCCATTGTGGTCTGAGAGTACACATCATATGATTTTTATTCTTTTAAATTTGTTAAGTTGTGTTTGATGGCCTTGAATGCAGTCTACTTTGATGAATGTTCCATGCAAGTTTGAGAACACTGTGTATTCTGCTGCTGTTGAATAAAATAGCTTATAGATGTTCGTTATATCCAGTTGATTGATGGTGTTACATTCAATTATGTTCTTACTGATATTCTGCCTGCTAGATCTGTTTATTTATGATAGAGGGGTGTTGTAGTCTCCAATTATGATAGTGGATTCATTTATTTCTCCTTGTATATATATATTTGCATCTGATATATTCATGCAGTGTTATTAGGTACATACACATTAAGGATTGTTATGTTTTCTTGAAGAATTGACCCATTTATCATTATGTGATGCTTCTTCTTTTTTTTTTTTGAGACTGAGTCTTGCTCTGTCACCCAGGCTGGAGTGCAGTGGCACTATCTCGGCTCACTGAAAGCTCTCCCTCCCAGGTTCACACCATTCTCCTGCCTCAGCCTCCCTCAGCCTCCCGAGTAGCTGGAACTACAGGTGCCCGCCACCACGCCCAGCTAATTTTTTGTATTTTTAGTAGAGATGGGGTTTTACCGTGTTAGCCAGGATGGTCTGGATCTCCTGATTTTGTGATCCGCCTGTCTCAGACTCCCACAGTGCTGGGATTACAGGCGTGAGTCATCGTGCCTGGCCTGTGTGATGCTTCTTTTTATCTCTGATAACTTCTCTTACTCTGAAGAGTATTCTGTATGAAATTAATATAAGTATGCCTACTTTTTTTGGATTAGTGTTAGCATAGTATAGCTTTCTCCATCCCTTCACTTTTCATCTACATGTGTCTTTATAGTTAAAATAGATTTCTTGTACACAATGTATAGTTGGGTTTCTTGTTTTTGATCCATGGTTGCAATTCTTGTATATTAATTGGTGTACTTAGACAACTGAGGTTTACAGTGATTATTATTATAGTTGGATTCATATCTACCATATTAATTACTGTTTTCTACTTGTTGCCATTGTCCTTTGTTCCTATTTTTGTCTTCTACTCTTTTTGTCCCTTTTTTTCATTTTATAGGAGTCTACTTTCTCTCCTTTCTTAGTGTATCTGTTATACTTTTTGTTTTAGTGGTTGCTCTAGAGTTTATAATGTACATTTACAGCTAATCCAAGTCTACTTTTATAAAATACAATACCATTTCATGGATAGTGGGAGTATCTTATAATAATAAAACAATTCCAATTCCTCTTTTTGTTTCTTATGTCATTGCTGTCATTTATTTTATTTATACATGAACATACATAAATGCACACACATGCACACAAATATACAGCATACAATCAAATACATAGTTGCTATTATTATTCTCAACAAACTGTTGTCTGTTAGATCAATTAATAATTTTTTTAAAAAGATTTTATTTTACCTACACTTGTTCCTTCTTAGATACTCTTCCTTTCTTTAAGAAGTTCCAAGTTTCCTACCTATGTAATTTACTTCTCTCTGAAGAACTTCTTTTAACAGTTCTTGCAAAGCAGATCTAATGGCAACAGATTCTCTCAGCGTTTTTTTGTCTGAGAAAGTCCTTATTTCTCCTTCACGTTTGAAGGATAGTTTTGCAGGGTGCAGAATTTTAGGTTGGTAGTATTTTTCTCTCAACACTTTAAATATTCCTCTTCACTGTTTTTGTTTGTTTGTTTGTTTGTGTGGTTTCTGGGGGAAGCCAGATATAATTCTCATCTTTGCTTCTGTATAGGGAAGATTTTTTTCCCCTTTGTCCTCATTAAATATTTATTTTTATTTTTTATTTTCTGCAGTTTGAATATGATATATCTACATGTGAGAGGTTTTTTGTTTGTTTTTGTTTGTTTGTTGTTGTTGTTGGTATTTATCGTGCTTGTAGTTCTCTTCCTGGATTTTCGGTGTCTGACATTGATTCGGGGATAATTCTCAGTCATTATTGCTTCAAATATTTCTTTGGTTCCCTTCTCTCTTTCTTCTCCTCTGGTATTCCTATTACACATATTTTATATATTTTGTTGCTGTCTAGTCATGGATTCTTGCCATGTCCAGTCTACTAATATGCCCATCAAAGGCATTCTTCATTTCTGTTATTGTGTTTTTGATTTTTTCTTATAATTTCGTCTATCTGCTTATATTGCCCAACCTTTATTGCATGCTGTCTTCTTTGTCTATTAGAACACTTAGCATATTAATCATAATTGTTTTAAATTCCTGGCCTGATAATTCCAACATCTCTGCCATGTCTGATTCTGGTTCTGATTCTTTGTCTCTTCAGACTGTATTTTTTGCCTTTTAGTATGCCTTGTAATTTTTTCTTGATAGCCAGACATGATGTACTAGGAAAAAAGAACTATGGTAAATAGGCCTCAAGTAACATGGTGGTGAGGTGTGGGTGGAGGGGAAGTGTTCTGTACCCTGTGATTTGGTCTCAGTCTTGTAGTGAGCCTGTGCCTCTGGACTGTGAACTTCACAAGTGCTTCTTAGATGCCCCCTCCCCTTACTTGGGACAGGATGGCTAGAATGGGCTGAGGTTGGGCATTTCCATTCCCCTAAGTTAGTTAGATTCTGAAAAAACTCCAGTTGTTTAGGCTCTAGTAAAGTAGTTTCTCTTTAACGCACGCCTTGTTAAGAACAGCGTGTATTTCTTTTTTTTTTTTAAAGTTTTTTTTTATGTGTATTCAAGGGCTTTTATTTATTCATAACTCATTTATTTCCACGAAGTAGTTGTGGCAATTCATAAGAAAATATACTAAAAAATATAAAGCTATAAATAAACAAAATTCAGGACCAGAGAAAATGTAGCACCATTAGAAGATCAAGACAAGGATGTAGGCATAGCCTATACACTTTGGTCATCTTTATTAAAAAAGAAGCCATAAATTTCTTTTTTTTTTTTTTTTTTTTTAGTATTTATTGATCATTCTTGGGTGTTTCTCGGAGAGGGGTATTTGGCAGGGTCATAGGACAATAGTGGAGGGAAGGTCAGCAGATAAACATGTGAACAAGGGTCTCTGGTTTTCCTAGGCAGAGGACCCTGTGGCCTTCCGCAGTGTTTGTGTCCCTGGGTACTTGAGATTAGGGAGTGGTGATGACTCTTAATGAGCATGCTGCCTTCAAGCATCTGTTTAACAAAGCACATCTTGCACCGCCCTTAATCCATTTAACCCTGAGTGGACACAGCACATGTTTCAGAGAGCACGGGGTTGGGGGTAAGGTTATAGATTAACAGCATCCCAAGGCAGAAGAATTTTTCTTAGTGCAGAACAAAATGGAGTCTCCTATGTCTACTTCTTTCTACACAGACACAGTAACAATCTGATCTCTCTTTCTTTTCCCCACATTTTCCCCTTTTCTATTCGACAAAACCGCCATCGTCATCATGGCCCGTTCCCAATGAGCTGTCGGGTACACCTCCCAGACGGGGTGGCGGCCGGGCAGAGGGGCTCCTCACTTCCCAGACGGGGCAGCCGGGCAGAAGCGCCCCCCACCTCCCTCCCGGACGGGGCGGCTGGCCGGGCGGGGGCAAGAACAGTGTGTATTTCAGAATGGTTCCTTTTCCCCTCTCCTTGTTGAAAACATGAGGAGATTACAAAAAAAAAATTATTGTGAGAACCTGGTTGAGCTCTTACTGGTAAAACTTGCAAGAGTGCGGGGCTTCCCCTATGCAAGGTCCCCTTGGAGCTTTTAACTCTTAGTGTCCACACTGAGCCTCCAGCTGTTCATCAATTACAGTTCAGGTGTTCCTATCCTGGCACTGGTTCCTGAGATTCCTGCTTGTGGATTTCTACTGCAGCAAGTTATGCTTCTTATGTTCTCCTTTCTGTTGCTTCCATTTTAGGGGCAGCAGTTTGCCCTGTGACCATGCTTCTCTAAGAAGAGTTGTTGATTTTTAGTTTATTCAGCTTTTTACTTGTTAGGATGGAGTGATGACTTCTAAGCTTTTTACAGGAATAACTGTTGGTTATTACTTTTAATAGGAATCATGGCCATTTACATACTCATGAACCTTCAGGCCACGACTTTTAAGAAGTGGACATTCCTTTTTCACTCTTTTTCTTCTCCTACCAGTTGAATTTTAAAGAAGTCAGCCTGGTTCTCAGAGTGACTACAGAGAATACATCATTCCTGTCCCGCTTCCGGTATTACCAAGATCCATTTTGGCTTTTACAGGATTAAGTAATAAGCTCTCATTGTGCTAAACCATTGAGATTTTGGGGTTTGTCTGTTACAGCAGCTAGTGTGTTATGTGAACTAATGTAACAGGCATTGCTTGGAGATGCTCCCTGGGGATCTCCATTTCTCTACTCATCATGGATGTTATGGCAGATATTGCAGACTGGCTCACTCGCCTCCATTCCAAACTTTTTGTAGTATGCAAGGTAAATTGTAGAAAGGCAAAGATATTTCCATATTTCCCCAGACACCCATTTTTAGTTCAGGTTTCACAGGAGACAGATTTTGCCAAGCAGATGTACTTGTGTGAAATTTGAGAAACAGCAATGAACATAGTGAGGTGGAGGTTGTGCTTTCACTATTACTACTGTTTCTTCTGGCAATAATGTTTGTGAAATTGAAAGTAGTAGGAAACCCACCTACAGTGGTGTAAGCAAATAGAAGCCTATTTTTCTCAGATAGCAAGAAGTTTGGATGTAGGCAATCATTGGATTTGTCCATGAGTTTACCAATATCAGGATCAATCAGGATCAGTATCTGTGCAGTTTTTTCGAATTTTCCTTCATGGCTACAAGACCATTGTTGGAGCTGCTTTATTCAAGGCAAAACAAACAAAATAAAAACAATAGAAAAGGAAAACAGTAACATCAACTATGTCTGCCTGTTTTATCAGAAGACAGGTTTTCCCAGAAGCCCTCAAAACCGGCTTACCCAAGGTCTCACTGTCCAAATTTGGGCATGTTACCACCTGAAAATTAGGATTCTACTGGCAAGGAAAAAGGAGGGAAAGTTATGGGAGTGCCATAATGCATAGAACTCATAGTCTCTGCCCTCAAGGATCTAATGATGGCTTGTAGAGCAAAACATATGCATGGATATTTGAATAATAGTATAAGAGTTAAGAAAAAATATAAGGTAATAATAACATAAGTGATAGAGCAGATATTTTAGAGGAAGTGGACACTTTAGCGTTCAAATGCAGCCTATCTCCATTTTAAGTAGGGCTGACATGAAGGGATTCTGTGTTTTAGTTGGACCTGCAGGCAGCTTCTTCCTTGCTGCATGGTGTCATGCTGATGTCACCTGCCAAAGCAGAAGAGTGTTCTGAGAAAATGTCCAAATGAAGTGCCTTCTACAGTGTTGATGGGCAGGGAGTGGTGAACTTAACCTCATCCCAGGTGGATAAAAGGGCACCATAGGAATTGAGGAAAGATTCCAAACACAAGTCTAGAAGTTTATTTTGTGAGTAGAATGTTTCTCTGAATGCTGGAAACAATAAAGCCAACCACTTGCCTGTAATTAGCCTGGACCCCATAAGTCACCCAGACATAATACCAAGCTCTAAAATTGCCTTCAGAGTAAGGGGCCAGCACCCTGGAGTTACAGGCACTTGCTTTTTTGGCACCAGATTTATTGACATTAATGATCCCAATCCCATATGGAGTTCCCTGGACTGTTTAGATAATGAATTTGCCTTATGACAGCAGTGCTCCTTCTAATGAGGAATGAGTATTTTCTATAAGTTTTTATTTTAATGTGGTGGCTCTTGTGATATTGATCACTGGATCATGTGCTGTTCAAGCTCAGCTTTAATTTTCTCGATAACATGGTTCACCAATCCATTGGGATGCTGGTTTAAACAAGGATGGAATTCTACAGAACTGCCTCTCCCATATCCCTAGGGCCCTCATTGTGCCTCAGGTCGAATTCCAACTGCCAGTATATGCATCTCTTGCCTGAGGGCGTTCTTTGAAATTATGTGAGGACTTTGTCTGCCCACCCTGCAGGCTGGAAGTGTCAGAAGATTAATGTCACCCTTCCTCTGGAATAGCTCTCAACCAAAGATTGATGGGATTTGATGGCTCCTCTAGTGGGAGAATGCTAAGGCTTGTATTCTCCACTTTTCCCAGAGTGTCTTCCTAGCATTAAGCTACAGTAGCCCATGATGGTTGCTGGTTTACGAATACACCCTTGATTGAAGATGCGCCTTCCCTGTTTCACTTTCCCCTGCTCCTCTGCACTGATTTCCTTGAGCAGGCTCACATTTCAAGCAAGGAACATCAATGTTATTAATTGACTGTGAAAAAGAAAAAGCCCTCACAACCCCAAGAAGACCAAAAGAAAGAAATATGGCTATTTCCAAGTTTTATGATGACAGAGGGAAGGTTCCGCCAGAGAGAGTCTGCCAGAGGGAGAAGTGCAAAGGGCTGATGGGTAACAAGCTATGAATGGTATTATAATAAGTATTAATAATTCTGCTCCTTTGCCACCCCAATAACAACTTTCACTCATATCCTTGTCTAGGAGTCTGCTTCTTAGGGACCCAAGTTAATTCATGAAGATTGCTCAGATTTTTTCTTCTTGCAGACTGTGTTTTTTTTTTGTTTTTTGTTTTTTGTTTTTTGTTTTTACTACAACTATCTCTTCTGTGATGAACATCCAAGTGTTTCAGAGGAAACATAACCTAAAATGAGCCCCAGTATATTAGTCATGAAGAAAGGACATTTGGTTGGCTTCTCTGATTGACCCAAAGCAGAAACATGCACAAGGGACAAAATCAGAAAAATGAACATAGCATGTTGATTCCAAGCTCTTTCTGGAGACCTCTAGGCCTGGTAAACTAGTTTATACCATGTGATATCCCTGGACCATGTCTACAATATACACAGATCACATGGCCTCTTTGTGTCCTTTACAAAGGACACTCTAAAGTTGAGACCTCTTCAAAGCAGGAAGCAGCCACAGGTCTTTCCTGGCTTCCTGACTGTGAGGCCTCTGAGCCCAGGCCAGGCCATCGCATCCCCTGTGACTTGCACGTATACATCCCGATGGCCTGAAGTAACTGAAGATCCACAAAAGAAGTAAAAACAGCCTTAACTGATGACATTCCACCATTGTGATTTGTTCCTGCCCCACCCTAACTGATCAATGTGCTTTGTAGTCTCCCCCACCCTTAAGAAGGTACTTTGTAGTCTCCCCCACCCTTAAGAAGGTTCTTTGTAATTCTCCCCACCCTTGAGAATGTACTTTGTGAGATCCACCCCTGCCCACCAGAGAACAACCCCCTTTGACTGTAATTTTCCATTACCTTCCCAAATCCTATAAAACGGCCCCACCCCTATCTCCCTTCACTGACTCTCTTTTCGGACTCAGCCCACCTGCACCCAGGTGAAATAAACAGCCATGTTGCTCACACAAAGCCTGTTTGGTGGTCTCTTCACACGGACGCGCATGAAACTGACCCCAAGGGGAATAAGATGACAACATTCTAAAGAGACAAAGTCAAGAGAGACATGTCCTAGTGGAAGCCCAAACATTTGTTTAAACTTTTAGCTCATCACCCCTAAACACTGTGACTTGACTCATTTATATTTGTTCTCTTTCCTTGGTGTACACTTGAAGATGGTGACTTTATTGGTTTGCAAGAGTTGCCATAACAAAGTACCACAAACTGGGTGCCTTAAATGACAGAAATTTATTGTCTCCCAGTTCAAGAGTAAGGCGTTAACAAGGTTGGTTCCTTCTGATGGCTGTGAGGGAAGATCTCTTCCATGTCTCTCTCCTAGCTTCTGGAAGTTTGTTGGCAATCTTTGGTGTTCCTTGGTTTATAGATGCATGACCCAGATCTCTGCCTTTATGTTCCCATGGTGCTCTCCCAGTGTGTGTGTTTATGTCCAAATTTCCCCTTTGTATAAGGACAACAGTCATAATGGATTAGGAGCCCACCCTACTCCAATATGACCTTGTCATAACTTACTAATTATGTCTACAATGACTCTATTTCTAAATAAGGTCACATTCGAGATACTGGAGGTTAAGATCTCAAAATATGATTTTTTGGGGACACAATTCAGTGAATAACAGTGACCCAGGCAGGGAGTACAGTATAATGGTTAAGAAGTAGGCCTTGGAGATCAAACTGACTTAGTTGAAATTTTAACTGTACTACTTACTTGCTCAATGATTTTGAGTAACCTATTTAATCTTTCTGAATTTTAGTTTCCTCATCTGTACAATGGAGATGATAATAGCTACCTCAGAGAACTGTTGAGAGAATTAAATTCAGTGATGATTGTAAATGCAGAGTAAGTGAGAATAAATAACAATTCTTATTACTATTCATAGCCCCTTGCCCACCAGTCCTTTGCACTTTCCTGTCTGGCAGAGTCTATCAGAGAAGCTCTTTGGGTCAGAGCTCTCTTTTCATCATCAATAAAACTTGGAAATGGCAGTGTTTCTCCCCCTTGATCTTCCTGGGGTTACCAGAACTTTTCCATTTTTAGAGTCAATTGATAACATTGATGTTCCTCACACAATTGTGTGGGCCTGCTGGGGGAAAGCAGTGCAGGCCCAGATAGGAGAGATGGTCTTTATAAATCAAAAAAACATACTCCATTACCTAACCTTTTGAATTTTCCCTAGTACATCCTGCTAGAAAAGAGAAACCAGTTCTCAAATTTTAGTGCTGTTCTTTGGTCAACTTTAACCTGAAAGAGATTATAAATTTTCATTATTTCATAGTACCTTTATTAACACAGGTGAACACTGTTTTTCATAGGCAGTCTTTTACTCTATGATACACAGAAATACCCAGAATTTGCTGAATTGGATAAACTGGCTGTCTAAAGACTTGGGCAAAACTGATGATCAGTAGACTTAGAGGGTCAGAGAGACAGAAAATTCCTTGAATATTAGGAGTCAAGACGGAGATTCTTAGGCACTCAGAAAAATTGTAGAGGGGTAGAGATTTAGGGGGAAAAAAAGGAAACATTTGTTAACTATCTACTCTAAACAGAACACTTGGCAACGTACAGTGGCTAATGCCTGTAGTCCCAGCACTTTGAGAGGCCAAGGCGGGCTGATTGCTTGAGCCCAGGAGTTTGAGAACAGCTTGGGCAACATGAAGAGACATAATCTCTACAAAAAATACAAAAATTAGCTGAGTGTGGTGGCACACACCTGTAGTCCCAGCTACTTGGGAGTCTGAGGTGGGAGGATCATTTGAGCCTCAGGGGTGGAGGTTGCAGTGAACAGAGAATGGAGATCATGCCACTGCACTCCAGCCTGGGTGACAGAGCAAGACTCCATCTCAAAAAACAAAACAAAACAAAACAAAAACAAACCCAGGAACACTTAGTGTTTTTTTCTTTCTTTTTTTTTTTTAACCAGTTTTGCCACTGTCTTAATTGGCTATCCCCTCCCCTGTCTCTCAGAGCCTGGGTTTCCTGCCTCTAGGGAAAGCCATTCACATCTTCATGAGGAGAATGGAAAGCAAGTCTCCTGGAATTTCCCTGTTTTTTGGAATTTTTGCAGACCACCTTCCATTCACCCATGATGACCCACTGCTCCTTGCCTCTGCATTCTTAGCTCTTGGGACTTCGTTTGTCTCTTTCAGTTTCTGATAAAGGGACCTTCACCGCCATTTCCTTTGATGACCCATTTTGGGCATAGTTCTTTGACTTAACTGTCCTTTCCCTCAGCTGCAAGGCTGGCCCCATCCCCAGTGATCACCCCGCTTCCTGTTCCTGCTTTAAATAACTATCTGGGATTCTCACTGGGGGGATCAGTCAGACATAGCTTTACAACCATGCTTATGTTTAGTCCTCAAAGATATTGGGCAGTGTGCTCTAGAAAGGAGTCTATCACTCTACAAATGGGAAGATACTCTGGGTTTGGAGTCTTTTCACAAATGTTTTCATGTTCACCAGAACTTCTGAAGTTGGCATGTACCTTTGTCTAGTGAGGTCATGCTGGGCCATCTCCATTTGTTTCTTCTCTGGACACGCTTTGGATAGATCCTGCAAGATGGGGAAGGTTATCAAGTTAGAAAGACAACAAGGATATTTGCTCACACCAAACAACTTTATTGAATAAACCCCTTGTTGTGCATTCTTCTTCTTAAGATGGTTGGATTCAGTGGTTTTACTGTAGCAGAATTGCTGTGGAAAATGGGGTGGCATATATATACTGGTGAGATATTACCAAAATAATGCTGTGTAACAAACCATTCCAAGAGTCAATGGCTTAAAACAATATTTTAAAAAATATTTATGACTTGGCAGGCCAACTACAACTTAGCTGGGCTGGCATTCTGTTCCAGTCTCCAGGCTGCAGATTGGATTCGGGCAAGCTCTGTGTGTTTTAATCTGAGGCCCAGGCCAAAGAGGAAGCAACTATCTGGAGTAATCACTCTCATCGTAAATAACTAGAGTGCAAAAGAGCAGCCCAGCAATACAAACATATTTCAAGCCTCTGTTCATTTCACATGATCCAGCCCGAAGTCAAGAGGTAGGTATCCACCCTTCGTGAAGCCATAGCAAGATGGTGGATGATTCCACCACAGGAGAATGATATATTTGGACATATATCTTCAAATAAAATTTATTTTATTTAATATGTATCTTCAAATATGTATATGTATCTTCAAATACATATAGTATTTTATTTATATGTATCTTCAAATAAATTTATTTATATTTATCCAAAGTAGCCAAAATAAATGTCTATGTCATTGGAAACAGAGGAAGTGGGGAGAAGGTACAGTAAGGGAAGAGTTAGAATAGCAGCTTTACATCCTCAGGATGCTAGGTATCTACAACTCTGTGTAGCTGTGTTGCTGTATGTGTCTATGTGTTGGATTAGGAAATGCAAAGAAGGACATAAAAGTTGTAAAACTGCTTTAGAGTTCATTCATTAACATCTGAAAAGACAGACAATGCTAAAAGCGTGTAAAAGAAGTACAAGGTACACAGAATTTTTTTTTCATTTTGTTTGCCTAAGCAGTGTTTTTAAGGAAAAAGTAGGCATCATTAGCTAAGATGTTGCAAAAACTCAACTAGAAATTTCACTTACAGCTGATCAGTCTTTTGGGTAATTAACAAAATGGGGTAGGAGGAGAAATTAATGGTTGTGCCAATATTTGTTGGCAATTTTGATTTATTTTTCAGTAGCCCCCAATTGATAAAATTATCACTATTCAAAAAAAACTTACAAATAGTCCCCATCATTGGGAAAAAAGAAAACCTGAGAGTGTCAGAGACCCTGAGAGTGTCAGAGACAACTACAAAAAGAAGTGCTTGGGTTTTTAATTTTTGTTTTTGTTTTAAATATAGCAACTTCATGTGGTTCAGTGCTCTGGGATACTTTTCTTCTGTCAGCATCCCTTCTGCATTCAGACTCTGCTTCTGTTTGTCATACCAACCACTCTGATTGTGTAGTTCACATGAGCAGCAGCATAGTCTTGAGACCCTCTGCTATACAACCTTCCTCATTTATTGTCTCAAGCCAAGATAAATTACACACTTTAGAACAGGGCCTTAACTGTAAATACTTAATGATTTTCACTTTCAAAGCACTGTGCAAGCATATGTAGCCTCATTTTGGGGTGATGATTTGCATCCGTAATCTTTTATGACATAATTTCTTTGTTTTTAAAATACTGTCATACCCTTTATTATTAATCTTAATACAAAGCTGAATTGTTTTCTATAATAGTTTTACTGATATATAATTCACATAACCATAAAATTCACCATTTCGAAGTATGCCATTCAGTGTTCTTTTTTAGGTATATTCAGAGTTGTGCAACCATCATCACTATCTAATTTTAGAACATCGTAACTCCAAAAAGAAACCCCATATCCATTAGGAGTCACTCCCCATTCCGCCTCCCCCATCCTATCTCTGGCCAAACTATATAGCCTTTGGCAATCACTCATCTATTTTCTGTCTCTATGCTTTTACCTATTCTGAACACATCATATAAATGGAATCATGTAATACATGGCCTTTTGTGGCTGACTTCTTTCATATAGCATTGTGTTTTTGAGTTTCATCCATATTGTAACATGCATCAGTACCTCATTCTTTTTTATTGTTAAATTACATTCTGTTGTATGGATATACCAAAGTTTGGTTATTGATTCATCAGTAGATGAATATTTGGGTACATGCTATGAAACACGCATGTATAAGTTTTTACGTGAACATATTTTTCCAATTCTTTTGGGTATGTTTCCAAGAGTGAAATTGCTAGATCATGTGATAACTCTATATTTAACATTAAAAAATCTCCCAAATGTTTTTCTAAAGTGGATGCACTATTTTACATTCCACCAGAAATGTGTGAAGGTTCCAGTTTCTCCACATCCTTGCCAACACTTGTTATTGCCTGTCCTTTCAATTTTAGAAATCTCTAAAATGTGAAATAGTATTTCATTGCGATTTTGCTTTGCATTTCCTTGATGACTAATGATGGCAAATATCTTTGCATGTCTTTATAAGTGATTTGAATATATAATTTGAAAAAGGGCCTATTGAAATCATCTACCCACTTAAAAATCCATTTTGAGTTAATTTTTTATAAATGGTGTGAGGTAGGTGTATTAGTCCGTTTTCATACTGCTGATAAAGACATACCTGAGACTGGAAAGAAAAAGTCGTTTTAATGGACTGATAGTTCCATGTGGCTGGGGAAGTCTCACAATCATGGCAAAGGCAAGGAGAGCAAGTCTTGTCTTACATGGATGATAGCAGGCAAAAAGAGAGAGTGTGTGGGCCGGGCATGGTGGCTCATGCCTGTAATCCCAGCACTTTGGGGGGCCTAGGCGAGTGGATCACCTGAGGTCAGGAGTTCAGGACCAGCCTGGCCAACATGGCAAAACCCCGTCTCTACTAAACATACAAAAAATTAGCCGAGTGTGGTGGTGGGTGCCTGTAATCCCAGCTGCTAGGGAGACTGAGGCAGGACAATCACTTGAACCTGGGAGATGGGGCTTGCAGTAAGCTGAGATTGCACCACTGCATTCCATCCTGGGTGACAATATCGAAAGTCTGTCTCAAAAAAAAAAAAAAAAAAAAAAAAAAAAAAGAGAAAGCATGTGAAGGGAAACTCCTGTTTTTAAAACTATCAGATCTTGTGAGACTTATTTACTATCATGATAACAACATGGGAAAGACCCTCCCTCATGATTCAGTTATCTCCTACTGGGCCCCTCCCACATCACGTGGGAATTATGGGAGCTACAAGATGAGATTTGTGTGGGGACACAGAGCCAAACCACATCAGTAGGGGTCTGTCTTTATTCTTTTGCATATTGATATCCTGTGTCTCAGCACAATTTGTTGGAAAGACTGTTGTTTCCCCATCGAATTGCGTTGGCACCTGTGTCAAAAATCAATTAATCATAAATATGATGGTTTATTTTTAGACTCTCAGTTCCATTTCAATGATCTGTATGTTTATTCTTATGCCAGTACCACACCATTTTGATTACTATAATTTTATAGCTTTGAAATTGGGAAATGTGAGTCCTCCCACGCTAAGAATGGAACTTTTACAGGGAGCTTCCAGATAGGTCAAATAGTGACAATTATCTGAGGATAGACCTTCTGGAGGAACCCCAAACCTGTTCTGTACCCTCCAGTGTCTATTAGGCTGCTGGTTTTCACACATAATATGATTGTGAGGCTATTGGTTTTCACAGTAATTGTGGAACCAGGGAGAAGGGAATGGGAAGAGATCAAGCCACAATGCTTTTAATTCTTACCAAAATTCAGCCATTTTTTCGGGAAATTTTCCTTGAATTTTTGCAAGCTTTTGGTTAATTTCCAGAGTTCTGAAAAAGTTGATTTTGCCAGTTTTTGCCAGTGTTCTGATTGCTTTATGAAGGAGTAGATTTTTGGAGGTCCTTATCCATCATCCTGGAAGTGCTACTTTTATGTTATTTTTAAAGAGATCCATGTGATAGATGAGAGTAGGGGACTAGAAACTATAGGGCACCTACAATTCCAAGTTATCTTGTCAGTGTTACATGTAATAGATAAATATGTTGATACAGGGTGTACATGATGTCAGAAACTACTTAGGTGTTTACACTTAGTTGTACAACAAAAGCCAAAGTCAATCAAATAATCATTTCTTGAGTAGCTGCTATGATGGGATAAGCACTGTACCCTAGAGAATAACAAAGATGAGTAAAACTGTTATTTAAGATTCTCTCTGTAGAAACAAACATAAACCTAGCTTGAACTTGTGTAGGCAAATGAAAGACCTTTATAGGAAGAATTTTGGGGTGCCTTATGTAATCAAAGCCAAGGTTGGACAACCAATCTTTGGGTAGTATGGCAATAAGGCTTTGAGATGGAGCCTCATATACTAGAACCAGGGCTTTGAAACCTCCAGTACTCTCTGCCTTCCTCTCGTCTCTATTCTCTCTCTGAAGCTTCATTCCCTGTCATCATGGGGCAGCCTCCTCCATCTGACAGGAATGATGGCAGTGGCAGATTTCATCATTGATCCCAATTCTTCATCCTTCCTTGGATCCACATCCTTTGCCATGTGACTTTGCAGTTCCTCCCACTAAAGGGGTAGAATGTATTCTCCATCCTTGACTTTGGGAACAGTCAAGTGACTTGCTTTAGCCAGTTGAATTAGGTATAAGTGACAGAGTTCCATTAAGAACTGTAACGGTTATGAGATTTTATCCTACTTATAAATATTCAGTTAGCATGCCACCATTTTATTGATGTAGGCAGAAGACATGAGATTCCTGTGACAGAAACAAAGGACTTTATTACTCATGACACAGCAAGCAGCATGGGCTTCATGTTTGCATCAATTCTCCTTGCCTCCCACCAAATTGCATTAGGATGATGTGGAGGGACCTAGGTGGATGATGCATTTGCAGTAGGTGTGTCAAGCTGAAGAACCCTGAGCTTAGGGAACCCAAATCTTTTATAATGGACAGTAAGCCTGTCTGATCTTTGTCCTAGAGGGAGACATTATCTTTGTTATACAACAATAAGCTTGTCTGCCTTTTGCTTTAGGGGGAGACACTATCTTTATCCTCCAAGACTGTAAGTATATCTGCTCCTTGATCTGGAGGTTGACAATATCTCTATCTTCCAGGGCCATTTGCTGTACAAAGTTTGGAAAAAGGTGCAGTCAATGCCTTGCTAGCAGGATGTACAGAAACGTGAGAGACCCATGGAGAACTGTCTAACAACAAGTTCAAGTGTCTAAGCTTAGATCTTGAGATGCCTCACATGCTTCCACTTGCTTTCTTTCTCTTCCACCTGCCTCTATGGAAAAAACATTCCATGGCTAGCACATTTATCCCAGGAGGAGGATAAAAGACATGTGGAACAGAACTTCCCATGTAAGCCTAGCCAGAAGCAACTGATTCTTAAATGACTCAAGGAAGCATGAACTAAATGAATGCTTCTGGTACTAAAGTCTTGTGGTTGTTTGTTATGCAGCAGTATCTACTGATGCAATGACCATTGATGGCAACTCAGTTTTCCATTTTGTGTCTTCCATCACCCAAGAAGGACTGTCACAAGTAGTTTCTGGTCTGGTAAAGACCTCTGATTGGCTCATCACTAATTGTAAATTAACAAGTTAGCAGCCAGCTGTGGTGGCACACGCCTGTAATCCCAGAATTTTGGGAGGCCGAGGCGGGTGGATCACCTGAGGTCAGGAGTTCAAGACCAGCCTGGTCGACAGGGAGAAACCCTGTCTCTACTAAAAAATACAAGAAAAAAAATTAGCCAGGCATGGTGGCACACACGTGTAATCCCAGCTACTTGGGAAGCTGAGGCAGGAAAATTACTAGAACTCGGGAAGCGGAGGTTTCAGTGAGCTGAGATCACGCCACTGCACTCCAGCCTGGGCAGCAGAGTAAGACTTCGTCTCAAAAAAAACAAAAACAAAAACAAAAACAAAGAAGTTAGCCTGGTTGGGCATGGTGGCTCATATCTGTAATCCTAGCACTTTGGGAGGCCCACTGGGATCATTTGAGGCCAGAAATTTGAGACGAGCCTGGGCAACGTAGTGAACCCTCATCTCTACCAAAAAAAAAAAAAAATTTAATGTAAAAAAATCAGTAGCATATCTATACACCAATAATGTTCAAGCCGAGAGCCAGCCAAATCCCATTTAAAATGAGAACGCAGTCCCACAATACAATAACCACACACACGCAAAATACCTAGGAATACATCTCTAACCAAGGAGGTGTAAGATCTCTACAAGAAGAACTATAAAAAATCGCTGAAAAAAACAGATGATGCAAACAAGTAGAAAAGAATTCCATGCTCATTGATTGGAAGAATCAATATTGTTAAAATGGCTATATTGCCCAAAGCAATCTATAAAATTTAATGCTATTCTTATCAAACTACCAATGTCATTTTTCACAGAATTAGACAAAACTATTCTAAAATTAATATAGAACCAAACAAGATCCTGAATAGCCAAAGCAATCCTAAGCAAAAAGAACAAAGCCAGAGACCTCACATTATCTGATTTCAAACTATACCATAAGGCTATAGTAAACAAAACAGCATAGTAGTGGTACAAAAACAGACACATAGACCAATGGAACAGAATATAGAACCCAGAAATAAAGCCACACACCTATGGCCATCTGATCTTTGACAAAGTTGACAGAAATAAGCAATGGGGAGAGGGCTCCCTATTCAATAAATGGTGCTAGGGAAACTGGTCAGCAATATGCAAAAGAATGACACTGGACCCTACCATTCACCATATACAAAAATTAACTCAAGATAGATTAAATATTTAAATTTAAGACTTCAAACTATAAGAATCCTAGAAGAAAGCCTAGGAAACACCATTGTGGACATCAGGCTTGGGTAAGAACTTATGACTAAGTCCTCAAAAGCAATTGCAACAAAAACAAAAATTGACAGGTGGGACCTAAATAAACTAAAGAGCTTCTGCACAGCAAAAGTAACTATCAACAGAGTAAATGGACAACCTACAGAATAGGAGAAAATATCAGCAAACTATGCATCTGACAGAGGTCTAATACCCAGACTCTATAAGGAACTTAACCAATTTAACAAGCAAAAAAACAAGTAATCCCATTAAAAAGTGGGCAAAAGACATGGACAGTTCTCCAAAGAAGTATGCAATTGGCCAAAAAACATGAAAAAATGCTCAACATCAGTAATCATTAGACAGATGCAAATTAAAACCACAATGAGATACCATCTCACACCAGTCAGAATGGCCATTACTAAAAAGTCAAAAAACAGATGCTGGCGAGGCTACAGAGAAAAGGAAATGCTTATACTCTGCTGGTGGGAATGCAAATTAGTTCAGCCACTGTGGAAAGCCATTTGAAGATTTCTCAAATAACTTCAGACAGGACTACCATTTGACCCAGCAATTCCATTACTGGGTATATACCCAAAGGAAAATTGATCATTTTACCAAAAGACACATGCACTTGTACGTTCATTGCAGCACTATTCACAATAGCAAAAACATGGAATCAGCCTAGGTGCTCATCAGTGGTGGACTGGGTAAAGAAAATGTATACACCATAGAATACTATGCAGTCAGAAAAAGAATGTAATCATGTCATTTGCAGCAACGTGGATACAGCTAGAGGCCATTATCCTAAGCAATTAAATGCAGGAAAAGAAAATCAGATACCACAGATTCTCACTTATAAGTGGAAGCTAAACATTGGGCACTCATGGACATAAAGATGGCAACAATAGATACTGGAAACTACTAGAAGGCGGAGGAGGGGGTAAGTGCTGAAAAACTGGTACTATGCTTGCTACTTGGGGGACGGGATCATTCATATCCCAAACCTCAGCCCCACGCAATAGGCCCTTGTAACAAATCTGCCCCTGTACCCCAGATTCTAAACAAAAGTTGAATTATAAAAATGAATAAATGAATAAATAAATAGAAAAAATATTACCTAGGCATGGTGGGGTATGCCTGAAGTCCCAGCTACTAGAGAGAGTGAGGTGGGAGGATTACTTGACGCCAGGAGTTTGAGGCTGCAGTGAGCTAAGATTGCCCCACTGCACTCCAGCCTGGGTGATACAGCAAGACCCTGTCTGTTAAAACAAACAAACAAACAAACAAACAAACAAACAAACCTCAGCCTGCCACAGTTTTCATGGCAGTAAGCCAATAAAATGTGCTAACGTAGTCACGGGAAAACATAGTCAATACTGTCATCACTATCACCATGTAAATGAGTAAGGGACAATTCCTAGGGAAGGAAAGAGGTGCTGGGCATCTAGTACAGGCATTCATGGTGTAGGAGAGACAATGAGGTCCTATTCGAATAGAGTGCAGTTGAGTTCTAGACATGTTTTACTTATGCTAATCCAATCATTCCTGTGTATTTGTGTGTGGGGGGGTCGGGGGGTGGTATGAAAGGCATGAATCTGCGGTTGACTCAGCCTCAATTCCAAGTCATCACTTCAAAGGTTAAGTCATTTGTTACATTAAGTATGATTCCAGGTATTTTTGGAATATCTATTTTATAGTATATAATGGCGTACATTATACAATATATTTACTCATGCTTCTTCCTGTATAGGGTTGGATTTCAAAATCATATATACTGTACTTTATGGAAAATTCTGGAAATTTTTAAGTGTAATTGGCTTGTCCCTTTTCATATCCTCATAAGCTCCTTCTCCAGAAATTAGATGTTTCTTAGAAAAGGGGAGGGGGCTGGGCATGGTGGCTCGTATCTGTAATCCCAACTACACTGGAGGTTGAGATGGGAGGATTGCTTGAGGCCAGGAGTTTCAGACCAGCCTGGGCAACACAACGAGATCCCATCTCTGAAAGAAAAAAAAGAAAAAAGAAAGAAAGATGAAGGGAAGGAAGGATAAAAGGAGGGAAGAAAGGAAGGAAGGAAGGAAGGAAAGAAGGAAAAGAAAGAGGGAGGGGAAAGAACCTGAATAGGCAAAAATTGTTTTTATCATCTCATAGAATAGATGCTTGAAGTAGAAATTAGGTACAGTTTTTGAAAAAATAAGTCATGGTTTTTTTTTTAATGCAGTTGAATTGGTAGATGGAGATGCATGCCTGTGACTCTAGCCTTCCTCATCAGTCTGGTATGTTATTATAGAAATAAAATATCATGGAGGTACAAAGGAATGCTATTAGTAATGACAAAGGATAAATTACTGTATATGGAACAACATGGATGGGCCTTACAAACACAATGTTGAATGAAAGAAACAAGATTTATGAGAGTATTTATTTTATATTTCATTTATAGTAAGTTCAAAACCATGGAAAACTAATCAATAAAGTTAGAAATCAGGAGTCACATGAGGAAACAAAGAGAGCTTAGGCCCTGGCAGGATGCCTGAGACGTAGTCTTGCCTCCTGGGTTCTTCTTCACTAGATTGAGGCCCTAGGGAAGACAATGATGGAGCCACCAAAACACAGGGGAGTCTGTGTGCCGTGTCCTGGGGACAGTCTGGAAATTCAGCAAGGGTTTGGGGATTTTCTTTCACAGATCAGAGGAAATATCTGAGTAGATGAATGTTATATGCTGCCAGTAAAGCTTCTGTGCTTCAGAGGTGGAGAGGAGGAGCAGAATATTCTGGCACAGGTAGGAGTGGTGTGGTTATGGTTCAGAGTTGATGGTGTTGGAGTGTTCTTGTTGCCTGGACAAGGGTGGCCCAGCAGTGTCGTGCTTGGATCAATAATTAAAGGTTGTGTGGAAATGAGGCTATCTGAACCAATGCCAGTGTGGAGAGAAGATGAGATCTAGAGAGGGATTCTTTCCTGCACCTCTGTCAACCCCTTTGCCTTGGCATCTTTGGCAGCAGATGGGGATTCTGGAACTCTGGGTGATTCAGTTTCTACCACTTGAAAGTTCTTTCAAAAAATAAGGAAGTATTTTTTTGCAGACTTGAATTTGTAGCCTGAAATTTGTTCCTGTATTCCTTAAATTTGTATAAAATTAGTGTTACAACAATTCCATTTTATTCATAAAAATATTTTGTGGGTATTTTCCAAGGTCTTTAATCTGATTTTGTGGTATATTTCATCAAATGCGTGTGCCATAATTTATTTTGGCTATTCATGTGGGACATAGATGTAGTTTCTAATTTTTATTATTAACCATGCTGCTGTGATACGTGTCCTTCACATTAAACTCCCTGTCATGCTTTTGCTGTATCATCATCACTCCTGCACTCATCATATCTTATTCTCATTTTATCTTTGTCCCAGTGGAGAATTCAGTTAAATTTGTTATTTGTACTATATTATATATATATTTTAAAAGATTTTATTTGTAACAGCAGGTTTAGGTTCACACCAATATTGAGCAGAAGGTTCAGAGATTTCCCATTTACTTCTTGCTCCCACACAGGAATAGCCTCTGCCATCATCAACATCCCACACCAGAGTGGTACAATTGTTACAGTTCATGAACCTATAATTGACACATCGTTATCACCTAGAGTCCATCATTTACATTACAGTTCACTCTTGCTGTTGTAAGTTCTATGGGTTTTAACAAATGTATAATGACGTATATGTAATTGCAGTATCATATACAATAGTTCAGTTCTTTTTTTAATGAGTCATGCCTTTGTGTTATATCTAAAAAGTCATTGCCAAACCCAAGGTCCAAGGTCATCTAGGTTTTTCCTGTTATTTTCTAGGAGTTTCATAGTTTTGTGTTTTACATCTTAGGTCTGTGATTCATTTTGAGTTGATTTTTGTGAAAGGGTATAAGGTCTGTGTGTAGATTCATTTTTGTGTGTGTGTGCATGTGGGTGTCCAGTTGCTCCAGCACCATTTGTTGAGAAGACTCTTTGACTCTTTTCTCCATTGTATTGCCTTTGCTCCTTTGACAAAGATCAGTTGACTATATTCATGTAAGCATCATATATGTTTTTAATGAGGTGCTCTTCAATTTTTCTGGAATAAGATAAAACATAAATTAAGTAAAACTACCATAATTACGAAACAAAAGTCAGAATGTTTAGTATAACAAATGTGAGTTCACAAGTGATGAAACTGCCTAGACACTTTATGGACACATGAGATACAGAAACTTAACCAGGTAAATCCCAACACTCAATGCTACTCATCTGTAAAACTGGATAATAACAATACATTCTTTATAGGATTGTTGAGAGGATTAAATAAACTAATTCATGTATAGTGCTTGAGGCAGTATTTGGCTTCTTTTAAATGCTCCATAAATATTATTATTATTATATTATCATCATTAGTGGCAGTCAAAAATAACCATTTTCCGTAGTGGCACACAGGAAGCAATATGGTGGACTAGTTAACTGACAAGAGAATGCTGCTGGTGACCACAGAATTTTCTGGAGAAGCCAGCTCTTTATTTCCTCCTTTCTTCAGGGCTTTAAAAGCTTCTTAAAAAAGATATGGACCTAGAGCAGTAATGCACTGGGGCTTAGGATCCCAGTGGAACCACACACTTGAAAATGGTTGGAACTTCTTGCCATCGCTTGCCTCTACTTGTCTCTGTGGCCTTGCTCTCTTGCTGTCTTCTGATGACTGGTTTTGTCTTCTACTTAATCTGCACAAGCAATATGGCCACCGACTGGACCAAAGTTTTATGTGTAGGAGGTTCAGTAGCCTGGAGAGAGACCCATCCCTTTTCCAAAGACTAAAGTCACATTTTCCCAGGGGATAAGATTAATTAGGTTAAATTGTGATGGTGCTTACCTCTGAATTGGCAACTTGGAGCTAAGGGAACAGGATAATATTAAACAAACCACTCTCATGGAAACCATGTGGCTTGAGGAAATGGGAAGGCAAGATCCAGAGAAGCAGGGACAGTGGTAGGACAAACAGTGTATAGATGTCCACTGTGGCTGGTTCTCCCTGCCGTCGTCTTCTTCCTCTTCTTTTTTTTTTTTTTTTTTTTTTTTTGAGACAGGGTCTTGCTCTATTGCCCAGGCTGGAGTGCAATGGCGCAGTCTCAGCTCACTGCAACCTCTGCCTCCTGGGTTCAAGCGATTCTCCCACCTCAGCCTCTTGAATAGCTGGAACTGCAGGCACACACCACCACGCCTGGCTAATTTTTGTATTTTAGTAGAGACGGAGTTTTGCCATGTTGCCCAGGCTGGTCTCAAACTCCTGAGCTCAAGTGATCCACCTGCCTCAGCCTCTCAAAGTGCTATGATTTACAGGCATGAGCCACCTCATCCAGCCTCCCTGACATCTTCTTGTGGCCCTTGAGAAAGGAAATGGAGCAGACTTCTCTGAACACTCATTCAGGGAAGTGGGAATTGATTACTAGCTTGGCTAGTACTTCACCTATGTTATATATAAAGTTTCGGTGCTGCAAAAGAAATAGCACTCCAATATAAAATTTTGTTTTAATTCTCAGCAAGGCCAGGTAATTCTATAGAAGGGTGCGCCCTTACAGATGGAGCAATGGTGAGCACACACCTGGACAAGGGAGGGAAAGGGGTTCTTATCCCTGACGCACGTGACCCTTGCTGCTCTGTTGTTCCCCTATTGGCTAGGGTTAGACCGCACAGGCTAAACTAATTCCGATTGGCTAATTTAAAGAGAATGACGGGGTAAGTGCTTTGGCAGGAAAAAAATGGTTATGCAGGGTGGAGAATGAGTTAGGTCAGAGCAGGTAGCAGGTAATCGGAATGAGTTAGGGTGGAACAGGTGATCCGAATGAGCTAGGGTGGAGCAGGTGATCGGAATGAGTCAGGGTGGAGTAGGTAATCAGAATGAGTCAGGGTGAAGTAGGTAATCGAAAAAGGTTGCTTTATGAAAGTTAAGTTTAAAAGTAGAAGGCAAAGAATTGAACATACTAACATATTAATTCTTTGAAGAGAAATTTAGAATTCATATTTAACAACTTCCTCCTTTTGCATTTTTCTTACAGCTTTCTCTTCAAACTTATTTAACATGTCTTGAGTTAGTTGTTCTGCTTGATATTCTAAAAGAAAAAGCTTCTCTGGGTAAGGTGGAGGATAGTTAAGGGAGGTTTTAGTAAGTGCCATTTTTATGAGCCTCTGCATCTACTTATGGACGCATGGTATGACACAGCTCCTGACAAGAATAAGTTCACCTATTACGGCTACAAGGGAGGTAAGAATTGAGGGGATTATTCCTTTCCATTTACTGAACCACTTCTCTAGCCATCCTGTAAAGGGGTCATTTACCCTTGAGTTGCTGGCTAACTCATTGGATAGAGCAGTCAGACCTTGCAATGCCTTTGTTATACTTCCATTAGGGGCGGTGTTGTTTGGGATGAAGGTGCAACATTGAGTTTTAATCATGACGCAAACTCCTCCTTTTTCTGCTAATATCATGTCTAAGGCTATCCTATTTTCCCAAGCCATCTGGCTAGCAGTAGCCCCTAATTGCTCAGCTATTCTTTTAACAGCATCTTTAGTGTAGTTAATAAATCGCTGTTGGTTGTAACAGATGTAGTTTATCCAATCTAGATTTTTATTAATTGTCACCCACCAAAATATTGACTCAAATCCTGCAGCTGTTTGATTTCTGGCTTTAAATTGATCTGGTATCCCCCATGGGACTCCAACTGTGTCTAAATAGATGTGAGAGTCAAAAGATCCATAAGGGGCTTCTCTCGCTTTACGATGTCTTATTTTTCCTTCTTCTGGTTGATGAAATGCCAGGGTGGAAGGGATAGCCAATTGGATTAAAGCACAAGTGCCACTCCAGTTATTCGGCAGAGTGTCCAGTAAAGGTCCACCACAATACCACCACACAGCCTCTTGGGGATGAACAAGGGCTGACTGATTGCTAAGCTCTTGAAAGTTCTTAAGCTCACTGCATCCCTTAGGTCTCCAAGGAATGCTAAGTTTCCTCCCTGTCGTGAGAGACACAAAGTGAACTTAGTGTTGGGAGACGGAAGCTGGACGGCCCTCTGGGGCTAACCCGCAGGGTGCCGGACTTCGGGATATAGCAGAGCGAGAGCTTGGCATGACTTGTTATCCCAGGCTGTAGAATCCTGGAAAAGAGCTACCGTGCAGCCCATCCTCAGTCGACCAGAGGACCACCCTAGTGGAAAAGGGACAATCTGGGCCTCTGGCCTGCCACGAGCACAAGCAAAACAATTGCTTTTGTTTACATGCAGATGGCATATTTGATCTATTCCAACAAGGCATTTACATCTTGGTATCCTGTCTCAATTGCCAAAGTTTGTTTTAAGTCTTTAACTTCTACCATCGCTATCTTGGCCTTATTGTTAGATGGAGGAGGAACAATGGTTCCGTTGTAAGAGGTTTTGGAAAAAGGCTTAGAGGCAGGTGCAGGTGGCACGGGATCAAAGGAATGCATTTCAAATAATCCAATAGGGTCTGTCCCTGAAACCTCAGCCCCCATACCATAAAACCAGCTTGAAGAAGGTAACTGGCTTAGAAAAGGGGAAGAATTTTGAGGGCTCAAAATAATAACCTGTATAGGATTGCACTGGTTTAGCTGACAGTTGTGGGGGGCTATTCCTTTAGTAAAATGAATGTATGGTTTCAGGAAATTACAAACACTAGTTGGGGCAGTCCATCCTCACTCTTCAGTGGTCCACAGAACACTGGACCAAGTACGGCATAAAAGCTCTACATCGGGGGCAAGACTCCTGGTTGACCCTGGTCTTTATCCAAATCTCCCCAGATTAAGTGGTACCAATTCACTAGTGCCCAGTTTGAGGAGAGCCAGGAGGGACGGAGGTACTTTTCTGAAGTAGAGAGCTGTCTTTCACTTGAGAAATCCCCACAGGGTATAAAAAGGCAAGCATCAAACACAATAGTTTGAGGCAAAATTGACTAGGTTATGTTAATAACTAGATGGTCAGTGATAGAGCGCGGAAAGAAGAAACAGTAATAAAATAGATGAAAGAGAGTTAAATTCTTCTTAGCTTTAGTTTGGTAGGGTTTTCCCCTGGGACTATGGCCCATGACTCTGGAGGGGGCGGTGCTTTCTTGACCCGGATATGGTGAGTCCATCCTTTCTCTGCTGTGCGGACTGTGGTTTCAGTAGTTAGGAGCACTAAATAAGGACATTCCCAGGCTGGCTCAAGCTTCTCCTCTTTCCAGCTCTTGATGAAGGCGTAATCCCCAGGCTGATGTTGATGCACTGGGAACTCCAAGAGCGGTGCTTGTGCTAATAGACCTTTAGTTTTAAGAGAAGAGAAAGTAGAAGATAGACCAAGTATACAATTTTTAAGGAATTGATCTTTTGTTTCAAAGGTAGGAATATCAGCAGGGGAGTGCAAATAAGGTAATCCATAGTGCATCTCATAAGGAGAAAGACCAATATCTTTCCCTAGTGCAGTTCGAATTCTCAGCAGGGCAATAGGAAGACACTTGGTCCATGGCAATCGAGTATCTAATACTAATTTGGTTAAGTGGTTCTTTAGAGTCTGATTCATTCTTTCTACTCTCCCTGATGAGGGTGGGTGCCAGGGCATATGGTGTTCCCATCTAATGTCTAACGTTTGGGATAGCTTTTTCATAATGTGTGTGGTGAAATGAGTTCCATGGTCTGAGTCAATATTTTCTATTAGTCCAAACCTGGATACTATATTTTCAATTAGGGTCTTAACTACATTATTTGCTGTTGCATTTGAAAAGGAGTAGCTTCGACCCAGTGAGTGAGGTGGTCTACTATCACTAGTAAATATTTTAGACGACCTATTAGAGGCATTTCTGTGTAATCAACCTGGATACTTTGGGATGGCCTTAAGCCTGGATTCCTTCCCTCTAGAGGTAATCTTTTTATAGTATGTCTATTAGTTTTCTTACATACTAAGCAACTATCTGTAACGTGTTTGGCCAGGGTATAAATTCCAATACAATCATAAACTCTGAGAACTGCGTCACACATGGCCTGGGGCCCCCAGTGGGTCCCCTGATGTAGTTGGGAGAAGAGTTCCCTCATAAGGGGTTTAGGTAACATTTGTCTCTGGTCTAGCAGTATCCACTTTCCTTCTGAATTCTCTTTAGTGCCTATTTTTATTAGTTTCTCTACTAAATGGGGATTATGGTAGGAGGAGGGAGGTAGGGAGTTAAGTGAAAAATACACATTTCAGAAGACACAGCAGCCTGCTTGGCTACCTGATCTGCTAGGTTATTTTCTTGACTTTCAATAGAAAGGCTTTTCTGGTGTCCGGGAACATGGACAATAGCTATTCTTCCTGCAACTGAAGATTATTCAATACTTGGGTGATCAGCTCCTTGTGAACAAAGTCTTGACCTTTACTATTAATGAGACCTCGTTCAGTCCAAATTTTCCCAAACGTATGGGCCACTCCAAAGGCATACCTGGGATCTGTATAGATAGTTCCTTCCTGGTTCTGTAAGTACTTTAAGGCTTGGCTGAGTGCAAACAGCTCACACGTTTGAGCAGACCAACTGTTGGTTGGTCAATTTTCTTGACCCTATTTCTACGAGACTTTCTCCATCAATCACTGAATACTCGTTGTGTCTTTTTCCCTCAATCACCCGGGAGGAACCGTCTATGAATAAGTGCTGTCCAGTCCAGAAGGGGGTTTCTCCTAGGTCTGGTTGAACCTTGTATGCTAATCAATTAAATCTAAACATGTGTGTTCTCTCCTTAGATTTGGGTTACCTGTTAGGAAACCTGCTGGGTTGAGTGAATTATCAGTGGACAATGTTAAATCATCCTTTTCTAACAGAATGGCCTCATTCTTTAAGATTCTTGAGTCAGTAAGCCATCTCCTTGCTCTTTGGATTAAGATAGTTCTAACTTGGTGAGGCATGCTTACTGTCAATTTCCCTCCAAAGGTTAACTTTCTGTTTCCTCGACTAGTATTGCCGTAGCCGTGATGGACTGGATGCGTTGAGGCCATCCACAAGTGACTGGGTCTAAGACCTTTGATAGGAAGGCTACGGGCTGCCGGCGGCCTCCGTGTTCTTGACTTAGCACTCCTAAAGCTACCTCGCTGTACACATTAACAAAAAGGTGGAATGGCTTTTCTAGGGAGGGTAAGACTAAAACAGGGGCAGTTATGAGCCTTTCCTTCAGCCTCTCGACTTGGTCAGCTTCCTCAGAAGTCCACAGGAGACAGTTAGGCTTCTCCTGGGCAAGCTTTTGATATAACAGTTTACTGTGCAGTGCATATGAGTGAATCTATAAGTGGCGGTATCCAACTAACCTTAAAAATTTCCTGAGTTCTTGTTTAGTTTGAGGTAAGAGTAGGGACACGATTCCCTTGATTCGTTCAGGCCCTATTCTTTGCTTCCTGTGCTTATTAAGTGACCTAAATATTTAACTTCAGGCTGTACATACTGAAGCTTTCTTTTTGAGACTTGTAGCCCCTCAAACTGCAGATGGTTAAGAATATGTGTAGAGAAGTCAGTTACCTTCTCTATGTCTTCACCAGATACAAGAATGTCGTCCATGTATTGAAGAAGGCATATTTGTTCTGGAATGACAACTTTTTCTAGTACTTGTTCTAAAATTTGGCCAAAAAGATTAGGGGAGTCTATGAACCCTTGGAGCAAGACTGTCCATCGATATTGTTGTTTCTACCCTGAGTAGGGATCCTCCCACTCAAAAGTAAATATATCTCAGCTATCTTCAGCCAGGAGACATGCTTGAAAAGCATCCTTGAAATCTATTACGGTAAACCATTGATGATTATATGGAATCTTGCTAAGAATAGTGTAAGGATTGGGGACAACGGGGTGGGTAGTCTGGACTATTTGGTTGATAGCTCTAAGGTCCTCTACTAGCCAGTATGACATGTCTGATTTCTTGACCGGCAGTATTGGGGTATTATAAGGGGACATACAGGGCTTGAGAAGCCCATCCTTAATAAGGCCTTTGATTATAGGTTTCAACCCTATCCTACCTTCTAGGGGAAAAGGGTATTGCTTCCTTCATACTACTTCTCTCGGGGTTTTTAGCTTGAGGGATAGGAGGAACTTGGAGTTTCCCTCGGTTTCCTTCTTTGAACCAGACATTAGTATTAATATATTTTTCATCTGCAGTGGTGAGTAGGTTTAATGAGGTAAGGAATCCTCTTGGGCTGACTTGTACACCTATGCCGAACTTTAACATTAAATCCCTCCCCAGTAAATTACTTCCTGCTTCAGAGATTAACAAGAACAGAATATGACCTGAGCAATCCTGGTATCTAACTTCTGTGCTTTGTAAAATTTTTCTCTAAATCCTTCCCCTTTTACCCTGGAGACTAAAAGTTCCTCTGAGGAGGAGACAACATTACATGGGGGGAAACAAACAGAGGAGCGAGCAGCCCCTGAATTGACTAAAAAGGTGATAAGCTCATGTTTGGTCCCACCTCCAAATTTATCAAGGGCTCCTGGTGGGACTCAAGATAAAAGAGACAGAGCCCCTGACCCCCCATTCTTCCTCGAAAGTCATGAGTGGAAGGGCTTCTTTCTCCTTTCTTAGTTCAGGACATCCTCTCTTGAAGTGGCCTATTCTTCCACATCTCTAGCCCCTATCTTGTCCTTTCTCCTTCTTAGTTCTGGGATTCTTTAACCTTGCTCCCCTATACTCTTTAGGGGGCCTGGTAGACGAGGACTTTTGTCCTCCAGATGGAGGCTGGGTCCTTTAAGAGAGGGTTCAGACCCTTTATAGTTTCTGGCTCTCTAGAAGCTCTGTCTAGAAGTACCTGGGTTTGGAGCCATCTGTTGGAAGGTGGAAAACATAAGTTTTGTCTTTTGTTTCTGTTTTCCTTCGTCCCTTTTCATGTATACTTTCTGAGCTTCCCTGAGAAGCTCACTTAGAGGATGGTCTATCTTTTGTAACTTTTTTGAAATGTCTGGCCAACTTTTAGTGACAAATTGGAGTTTCAACATTCTTTGCCCAAGGGCATCATCCACATTGAGGCTTGCATATTGCCTCATTTGCTCCCTCAGTCTGTCTAGGAATCTCATAGGCCCTTCATCCTTTTCCTATTGTATATCAAGTGCTTTAGAAAGATTTCGGGTTCGGGGTACTGATTCCCAAACTCCTTTTATTATCATCTCCCTTAGGTCCTGCATATATTCCCGGTGATCTGTGTTGTTATTGTCCCACCTGGGGTCTCAGGCGGGGAATTTCTGGTCTGCATAGGAACGTTTCACCGGGAGGGTGCTCATGTTCCCAAACTACCATAGCAGCCCTACAAATCATATTCCTTTCTTCCCCTGAAAAGAGGATGCCCAAGATGGACATTAACTCGACCTAAGTGTATAACTGAGGTCCTAAGTATTGGTTAATTTGGTCTGCCACTCTGTAAGAGTCATCTAGTTGTGGTTTAAACTCCTTTTTAAAATTCTGGACTTCTGAACTGGTTAGGGGAGCATTTACAAAGCCAATGCCTGCCCCCGCCTTGTGGTACCTCTTTCAAAGGGAAGAGCATTGGGGCTCACCTGTTAGGTACAGAGGGAAATGGGAAATTCTGAATATCTTTTTTATATTGTTCTACCTCACGCTGGAGTCCTTTTAGAGAGGGGTATTTAAGTTGGGAGGGAACAGGCTGGTGGGGTTGTAATTCCCAAGAGTCAGGGGTATAAGGAGAGGGATAACGTGAGTAGAGGGGCAATTTGGAATGGAATCTGAGGCAGCAGTGGCTGTCTGAGGGGAAAGATTGGGGATTCTGAACAGAGGAAGATAGTCTAGGGGATCCCATGTGCTGGAATCTTTAGGCATGAGAGCTGGCTCCTCTGACTTTTCATTTTGAGGTGCCAGATTGGGTTCTTCCCTATTTGTTTTTAAGGGAAAAAGGAGGGCAGGTCCTTGTCTCCAACAAAGGACATAACCTAGTTCTTCTTGAGACACTGGACTTTTTTCATTAACATATCAGATTAGAAGCTGACACATTACATCCTCATTCGACCCAAACTTTGGCCCGAAGATTGAGGGTTTGAGGATGGGTCCCTGAGTCCAAATAAAACAATAATATTTTATCATTTGTTGCTTTTTCCTATGTTTAGTCCTTTCATTATCCTTCCAGTGTTTTAGCATGAGACCTAGGGGTCTATCCGAGGGGATATCTTTGTTACCATCTTTATCCCCCTTGCTCCCTGTCTTGCTTGGGGTATTTCCCATCTTGATGGTTTTGGGGTAAGGTTCAAGGTTCAATTTCCCTTACTGGAAATTTCTCACCTTTTGGGGTGAGGCTCAGTTTCCCCACTGGAAATTTATTGCCTTTTCTACTACTGGAGGTTTGTGTGAGGTTCAGTTCCCCCCAGTAGGGATGTCTTACCGCTTTTTAACCTCTAAGCCACCCTGACCAAGGAATACTTCTCCGCCCCTGCCGCAGCTTTCTTATCTTGGTCCTGATCACCAAGGAAATATTTTACAGGCTCTCGTGGCTTCTCCTTCCTTGGTCTGTGCACAGAGTCGTTGCCACAGTATGTGAGGATCTTTTAAGCTAGGTTGCTGGCCAGTTTTTTGTTTTTTTTGTTTTTTTTTTTCATTGCTGAGAGCTCGGGTTATTCCTGGCACTGGGTGGGTTCTGATTTCTCCCTGTTGAGGCTGCCACAAGGGGCGGGGCATGCACCAGAGAGAACCAGAGGCTGCCCTCAGAGGGGAACATAATCCTGAATGAGCCCCCAAATTTTGGTGCCACAAAAGAAATAGCACTCGAATATAAAATTTTCTTTTAATTCTCAGCAAGGCCAGGTACTTCTATAGAAGGGTGGGCCCTTACAGGTGGGGCAATGGTGAGCACGCACCTGGACAAGCCAGGGAAAGGGGTTCTAATCCCTGAGGCACGTGGCCCTTGCTGCTGTGTTGTTCCCCTGTTGGCTAGGGTTAGACTGCACAGGCTAAACTAATTCCGATTGGCTAATTTAAAGAGAATGATGGGGTGAGCCCTTTGGCGGGAAAAAAATGGTTATGCAGAGTGGAGAATGAGTTAGGGCAGAGCAGGTAGCAGGTAATCAGAATGAGTCAGGGTGGAGCAGGTGGTCGGAATGAGTCAGGGTGGAGTAGGTATTGAAAAAGGTTGCTTTACAAGGAAGTTAAGTTTAAAAGTAGAAGGCAAAGAATTGAACATACTGACATATTAATTCTTTGAAGAGAAATTTAGAATTCATATTTAACAACCTAGCTTGTGGACATGCCTTCTCCTGAACTCTCTCTGTTTCTCTTTACCTGTTCCCATCGTCCAGCTTGTAGGCAAAGGAAGACTTGCTGAGGCTTCCAAGTGAAAGATATTGGCACATTTTACAAAGACCATTGGACTATCACTTGAAACACTTTGCTCCTTTGCTGTCCTGAGAGCAAGCACATTGGTGCTTGCGGGAAGTGTCTTGGGGAGTTAAGCACCAGCTCACAGAGATGGTGAGGTGTATTTCAGAACCCAAGCTTCTGCCAGGGAGCATATAGATTTTGTTATTTCAATATTAGCAGCTTACTCTCCATGGGTTTTATTGCATAAATTTCAGGAGGGAGTGTTTTCTTGACTGACACCTTAGAAGCACTCTTTGTAGCAAAGTCACAAACATTTCCAGATCTTGCTGGGCATAGAGATGGCTGCACCACTGGAAACAATCTATTGGTGTCACTTGACACAGTGTGAGAGGTCAGGTAGGGGTGAACAGCATTGTCTGCACACCAAGTGGGAACATTATCTGCTCTGTGGGGAGGCCCATCATGCTTGGCCTGCTCAGGAGGAAGACTGACACATGTGGGTCATTCCGTGGTGCCTTTTCTCCTTCACAGTGAAAAGAAGGCCTGACACTTCCAGAGGAAAATGACACTGAAAGCACTCAGGCAGAGGAGGGGAAAACATGACCATGCTTTCTGGAAAACCCTTTCTTCATGCACTCATGCCAATCATTGTTTTATCCAACTTAGCTAATCCATTTCTAATTTTTTGTTCCTTAATAAAAGAAAAACAATTCAACTGTCACTTACTGAATTCTTTTTAAAAAAACTTTTATTTTAGGTTGAGGGTTACACGTGCAGGTTTGTTATATAGGTAAACTGCATGTCACGGGGGTTTGGTGTACAGATTATTTCATCACCCAGGTAATAAGCATAATACCCAATAGTATGTGTTATTTATCGAATTCTCACTGTGTGCTAGGACCAGTAGTGTGCTGAAGATGGCTTGGACAGGCTCACGAGAAGCTTAATTGTTCAATTTGCAGGAATTTTGCAAGACAGCTGTTAAACACAGCCATTATTAAAATTCAATTATATTACCTTACACTTAAAAACAAAGGCAATAAATTCAACTTATCATATTCTAATTATTTTACTCTTATTTATGCTCTTGAAGTTATTCGTGTCTATTGTGTCTGTATGTTGGAGCTACTGAATGATAACTAGCTACTGTGTATCTCCTGTCACACTGGTGGCTTGAAATTGTTCATGTTGGGAGTATTTACACCACAGAAATCAGCAAATGCTACAAATTCAAGTTTGGTTTATTGTTTTGTTGATTGTTTAGACTTAAAAAATGATGGAGAAAATGTCAGTAATTAAAAGTAATAGCAAAAACCGCAATAACTTGCACCAACCTAATATGAACAGCACAAAAATTTGAGAAAATGTTCTTCCAGTATTTAAGACTATTACCTGATTCAGCAAACTAATTATAGTTACTCATGTCATTGACCAATGAGTGAAGTTCTGATGTACATTTTTGTCTCATTTTTATCTTATTAATACGAACAAAAATATCAACCAACATATCTGTCACAGCTACACTCATTTGTCAGTTGCAACCATAGATTGGCTATGGATACAAGAGTTCAGCAAAATCATTGAAAGCATTTTATGAGAATTCATTGGCTAAATGGAATTTACAATAATAAGTATTATATATTTCATTATTTTTGTAAATTGTGTACACATTCTATTAGTATAATTTATATAAATATATATACATATGCACACATTTTGAGAGGGAGAGCGAATTGTAACTATTAGCTGTTATTTACTCTGCCATGAATATACTTCCCTATTTATCTCACCCTCCAAGACCCAATTCAGGGACAAATCTATCCCTTCTTTGGGGTTCTTTGTCATAGCCCTTGTTCACAATGCATTAGGGTTCTGTGAAGTTCCTTCTCCTTCCTAGAACAAATACAGTTGAAGGGCAGGGGCTTTGAATTACTCAGTTCTGAACATCTGGAGCTGAGTTCCATGCTTGGTACATAGGAGGTACCCAAAGGTGTTGGTTAAAAGAAACAGTGAGAGTCTTGAAGGCAGTGGGTGGGGAAGAAAAAAAAGAAAAGGAGGAAGTCACATACTTAGAAAAGGCACAATGGTCAGTACTATACATCATCTTTTAAAATTTAAATCTTCTTAAGGTTCCTAAAGGTCTGTATAAAATACAGCAAGCTTTGATTTCCAATACCACAACCCATAAAAGCCCTTGATGGAGTAGATTTGTCTGGGGGTTCCATGTGTTTAGAGGAACAAGACGAGTCACCTGGTAATCATATCATTCCCAGTATTTGACATGTGTCTTGGGTGATGCACAGTGGCCAATCCTTCCTGTTTCCTTTATAACATTCATTGAATAATTCCTTGAATGTGGCAGGCACTGGATTTTCCATGCATCATATGTGAGGGAAGTGACAGTGGAACATCAAAAGCCCAGGAGAACTTACTCTCCTTCCAGCCCTTGCATCCTCCTGTGTGCCCTGGCTGCAGGCTCCTCCCCACATCCTTTTGGAGGGAACTGGATACCAGTCCTCTAGTCGGGAAGTATTTTCAGTTTTAAAACCCAGTCATTATTGACTGGCTGGCTGAGTTTCCTGTTCAAAAAGTGCACAATCACCCATCTCCCCAAAATATACGTCCAGCCAAGGATCAGATTTCCCTCAGCTGGCCAGCCACTTTTCTAAGATGAGCAGTTGCCAACAAACAAGCTTGGAAGCAAGCAAACAGTTGTCTTTTCTCCCTCACTACCTCTCTCCCGTCAGTCATAAACTCCAAGAAAGGTCAGCTGGGACCTGTCCAGCCTCCAGCCACAGCCTAGCACAGGGTAGACATGTCAAACAAAACAGGAAAAATAATTTACCTTGCCCTTGTCCTTTCCCTCAAGTTTTATTTTTATTTGCCATTGACTTGAGAGAGCCCACAATAAGAAAAAGAAATCAAGCCTAGATCATTGTCTCTTCCCTGGACTGTTGAACTAGACTCTGCTTTTGTCCTGGCCTCCTGCAAATCTTTTTTTTTTTTTTTTTTTGAGCCTCGCTCTTTAGCTCAGGCTGGAGTGCAGTGGCGCGATCTCAGCTCACTGCAACCTTCCGCCTCCTGGGTTCAAGCAATTCTCCTGCAATTCTCCTGCCTCAGCCTCCTGAGTAGCTGGGATTACAGGTGCATACCATCATGCCTGGCTAATTTTTGTATTTTTAGTGGAGATGGGGTTTCACCATATTGGTCAGGCTGGTCTTGAACTCCTGACCTTGTGATCTGCCTGCCTTGGCCTCCCAAAGTGCTAGGATTACAGGTGTGAGCCACTGCGCCCGGCCTCAAATCTATTCTTAATTCAGAGGCTAGAGGGATTCTGTTAAAAGGTACATCAGAAAATGCCATTCTTTTGCTCAGAACTCTCCAGTGGCTCTCCCTTCCACCAGAGGTAAAGCCAAAGCCTTCCAATGGCTAAAGGCTCTACATGATCAGCTCCTATCCCCCCAGCCCTTTATATATCTCATTTCCTACTATTCACTCCCTCCCTCATTCCTCAGCAGACACAATAATCTTGTTGTTCTTTGAACTCATCAGGCACCTCTCGCCTCAAGGCCTTTCCCCTCATTGTTTATCTGCCAAAGACACTCTCCCCCCGATATCCATGTGGCTCACTCGCTCACCTCCTTCATATCTGTGCAAACATCACCTTCTCAGCGAGGTCCACCCTGGCATGTATGGTACTATGCAGTGCTGCAAACTGCCTTCTTCCTCTCTATTGCTGTTCCTCGTCATCCTGTTCTATTATTTCCATAGAATGCATCATCTTCTAGCATAACATATAATTTATATATTTATCATATTTATAGTTTGTCCCTCCCAAGTAGAAATGTAAGCAGTAAGAGGACATAGATTTTTGTCTTTTGTGCCTATTTTGTCTAGAATAGTGCATGGCATATAATAGGAAGTCAATAAATATTTGTTTAATGAAGTATATTCCATTTAAGACAAAGAATCTGAGGCTGACTCTAAGTCACAAACATTATTGAGGCATTTTGGAGTAGACATCAGTTTCCTCCATGCTAGAAGCCACATTCATCAGCTAATCCTTGCTTCCCTTTCATTGACAGTGGGACTCAGGGGAGAAAGTTCCAGGGAGTTCACTGCAGAGCCAAGTAGATAGATAGCATTGGAATTTTCCTGCATTTACTTTTTCATCAAGGTCAAGAAGACCACGTGAAAACTCTAAAATGTGGTTTTTCAGTTAAATACATTGTCTTGAAAATGCCCTTTTGTTTGCATGATACTATATTCATGTGTCAAAACTTACAGAATAACTCTCAAGCAAGGAATTGGTGGTGGTGGTGGTGGAGACGGGGAGAGGGAGGTGCAGTTGAAGAGAAGGAATTTAGAAACATTGGCTTATTCATGTGAGCTGCTCTATTAATAAAGCCAGTGCCCCCTTTATAACAGGGAGCCCTGGGAAACCAAATAGAAAACTCCTGTTTTTAAGAGACAGACTAATTGAGTCATCGTCTCTGAATTCCCTCTCTGCTACTTCTCACTCAGACTGCTGATGATTTTATTTTTAATTTATCTAAGGGGGCTATGAGTCATTATTGAGATTAGTTTCCATAAGGTCCTCTATCACTAAACACTGTAACAACCTGCAGTAGTTATCTATTGCATAATAAATTACCCCAAACTTATTTGGTTAAGACAACAACCGTTTAATTTGCCTGCGATTCCATGGGTCAGGACTTTAGAATCCATTTAATCAGCTTACAATTCTGTAGGTCACAAATTCAGGGCTTGGCTGGGTGGTCTTTCTGCTCCAGGTGATGTCAGCTGGGATCATTCATTTGGCTGCATTCAGCTAGTGGCTGTGCTCAGCTCTAAGTTTGGCCTCATGCACATCTCTGCTGCTTCTGCGTTCTTGGGTTCCTCCATATGGCCTTGCTTTCTCCAGGGACTTGGGCTCCCTCACAGCATGGTGGTCTTAAGGTGCAGCCATGGAACTTGCACAGCAGTAACATTTCTACCATATTTGATTGGTCAAAACTGGGCCAAAGCCAGCCTATATTCAAGGGGAGGGGATTCTACCTCTCACTGAAAGGAGGGGCAAAGACTTGATGACTGTATTTAATCCATTACATAATCAAATACAGGCAGTCAGTCTCCACTTTCAGTTGTGCTTTATCTCACCTCTCTGCTTAATAAAAGATGCAAATAAAATATGTAAAAAAAGTTGTATTCAAGGAACCTTGAGCATATAAGTGCCCAAAATATGCACCTCACTATTTATAAATGCTCCCACTTTAGTCAAGCATTCACTGTAGGAATTTCTCTGCCTCCAACTCTGTCCCTGAAGAGGTATTATTTCTGCTTGGAACCAGTCTGTCTTGCCACAGAAGTTGCTCCCCAAATTCTCGGTTCTCATCATCATAAATCCCTTATCGCCAAACTTCCACCATCCCCGTTGTTTCTGCTTCTTCTGGGAGCTTGGAGCCCTGGTACATCTTTTAAAATGCTATAATTATTATAAATGCAAAGAAGGAGAAAATTTGGTTCTCACTGAGTAGCTCCTATGGGCTCTGATTGTGACATGGAATTAAGTTTCCTGTAGAAAACTGTTAGATTTGCCAAGTCATAGATCTGGGTAAGCTAAGTAGCAATCCATTGTAAGATGGAAAAGGTACAACTAGAACTGAGCCCAAGCAAGACTAGAGGACATGAGAAGCTGCATGGGCAGGGAGCAACGGTCCCCATGTCGCCCATCACAACTGCATCAGCACCCCTCCCTCAGCTCACATCTGTGGCCATATGTGGGATCCCATAGGACCAGCTAAGGAAAAGAAAAAAGCCTTAGCTTGGTTTATATTTGGGTTGGCTCAGTATACAAATACAGGCTGAAAATGAACAGCTACTATATTAACCACCACACTCAGGGTAGGCTCTAAATAAAGTAGAGAAGAAAAATATTGTTGATGGATGGAGCTGCAAGTAATGCATCTGGTCATCTACTTTGCATGGAAAGACAAGTGGCCAAGATAAGAACATATATATACTCATGGGAAATGGCCAGTGATTTAATGGACCAGTTAGAGGTCTAGAAAGAAAATGACTGGGTACTTGGAGACAAGGAGATCTGGAGTAGAGGCACGTGGACAGACCCGTGGAAATGGGCATAAAGTGTAAAGATTTTTGTGTGACGTGTTAATGTCCATTATAAAGCATCTGTCACAGAAATGACATTGGATATACAAACAGACAAAATGCTCAGCCAGTTTACATTAGTCAGCATTCATCATTGGTTCCTCCAGAACTGGCATGATAGATTGTCAAATGGACCCATGAATAGAGTGGTCATGGTAGCAGAGATAGAGGTCCCACATGAACGCAACTGCATGGACCACCACTTAAAAAGACTGACATAGCTATTGCCCCTTCTGAATGTCTAACCTGCCAGTACTAGAGATCAATGCTGAGCCCCAAATATGGCACTACTTTTTGGGGACACCAATTGATCACTTGGTGGCAATTTGTTCTCATAGCAGTAGATACCTGTTTTGGGTGTGGGTCTACCTTTCATGCCTGCAGAGCCTCATCCAGCACATTATCCAGTGGCGTATGGAGAAACTGGCCCACAGGCATGGGATCCCACAACACGTAGTATCTGATCAGGATAACCATTTCACAGTGAAGGAGCTGCAGCATGGGCCCATGATCATGGTATCCATTGGTTGTATCACTTACCATATGGCCTAGAAGCTGGCACTTGATAGAGCATTGAAATGTTCTGGTGGCGCTTGAGGCAATACTCTGTGAGAATGGGGTGTGGGTGCCTTCCTCTAAGACATGATTTAAGCACTGAATCAGAGAACCCTACTTGACTCTGTGTCCCCTGCAGGGAAAAATACATGGATAATCAAGGGGGAGAAGCAGAAGTGGTCCTAAGTAGCATCAATCCCAGTGACCTATTGTGTGGCTTTATGCTTCCCTAACCCACAACATTGGGGTCTGCAGTGTGAGTGGTACTGGTCCCAAAGGTAAAATACTCTCTCCAGAGGACATGTCAAAGGAGAATTGAACTACACACTAAAATATAGGCATTTTTGAATTCCTTGTGATTAGGGACCAACAGGCAAGAAAAGGAGTCATCGTGTTGGCAGGGCTAATTGACTTAATAAAAAGGAGGAGGTAGGGCTATGTTATACAGTGGGGATGGGGAAATATATTTGGAAGTGAGGTGGCATCACCTGGTGAATTATGACTACAGAAGGATAAGTGCCGCCAGCCCAGCTTCATAAAGGTGTGATTACCAGGGACTCATATTCCTCAAGAGTGAGGATTTGGTTCATGTTACCAGGTGAGTCACCCAGTCCAGCTGGAGTAGTAGCTGAGAATGAGAGAAGTTGAGAATGGATAGTGGACAAAGGAGTTGATGAATACTAGTTGTGACTCCAGGACCAACAGTGAGTGGGCTGTAGGTCATCCCATGAACCTCCCTCTTCTAAGTTTTCCCATAAGAAGTGAGGCCCTTGGGAACCCAGGAAGAGCTGCTCTATAAACGTGTATGAAAGTGGAATCACATGGCACAAGGGGAGCACTGTGGCAGTCATGGAGGTGTGGTGCCGAGATCTTCCTTCATGAAAGAACTTGCCATCCAGCTGTCAGGAGGTCAGTTAGCTGACAGCCTCCAGCTGTCAATACCTTCAGATTTGCCTCTGTTAAGTCTAGACAACAATCTTCTTGGAAGGTCCTAGCCAATGACTAAATAGGGCAGGAGGTTTTAGGGTCTTGCCATTTCTGCCCAACATAAGATTCCTTCAATAGGCAATCTTAGTTTCCACTGGGTTGGCTAAGATGTTGGCAGATGTGCACTGTGATCTGAGACTCCTTCTGCCCAATTTTGCTTCCTCTCTTCTTTCTTTTAAGGTCTGCATCACAGTCTAAAGACTTTCCTTCCTGATCTTTCTTTCTTTCCTTTTAAAAATCTTTTACAGGCGTTACCCTCCAGTAAATCCCTTACACTTTTAAACTCTGTCTCAGCATCTGCTTCCCAAAGACCCAACTTACACAATAACCTAGCTACTTTTGGAATGTAGGTAACTCAATTTCTTTGAAGCAGGTACTATGTTTATTCAAATCTAAGTTGTAATTCAAGGATGTGGAGCAAATGGAATTCAAGTGCACTATACCTCGTAGGTATGCAAATTGGTACAACTAGTTCAGAAAGTATTTGAGAATATTTATTAAAGGTGAACATTTGAATTCCCTATGACCCAGCCATTTACTTCTATGTATGTATCCATCAGAAGGTTGCTCATAGCAGCTCATGCTATGGACTGTATTGTGTCCTGAAATTCATATGCTCAATGTGATGGTATTTGGAGATGGGGCCTTTGGGAGGTAATCAGGCTTAGGTGAAGATGTGGGGGTAGGGCCTTCATAATGGGACTAGTGCCCTTATAAAGAGACATAGAGAGCTTGCTGTCACTCTTTCTACCCTGTGAGGACACAGTGAGAAAGTGGCCACCTGCAAGCGAGGAAGAGAGCCTTCACTAGAACCCAATCATGCTGACACCCTCCTCTTGAACTTCTAGCCTCCAGAACAATGAAAAATAAATTCCTGTTGTTCAAGCCACCCAATCTATGGTATTTTGTTATGGTAGCCAGAGCAGACTAAGACACAGCACTATTCATGATACAGTTGACTCCTGAACAACATGGGGGTTAGGAGTGCCAACCCCCCATGCAGTTCAAAATCCATGTATAACCTTTGATTCTCCAGAACATAGCTACTAATAGCCTACTGTTGACCAGAAGCCTTAACAACAACATAAATAGTTGATTCACCCATATTTTGTATGCTATGTGTATCATACACTGTATTCTTACAATAAAGTAAGCTAGAGGAAAGATAATGTTGTTAAGAAAATCATAAGGAAAAGAAAGTTGTTCCTATTCATTAAATGTAAGGTCACCATCAGAAAGGCCTTCATCTTTGTTCTCTGAGGAAGAGGAGAAAGAAGAGGGATTGGTCTTGCTGTCTCAGGGGAGGCAAAGGTGGAACAGGTGGAGGAGGTGGAATGGGAGGCAGGCACACTCAGTGTAAAATTTATTGGGAAAAAAAGTGAATCTGTGCAGTTTAAATGTGTATTGTTTAAGGATCAACTATAGTAAAAAAACTGCAAAGTATCCAAATGTCTACCAATAGTAGAATGGATAAATTGTGGTATATTCACAGAATGGAATACATTAAAACAACCAGAACAAACAAGCTACAAACATATGCAAAAATGTGGCTGAATCTCACGTGTAATGTTGACCCCCCCAATTAAACCAGACTCAAAAGAGTACATATTGTACAACTCCATTACTATAAAGTTTTAATCCAGGAAAAATGAATCCATGCTGTGAGGAGCCAGGAGAATGGTTATGGGAACGTTGTGATTAAAAGTGGCCATGATGGGGATCCCGGGTGCTGCTCATGTTCTGTTTCTTGATCTGAGTGTTGATTACATGGGGGTTGAATTTTGGAAGTTTGTTGATCCACATGCTTATGATATGTACAATTTTCTGTATGCACAAAGTTTATACTTCATGAAAAAGTTTATAGAAATCTAAGGTTGTCATTAATTTTAAGGTGGAACTTTATATAGGTTGCTATATAGGTACTGTGTTTCATTAATGTATAAGACACACATTCTTTTCACATTTTAATATCCTAAATATGGTGATGTGAATTGTGATGGGTGGTGGTCATAAAGTGGTTGCCATCATGATGTAGTTGTTGTTGCCTGTACATGTGTGAACAAGCCTCAGAACTTGCAAAAGGGGTAGGCATCAGAAGCTTGGAAGAAAATTTCAGATTCCTTGTGCTTTTTTAAATCACTTATAATTTTTATATTTATTGAAAAAACTCTTTTAGACACCATTAGACACAGATTTTTTTCATATAGAGCTCTCACGCATATGGACAAAGAGAAATATAAGCAAAATAAATTGGTTAAGGATTTCTAAGTCTCCTCCACATTCAGAGTCCGTTGTTCTGTAATACCTTTTTACTGAGTCATTCGTGTTGTCTTTTCTACATAATGTTATCCTCCTTGCCATCAGAAGCTTTGGTGGCTCAGCATTTCTTTAAACAATCCATTAAAAAACCCAAAAGCCATTGGTTCTGGGTTCTTATTAAGCTGGATTTTCAGTGAGGTGCTGCCAGCCTTCTGTGGTGGGAGCTATCATGTGCCACCCAGATTCTCCTTCAGCAGTGAAGCATGCATGCTCTCTGATGCTGGGAGTGCTGCTGGCAGAGAGCCTTTACCTGTCAGTCCCCTTTGGAGACTGGGCCTTTGAAGGGGGCACTTTAAAGAGGGCCACCTCATCCAAGGTTGTGCTTCCTTCCCCAAACTGGCCAACACATGGGTATAAAGGCCTGGTCCCTTGTCCCAAATAGGAACTAGTAGAAAGGATCATCCCAGCTTCAGAGTTCCTCATGGGTTGGGCTGAGGCCTTTATTGTGACTGTGTCACAACTCAATTTTTTCCTCTGTCCAATCCTGCTTCCTTCCACCAGTAGTGAATCTAAGAGCATCCCCTAATAAACCTCTGGCATAGTTATATCCATTTCAGAGTCTGCTTCCTGGGAAGCCCAATCTGCAACACCTACTTTTGACTCCTGTTTGGGGAATGTTTGATTGACTGCTTCTCTCACCCCTCCCTACAACCATTTTATTCCTAAAGGTAATGACTGCTTCTTCATTGCTTTGGGATTTTATCCAAAGTTGCCAACACCTGCTCATTTTGCAAGTTTTGAAGCTGGTATGTTTGACCTTCCACATTAAACAGACAATGGCCAATTAAATGCTACTGTAAGAGGCCATTGATTATAACTCTCAGCCCTGTTTCAGAGGTATGAAAAATGTGAAGAAAATTTGCATCTTTCAGGGTTGTTCTCCTATTCCTCTGGGTTTCTTTTGGGTTTAAGAGGTTCAGATGACCTCATGGCTTTAGGGATGGGTATTTTGTCTGTGGGCTGCATGAAACAAGGCTGGCCTCTGCTAAACAGCCTTGTCCTGCTTGGCCTTTGGTAGTGGCCTCTTTCCTTGATTGCCAAAGGTCGCAGCTGGTCCATTTTCTTGGCTTGACCTGTGCCTAAGGGTCTCTGGGAGTTTTGGGCCTCTCCTCAGTTCTGGAAGATCCCTTGAGGTCTCTCTGTGACTTGGGCCCTCCAATTCAGGTTGCTGTGCCCCTTGCCCTGGTGAACTCTTCCACTCCCTCTCAGCTGTCATCTGAGAAACAGTGGGTCCTCTCTCTGTCTAGGTCAGCCCTGCCACTATTTCTACTCCATGCTGGTTACTTCATGTTGGCATAGGACACTTGGAGGGTTTTCTTCCTCCTAGCACTCCAGGGGAGAGGCAGGGCTTTCTCCAGACCCTCAAACCTAAGTCCTTCCTTCCCTCTTCAGGGTTTCAACGTTAGGAGGGGGCAGGACCACAGCCCCCATTCAGAAACACTCATCTGCATCCAAACTTCTTACCTTTCTCCAAGCCTTCTTCCTGCCTTAAGCACTTATTTTTTTGAGTATGAAAATGGCTTTTACATCATTTTTTGGGTCCTCTCAAGTCTGTGGTTCATAGTACAAATCTCTGTGGTTAGTCCTCTAAGATTGGCTGATGATATTTAAACCCTAGTTTCTGGAATTCTAAGCAAACTGACTTCCTTCCTTTCTTCTTTCTCTCTGCCTCCTCTTCCTCCCCCTTGTCTTTCTCCTTTGCCTTCTGCTAAAATCTCAACAAAGTCTGGCCCTTTCAATAAAAAATGCTTTACGTGTGCTCTGAGTTAAAAATTCCATTCAGCAATTGACTTACTTGAATCAGTTTGTATCAAAATATTTTTCCCAACTCCAGATACCTATCACACTTTGTTCTCCGCAATGAATTCATCTTCTGTCTCAGGTCCATGAAATGTTTAATAAGAGTGATCAGTTATTAAGCCACAAGAAAAATTTTAATACGTTCCAAGGACAAGAAATCACGCAGGCCATAATCTTGGAACACGGTGCAGAGAAACTGAGCATTAACGCCAAAACTTTAAAAATAATAAAAACCCAACAACACACTCCTACATAACTTTTAGATTAAAGAGAAATCAAAACTATAATTACAGATTATACAGAAACAATGACAACAAGAACATTATATAAATGAGAAGGCCAAGGTTGTACACATAGAACAACTAGAGGTTTTAAGGGCTTTTGTAATTAGACAAGCAAAAAGAATAGAAATAAATTTTTCAACTAGAAGTTAAAAAGAGAGCCAAGAGAATATGACCGGGAAAATAGAAAGAAGAAATTGATAAAGACTAAAGCAGAAATGAGTGGTTAGAGGAGAGAAAATAAATGAATTTGAAAAATAAACCAGAGATAGTTCTTTAAAACACCAGAAAAAAAAAAGAGAAACATGTGCAAAGCTAGTCAAGATAAATAAGAGGAAAAAACAAACAATTGGGATGAGAACAGAATATAATGACAAGTAAAGGGGAGATTTAGAGGTTTTATTTTGTAGATTATGTTGAACTCTGTGCTAAAAGTTGTGAAATCTGGGTAAAATGAATGATTTCCTAATAAAACATACACAAACAAAATTTATTAGAGAAGAAGAGAATATAAATATACTCATGATCTTAGAAGAAAATTTAAAAGTTGTCAAAGCTCTCCCAAAATGTGTCTAGATTTTACAAGCTAATTCCATGAGAACTTCATGGAGCACATCATTGCCATGTGGTTTAGACTGTTCCAGGGCATAGGAAAAAATGGAGCATGATTCACTTAATTTTGCCAAAGTAGCATAATCTTGGTATCAAAACTTGTGGCAGAAATCTACTAAAATCGCAGATGTGAATATGGTTCCAAGAATCCCAAGTAAAATACTAACAAATCAAATTCAATAGAACAACAAAAGAACAATATGATATCAGGGTTTTTCTAAGAATGCAGGCATAGTTCAATAATAGAAAAATCTCAAACATTGTAGGTGGGGAAATAAATTGATACAGCTTTTGGGGAGGATAATTTGGTACAATCTATCAAATTTAGAAATGCATCTAATGTGTGACTTAGCAATTCCTCTTACAGTTATCTGTATCCTAAAAAATTATGGGCACAAGATGTTAGTACAAGAATGTTTTTACTGCAACATTTTTTCTTGGTAATACAAAAAAAGAGAAACAGTCTAAATATTCATCAGTAAGAGAATGATTAAATCACAGTGTTACCACCATACTTAGGAATACATGGTAGCAGTTTAAAAAGACTGTTACTTTCTATGTACTGAAACAGGAAAAGCTCTGATACATTAAGTTTTTTTTAAAAGCAATAAAACAAACAAAAAACTAAATTTGTGAGCTAAATCATATTATAGAATGATCCCATTAAAGTTAAAAAATAGAGCTATATATTTATATATCTACACATGTAAATGTAACTGAATATAAAGAAGATCTGTCTACAAAAGATAACTTGAGAGATGAGAATGGGATCAATGGAGATAGTAGTGGGGGCCAAAGAGGTGGGACTTTTTAAAAAAATACAATGCTACTTTTTTTTCTTTCCAACTTTTGTTTTAGGTTTAAGGGGTACATGTTCAGGTTTGTTACATGGGTAAATTGCATGTTGTGAGGGTGTGGTATACAGATGATTTCCTCACCCAGGTAATGAGTATAGCACCTGATAGGTAGTTTTTTGATCCTCACCCTCCTCCCACTTTCCACCCTCAAGTAGGCTCCAGTGTTTGTTGTTCCCTTCTTTGTGTCCATGTGTACTCAATGTTTAGCTCCCATTTACAAGTGAGAACAGGTAGTATTTGGTTTTCTGTTCCTGCATTAATTTGCTTAGGATAATGGCCTCCAGCTCCATCCATGTTGCTGCAAAGGACGTGATTTCATTCTTTTTTATTTAATGGCCGTGTAATATTTCAAGGTATATATGTACCACATTTTCTTTATCCAGTCCACCATTGATGGACACCTGGGTTGATTCCATGTCTTTGCTATTGTGAATAGTGTTGGCAATGAACATACATGTGCATGTGTCTTTATGTTAGAATGATTTATATGCCTTTGGGTATATACTCAGTAAGGAGATTACTGGGTTGAATGGTAGATCTGTTTTAAGTTCTTTGAGAAGTCTCCAAACTGCTTTCAACAGGGGTTGAACTAATTTAAATTTCCACCAGTAGTGTATAAGCATTCCCTTTTCTCTGCAACCTCACCTCTGTCTGTTATTTTTGGACTCTTTAATAATAGCCAATCTGATTGATGTGAGATGGTATCTCATTGTGGTTTGATTTGCTCTTCTCTAATGATTAGTGATGTTGAGCATTTTTTCATATGCTCATTGGCTGTATGTATATCTTCTTTTGAGAGGTATCTGTTCATGTCCTTTGCCCATGTTTAAATGGGGTTTTTTTGCATGTTAATTTGTTTAAGTTTCTTATAGATTCTGGATATTAGACCTTTGTAAGATCCATAGTTTGCAAATATTTTCTCCCATTCTGTAGGTTGTCTGTTTCCTCTGTTGAGAGTTTCTTTTGCTGTGAAGAAACTCTTTAGATTAATTAGATTCCATTTGTCTATTTTTTATTTCATTACATTGCTTTTGGGGTCTTCATCATAAATTTTTTTTTTCTTAAGCCAATGTCTAGAAGAGTATTTCCTAAGTTTTCTTCTAGGAGTTTTACAGTTTTAGGTTTTACATTTAAGTCTTTAATCCACCTTCAGTTGATTTTTGTATATGGTGAATGGTAGGGGGTCCAGTATTTATATTCTGCTTGTGGATAGCCAGCTATCCCAGCACTATTTATTGAAAAGGGAGTCTTTTCCTCATTGCTTTTGTTGACTTTGTCAAAGATCAGATAATTGTAGGAATGCAGCTTTATTTCTGGGTTCTCTATTCTGTTCCCTTGGTCTATGTGTCTGGTTTTGTACCAGTATCATGCTGTTTTGTTTACTGTAGCCTGGTAGTATAGTCTGAAGTTGGGTAGTGTGATTCCTCCAGCTTTGTTGTTTTTGGTTAGAATTGCTTTGGTTATTCAGGCTATTTTTGGTTCCATATGAATTTTAGAATAGTTTTTTTTCTAATTCTGCGTAAAATGTTGTTGGTAGTTTGATAGGAATAGCATTAAATCTGTTAATTGCTTGGGGGCAGTATGGCCATTTTAACAATATTGATTCTTCCTATCCATGGGCATGGAATGCCTTTCCATTTGTTTGTGTCATCTGTGATTTCTTTCAGCTGTGTTTTGTAATTCTCACTGTAGAGATCTTTTGCCTCCCTGGTTAGCTATATTCCTAGGTATTTTTTTTGAGGCTATTGTGAATGATATTGCATTCTTGATTTGGGTCTCAGCTTGGATGTTATTGGTTTGTAGAAATGCTAGTGATTTTCGTACATAGATTTTTTTATCCTGAAACTTTGCTGAAGGTGTTTATCAGATCTAGGAGCCTTTGGGCAGAGACTATGGGATTTTCTAGGTATAAAATTGTATCATCTTTGAAGAAAGATAGTTTCCCTTTCTAATTTTCTATTTGCATGTGTTTTATTTCTTTCTCTTGCTTCATTGCTCTGACTAGGACTTCCAATACTATGTTAAATAGGAGTGGTGAAAGAGGGCATTTTTGTCTTGTTCTGGTTCTCAAGGGGAATGCCTCCAGCTTTTGTCTATTCAGTGTGATGTTGACGGTAAATTTGTCATGGATGGCTCTTATTATATTGCAGTATGTTCCTTGATGCCTACTTTGTTGAAGGTTTTTAACCTGAAGGGCTGTTGAACTTTATTGAAAGCCTTTTCTGCATCTATTGAGATATCATGTGATTTTTGTTTTTAGTTCAGTTTATGTGATGAGTCACATTTATTGGTTTGCATATGTTGAACCAACCTTGTATCTCAGGAATAAAGCCTATTTGATTGTACTGGATTAGCTTTTTGATGTGCTGCTGGATTTGGTTTGCTAATATTTTGTTAAGGATTTCTGCATCTACGTTCATCAGAAATATTGGCCTATAGTTTTCTTTTTTCATTGTGTCTCTGCCAGGTTTTAATATCAGAATGATGCTGGCCTTATAGAATGAGTTAGGGAGGAGTCCATCCTCCTTGATTTTTGGGGAAATAGTTTCAGTAGGATTGGCACCAGCTCTTCTTTATACATCTGGTAGAATTTGGCTGTGAATCCATCTGCTCCAGGGCTTTTTCTGGTTGGTAGGCTTTTTATTACTGATTCAATATTAGAACTCATTATTTATCTATTCACGGTTTCAGTTCTTCCTGGTTCAATTTGGGAAGACTCTATGTCTATATCTATTCTAGATTTTCCAGTTTGTGTGCATAGAGATATTCATGATAGTCTGAGGGTTTTTTTGTATTTCTGTGGGATTGATGGTAATGTTTTCTTTATCATTTCTAATTACATTTATTTGGATCTTCTCTTTTTTTCTTTATTAGTCTAGCTAGCGGTCTATCTTATTCTTTCAAAACTCTAACTTTTGGTTTGATCTTTTGTATGATTTTTCACATGTCAATTTTATTTGTTCAGCTCTGATTTTGGTTATTTCCTTTCTTCTGTTCGCTTTGGGGTTGGTTTGCTCATGTTTTGTTAGTTCCTCTGGCTGTGGTGTTAGGTTGTTAATTCAAGATCTTTCTAACTTTTCTGTGTGGGTGTTCAGTGCTATAAACTTTCCTGTTAATACTGTTTTACCTGCGGCCAAGATTCTGGTGTGTTGTAACTTTGTTTTCATTAGTTTCAAAGAATTTATTTCTGCCTTAATTTTATTGTTTACCCAAAACTCATTGAGGAGCAGGTTGTTTAATTTCCATGTAACTGCGTGGTTTTGAGAGATCTTCTTAGGATTGGTTTCTGTTTTTATTGCATTGTGGTTCAAGAGTGTGTTTGGTATGAAGATTGTTTTATGTCTGATTGTGTGGTCAGTTTTAGATTATGTGCTGTGTGCAGTTGAAAAGAATGTATACTTTGTTGTTTTGGGGTGGAGAGTTCTGTAGATGTCTGTTAGGCCTATTTGGTCAAATGTTAAATTCAGGCCCTAAATATATCTGCTAGTTTCTTGCCTCAATGATTTGTCTAATACTGTCAGTAAGGTGTTGAAGTCTTCCACTATTATTGTGTGGTTAGCTAAGTCTCTTCATAGGTCTCTAAGAATTTCCTTTATGAATCTAGGTGCTCCTGTATTGGGTGCACATATATTTAGGATAGTTAGGTCTTCTTACTGAATTGAACACTTTACCATCAGGCAATGCCCTTCTTTGTCTTTTTTGATAACTGCTGATTTAAAGTCTGTTTTCTCTGAAATTAGAATAGCAACCCTTGTTTTTTTCTGTTTTCCATTGGCTTAATAGATTTTTCTCCATCCCTTTACTTTGAGCCTATGAGTGTCATTGTATGTGAGATGGATCTCTTGTAGATATCACAGAATTGGGTCTTGCTTCTTTCTCCAACTTGCCATTCTGTGCCTTTTAAGTGGGGGTGTTTAGCACATTTACATTCAAGGTTAATACTGATATGTATGGATTTGATCCTGTCACTGTGTTGTTGGCTGTTTGTTATGCAGACTTGATTGTGTAATTGCTTTATAGTGTCAATGGTTCATGTACTTAAGTATGTTTTTGTGGTGGCCAGTAACGATCTTTTGTTTCCATATTTACCACTCTCTTAAAGACCTCTTATATGACAGGCCTGGTGGTGACAAATTCCCTTAGCATTTGCTTGTCTGAAAAAGATTTTATTTTTCCTTTGCTTATGAAGCTTAGTTTGGGTGGATATGAAATTATTGGTTGGAATTTCTTTTCTTTAGAGTGCTGAATATAGACCCTTAGTCTCTTCTGGCTTTTAGAGTTTCTGCTGAAAGGTTTACTGTTAGCCTGATGGGGTTCTCTTTGGACATGAACTGCCCCTTCTCTTTAACTACTTTTAATATTTTTTCTTTGGCATTGACCTTGGAGAATCTGATGACTGTGTCTTGGGGATGGTTATCTTGTATAGTATCTCACAGGGGTTCTCTGAATTTCCTAAATTGGAACGTTGATATCTCTAGCAAGGTTGGGGAAATTTTTGTGGACAATATCCTCAAATATGTTTTCTAATTTGCTTGCACTTTCTTCTCTTTCAGGGACACCGATGAGTTGTAGATTTGCTCTCTTTATATAATGCCATATTTCTCAGAGGTTTTCGGTCATTCTGTTTATTTATTTATTTTGAGATGGAATTTCGCTCTTGTTGCCCAGGCTGGAGTGCAGTGGCATAATCTCTGCTCACTGCAACCTCTGCCTCTCAGATTCAAGTGGTTCTCCTGCCTCAGCCTCCCAAGTAGCTGGGATTACAGGTGTGCACCACCACGCCCAGCTAATTTTTGTATTTTTCATAGAAACAGGCTTTCACCATGTTGGCTAGGCTGATCTCGAACTCCCAACCTCAGGTGATCCACCCACCTTGACCTTCCAAAGTGTTGGGATTACATGCGTGAGCCACTGCACCCAGCCTGGTCATTTATTAAAATTCTTTTTTCTTCATTTTTGTCTGACTGAGTTGATTTGAAGAACTGGATTTTGAGCTCTGCGATTCTTTCCTCAGCTTGGCCTATTCTGCTGTTAATTCTTCTCATTGTATTATGAAATTCTTGTAGTGAGCTTTTCAGCTCAAATCAGTTTGGTTATTTCTTAAAATGGCTATTTTATCTTTCAGCTTTTGCATCATTTTGCTGGATTCCTTAGATTCCTTGGATTGGGTTTCAACTTTCTTCTGAATCTCAATGATCTTCATTGTCATCTAGATTCTGAATTCTATGTCTGTCATTTCAGCCATTTCAGCCTTAGGAACCATTGCTAGGAAGGAAAGGCAATTGTTTGGAGGGAAGAAGACATTCTGGCTTTTTGAGTTGCCAGAGTTCTTGGACTGGTTCTTTCTCATTGGCGTGGGATGATGTTCTTTTAATCTTTGAAATTGCTATCCTTTGGATGGGGCTTTTTGCTTTTATATTATTTGATGCCCCTGAGGGTTTGACTGTGATATAATTTGGGTTTAGTCAACTGGCTTCATTTCTGGATGAATTTAGGGGGCTAAAATTCAGCTCAGCACTCCTGAGCTGCATGCTGTAACCCTTGGGGACTGGGTCCAGGCCCATAGCTTTATTCTCTGGCACCTCGAGGTTATAAACCTATTGCACTGGAGGGACTGAGATATTCCTGGTCTTCTGGCAACAACACTGATCAGGGATGCTAGAAAAAGCACTTTGTTGGGGCAGTAACAGTGGGGTCTGTGCTTGCACGTGCACACCAGTGGCAGCGGTGCATTGGGGTCTGTGCATGTGTGTGTACTGGTGGTGGTGGGTTGACAGTGTGGTGGCGTCCATGTATGTGCACATGCACTGGTGGTGGCAGTGTGGTGGGGTTTACACACATGTATGTCAGTGGTGGTGGGGCAGCAGTGGCAAAGTCCACGTGCATGTGCACCCTGGAAATGCAGCGGCAGGAGGCTGTGGACAAGTCACACCAGCAAAGTGGTGAGGGGAGGCTGTGGGCAAGTGCGTGCTGGTGGGGGCCTCTCTGAAGAGATGTTCTCCAATGGTTAGGCAGAGTCTGCTGACGAAGGAGCTATGGCGGTGGCTACCAGGAAGTGCCCAGGTTGGGCAGCCAAGGCTGTGCTGCAAGCGGGCATGGCCATGTAGGGATCCCAGGAGAGGCAAGTAGACAGGGGGGTGCTAAGACAAGACTGGCCCAGTTCCATGGGCAAGATAGCCCTGCTCTGTCCAGGTCCAACATCCAATAAAGGGCAAAGCCCACTCAGGAGTGTGGCGAGCATTGGGGCGTCCCTGGCCATGCTCCACTGCAGCTGTTCCCACACCAAATTCTCTGGGCTCCACCTAGGCAGGAGTTCCATCCCTGCCACCTCTCCAAGCAGCTCTCTCTGCCAGCTCAAATGTCTCTGGGCATGGTGGGGTCTCCTGCAGCTAGGATTCCAGAGGCCCGTGGCAAGAGTGGGCCATGCCTCACTTATTTAACTCAGAGTGGGCCAGTCTTCTTGACGGTCTGCACTCTCAGTGGGAGATGCTCTTTTTGTCTGCATCTAGTCGACCATCTTAGATCTAGAACTTTTATCTTTTGTATCTAGCTCTGTATTGTTTAACATTTTTCCAAGTAGGATATCCTCAAATAATATTTGTGTAACTAAATGGTAAAGAACCATGTAAAACATACTATAATAATTCATCCCATCAGTAGTCTAAAGAGAAAAAAACTTACACTTGATGGATTCCAGAAAATTTTCTACCTTCTACTTATTCCTTGAAAAACATCTTAGTAAATAAGGAAGATAAAAAACTTTTAAAGCAAATAGTATCAGGAATACCTTTCTTAAAATGATGATGGTCATCATATTTCACAGAGAAAGGGTAAAACATTACCTAATAAAGTCACAGGCATAAGGCTTGGGATTCAATAACATGATTATTATTTAACACTCTTTTCAAAATTTTGGACACTTCAGTTCAACAAGAAAAGAAAAAGAACCCACTAATCTTAGTTGACAGAGAGAGAGAGAGAGAGAGAGAGAGAGAGAGAGAGAGAGAGAGGAGATGTCAATGTTGTTAAGAAGGATTATAAAATTTACAGATGTGATAATCTACATGACAAACCCAAGAGGCTCAACAATAAAAAATTACTTGCATATGCCAGTGCTTCCTGCCTGCCAGGCCCTCTGCTAAGTGCTTCATAGGCATGATCTCATTTCACCCTCACAAGAATCCTGTGAGGTCCATTTATTATTGTTTCTATTTTATAGAAAAGGAAATTAAGTTCCAGGAAATTAAGTTCCAGACAGGTGAAGAAGGCAGTGGCTGGTGAGGTGTGGAGCCAGGATCCAACCTGAGCCATCTGACTTTGGAGCTGCTTGAGTTTCTCCAGCCCTGCTACATACTTTAAAAGCCAAAGAATATCTTCCAGTAAGCTGTCAACATATAATAAATATATTTTTAAAAGCAATAGGCCAGGTGCGGTGGCTCACGCCTGTAATCCCAGCACTTTGGGAGGCCAAGGTGGGCAGATCACGAGGCCGGGAGTTCGAGACCAGGCTGACCAACATGGTGAAACCCCGTCTCTACTAAAAATACAAAAGTTAGCCGGGCATGGTGGCACGTGCCTGTAATCCCAGCTACTCAGGAGGCTGAGGCAGGAGAATCACTTGGACCCAGGAGGCAGAGGTTGCAGTGAGCCGAGATCATGCCACTGCACTCCAGCCTGGGTGACAGAGTGAGACTCAGTTCCGCACCCCACCCCCCCAAAAAAAACCCAATAACATTCATATATAAGATCAATGGCCAATCTGGAAATATCTGGGAAAAAATACATTGTATTTGCCATGGGATGAAGAATTATGTATTATCCAGCAGCATGCTTAAAAAGGACCAGCATAAAACTTTATTGAGAGGTAAAGAGAAAACTTGAATACATGGAAAGACATGCTCATTTGTAGCTTGGAAGTCAGTATTAAAAAGGTATTGATTATTCTGACAATTTACAAATATCTGGCAAATTCCAAATACATTATCAGCATTTTTGTCAGAGCTTGACTGACTTATTCTTTTAAGAAAAATATTTTATTTCAAAAACTCATTATATTAAAAAAGTCATTAAAAAGTGTGTCTAAAAAACATTTTCTTCAGAAGTAAGCATTGTTTATAGTGCTCTCTAACACATAAGCAGACACACATGGCTCTGCTATTTTAGCAAAATAATGTCAAAGTGGCACGTGCAGCTGGCTCAAGTGGGTCATGAGAATATATTACTACATTTTTAGGAATTTTGTGAGCTGATTGATAAACATAGCCATTATTAAAAATCAAATTACATAAACTCACAATTAAATTATTTTAAAAACACAAGTAATAATTTCTTAAAACTTCGAATCACTTCCTAATGATCTTGTTACATTTTGCTATTGTGTATGCTTTTGAGGTCATTTACATCTATTGTATCTGCATCATGGGCATGTTATATAATGGTGTGCTGCTGTGTATATCTTCTCAACTCTGTGATCAGTGACATCATGTTAGTAGCTTGAAATTGACCATGGTGGGAATATTTGGACCATGGAAGTTAGCAAATGCTACAATTCAAGACCTTGTCTTCTTTTCAGAGAGTTGGTTTTTAACGTAACAGCACACTGCCGGATTAAAATTATGCTAGCAGGAGTGATATGTATTTCAACTGTACGTGTGTATGTATATGTTTGGTGTGGTGGTGGTGGTGGTGCTGTGTGTGTGCATGTGTGTGTGGTGTATGTGTATGTATTTTTTCAGCAAGATGTGGAGAAAAGCAAATTATAGCTCCCTAGTTAGAAATAGAATAAATGAGGATGAGAAATACAGCTTAATACTACATGAGGCAAAAAGGGTTTCCTATGACAAAGTACTTAAAAGAGTTATCAAACTTAAACATGTCATGAATTTTTCTTTTATAAATGGAAAACGTTCCAGGTTTGCTGACCTTTTTTGTGATGAAAGCGGTGTCAATAAAATGTACCTAAAAGATATTTGGAAAAAATAAATACACTTGTCTTTTCAAGGCCAAGGGTATGTTGTAACAAGGGTGCAAAAACAATAGCCTTTTAAATAAATTCATGCTTTGGGGAGAGTATACTGAAAATGGAGAGTGAAAGTGTCTCCAGGGTTATGTGATTTCGAGGCTGAAAATGACGTAAGCAGGCCATCTATAAAAACTATCGTATCTGTTTACTTTAAAAACTTGGAAACAGGATATTCTAACCTTATAAAAAATCTTCTAAAATAAACTGGTTTTTTAGTAATGTGAAAAGATAAATCTTCTAATTATTTTGTAAGTACAACTGATTGACATCAGGAAAAATGGAAATTATTAGCTGAATTTTAACAAAGACCTCTGCAAAATTGGTGAATGAGGCTGAAAATGATTTTCACTATTTTTAGGCATAGCCCATGAAGCACTTCTTTCATTTGTTATCTATGCATATTGGCGAAGCCCCTTTTCAGTTATTTCAAAGCCATGTACTGGAATAATGTGAATTTAGACCTAGGACTGCACACAGCAACCTCACAGTGTTAATGATTATTAAAATTCAAGCATATTTACCTTTGCTAAAACACATTTTTTAAAAAGTGAGAACACAAAGATGCTGTGCCCTAATAATTAAAATGAACATGAAAACATTTTTATGATAGGTTCACGGGGCACATTCGCAGGTTTGTTACAAAGGTTATATTGCATGATGCTGAGGTTTGGAGTACAATTGAACCTGTCACCCAGGTACAGTGCATAGTACCCAGTAGGATATTTTTCAACACTTACCCCTCCCTGGCCCCCTCTTGAATTTCTCAGTGTCTATTGTAAAATAATGTTCTAAAAAACAGTTTATTATTTATATTTTCCTTTTAAAATTCCAAAGTGTGGAATTTGGGCTGGCAGCATCGGCATCCCCTGGGAGTTTATTAGGACTGCAGATTCTCAAGCCCCACCCCAGGCCTCATCTTATTGCTTTGAGTTAAATGGAGGAATCCTCTGCGTGGATGAGTTTTGCCATAAGTACAATCAGGAGATGACAGAGCTACTTTGCTCTTTGGTGGGTGGGTAGGTGAGACGGTTGAGAGTGGTCTGTTCTTCTGGTTGAGATTTTGAAGACTAGAGTAGTTCTTGATATTTTGAAGTATATTTATATTAAAAGAGACTTTCTTGGAGTAGGTGAAGCCACTACATGGTGTAATTCCCAACCCTACCTTTATGATGGCACCAAATAGGATAATTCTGCAATAATACTAGCTAACATGTAACACTTACCATGTACCAGGCATTGTCCTAAGTTCTTCTTAGAGAAGAATTTGGGCCTGGTCAGTCTAGCTCCAGAGCCCATGAATAAACCATTATGCTATACTGCCTGGGTATAAAATATATAAAGGAATAAATACCCACAAATTAGGGATGCATCTGCAGATATTTTTATTGATGGGGAACAAGATTAAAAAAACATTTGGGGACACTAGGCTAGTGGATACCAGCTCAAATGCTACTGTGACATAAAAAACCTTTCCTAATCTGGCCCAGCCAATGTCCCTGACCCCACTTCTTGCTCTGCCCCCTTAAAACCTGTGCTCTAAATTCCACCATCTTGAACTGGCATCCTGGCAGCTCCCTGAATTCCTAATGCTTCCTTCCATCCCTGACTCCTATCTCTCCTTCAGAACTCAGCCTGGGTACCGCCTGCCTTTCCTAACTATTTAATATCTGCCCTTCCCCCAAAAGGCCAGTCCAGGCATCCTTTGTACACTCTCAGCATTGTCTGCATACTCTGCATGACATTTGTCCTACTATTTTATAATAATCTATTCACTTGTTTGTCTACCAGCCTTGAGGGCAGCACTCTATCTTGTTTATTTGTGTATGTCCTCGTGCAGAGCCTGGAACATATTAGGTGCTGTTTGCATGAATGAATGATTGACGAAAGAGAAAGCAACCATTGCCCTAGGAGTTGTTCTAGGATCTGTTATTTGTTTAATGGCCACCAGAGGGGGGCAGACGAACAGGGTCCAGTGCACAGCACCCATCTAGAACTCTGGGTAGAGAATGTAAATACTTATTCTAGGGCTGGAAGGGAAGTTCAATGGTCATGTAAAGCGTTCCTCTGTTTTAGACAAAAATTAAACAAACCTTTCCAGGTAAGCACAGTGATATTTAAAGTTTTAAGTCAAAAAGAATTGTTTGAATCTAGGCAGACTTTAAATCTGAAGAGTTGGATTCTGGTTCCAATTCTAACATTATTTAGCTTGTCTGATCTCAGATGAGACCCTTGGATTTTGGAGACTCAGTTTCTGAATCTGACAAATGGGTGACATACTCATTTTTTCTACCTCCTGGGAGTGTTTTGTGACCCACAGGTAATAATGCACACAAGCACCCTAAAAATGACAAGTAACAAATAAAGTATAATAAAAATCAGGGGCTAAATAAAAATAATTTCAATCTCCCTTGTTCAAAATTAGTTTTCTGAAATGTGAGCTGAAAGCCAAGTATAAGCATGGAGTTGAAATGAGCATGGACTTGTGTTGAGACCACAGATGCATCAAGATTTCAAGCTGTGCATTATTTAGGCCATTTTATTCATTTGGCTCCCATTTGACCACCTCAGCTGCACTGCCAGAGGCCAGCTAATCCCTCTGCATCTAGCATCATCTATGCCTGGATAATTCACGTATCTCACCACACATGTATATCATTTCTTTCTTTTGTAAATGTGCATGAATGTTGTTACAATGAATAAAACACAAATTCATAGAAAAACTTTCATGAGTTTCCAGTCACATTTACCATAATCTATTTTTTCTTAAGAGATGGGGTCTAGCTCTGTAGCCCAGGCTGGAGTGCAATGTCACAATCATAGTACACTGCAGCCTTGAACTCCTGGACTCAAGCAATCCTCCTGCCTCAGCCTCCTGAGTAGCTGGGACTACAGGTGTGCACCAGCATGCCCAGCTATTTTTTTTGTAGAGATGGGGGTCTCACTATGTGGCCCAGGCCAGTCTCCAGCTCCTGGTCTCAAGCAATCCTCCCACCTCGGCCTCCCAAAGTGCTGGGATTGTAGGCATGAGCCACTGCAGCTGGACCCATAATATATTTTAAAAATCAACATATATTTAAAAATATATTTAGGATTGAGTTGCATTATATGCATATTGAACCTATGCAAACATGACTCTGTGGGTTTAGCAAAACAAAAAGAAAAGAAAAAGAGAAAAAAGAAATTCTTACAAACAGCAAAACAGAAATTAAACCACCATCTTTTTTTTTGAGACAGAGTCTCACTCTGTCACCCAGGCTGGAGTGCAATGGTGCAATCTCGACTCACCGTAACCTCCGCCTCCTGGGTTCAAGGGATTCTCCTGCCTCAGCCTCCCGAGTAGCTGGGACTATAGGCATGTGCCACCACGCCTGGCTAATTTTGTATTTTTAGTAGAGATGGGGTTTCACCACGTTGATCAGGCTGGTCTTGCACTCCTGACCTCAGGTGGTCTGCCCACCTTGGCCTCCCAAAGTGCTGGGATCCCACAGTCTTTTAATAGAGTTGGTGATTTGGCTCCATGAAGGGATGGATGCCCAGGCTGAGCACAGATTGGTGGATGTGACTGCTTCCCCTCAGTGGGTTTCAGCTCTTGCCCAAACCTCTCATGATAGAGTGTATTTCTGTATTTGTCAGTAATTTAAGAAGTTTTAAAGGGAAACTTTTACATGAGCAATCATTTTGTCTTATATTTATCTTTTGAAGCCAGCTCACCATAGAAGATGCTACTCCACATGTGGAGGGAACATGACATTTTGGGGCACAAAATAGGAATCCATCAGTGGAAACACTGATCTAGCCTAGAAAACAGACTCCCAGTGCCTTCCCAGAGATTGGGGTGGAACCCAGACCTTTCTCGTTAAGATCAGTGCTCTTTCTACCCACAGCTGTGCTAGTTAACATGCCTTGCACTCTGGAGCCCATCCTCCCCGCAGGCCTGGGGGAATCCGTGAACGCCTAAACTGTGCATACAGCCGAGGCTACTCTTTCAGTACAGGCAGTCTATCCCCACGCAGACAGTTTTTACTCACAAATGTTTGTTTTTCAGGGTCCTGCCTGGTCATCATTTCCACTGTCTTTCATGTGTTACCTTTATATTGGAATCAGAATGTGAGCTGGAAGCAATTTTCAAGCCGGTTTTGAACCTCGGTCAGGGCAATCAGAGGCATGTGTGAAGAAATCGCTGAGGCTGGGCAGCCTTCAGGCCACCAGCACTTGGTTTCCTTTTCTCCCTTCCTCCCTCAGTAATGTGACGGCCAGATGCATCCTATGCCCCAGCACCACCTCACCCTCTGGCCTGGTTTTTGAGCTTCCTTTTCCTCTTGGGTGAGGCCATGTTTCCTTGATACTTCTGGCCTCTATTCCTTGAAGGCCGGAAGGCACTCTTGGGGCGGGGGAGGGCCAGTCCCTCGACATGGAGGGGAGGGTGCTGAGAGGGGTGGGGGCAGCAACAGCAGCTGGCAGGCCCAGGGTGTGAGCGGGCAGGCCTCTGTGGGCACCGGGACAATGGCTCGCTCACCCCCTCACCCTCTAAACTCAGCAAGGCTGAAGCGCTGTTTGGTGCTGGCTTCCCTCCTCTCTGGTGGGTGAAGAGGTCTCCCTATGAGGGGAAGTTCAGCATTGAGCTTCCACAGCAAACTCTCCAAATGCCAAAGGAGGCTGTGGAAATTAGGATTATCATGGCTCCAGAGGTTTACGGACCATCTTGAAAATCTGAGGTAGATTTTATCTGGGGTGGTGGAAGTTTTCTCTGGCTCCCATGGCTGGCTGGCTGGCCTGAGCTTCTATGGACAGAATTTTGTTAGATCCCAAGGAAAACTTGCCAATGCTGAGAGCTCGTAGACACCAGAATAGGTTGTGAAGACAGTGGAATCTACTTTGGCGGTCCTTAAAAATAGAATAACTTCTCTTCACTCTGTAATGGTCTGGAATGACAGTCTGTTAAAAAAAAAAAAAAAGGAAAACATGACAACCACAAAGCTCTTAATTTTCAACAACTCTTGAGTTTAAGCTGTTTTAGATTTGCTGCAAGTCCTCACATCCTTTGATTGCCTGTACAATATTAAACACATATTGAAGACGCTTTGCAACATGCCCAGATACTAGAGCTCCAACGCAGAGGAAGGAAATTAATATTTGGCAGAAAATCCCAGGGACACAACTTTGTTTGGAAAATTATGTCTACCACACAAATGGAAATTAAAATTCACCTCTGAGGGACTGATAGGATTTTTCCCCATTAAGTAACCTCCTACCTCTGTTTAATTGTGTAAGGAAGTTTGTAACCTCTGCATACTCTCGCCAGGCTCTGTCCTCATTTCCTCACCTCTTTTGTAATCTAGGTCCCAAGACTTCTAGAAGACTCTCTCGATGGGTCTTTATTCCCCAATCGCTGCTTTAACAGAGACATGTGGAGGCAGGAGACTGGGACGAGGGAGGCAGCTGAGAGGCAGTTAAGGGAACACTGAACCGAGACCCTCTTTCACTCCCTTTGCCTTCTCCAGCCATACCCTCGGACCTTGGTCCTCTATACTTGGCTATGGTTTCTGAACCCAAGCAATGACATGGGATCTGACAAGGGCAAGTGTACTTATGGGCAAAGCAGGATGTGGTGTACTTGAGACTGGTTCTGTCCCAGGGAATTGGGAATCCTAGTGATGGGTCACATACGAATCCCCTAACTAAAAAATCAGGTACATGCCAGTTCACTTCTTTAGACCTTGTTTGTGTGGCAAGAATGTCACATACAAAAGAATTCATGCATAGATGAGGCCATGTCAGTCATGACTTAGTGTGAGAGCCATTTTAGGATGTTGGGCAGCCCTGGGCATGCGATCTTTGGTGGCGTCTGCACCATCCCAAATGCAGTAAAAGGTCCTTCCACCTCCTTGGGAAGTACATGGATGTGGCAGTTGACATCATATAATGTTCAACGTGCACTTAAACATTTATTGAATTATATTTATTCTATTTGAGAGACAATATCATTTTTTTTAGGTCTCAAATATTTCTTAGGGCATTCAAAATTACTGTGCCTGTAGAGCCAGTGGATAAAATGTCCTAGGCATGGAACACTGGCCTAGAGGACTAGACATGAAAAATAAAGTATGCATACCCCTTTAGCAATACCCTGCAAATGCAAACATAAGCATGACCTTAAAATGTATGTTTATGGTGAGGAGAGGGCAGTGGTGCTGTTGAGAGAAGGAAGAGTCTCAAAATTTCCAGTGAGCAGAAATTACTTGACTCATCCTGACTGTCTTCTCATCCTGACTGTCTTCTCATTCTGACTGTCTTCCTTGGGAGTGAATGGAAAGTAATAATGTTAATTAAAGGGGAGCAAATGTCCTTAGGTTTGCCTTTATTTGGGGGAATAGTTTTTGTTTTATTTTTAGGGAACCTTCAGGCTGCTTCCCAATGATGGGGCCCATGACTTTGGCACTATAGTTCCCTCATCACAAAGTCTTCCACCATGAAGGTCTCTAGGACCCCCACCATAGGTATGAGACTCTTTCCATTTGTAAGGAATGGAGGGGAATACTCAGTTGAAAATTTGACGATGGGTATTCACATTCATTTTAAGGATACACAAGGAAAGTGAGGAGTGCTGTTTTGTCTCAGCAAGTGCACTGTTATCCACACGACAAATATTTGTTGAGCACCGACTGTGTGATGACTGTGTTCTAGGCTGTAAGGACTCTAGCAGTGAACAAGACAGATAAGGTTCCTACTTGCACGGAGCTTGTATGTTTGATGGATAAGAAACAAAGGGCATAAATGAATGAGGTGACTTCAGATGGTGGTAAGTGCTATGAAGGAAAGAATCTGGTAACATGGTAAAGAGGGATAGGGAGAAGGGTGTGAGGCTACTTTAGATTGCATGGTCTGAAAGATTTCTTAGGAAGTAGAATTGTAACCAAGCCTTGAGAGTTCTGAAGGAGCCAGCTGGGAGTAGGTCTGGGAGCAGAATTTTCCAGGCATAGGAAGGTACTGTTGCAATGCCCCTAAAACTTTGGCAAGTTTTAGGAACACAAAGAAAGCCAGTGGGGCAGAAGCATAGGGAGTAAGGGTGAGTGCTGGGAGATGAGGTCAGGCCCAGAGAAAACCACAATGTGTTCAACACTAGTCCCAGTGGTTGCACTGGTGCCCCAAATATCTTGTCCCCACAGAATTGAAATCAATTTTTTTCTACTCCATTAATTCTGTCACCCTCATGACTCAGTAGCTTTTTGAATGGGCTTCTCTCTCTCAGTGCCTCATCATGAACATCTTTCTGCTTTTCTATCCCTCTCTTAATTCATTTTGCATTAAAAATTCCCAAGGGTGAGGATCTGGGTATGTTGATTAATACTATCTAATAAGAAGTGGTCCTATTGGTCAGAGTCTCACACTAGGCTTTGTTATTGGCTGCTGGTCTCCCTTAGGTCCAGCTTCCTTGGCCTGGACTCCTGGTTCAATCAGTTGTGGCCAGGGTCTTATGACCTAGAGCTTGGCAACTTATTTTGAAGGAAACTGTAATAACTACTTTCATCAGGATCAAGTTGTGTATTGTGTACTGTGCCAAAATTAAAGAGACTGACAGAATTCTTAGAGAAAGGATATATATGATCATCTCACAGGCTATGAACCTAATGAGGCTTTTTACAAAGGGCTTAGTTCTTAGCTACTCACTGAACATTCCCCAGGGACAACTGAGTCTGATCCTGTACCATCCAGATCTAAACACTTAGAGGTTAGCTGTTCAATGTAACCTCTTCCTATTGGCTTTTTCTTTCTGCCAATTATATCTTTCATTCCCACATGCATTTATGGTATGTCCTTGCCATTTTCTTTCTCCTTTATCTGGACTGACTATGTGGATGGCTTTAACATACAGAACAGAGCAGAAGTACTTTATATAAGAGAACTGCAGCATCCACCTGTTGGAACACCCCTTCATGGAACCCAGCTACTGTGCTGCAAGGAAGCCCAATTAGCCATGTGAGAAACCAAACTGGATAACTGAGGCCTCCAACCAGCAGCCCCAGCTGAGCTCCCAGCTGACAGCCAGCACTAATTGACATTTATGTGAGTGAAGCCATTTAGGGCCTTCTAACAATCCCAATGCCCCCAGCCAACCTTAGTTTAGTATACACACACCTTACCCCAGCCAAACCCAGTGAAGTATTCACACACCGGATCAACCCACAGAATTGTGAGAAATAGCAAACTGTTTTGTTCAAAGTCCCTAAGCTTTAGAGTGGTTTTATGCAGTAATAGTTAACCTTGCAAGGGACAGTAAATAGATTACACTGAATGCATCATATTCAGCCTTATAGAACTTCAGAATCAGATACAGATAGCAAGGGCTGTAGGCCTATGAAAATTGAAAATGAAATTTTCATTTTACTTGATAATTGTTTCTTTGGAGAATCAATAGAAGAGAAATCCTTTCTATCCCAGTGACAGGCAGCCGAGGCCACACTTGACCCTATCGTGGTGGTGGTGATTTAGGGAGAGACTGCAGGCATAGAAAGGCAGGGAAGGGAGGGAACCGGAGTCAATTCATGTGTCGATAGGGAACATTAAGTCTGTGACATTTTGCTCAGAAGGTTCAGAATTTGGCATTGTTGTTTCCTATAGAATGAGGGAAGTTCACATGGATATTATTTATTATTCGGATGCTAATTCTTTGAACGGTGAAATGAAAAACCTCCTGCTTTCTCTCTCCCCTTTCCTTTCACTTTCTGCTTCTCTTTGCTTTGCTCACACTTTTCCTTTTTTCCTTCTTTTCAAAGAGAAGAAACAACAACAATGTCCAAACCTGTTTTTGTGCTCCAGCCTGAAATTCAGATTTGGTCTTTACCCAAAGTCAATATTTTGGGAGAAGTTTGAACTAAGTCATTCATGCAATCTTGCGTTTCAAGTATGAAAAATCCCCACAGTTTTCTACTTAAAAGGAAATAAAAAGTCTGAAAGCGATGTACCAAAAATCTATCAAACACTGGAAGCTGTCAACTTCAAACCTGGCAGGAAAAAATAATCACCAAAGGCGGAAATTCAAGTCAAGTGTGAGTAGAGTGGCCAAAGCTTGTAATGTGTCAAAGGCACGTAGACCAGAGCTCACGCAGGGTATTCGCAGGTGAAACCCTGCACTGCAACTGACCTGTCACTATGCAGGAACCTCTAGACAGGGGCCTCTTGTTTGGATAATTGTGGCGATCTCAGTTAATTGGTCTCCCTGATTCAAGTCTATACCTTTTTAAAATCACAAATCTGATCAGGTCATTTTTCTGTTTACAAATTTCAGTGACTGCCCATTGTCCTAAGGATAAATCAATACTTCTCAGCAGGCCTTAAGAGTTGACAGGCATGATCCAGCTATGATTCCCTCTCTGGCCACATCTCTGGTCACACCCAGACTCACACCCCTTTCCCCAGTCACGCTGAGCTCCATGGTGTTCCAAGAATGTTCATTGCTCTCCAGCTTAAGTCTTTGTACATGTTGTTCTTTCTCCTGGAACCGCACCTCATTCTCAACTCTTATTTGTCCAGCAAGAATCATTTCAGATGTCACCTCTTCCAGGAAGGACTAGGAATATCCCATCTGAATTCCCACAGTATCTGGGAATTTGTCATGTTGTGTAATAATGGTCAGCTTACATGTATATATCTGTCAGTAAACTATTAACTCCCTAAGGGCAGTTGCCATGCTATATTTAATTTTTTTAATTCTTAAAACCTAACACATAGTGCTTGGCATATAATAGATGCTCAATAAACCAATGTGAATAAAAAAATAAATGAATGTCCCTGAACCCTACCTACATTTTTGCATCATGGGAAGAAACCAGAGGGATATAGGGTAGCAGGGCTTTGAGGTGACCACACAGTTGAGACGCTGAGACCTGAAAACAATTTTATGACCATGTCATAATTTTGCCAAGAATTAATTCTTCCCTAAAAAATGTCTCCTATGAGAACCTACATCCACAGCCATGCAACATGACAGTGTTCTTGTTTTTTGAAGTCTTGTTACAATGGACTCTGTCACAGAGGCCTGGAATTTAGTCATTTAATTAACAAAGATATTTTGAGCTTCAACTGTGCCAGGCCCTGTACATATAGAAACATGAAGACAACATGACTTGTTTTCCTCAAGGAGCTTATACTGTAGTGGACAATGGGTAACAGGGTTTGGTTTTGATTTGATGCTACTCTGGGGGAGGGCTGCCTCATTTACTGGGAACTCAGCGGACCAACGTTAATTCTGCTCTAAAAAATGCTTAAATTTTTTTTCTAGGAGAAAAAAAATGAATAAAGCTCACCCAAGAGAATAAATGTAGATGACATATCTCATCATGGAAACAAAACCTTTTTTTTCTTTTTTAAAAAAATGATACATTGACAAATAAATAAGACACCGGAGGCAGATACTTAGAAATCAGGAAATTCAACCTGTGTGCTTCTGATGTAACTCAGTCACAAGGATGAAACAGACTTTTCTCCCTAGAGGCCCAGTCTGTCCCTAAAATCCTTGAGAATTGTGGTCCAAATTCTGTTGGTGGGATAAATTTTTTTTTTTTTTTTTTTTTTGAGATGGAGTCTTGCTGTGTCACCCAGGCTGGAGTGCAGTGGCGCAATCTCGGCTCACTGCAAGCTCCGCCTCCCGGGTTCACGCCATTCTCCTGCCTCAGCCTCCCGAGTAGCTGGGACTACAGGCGCCCTCCACCACGCCCGGCTAATTTTTGTATTTTTAGTAGAGACGGGGTTCACCGTGTTAGCCAGGATGGTCTCAATCTCCTGACCTCGTGATCCTCCCACCTCAGCCTCCCAAAGTGCTGGGATTACAGGCGTGAGCCACCGCGCCCGGCCAAAATGTCCTTGAGTGAGATGTGTAGTAAGGGAATGGGAGATGGTGAGAGCCTAAAATGGGTCTTTGGTTCTCTAGGCCAAACCCAGAACTGATGCTGGGAAGGATTTCAATATGTAAACAACATCAATGACTGGACCTATGTCAACGGATCACAGGAATATAGGATGGATGTCACACAGCAGAATTTGACCTAAAGTGATTGCAAGGAGAGCAGGAAAATATGCTCCAAATTCTTCTCTGAATGTCATCCACCTAATCAACTATCCAATCTGAAATATCCACTCACTTTTGCATTTCTTCTCAAAGTTAAACTTCTGATATCTAGAAATATACTTAAAAGGGGAACCTCAGGAGAGCTATTTGCTTTTTAATAATATTGTAAATTATTGACTCTAATTATTTCCTCCCTCTGTCCACACCCTTTGCCATCTATATTTACTATCTATATTTGTACTTCCCTGACCTAGACTTGTGCTTTAGCCAATGGAATGTGAGTGAAAGTGATAATATGGCAAAGTTTTGGGTCTGTCTTAAGTGACAGTACTTGATTCTGTTTGCCTGTCTTGTATCTCTACCATTACCATGAGAAGAGCTTGTCCTGGGAAGCTCCTGCCTCCTAGCAATGATGAACACACATGGAGTAGACATGAGCCCCAAATCAGTGAGGAGCCAAGCCCAGCTGTACCTTCAACTTGCTTCAGAGATACCTAGCTGATGCTAGACTAGATTAACAGAACCACACCCAACCTTTGAACACACAAGCAAGAATTAATGATTGTTGTTTAAGTCACCGAGTTTTGGGTTGATTTGTTACCCAGCAATAAATGGCTGCTACAAATAATAATAATAATAATAGCCAATTTGCCTATGACTTGACCAGGATCATTCAGCTAGTGACCAGTGCAGATGGAATTCAAATCTGCCTCTAAATTCCATACTCTTAATCACTTCCTTATATGATCTTGAGAAATAAACCTAGTTAATACTTAGGTGAGTTATTTTCAGGCAGAAATTTTTATCCTGGAATTAAGACAATATGAGAAAAGACATACATTTCTTTTCACATGGATTACAGGGAAGAGGAGAGCTATAGTCATACCAGAATAATTCACTCATAAGAAAATTCAGTCAGGGCCCCCAGATCTGACAGAGAGGGAACAGCATATTAAAACAGAAAACTAGAAGAAAGCAGGATTCAGGATTTAAAAATAGCAGGCCATAAAAAGTACAGATGAAGGGCTGCCCAGTATGACCACTATCATGCTAGAATTTGTCTGCCTCTTACTATCTTTGTGGTCTTCTCTGTGCCTTAGCTTTTCATCTATGAAATAGGAATAATGAAAGTAACTACTTCATCAGGCTGTTCAGAGGATTGAATGAGTTGGTGTGTGTCAAGTGCTGGGAAGAGTGTCTGGCACATTGTAAGCAGTGTATGCGTGTTAGCTTAGTGGTGCCTCTAGAAGGGAGCACCATACTTAACTATCTGCCTGGTATTTCTGACTCCACCACTGTGATGGTTTTGTATTGTGTCAACTTAGCTACTAGAACTACATTTCCCAGAATTCCTTCCCCTGTATGGTCTAGATTAGGAGTGCCATGTGAGGAATCTGCGTGAGATTTGGAAGGTGAATGTGGAGCATCAGCCATCACTGTCTGGAGGTCGGTGTCGGACACAAGGGGCTGCTGCAGTCTTCACTCATCACGGACCTACACAGGGCAGCAGCTGGGCCTGCACCTCCTCTCCTCCTTCTGGACCTCCTCCTGTAGCTGCTCTGGCCAGGAGTGTGTGTCACTCCATGATGGAGGATCCCAGCTTGCGGGTCACCGATGTGGTTGAGATTGAGATGGTAGAAGACAGATATGACTTGCAGTTGGTCCCTGTGGATTTCAGTTGGTCCTTATGGATTCCTCTTTGTCTTCACAGATTTTCGTTTTCCTTGCTTTTTTGCACTTCATGCCCAGCTTTCCATCCAAACAGCCTGGCCTGCTGACCCATAGCAACTTCAGGATTGGCCCACCAAATGCAGAGGGAACAGCCTTGCACAGACATCTCCACCAGCTCCCATCATGACTCCAGGTCCAATCTCTATTGCAAATCTGTGTTTTTCTACATCATTCATCGTGGTCATGCTTCCTTGATTGAACCTTGCCTGATACATCCCCCACCACATTGCTCTGTGAGTTGGATATAAGACAGTGGTACCACTGAAAGCTCAAGGTTCTTTTTAACACATTTTGCATTTACTATAACTCTAAGCATTTTGGCTCCCAACTGCCACCCTTTGCCTTCTCTCTATTTCCCCAGAACTTCTCTGTGGGAGGACTTTGAGCAATAAGGAAAGAGTATTGACTGCTGAAATTCCACAGAAAAAATATCCAATTTCTTTCTTCAGCACAGTGATGGGTGGGGTTAACCACAGATTTGTCATCAGATTTTAAAATCAAAGCAGTAAGATTTTCCTAAAAATAAATGAAAAAGAAAAAGAATTCTATTTACCTCAATATTGCTATTTTCACAATTTCCTAGAACAAGTTGTACGGAGTAATACAAATGCTAAGAAGGTGGGTCCAAATGAAATACAGAATTCATAATAAGAGGATGTTGTTACTCAGAAGAAGGACAACCCAGTGTGCTTTGAGATGGTATTGCAGCAATGAAAACAAGCTCAATGTCCATGTCAGATAAACAATTGTCGTCACAGCTCTGGAAGTTTGGGAAGTGACTCATCTTCAGGAATGGGCAGTGAGTGAAGACAACTGTTTACCTCAGCCCTTTGGTGGTTGACACAAACATTCTTTTCTTCCCCTGTGACTTGGCCACTGGGAGATGCTGTTGCAGCCACGTGCATCGGCACCCCAGCTTCCACCACATAGATGCTCACCTCTCCTGCCCCGTGATGCCTTACACTCTCTGCCCTCAGGTTCTTACTGTCCTTAGGGGTGGAAAATCTCTAAAATCAGTGGATTTCCTGGTAAATGGGGGAGAAAATAATTCAGGAAGCCTCTCCTTGCAAGGAGGGACCATTGTTAGGAACTTTTGGTCTGAGATGCTATGGCTGAGTCCAGGGGGGCAACAAAGAACAGACCAGTTCCAAACTCGATCAGCTAGCAAAAAAAAAAAAAAAGAAAAAAAAGAAAGGGACTAAAGGGGGTGTAGAGACTCTGGTGGAGGCAGGGCAGAGCCAAAATCAGGGAGAGGATCCTCCCCTGTCAGTGGGAGGTAGTGATTGCTGGAGTCAGGGCCACAGCAAGGTCAGGGATGGAGGAATGGAGAATTCATGCAGGAGAAGCTTGGCTGGAGCTGCAGTGAATCAGAGGGTGCATCACCAGCAGGGCTCTGGCTAGCTGCACTGTTGTCTTTTTCTGCTTTATCTGAGTTGTTTCATTACCAGGACCCAGAATTTCTACTGCTATAGCCATAGAGGGCTGACTGCTCAGGAAGCAGGGTGGCAGTGGAGGCATGTCATCCAGAGAAGTGCACATCCTTGCACCAGGACACATGAACAACAATGTTCACAGTGGCATTGCTCATAATAGCTCCAAATGAGAAACTAACCAAACGACATCAACGTCAGAATGGATCAAGAAATGGTGGTATATTTATAAGTAAACTGCAGCTGTTTATACAGTGGAATACTATATTCATTTCCTAGGGCTGCCATAACAAATTAGTACAAACTGTGTGGCTTAAAATAACAGGAATTTATCATTTCACAATTGAGGAGGCTAGAAGTGTAAAATCAAGGTATCAGGAGGGTTGGTTCCTTCTGGAGGTTCTCGGGGAGAATCTGCTCCATGCCTGTCTCCCAGCTTCTGGTCTTTGCCTGCAATCCTTGGCATTCCCTGGCTTGTAGCTGTCATCACTCCCATCTCTGCCCCCATCTTCACATGGTACTCTCCCTGTTTCTCTCAATGTCTTCACATGAACATCTTATAAAGACAACAGTCATCAGATTAAGGGCCCCCCAATCCGGTATGAATCATTTTAACTGATTACATCTGCAAAGGTCCTGTTTCCAAATGAGGTCACTTTCTGAGGTTCTATGTGGATGTGAACTTTTTGGGGGACACAATTCAATGAGTGCAAATACTATACAGCCATGAAAATGAATGAACTACGGCTGCATGCAACATGGCTGAAACACAGACAAAATATTCAGGAAAAAAAGTTACACACAAAAGAGTATGCACTGTGGTGTTACACTGTAAAACTCAAAGTTAGGAAAAGTTAAACCATAGTGCTTAGGAATGCATAGTTTGGTGATATATAGGATATATGTATCATATTATAATGAAAAACAAGTAAATGATTCCCATAAAAGTCAGGATATTGGTTACTTTTAGAAGGGAAAGGAGTATGAGAGGGGGTTCCTGGGATGCTGGAATGTTCTCTTTTTTGACATGGCTGGTGGTTGCAAGACTGTTTTTTGATATTCCATGAAGCAGTTTTATTTTCTGTATGCCTGCTGTTTTTCACAATAGAGCATGGGGGTGTCAGAACTGGAACCTGCTGTTCCAGGTTCTGGCACCAGCTGCTGGGTCTTGGGTAAGTTGCCTCCCTGGACCTCGGTTTTCTCATCTATAAAATGAGATGGTTGGAGATGATGCCCTCCAAGCTCATTAAAATATAACTCATTTAATTCTCCAGGCATTTCTCGAGGAGAGGAGACCCCCAACATTATGTTTACAAAAAAGGAAACTCTTGAGAGAGGCTCCATAGCATTAGAGTTAGACTTTGAAACCAGAACTTAGAGTTGAGTCTTAGCTCTGCCTTCTTTCTAGAAGGGGCCATGGACAGATTACTTTAACATTCTGGGCTGCAGTTTTCTTAGGCACAAAATGGGTGTAGTGAAAAGAACCTTCCTTACAGAATTGATGAGAAGATGAAAAGAAATGATGTACACAAAATGCCTGGCTCAGCACCTGGGATCTAGTAAGCCACTCACTGGTTACTGGCATCTTGCTAACCGACAAAAGCCAAACAAATCAGATGAATTCAACAAATTGTTCTTAAATACCTATTGTGGAGCCAAGGGTGTTCACAGAATATGATCTCCTTTTATCTTCACCTCAATGCTGTGATGTTGCTTATCCTTCTGAGTTTTTATAGATAACACATTGGGACTAAGAAAGAGGGAGGAAGTAATATGGTCAAAGCCGCTCCTTAGAAAGATTTCTCTGGCAGCTGTGGGGACAGAGTAGAGGGAAGACAGAATGATGGTGAGGAGACCTGTCAATGGCAACGGTTCAGACAAGTTGTGGGGAGGGCTCGAACAAGGGCAGAAGCCAGGCTGCAGGTGGCATGAGGCAGTGTCACATCAGTCTCACTCACTACTGTGGCCAAGTCTCCTTAAATGTTTGCTGAGTGAATGGATGACTGAATGGTGTCTCTGACAGAGACATATGGATGAAGGAGATAGAGGTAAAGTGCAGGGAGGACCCATTGATGACAAAGGGGTTTCCAGATCAGTCTGTCACGGGGAGCAATTCAAGAGAAGAGGTGGGGCCGGGCATGGTGGCTCATGCCTGTAATTTCAGCACTTTGGGAGGCTGAGGTGGGCGGATCACCTGAGGTTGGGAGTTCAAGACCAGCCTGACCAACATGGAGAAACCCCATCTCTACTAAAAAATACAAAAAATTAGCCAGGCGTAATCCCAGCTACTCCAGAGGCTGGGGCAGGAGAATTGCTTGAACCCGGGAGACAGAGGTTGTGGTGAGCCGAGATGGTGCCGTTGCACTCCAGCCTGGACAACAAGAGCGAAACTCTGTCTCAACTTGAGTTGTAGAGCCTGGACTAGAGCCAGCCTCATGTTCCCTTTACCACTTGCCCTTGGAGGGAGAGATGCACAGGTTAAGAGCATCTTATTCCGTCTTTTCTTTCTTTTCTGGGCCAGCACCCTTGAAGCAGCAGGAAGAGTGTCTAGAGCCAGGATGTGCACTTCCAGATGCCTGCCTTACCCTTCAGCTCCCAGCTCCGCCTTGGTGTGAAAGGAAAGGCCAGCTGGCACCATCAATAGCTAGCTTGTCAGCAGCAAAACAACCATCCCATTGATCAAGGAGGCTGATTTTCTGCCAAACACTGGGAAGGCTTCAGTGCACTTTCTGGTCAATCCCAACTGGATTCTGGGATAGCAGTTCCTGCTAGCTTCTTCCCTCCCTGTTTATTTGGTTCTATAAATGTGGAGGGCATCCATTTGAAATCTGGGTACCCAGATCTGGATGGGCTGTCAGGCTGGACTGAAGGAGTCCACTTCAAAGATCATCCTTCATGGCTGGAGGGAAACTGAATAAAAAAGTTGAGATCTGGCTGGGTGCAGTGGCTCACACCTGTAATCCCAGTACTTTGGGTGGCCAAGGCAGGGGGGATCACCTGAGGTCAGGAGTTCAAGACCAGCCTGGCCAACATGGTGAAACCTCATCTCTACTAAAAATACAAAAATTAGCTGGGCATGGTGGCGCATGCGGCTGTAATCCCAGCTACTCAGGAGACTGAGGCAGGAGAATCACTTGAACCTGGGAGGTGGAGGTTGCAGTGAGCCGAGATCAGCCGCTGTCTTCCAGCCTGGGTGACAGAGCGAGACTCCATGTCAAAAAAAAAAAAAAAAAAAAAGTTGAGGTCTAGTCTCTGATGGAGGCTTTGGGGCACAAGACAGGGCTCATGTGGTTGGCTGACCCTCCTTCTCAGCCCCCATACTTCCTAGGCATGTCGCTTCTGCTTGGATGTCCAGAAATTTGTAAAGCACTCTTTCAGGACTGTGTTCAGACACGCTAGGGAGGCCTGTGGGATGCTGCTTTCATGTGTGCTCTTGGGGTGCAGCGATGGGTTGGAGGGCGGTGCTGACACTTCCCCTGATGAAATGGCCCCCTTGCCTGGAGAGAGCTCCTTTCCTTAGCTCTGGCAGGGGTATGTTTTTCCATCCTCCTTGGTGTGAACTCCTGGAGTTAGTTTTGTGTCACTTTGGATCTTAGTGAAGCAATGTGCAAGGGGAAGATTAATGGAAAAACTCTCCTCCCAACTGCCTGGAAAATATTTTCCCCTTTTCAGCATGAAAACTAAGAGGAGTGTCAGCTGAATGGTCTGAAGAGAAGAGGAAGTTGCTGTTCCCTGTGTTAGCTCAGGCCCCTGCTCTGCCCTTTTTGCTGGGTCTCTCTCATGAGTAGGACTTTACTTTTTTTTCTCTAAGGATCTCTGTTGGACCTCAGAGGTATGAAATCTGTCAGCAACTGACTTCTGTTCAGCGCCCATCCTGTGCACGTCCTAGGCAGGCTGCTGTCTTGACATCTGATATGTGGGACAACCCTGCAAGGAAGATTAAAGTAACTCTACAGATAAGGAAACTGAGGCTCAGGGAATTAATTATCTTCCTGGAGGTCACATAGCAGCTAAATGATGAAGCTGAAATTCAGATCTATTCTCTGTGGGTTCTTCCTGTAATGCTGCATGATGTCAGTTCCTGGCATAGCGCCTGGCACACTGCAAAGCTCACATGTGTTGAGAGAATGAAAGAAGAAAGGAGCCAGTGAATGGAGGCCTCTTCAGGCTCCCATGAGCTGAGTTGACTTCATTTTAACATTTTTACTTCTTGTGAGGCCTTCTCCTCACAATGCCTTTATTTCCCAATCAGGAGAACTGATGGGAAAATGCTTGTTCCTGCCTGTGACTTTGGTTGGTGATCTAGGGAAGGTTGTGAGGCAACAAGGAGGGCTTATAAGATAGAATAGTGAAACCACTTAGCTGATAGTGTGACCTCATGAAGGATACCTAACATCTCTGAATCAACACAAAAGGCAAGAGCAGTCCCTTCACCTTGGTATTTTTGTAAAGATTAAATGAATGTGTGAATGGATGCATATAGTAAATAAATAATTAAATGCAAAGATTTGATACTAGAGGTATTTAGTAAAGCCTCTGGTACGTGGTGGTGCTTATTCATCATTTTGTTTTGGTTTATTTTAAAAACTTTAATTCAGGGAGTCTTGTGCCTGGGGGAGGGGAGGCATCTCGTGTATGGACATTTTGCTTGGCGGTGCATTTGTCCGGGAATTGGTCCACAGCATTTATTTGATTCTCAAAAAAGGGTTCATGACCCCCAAATGTTTAAGAACCACTGCAGTTGAATTTGATTTTTGACCCATGGTTAAAAGCCACTGAACTAAGAATATATTGTGTCTGCATGTTCTTGGAATTATGCTGGGGGCTATTCAAAGCAAAACAAAGAGAACATGAGGAATCTTTGCCTTTTCACAATTTAAATATGGTCAAACTTGTAAGTGGAGGCACTGACAGAGTTATGCTCATTGAAAGGAGATGATGCATTGACTGAATTAGGTACATATATAGATAAATATCAGAAATGATGTGTGAGGGGAGAATGCAGAAAAATAGTTAAATATTCACTAATAGTGTTAAAGCAATAGATATTAGTTTTTCTATTTTAACTTTTCTTCCAAGAGTATATCTAATAGCCAGCTATTATTGCACACTTACTAGCATCAGGTAGTGGGTTGTTTGTTCTAAATGTTTGATCCTGTTTAATTCTTATGACCACACTATGAAGTAGATACAAGCACAGCTATCCCTCCATATCCATGGGGAATTTGTTCCAGCACTCCCCATGGATACCAAAATGTATGAACACCCAAGTACCTTATGTAAAATAACACAGTATTTGCATACAACCTACATACATCCTCCTGTGTACTTTAAATCATCTCTAGATTACTTATAATACCTAAAACAATGCTTACATGAACTCAACATAGTATTCAACATGCAGCAAACTCAAGTTTTGCTCTTAGAACTTTGCAGAATTTTTTTTTCCCTAATATTTTCCATCTGTGGTTGATTGAATCCATGGATGTAAAACCCATGGATGCAGACGGCCAACTGTATTATCTCTATTTTATTTCTGAGGAAGCTGTGATTCAGAGAAGTTAGATGACTTGCCTAGGGTTACACAGCTAGTCAATGGAAATTCTCAAAATCATGAGTTGTCCTGGGACTTATCTTTGAAAATGTCTTTATTCCTTTGGCATCTTTCTCAACCCAGAGTAGTGAGTGTATCAGTTAAGATGCTTTTGGCTAAAAGTAACAGAAATCCTCAGCTCAAGCTGTATCTTAAAAACAGGGAATTTTATTTTGCCATATAACAGAGAACAGAGGTTCAGCGGACTTCAGGTAGGACATACGTAAGCTCTGCTCCATTTCTTTCTAGATTCTTTCCACCTCTTTGTGCTAGCATTGACCACAGAGGTGAGCAAGTTGTCTGAGGCACACTTAGCAATGTCTAGACGAAGAGTTGGGGATGGTCTCATCTTGTGTCTCCATAGGAAGAAGAAGATAGTTCCCAGATGACTCAGGAAAATTTTCCTCGTATTCTGTTGCCAGAACATGGACACATACCCATTCCTGAACCAATAACTGCCGAGGGGTATGTGCTGTGGTTTGAATGTGTTTCTCAAAAAGCGTATGTTGAAAACGTAATTCCCAGTGTGACAGTGTTGGGAGGTGGGGCCTGGTAAGAGATGATTAGGCCACGAGGGTGGAGTGAATGGATTAATGTAGTCATTACAGGAGTGGGTTTGTTATAGAAAGGGAAGTTCAGCCCCTTTTTACTCTCTCTCTCTCTCTCTTTGCTTTTATGCCATATGATGCTTTCTGCCATGTTATGACACAGCAAGAAGGCCCTTGTCAGAAGCCTTCCCCTTGATCTTGGACTTTCAAGTCTCCAGAACAGTGAGAAATAAATTTCTGTTCATTATAGCTATACCAGTCTATGGTATTCTCTTATAGCAGCACAAAACAGACTAAACAGGCTTGGGATTGCCATGACAGGTTTATTAACCGGGTAGGGGTTGAATGAATATTGGAGAGTCAACCCTACAAAGTAGGAGACCTTCAAAACAAGAAATTTGGGGGGTGCTGATCTAGTTCCTTGGCCTTTCCTAAATTGTGCCACAGTTTCTTCATTTGTATAACAACTATAATAGCATCTACCTCATGAGCTGTCCTAAGGATTAAATGAGATGATATTTGTCCAGGTGATATTTGTTTTTCTTTTTGGTAAGGTACCCAAATGTTACCACAAGGAAACTGGATAGTTTGTTAGGATGGTTGAAAGAAGTGCCCTGTCCTCTCTCTGTGCTAAGGTGTGCATGTGACTCAGGATAAGTCAGTTAGACTCTTTTTATGGAAATTTAAATGTTCGGTAGAGAGGAAAAAACATTTAAAATGGTTGGAGTTGATTCATCCTGTGGGGGGCAGGCTGAAGAGGCCAGAGGCCAGCACTCAATTTCTTCTCCGAGAGTCCCAGTACTACTGTGAGTCCTGTCCTCTCACCATTCTGTGGGCCTTAGCTTGGGTTCCCTAGAAACAGAGCCTGAGGGAAATTCTTGTCACATGATTTATTGATGCCCTTGAAAGAAATCATAAAAAAGTGAGGGAAACAGAATAGGATGGGGGAAAGAGCTGAATAAAGATGTTATCTTAGCTGGAGTCTGGCCTTAGCCTAAGAGTCTGTGAGTTATGAATTGCACACCAGAGTAAGTTCTGCCTTCAGGCAAAGTGGTTGGCTTTTTAAATCTCCCATATCAATCCAATGGGAAGTGGAGGGTAATCCCCCAGATGAGTGGACTCTTGTTGGCAGAGGGCAATTTGCTGGAGAAGGGGGCAGTTATGCACTGTTTGTAACCAATGCTCACAGCAGCTGGTGGGTGAGTGCACCAAAGGTAAGAAGGATCTTGGTGGAGCACCAATAGCAACTATTAAAATTCCCAGTGTCTCCTTTCCTGCCTACATTAGCCAGAATCTGTTTCTGTGGCTTGTGATCAAAGTGCCCTGACTAATGCATTCTGTAAAATGCTGGTAGTTATTATTATTATTGATACAATTGCATTATTATTATGAGCCACTACTCCCCAAATCTGCTGAGAGATTATGTAGCTTCTACAGAATGAGGGATGAAGAGCCTTCTATAAAGCTTGTGTAAAATATATAATTGGTTCAGCATCAGACTACTCTTTTTAAGGGAAAAATTACAGAGAAAGTATGAAGTGTTTGGAGTCGGTTTCTCAAAATTCCACTGATTTTTAATTAGAAAGAAAAATAGAACTGTGAAAGGAGACTGAGTAAGCTTTGACTCTGAAACAACCCCCCTCAAGTCCCCTCTCATACATAATTTAATTAAATGATAGAATTTATTCTTTTAAGTGGAGAGTTAGTATCTGTTTGAATTCTGATCAAACAGTGGTACCCTGGACCTCATGCCCAAGGAAGACAGAAATTGAAATATAAATTTTATTTTATTTGATGCCTGAGGTACATAATCTACTCTGCAAATACGTTATTTGAAATTTCCAAAGTTTCCCTTACCAGATATTGCTTTTTTCCCCTGTCTGTGTAAGTGCATTTCATTCAAAAACACCCTACATGCCAGGTTCTCTGCTAAGCAAATTTGAAGATGCATAGTTGAATCATGACTCACTGATTCAGCCTTTCATGAGCTTACAGGCTAGAAAAGGAAGTATAAACATAAATACATATCTCACAGAAGAATGCATTACATCTACTACTGAAGAGGGATACAGACAGAAAACCTACACAGGTTCAGAGGAGGTTTGGAAGACTTCCAGTGAGGTTCTTACGAAGACATCAAGTGGTATCTGCATGGTACTGTGCATGGACAAATGGCTGGAGTTTAGGCCTTCAGAGATGGGCCATTCACAGGGGCAAGAACAGCATCAACAAAGACATCAAGGCAGGAAATTGTGAATGTGTTTGGGAAGAATTAAGTGGCTTGGCTCAGCATGTACCCCTCTGAATATAAACATGACGCCCCGAGACACCTGTGAGAATGTCTTGCTCATCAATTGCAGGTCCAGCTGAGAGACACCCATGTCCACTGCCTGCTGTCTGTTATGATGGAGGATGAGCAAACATCAGGCAGGGAAGAACGCAGGAGTGTAATCTCTAGGGGCAGTGGGAGGGTGGAAGAGTCATCAGGGTTTTTTTCTGAGGAGGTCATGAATTGGGCCTATGATGCAGGAGCAAAGTCAGGGGTGCTTTTAACAGGAGATTTTAAGACCCAGGCAAAGCGGACAGAAAGATGCTGGGTATTGGAAACTAGTGAGCATGATCCGGCATCCTGATAAACTCTCCCAGGGCCCTTTATGGGAGCTCATACCCCCAGGTGTCAAGGTCTAGGATAGGCATGTAGCTACAGAACAGATTTTCATCCACTAAAGCTAAGAGAGCTCTGTGGTACTGAGACCCATCAAGTCAGCTCCTCCTGCAACCAACCCAGCTGACCAGCCCAGCCTTACCTAAAGATCTATGAAGTATCCCAGGGGCTTTTCTGTTGTCAGTTGCTTAAATGGCACACTTTACTATCTGAGCAGGCTATACAGCCTCTCTATATCTCAGTTTCTCACCTGTAACGCAGGATGAATAACAAGATCTACTTCATAGAATTGTGTGGGTGAGGCGAGTTAATACATAGACACAACTTAGCATCGTGTGTGTCGATCCTTCTATTTATGCATCAACTCCAAATTCCAGTGGGGCAGCTGCAAGCCAGATTGTCAAGAGCAGGGAGTCAGAGCGATGGGACACATCTCCCAGGAAAGGAGCATCCTGGTACCATTGGAGACACCCAGTACCACAGGCCAGCCTGCCACCTGGCGCTGGAGAACAGAGGGCCCCTCCCCAGCAGAGATCTCAGACCACACCACCATCATCACATGGAAACTCCCATCTTGAATCCAGGGATGGAATTAATACGTGCACAGGGAAGGAAAAAAATGTGAGTCTCTTGCCCCCCTTTTCAGTACCATCACATCCAGGGGGCTCTTCCCTGCAGCACCAGCTCCTTTTCAACCATGCGAGGAAATGGAATGGTTTTCTTGAAAGATTTTCTTGAAGAGGAAAATCTCTTTAGAAGAGAGATGATGAAACAATAGATGGGGAAGCATCTGAAGTGGAAAGGCTTTGGGTAGTAAAGGATCCAGGTTTCCAGATGGTATCCTTGGGGCTGCTGGGACCAACAGAGAGGATATGAATGTGCTGTCAAAGGAGGTTTTTCTGTTTGAGCAGCTACAAAGAGGAAGGCACTAGCATCACTAATGGGAAGTGAGAGGAAGCAAGGGGGGGCGCCCAGCGATGCTTTCAGATGACTGTCTTATTGACTACGGTTGACAGGATTGCTTGCGGCCCCGAGCCTTGAATCCCAGGATTTCAGAAATGCATGAGCTGGGCTGGACACTGACCTACTTCTTATGGTCCATTCTCCTCCTGAGATATTTGTCTGCTCTTGAGCTGGCATATTCCTTTCCAGAGCCCTCGAGGTAATAGTGCATAACGAAAAATGCTCACTAAATAAAAGACTCTCTGTTATTTGCTCTCTGTTATTATAAGGAATTGGTATTTAAATTTTACATCTCTTCTGGCCCACTCCATCTTCTCAAAGGAGAGGCATGTAACGAGGAAGGCCATACCTTCAGGTGTGGAAAGCCTGTCTTTGCGCCAGTTGTCCTGGCATAATTATTAACAGTGTCCACTCCCTTTTCTCTCCCACAGGCATCCTAGTTCAGTCCATAAATTAAAAGATCACCTGTCTTAGTTTGGGTTCCCTCAGCAGCCGACAGTGAGACAAAGATTAACCACAAGTGTGGTCATGAGCTGTGTAACTACCTTAGGTCAACAATGCAGCATGTATTGTAGTAGCTGCGGTAAGGTTGTAGCACAATACGTTATACATGTGTTTGTGGTGGTGCATATGTAAACAAACCTACTGAGCTGCCAGTCATACAAAAGGTTAGCGCATATAATTATGTATAAAACATAATACTGGATAATGATAATAAGTGACTATGTTACTGGCTTATGTATTTACTATGCTTTACTTTTTATTGTTATTTTAGAGTGTACACTTTCTACTTACTGAAAAAAAAATCTAACTGTAAAACATTCTCAGGCAGGTCCTTCAGGAGCTATTCTAGGAAAAGACATTGTTATCACCAGAGATGACACCTCCCTGCATGCTGTTGCCCCTAAAGATCTTCCAATGGGACAAGATGTGGAGGTGAAAGACAGTGACATTGATAATTCTGACCCTGTTGTAGGCCTAGGCTAATGTGTCTGTGTGTCTGAGTTTTTAACAAAAAAGCTTTAAAAATGAAAATAAAATAAAAATAGAAAAAGCTTGTAAATTAAGATATTAGTCAGTTTTCACAATCCTATAAAGAACTTCCCTGAGACTGGGTAATGTATAAAGGAAAGAGGTTTAATTGACTCACAGTTCTGCATGGCTGGGTAGGCGTCAGGAAACTTATAATCATGCCAGAAGAGAAAGCAGGCACCTTCTTCACAAGACAGCAGGAGAGAGAAGAACGAAGCAAAGGGGGGAAAACCCCCTTATAAAGCCATCAGATCTCATGAGAACTCACTATCACAAGAACAGCATGGGGGAAACCGCCCCCATGATCCAATCACCTCCCTCCCTCGACACATGGGGATTAGAGGTCCATCTCTGCACACGTGGGGATTACAATTTGAGATGAGATTTGGGTGGGAACAAGAGCCAAACCATACCAGATATAAAGAAATAAAACATTTTTGTGCAACTGTACAAGACGTTTGTTTTAAGCTAGTTATTATAAGAATCAGAGTTAAGAAAAGTAAAAAGTTTATAAAATAAAAAAGTTATAATCAGCTAAGGTTAATTTATTATTAGAGGACAAAAAATATTTTAAAATAAATTTAGTGTAGCCTGAGAGTATAGTGTTTATAAAGCCTGCAGTGGTGTACAGTAATGGCCTAGGCCTTTACATTCACTCACTTGCTGACTCACCCAGAATCACTTCCAGTCCTGGGAGCTCCATTCATCATGAGTACTTTATACAGGTGTAGGATTTTTAATTTTTTATACTATATTTTTACTGTACCTTTTCTATGCTTAGATATGTTTAGATATACAAATACTTACCACTGTGTTACAATTGTCTACAGTATTCAGTACAGTAACATGCTGTACAGGGTTGTAGCCTAGGAGCAATAGGCTATACCATATAACCTAGGTATGTAGCAGGCTACACCACCTAGGTTTGTGTAAGTGTACTTCTTGATGTTTGCACAATGACAAAATTGCCTGATTACACATTTCTCAGACCATATCCCCATGATTAATGTATCTCATGGCTGTAGTTTATTTGGGAAGTGCAGTGAATATACTACTTGGAGACTAGAGAAATAAGACAAGGAAAGAAACACAGCTAATAAAGAGTATGCTATTAAACCAGCTACCCCGGTGCAGAATGGAAGCTTAATCTGGGGGAAAATTCTGGGAAATGATATGAAATGCATGCCTAGAATTGTCTTACTCCAGGGACAGGGCAAAGGAGTTGGGGTATTTCTCCACCAACTCTTGAGTCAAAGAGCTGCTCCTGAGAGCTGTTAGTTCCCTACCACTTCTGGCCTGCCTCATGAGCAGAATGGTCTTTTGTGGTTCTGAGAAAAAAACTCTCTCAAACACAGAGAGGCAGATTCCACACTGGAAAATCAGCAGGGGCCCATTGGAAAGTCTGAGGAATATGGATGGGCACTGACACCATCTGCCACATCAGCATGTCTTTAACTATCCTTCTGTCTATCACTTGGCTGGCATTCTGCCATCTCCAAGTTCACCAATAAAGTCTTGCTCTGTAAGTGCAATAAACTCTCTTCAACTTTCTCAATGGCTTTCTTGGTTCTTTTCACCACTACTCAAGCTTTCCCTCTTCAAACTCTACATACCTGACTTTTGTGACCCTGTTTTTTCCCTAATTCCTTGATGCTCCTATTGTCTTTGACTAATTGTGAGCATTTATCAAAGGCTTTTTCTCTTTTTCCCTTGGTAATTTTCTGTATCCATGACATCAACAGTAACCTGCATGTAGATGGTTCCCAAGTTAATATTTCTCAAATCCATGAACTTATTTAATCTATATAAAAGCTCTTTCACACCAAAGTCTTTTTAACTCTGAGTCTAGTGCTCTTTTCACTACAGTTTTATCAGCTGTGATTTCTCTCTGGAGACCTATCTTCCACATCTTGGTTGCCTGCTCAGTGTCTCTATTGGTTTGTTCTGCTGTGGTGTTAAATTCAGTGTGCTCAAAACTTGCTATTTCAGTTTGAGGATTTAGGTATACCAGTCCTCAGATCTAAAAACACTGGTTTCAAATTTACAAGAAAAAAAAAACCCATTAAAAAGTGGGCAAAGGACATGAACAGACACTTCAAAAGAAGACATACATGTGGCCAAAAATCTTATGAAAAAAAGATCAACATCACTGATCACTAGAGACATGCAAATCAAAACCTCAGGGAGGCATCATCTCACACCAGTCAGAATGATGTTATTAAAATATGCTGGTGAGGTTGAAGAGAAAAAGGAATGCTTATACACTGTTGGTGGGAGTGTAAGTTAGTTCAACTATTGTGGAAGAGAGTGTGGTGACTCCTTAAAGACCTAAAATCAGAAATATCATTTGACCCAGCAATCCCATTACTGGGTATACCCAAAGGAATATAAATTGTTCAATTATAAAGACACATGCTCACATATGTTCACTGCAGCACTATTCACAATAGCAAAGACATGGAATCAACCCAAATGTCCATCAATGATAGACTGGATAAAGGAAGTTGATGCATATACACAATGGAATGCTATGCAACCATAAAAAGAATGAGATCATATCCTTTGCAGAAGCATGGATGGAGCTGGAGGCCATTATCCTTAGCAAACTAACACAGGAACAGACAACCAAATACCACATATTCTTACTTACAAGTGGGAGCTAAATGATAAGAACACATGGACACATAGAGGGGAACAACACACACTGGGGCCTATCAGAGGGTGGAAGGTGGGAGGATGGAGAAGATCAGGAAAAATAACTAACGGGGACTAGGATTAATATCTGGGTGATAAAATAATCTTAAAACAAACCCCCAAGATGCAAGTTTACCTATATAACAAACCTGCACATGTACCCTTGAACTTAAAAAAAAATGAGAACATAGTTTTTAAAAATTGTCCCTTAAAGAAGCTTTTGCCTCATGCCTTCCTGTTTTGATTCATTTAGTAGCTTCTGCCTGAGCAGCTTCCCCTCTCCTCTTCACCTATTCCCATAGTCAAGACTATGTTTGCAAGTGGCATGAGCCTTACTTGACCACCATTAGGGAAAAGAAGAAAATAATTGGCTCAGTGGAGTAACTTGTAGGGAAAGCAGAGGTTCACTGAGCTTGTGAGAAAACTGGAACCAAGTTCTCCAATGTCATCAGCACTGTCTTGCTCTATTTCTAATCTCAGCTGCCTTTTCTCAGCCCAATCTCCTCTTAAAGCAGGATTCATGACCGGCAGTAGCTTTTCCTCACATCTCATGCAAGCAGGACCTCTTCCTCTCTGTTAGTTCCAAGTTGGGTGTGTGTCTTGTTTTTAAGAATTCTAATTGTCTAGAATTGGATTCTATGTCTACTCTAGTAGCTAAAGTGCAGAACGCTAACATTGGCAGCCTCACCCAGAATAATCCCCAATAGTTGGAATGGGAAGGGGCAATTTCCAAAAGAAAGGGGGATACATTTCCAAAAGGGTAAGGGAGAAGTGCTGAGCTGATATGGCAATTTGTGTTACGTAATTTTACCTTTTTCGGAAATCCCAATTCCTCCATGAAGCCTTTTCTGGTATCCTAGCCCTATGTATTCTTTCCCTTGTTAGAATACCATCGCATTTCTTGACTGTGATACTTATTTGTCATTTAGTCTTATCCTGTCTTACCCCATCTCTTCTGTTATTAAAAGGCGTTGCTAGTTTATGATTTATTTCTTTATTTTTAATGATTCACCTATTTAGATTATTTTCTCATTAGCTTGGCTATTGTCAGGCTGTAGGATTGTGTCTTAGTTTACTTTTTATCCTGTAAGTGACCCAAGCATGAGACTTTTCCCAGACTGGGCTTGAAAACAGTTCGTCTGTTTGATTTGGTTCCTACTGGGCTGTCATCCATGTTGAACACATATCAACCTGGGAGGTCTGGTAGAGAAAAAGTCCTGTGCTGAGACTCAGGAGACCTGGTTTCTGATTCTCACATGAGCCGTGAGACGTAGGCCAAATCACAACTCTCTCTGTTTTATCGATTTTTCCATCTGTGAAATGATGACAAAAAAATATGCCCCAACTCTTAGGATTCTTGTCAGAACACACTGGGAGCAATAAAAAGAAAAGTGCTATATACATGCAAGGTATGTTTATTCATATTGATAATTGATAGAGAAAACTCAGATGTTCCCAGTAAGGTATCATTTTCAAGTACAACTCTTGCTACCACGTTTGCATTTACACAATTGTTTCCCTCCCTAGATAAAACCACCTATCTGCTGGAAACATGAACCAGTGGTTAAGCCAACCATTAAATTAACTTATAAAAGCTTTGTGGAACTTTAAAGAAAATATAATAGTAAATTGGTTTCCAAAACTTTCTAATAGGAAAACTCATTTCTTTGGTCCCACGTGGCATCAAAGTGCCAAATAGGCAAAAAAGCCAAACTGTTAGAGTGGCTTTTTTTTTTTTTTTTTGGTTGGTTGTTTAATTTTGGTAATGAAGTGTTGATGTAATGTTCTTTTTAAACATCAACCTTTTCTTTCTCCTACTGCTAAAGAGTCCAGATTCTAATTCTCTTCTTTTAGTCAAGCTGCAGAAAACCAATTCAAATTTACTCACTACTTTGTGTGTACCGGATGCATGTAAGGGACTGGTCAATAGGGTTTATAGTGGCAATAAGGGTCAGCTGGGTCAAAAGGATCTTAAGGAGCATCCAGTCAAATAGGGAAGACAAATGGTAAACAACCCATTCTAATTATATCTACAATTATGCATATAACAATTCTCTAAAGCAGTATATGAGTCAGGGTGGGTTAGCCGATGTAACAAACAGCCCCAATTTTTAGTGTCTTAACATAGTAAAAGGTTATTTCTTACTCATACAAAGTCTAATATACTTGTTCCTGGTTGGATGGCTTTCTTCCAAGTGGGGACACAAGGGTCCAGGCATATTCTGTCCTGTGATGTCGCTGTCTTCAACTTATGGCCTGTAAAGTCACCATGAAAGGGGATAATAGCCTGGGCAAAGCACACAGGATACTTAGCCGTCTTAATCTGATAGTGACACACATGACCTCTGCTCATATTCCATGGCCACATATGTCCACCTAGTCACATGGAGCAACTGAGATCCTGGGCAGCTGCTTCTCAGCCACAGTAGTACTATTCAAAAGGGACACATCTCTTAGGTGGATGACTAGCTGCCTCTGCCACAAGTAGTCCTGAGAGGTGAAGCCAGCTGGACTTCCTGGGTCGAGCAGGGACTTGGAGAACTTTTCTGTCTGGCTAGAGGATTGAAAATGCACCAATTAGCGCTCTGTGCCTAGCTAAAGGATTGTAAATACACCAATCAGCACTCTGTAAAAACACACCAATCGGTACTCTGTGTCTAGCTAAAGGATTGTAAATGCACCAATCAGCACTCTGTAAAAATGCAACAATCAGCACTCTGTGTCTAGCTAAAGGATTGTAAATGCACCAATCAGCACTCTGTAAAATGGACCAATCAGCACTCTGTAAAATGGACCAATCAGCAGGACATGGGTGGGGCCAATTAAGGGAATAAAAGCTGGCCACCCCAGCCAGCAGCGGCAACCTGCTCGGGTCTCTTTCCATGCTGTGGAAACTTTGTTCTTTCGCTCTTCATGATAAATCTTGTTGCTGCTCACTCTTTGGGTCTGCGCTACCTTTATGAGCTGTAACACTCACTGTGAGGGTCTGCGGCTTCATTCCTGAAGTCAGCGAGACCACGAGCCCACCTGGAGGAACAAATAACTCCAGACATGCCACCTTTAAGAGCTGTAACACTCACTGCGAAAGTCTGCGGCTTCACTCCTGAAGTCAGCGAGACCACGAACCCACCGGAAAGAAGAAACTCCAGACATATCTGAACATCTGAAGAAACAAATTCCAGACATACCATCTTTAAGAGCTGTAACACTCACTGCGAAGGTCCACTGCTTCATTCTTGAAGTCAGCGAGACCAAGAACCCACCAGAAGGAATAAATTCCGGACACAGTACTATTTTTACAAGTGGCAAAATTGAGGGGTTAAGTAACTTACCCAAGGTCATACAGCTGGTGTGTTGAAAAACCAGATTTGAACCCAGTCTGTTTGCCCTAAAGCTCATGTTCTCCTCACTCCATCACACTAACTTCCTTACCATGGCCGTGTGACAGGCTCCAGGCCATGACTGGGCTCTGTCTGCATGATCTGCCCCTTGAACCCATTTTTCCTGGTTTGTGCCAGTCTGGAAAGCTGGTCCTGCTGCTGCCTTAACTTCTGGTCTGATATTCTTCACAGCCCTTGGCTGTGACTTGGGGTCTTGCTAGTTTTCCTCAACTCTCTCCTCCAGATGCACTCTTAGCACTGGACAAAGTTTCCATCATTGTGACACAGAAAATCAAGAAATAGGATTAGAGCTTGTACAACTGCTGTTTGAAGAAGGTAGCGGCAATTTGCCTATATAACTTGAGGCACTTTCAGCAATAAAAACTAGTTGTATCATGTTATGGTTCCATTTCTTCCAGGCTAGTAAATGGTCAGTTTCAAAGAACAGACAGGGCTCTAGGAATTTAGATGTAAGAGACAATTCTGAGTTTGAAAAATGGAGCCAATTCATTTTGTGAGCATAAATATGTACATGGGGCTCCAATCAGAAGCAACAGGACAGATTTGTATAATGAACTCTCCAGCTAGCCCATCCTGATTCATACACTGTTTTAAGTTTTGGATGGACCACAGCAAAGGGCTGTGCTCACATTTACCCTGCCTGTTTCAGATGTATGGAACATCAGCCCCATCCATGAAACCCTGATTACTTTGAATTCCAGTCCCTATGGCTACAAAGCAAATTAACTGCAAACTTAGTTTAAATAACCATGTATTATGCTCATAGATGTGTGGACCAATAATTCAAACTGATAGGGATGGTTTGTATTATTTTTTCTAATTTCTGGGGTCTCATTGAAAGACTCAACAGCTGAGGGTTGAGATCATCTGAAAGCTTATTCACTCACAAGTCTGATGATTAATAATGGCATTGGTTGGGGGTCTCACTTCCCCTTCACATGGGCCTTTGGATATATCTTTCTATGTGAGCTAGTTGGGCTTTCTTACAAGCGTGGTGGCTGGATTCCCACTATGGACATCTTGAGAGAAAAAAGAGAGAGTCAAGCACAGGTAGGTTGTCTTTTTTCAGCTGTCCTCAGAATTCTGGAGCATTGATTCTGCCACATTTTATTCATTGAGGCAGTCACAAAGTTCTCCCCAAGTTTAAGGGGAGGGAAGATAGACTCTGCCTCTTGATGGGGAATAGCAATGTCTGGAAGAATGGGTAGGATTTGAAACATTGCTGTGGCCATATTTGGAAAATCTAATTTGCCATACCTTGCTTTCATTTTGATCCTTAGATCTGGCTTAAATATTAGTTGTCATATATTTGATACCCATGTGCCAGGTACCTTATTATATCTAATCCTGACCTCAACTCTTCAAAGTAGGTCATGCTATCCCTTTTATAAATTAGGAAACTGAGACCCAGAGAAGTTAACTAACTTACCCAAAGACATGGAGCTAGCAAATGATAAAATTAAGTTGCAAGACCAAGCCTGAACCACTCCACATCTCATACTTTCCCCAACAGTTCCTATATGATTCCCATTGGGAATGACTCATTCCTTTAATGAAAGGAAAGTTTGGCAGGGGAAGGTTGGAGTGGTGGAGATGGGGTAAAGGGAAGTTCAGACACTTTGAGTTAATGGTAATTTCCATGAAGGTGCTTGTTCTAATAATTTCCACCTTCCCGAGTCCACATATCCTTAGAGCCCATCAAGTCAAGCTGATGTAATTTAAAACCCTCCCTGGTTTCCAAACAGCTGCAATATATTTACTTTGATTCTCCGCCAAGTATAAAATATTACTCAAAGACCACAGGACTGTATAATGTTAATGGGCAATGAAATCCACCCTTCTTCAGGTGGGTCAAGGAGAAACCATGGAAAGATTTTATTAGGATGACTAAAGTAACTCTTTATCATCTTGATCATTCAAATCAAGATACTTTTTTTTCTTTTACTGTTTTGTTTGTTTGTTTGTTTTTTTATTCGAGACGGAGTCTTGCTCTGTTGCCCAGACTGGAGTGCAGTGGCGCAATCTTGGCTCATTGCAACGCCTCCTGGGTTCAAGTGATTCTCCTGCCTTAGCCTCCCAAGTAGCTGGGATTACAGACATGCGCCACCATACCCGGCTAATTTTTGTGTTTTTAGTAGAGATGGGGTTTCACCACGTTGGCCAGGATGGTCTTGAACTTCTGACCTTGTGATCCACCCACCTAGGCCTTCCAAAGTGCTGGGATTACAGGTGTGAGCCACTGTGCCCAGCCTAAATCAAGAACTTTTGAGAGTGAAAAGTGATGCTGTTAATAATTATGCTGAAGAAGGCATGTGCTGAAGTGTTCTATATCTTGATCTGGAGAATAGTTACATGAGTGTGTACATATTTAAAAAATCGTTGTGCTGTACTCTTAAAAGGTATATACTTTACTGATGTTAAGTTATACCTCAACCACAATATCAATATAGTTATAAAATAATGATAATTATGCCAGGACAATGAGTGTAAACAACTTCTCTCTCGGGCAAATAGGGACATATAGTCATCCTAGTCATGACCAGTTCCCAAGCTGGCCTCACTGGGGGTGAACAAGAAGGTGTTTATGGTCAGAAATGATTGAATTTCAAAATCAATATCCAATAAAGTTTTATCTTGGCTGAAGCCAACATCCCCTTTTCTAGACTTACACTCTACATTTTGTGGGATGGAGTGATGGTGAAGGTGGGGAGGAAATGGTGGTGGTGACATGTTGTGAATAGAGGTGGGGAGGGTGATGCTGTTGTTAGTGGTTGTATTAGTTTGTTCTCATGCTGCTAATAAAGACATACCTGAGACTGGGCAATTTATAAAGGAAAGAGGTTTAGTGGACTCACAGTTCCACATGGCTGGAGAGGCCTCACAATCATCTCAGAAGGCAAAGGAGAAGCAAAGGCATGTCTTACATGGTGGCAGGCAAGAGAGCTTGTGCAAGAGAACTCTCATTTATAAAACCATCAGATCTTGTGAGACTTATTTGCTACCATGAGAACAGTGTGGGGGAATGAATGATTTCATTCAATCCAGAAACTGAATCTTTCATGATTCAATTATCTCCACCTGGTCCTGCCCTTGACACGTGGGGATTATTACAATTCAAAGTGAGATTTAGGTGGGAACACAGCCAAACCATATCATTCCACCCCTCGTCTTTCCCAAATCTCATGTCCTCACATTTCAAAAACAATCATGCCTTCCCAGCAGTCCCCCAAAGTCCTAACTCATTTCAGCATTAACTCAAAAGTCCACAGTCCAAAGTCTTATCTGAGTCAAGGCAAGTCCCTTCCACCTATGAGCCTGTAAAATCAAAAGCAAGTTAGTTACTTCCTACATACAATGGGGGAACAGGCATTGGGTAAACACACATGTTCCAAATGGGAGAAAATGGCCAAAAGCAAGGGCTACAGGCCCCATGCAAGTCCAAAATCCAATAGGGCAGTCATGAAACCTCAAAGTTCCAAAATGATTTCCTTTGACTTCATGTCTCACATCCAGGACACACTGATGCAAGAGGTGTGCTCCTACAGCCTTGGGCAGCTCTGCCCCTGTGGCTTTGCATACATCCTCTGAAATTTAGGCAGAGGTTCCCAAACCTTAATTCTTGACTTCTCTGCACCATGTGGAAGCTGCCACAGCTTGAGGCTTGCACCCTCTGAAGCCACAGCCCAAGTTGTACCTTGGCCCCTTTTAGCCATGGCTGAAGCGGCTGGGAGGCAGGGCACCAAGTCTCTAAGTTGCACAGAGCAGGGGGGCCCTGGACCCAGCCCATGAAACCATTTTTTCCTCCTAGGCCTCCCGGCCTGTGATGGGAGGGGCTGCTGTGAAGGTCTCTGACATGCCCTGGAGACATTTCCCCCATTGTCTTGGCACCTAACATTTGGGTCCCTGTAATTAGGCAAATTTCTGCAACTGGCTTCAATTTCTCATCAGAAAAAAGGTTTTTCTCTTTGTATCACATTGTCAGTCTGCAATTTTTCGAACTTTAATTTCTGCTTCCCTTTTAAAAATAAGTTCCAATTCCAAATTTTATCTTTGTGAATACATAAAACTGAATGCTTTAACAGCACCCAAGTTACCTCTTGAACATTTTTACTGCTTGGAAATTTCTCCCACCAGATGCCCTAAATTGTCTCTCTGAAGTTCAAAGTTCCACAAATCTCTAGGGCAGAAGCAAAATGCTGTCAGTCTCTTTGCTAAAACATAGCAAGAATCACCTTTGCTCCAGTTCCCAACAAGTTCCTCATCTTCATCTGAGACCACCTCAACCTGGACTTCATTGTCAGCATTTTGGTTAAAGCCATTCAACAAGTCTCTAGGAAGTTCCAAACTTTCCCACATCTTCCTGTCCTCTTCTGAGCCCTCCAAACTGTTCTAGCCTCTGCCAGTTACCCAGTTCCAAAGTTGCTTCCACATTTTTGGGTACCCCACTCTACCAGTACCAATTTACTGTATTAGTCTGATCTCATGCTTCTAATAAAGACATATCTGAGACTGGGTAATTTATAAAGAAAAGAGATTTAATGGATTCACAGTTCCATATGGCTGGGGAGGCCTCACAATCATGGTGGAAGGCAAAGGAGATACAAAGGCACGTCTTACATGGTGAGAACAGTATGGGAGAAACTGCTCCCATTATTCAATTATCTTCACCTGGCCCTGCCCTTGACACATGGGGATTATTACAATTCGAGGTGAGATTTGGGTGGGGACATAGCCAAACCATATCGGTGTGATGTTGCTGTTGAGAGTGATGGTGGCAATGGCAGCAGTGGTGGGTGGTGTTGTTAGTGATCGTGGTAATATATGTATATATTTTTTTAGAGACAAGGTCTTGCTCTGTTGCCCAGGTTGAAGTGCAGTGTCACAATCATAGCTTGCTGTAGCCTCCAACTCCTGGACTCAAATGATCCCCCTGCCTCAGCCTCCCAAATGCTGGGATTACAAGCATGAGCCACTTAACCTGGCTGATGGTGTTAGTACTGATGATGGTGTTAGAGTGATGTGATGGTGGTTCTGGCAATGATGAGCTGTGTGATGAAGGTGGTGATGGTGGTGGTGGTGATGGTAGGTGGTATGATTGTGGTGGAGGGGAGTGAAGATGGTGGTGGTGATTAGTGGTGATGCAGTGGTGATAGTAGGAACACTATATGGTATGGCAATGGTGGCGGAAGTGTTGGCGGTAGGTTGTGTGATGGAAGTGGAGGTGGTGGTGGTGGTGGTGCTGATCATGGCTGGTGGTGAGATGGTGTGGTGGAGGTGGTAGTTTTGGTGGTGATGATGGTTGGGGCTGATGTTGGCCATGGTTGGTAGTGGTGAAACCCAATCAATCCTTTCTCTTCTAGGAGATCCCTGGGATTCTTTTATAACTTATGCAGATCTTCCTCAGACCTTTGCATGCCACAGGAGAAACAACTTCCCTAGTCAAATAAAAGGTATTTTTCCCCATGGCAGGGCCTTCCCAAGCTTACATCTTCCTAGCAAGGAGTTGCCCTGAAGATGTGCTCAATTGTGACTTGACAGCTTCTTTTGCTAAAGAAGAAGGGGAAAAAATCCCTGATTGCTACTTCACTACCCAATTTTTGGTTCACTACAATCAACTATATACAGTTTTCATTCTATTTTATGGACTCAGACATCCCTTGTCAAACCCATACTTGTCCTAATAAAGTCCCTAGTGAGTGAACCTCTTCAGGTATTAAAGATAGGGGGCCCAGGCAGGATGAAACTAATGGACAACTATGTTGTAAGGAGTCTTGTGCCTTATCAACCTCCCTCAGCACCCCCAGATTGAACCTGCATAACAGAATCTGTTTTGTATCTCTGGCTGTAACTCCCATTTGCTATGTGCTAGGCACCATGCTAAGTGCTTCACATAAATGATCCCAGTGTAATTCTTAGCAAAAATGGTGTGAGGGAAGCAATATTATTCCTACTATAAATTTGAAGAGGCCAAAACTCAGAGAGGGGAAGCTCTCACAGCTGACAAGTGTGTAAGTAATGAGTGTGTGTAAGGAACGGCCATACACATGCTTATCGTGGCTCACCTCATTGTTACAATTCAGTTGATCACAGATTGAAATGCCTAACAAGGACATCTTCTTTTTCTTTTTCTTTCTCTTCTTCTTTCTTTTTTTTTTTTTGAGACATGGTCTCACTCTTGCCACCTAAGCTGGAGTGCAGTGGCATGATCTCAGCTCACTGCAGCCTCAACTTCCTGTGATCAGGTCTCGCACCTCAGAATCCTGAGTAGCTGGAACCACAGGCACACACCACCACACCTGGATACTTTTTTGTAATTTTTTAGTAGAGATGGGGTTTCATCATGTTGCCCAGGCTGGTCTCGAACTCCTGGGCTCAAGTGATCCACCCACCTTGGCCTCCCAAATTGTTGGGATTATAGGCGTGAGGCACCACACCTGGCCTCTTTTTTTTTTTTTTTAAATTAACTTTTAAGTTCAGGGGTACATATGCAGGTTGGTTATATAGGTAAACTTGTGTTGTGGGGTTTGTTGTACAGATTATTTTGTCACCCAGGTATTCAGCTTAGTACCCATTAGTTATTTTTCCTGAACTTCTCCCTCCTCCCACCCTTCACCCTTTGATAGGCCCCAGTGTGTATTTTTCTCCTCTATGTGTCCATGTGTTCTCCTCATTTAGCTCCCAGTTATAAGTGAGAACATGTGGTATTTGGTTTTCTGTTCCTGCATTAGTTTGCTAAGGATAATGACCTCCAGCTCCATCCATGTTCCTGCAAAGGACATAATCTTGTGGTTTTTTTATGGCTGCATAGTATTCCATGGTATATATATGTACCACACTTTTTTTGTCTGTCTACCGTTGATGGGCATTTAGGTTGATTTTATGTCTTTGCTATTGTGAATAGTGTGCTACAATGAACATAAGCATGCATGTTTCTTTATGACAGAATGATTTATATCCCTTTGAGTATATACCTAGTAATGGAATTGCTGAGTCAAGTGGTATTTCCGTTTTTAGGTCTTTGAGGAATTGCCACATTGTCTTCCACATGGCTGAACTATTTATACTCCCACCAACAGTGTATAAGCGTTTCTTTTTCTCCACAACCTCGCCAGCACCTGTTATTTTTTAACATTTTAATAATAGCCATTCTGACTGGTATGAGATGGTATCTCATTGTTGTTTTGATTTACATTTCTCCAATGATCAGTCATGTTGAGCATTTTTTCATGTGATTGCTGGCCACATGTATGTCTTCTTTTTAAATGTATCTATTCATGTCCTTTGCCCACTTTTTAATGAGTTTTTTTTTCTTGTACACTTAAAGTTCCTTATAAATGCTGGATATTAGACCTTTGTCAGATGCCTAGTTTGCAAAAATGTTCTCCCATTCTGTAGGTTGTCTTTCACTCTTAATCCTTTCTTTTGCTGTGCAGAAGCTCTTTGGCTTAATTAGATCTCATTTGTCAATCTTTGCTTTTGTTGCAATTACTTTTGGTGTCTTCGTCATGTAATCTTTGCCTGTTCCCACGTCCAGAATTGTTTTGCAACAAGGACGTTTTTAACCTAGCCATGGTGCTGGAGCAATAATTGATTTCATTTGTCCAAAGACCTGGTGTGCTTGCAGGGGCCCCTTAGAAAGGAAACACACAGAAAGACAAGGAGCTATCACTATTAATGTGAGTTTTCAATGTCCTGTTAAAGCCAACACTGAATTTCTGACCAAAAAAATAAAGCGGATATTTCTGTGACTGAAATCAAGTCATTCAGGAACTGTTCCCAATAAAAAGCTCCTATTCCTTTTGATCTGGGATTGTCCCTCCAGAATAATACAGAGGAAAGGCTGGTTTGGAAAAAGTATGTTTTTCTATGAATTTTATTTTAAAACAAATATTTAAAGAGCTTTCTTTTTGCAACATATTTTGTTAAAAGAGCTTCTCTCTCATAACAAAGCCACAGGTCTTCCTCTGAGAGCTGAGAAAAGGAGGCGTCTGCCAAGTCTGGTGGCTTGGAGCCAGTTCATCTCGAAGCAAGGGCTGATGGGTAGAGCGAGACACACAATGGGCCAGTTTTAGAAAACTGGGAAACATGGGGCTGTTTCGCCCACTCCCAGGTTAGCAGCCGTGTGGGTTTGGTTCACGCTTCAAGGCAGGGCAACAGGGATGGCCATAGCACCTTTGGGGTGAAACCAAATATTAGACAGCCTGACCCCAAAGGAAACCTGAAGCAAGTTGCAAATTATATTGGGAAACAGTGGGTGATGGGGAGCAATAAAAGGAAAGAGCTCTTGCAGATGCAGCCACAGGACCTGAGGGTGATGTTGAACCGACTCCTGCAAGCCCTGTAATCCAGGCCGCCAAGCTAAGAAAAATCGCAGCCAGAGACCAAGGAGTTGCCTCTAAATGCCACTTGCTTTCTGGTACTACAAGCAAGTTGTACCTATCATTATCCTCCGGGAAAACGCCAGGGGAAGCTGTAATAGTCCCTGCAGGGCTATGCAAACGCCTGCACCTCAGCATTTTCTGATGGTCGTGCCTGCCAATGATTTTATGAGGAGGAACATGGAGAGGGGAAGGTGCAGGAAGGGATTGGCTCTGAACCCCAAGGCCTCTGAAAGCAGACGGCCAGGAGGGACCCGGAGTGTTGGAGGCTTTCTGCAAGGCCTCCATGGGTCTCTTCTTCCTGTGAGCACTTGGTGCCTCCTTCTCCCTCTCAAGGAGAGGAAGGAGACAGTGGGGACAGAGTTCTAGGGACCTTCCCAAGTCTTGTTGGCCCTGGGAGAATTGAGAAGGTCCCGAGGAGCCAGGAGGCAGGAGGGGGCAGGGGCTGTTTCCTTAGTAACCCCTCTGTTGTGGCAACAGCAGGACAGTCTCTCTGCCTTTATGTTTCCCTATAGACCTGTGGCAAGCCCTTCCCAGTGTGCCAGTGGAAACTGCACTAATGATTTGGTTTTCCCAAAGATTTCACCATCAGTCTCTCTTGGGCTGGTAAGCAAAGGGCAGGTTGGACCTGACTTGATGATAGGCACCTTAGGTGCCAGAATGAAGGTACCAAAAACATGGGAAAGGAAGATATGGAGTACATTTCATTGCCACCAAAACATGGCAGGGAGCCTTGCATCCTTAGGCCATTTTACTGCCACTTTTTCACACCATACTATACTTTATGGCAGAAAAGTATTCAACCCTGTTGATCTTCCTCCATATGTCAGTCCTGGAATTATTCTTTCACTTATTGATTCATTCAACAATTATTGATGGATTGCCTGGGAACTTGCTAGATGCTAGGGATATCATATCATAAAAACTAATATTTATTGGGTACATTATTATCCTTATGCTGCAGATAGGAAAACTGAGGAACAGAGAGGCGCTATGGCAGGGACCTTGTAGATCTGTCCTCTGTTCTTGGGAGCTTATATTTTGGTAGCAAAGATGGACATCAAACAAATGATTACACAACTATTTAATTATCATTGTGATGAATGTTATAAAGGAGATGGGCGTTTGCCACGGTCTTGGGAAAAGATGTGAAAAGGGACTGGGAAATAGCAAGAAGAACTGAAGACGAGTCTTTTGAGGAGTTTTTTTCTGAAGAATCCAGAGACAAGGCCATGAATGGGGGAAAGCATGAGAGGCGGTGAGGTCTTGAAGTTCCAGGACCACTTACAGGTGCCCGCGGTACCTCTCTTGCTCCAGCCTAGTACTGGCCTTGCCCAAAGACGATGAAATAAAGAAGTTTTCCTGGGAACACTGGAGTGTATGAGTTTGATGTTAAGATTGTCCAAAGTGTTAAGGATAAGAAATAATTGCAGTGGTGACTACCTTGAGAAGGTGAGGGGGAGGTATTGGCTGTATATGGGAACAGCAATACTTCATCATTTTAATGGAGGGAACGTGGAAGAGACAGATGCAGACAAATTGGGAGATTTGGTGGTGGAAAGATGGAAGAGTTTCTGTCTGATTGCTTTTTCTATTTTCTCAGTAAAATATCAGGCAAGATACTCATCTGGGAGCGAAGCAAGAGGAAGGGATGTGGGCAGTTTGAGGACAGAAAAGAAAGCTCGCAATGGTTGCATTGAGGAGTGGTGGGGCATGCCCTGGCAGTGTAGCAGGCTCTCCAGGCAGGGCCCCCTTAAGACTTGTGGTCATCATGAATTAAGTGTGAGACCAGCTGGCATTTTTTGTGAGACCAGTTATGCATTTTTCTCCAACAGGAATCTGCTACTCAGGTGGAGGTATGGAGTGGGTGGATGGTTGGGCTTAATCTGAATTGAGATTGAATCAGGTGAGCATATGAGAGAAAGAGAGAGGGGTGAGGGGGTGGGGAGATTGCTGGGCAGGGAATGGAACGATGAGGGGAAAAGGAGGGTTAGGACTGAAGGGGGCTAATGGATAAGGAAACAGTGGCTTCTGGATTGAAGGTCTCTGTGAAGATGCAGGCTTATTGGGTTGGAGTGGGCTGTCTGAGTAGAGTTAGCAGAAAGTTTTCTGAATTGTGCTTTTATTAGTGGTGACAAGGTCAGGAGAATGACAATGGTGAGGATAGCTGGGGGGCATTGGAAGGAAACTGAAATGGAGGTGAAGAAGTGAAAGAACAGAGGAGCCAAGTGTTGCGTGAGTCATTGCCAAGAAGGGTTTCAGAGCCAGGGTGAAGAGAAAAATAGGGAGTCAGGTGCCAGAAACTTGCATGATTCAGGGGATCACTTAAGGGTTGTTAGAGGACAGGACCAGAAATGAGTTGGAGTGGTCTAGTTCAGAAGCATGAACTTCAGAGTAGCTGGGGATTTTGAAGAGAGAATGTTGGAAAATGTCTTGGAAGTAGCAATGGGAAGCAAGGAGACCATCTGTGAGAGAACAAAAGAGGTGCCACTTGGTGGGCTGAAGGGAGGTGGTGTCTTCAGGGCAGACTTAAGCTCCAGAGTTAGGGCAAGAGCCTTCATGAAGGCTCAGAGAAGATGGCGGGGCTCCAGAAACTTTTGGTGATGGCTTAACATGGGCTCCAAGGGGCTCAGTGGAAGGACTTGAGGGCAGAGAGGGATAGAAGATTGAGTTGGTGTACACACAGAGCAGAAGAGAGAAAGTGGCCTCGGAAGGGATAAGAGTTGATCTGAGAGACTGAGACATCTGATAGTCTGAAAAATGGAGGCAAACTTTTTGGGGGTGGATGGGGAAGATTGCTAATAACTCTGCCAGTAATAACTTATATATTAAAAAATAATCATTTGATCACAAATACTGTTAGAAAACATCATGTCTCGAACTCACCTTGGGTTATAGCTCTCTTAAATTGTTCAGCTGTGCCCTTTTTGTGGACTTCACCAAATTGTCATTTGATTCCTTGACCTCTGCCCCTCCCAATCTGACACCATCAAGGTAAGCATCAGAAATGAGCAGAGAGCATTGGATTTGTGGCTCTGTGTTGAAGTTACTTCATCCAGGGCGTGACTCTCTCTCAATATCCACTAGACACATCAGCCTGGATCTTCTGGTCATGTTGCTAACCAGAAGTAGAGTTGGAGTTCCAGAGGAAGAGCTGGTGGAAATTCATCTGATCAGAGCAGTCAAGGCCATGCCCCACTTCTCCTTACTCAGCCATTCCCCTCCTCCCACCCAAGTTCATTCTTCCAAAATATCTTTCCCTAATAAGCAAGAGAGGAAGAAGTGGAGGAATTTTAATTCAAGATCCCAAGCACATTTTTATGATTCTATAATTCTTCCTCCTTGTCTCAAATCAGCCCATTTATCTTGGGGGCAGGGAGCTCTGTCCTGCAGTGAAAAGATTCATGTTGGAAGTGTGAGGGGAAGAGACCTGACACAAACCACAGTGAGGTTTTCCGGGGCAGCAGCAGGTATACTATGGCAGACAGCTTTGTGAGGGACTCTGCACTACTGCCAACTTAGTAACAAAAATAATGCTTATGAAGGAAAATAGATAAAGTCATGGAAACCCTAAGTGCAATAGAAACACAAGGATACAACAAGCTGGGTCCAGAAGTAGTGCCCAAGGCCATCTTAGCACCCTCAGAGCCTTCCACCAGCAGCTATTTGTTGAGAGTCCATAAGAAACAGAGTACAAAGATGAGTGCAGTATGCATGTTCCTTGAATGAATGTCTTGAAGGGACACATTTGCAGAGTCCTTCAATTTTTTAAATGCCATCAACTAGAGTGAACCTAGTGAGTGGTTACCCCTGGTATTTAAGAGTACACACACGTGTTCATGTACACACACCCCTGCCCCCATACATACTTTCTTGTCAAAGCACTAGAGGAAAACCCTGCCAAATCTGTGACTCATTTAGCCTGAACTCTTGGTCTAATCATAGCTTGGTTTTTGGATGAAATGTAAACTTATTTGCTGGAATATGATCAGACACTTCTGGGTTTGATATTCTGTAACTTTAACAGCAAATTCTGAGTTTAGTGTGTGTGGAAGGAGGAGGGAGAATCTGAGAGGAGGGAAACTGGTTTTAATAATCTTACTTATCTTTAGCAACTTGCAGCTTATAAAGGTCTTTCATCCAGGGTTGTCATTTGACCTTCCGAACATCCCTATTGGATAGGTAATTTCACATCATCTTTATGGACAGAGAAACTGAGATGCCAAGAGTGTAAATCCCTGCAGATCCAGGGCAAGGCTGAGGTCTTTAGGCTCATTGACTTTCTCCTTCTTTACCCTTAATAATGAAAAAGTCAGGTACAATGAATTCTTTAAAAACAGTAACCAAAACTTGTACCTGGAGAAATGCCACAGAAGGGTATGCCTGAGTCAATGAATTTTACCTAAGCCATTTTACACAAATGTCATTGCCCTTTGCTGGAGACTCTCATTTGATTCTAGAAAGCATGTAAACAACAGGCTATGGATCTGAGCCAGATGCTCAGCAGATCCTATAAGAGACTTCATTTTCCAGAGCATTCTAAGAAGGGGTCAATTGCTAAATGCATGAAGAAACCAACTTAAATCAGCAGAAACAGACTCTAAATCTTAAGTCTTCCAATCAAGTGGCTGTTTCTGCCAATTGTGCCCAGACCACCACCCTTCAGATGAACCCATGTGCCTCTTCACATAGCCCATCCTTCGGAATTGTCCCCAATTCTCGGGGCGAGGAGGTAGCATGCCAGTTCCTCCCCATGGTTAAGGGCACACCTGAGTGCTCTCAGCTGTCCATTTGGCTTCCCAAGACAGTTCAACCTTTTGGCTGCACAGACCTTGCCACGGGCCATCCTGGAACTGACTGATCGTGGATACAGGCAAGTCTTGCTATGGATTGGAAGTAATTTAAATTAAAAGCTGCCCTGTGGGGGAAAACCCTATGATTCCTCCCTGAATGAAAAGCATCTTTTAAATCTGTGACTTCATTCTCAGTGACTGGCTTTATACTTTTCTTCATTCTCTTTGATCTGAGATCTAGGGAGTAGCACACCCTCATATCTGCATTCTAATGATAGGAAGTGTGGAAGGGGTAAAGAGGAGACAGGGAAGGACTAGGCAGATGGCTCCAGACAAATGGTTGGGTTTTGGGGGAGCTGGAGTGGAGATCAGGACCTGAGGCTGAGGCCCATGATGGAGGCTCAATGCTGGAGGAAGCCCCACAGAGGCAAGGGTGGCACTCAGATGCCCAGGGCTCACACCAACACCAGGCCAGGGAGTGTGCAGCGATACTGCTTGGACTCACCTGGTGGTCGTTGGGAAGCTGCTGACACCCTGGTTCCCATGGCTGGATGGGAGTTGGCCTGCTGATGGTTGGTCTGGAATTCTAGTGGCTGAATGGGGCTGGGTAGAGGAAAGGGCTGAGAAATTTAGAAGATAAAATAACCATCTCACTTCTCTAGAAGTACCTGGTGGTGTTATAACAGCAGGCTCTGCCTGGCCCTGCTTTCTCAAAGAGTGCAGGGTAAAGTTGTCTTCCAGGGATGGGGCTGACACAGCTGCCTGGAAGAATGACTGCAGGAGTAGGGAAGGAGACAGCTGGGTGGTACAGATAGGGCAGGGAATCTTGGTTAGACAGGGACAGACAGTAGCTTTTCCTCTCCAGCAATTGTTATGCTCATTGGCTATGATCAACTCTGGGGCAGGAAAAATGTAATATGGAGTTGCCGAAATGCAGAGCTCATGGAACAGACAGACAGCAATAAAATCTTCTGGGGTATAGGGAGGAACATGGTAGCTGAATTTCCATGGTAACTGGTTCCATATGGGAGGGGGTTCAGAAGGCCAACATCCAGATTTTCAAGCAGTTCAGGCCACCTAGACGCTCCTTCCATTAAAATAGCTGGGAGCCCAGCAGTCCTGGTTCTTTGCTCTCAAGCTCCACTCCACTCAGGCTGGTGACCACATGACACCGCAACCCGTCTGCCTTCAGACCTGCCTCCAGCTCCACCTGCCGCTGCCTGCCTTTTTCTCATTCCATCTCCATCTCCAGGGTGGCCCATCTACAAGGCTCACCTCGAGCCCCTATCTCCTTTTACAAACTATCTGCCTCAGTTTCATATTTTTACCCATCATTATGTGGGTAAAAATTCTTATGTACTTTATTGGGAGAGGAAAAATGAGGCAAAGTGTATGAAAATGCCCATTAAACACTAAAGGGCTATAAACTATGAGAAAGTTACATTTTATTAATAGTCATTATCACAACAAGAATATATTCTATTTTATGTAATAATATGAATAATGTAGATTTATATTATTTTGTAACAATGTTTGACTTGCATTAACCTTGTCTTCTCAGCCAGCTGGTGAACTCCTTGAGGGAAGGGATTCTGTCTTGTGTTAGCAAACATTGTTACTTCTACCAACACATTGCTGACTAAAGGTAAATGCCAGATTGGTTGATTGAATGATTTCTGCTTGATCAGAATAGCCCACTTTTCGGATAAGAGAGAGAACAGGAGCCCAGGAAATTCCTAACAATATTATTCAGGAGGCTGGTTTGTTCTCCTAACAATGTAACTACTGGTAATGTGATTACCCTCTGATTCCCCTACATAAGAAATCCCAGCCTGGAATCCAGTGTGGAGGCTTGGTTCCAGAAGCCGGTGTCTCAAAAGAGCGAGGTGGAACATTATGATCTTTTACGATCCAACTTCAGAAGTCACATAGCATCACTCTGCATAGTCTACTGGTTGAGGCAGTCACAAAGTTCCACCCAGCCCAGTGCAAGGGAACATAGACCCTCCCTCCCCATCCACATTTCTTGTTGAAGGTGGGAAGTGGCAAGGCTCTAGAAAATAGTTCGGCAAACTGTTTCTTAAAGAGAAGGTCAGTAAATATTTTAGACTTGCATGCCATACAGTCTCTTGCAAACTATTCAACTCTGCTGTTATAGCATGAAAGAAGCCATAGACAAAATAGGCATGGCCATGTTCCAATAAAACTTTAATTCTAAAAACGGGCAGCTGGTTCCCAGACCATAGTTTGCCAGCCCCTGTTATAGAAGAATATGTACAATGAAAGATGTTGTATTTTAAAAAATACAATCTACCCTCTGCTCAGAGAGAAATAATTCTTTTATAACATATGAATGCCACAGGTATTAAAAAATTCCTCTAAGTCAGAGATGCGGCTGCCTCACAGAACCTTGGGATGCTTAAATGACTTTTCACCATTTTACCATGTCAAGGAGTCATCACAAGTCCAGCTGAAAGCTTTTTAAGCCAATGAAACCTTTCTCCCATTCCATTTCCCACTCCCTTCCTGTCACCTTATTATCCTAGAACATTATCAGGTGAGAATGAAGAAGCCTATGCCACCTTTACTCCCAGCGTGGCAACCTTTGTCTTTAGGCACCCCAGGAGTCTGCTCTTTCTCTCTGGGGCTCCTAGCATCCTATGACCTTCATCTGCCAGCCAAGAACCCTGGTTCTGGAATTTGTTCAACATCTTGGCACCAGCAGGATTGCTTACGCCATCCCATGAGTATAGAATCAGACAAATACCAAAACTGCAGAAAGGTAAAAGTTAAAAATATATGTACATACACGCACACACACATATATATTATATTATATATATATAATATATATATATAATTTTTTTTTTTTTGAAATGGAGTCTCACTCTTGTTGTCCAGGCTGGAGTGCAGTGGTGTGATCTTGGCTCACTGCAACCTCTGCCTCCCAAGCTCAAGTGATTCTCCTGCCTCAGCCTCTCCAGTAGCTGGGATTACAGGCACATGCCACCATGCCTGGCTAATTTTTGTATTTTTATTAGAGATGGGGTTTCTCCATGTTGGTGAGGCTGGTCTTGAGCTTCTGACCTCAAGTGATCTGCCCACCTCGGCCTCCCAAAGTGCTGGGATTACAGGCGTGAGCCACCGCGCCCAGCCGTAAAAGTTAAATATTTAAAGGCTAAAAAGCAATGCTGGCTGTCACTAGCTTGTCAGGGAATGTAAGGTGTTAGTTGCAGGTCATCTTGTCTAACTTAGAAAAGTGGCAAGACAGTGGCCAATGCAGGAGCCTTCAGGATCCTCTGCTAAGTTCCTGGCTGGATTGCCATAGCTCCCTGTGGTTTGCCAGTGCTGAATGCTCAGCTCTGACCGTCGCTTCAGTTCCCTCCATCTGTTTAAAATGCTGCTTCATTCTGTTTTCCATATTCTTATTCTCCCATCCTTTCTCCCTTTAATCTCAGTGTGTGCGCACGTACACACACACACACACACACACACACACACTCTTTCTCTTTTAACACATCTCTTACACAGAATGAATAGAGCCAGAGGCCTTATGACTACAGTTAAACCCACATGAACAGGCAGGAACTGATTTTGTTTTTTTTTAAAGCCCTGAGGTTGAGATTGTTTTATTGCTTAACACAGACCTTCAGTGATGCAGTGTGGGCAGGGGTCCTGGAAAACCCTCTGACCACTGTATGTTTGAGATGGGCCACAGGAGAAGGAATGTTGGAACCACAACTCCCCTACAAACTTGGTAGTTTATCTTCTTCCCTGTGATTTGTCTTTTCCCTTCCCGCAGAAGTTTTCTGTGACAGACTGATTTCCTTATTGAATTAATTACATTTTTCTCCATCTGATTTTGCTGGGAAATTATATGCAGAATGGAAAATATCATGCAGTTCCTTCCTACATAAGCCTGTGTGTGAATGGATCCAGCAAGAATGAAAACATTTAGCTATTTTTCCTGTGGGCTCTTGGTACAGTTTTTTTTTTTTTTTTTTTTTTTTAATAGGTACTGGGGTTTGGATCTAGAACACAAATCAATTGCAAACCAGTGTACCATGGCGTCCTTGTAGCAACCATGCCCCATATCCTGTCTGTGGCCTATTTCCCCGTTAGATTTCACTTATAGATGGCAATGACTTATTGAAGCATTTGACTTAAGCCTGAGAAGCAGGCAGTGTTGTTGGACTGGAAGGAAAGGCACCATTGTTTGGGGGCACAATGGCTGGGATCTGGCATGATGTGGAAGAAGGTCAGAGCCATAGTTCCTCTTCCATTCTGTTCTGTGCCCTCGAGGGATACCGTTACCTGGTGCAGCGGGAAGCCCACACACAGCGGGAGGGCCGGTCACAATGATGCTCTGCTCTAGTGGCTGGAGGAAGGCCCCAAAGGCTCCATGCTGTGCCATCAACTCTTTAATTACCAAATTAAGGGAGGAGTGGTCCAGGGTGTCTTAGGGGAGAACTGAGGTTTCCTGGATGGTGGTGGGGATCTTAGCAACTGGGGTTAGTGATGACTTACCAACCAATATAGAAGCATTTCAATATTTTAACAACTAGTTTGGCTGTATTATTTTGTTTCACCTGAATAATAGTTCTGCTTGGACATGCCTTGTGTATCAGGCCAGGGTCAGTGGTTATGAATTTTCCTGCTCACCATGTGGTAATCCCCAGATCATCCTGAAAGCTCCAACAAATCACTTAGGCTCAGTTACTAAGATGCACCCAAAGCCAAACCAAGAAGTGCAAAACACAAAGATGGTGGAAAATTGATCTGGATAGCAGTGGCAAGAACTGCCCATTTCCCTGAGCACAGTGGTGGCATCTAGTAGTAGAGGGGGCAGCTGTGTTGAGTGTCTACCGTGTGACAGATGTGGTTCTAACCATTCTCACATCTGTTATGTCTTCAGGACCTGCAGTTAGTGAAACTAAATCTGAATCCTTGTAAGTTCCTCAGTGTCTATAAGCCTCTGAAATTTTAACACAATAATAGTACTTACTGCATGGAAAGTCACAAGTAGAAATGAAAATTTTAGCCAAAAGGAAAGCTGAGTCTGGGTCCTTCCACTGGGTAGTCAAAATGTCCCACAGGACTTGTCAGGGCCCTGATTTGATTGTAGTTGATATCGTTTGGCTGTGTCCCCACCCAAATCTCAACTAGAATTGTATCTCCTGGAATTCCTACATGTTGGGGAGGGACCCAGGAGGAGGTCATTGAATTATGGGGGCCAGTCTTTCCCCTGCTATTCTCGTGATAGTGAATAAGTCCCATGAGATCTGATGAGTTTATCAAGGTTTCTGCTTTTGTGTCTTCCTCATTTTCTCTTGCCGCTGCCATGTAAGAAGTGCCTTTGGGGCCGGGTGCAGTGGCTCACACCTGTAATCCCAGAACTTTGGGAGACTGAGGCGGGTGGACCACCTGAGGTCAGGAGTTCGAGACCAGCATGGCCAACATGCTGAAACCCCATCTCTACTAAAAATATAAAAATTAGCCAGGCATGGTGGTGCACACCTGTAATCCCAGCTACTTGGGAGGCTGAGGCAGAAGAACTGCTTGAACCTGGGAGGTGGAGGTTGCAGTGAGCCGAGCTCTCACCATTGCACTCCAGCCTGGGCAACAAGAGTGAGACTCCATCTCAAAAAAAAAAAAAAAAAAAAAAAAAAGAAGTGCCTTTGGCCTCCTGACATGATTCTGAGGCCTCCCCAGCCATGTGGAACTCTAAGTCCAATTGAACCTCTTTTTCTTCCCAGTCTTGAGTATGTCTTTATCAGCTGTGTGAAAACAAACTGATACACTAGTTATGTAATCTAAGTCCAGGAACAGGGAGTTCAGGAGAGGAGACATCACTCTGCAAGTACTGGAAAGGGGTGTTATCTTTAAGATAATGAAGTAGCATTCTGGAGTTTATCAATATCCTTTGAGTTTGATTAGTGATATGGTTTGAATGTGTCTCCCAAAGTTGATGTGTTGAAGACTTGATCCCCACTGTGGTACTGCTGGGAGGTGGGGCCTAATGGAAGGTGTTTGGGATATGGGGACATCACCCTCATAAATGGATTAATGCTATCATCTCAGGAGTAGGTTCCCTATAAAAGGACACGTTTGGCACCTCTTGTTCTCTCTCTCTCCCCTCCCCTCTTTTTACTTTTCCACCATGGGATGATACAGCAAGAAAGCTTTCATCAGATGCCAGCCCTTTGACTTGGACTTCCCAGCCTCCCAAATCATGAGCCAATATATTTCTCCTCATTATAAATTATCCAGTATGTGGTATTCTGTTGTAACAGCATAAAACACACTAAGTAAGAACCAATTTCCTAGCCCATGATTATCTCCAGGTGTTTCAACAAAATTACATTTCTGAACCTGCAAAGTTTGTAACCAATGCCACAGGGTAACTTTGTGAAGGTGTGGACCATTTTCTGAAACCAACTTAAGGCACCAGCTCATATTGGAAGGTATGTCTCTACCTCCCTCATACCTTCTCTTCCCTCTTCCTCCTCTCTTGTTCCACTTGTGCTTTTTCTTCTTTCTTCTTCATTTTCACAATGGACTGACTGTTTGTATCCCCTTCAAATTCATATGTTGAAATCCTAACCCTCAGTGTGATGATATTTGGAGGGGGTGCCTTTGGGAGGTACTTAGGTCATGAGAGTAGAGCTCTCATGAATAGGATCTTATAAAAGAGACCCCAGAGAGTTATCTTGTCCTCTGTCTGCCTTATGAGGTGATATGGTTTGGCTCTGTGTCCCCACCCAAATCTCATCTTGTAGCTCCCATAATTCCCACATGTTGTGGGAGGGACCCGATGGGAGATGATTGAATCATGGGGGCAGGTCTTTCCTGTGCTGTTCTCACGATAGGGAATGGGACTCATGAGATCTGATGGTTTTGCAAACGGGAGTTTCTGTGCACAAGCTCTCTCTTTGCCGGCTGCCATCCACGTAAGATGTGACTTGCTCCTCCTTGCCTTCCACCATGATTGTGAGGCCTCCCCAGCCATGTGGAACTGTAAGTCCAGTAAAACTCTTTCTTTTTTAAATTGCCCAGTCTTGGGTATGTCTTTATCAGCAGTGTGAAAACGAACTAATACATAAGGATACAATAAGAAGTCAGCAGTCTGCAACCTGGAGGAGGGCTCTCACCAGAACCTCACCATGCTGGCACCCTGATATTGGATTTCTCACCTCCAGGACTGTGAGAAATAAATTTCTGTTGTTTATATGTCACTAAATCTATGGTACTTTGTTAGAGCAGCTCAAACTGACTAAGACAATCCTCTTTATTGCTCCATCCTTTTTCCCCTTTTGCTCTGTTTTATTTATCAATGTGAACCTATTATTAATATCTTCTCTTCCTCTGCCTCATCCTTCTATTCACTCTCTTTTTCCTTATTCTTCTTCTTCTTTTTTTTTTTTTTTTTTTTTTTTTGAGGCAGGGTCTCATTCTGTCACCCAGGCTGGAGTGCAGTGGCACAATCTTGGCTCACCACACCCTCGACCTCCAGGGCTCAAGTGATCTCTCAACCTCAGCTAATTTTTGTATGTTTTGTAGAGATGAAATTTCACCATGTTGCTCACGCTGGTCTCAAACTCCTGAGCTCAAGTGATCCACTCACCTCAGCCTCCCACAGTGCTGGGATTACTTCTTCAAGTGTTTTATTACTTTAGATGAGCTCAAATGTAATATCTCAAGTGGTGGCAATCATATTTAAGCTACACAGAAGCAATTTGATAAGGGGAATTCACCCCAACTCCACCAGCGGAGGCCCTCTGATTCCTCTGGAGACAGTGTAGAAACACCATGGCATCAGAGAGTAAGAAACTCAACAAGTGTCCAGCACAGGCCTGAGGAGAGACCTGGGTCTCAAGCACCACACTGCATTATCACTCATTAGATCTCCCTCCCAGGCTGGATGAAATAGCCGTCAACAGTTTTCATTTTTGACAATGAAATGATTCCAAATTTGCCAATCTTACAACAAATGTAATTGCTGAAAGACATCAGTATTGGGAAAGTAGAAGCCCTGGTCTTGGGATAGTAATCATCCAATCCTTGGCATAGGGAGATTCTCTCTGCTGAAAATGTCCAGGTTTCATTTACATCATTGTCTCCCTGCATCTGTTCATCTTGGAGCACCAACCTATTTGGGTTCTTGAAAGTCAGCAAGATCAAAGACCACTCACTGATCAGCTAGGTCATCCTGGAAGCCTCATGGTAGCCAGCAGGCAGGCCTGCAGGCAGTGTGGCCCCCTTCCCTTTTGTGTTCAGCATCCCAATGAGGATGTGTATAATTGCAACAATCTGGAGGCAGTAAAAATACTCAGGATTAAGCAAACTGTGCTAGGGATGGCCTGAGTTCACAGGTGGTCCCCAAAGAAGAGCAGATGGAGAGGTGTTTTGTGAACAAGAAATTTGACTGTTATGACAACTGCATAGCAGCATGAAAGTGTCTGACATGGTGTTAACAGACAAAATGATAATGACACATAATTAAATATCACTAAATTGTATGTAGGCATCAGGATCAAGATTGGAAGAATGGAGATGTGAAAACATAGGCAGTTGATTATTACATTCTGAGTGAAAATGTTTTAAAAACTTTAAATTTTGTATTACCCAGTTTTCACTATTATAATGCTACATGACAAATAACCCCCAGTCTCTTAATAGCTTATAACAACCAATGTTTATTTCTTGCCAACTGGTAGGCAGGTTGATGGTAGGCCAGATGTGGGTCAGCATGACTAGACTGTATCCAAGACTTTAAGTTAGATTCAGGTCTGCTCCATGTATCTTCCTTCTGAGACTGACTACAGAGACCAAAATGACCTGGGGCATAACTTTCTATTAGCAGACATCCCAAGATTAAGAGGGGCAAATGAAGACATGTGATATCTCTTAAGGTGTCATCCTGGAACTGGAGTGTGTCACTTCTGCTCACATTCCACTGGCCAAAGCCAGATATGACCAAGCCCATTATCAGTGGGATGAGGAAGAGTACTCCACTCAGGGAAATTGTTGAATTGCGTCCCCTAAACTTCACATGTTGAAGTCCTTACCCCTAGTACCTCATGATATGACCTTGTTTGGAGATAGAATCTTTACAGAGATAATCAACTTAAAAAGAGGTTATCAAAGTAGGCCCAATCCAACATGACTGGTGTCCTTATAAAATGAAGAAATTTGGACATAGAGACACAAAGCAAGAAAATGTGAAGACTTAAGGGGGAGATGGTCATTTACAAGTCAAAGAGAGAGGCCTGGATTCTCTTCTCACAGCCCTCAGGAGAAACCAACCCCATCAACATCTTGATCTCAGACTTCCAGCCTTTAAAGCTGTGAGAAAATAAATTTCTTTTGTTTAAGTCACTATAGCAAACTAATACTGAAGGTTGGCAAGAGCAGGAAGGGAAGGAAGAATTAAGGACAGATAACGCAATCTATGATGATGTTATTCTGCTAATCATTTTTAAAATTAACATAGTGGGCCAGGCGTGGTGGCTCACGCCTGTAATCCCAGCACTGCAGGAGGCTGAGGCAGGCAGATCACCTGAGGTCGGGAGTTTGAGACCAGGTTGACCAACATGGAGAAACCCCGTCTCTACTAAAAATACAAAATTAGCCGAGCGAGGTGGCGCATGCCTGTAATCCCAGCTACTCGGGAGGCTGAAACTCTGTCTCAATAAAAAATAAATAAATTTAACATAGTGAAGAATCCATGGAAAGTTCTTTTCTCATTAATAATAAGTCCATAACAATCACAACAGCAACAATTAATCAAATAAAACTCAAGCACTACTATATTCCAGGCAGTGTTCTAAGCTCTTTATATATAAAAATTTATTTAATACTTAAAATAGTGTCTATGAGGTAGAACTATTGTTATGTCCAACTTAAAAGCTGAAGAAGTTGAGACCCTGTTACTGGTAGTTAGGCATGAGTAGGGCAGGACAGGGCTCTCCGCCTACCACCCTCTGGAAATGTCAGGTGATGGTTTGGCAATTATCTCATTGCCTCTCTAAAAATGACAGTTCAGCAGCACCATTGACAGGCCATTTCCTGATGCTCCACACCTGTTAACATCAAAATGTCAATTGAATGCAGGCCCAGGGAGAAATAGCACTCGAATATAACATTTTCTTTTTTTCTTCTCAGCAAGGCAATGTACTTCTATAGAAGGGTGCACCCTCACAGATGGAGCAATGGTGAGCGCACACCTGGACAAGGGAGGGGAAGGGGTTCTTACTCCTGACGCACGTGGCACCTGCTGCCCTGTCCTTCCCCTATTGGCTGGGGTTAGACTGCACAGGCTAAACTAATTCCGATTGGCTAATTTAAAGAGAGTGATGGGGTGAGTGGTTTGGCAGGAAAAATGGTTATGGCAGAGCAGGAAATCAAAATGAGTCAGGATGGAGAATGAGTCAGGGAGAAGCAGGTAATCGGAATGAGTCAGAGTGGAGCAGGTGATTGGAATGATTCAGGGTGGGGCAGTTGATGAGAATGAGTCTGGGCAGAGCAGGTAATCGGAGTGAGTCAGGGTGGAGCAGGTGATCGAAAAAGGTTGCTTTATGAGGAAGTTAAGTTTAAAAGTAGAAGGCAAAGAACTGAACATACTGACATATTGAGTCTTTGAAGATAAATTTAGAACTCGTATCTAACAGCATGCATGTTAAGAGACAAAAACGGTGAAGTATGATCTTTTGGGGGCACATGCCACCAGAAAAGGAAAGAAAGCTTCAGAGGGACACGTGGGTAACTCCCTAAGCACTGCGGGTGCTCAATTCCCAAGGGTAAGAAAGCACTGGGCATGCGGAAAATTCACTCTAAGGGAGGGATCATGGGAAAGAGGCGAGACTAGGATCAAGGTTAAAGGCCCCTTTTTTGCTGTCTTCTTTTGCTCTCTTTTCTCTCTTTGACCTTCAGGTGCCTGCTTCAGTCTCTTTCAAGCAATTTTTCCTTTCTTTCCTGTTCTAAAGCCTTTTTAATAAACTTTCACTCCTGCTCTGAAACTTGGCTTGGTCTCTTTTTCTGCTTTATGCCCCTCAGTCGAATTCTTTCTTTGGAGGAGGCAAGGACTGAAGTTGCTGTGGACGCATATGGATTCACTGACAGTAATTTGGGGTAACTCAGATCTCTTTCACTGGTAAATGCCCAGAGAGGCTAAGCCATTTGTCAAAGCTCACACAGCACAGTGGCAGAGCAGGGATATATCCCAAAAGAGTTCCATTTGCAGAGCCTGAGCCCCTAATCATTATGCTGTACACCATCTCTCATACTCAATACTGTATTTTCTCCAATAGATTTGAATGATTGTCCACAACAGGCAGACAAGTTTTATTTCTTATAGTCTGCAATCTTATGTGATCTGGCCCCTGCAGACCTCCTTGGCCTCATCTCAAATCACTCTATTCTTCACTCCGGCATATTGACCTTTTTCTTGAACACGCCAGGCTTGTCCCTGCCTTTTCTTAAAGCCTTTGCATTTGCTGTTCCTTCTTCCTGGAATACCCTTCCCCCAGATCTTTGCTGGATGCATCTTTTTGTTATTCAAGTCTCAGCTTAAATGGGATATTCCCTAGAGAGGTCTTTTCCAACCACTTATCCAAGCAACTAACTACCATCCTAGCTACTCTTTATCTTATCTCGTTTCCTTTTTTTCCATGACTGTTATTAATATCTGGAATTCTTTTAAAATTTACTGTTTACTTGTTCATTTTCTATCTCCCTCCCTCTGGAATGTAAACCCCATGAAAGAAGAACTTTCTTGTTCATGACTAGTCTCAGTACATAGAGTGGTTGATGTCAGAGAATAAACATTTGTTGAGTAAATGAATAAAGTTCTCACTCTTTCATGACATTAAGTGAACTTTCCAGAAGTACCCAGTCTCCAAGCCTCCCCCTGTCTTCCAGACAGTACAAGGAAATCTGGAGATATATAATCCACATAGAGGCAGAAAGATGCTAGTGAAGCCAAATTTATTTCCAACAAGAAATAGTCTTTGAGTCTTAGTCATTGTGGTTGAAGGCAAGTGAGGTCATCCATTCCATTAAAGAAGAAAGATCAGATGGAAATAGTCATTCAAGATGCATAGAGAACAGATAGAGTAGAGCTTCCATAACTTTTGCTTCACAATGATTATTTACTGTATTGGATGAGGTTGGATAAACCTGAGCTTGTCTAGAGAAGATGCTACTTGAGTTATCTGTGTTTGGATTAGTTTTGGGCAGCCAAACCATCTGGAGAGGTTTAGGGCTCAGTCCCAAGGCTCTGATCTTTACTCGGCTGTAAACGCCTCATTGCCCTGCCACTTCTGCTTCATGGGCTGGAGGTCTGTCCTCTTGCAATCATGTGGGAAGAATTGGACTCTGAGTTGGTTTCTATTTTCTTATGAAACCATCCAGGGGAATGAACTGGGGGATAAATAACCAAATTTCTGAAATGCAGCTTTGACTACAATCCAGTGTCTGGGCTGACTCTGAAACAGCTCAGATTGTGTGTCCTGAGACTGTGCTGGCTGATGACCTGGCCACAAGCATTCCATCTCACATCCCAGGCATCTGAGCAACGCTGCTTTCCATGTGGGGAGGTAGAGGATTTGGTGGGTTAATTGAAACTAAAATGTCTGCAACTCTAGATCCTGCCTCTGTTTTGGAGTGACTTGTAAGGAAAGTCACCAGTGATTTATACATTCAGGGTATCTTTCCTCAAAGAACTCAAGATTTGTGGCAGAATTTGATAAATGTTGAGATTTGATCTTGATGGAAGACTAGAGATTGAAAATTGGAAGATGATCTGCTTTATACAGAGAACAAATGCATCCACTTTTTTTCTTTATTTTAGTTTATTAAGTTCTGGGATATGTATGCAGGATGTGCAGGTTTGTTACATAGATAAACATGTGCCATGGTGGTTTACTGCACTTATCAACCCATCACCTAGGTATTAAGCCCAGCATGCATTAGCTATTTTTCCCGAATTGTGTTCACTTTTTAAGATGGCCAGGATCAGGCATGGGGAAGGGAAGGTGAGAGTTTTGGTCCCCAGTCTTTGTCAGTGTGGAAAGCTCCCCTCTGGTAGAAGAGGCTTAGGAATCACGGACTGTTCCCCCAGCCTAGAGAAACTCACTCAAGATTTCTTAAGTCCAAAAAAGGAAATTTTGGATCAGGGTGAAATTTCTCATTCTGTAAGGAATGCTACTGACATTAGCAGGCAACCATCTCTCCATACCTACACTCATTTTTAAATCTTTAATGAAATTTCATGTGCTTAAAACTTTTTATTGAACTGCACATACAGAAAAGTGCACATATCAGAAGTGTACAGGTTGACTGGTTTTCACAAACTAAACACACATAATTGGCATCAGACCAAGAAACAGAATATTGTCACATCTCGGAAGTCTTGCTTACCCATGCTTCCACTTACTGTCCCTAATACTAACTACTATCCTGACATCTAACAGCATGGATTAATTTCACCTATTTTTACTTTGGCTTCTTTCATTCAATATTTTAGTCGTGAGATTCATCCATGTTGCTGTATATAGCAGTAATTTACTCATTGTCATTGCTATAGAGTATTCCATTGTGTGAATATACCACAATTTATTTATCCGTGCTACTATTGATGGACAGTTGGGTTATTTCCAGTCTGAGACTATTACAATCACAGTTCTGTAAATATCCAAGTACGCGTTTCTTGGTGCACACACATGTATGGAATATATGAGGAGTAGTATTGTTTGGTCATGCGATAAATGCGCGTTTAATTTTATAGGAAACTGCCAAACTGTTTTCCAAGGCAGTTGTACCATTTTATATTCCCGCCAGCAGTGGATGTGAGTTCCACTTGCTCCATATCACCACTAACACTTGGTATTGTCTATGTGTGTTCATTTTAGCAATTACTGTGGATACGTAGTGGAAACTAGACTCACTTTTTTATTCTACCTGTCTTTTACTCTTACTTTATCTGTCTCTATTTTTCTGTAAACTGTCCTTCTCTGCTTTCCACTCCACCTGGAGGAAACCATGGTTTCACCCCCACTTCCTAATAGTTTACATCATTGGTCCAGCTTAGATCAGCTCAGCCAGAAATAGACATTTCTTAGTGTCAATTCCAAAATGAGTGAAAGGGAATCTGATCCATTTGGGTTATGTTACAGATTGAATTGTGGACCCCCAAACCCCCGCAACCATATACTGAAGGCTTAACCTCCAATGTGACCTTTTTAAAGGTGGGTCCTTTTGGGTAGATGGGGTTTGTATTCTTATAAGAAGAGGAGGAGACACCTGAGAGCTCTTTCTCCACACACACATAGAGTAAAGCAATGTGAGGACATGGCAAGAAGGTGGAAGTCAACAAGCTAGGAAAGGAGGTCTTACCAGAAACCAATTATGATGGCATCTTGATCTGGGACTTCTAATATCCAGCACTGTGAGAAAATAAATTTCTGTTGTTTAAGCTGCCCAGCCTTAGTATTTTGTTGTGACAACCAGAGTAGATTAATACAGGTCAGGTGGTTGCACATGAGCCAGTCTGTTGCAGTGGGGGTGGGTCAAGGTCTACAAATATGACTCCTGGGAGAGTATACCTGGGACCAGGTAGGTGGCTGGTTCCTTAAGCAGGGGCCAGGAAAATATCCCAATGGTCATCTTTTATAGAAATCTTTAAAAGAGACTACCCCACTAAATGGCCCACGAGCTAATTCACGGACCTCGGTAATCAAAGGGACATTTTACTCAGTCGTTTAACCAGTATTTGTTAGACTTCACTGTGTGTTAGGCACCGTACTCAGTGCTCAAGATACTGCAAGATTGAGTCTGAAAAGCGTTTGCACTCAAGGAACAAAGGGTGGCTGGTGAGCAGATGTCTGATGTTTCAGAGTCATTATGTCAAGATAAATGTGTTCTGCCATCTGGTTACACTACCATTAATTGTATTTATTATTAGGCTTCCATATGATGATAAATAATGTACTTCAACTGAAATCTTAACCATTGCTTAATTTCTGCTGAATTAACAAATCTCTTCCTTTCTACTACTAATAATAATGGTTAAGATTTCTGTAAGGTGTTACTACATGGCAAGCATTGTTCTGATTGCTTTATATATACTGACTCATTTAATTTTCATAAAAGCTTAATATAGTAAGTACTTTTATTATTATCCCCATTTTATAGCTATGAACTTCAAATGTACCCTTATTGTTACTGCCAATCACACTATATTTTCTAATCCACTTACTTTCCTACACAATGACTTCACATCCTTTCCTGTCCCCTCAAACCTCCAATTCCACCCCCCTATGTCCTAACCTTTAGGTGATGACCTTGTTTCCAACTTCATAGTCCAAGAAGAACTTCCATGAACTCCCACCACTACATCTATCTACCCACCTGCCAGCATCTGCCTTCCTGCCTAATAGTGAGATGGATTATCTGTGCTCCTGTGGGAAGAAGTCTCTCCATTCATATAGGAATTCCCAATCATTTTCTTCTACTCAAGAACCTTATCCCAACCATTTGTCACTTTCTCCTCTATATCATTAACTTTTCACTAGCTTATGGATTATTTCCATTTATAAAAATATGCATATTAATCTGTTCTCATGCTGCTATGAAGAAATACCTGAGACTGGGTAATTTATAAAGAAAAGAGGTTTAGTTGACTCACAGTTCCGCATGGCTGGGGAGGCCTCAAGAAACTTACAATCATGGCAGAAGGCACCTCTTCACAGGGCAGCAGGAGAGAGAATGAGTGCTGAGTAAAGGGGGAAGCCTCTTATAAAGCCATCAAATCTCATGAGAACTCACTATCATGAGAACAGCATGGGGGATTCAATTATAATAAATGCCATCATATAATATATATAATTATAATATATGCCATCGTAATTGATTTTTGGTAAGACCTCCTTTCCTGGCTTGTTGACTGCCACCTTCTTGCCATGTCCTTGCATTGCTTTCCTCTGTGTGTGTGTGTGGAGAAAGAGCTCTCAGGTGTCTCCTCCTCTTCTTATAAGAATACCAACCCCATCTACCCCCATGATTCCATTATCTCTACCTGGTGCCACCTTTGACACATGGGGATTATTACAATTCAAGGTGAGATTTGGGTGGGGACACAACCAAATCATATCATATGCTGTTGTTCTTCCACATTAAAAAAAAATCCTTCAACTATATTTTCTTCGTTTCCCTTTGCAGCAGAATTTGAAAGATTTTTCTAAACTCACAGTATCAAACTCCTCTGCTCCCATTCTCTCTCATGACCACTCCAGTCAGGATGTTGCCCCTACCACTGAACTAAAAGTGTGCTTGTTGAGGAAAACAACAACCTCCATGTTGCTAAATACAATCCTTTGTTCTCCATCCTCTATGAGACTTGACCCATTGGCAGCATTGGCACAGCTGATAATTCCTTCCCACCCTCTTGATATCATTTCTATATGTGGATTCCAGGCCTTTCACTCTTCTGGTTTCTTCCTATCTCTCTGCTTGCTCTTTTTCATCCTGCCTTGCTGGTTCTGCCTCTTCTCTCTCACCTTTGAACATGGAGTGCCTTAGGGATCCATCTTTGGTCCTTTCTTCTCTCTACATTCATGCTCTTGGTGATCTCATGCAATCTCATAGGCTCTGAAAACCACCTATACATCAACATCTCACTAGTTTATGTATCCAAACCAAACCGCCAACCATCTCTCTCCCAAACTTTAGAGGTATGTATAACACATGTCTTATCAACTTCTCCACTTGGATATCTAATAGACATCTTAGACATAACATGTATGAGACTGATTTCTGAGGCCATGGCAGTAATATATGGTCACAACCATCTTGTGACTATGAGGAGAGCTGGCATGAAGTCAATGTCAACATGTTGAAAATGGCAGAGTAGAAGATGAAAGAGTCAGTGTTCTTGAAGACACATTTGAGCCACTCTAATAACCAACCTAATGGCTGTTCTAATTCTGGGCTTCTTGGTTTTTGAGATCACAAATTCTTTTTCATTTGGGTTTTCTGTTACTCGTGGTTACAGTCAGCCTAGTTATATAGCACAAACTGGAGGACAATCTAATGGAGAAATCAATATTTTTCCCTGATTGTCTTCTTTAGTCTGTTTGCCCATGAAGAGACTAGAGACAATGAAAATAATGGGAACATTTTAAAAAATTATCTGTAGGAAAAATTATCTGTTTCCCTTTCCCCATCAAGAGGCTAGAGATAATGAAAATAATGGTGGGGACATTTAAAAAATTATCTGTAGGAAGCACCCTGAGATTTCCTAGGGAGATTTTTTTTTTCTTGAGGAAAGATATCTTTTCCTTTATTTCCTTTACTAACACAATGCTGCCACTTAATGGGATGAGTTCGTGTCAAGGGTGTGGCTAGCATAGTGGGTGTGTAATGCGACTGGTGTAATTCTGGAGTGGGAATTTCATATATGAATAAATATTTATTCCAAACTCAATTTTCAAATACTCCCATTCTGTAGAGTGAGTGAGTACACAAGGAGTTCTAAGTATCAAAGTTAGGGTTAAGTTCTGAGGATGGAGGGCAGTGGTATGATTCAGGAAAATGGTATAACCACTAGCTTTGGGACTAGACATTGCTGAGGGACTATAATATGAAAAATAGTTCAAGACAGCAATACCTGGACACTGTTACAACTTTCCTGGAAGGCAGTTTGGCAATGTGTATTAAAGTCATTAACAATAATCACATCTTTTAACTCAATAATTTCACTTTATTGGAATCTAGAACAAGGAAATAATCCTAATGAGGTTCCCTACATCATACCTACCCCGGTCTCTTTGCTTCCACTTCTCTGTGATGCTAAGTTGAGCTGTTCTAGGCTAATTTGACAGCACATGTTACCACAGTAGACTGAAGACGAACAGTAAGAGGGCCTCAGGAAGGTGATAGGAAGAAAATCCATTTCTTATTTGAATCCACATTTTGTTTTCTTGGGAAAACATGATTGTTTGCTGTGATGAAGTGTGCTTTCCATCAGGTAGCTCAGAGGAACCTGGCTGGAACTCTTATCACTGGAAAGGCTGAACTAGACTGTGAACATTCTCTTCTGCAGGATTACAAGACCAGAACCCTCCCAACCTCACTTTGGGATCTTTGATTCCTGGGCCATAGCAACTTCTATTAATATCTGACAAATCTGAGGCAGCAGGGTCTGGAAGACACAAGAAGAGACTGAGGGCTGGGTACGTGTAACAGACAGGATGCCTTTCTTTTCCAAGCCACCTCCCCAGTCATGCTGCTTGATGGCTCCAGGGGCTTTCCATTGTCTTCTGTGCAGCTTCCTCACATCTTAAATGGAATATTTATGTGGCCAGATAGTTTCCTACCTCACCCTCTCTGTTTTTCCTCAACTTCCTGGAAAAGTGTGGGAAGTTCTTGCCACTTACTTTAGGTCCATATACAACATTGCAGTTTATCACAAGCTTCAAGGAGATTTGGAGCTTTCGAGTCTCTCCTTCCATGTCACTTTCTATTCCCTGCCTGGGATTCCCTCCAGTAGGATGACATAACATTAGAGATTGGCATTGACTGGGGTGAGTGTTGAATTAAAGACACACAGGTAGACACATCTGGGAGACCAAGAAACCTTAGCTCAGGAGACACAAAGAATGAAAAAGAACTCTTGTTGACTCAAGAAGGAGGAACTCTTAACACATTAGGAAGGGCATCTTTCCCCACCAGTTCCCAAAGAAGAAGGTATGTGGAAGACACTGGACGTCTGTGCACTGGACAGAGCCTCCAAAGCAGCCCACTCACCCTCCGTACAGCATTCTCCAGAGTCATCTATGTGGTAAAGCAGCCAGCATTTAGGCCATCACAAAGCTGTGCTGGTCAGGACTGCACACCCCCACAAAGGTCGCAGGCTTCTGCTGGAAAGTGACAGGCTTCCTTCCTTCCCTGCCCTGGCCAGCTTCCCATCTGCCACAGAACCCACAACCTGGGATATACACAACATCCCCAGGATTTCCCCCTAGGATGTTCTACCCCACAGATTTAACACATATATATCCTCTGAAGGACTGCCAGTGAGTGCTGAAAAATAGGGTTTGAAGAAATGCATTGTGGAGCTGCAATAAATTGCCTCCACAATTGGAGACTGATTCAGGAAAAGAGAAGACACTCAGAAAAGAACTAGTGTAAATTAATATAAGTGGAGGACAGTGTCCTCTTCAGAAGCCGTCAGAAGGATGTAGGGTGTAGCCTTACCAATTTAGCAACTTTTAGTTGGAAAGAATAAAGTGTGTGAAAGTGCCTGAGTAGTGTCTGGCACATCATAGGTGCTCAATAAATGCTAGCACTTTGGATCTCTTATTCTAGTCCAAAATGCATCTGAGGTGTAAATTATTTTGGGCTTGTCTGATAGGATCTTCTTTTGTTATAATGAACATAAATGTATTTCCCTGCAGCTTCCTCTTATTATATCTATTTCTGGAGCTTTGACAGAATAAACCTTATCTCCTTTCACCATGACACACTTTAAAATATTTGAAGGCAGAAGTTTTGTTTCCCAAATGTTCTCTTCAAGACAAAATTCCTCAAGGCCTTCAACCATTCTGCTTATGACCTGCTTTTGAGGGCTTCATCAGCTTATTGACTCCTGAATACACTTGTGTTTGTCACTGTTCTCCTGAAAGGTGACCATGAATTGGCCACTATCCTGGAGGAAAGGGAGAGTTAAACAGCATAGACAAAGCAGGCCTACCACATTTTCTCATCGTCATTCATGCAAGCTGGTATCAAATTAACTTCCTTGTCTAGTTTTTCAGAAACAATGTTACTATGATAATTTGCGCTATCTTACTATCTATGAAAATCTCTGCAGATTTTTAAACTATTTTTTTGCTATCCATAAGTGGAGATTGCATATTGTTCACCAAAAGCTGCTCTCCCTTCTTCCATAGTAGTTGGATACATGGCTGGCCAGCTAGAAATTACATTTCCCAGCCTTCCTTGCAGCCAGATGTGGTCATATGACTACACTCTTGCTGGTTGAACATAAGTGAAAATGACACATGAAATTTCAAGTTTAGTCCTTTAAATATAGCCTGTGTACTCCTCCACGTGCTTTTCCTTTTTCAAAGGGTATAACCTGAACAGGCCTCTAACCAGGCTCCAAACACACAGATGAAGACAATATACTAGGGGTTGGTAGAACCACAAGATAAAGGAGATTAAAGCTCTGACTGGTCACTGGAGTGGAGCATTGGCCAACCAGGATGTTCCACACTGAGATTTGTATTAATCAGCTAATGCTATAATAAGTTTGTGTAACAAAAACTTCAAATCTCAATGACATACAAAACCCACAATTTATCCTCATGCTGATGGGTCTGCCGGTCAGCTGCAGTTTGGCTAATCAGGCTGGGTTCTGCTGGTGTCTCTCCAGGTTCTGCTCCAGTCTTTTCTCTCTGGGCCAATAGCTGCAGAGGGCAGAGTCTTCTTTTGGCAGATCATTGGAGTCAAAGAGGATGAGCAAATGTATGATATCTGCTAGTGAACAGCTTATAGATTTTATTTTCTGCAGTCCTCTAGCACCTTATTACTTGCCATTGGTCCTTAAAAATTATTAAATGTGGTTTAGCAGTCTCATTTTTCAGTCTTCTCAGGAGTCTGGGACATACTTCAGAAGACATTACTCATTTTAGAGGATCCATGGATCTGTTGTAATTTCTTCACCAATTTAGATCTTAGTCTCTCAGTATCCCAATTACAGAGTCATAAGAAAGAATCTTGTTGGGCCAGCCCAGTGAATAGATTAATTTCTACCTAGGCCAGGTATTTACTCTGGTCCAATCATCTGTGGCCAAGAAAATACGGTCCTGAGGGCTGGGCGTGGTGGCTCACGCCTGTAATCCCAGCACTTTGGGAGGCTGAGGTGGGCAGATCACGAGGTCAGGAGATCAAGACCATCCTGGCTAACATGGTGAAACCCCGTCTCTACTAAAAATACAAAAAAATTAGCCGGGCATGGTGGTGGGTGCCTGTAGTCCCAGCTACTTGGGAGGCTGAGGCAGGAGAATGGCGTGAACCCAGGAGGCGGAGCTTGCAGTGAGCTGAGATCGCACCACTGCACTCCAGCCTGGGCGAAAGAGCAAGACTCCATCTCAAAAAAAAAAAAAAAAAAAAAAAAAAAAAGAAAATAGGGTCCTGAAATAAAAACATGATATATTAGTCTGTTCTCACACTGCTAATAAAGACATAATAATGAGACTGGGTAATTTATAAAGAAAAAGAGGTTTACTGGACTCTAAGTTCCACATGGCTGAGGAGGCCCCACAACCATGGCAGAAGGCAAAGGAGGAGCAAAGTCACATCTTACATGGTGGCAGGAAAGAGAGAGAGCATGTGCAGGGGAACTCCCCTTTATAAAACCATCAGATCTTGTGAGACTTATTCACTGTCATGAGAACAGCTTGAGAAAGGCCTGCACTCATGATTTAACTACTTCCCACCAGGTCTCTCCCATGACATGCAGGAATTATGGGAGCTACAATTCAAGATTTGTGTGGGGACACAGCCAAACCATATCACATGACAACCTAAACTCATTTATTCAGCAAGGTCTGTGGATGAGTGGCAATTTCAAAGAATAGGATGGGGCTAGCTATGTACCCCAATCACATGGAGTTTCTGGAACTGCAAATCAAGGACCAGATATTGGGTTACACATCCCTACCTAAGCACTGACAACTGGGAAGACAGCTTGCAAGCTACCATGCTCTCTTGTGGTAGATTACTACATTGGTGGCCTCCAGTGAACCACATCTCTTGGTATTTACACCCTGTATACTCATTTCCCACACTGACTCTGTACTTGACCATGGAACTTGCTTTGCCTAATGAGACATTAGCCAATGATGTCAATGGAGGCTTGATATAGGATTGTACACTGGGGATTGCTCTCTTGAGATGCTTCTTCTCAGAAGCCAACTGCTATGCTCTAAAAAAGCTTAGACTAAACTCCTGAATGGTGAGAGGTCCTGGAGGATGAGAGGCTCTCTCAATGTCTTAGACCCAGCCAAGCTCCGGCTGAATGCAGCTCATGAGTGACCTCAGCTATGCCATGTGGAACAGAAGAATGAGTCAGTTGATAAAAGTGAGTTCACAGACTCATGAGGAAAAATAAATTGCTGCTGTTTTAAGCCACTATATTTTGGGGTAGTTTAAAAGGCCATAATAGATAATTGAAATACTTCCCCTCTCTAAAATGTCCTTGGTGCCAAAACCCATCTGGAAATGCAGATGTCTGGCCCAGAATCCTTGGAGAAAATTTTTTGGCACTGAGAATAGATCCAAAGGACCCCAGAAATGGAATCTGGAGAGGTCGTCTTTCTCTCCTGTTCTGGAAATTAAAATTATTTTCACAAATGCTGAAAACAAAAGGGAATCCTTAAACCATGAGGCATAAGAATGTTCTATTACCTAGGCCAGATAAGGCCAGACTCTCACACAGTGCCCCGCACTCTTCTCTTCCATACCCTGTCTCCTTCTGAATAAAATACATCGACATCAACGGAAAGCCATAGATTCTTCTGGTCCTCCTTAGACACCAAGAGAGAAGACTCCCATTAAGTACCTCCTGTTGCATTGCCCAATATCCTGTGAGGTGGTCCAATGTGTGATGGGTTGTATGTCCTTAAAGACTGAAGGGAAAATGTTTCTGATTAATGCCAGAGATTACTCAGAGAAGTAGAGATTACTCAGAGAAGTAAATATTACCATCTTCTGAGGTTATGAAAATAGTAGTTGGTATGACATCTCAGAATTATTTTGGGTTTGTCCCTGGCTGAAAGCAATATGACCCCTTAGGAGCCTCAGTTCCTTACTGATTCCACAACACTAATTCAGAATGTGTTGTTCCAAGAATTGTCTACATGTACCAAGAGATTTATATTCTAAAGCACCAAGATCATCAGCATTTACAATCTCTTCTCTTTCAGCATATGTCACTGAGAAAACCCTAAATTTTGCCAAGCAAGTTTTCATTCATGCATTCAACAAATATTTTACTGAATGGCTACCCTGACTGGGTATCCAGCACGGTAGTGTCTATACGGTGGCCTAGTGGATACCTTTTTTGGGTCTATCTAGCATTCATTCCCACGAACCACCCCCCACCCCCCACTCCCCGCCGACCAGCCGACCAGTGAACTAAGCAACTCTTTTTTTTTTTTTTTTTTGAGAGTGAGTATTACTTCTTTCCTTTCGGATCCATTCTAATGAGGCTTCTCTACCTCCTCAAACCAAGAATGCTCACTGTGATCCAAGCTGGGCCAGTTGAATGTTCTCACTGTGGATTTTAAATCAAAACAGATTGATAAAGACTGTGAAAACAAGTTGCTATTTGGGAATTCCCATGCCCAGTGAGACAGTTTTTTACTAGAACATTTTCTGTTGTTTTAGCTTCCTAGATTTTAGAGTTTCCTTGTTCCTGTTTGTTTCCAAGCACTCTTCTCTGGCCTGACTATAAACTCCAGATGTCCTTCCAAAGAAGTCATTTTTCATTAGATTACCCAGACAGATTGCTGTTGCTGGCATCCAAAACACCCGAAATAATATAAGAGATGAATGAAACAGACATGATCCCAGCTTTCAGAGCCTGTCAATTTGGTTGGGTAGACAGACACTAAACAAAGAAAAAATATGTAATTACAAATTGTTGTAAAATAAATGAACAGAGTACTATGAAAGAGAATAATAGGGTAATCTAATTGAGATTATGGGGCCACTGGACACCTCAACTGAGATCTGAAGGATGAGCAGACAAAGAGTGGAGGGAAAGAGCCTTTCTGGCAGAGGGCAGAGAACAAACGAAGGCCTTGAGATAGGGAGGAGATTGTTGCATTCCGGGAACTGGTGGAGGCTGGAGTCCTTGGGAGGAGTGGCGTGAGCTGAGGCAGGAGGGGTGGGCTTGGGCCTGATCATGCAGTTTGGTTGTTTATGAAGATAATTTAAATTTGATTTCAAAATAATAGGAATAAACCATCAGAAAGTTATAAGTCTGGCAATGGCATAACCTAATTAGATTTTAAAACAGCCCCTCTTGCTACCATATAAAGAATTGGCTTGTGGGGCAGACATAGAAAGTAATTGAGTGGTCGGGGAAGGAGATGATGCGGCTTAGGCTAGGGTGGTAGCAAAGGAGAGGAGAACGCAAAGCCCTATTTGGATTTAGAGGCACGAGTGGGCAAAACCCACTGCTTTGGAGCATGCCTGCCTTGTGGGCAAGGACGTGGTCCTGCTCGTTTCTACATCCCATGAAATACCTAAATAACTTGTGCTTTTATAGAATCACACAATTTACAAAGTGCTTCTGTGTCCAGATCTCACTTGATCCTTGCAGCAGTCCTGAGGGTTGCTGAAAACAAAGCAGTCAAGGCTGGAGGAAGAAGTGAAATGGCCATTGCATACAGTTGGTAACAATCATGCCAGGACTTACATCCTACTCCTCTCATTATAGCTTGCTGCCCGGCTCAGTATCCACCCCCAGAAATGTTTGCAGATCTGAAGATGAACTGAGGTCCTCTCCACTGCTCTTTGGTGTCCATTTCTTGTCCCACTGAACCTGGGCTCTCTAAGATAGTCCTGGAAGCTCATTTGCATCCAGTTCCATCTCTTACCCTGTGGCGTATTTAACCAATAGCAGGCTTTGGCCGGCACATGCTGAAGGCAATATGACCCCTGGGGCTCCTAAAAGGTCATATTGCCTTCAGCCAGGGACAAACCCCAACTATTTCTGAGATGTCATACCCAGTGCTATTTGGCCAAATCATACATTCCTATCACCTTTTATCTCTCTCTGCCTGGATCTCCTTGAACATTCTTTTAATCATTTCTGTTGCCTTCCCTGGAATGCCTACTCCCTTCTGGGTAAGTGTTGTCTGGACTGGCAGCATCAGTATCACTTGGCAACTTGTTTGAAATATAAAGTCTCAGGCCCCACCCCAGACCTACTGAACGAAAATCTGGGGGTGGCCCTGCCATCTGTGCTTTAATAAGCCTGCCAGGTGATTTCGATGCAGACAAAACTTTGGGAAACACCAGCCTAAGTCTTTCCAGGAACAAGCTCTCAAGCTGCAGACAGCTGGGCTCAGATAAAGATGTGTTTTATATGAACCCGTGTCAGGGGCTGAAGTCTCTGATGGTTCTTACCCAAGCTCTGGGTCCACATGGCTGAAAGACAGTGACAGCTCGTGAAGCTGTACAGGGTCTTTGCAGGACCGTCCTCTGCTGATCTTTAACCCACTGCTTGTGTGGACTGAATCAGATCTTTAAGGAGGAAACCTGGAAGAAGGTACTAAAGGGGAATTGCCCAGCCCTTCCTGACTTTGCCCTTTGCATTCATGTCTCTATTGCCCATCAAATATGAGAACTGTCTAGAGCCAGATTGGCTCAGGTTAACCGAACCCTTCTTGGAGACAGGGATCAGTCAGATAGGTAAATGCTTACAGGTAGCCCTGATAAGTACCATAGTGGGGGCTGCGTATTAGTTTGCTTTACTGCCATAACAAAATACCACAGGCTGAGTGGCTTAAACAACAGAAATTTATTTTCTCACAGTTCTGGAGGCCAGAAATCCAAAATCAAGATGTAGAAAGGGTTAGTTTCTCCTGAAGCCCTTCTCCTTGGCTTGTGAATGGCCACTTTCTGTCTGTGTCTTCTTCATGTGGTCTTTTCACTGTGCATACATACCCCTGGTGTCTCTTTTTGTGACACCTCTCCTAATCTCCTCTGCTTGTAAGGACACCAGTCATATTGAATTAGGGCCCCCACATATGACCTCATTTAACTTTAATCACCTCTTTAAAGGTCTGCAAGTATAGTCACATTTTATACAAATTTATTTATTTGGAGACAGGGTCTCGCTCTGTCACCCAGGCTAGAATGCAGTGCTGTGATCACGGCTCATTGCAGCTTTGACCTCCCAGGCTCGACGGATCCTCCTGCCTCAGCCTCTCGATTTGCTGGGACCACAGGTGTGCACCACCACACCTGGCTAATTTTTTAAAATTTTAGTAAAGATGATGTCTCAGTATGTTGCCCAGGCTAATCTCAAACTTCTGGGCTCAAGAGATCTTCCTACCTTGGCCTCCCAAAGGGCTGGGATTACAGGCGTGAGCCACCGTGCCCAGCCTCTATGCAAGTTTATAATCTATGTGAGCTATGTATGTGTGTGTATGTATATATATATATATATATGTGTGTGTGTGCGTGTGTATTTGTATGCATATATACACATATGTACATACAAAGATCATATAGATTGTGATCTTACATCCTAAAACAACTCATTCTGACAGATTTTATATATATATAAAAAATATATATAAAATATATATATAATATATATAAAATATATATATAATATATATAAAATATATATATAATATATATAAAATATATATATAATATATATAAAATATATATATAATATATATAAAATATATATATAATATATATAATATATATATAAAATATATATATAATATATATATAAAATATATATATAATATATATAATATATATATAAAATATATATAAAATATATATAATATACATATAAAATATATATAATATATATAAAAATATATATAATATATATAAAATATATATAAAATATATATAATATATATAAAATATATATAATATATATATATATATAAAATATATATAATATATATAAAATATATAATATATATAATATATATAAAATATATAATATATATAATATATATAAAATATATAATATATATAATATATATATAAAATATATATAATATATATAATATATATATAAAATATATATAATATATGTAAAATAAATATATAAAAAAAAATATAATATATATATATATACATATATATATATATTTTTTGAGATGGAGTCTCCCTCCGTTGCCCAGGCTGGAGTACAGTGGCACGATCTCGGCTCACTGCAACCTCTGCCTCTCAGGTTCTGATTGTCCTGCCTCAGTCTCTGGAGTAGCTGGGATTACAGGTACACACCACCATGCCTGGCTAATTTTTGTATTTTCAGTGGAGGCGGGGGTTTTACCATGTTGGCCAGGCTAGTCTCGAACTCCTGACCTCAGGTGATCCACCCACCTTGGCCTCCCAAAGTGCTGGGATTACAGGCGTGAGCCACTGCACCTGGCCAGATTATATATTTTTTATTTTACAAAAGAGACACGAGTTTCAGAAGTGATAAGTGACTCTCCTGAGGCCACCCCACTAACTGGTGCCAGAGCTGGGATTCAGACTCCATCCAGCTGGCCCAGAGCTGAGCTTCTCGCCCTGCACTGCCCCACCCCCGCCATCCCCACCTCTGATCACCTCCCGTCAGCACTGACACAAGAAGGCAGAGCGCGGCTCGCCTGACCTCAGCTGGGAATGTGGGCATTCAGTGACTCTAAGGTCTTGGTTCCCTGCATATGTCCACGAATGACCACAAAAGTGCTACAAATACTGATTTGGGGGTTACAAATAAATGTTAGGGAGTAGGTGAATTTGCAAATACAGAACCTGTGAATAATTAAGATCAGCTGTACATTTTTCCTATTCTCCATGAGAACTAGCCTCCCCTTCTTCCCATCCTTGCCCTTTTCTCCCACAATTTTTGTTATCAGGGCTCTGAATTTTTCCAGAGTCGCTGATTAAAAAGCCTCTCCACGGGTGGATCACGAGGTCAGGAGATGGAGACCATCCTGGCTAACATGGTGAAACCCCGTCTCTACTAAAAATACAAAAACATTAGCCGGGCTCGGTGGCGGGTGCCTGTAGTCCCAGCTGCTCGGGACGCTGAGGCAGCAGAATGGCGTGAACCTGGGAGGCGGAGCTTGCAGTGAGCCGAGATTGCGCCACTGCACTCCAGCCTGGGCGACAGAGCCAGACTCCGTCAAAAAAAAAAAAAAAAAAAAAAAAAGCCTCTCCAAAAACGTCATCAAAATATACATCTATGCAGGCTAATGACAGCCCTAAAGAGCCAGATGGACATGCGTGTGTGGACATATGGAGACACATTTGATCTTCGTGGGCCCAGCCAGCACCATTCCTCATGGCTTTGTGAGGACCTGGAAGACAAGGCAGATCATGGGAATGTCTCTGGCCAACACTTTATAGGGTTTCAGAATAAATAGGAAAAAGGGAGTACTAATTTATGGCAAGGGAATTAGGCTGCATGGAAGATGAATCAACGTGATCTGCTCAAAATGGACAGGATATTCTGCTAGGGCAGGATAATTTTTGTGGAATTTGGGGAAATAAAAAAGTGTGCAAGTACCTTTATCTTGAAAAATTGTATCGTAATTCTTATACCATTATCTCGTATCCTGCTCCTTCAATCCCAATCTCTTTTCACAATAGAATATTATTTTTTCCGATTTTATGGGGATTAAAATGTCTTTTTGCCATGTCTTTTTTGACCTAGACTCAGACCATCATTTCTCCAATATTATTGGTTATACATATTGGGCCTATTCAGTGTGGGAGGGGACCACACCGAGCGTGAAAACCAAGATGAGAGAATCACGGGGGGTCATCTTGGAGGCTTGACTGCCATGTTGAGTTACTCCCTTGCTCAAGAACTGTCACTGGTTCCTTATTGCCTGGCTCTAAGGTACAAATTCAGAACTCAACTGATCCTCTTTCATTAACTCCACTTTCTAAGCCCCATTTCTCTGTCTTATAAGGTTTGCAGGCTGCTGATCCCCACACACAATATGTCCCTCCCCACCTTTGACTATGCCACTGCCCCCAGCTTAAAGCATTCTTCCTGCTCATTTCACCATGTCAAGATCATCTTTCTCTGGATAGCATTCTGGACAGGAATAGGAACATCTGGAAGTCTTCCAAGGGATAATAATCTAATGAAAGAGGAAGCCAGGCTCCCAGGTGTCTTCCAGTGATGATTTTCAGAGGTCTAAGAAAAGGGATAATCCAGAGAGCCACTGTAGGGGACAGAGGAAGGAGACTTCTGTCACTCAGATTTGTCCTCAGCTAAGTCCTTTAGGGGTTTATATTGGAGTCCTGGAGGAGAATGAGAAGCTGGGAGCAAGGAAGCATTCCAAAAGCTGCTCTCCCACTTATTCTGTGAGCCATAAAGCTAAAAGCCATATGAGGTTGGCCCTCATGTGACAAAGTATGATGAAAACAGAGAGAGAGAGAGAGAATGATAGAGATTCTCAGGGTATCAGAGGCACCAGCAAGGAGATCCTAGCCCAGTGCAGACCCCTGGAAACACCCTCACAGACATCATGGACATTACCAACATGAGTTGCAGCAGGATTGGGGAACATGGTGGCTGCCACAGATGGCCAAGAGAACTTTTCTAACAGCACATCTGAGCCACTCACTGTGTGCTCCCAGAAGTGATTGCCTTGCAGGAGGCTGGGGGTCCTGCAACAGCAAGCCTGGGTGAGAGCTAAATAAATGTGGGGCTTTGTTACGTATGCGACTCCACTGTACTCCCCAGAGCAGCCCATGTCATTTCTCCTGTGGGGCTGAGAGTGAGTGCAATTCATCCCCTTGGTGGAGCTTCCAAAGGCTTCAGAAAAACAGGTGAATTGTGAGTGGCCCATTTAATTTCAGTAAACAGAGAAACTCATCCCCTGCAACCTCCCCAAACAAAACCCCTCAGAGTGGATCCCTGTGTTGATGACTAGGAGGAAGAAATGTTTGCATGGTAAAAGGAATTCTTTCTCAAGGGCGGGGATAAAAAGGGGAGGAAAAACTAACTATACCTTTACCTCTATAAGCAACGGTGGAAAATAGAAGGTGTGGCATTTCTTTGTATCACTGAAGACAAAATCAACATCTTAATTTATCATCACTCTCATAGCCGTTGACAAGGCTATGATAACATTGAGTCCTTGGCCTCTAAGAGATTTTAATCTGGTAGGGGAATTCTTAAAACAGCATTAGCTGAGTGAGAGCCAAAGTGGGGTCAGGAGAGAGGATGGGGAAGGAAGTGCTGAGAGGCCTCAGACAACAAAGATGTCAGAGTTCCCAAGAGGGGCCATCTCTGAGGGCCGGATTCAGGGGACCTTGGGGGAAGGGTTACAGGAGCTACATCTCAGGGGCTAGGTTTGGCAAGTGGGGTTTAATGCAAGGGAGAGGAAACCAGGGAAAGGCATTCTGGACCTCATAGGTAAAGTTATAAAAGTTTCCCTAGAATCTCTGCTGGTGTCTGGGACATGTTCAGCCAAGGCCTTTCTTTTGCTGTGATGGTGCAAATACCAGGTCCAGCCCAGAGTGAAAACAGCTGTGTGTCTCTCATGTGCCCCCTACCTCGTGTGTTTCCATTAACTCATCTGCACATTGTTCAATGACAATTATGCTTTCTGGCTACTCACCTATTTAAACCCTCAGACTGTAATGGCAAATACAATAAATCTCCACAGTGGCAACTAAATATTGTCTGCAGAAATTGTGGCAGTTTGAGTCATGATGCTGAGGATGTGAGGTTTGCTTGGGTAGATCTCCTAGTGCAGGCCAGGAATGGGTCAGAAACCTTCCCTAGAAAGAACATGTTCTTCAGATGTTACAGGGCAAGTGTGGTGACCAGGAGAAACTCCAGACATGTTGAGTGGCAAATGGGACAGGTAGACAGCACTAGGTGGAGTCTTGGGAGGACAGCAAGGACCAGGCATGAGGAAACGGTGTCATCTTTACCAGTTCCTGATTTTCCAGTGGCATTTGCAGGCTTAGAGGTGGAGTCACTGCTCTTGGTTAACCAGCCCCAGGGTCCTGTATTATGCCTGTATTTTCCCTACACATTAAAAAAAAAGTACCTGTATTAATTCTCCTCATAGTAAGGGGAAAAATAGCCAGGTTTTTGAAAGACTTAGGAGGAGCGGTAGAAAACTGCCTTCCAGTGGCAGTCAAAGAAAGAATGGTTGATCTTCAGTCTGGACTCGTTGCTCTGAGGACAAAGATGGCTTTAGTTTTCTCTTCATAAGATCAAGGGCTAGCAGCCAAACCAACCAGCCAACCCACCAAATACTCTATTTAGTATCCAAACTCTGGCTGCAAATTCATAATTAACCAAGCCAAGGGAAAGGCAGAGGGGAATGAATGTTTGTCCAGGCTCAGCAGGCAATAGGAAAGTAATGCTGTGTGCTCTGGGAGAGCTGCAGGCCTTGCTACTGAGGACACGTGACTCTAAGGTCTGCTTTATTACCCCAACCTTTCAGTTGTTAAACATCTTGTGAATTATAAAAGAATGATCCTTATCACATCCCACAAGCCTTCCTGGTTTGGCTATGGTTCCTTATTCCTGCCTGGGGTCTTTACCATTGTCCCTCTACTTGGAATGCTTTTCCCCTGTTCTTCACTTACATAGCATCTACTTAGCCTTTGGGTCTCAGGCAAATGTTACTCCCTCAGTGAGTCCTATTGGACTGATCAACTGGGACTGTGTTTGATTGCAAGTGAGAGAAAACTCAACTTCTGAAGCTTAAAAAAGTGGGGTTTATTTTCCTAACTTAAGAGGTAGGCAGAGGTACAGAGTGCAAGCTGAGCCACAGCTTGACGATGTTGTCAAGAACCAGGCTTTTCCTGTCTTTCCATCCCTCTGTCCTTACAGTACTTGGCATGCTGCCTCGTGGTTGCAAGACAGCTGCCATGCCTCCAGGCATCACCTCTACACTTCAGTCTGGAAGAAGAGGAAAGGACAAAGAAGAAAGGATAAAGAACAAGGGCTGTTACAACTAGGTCTATTTTTTTTTATCAGAAAACCAAAATATTTTAGGAAGGTCTAATTAACAGACTTTGGCTTTCATTTTATTGGCCAGAAATAGATTACATGGCCTCTCCACAACCAATCACTGGTCAAGGGAAATAAGAATTCAAAGACTGCTTAGAACAACTTCAAGTCATCCCTTGAGCTGGGTAAAGGCCTGTACTCTCCAAGACAAAAGGATCCCTAGGTACTTGAAATAATCAGGGTTGTGTTAGCAACAAATGTTGTCTGTTATGTCCTCCCTAGCTATCCAATGAAATGAGCCCCTTATACTCTCAATGCCCTTGCTGCAATTTGCCATTATATGTTCATTTATGTGTTTACTTGTATAACACCTAAATGCCGCACTAGACTTAAAGCTGCAGGAGGGAAGATACTATAAATGCTTTGTTCCCTATTCAACACCTAGCATAGCACTGAGCATATGGTAAGCTCTACAGGCATCTTTATTGAACCAATGAAAGAAACAGGCTAGGTGTGGTGGCTCACACCTGTAATCCCAGCACTTTGGGAGGCCAAGGTAGGAGGATCGCTTGAGGCCAGGAGTTAGAGACCTCAGCTTGGGCAACATAGTGAGATCCCATCTCTACAAAAAATACAAAAACTGGTTGGGCATGTTGGTATGCACCTGTAGTCCTAGCTACTCAAGATACTGAGGCAGAAGGATGGCTTGAACCCAGGAGTTGAGGCTGCAGTGAGCCGTGATTACACCACTGCACTCCAGCCTGGGCAACAGAGTGAGACCCTGTCTCAAAAAAAAAAAAAAAAAATCCTTGCTAAAGAGGTCATGCAATATGCACAGAAATAGCTGAAATAGCTCCTGTAACAGGGACCTGCTTCTCTACTTTTGCAGCACTTGATGTTTCTGGTTAGAGAATTCTTCCTAATGTTGATCTGACTCTCTGTGATTTCCACCCTTATCATGGGCTGAATTGTGTCCCCACAAAATTCATGTTTTGAATTCCTAACTCCCAGCGCTTTAGCTTCAGAAGATGACTGTATTTGGAGATGGGGGTCTTTAAAGGGGTAATTAAGGTTAAATGAGGTCACTGGGGTGGGCCCCACTCCAATTTGACTGATGTCAAAGAAGAGATGAAGGCAGAGACAGGCCTAGAGGGAAGAACACATGAAGACACATGCGGAAGACAGCCATGGCAAACCAGGGAGAGAAGCCTCAGAAGAAACCAGCTCTGCCGAGACCTTCATCTAAGATGTCTAGCTTCCAGAAAAGCAAGAAAATAAATGTCTGTTGTTGAAGTCACCCAGTCTGGAATACTTTGTTGTGGCAGCCCTTGAAGACAAGTACAGCCCCTCTCCGTTGCAGACCATCACAATCTTCAAGACACCCATCATATCAGCTCTGCAAAGTCTGTTTTTGTAAATACATTTTGTAGCAGGGCACCAAGTCAGCTCCCCTCTAACTCCAAAACTTGTGTCCTTTTTCTTTATCAAAGCAGCCAAGTGGAAGATAGGCAGGGGATATAATTTGCTTGTGTGCTAGTTTCTTTCCCTGAGGCAATAGTGACACTTTGCATTCTTGATCTTTCCTTGGATTGGTGATAGTAGAACAGTTCTCACTTGGGTTTTCTTCCAGAGCATTCGTGGGTTAACATCCTTTCTCCAATTCTTATAAGCAAATAATAGCCAAATGTGATTCATTCTTGCCCGAAAATGTTGATCCTTAGAATGGATTTATGTAAGTGTCTCTGAATACAACAAATTTTCCTTTGTTAGTGATTTGTGGTAGCTAATGTCGTAATAGTGATCTCACTTCAGCAAGATATTGGCTCTCCCCTCATGAGTGGTATGTTAGTCAGCAACCACTACAATATGCTGCATGACAAACTACTTAAATCTTGTTTTAATGCCTGTGGGTTGACCAAGGCAGCTCTGCTTCAAGCTGAGGCTCAAGTTCATATTTTCTCTGCATCTCTCATTCTTGACCCAAGATTTGGGGCAGTGGTGACCTGGAGCATAATTGTCTAATGATGGAGGTTAGAGTCTCTTGGAGGGGGAGGCAGAAATATGATGGCCCTGAAAATGTAGGCCTGGAGTGAGCATATTTTCACTTCCACTCACATTTCATTGGCTAAGCAGTCACAAGAACAAGCCCAACATGAATGTGTCTGGGGATATCCCTCCTCCAGGGAGGGGATAAAAGGAGTGAATATTTGTTTAACAGTAATCTAGTCTACCGCAGGTGGTCAGGAGAGTCCTGGGGTAGAGGCCATCAGCCTGGGAAAGCCCTGGAAGCTAGGCTTCCATCAAGTAGTGGGGAGACCCCAGGGAAACTGGGAGTGGATAGATCTAAAGAATGAGGCAATTCTTGACCTTGGGAGGGTACAGAGTTAGAGCCCGAGTATTCAGAACTGTGGTGAACTCCAAAAGGCCAATGGTGTATCCAAGAGCAGGACTGTGGTCTGGGGAGTCTGCAGCATTTTGGAAGGTACCTGCTGGTGTGAGGGTGTATATACCTGTTGGAAGATCCCAGGTCAGGAGGTTAGAAAAAATACTCTCGAGGTGCTTCCCTACTTCTCTCTCCATGTAGTCCTCTTCATATTTACCCTCCTCTCTGGGGCCCACTTTTTCTCCCTCTTGCTCAACCCTGCTTTCAGACCATATCCCTTCTTCACTCTTCCATGCCCCTTCCCACAAAAATGTCCACAAGGCCTTCCATACTGACACCCGTGCATCCTTTGGAGAAACGGATCAACTTGCAATTTGCATGAATGAAACTACATGGGTGGCTCATTTGTAACTCTATCCTGACTTGGAAGCTGAGGATGCAGAGACCCTCAGAGTAACTAGCTTGCTGAGGCTCTCTGAGGTCCTCATATCAGTTAGAGCAAGGCTGGGACCACCACTGTGCTTTGGGGGTTTATCATTTCTACTACTGATGACCTACTGTTTTAAAGTTCACTGACTTGTATTATTTCTAATTTAATTTCAACAACTATATATTATTTCTCATGAGTATGCGGGTCAGCTTGGGGTCAGGGACTCTAGGTTGGGCTCAGCTGTGTGGCTCTGCTAGTCTCTGCTGGGCTCACTCATGCACAACCAGCTGGGGCTAGACAGATCTAAGATGGATCTGGAAAGTGGCCCTGCTCCACACATCTCTCTTTCCCTTCCTGTACTGATGGGCTAGCCCAAGTGTGCCTTTCTCAAGGCAATCACAGAAGTGCAAGAGAACAAACAGAAGTGCTTTCAAGGCCTCTTGAAGCCTAGACTCAGAATTGTCATACTATCTGTCATTCAGAGGTTCCCCAAGACCACCTGTAAGTTCACTGATTCACTGGAAGGACTCACAGAATGCAGCAAAGCTGTTATACTCATGGTTACAGTTTACTATAGGAAAATGATACATATTAAATCAGCCATGGAGAAAAGGTGCATAGGAGACAGCAGGTGCAAACTTCCAGCTGTCCTCTCCCAGTGGAGTTGCACAGACAGGGCTTAATTCTCCCAGCCAGGATGTATGGCAACATACATGGAACATGGCCACCCAGGGAAGCTCACTCCAACCTTAGTGTCCAGGGTTCTTATTGGGGTCTGGTCACATAGGCATGGCTGACTGCCCATGTGGTGGGCCTTAGTTTCCAACTTCTCCAGAGGTCACCTGAATACTATGTGGCTCACAGCCCCCGCCATAAATCTCATTTAGTGTAGACTATGTGACATGACCCACGGGCTCCAGGTAAACAATGACATTCTTATCAGGCTGCCACAGGCCAAAACTTGCTTTGGAATGGGCAGGTTTGGACCACCCAGGTGTGCTGAGTTAATCCTTCATTGCACAGCATCCTTCTGCCTCCTTCTATTGGCTAAAGCACCGCTGACACAGCTGAATCCAGGCAGATTGGGAGGTCACTACAGTCGCATAACAAAGGGCATGGATTCAGAGAGAGGTGATGATCTGGGGCCATTAATGCAATTCACCATGAAGGCCCCACCTGGGCTGAGGCGTGGGCTGGCACATGGGCAGCCACGGGTGGTCATCCTCGTCTTATCGCTGCTGGGACATAATGCATACTCACATCTCTGTCCTGTGCTGTTCTCCACCTTCTCACAACCTCTCCTCTATCCAGAAAGTTCCAACTCAAATTTCAAGACTTTCCTCCTCCATGAAGCCCTCCCTGGCCACCCCAGCAGACAGGGGCCTCCGCGTGAACAGACGATGATGAAACTAGTGATCACAGTTTTACCTTGTCTAATGCTTTGAGATGGGGAGACAGCTCCTTTGTCACGCTTTCTGATTCTTTGTCTGTCCCCTTCTCCTGATCATCCTCAAACTCAATTTCACCCAGGATAATGACTTACTCAGTTCCAGGTTTGCTTCGGAGACTCCCAGGCCCAGCCGTCTGGTTGTATTCCTGACTGAGGCCTGTTCTCTGCCAGGAGTGGAAAATGCAGATCCATTCTTCTGACTGCGGTTTCCAGTCCTCAGCTGGCACATTCCCCGCTTGATTCTTCTCCTCCCTCATGCGGAGGCTATTTCCACTGCAGCGCTAAAGTAGTTCGGACCCCTTACAATCCAAGCTCCATTTCCCAGGCCTGCAAAATGCTTTGTGAGCAAAGATATTGCCTTCTCCTTGATGCCCAGGGTGTGCAGGTGGGGGAACAATTCACATGGCCTGAATCACAGCAACTCCTGGGCCTGTCTCAAAGCAAAACCAAGACACCTGATTGTTTTATCTGACCTTGAAGATGTCCACTGCCTCTTCCTAAATGCCACCTCCTCCATGAAACCTACCTTAATCCCTTAGTGGGAAGGATTTCTCCTCATTCTGAAAAATTACATCTCACAACACATTCTTCATAAGTGCCCCATCTCCCACACCATGTTGTAGGTAATCTAAGGCCAGGGGCCATATCTGTTCCCTCCATGACACCCAAGGCTTAGGGCACTGTTCAGTGATAGCTGGTAAATGGTCTCAGACAGCCTCAGTCTCTAAAAGTCAAACTGGAAAGAGAAAGAAGAGGTCAGATGATCTCTATGTCCAACCCATCCCTGCAGGTCCAGAGCCGAGGAACAGGTGAGGCCACTCGATGGGGATACTGAGGCTGAGAAGGGGCCTCACAGTGCCAGGTGAGTGGCCAGTCAGGCAATAGGGAACTCGACTCCCTCACAGTGGGGATTTGTTTTAGTCACCTTTATATCTTAGGACTTAGTAAAACGCCACCCACCAAGAAATATCAAGACTAAACAAAGCCATGAGTGAGGAGCAGGCAGCAAGTTGGAAGCCAGAGGAGCAGGTAAAATCAGGCACTAACATTATAGATGGGACCAAAGCAAGTGGTTTCTTTAAATTTTTTTTTTTATTTTTCATTATTATGGGTGCGTAATAGTGTATATATTTATAGGGTCCATGTGATGTTTTGAAACAGACATGCAATGTGTAATGTAATCACATCAGAGTAATTGTGGGTATTAATAAAAAGATCTTGAAAGGCTGAAGTTGGGGGTGGGATAGTGGTCCCAGAGTGAATCTGGTAGGCTTCATTTTTTTCCTGCTCCCTCCAGGGTCGGGGCTGTGGCCCTTAAGCAGCAGCTCACCCACCATCACCCCCAGGCTGTACCTATGTCAGAGACTTCGATAGCGTTTAGGAAGGACGCTCTGGCTTGCCCCCATCGATACTCAGGCATCAACTCATCCATGGTGGCACCATGTTTACAGGGCCACCAGTGGCCGGGGGTGTCTTGGGAAGACCAGACCAGTGGAAGCCCCAGTTAAAGGTAAGAGAAGCTCCCGGGTGCTCTAGAGAAGTGCTTCTCAAACCTGAATGCGAGCACGAGCCACTTGTGGATTTTGCTAAAATGCTGATTCTGGTTTGGTAGGTCTGGAGTAGGGCCTGAGATTCTACCTTCCTCACAAGGCACCCGGGTGTTGCTGACGCTGCTGGCTCGAGGACTTTATCTGAGTAGTGAGGGGCCAGACTAGCAATGGATCTTAATGCTGGCTGCAAATAATCACCTGGTGGAGCTTTAAAAAATACCAATATCTGTTGCCAATGGTGGGATGGCCTGCCATCGTGTGGGTGGTTCTCCAAGTGTGGTCCCTGGACCCACTGCATCAGCATCACCTGCAAACTTCTGAGAAATGCAAATCTCAGGTCTCACTCCACACCTCCCAAATCAGAAACTGTGGAGTAGGGCCCAGCAACTTGGGTTGTAACCAGCCCTCCAAGTGCATGCTGTAGTTTGTGAACCTCTGCATTTTTTTTGCATCCTAATCTTATGCAATGGGAAGTATACAACATCACACAAAATCATTTATGTGAGGTTCTTACTGGACATATTTGACTGAATCTAGTCATGAGGAAATTATGACTTTCTCAGGCTTAATAATGCTTTGTGGTTCTGCAGGAGAATGTCCATATTCTTACGGGAGGTGTGCTGCAACATTTAGGGGTGAAATGTCTATTTTCTTCAGCGACTTGAATGGTTAAAGGGAAATGTGTGTGTGCATGCATGTGTGTGTGTGTAATAAGGGAGATGGAGTAAAATTTCACTTTGTTGATTCAAATGTGTACCCAGTATTCAGGGCCTTGATTCTATGGTAGCTTGTCTTAAACTGTGGTCATAAAACCACCTGCATCAGAACCTCTAGGCTGCTGGTTTAAAATGTAAATCCTGAACCTCATTTATACATAGGAATCGGGGTCTCTGGGGTAGGGCCTCAGGTAGGCACCATAGAGGGTTCAGAGCTAATATTTGAGAGTCATTGTTTGACACTCTTTGTCAGAGAGTATTAGGTCACCAATCCAGACTGCTACAGGGTCCAGGAGGTAAACTGAACAAGTGAAGCAGCAGCTGGTGTAAGGCAGTCGACGCTGGTGGGGACTGCAGCAAATGACAGAATGTATGCCCAGTTTAAAGCTCCAACTTCCAGCTGACTGGGATACAATGTCTTGCTAGTGCTGCTCAGTGTTGCTAGATCTTTCTCTCTTTTTTCTCAAGAGACATCAGAAATCTGGAGTTTTTAATGTGAAACCCCTCAATTTTAAAATGTTGGTGACTTACTTAAAAAGTATTGAAACACCACTGAAGTGAAACAAAACATCTCTGGAAATAGTATTCAGCCTACTGACCACTCGTTTGCAATCTCTGGCATGGACTTAGCTAAGCAACCAGAGTACTATGAGGGCCATGGTTCAAGGGTTCCCTAGCTCATCAGAGAAGAATTCCACAGCTTGTACTCTGATCATGTTGCCATGTCCCTGAACAATGACTTCCTCTGCAGGAATCTTCCCAAAGTTCCCCTACTGTTCATTAATGGTGTGATCTGTCCACAGTTTCCCTTCTAGGCTGTTAGTTGGTGGAGACAGGACTGTTTAGTGGCTGAAGCTGGGTGGCACAACATACCGAGTGTTCCTTGGCCTGCAGCCCAGAGGCCCCTGGTGCTCGATTTTCCTGGACCACAGTGCGTCTTGCTCACTGAAACCCTTACAGAACCAACAGCTGGAAAGTTGTTTGCTGAGCCCAACCTGGGATTGGGAGAGCAAGAGAACTTGTGTGGACAGCCCTTTCATTCTAAAGGGTTTTTCTTCCCATGTTGGGCACTTCCTGCAGCTCCCAATCCAATAACCATGTCAACTGTCCACAGATCCCAGGATACCGAGTCTCTGGTCCCATCAGTTCCACTAATCTATTGTATGAACTTGAACCAGTCACACCCTCTCTGCACTATCAGCTCCTCTCCTGTGGAAGGAGGCTATTGTCAGTGATTTTTCAGCAGCAGAGCTCTTTTTAAAAAATTCTACTGAAGTTTTCCAGCAAAACCCCAAAATAAAATCAATGCAATAAAGGCTTTCCTCAGGAAGTTTAATTCTTCCAAGGTTGAATGGTACATGTCAATGTTTGCCAAACCCCTCATGCATCTATAAGGTCCTAAGGAACAGAGTTTGAAAATTATGGGGCTTGCTCAAAGTCTTTTTTTAAAATTTGGAAATGCCATATCTAAGATGTTTTCGAGCAATTTCCTCTAGGTCTCCCATTAGTTCACACATTAACTGCAACTGCAAGGAAGTCCACCTCTCTGAGGCATTTATTGAAGCCTCCTGCTTACACAGAACAGTACTAGATGCTGTAAAGGGAAATAGCCATGGCCTCCAATTTAGGGTTATGGTTGACCTGGGGTGTCAAAGAGGAAAGGAACCTTGGACATATTCTAATCCTATATTTATAACCTATTCTAACCCATGGCCTCTTTCTGACAAATATAAAAATCTCACAGGCTCAGAGCTTTTGATGTAATCCCCACCAGTGGTTTGAGAAAGCTTTTGTCCAGCTTTGCCTTCTGTAAATTATATTATGAAAACAATAGGTATTTTTTTTATGTTCCAAACAAAAATTATGTAACAGTGTATTATTGGCTTGGCTTGGTGGCTCACGGCCTGTAATCCCAGCACTCTGGGAGGCCGAGGCGGGTTGATCAGGAAGTCAAGAAATCAAGACCATCCTAGCCAACATGGTGAAACCCCATCTCTACTAAAAATACAAATAATTAGCTGGACGTGGTGGCGCACACCTGTAGTCCCAGCTACTCAGGAGGCTGAGGCAGGAGGATGGCTTGAACCTGGGAGGTGGAGCTTGCAGTGAGCCGAGATTGCACCATTGCACTCCAGCCTGGGGAAAGAGCAAGACTCTGTCTCAAAAAAAAAAAAAAAAAAAAAAGAGTGTATTATTGACCTTGCATTTTCCAAAATATATACATGCCAACCCAAAGAACGTGATACACTTCCTTCATCCCCTGCTTTCCACCTTTACCCCACCCTCATCTATTGACAATAACTGACTCCGTTCATTCTTTTTCATTTATATTGCACCTTGGTTTCCTCAACTATAAAATGTGAGGACATAATATGGAGAGTTGGAGCAGGGGATTGGTGAGGATACAGGTGAAACAAGGTTGGCCTTGAGTAGATAACTGTTGAAACTGGGTGATGGGCACATAGGGATTCATTAACTCTTCTTTCCATTTTTATGTTATGAAATTTTCTATAATAAAAAGGTTAACATGAAGGTAATTTCTATAATAAAAACATTAAAATAAAGATAATGTTACTGATTTGCAGGTTGATATTGAGTATTTTACCCAGTTGCAAGCCAAGAAGCACTATGAACAGCATCTTCATTTGCTGCAGCCACATCTGACCTTGGTTCCCATACCAAGTTGCCACTTCCTGACTGTAACCATTTGCGGCTATACCAGAATCTCACAATGTGCCCCGTGAAAAAAGACAAGGAAATGCAGCAGTCCAAGCCCCTAACTGGAGGAGGCTCCTGACTCTGGGGACTTACTCCTTCACTCATCTCCTGCCAGCAGCAGATGGAGCCGGTCTGGGCTATGGAAAGGCCCTGAGCGCAAAGGGTTAACACGCTGCCCCTGGAATGACTGGGCTTTCCCTCGATTGGTGCTGCCTTTCAGGCCCAGGCCTGCCTGATGATTCTTGGTGTAGGTTAAAGGACCATGAATTTGTGGCTCCTGAGTGCGTGGTAATGAGCTCAGGCACCAAAAATTGAGAACTGGTTATACTTGGCTTCTCCATCCAGGTTGAAATAGCTCACCTGTATTCTGAGTGGTGAAGAAAGGGCTTTGAGAACACTGGATGCCTGAGGATGGGCAGTATAGCCTCCAAAAAAAAAAAGAATCAGAAGCTGGTACTAACTAAAGAATCTGTGAGACCGGGCACGGTGGCTCACGCCTGTAATCCCAGCTACTTGTTAGACTAAAGCAGGAGAACTGCTTGAACCCGGGAGGCAGAGGTTGCAGTGAGCCAAGATCGCACCATTGCACTCTAGCCTGGGCGACAGAGCAAGACTCTGTCAAAAACAAAAAAAAAAATCTGTGAGGCTCAAACATGGGGGTGAGGGGTGAGAATAGGGCACCAAAAGGACTGACATCTAAATAATCTGTCAGTGACAAAATGGCTTCCAACTAATTAAACATAGAAAAACCTCTTTTAGGGAAGATAATCCTATTGGATCTGCTTGCAAGATTTTTCCAGCCAGCTTCTGCCTCTTGGAGCTTCAATTAAAAGCTGTTTAGCAGATGGCAAATTCTGAGTTACAAAGTTAGACTCTTTGGCAACGATATGTGCTTTTGCTTTCCCAGGGGATCCTGGCCACATATGGCCCTGGAAGAGGCGCGAGAGCTCTTTCTTGGCACACAGTAGAGAGCTCCTCTCCCAGCTTAACACACAGATGACAGGCATTTCAACATAACCATCAAGGGTGGTGAGCAAGAGGGGAGTTTTCAGTTAATTCAGAAATATGGGGGCCCTGGAAATCATAATATATCAGGGCTGGAAGGGAACTCAAACAGCGTCTACTACAACCCCTTCTTCATACAGAACGAGGGCACTGAGCCTTGGAAGAGGTTATGCAATTTATCTAAAGTTGCCCAGCAAGGGAGAAGCAGAGTCGGGATCAGGCTTGTGCTTATTTACCATAGAAGCACTTCTCTATTCACTTGGAGGACTGTGTTCATTGCCTGACCCTTTCCTTATAATCACGAGGCTCCTGAAGAGATATTTTACCAATGACCTGACAAATTTGCCAGAAGGCCTTGAAAGGGTCATTCATCCTCATGTCCACCTCCTGCTTTATTGCAGGACAAAACCAGGACCCTCTGAAATGGAACTTCATCACTCTTCTCTTCAAAGCTTTCTACTACAGTTGAAGTCACAGTTTCTCTTGGGTGCTGTCAAAGAGAAACAGAACCGGACACTAAATTAAAGATTGGGGGACAGGTTTTATTCAGTAAAATTACAGTAGAGGAGGGAACTCAGTATAACCTGAGCTCAAAGAGTATAACTCTATCAAAACAACTTCCATTCCACAATTCTATTTTGAAGCTCCTCTTTTGTAGTAGACATGGTCATGTGCTGGACATACAACAGTGGACAAGGCATTCAGGGTCCCAGCTCTCATGGGTCTCACAATTCAGAAGGAGAAACAGACATCGAGCGTATCATTTTAATAATATTTACATAATCACAGTTGGGGCAGTTTTAAGAAATAAAAACACAGTAGTGCTCTGATGATCTATTACTGCATAACAAACCATCCTAAAACTTAGTCTTACAACAATGACAATAGATTGCATAGTATTGAGCAGTCAACAGAGATAGCTCATTCCTGCTCTACTTGGCATTAGCTAGCATGGCTCAGAAGTAGGGTACTGCTATCATTTGAAGGAAAACACACTCACCTGTCTGGCAGTTAATGATGGCCGGCAGCTGGGACCTCAGCTGGAGCTGTCAGATGGAATACATACACGTGGCCTCTCCATGTGGCCTGGGCTTCCCCACAGTATGGTGGCTGAGTTCCCAGGGTGTGTATCCTGAGAAGGATAGTGGTAGAAACCACATTCCTTTATGACCTAGACTCAAAGTCACACATCGTTGCTTCTGCCCCATTCTAGTCAATATTGCAAACAGAAAGTATTGCACCATTTCAAAGGGAGGGGAAATAGACACCACCTCTTGATAAGGGAATGGCAAAATTTTGGAATAGCATGATAAAAGTATAGCTGTGGTGATTTTTTCAAAATACAATTTCTCTCAAGTGTCTGTGAGAAAGCTAAGAACCTATCAGAAGGAATCAAGAAGGTGTTTTTAAGCTGGGACCTGGAGGGCGAATAAGACTAAGACAGATAAAAAGGGAAGGAGTAGGGGAGAGGAGAGAAATGTTCCAGACAGTGGATCCTGGCACAGAATGAGCTTGGCTACAGGAAGAACTGAAAGGAAGCCAATGCGGCTGCAACATTTATAATAAAACGAATGAGCAAAGGTTCATAATAAAAAAGTTGCAGCAACTTGAAAGTGCTTAGTAGGGACCCTCCAGCTACCATCAGGTAATGCCATGCTTAACCAGCCTACACCTAGTCTCTTGGTTACCTCTGCCTGCATAACAAACCATCTCAAACTTAACTGGCATACAAGAACAACATCATTTATTTTTATTATTTTCTCTCATGGTTCTGGAGGTTGACTGGATTCAGCCAGACACCTTTCACTTGGGGCCTCTCATGTTGCTGTAGTCAGGTGGTGGCTGGGCCTGGAGTGACCTCAAAGCCTTTCTCACTCACATCTTTGGTACCTGGACTGGGAACACTCAAATAGCTGGAGCTAGACCAGCTGTTGCTGAGCATGCATCTCTTATTCCCACTCTCTCACTCTCTGGTCTTTCCATGTGGTCCCTCCAGCACAGCAGCTCCTGAGTAGTCAAACTTCTTAGAGGGTGGCAGATGACTCCCAGTGCAAGTATCCCAAGAAAAACCAGGAGAAGCTGCATGGCCTTTTCTAACCTAGACTTGGAAATCAGGTAGCGTCACTGCTATCCCATGCTATTCACTCAGGTGATCACAAAAGCCTGGCCACTGTTAAGGGGAAGGGACATAGATATTTTTTTTTTAAATGGAGTTTTGCTTTTTGCCCATGCTGGAGTGCAATAGCACGATCTTGGCTCACTGCAACCTCCACCTCCCACGTTCAAGTGATTCTCCTGCCTCAGCTTCCCGAGTAGCTGGGATTACAGGCACTCAGCCAACAGGCCCAGCTAATTTTATATTTTAGTAGAAACAGGGTTTCACCATGTTGGCCAGGCTGGTCTCGAACTCCTGACCTCAGGTGATCCACCTGCCTTGGCCTCCCAAAGTGCTGGGATTACAGGCGTGAGCCACTGTGCCCAGCCGGGACATCGACTTTTTGATGACAGGAGTGTCAAAGAATTTGCAGACATGTTTTAAAACTACAACACTTAGGGTAACCATATAACTCACTGTCCAAAGCAAGATACTTTTGAGAGTCAAAGTGGGCACTTTTGAGAGTCAAAGTGGGCACTTTTCAGGCATGAGCTAGGACTGTCCTTGGGAAACCAAGACGTGTGGTCACCCCACTGCCATGCCCGCACGAGTGGGAGCACAAGCTCTCTTAAATTCTTTTGTCTTTCCGACATTCATCATGCCATTTGTAAACATATGCTTTACTCATTGAAATTGGTTTTAAATTTTATTTTCTGTTTCTTTATTTTCTGTTTCTTGCTTTTAGATGATGAATGTTATGTTGAGGTCGCCTTTTCATAATGAATCTGGAACTTGAGAGCTACAAATCTTGCCCAACAATATCTTTCATGCAAGCTGGGACAGCTGCTGGCACTGTGGATATAAGTGCTTAGGATGCCTTCTCTCTTAGATGAGAGAACCCCAAGCAATGGAAGAATTTGCTTCAAGAAATGCTTTTTAAAAATCTCACTTTTTGGCTAAGTGGTAAAAAACACACACACAGTGATGACTCATCAGTTGAAATCAAATCCTTCATCCCAAAAAAGTGTTTTTATAAGAAGTGGGTGTTTTTTTCTTTCCCCAAAGGCAGACTGCATAATATTTGGTGCTTCTCTTTTCTGAATAATTTATTCCGTTTCAGTGGAAATTGACAGTTTCAGACTGGAGCCAATAACATTTTATTTTCAGAGCTATGCTTGGTACCCCCATTATCCAGGGATCTGCTTTTGCCTACAACCCTAAGGGGAGTTCAGCCATCAAACCGTTTCACACCAGCACAATTCCCCTCTTCCTCCCTTCCCTTTGACCAGCTACTAACCTGTTCTTCTGAAGACCCTGGAGCAGAATAAATGCCTAGAGAGAGCATTTGGAGACCGCATCCAGGTATACAAAAGCATGGCAAGTTTATTGTTTTTCAGGAGCCCAATCACAGAATCGATCCATATCTCCTGACCCAGGTACTCCACTCAGAAGTCTGTTCTTTTCACAGCTCTCCTCTACAAAACATTTTCTTTCTGTTGTTTCTTTCCTAAGACTCTACAACTCTGAAAGAAAGCAACGTGATTCATTTCTGATCCGTGAAAGTAAACATCCTATTCCATTCCATTTGTCTTCTTGGAAGCTTCCACAAATGTCTCCTTGCTAGAAAACAAAAATACAAAACTTGTACTCATTTCTGTTCCAGACTGAAATACATGGGAAACTTTTATGGGTCCTGGACTATAGTCTGGCCTTCATGAATTAAGAAGATATTTAAGAGAGATATAACAATAGAGTTAAGACTAGGAAAATAGTTTTAAAAACTTCTCAGGTTGAAAACAGCAGCATCCAACAGCTGCTCAGATCAAGAGTGGGACTAGACTTAGGGTGACCAACTGCTATGGACTGAACTAAAATACATATCTTGAAGCCCTAACCTCTGATGTAATGGTATTATGAGACAGAGCCTTTGGAAGATGAGGAGGTTTAGATGAGGTCATAAGGGTGAGGCCTTCATGATGGGATTAGTGCCCTTATAAGAAGAGACACACCAAATACCAGATCTCTCTCTCTCTCTCTCTCTCTCTCCCTCCCCCCCCATACCCCACTGTCTAGCACGTGAGGACACAAGAAGAAGGCATCTGTTTACACACCAGGAGGAGAGACCTCACAAGAACCCAATCATGATGGCACTTTGATCTTAGACCGCCAGCCTCCAGAACAGTGAGAAAATAAATTTCTGTTGTTTATGCTGTCCTGTTTAATGGTATTCTGTTACGGCAACCTGAGCTGACTGAGACATTAACGGTTCCAGTTTTCCTGGAATTGAGTGGGGATCCTGGGATGTGAAACTTCCAGTTTTCTAACCTAGAAAGTGCTGGGGGCACCAGGGCAAGTTGGACTGTAGTTCTCTACCCCTGCTGCTCTGTCTCAAAGAGCCAGGGTCTGCCCAGGAACAAGAAGAGGAGGCAAAGATGCCTCAGCCAGGCCTAGAGGTGAAAGCACAAAGCCCGAGGGGCTGCCAGGCCGTTAGACTTCTAGGTTCAGAGGTGCTAAGGAGTGCGTGGGACAAAAGGCTCACGGTGATTAAGGTGAACAATATTGTTAACAGTGCAAAAATATTAAGGCAAAACCCCAATCTACAATGAAGTAATCATTTAACTTCGTAAAACAAATTCCACCTGAACTTCTGGAGTCTCTTTCAGGTCCTTCCCAGTGAGAGTCCTTGGGAGTTAGGGGTGGTCTGGGCTTCTAGTCAAATCCTGGGCTTCATTCCTGTTCCTCTCATAGGCTCCAGGACCTCTCTCTCCAGCCGTCTCAGGGATAGGACGTTAATTGTTCAAGCTTCCTTTTTGTCCTTGCTGACCCTGCGTACCCCTACCCGGCTTCAGACCAAGAGGACATGCTCCCTGTGCTACCTTGTACTAAAATGCCTGCCGGGTAGAGGGGGTGGGGAATGGGGGATGGGCAGTTAATAGCATCATGGAGTCTCCTCTCCAGGTCTGTCTTCAAGAAAAAAAAAATACCCAAAAGTTGGGAAAAAGGCAAAAAGATGCATGACCTTCACTGTCAAGCTTGCACATGGGCCATGCGACTTTCTAGTAGAATTATTATTTATTCTCGATTCATGATTTTACAGTTCTCACAGTTCTCAAAGGTTAGCTGTTAGTTTGTTGAGAAGCACTAAGATACAAAGAGGTGTTTTTCTTTTTGTTTTTTTTTTTGAGACGGAGTCTCGCTCTGTCGCCCAGGCTGGAGTGCGGTGGCATGATCTCAGCTCACTGCAACCTCCACCTCCGGGGTTCACACCATTCTTCTGCCTCAGCCTCCCAAGTAGCTGGGATCACAGGCGCCCGCCACCACGCCCAAGTAATTTTTTGTATTTTTAGTAGAGACGGGGTTTCACTGTGTCAGCCAGGATGGTCTCGATCTCCTGACCTCGTGATCCGACCGCCTCGGACTCCCAAAGTGCTGGGATTACAGGCGTGAGCCACCGTGCCCAGCTGATACAAAGAGTTTTTATCCAATAACAGTGCAAATAATTTTTTGTCCTACAGAAATAAAAATGTCTCCTGTTTAGTAGAGAAGATAATCCTAAAGTTTACAGTTTTACTGCTCTGAAGAAAAACAATCAGCTTAGTATCTAACTTTGAGATCTTATTCTACAGTTTTTTCTTTTACTAACCACATTTACATCTGTTTTTCTTATATACTTGGTTCTCCCATTAATGAGTTAAAATAAAACCTTGACATGTACTCATTATGTATTTGTATGAAAATCATGCTTTTTTTTTTTAACATTTTGGAAATTAGACTTTTTGAAGTTCCCCTCACTGCACACCCATTTATCTTTCCCTTTGAACCCACAATGATGTAGTTCTAAGTCCAAGTCTTCTTCATCCTTCTGCCCCACAAACAGAGAAAACCTGGCTCTCCGTCAAGGCTGTGCTGAGTGGCACCTTTGGGTAAAAATTCTTTTAAAAGAGGAATTACAGGCCGAGGGCGGTGGCTCGCGCCTGTAATCTCAGCACTTTGGGAGGCCGAGGCGGGTGGATCATTTGAGGCCAGGAGTTCGAGACCAGCCTGGCCAACATGGTGAAACCCTGACTCTACTAAAGATACAAAAATTAGCCGGGCTTGGTGGTGGGCGCCAGTAATCCCAGCTACTTGGGAGACTGAGGCAGGAGAATCACTTGAGCCCGGGAGGTGGAGGTTGCAGTGAGCAGAGATCGCGCCGTTGCACTCCAGCCTGGGTGAAACAGTGAGACTCCATCTCAAAAAAAAAAAAAAAAAAAAAGGAATTACTCGTTGGCAGAGTTATACATAAGAGCAAAATCTGAACACTTAAATGGCCAGAAATAGAAAATAGAAAATTATGGTACATGAGCAGTTAATATTACACAGCTATAAGCATAATTATCATAAAGACTATTGCAGCAACATGGCAAATGCTCAAGCTAACGTGTTGTGAAAAAAGCAATATGTAAAATATGAACTGGAGGGAAATCAAACATGAAAATATCTATTAGGAAACTTTATTGGTTTTTTTTCCAAGTTATATTTAATGTAGTTTTTGTCTTTTCAGTGAAAAAAAAAAGTAAAAGAGAAAGTTTAAAACCAGAGGAAACAGAAAATTCATGTGATATTGATATTCCATGAATAGTTATAACTGACATGGTCATGAAATTCTGGTTGGAAACTTTCATTGAGTAACTGTCCTGAAATCTCCCCGAACTCCCCCATTCCATCACCCCTCACCTCTGAAAACTTAGGAGCTCTGAGGTCACTTACTACTCTGTCATCCAATATCATCACGGCAAGGAAAGACCACGTCCTGTGACCATAGATAGAGCTTGATAGGATAGAACTTGAGGGGTGGGCTTCCAAAGGTTTGTGAGGACACACAAAACCCCAACTCTCAGACCCATGGGCAGGGATATGAGCAGCTCTGCCACAGAGCCCTGGGAGGGCTCTCAGGCACCCTTTTGGGCTGTCAAGTTCCAGCCGCCCATCCCTGCCCTCATGGCCCTGCCCCTGGTGCCAAACATTCTACCTGACTTACCCATATCCACCTGTGGGCCAGAGAAACTCATTATTCAGCCACTAGACCCCAAACTGGGACCCCAGGGCCCTTACCCCTTTGTCCACCTTGCCTTCCCTCTACTCAGAGCATCCACGCCTGACCACAGTGAAACCATCCTGACCATGGCCTAGCTGTCCTTTTGAGGACAGACCTTTCCCTCCCTGCCCTCTTGGAGAAAACCACAAAAACAAATCAGGAGCCAGCTTTGTTCCAAGGGGAATGTTTTCACCCTGCTCCCACTTCATGAAGTTCTTTGGCCCAGAACACAGGAAATGAAGCATTTATGAGGTTTCCCGGAGGTATCCATGCAGCAGGACCAAGTACCTGCCAGCTCCGACCTCACTTGGAGTTGCTTTTGTTTCTCTGGCAGCTAGCGTTCTTAAGCTGGCTCATTTAAGTGTGTGTATTTACAAACAGACTTTACTGGTATTCCTTAAGAAACTGCTTCCTTCTGATTACCCGACTCAGTCTCTGTTCAGTGAGTCAGAGTCATATGTTGTTTTATACATTGGTGTATCCTTGGCTATTTTCTAAGCACAGATCCCAAGCATAAGCTCCTGATGGGCAGGGACATGGGTGACATTTCTTTATAGCCTAGCAGCTAACATAGTGCCCTGTATAGAATAAATACCTGTTGGCAAAGTGGAAACAACCCAAATATTCATCAACAGAAGAATGGATAGACAAATTGCGGTTTGTTTGTATAATGAAATGCTACTCAGTAATAAAAAGGAATGAACCACTGACATGCAACAACATGAATGAACCTCAAAAAGATTACATTGAAGAAAAGAAGCCAGACACAAAAGAGTACATACTACATGATTTTGTTTGTACGAAGCTCTAGAACCAGCAATACTCATCTGTATGACAGAGGTCTATTATAGGCTGAATGTTGGTGTATCCCTCCCCAAATTCCTATGTTGAAGCCCTAAGCCCCTGTGTAGAAGTTTATTTGGAAATGGGGCCTCCAAGGAAGTAATTAAGGTTAAATGAGGCCCTGATACGATTTGCGTGCTTATAAAAAGAATCACCTGGCTGGGTGCGGTGGCTGACACCTATAATCCCAGCACTTCGGGAGGCTGAGGCGGGTGGATCACAAGGTCAAGAGATCGAGACCATCCTGGCCAACATGGTGAAACCCTGTCTCTACTAAAAATACAAAAGTTAGCTGGGCGTGGTGGTGTGTGCCTGTAATCCCAGCTACTTGGGAGGCTGAGGAAGGAGAATCACTTGAACACAGGAGGTAGAGGTTGCAGTGAGCTAAGATTGCACCACTGCACTCCAGCCTGGGTGACAGAGCGAGACTCCATCTCCAACAACAACAACAACAACATCAACAAAAAAGACACCTGAGAGCTCATTCTTTCCCTTTCCACCAGCATGTGCTAAGGAGAGCCATGAGAGGACAAAGGGAGAAGGTAGCCACCTGCAGGCCAGGAAGAGAGCCCTCACCAGAAACTTGACTGGCCAGAACCTTGATCTTGGACCTAGAGTTCAGAACTATGAAAACTAAATTTATGTTGGTAAAAGCCTCCTAGACTATGGTATTTTATTATGGCAACATCAAGAGACTACGATCAGAATAGTGGTGTCTTAGTTCGGGCTCCTATAACAAAAATACCACAGACTGAGTGGCTTAAACAATGAACATTTATTTCTCACAGTTCTGGAGGCTGAGAAGTGCAAGATCAAGGCACTGGCAAAGCCAGTGTCTGGGAAGGGCTCTCTTTCTGGTTTGCAGATGGCAATTTTCCTGTTTAATCCTCACATGACAGAGACAGAGGTTGAGAGAGAGAATGCAAGCGTGAGCACATGTGGTCTGGTTTCTTTTCTCTTCCACTAAGGGCACTAATCCCATCCTGGGAAGCTCCATCTTCATGGCCTCATCTAAACTTAATCACCTCACAAAGGCCCCTTTTCCAAATACCATCACATTGGGGATGGGGTTTCAACATGTAAATTTTGGAGGGATACAAATAGTCCACAGCAAGTAGTTACATCAAGGGAAGGGTTAGTGACTGGCAAGGGAAATTTCTAGGGGGAAGGAAATGTCCTACATCTTGATAGGGTGATGGTCACATGGATATTTACACATGTATGCAAAAAGCATTGAGCTGTACACTTAAGACGTGTGCCTTTTACTATCTATGAATGACACCTCAATAAAGAACTGAAAAACCACTGTTGGCAAGAATTTTTTCTGCACTGTGACTCATACCTCCCTAACTGATCAATTTGGGATGAAGATTTATGAAGCACCCACTGTGTACAGATTCTGGCAGTAATCACAGGTATAGCAAGAGCGGGGAAAACAGCAGCAGCCTTGGTCCCTAGTTCTCAAGGAGCCTTTTTCAGCTCCACAGATAATAATATCTGGACATTCTTAAGTCACAGCCACTGAGCCAGATTGTATCAAATGCTAACAGCTCATTAAGAGACTTCTTGACACGTGAGAAGCCACATTAACCCCTTCGTGCTTCCACTGAGGCAGCTGTTGCCTGGTCCCTTTGAGAGCCAGCCAGACCCTGGGTTGGTTCAGCTGCTGGCAAATACCACCAGGAAAAACAGAAAGGAAATGGAAAGCCAGTGCAGAAAGTGTTAATGAGATTTTAAACTGTGCAATTCTGACCTTGAGGACTCCCTACATCTAAGCAAAAGAAGCCGAAAAACAATTTACTCCCACATTTCAGCAGTTGACTTTTCTGTATTGTGCAGTCTTAATGGAGTTGTTAGCATCTTAGGACAAAAATGAGAAAATTTCCCCAGGTGTTTCCCACTCCTTTCTTTCCAGGACTTTGGCAATGCCAATGTGATGTGGCCAGACACCACCTCAGAAGCATTGTAAATTTGGGGCAAGAGCTACACGTTTCTTCCCAGGGAGAAAGGTGCCATTTCCTTTGGTGATACCAGCCTCTTTGCAGTAAAACAAACAAAACAAAACCCCAAAAGTTTGCTTTTATAAAATCACTACATTCTAGAAAAGGCAAACATGTAGCACGTGTGCCATAAACTTTTCTCTTGTGTCCTTAGCAGACATTGTTAATTGATCACAGCATTGTTAATCACTGAGCCCAGTTCCAGAATCAGTGATGTGTTGAGCTGGTTGGTACTAACTTTTGAGAGCCAGTTGTTAAATTTTCTTGCTACCCAGTTGTTAAACATGCCCATTATTAAAAATTAAATTATATGAACTTATAATTAAATGAATTATATGAAAGCAAAGGTAATGGATACACAAAATACATTTCCTAATTATTTTACCACATTTTACTATTACCTATGGTTCTGAGGTTATTTACATCTATAGAATCTGGAAATACTATATAATGATGCCCTACTCTACATCTCTTCCTGTTTAGTGATATGGTCCTGGTAGCTTGAAATAGGCCACAATGACACACTGTTTTACATCACAAAAATTGGCAAATGCTATGATGTGGGGGGCTGTCCTGCAGACCCTGACCCAGCGACAGAGGAATAACATGCACCGACACAGATATTTTGCTTTGTCAGTCCAGCTGAGTGTGGGGAATGCTTACAGACTCCCAGGAGAGTGCTGTAAACAGTTGCGACTGCAGCCCCCACCAGCCAGTGAGACTGGCATTTATTCAGTAAAGATTAATTGACAAAGGCTTGAGTCAACACCACTAGAGGGTAATTGACATTGCAGACCTCCCAAGTAGAAAGCAATTAAGCACCTGCAGTAGATCAACGGTTAGTCATGAGTAAACAAGCTAGTAAGATAAACTCCTCCACATTCCTTTGTATCTACTTTAATCTATTTAACTAAAGGTAAAGGGACTAGGCAGCCTTCAGCCAGATCTATTACCAAAGTTATGCAAACTCTCAGGCCTTCCAAGAGGGTCTGTGGCTATTATAACTAAAATTTTTCCCACCAGCCTGACTGAACCCTCACACTACAAGTCAAAGCATCCCTTCTACCAACACTGAGAACTAATTGTTAAACATTTACCAGCACACCACTGCATCAGATGACAAGAGACCCTGCAGAAAGAAGGCAAAGCATGCCAACCCAAACCATGCTGCCTGTGATGGGGGAAGGAGTACTGATCATCATGCCTTTCCAAACAAGACTTGGCATGGAAAAATGTGCTGCTGAGCACTAGATCCAGCCAAGCCTGAAGCCAAAACTGCTGTACATTTTACCAATGAGACTTACCTAGGGGCACTGTTTTCTAACTCTCACAAAGACATCATATGGACTAGCAGCTTGGCCCTGGAAGGGACAGGTAATTGTTTTCTCTGGAGTCTTCTGGAAGGGTGCCTGGAGGACTCATCCCAGAGCAACCAGCCAAGGTCAGTCAAAATCAGAAGCAAACATGGGCATAACAGCTGGAGGGGCTGGACAGAGGGGTGCAGCAGAGAGGCCCCTAGAGCTGAGAGGGGTGCAGGCAAGGGGTGAGACTCCAGAGCTGATCTGGAGGTTCTTCCCAGGAACCCGGCCTGGCCATTTGGGGTGGCAGAGGCTAAAAGGCAGAGAGCAGGCCCAGGGCTCAAAGACCCTGCACTCAGAAACGGTAATGGAGATCCTTTTCTCTCAATTTCAGGCAGTGAAACACATGAAGGGGAAAGTCCCCACAATCTGGGCCAAATGGGGGTATCGTAGGCAGAATCTCATGGCCTGAAGCTCTGCCTCCAGGGTCAGGAACTCCAAGCTGTTCCCCTCTCAGTTTCTTCTCTCTCTCTCTCTTTTAAATTTAAAGTAGACCTCTGCTCTAAAATATTCAAGACTAATCTGCACTATGTTCCTCTAGGAACTTCTCCTAAAATGCAGATTTGGGAGCTACACCTCTTGGAAAGGTGATTAAGCGGTTTGGAAGCCCCTGAGATACAACCTCTTTATTTTATTGCTGGTTTTTCTGCAATGGCATCACTGCCAAAGGCAGCAGAAGTCAATGTATTGGGGTGGAATGGAGATAGAAGGGTAGCTTTGGGGCTGTGGTGGCAGGCAGGACAGGCTGCACAATTTGCGGGGCTCAGTGTCAAATGAAAATGTGGGCCCCTTTTTCAAAAATTACTAAGGATTTCAAGGCAGTGATGGCAAAGCATTAAGACATGGGCCCTTCTGACCCCAGGGCCTGTATGTAATGGCAAAGGTCACCCCATGAGACTGGTCCTGGTAGCTGGTCACCAGCTGCCTGTGGAGATCTTATATTATCTGAATATTTATAACCCAAGGGATGCCCACCTGATTTTTAAGGACCAAGGCTGCAGAGAAAGGCAGTGAGTCTTGCGCTGACCCCGTCCTGACTTGGAAGGAGAGCCGCAGTCCTGGGGGACCCAACAAAGCAGATCTTCAGGGTTTGGGGAAACTTCACTTTCTCCCAGGGTCCAGAGGCTCCAGATCCCTGGCTTGGTACCTGTTTGGCTCTGGAATGGATACAGAAATGTCTTAGGGAGATAGGAACAGAAGTGAAGGAAGACCCCAAATTTGGCAGCTCAGCTACATGGGAGACCACAAGCTGACCGGGTCAACCTCCACAGAGGACTATAATCCCGCCCTGCATCCCAACCAGCCCTGAGTGTCTCAGGCATGACTGTTTCTCATTGGTCAAGTCATCCCCTTTTCACTCTGATCCTGTCCTGAAAAAAAAAAACAAACAAACAAAAAACCAAAAACCAAAAACTAAGAGGATGACCAACTCATCTCAGTTTGCCTGGGACTTTCCTGATTTTAGCACTGAAAGCCCTGTGATCTGGTAAGCCTGTCAAAAAGGATGGCTCGTCACCCTAGAAACCAGTCATAGCAAATGTCCATAGGAGGCCTCCTTCTGAAAAGGATGGAGTCATTCCTGTGGCCAGGCATCTCCTAAGGTTAATTGGCTAAGACCCAACAATTGGATACAGCAGGTGCAACTCCTTCAGCATCTCCAGGTACATTTTTCTGGGCATTCCCCAGGATCTTACATCAGTCACCATCATGTATAGCAAGGGCATCTTACTAACTGTGACTGTAGTTAGTGATTGGTAACAGCTGCTTTGGGTTTTTTCCACCTGAAAACCCCATCCATGCCCCAGGCAGTGCTTCTCATCTCTGGCTGCACATTAGAATACCCTGGGAGGCCAAGCTTTGTTGTTGTTCAAAATGCCTAAATCATTCTGACACACACCCAGGGTTAAAGGCCCACTGCTCTAGGGCCTAGAACAGTGGACATTTTACTGCACCTTTGTCCAAAACAGCATTCTGAGGTCAGTCAGGCCCTGCCCAGGGTCTCCTTCAGCCCACCTCCCTGCGAGTGGAGGGGGGGCTTATACACAGGCATAAATCCTAGATTAAGCATGTTTGCTTTGCAATTTTTTTTTTGGAGGGACAGGGTCTCATTATATTGCCCAGGCTGGTCTGGAATTCCTGGCCTCAAGTGAGTTTCCCATCTTGGCCTTTCAAGTAATCGGAATTATGGACATGCACCATGGCATAAGCAGGTATTTTAAGACCCAAAAGAATATCAGCCCTGTTCTATTTTCTTGATTATCAAAGCATTTGGCACTGCTTTTGATGATCAATTTAAATATTTTCTCTCCAGGTTCTTGCCATTTAAAGACTAAAACTCTGAAAGCTCCTGGTTTCACAGACAATGATCAGGAGGCTCTATTGACTGTCCAATTGGAATATTCTTGCACTGTGGATACTGTGAGTCTGATGACTAACCATGTTCCTTCCTTTACACTGGCTGCTAGGAAGCTCAGAGTCAATTTGTAGCTCACTTCTAGGAATTGTACAGATTTATACTTACTTTGCTAACTTCATTTCTGTTTTTATCTTACTTCCTGAGCCTACTTTCCCTTCAACCCCATGTACTTAGCTATTTATTTTGTCTGATTGAATTGAATGTATACACCAGCTGCCACAAATCCTTTCAGAAGTGAAGAAGGGAATAATAAATAAACAAATAAAATGCAAATGGTAATGCTATTATTAGGAAGAGGCAGAGCTTCTGGTTTTTGATGCAAAGCTACCTCCTCAGGTTGCAATGCTTTTCTCCCTGACTCATGCAGAAAAAGTACTAATGCCCAACCCAGGAAGTGCCTTTCAGCCTTCTCTCTGACACTGTCTTCTGGCCTCTTCACACAGCTGTGGTAGACACTTGCCTTCAACAGCACACCATCCTCCCCAGTCAAGGCTATGATTCTCTCTACCGGGTTACAAGCTCAACTCAGGACTCTAGGAGAGTGATTTCACTGCTGGGGTGGAGTGTTGCCATAGTTGTTCCAATTAATTTATTTGATTTATTTTCAGGGTTATGAGAAGGGCTTTTGATATCAATATGCAAATGTAATTTAAAACTTAAATCAATATTCTGAACCAAGAGCATGGGCATTTTTAACCGGAATGCAGGATAGTCTTAAATGCCTGAAGTTACAGCTCTTTGTGACTGATGACTTGATTCTCCATGGAGTTTTATTTGCAGATGCCAGGAACTTGGTTATTCCAAGAGCTCTATTGTTCAGAAAGCAAGGAGGCTATGTAGGGTGTTCAAGATGTCTTCACTTTCTTCCAGCTGCATGACTATTCAGAGGTTCTGTACAAATGGCTAAGGCAAACCCTCCATATTATAAGCAACATTTACAACTCAGTCCATGAACTGTATGCCCACTTTCCATCATAGAATCCTAGTGCTGAAAATTATCTGGGTGAACATCCAATGCAGCCCTTTCATTTGATGAATAAATAAGCTGAAGGGACTTGTCCAGGATCCACATAGGGAATGAGTGGCAGAGTTTGGACTGGGATCCAATCCCACTCACAACTCTGACCAACCCAGAATCAGGCGCATAAACTTCAATTCTAGCCTCCTCAGACAAGCTTACCAGGGATTTCCTCCAGTCCTACTCTACTTCCAACCTACTTCATATATTCAAGGTACCCTCCTGATGCATTCTATGCCCCAAACCATCTGAATATACGGCCTTCTGAACCCATAATTGAACATGAGGCCTAACTGAAGGCTCCCGTGGGCAATGGGAACTCTGTGTAGGGGAACTCAGCCTTGCCTCCTCTCTCGAGTCAGGGAATGCCTACATTCTGGACCGATGAACACCTTGCTTATTAGCAAGTTTTCTCCAGCCTTGCACATTGCCTCTTTCAGGGACCATCTCATGTTTCCAGGAGAGTACATGATTTTCAAAAGCCCCCTTTAGAGACAGTCCCACCCTTGCAAATTGGCACACAGTACAAAGAACATTCAAGGAGTAAAGCCCAGCCCACGCAGCTCAGGGACCGTTGCCCTCCTTGTCCTCCTGAGACTGCATTTCCTACAACACCTCACCCTTCCCCTTCCAGGTGCTCTGCGAGTTTGGGGAGAGGTGTTTGGTAAATTGACAGCATCTGGATCATATCAGAGATTTAAATGTCAAGCTAAAGATATTTTCTAGTCTTTCCCAGAGGGCTAAGATTTGAGTGCTCATCAATTCATCTCCTCCCTAACTACTTGGATTTTACACTGTAAATGTTCACAGATTAGTTGTTTCTAGTGCCTCTCCATCTCAAACGGTAAAGTGGAAGCGCTCAGGCCCCACCAAGCTGCCAAGAAGTCAGGAGCTGTAGGCGTGTGACCCATTGTTTTGGTGTTCAAGATTATAGTAACGCTGGCTGGAGTTTATTTCACACATCCACCCTGCTGTCTCTGGCTCTGATCCAGCCTACAGAAGGGAGGCAGAAGATCTTTTTAAATGATGGTAAACAATGAGGTCACAGCCCAGAACAGCCCAGCCCTCCTGGCCCCAGCCAAGAAAACACATTCTTAATGGTTACAGGAGCCCTATGGTTTGCTCTAAGTCAAGGAGTCATGGCTGGTAGGATGAAACAGACTGGGACTCACAAATTAGGAGATCCACTTAAGGGCAGTGGCTTGGAACTGAAGAATTCTCACGAGTCCCCAGATCAGGACCCCAGGCTCTAAACTCTAGCACCTAATGCAGTACCCAGCACATAGTAGGTGGTCAATAACCCCAGGGGCCTTCCTCCCTGGGCTGTAATTCCACAACCCAACACAGCACCTGGAACATAATTGGTAGTCAATAAATGTTGGTGAATTATTGCATTCATAAATCAATAACTGGATGGATAGATGTGTGGAAGGATAAATGGATGATTCGATGAATGTTGTTAAACCTTGACTCAAAACTATCAAGTCAAAAAAGTGGACTCAGCTCCTTGCAAGGCAATTCCTTTATGGGTTGAACCCTTACTCTTATTGGCACAAAATTCTCCCACTGATTGAACCAAAATCTACCATATTGTACCTTGCCCTTGGCAGTTCTAGTTTTCTCCTATCTTTCTGCTCTTTCTAGAGAGAACTTTCTTTCTTTTTTTTTTTTTTTTTGAGACGGAGTCTCGTTCTGTCGCCCAGGCGGGAGTGCTGTGGCGCGATCTCCGCTCACTGCAAGCTCCGCCTTCCGGGTTCACGCCATTCTCCTGCCTCAGCCTCCCGAGTAGCTGGGACTACAGGCGCCCGCCACTGTGCCCGGCTAATTTTTTGTATTTTTAGTAGAGACGGGGTTTCACCGTGGTCTCGATCTCCTGACCTCGTGATCCGCCCGCCTCGGCCTCCCAAAGTGCTGGGATTACAGGCGTGAGCCACCGCGCCCGGCCTCTAGAGAGAACTTTCAAAGGCAAAGCAGACCCCTTCTGCATTCTCATTCTCTTCAGTAGCATTAGAAACTAGTAAGAAATGCCGTATTTTTTAGCTGTAGAATCACAAGGGTAAACTTGAGGAAATCAACAAGTCTTTATTTCCTCTAAGACTCCACCGGTTCTGGTTTTCCCATGCATGAGTGGAATGTTGTATCTGAAGAGTCCTAGGTCTGGGTCCTTGCTCCCTGTACCAACAGCAGCCATCTCTATATCAAGATGGCAGCCACAGAACACCGAAGCCCCTGGACACTTCAGTGACTTTGTAGTGTGTCAATTAGCTAGGCCAACCTACTCTTTCCAGAATCTTCTTTCGTATGTGTTTTCAGTTAGAGTGGGTATATTTTCCCCAGTTCAGATATTTGAAAGGATCTCCTAGGCTCTACAGAGTATACTCACATAAGGCTTTTATTTAAAGGCAACAGGGAATGAAAGAGAATGCAGGGAAGCAGTGTAGGTCTGACAGGCATTCTGCAGCACCAGGTTTGTCCACAAGGGCCCAATCTTTGTGCCCACAGCCCATGTTGAATCTCTGGATTGAACTGCCAAGATCTGTGCTAGGAATCTTGGCTTCAGGAGAACCCACTGCAAAGAGCTATGTGGCTCTGTAAGTAGGCAAGTCTGGCTGCTCAAACTAGTGAGGCCAGGTGCAAACCACCAATAAAGAAGATAACACTGCGGATTGCCAGGGGAGTATTGGACCTTAAATAGTACATCCCTTGTCCCACTGCCCTTGTCTTGGTCAGGAGCCAAAAACCAAACATTGAAGTATCCCCAGAAATAAAAATAGAGCTTTGCCAGTGACATGGTTTGGCTTTGTGTCCCCACCCAAATCTCATGTTGAATTGTAGTTCCTGGTGTTGGAGGTGGGGCCTGGTGGGAGGTGATTGGATCATGGGGTGGTTTCTAATGGCTTAGCACCATCCCCCTAGTGCTGTCTTGTGATAGAGTTCTCATGAGATCTGGTTGTTTGAAAGTGTGTAGCACCTCCCCCTTTACTCTCTCTCTCTCTCCTGCTTTGCCTTCTGCCATGACTATAAGTTTCCTGAGGTATCCCCAGAAGCAGAAGCCTGTGCAACCCACAGAACCATGAGCTGATTAAACCTCTTTTCTTTTATAAATTAACCAGTGTCAGGTATGTCTTTATAGCCGTGTGAGAATGGACTAATACAGCCAGTATCTCTATGGTGGAACCCAAGAGAGATTCTTGGGAGATTAGAAGGGCAGAGGGAAGCAAGAGTTGTTTTGCAGCTCACACATGTTGCTGATCTGCTGACTCGCCTCATTGGCAGGAAGCCACTGCTGGGCCTGCAAGTGCTTTATCTTCTCCTGGATCCTCCTTCAGTTTCCGCTTTCTGGGCCAGCCATCTATGTTTAGCTCTATGACAGAAGGCCCCAGCTTCTCCAAGACACCCAAACCACCTACATCAGAGGCAACAAGAAAAGACACGGGTTTTAATTCATCTTTGTGGGGCTCCACCTTGTACCTATGGATTCCAACTTGTTCTTGATCTCTCCACTCTGTGTCCATCTTTCCTTCCCAACTGCATGCCCTGTGAACTTAAAGTTACAACATCACATGTGAAGACAATAACTTTCCAGAAGCTACTTAACCAGTTCTCATAGTGATGTAAGGACATATCTCTGTAACAAATCTTTAAAAAATGTGTCTATGTATCTATCTATCTATCTATCTATCTATCTATCTATCTATCTATCTATATCTATCTATCTGTATCTATCTATCATCTATCTATCTATATCTATCTATCTATCTATCTATCTATCTATCTATCTATCTATCTATCTATCATCTCCCAGTGGCTCTGCTTCTCTGGTTGAATCCTGACCCCTGGCTGGTACAGGTACCCTGCCACCTTCTGGGAGCCTAGCCATTGACATCTTCCTCCTTCTGTGTTGCAGAAAATGCCAGATGTTGGCCAATTCCCTAGGTGCTGCCTCTGTGAACACTGCCATTCAAATTGTAAGCTCCTTCAGACAGTCTCTATTCTATGTGCAGGTGGAAGCCTGGGCAGGCAGCCCTGTTCTTCACTATGGAGTGGGCTACATAGACTTGCAGATGCCAGATAGCCCAATAAACTCAGCTAATTTCTCACAAGAGGGAAAATGCCAAACAGTGATAAGAAATAACTGAAGAAGTCCACTAGCCATGAAAAATAGTGATTCTTGGATATCTAATAAACCTTGAGACAGGAGAGTAAGGTAAGATCACTAGACAGAGACAGGGGTGCCTTGCCATATGGATATCAGGGCCAACTTCCAGGGCATCCCTTGGCACTCACAGAATGCCCCAGTGTGCACGTGATATAAAGATATATTTTCTCTGGACTCAAACCCAACAGGTGGAGCTTTGCACATCTCTTATCAGAGAGGTTGCAAATTGGCAGACTGTGGGCTGAAGTTGGCCTGCCAATATGTTTTCTTTGAACTCAACAGTGTTTTTAAATTTTTTGCCAACTTCCACAAATTGGGGATTTCACATTTAAAAAAAACAAAATTTCCCACTTTTCTTGAAAAAATCAGAAGGTTTGGCAAGTATGGGCCTTTTTTCCTGCGTGGCAAAAATTGGCTGTAGCTGAGTAACAGCTGCTCTTGTTAAACAGGGATAGAACTCTCTAGCTCATGCTGTTCCACCCAACCTGCTTCTCTTGCTTATGTTACCTGCCTGGCTTCTGGAGGCATCTAAGTTTACAAGCACTGGTATTCCCATCTGTAGCAGATGCTGCCTGGCATCCTGCTCATATCCTTTCCCATTGCAGTAGAAACCCAAGCTGGACTTCAAACTGCCAGGATCTGCACCTTTTTACCTGAGGACTTTCTTTGGCAGCCACTCCCTCTCTGGTTGCTCCCCAACAGGTCATAAGTGCACCTTCTCAGCAGTCTTCAACTGATAGGAGTTGGTGTATAAATACCCTAGCTTCCTTCCCGTTGGTTGGAATAACTCTGAGGCACAAAATCAGTACCCTGATTTTCAGAGTTCCCCAATGCTATTAAGTTCTAGATACCCACAATGGTAGCTGACTTGATAAAATGCCCTTTAAAGGCTGCCTTATCCTCCCTATCTCTCCTCCCCTCTCCTTTGCCAGTAATTTTTTTAACCGCCTGAATAAACCACTTATACATTTTATTGTACAGTAACAAGAATTCATAGTACTTATGTTCTGTAAAGTTGCATGAACACTGAATTAGCAAATACTGAACAATTGTTCCTAGGAGAAATAGAGGGTTAGGTTCCTGTGAGCTTCCAGTCACAATATTTTTGTCAGCTAATCAATAGATAACCTTGTTTTAGGTATGTCTATGTTTAAAGACACCTAAATTAATATATATTATTAATTCATTGGCGTTGAACTCATGGCCAACAACACTATGACTTATGCCTAAATGAAGCTCATCTCACACATGTATTTTCTGTGTGAGGCACATTGTAGCCTTCTTTTGCTCAGGAGCACTAGACAGCCTTCAGCACTACATATGGGGACCATTTTAAACATCAAAATAATCAATAAAAAGCATAAAAATTGGAAAAACATGGTGCTATGCAGAATATGAAAAGGACACTTGTTTACAATATGAAAGCTGAAACGTGAATGCAGAGTATCGCTTTGTTTGACCTTAGCTGAGAACATGCACATTGAGTTACTCAAGTTTTTTGCTGCTCTGTGCATATCCATAATCAACTGTGAAAGTGCCAAGAATATTGATTCTGGAAGTTACAAATTAATTTTAGTGAGTAGACAAGTTTGTAAATATGAAATCTGTTAACAAAGAGGATCGACTGTTCCCCAGAAACTGCCTCTAGGGTACCTCAAATGAGGACATTATTAGAAGTGCTTTCTCTTCAAGTAATTTCCTCTTCAAATATTCAGTATTTGTAATTCAGAAATATACACAACTGGGAAGAAATATAACACAGTGGTTTTCAGGCATTGGCCAGTAGGTAGCAAAGGTAATGATCCCTGAGAGAGAGAAAACAAATGAGGCGAGTCCTGTGATTTACCCAGTGTATTGCCTGGAGGCAGTTACAAGGCTATAGTGCAGGAAGAAGGAAACCAGGTGGAACTTAGTGGTTCCCCTGAGTTGAAGAGACTGAGCTGGAAGTCTGGGGAGGTCAAGGAGGTTACAGTTTGTAGTTCTGAAGAGTAGAGAGCTACACCCAGAGAGAGCTCCAGTGATTTGCAGAGCCTTCATATGAGTTCTGATCAGAGCAAACATGTGAAGCAACAATGCAATGTGTGTTCTGGGAAAAGACCCACCTGAAAGGAGCAGAGGGAATAATCCTAAGAGCTCACGGAGAATTAGGTTTAGTTAGTGTTTCCACCAGTCAAAGTGGAAAACCCTGTACTTCATGGGGCATCAGATAGAGTGAGAGGGTCTTGCCTCGGTGGTGGGGAAAAAATTGACCCTTAACTAAAGACTGCTCAAAAAATCAAGCTATTTTCCAGTAACTTAACTATATTCTAGAACAAAACTCAACAATACTTACAGGAAAACAAAAATGTCCAACACTCATCAAGGTAAAATTTACGATGTCTGACATCAAATTAAAAATTACCAGTCATGCAAGAAGCAGGAAAAGATAACCCATAATGAGGAGAAAAATTAATAGAAACAGATCAAGAAACGATGCAGATGATACAATTAGTAGACAAGGACATTTAAACTATTATTATATTTTACACGTTTCAGAAAGTAAAGGAGACATCGAGCATGTTAAGTAGAGACATGGAAGATATATATAAAAAAAGATTCAAATAGAACATCTAGAGAGAAAGTTAGAATGTCTGAGACGAAAAATACACTGGATGGGATTAATAGCAAATTAGATACTACAGAAGAAAAGATTAGTTGAATTGAAGACATAGCAATAAAAACTATTCAAGATGAATTCAGAGAAGAAAAAAGTAAGATAAGTCAGGAGCTTTATTACAGTATGGCTTCTAATGGCTCATCATTCGAGTCTGTCCCTGGAACCTTACTGACACACAGTGCTTGTGGCCCTTGGGAGGGCACAGAAGGGAAAGCTGGACAAGGGGCTAAGTTTCCTAGATACAGTGCGAAGCAGAAGTATGAGGCTCCTGCCCAGGCTCAGGCTCCAGATGTCTCCAACACTCTCTAACTTTCCTCTTTCAGGCCTTAGAGATTTGGTGGGTAGCTGCTTCTACCTGTTATATTTTAAGAATATAGGCCAGGCGCGGTGGCTCACGCCTGTAATCCCAGCACTTTGGGAGGCTGAGGCGGGTGGATCACGAGGTCAGGAGATTGAGACCATCCTGGCTAACATGGTGAAACCCCGTCTCTACTAAAAATACAAAAAATTAGCCGGGCGTGGTGGCGGGCACCTGTAGTCCCAACTACTTGGGAGGCTGAGGCAGAAGAATGGCGTGAACCCAGGAGGCGGAATTTGCAGTGAGCCAAGATCACACCACTGCACTCCAGCCTGGGTGACAGAGTGAGACTCCGTCTCAAAAAAAAAAGAAAAAAAATATATTTAACCGACAAATAAGAATTGTATGTATACAATGTGAAATTTGATGTACATATACATTATCTAACAATTACCACAATCAAATTAATTAAAATATCCATCAGCATCCATAGTTATCATTTGTGTGCATGTGTGCGTGTGTGTGTGTGTATGTGTTGAGAACACTTAAAACCTGCTCTTTAATCCAATTTTAAGTAAACAATACAGTATTACTAACTATAACCACCATGCCATACTTTCGATCCCCAGAACATCTTCATCTCACAACTGAAAGTTCGTACCCTTGATCAACATCTCCCCATTGCCCCCACCCACTGCCCCCTGGCAACCATGTTTCTACTCTCTGCTTCTATGGGTTCAACTTTTTAAGATGAGACCACACACTTTTGAAGGATGTTCTTCTGAGGAATTAGGAAAGAATGGCTATGAAGTTTCCTGTCTCCTCAGTTCTTTGCTCAATTTTTGTCCTCCTATAAACATAGTTTCTTTCTGTTTTAAGACTTGCTACTCTTAAAACAGAATAACAAAATAAAGAAATCAATGTCTTAAATATTACACTAAATTTTCATAGCTCTTGTTTCTCTCTTTAAAAACATTTTTTTTAGAGATGGGGTCTTTCTATGTTGCCCAGGCTGCTCTCAAGCTTCTGTCATCAAGCAATTCTCCTGCCTCAGCCTCCCAAAGTGCTGGGGTTATGGGCACAAGCCACTGGACCTGTCTTATAGCTTCTGTTTCTATTGGATGATAAAATATAAAATCAAGGATGGGTTTGCCTTTCTCAGCAGCTTCTCTGAGCTTTTGTCTTAGGCCATTTTTAGTGCTATCACTGAATGCCACAAACTGGGTAATTTATAAAGAACAGAAATTTATTGGCTTACAGTTCTGGAGGCTAGAAAGTCCAATATCAAGGTGCCAGCATGGCAAGCGCCCTCTTTCTGCATCAAAACATGGCATCAGGCACCACACAGCAAAGGGCAAAGAGACAGAGAGAGCAAGAAGGGGTGAACCTACTCCCACAATAGGGAACCCACTGCCATGATAAAAGCTTTGGTTCACTCATGAGGGTAGAGACCACATGATCTCAACACCTCTTAAAGGTTCTATCTTCTAATTCTGTCACAACGGCAATTAAATTTCAATATGAATTTTGAAGGAGACAAACATTCACACCATATGAGCCCATTCTCAGACATTACTAAATACACCCTGAATAAATGCTGGGGTCCCGCACAAAAGAATATTAAAACCTCAATAAGACACCACTAACTTTCTTTTAATTATAAACTATTTCAAACATACTGAAAACTATATAGTAGACACCCATATATTTATATTCCAAGTTTTTAAAAAGTTGATAATTTGTTGTATTTGCATCAGAACTTTCAATTAATATTTTGAAGTTATGGATATATACAGATATAAAGATGGGAGCTAAAGCCTCCTTTCTCCCCTTCTGGTCTCTTCTTTCCCTCCATTCCCAGAATTAATCATCTCCTGAAGGTGTTTTTCTTTTTAATAATTTTATATATTATCATATATGCTTAATATGGAGTATCATTTTGATTATTATAACATTTACATAAGTAATATCACACCATCCTTTTGCAACTTACTTTTTTCACTCGGTATTATGTTTTAGAAATTTATATGTATTGATTTGTGTAGATTTAGTTCATTCATTCTAACTGCTTTATTTTATGATGTTACATGAACATTTAGTAATTTCATGTGTTTTTGCTATTACAGTGGTTCAGTGAACATCCTTGCAAATGTCTCCTAGTGAACACGTACAAAAGTTTCTCCCAGAAGTAGAAATGCTGTGTTATAGAGCGTGTGTGTCCTCAGCATTACTGGGTATTCCCAGAATATTCATCAAAGGATACCAATCTACACTCCTAGCAACAGCACAGAAGCAGTCCCTTTTCCCCACATCTTTAGCTGAATCACTATTATCAGCTTTAAAAAATTTGTATCAATCTATATCTAGACTCTCTATTCTGTTCCGTTGATTTGCTTCTCAATTATATGCTAATACCACACTATTTTAATGATTATAGCTTTATAAATCTAGATATCTGCTAAGAGGGATTTACCTCCTTGTTCTTCATAATTATCTATTTATTCTTGTTATTTTATTCTTCTGTAAGAATTGTAGGATAGATTGCTTGTTGTATTAGTCCGTTTTTGCACTGCGATAAAGAACTTCCCCGAGACTGGATAATTTATAAAGAAAATAGGTTTAATTGACTCACAGTTCCACACGACCGGGGAGGCCTCAGGAAACTTACAATCATGGCGGAAGGGGAAGAGGCACCCTCTTCAGAAAGTGGCAGGAGAAAGAAGAGAAAGCAAAGGAGGACCAGCCCTGTATAAACCATCAGATCTCATGAAAACTCACTCGCTATCATGAGAACAGCATGGGAGAATCCTCCTCCATGATCAAATCACCTCCCTCTCCCTCCACAGGTGGAGATTACAGGTCCCTCCCTCAACACGTAAGGCTTACAATTCGAGATGAGATTCGGGTGGGGACACAGAGTCAGAGACTATCACTTGTCAAAATCTATGGAAAGCTCAGTTAGCATTGGAATGTAATGACAGCGAATTTCTAGATGAACTTGGGAAAAATTGACATCTTTTTCATGTAGAGTCTTTCTATCCAGGCTCATCTATGTCTCTCCAGGTTTACTTTGATTTTTCAATAAATTTTATAGTTTTCCCATATATGGTGTAAGATTTATTACCAGGCAGTTAGAATTTTTGTTGCTGAAATGCCACTTTTCACTTACCAGAAAGGAGAAGATCAAAAAGATTAATAACACTCTCCACTGGTAAGATTATAGGAAAATGGACAATCTCATAATTTATTAGTGTAAGTGTAAATTAATACAATCTCTTGGAGAATAATTTTAATAGCTCTAAACTTTTTAATGCATACATTATTTGAGACTTTTCATTTCTAGAAATTATTCACAAATATATGCACAAATATGTAAAATGTTTTGTGTATGATATTAAGGCAGTATAATTCTAAAAGTATAAAATTGGCCACAACCTAAATGTGTATCAGTAGAAGCTTGGCTAAATCAATCATTGATTAGTTGATCTGTTCAATAAAATATTATGCAGTCATTAAAATGAGGCAGCTTTATAAATACTTATATGAAAAAATATGCAAGATTTTAATTTTTTCTTTTTTCTGTTTGCTTTAGATTTACTTTGCTCTTCTTTTTCCGGTGTCTTAAGGAAGTAGGTTAGGTTATTGATCAGAAATCTTTCTTCTTTCTTAATATAAGCATTTGCAGCTATAAATTTCCTTGTAATACTGCTTTAGCTACATTCCATACGTTTTCTTTTTTATTATTATACTTTAAGTTCTAGGGTACATGTGCACAACGTGCAGGTTTGTTACATACGCATACATGTGCCATGTTGGTGTGCTGCACCCATTAACTCATCATTTAGCATTAAGTATATCTCCTAATGCTACCCCTCCCCCAGGCCCCCACCCCATGACAGGCCCTGGTGTGTGGTGTTCCCCAACCTGTGTCCAAGTGTTCTCATTGTTCAATTCCCACCTATGAGTGAGAACATGCGGTGTTCAGTTTGCTGTCCTTGTGATAGTTTGCTTAGAATGATGGTTTCCAGCGTCATCCATATCCCTACAAAGGACATGAACTCATCATTTTTTATGGCTGCATAGTATTCCATGGTGTATATGTGCCACATTTTCTTAATCCAGTCTATCATTGATGGACATTTGGGTTGGTTCCAAGTCTTTGCTATTGTGAATAGTGCCACAATAAACATATGTGTGCATGTGTCTTTATAGCAGCATGATTTATAATCCTTTGGGTATATACCCAGTAATGGGATGGCTGGGTCAAATGGTATTTCTAGTTCTAGATCCTTGAAGAATCGCCACACTGTCTTCCACAATGGTTGAACTAGTTTACAGTCCCACCAACAGTGTAAAAGTGTTCCTATTTCTCCACATCCTCTCCAGCACCTGTTGTTTCCTGACTTTTTAATGATTGCCATTCTAACTGGTGTGAGATGGTATCTCATTGTGGTTTTGATTTGCTTTTCTCTGATGGCCAGTGATGATGAGCATTTTTTCATATGTCTGTTGGTTGCATAAATGTCTTCTTTTGAGAAGTGTCTGTTTCTATCCTTTGCCCACTTTTTGATGGGGTTGTTTGATTTTTTCTTGTAAATTTGTTTAAGTTCTTTGTAGATTCTGGATATTAGCCCTTTGTCAGATGGGTAGATTGCAAAAAATTTCTCCCATTCTGTAGGTTGCCTGTTCACTTTGATGGTAGTTTCTTTTGCTGTGCAGAAGATCTTTAGTTTCATTAGATCCCATTTCTCAATTTTGGCTTTTGTTGCCATTGCTTTTGGTGTTTTAGACTTGAAGTCCTTGCCTATGCCCATGTCCTGAATGGTATTGCCTAGGTTTTCTTCTAGGGTTTTTATGGTTTTAGATGTGACATTTAAGTCTTTAATCCATCTTGAATTGATTTTTATATAAGATGTAAGGAAGGTATCCAGTTTCAGGTTTCTACATATGGCTAGCCAGTTTTCCCGGCGCCATTTATTAAATAGGGAATCCTTTCCCCATTTCTTGTTTTTGTCAGGTTTGTCAAAGATCAGATGGTTGTAGATGTGTGGTATTATTTCTGAGGGCTCTGTTCTGTTCCATTGGTCTATATCTCTGTTTTGGTACCAGTACCATGCTGTTTTGGTTACTGTAGCCTTGTAGCATAGTTTGAAGTCAGGTAGCATGATGCCTCCAGCTTTGTTCTATTGGCTTAGGATTGTCTTGGCAATGTGGGCTCTTTTTTGGTTCCATATGAACTTTAAAGTCTTGGTAGCTTGATGGGGATGGCATTGAATCTATAAATTACCTTGGGCGGTATGGCCATTTTCATGATATTGATTCTTCTTATCCATGAGCATGGAATGTTCTTGCATTTGTTTGTGTCCTCTTTTATTTCGTTGAACAGTGGTTTGTAATTCTCCTTGAAAAGGTCCTTCACATCCCTTGTTTGGTGGATTCCTAGGTATTTTATTCTCTTTGAAGCAATTGTGAATAAGAGTTCACTCATGATTTGGCTCTCTGTCTGTTATTGGTGTATAGGAATGCTTGTGATTTTTGCAGATTGATTTCGTATCCTGAGACTTTGCTGAAGTTGCTTATTAGCTTAAGGAGATTTTGGGCTGAGATGATGGGGTTTTCTAAATATACAATCATGTCATCTGCAAACAGGGACAACTTGACTTCCTCTTTTCCTAATTGAATAACTTTATTTCTTTCTTCTGCCTGATTGCCCTGGCCAGAACTTCCAACACTATGTTGAATAGGAGTGGTGAGAGAGGGCATCCCTGTCTTGTGCCCATTTTCAAAGGGAATGCTTCCAGTTTTTGCCCATTCAGTATGATATTGGCTGTGGATTTGTCATCGATAGCTCTTATTATTTTGAGATACGTCCCATCAATACCTAATTTATTGGGAGTTTTTAGCATGAAGGGCTGTTGAATTTTGTCAAAGGCCTTTTCTGCATCTATTGAGATAATCATGTGGTTTTTGTCTTTGGTTCTGTTTATATGATGGATTACGTTTATTGATTTGTGTACGTTGAACCAGCCTTGCATCCCAGGGATGAAGCCCACTTGATCATGGTGGATAAGCTTTTTGATGTGCTGCTGGATTTGGTTTGCCAGTATTTTATTGAAGATTTTTGCATCGATGTTCATCAGGGATATTGGTCTAAAATTCTCTTTTTTTGTTGTGTCTCTGCCCAGCTTTGGTATCAGGATGATGCTGGCCTCATAAAATGAGTTAGGGAGGATTCCCTCTTTTTCTATTGATTGGAATAGTTTCAGAAGGAGTGGTACCATCTCCTCTTTCTACCTCTGGTAGAATTCAGCTGTGAATCCGTCTGATCTTGGACTTTTTTTGATTGGTAGGCTCTTAATTATTGCCTCAATTTCAGAGCCTGTTATTGGTCTATTCAGGGACTCAGCTTCTTCCTGGTTTAGTCTTGGGAGGGTGTATGTGTCCAGGAATTTATCCATTTCTTCTAGATTTTCTAGTTTATTTGCATAGAGGTGTTTATAGTATTCTCTGATGGTAGTTTGTATCTCTGTGGGATCGGTGGTGACATCCCCTTTATCATTTTTTATTGCGTCTATTTGATTCTTCTCTCTTTTCTTCTTTATTAGTCTTGCTAGCAGTCTATCAATTTTGTTAATCTTTTCTAAAAACCAGCTCCTGGATTCATTGATTTTTTGAAGGGTTTTTGGTGTCTCTATCTCCTTCAGTTCTGCTCTGATCTTAGTTATTTCTTGCCTTCTGCTGGCTTTTGAATGTGTTTGCTCTTGCTTCTCTAGTTCTTTTAATTGTGATGTTAGGGTGTCAATTTTAGATCTTTCCTGCTTTCTCTTGTGGGCATTTAGTGCTATAAATTTCCCTCTACACCTTGCCTTAAATGTGTCCCAGAGATTCTGGTATGTTGTGTCTTTGTTCTCATTGGTTTCAAAGAACATCTTTATTTCTGCCTTCATTTCGTTATGTACCCAGTAGTCATTCAGGAGCAGGTTGTTCAGTTTCCATATAGTTAAGCGGTTTTGAGTGAGTTTCTTAATCTTGAATTCTAGTTTGATTGCACTGTGGTCTGAGAGACAGTTTGTTATAATTTCTGTTCTTTTACGTTTGCTGAGGAGTGCTTTACTTCCAACTATGTGGTCAATTTTGGAATAAGTGCGATGTGGTGCTGAGAAGAATGTATATTCTGTTGATTTGGGTTGGAGAGTTCTGTAGATGTCTGTTAGGTCTGCTTGTTGCAGAGCTGAGTTCAAGTCCTGGATATCCTTGTTAACTTCCTGTCTCGTGGATCTCTCTAATGTTGACAGTGGGGTGTTAAAGTCTCCCATTATTATTGTGTGGGAGTCTAAGTCTCTTTATAGGTCTCTAAGGAGTTGCTTTATGAATCTGGGTGCTCCTCTATTGGGTGCATATATATTTAGGATAGTTAGCTCTTCTTGTTGAATTGATCCCTTTACCATTATGTAATGGCCTTCTTTGTCTCTTCTGATCTTTGTTGGTTTAAAGTCTGTTTTATCAGAGACTAGGATTGCAACCCCTGCTTTTTTTTTGTTTTCCATTTGCTTGGTAGATCTTCCTCCATCCCTTTATTTTGAGCCTATATGTGTCTCTGCACGTGAGATGGGTCTCCTGAATATAGCACACTGATGGGTCTTGACTCTTTATCCAATTTGCCAGTCTGTGTCTTTTAATTGGAGCATTTAGCCCATTTACATTTAAGGTTAATATTGTTATGTGTGAATTTGATCCTGTCAGTATGATGTTAGCTGGTTATTTTGCTTGTTAGTTGATACAGTTTCTTCCTAGCATCGATGGTCTTTGCAATTTGGCATGTTTTTGCAGTGGCTGGTACCGGTTGCTCCTTTCCATGTTTAGTGCTTCCTTCAGGAGCTCTTGTAAGGCGGGCCTGATGGTGACAAAAATCTCTCAGTATTTGCTTGTCTGTAAAGGATTTTTATTTCTCCCTCACTTATGAAGCTTAATTTGGCTGGATATGAAATTCTGGGTTGAAAATTCTTTTCTTTAAGAATGTCGAATATTGGCCCCCACTCTCTTCTGGCTTGTAGAGTTTCTGCCGAGAGATCCGCTGTTAGTCTGATGGGCTTCCCTTTGTGGGTAATCCGACCTTTCTCTCTGGCCGCCCTTAACATTTTTTCCTTCATTTCAACTTTGGTGAATCTGACAATTATGTGTCTTGGAGTTGCTCTTCTCGAAGAGTATCTTTGTGGCATTCTCTGTATTTCCTGAATTTGAATGTTGGCCTGCCTTGCTAGACTGGGGAAGTTCTGCTGGATAATATCCTGCAGAGTGTTTTCCAACTTGGTTCCATTCTCCCTGTCACTTTCAGGTACACCAATCAGACGTAGATTTGGTCTTTTCACATAGTCCCATATTTCTTGGAGGCTTTGTTCATTTCTTTTTACTCTTTTTTTCTCTAAACTTCTCGCTTCATTTCATTCATTTGATCTTCCATCACTGATACCCTTTCTTCCAGTTGATCGAATTGGCTACTGAAGCTTGTGCATGTGTCACGTAGTTCTTGTGCCATGGTTTTCAGCTGCAGCAGGTAATTTAAGGTCTTCTCTATGCTGTTTATTCTAGTTAGCCATTCATTCATTCTTTTTTCAAGGTTTTTAGCTTTTTTGCAATTGGTTCAAACATCCTCCTTTACCTTGGAGAAGTTTGTTATTACCGATCTTCTGAAGCCTTCTTCTCTCAACTCATCAAAGTCATTCTCCATCCAACTCTGTTTCATTGCTGGTGAGGAGCTGCATTCCTTTGGAAGGGAAGAGGCACTCTGATTTTAAGAATTTTCAGCTTTTCTGCTCTGGTTTCTCCCCATCTTTGTGGTTTTATCTACCTTTGGTCTTTGATGATGGTGACATACAGATGGGATTTTGGTGTGGATGTCCTTTCTGTTTGTTAGTTTTCCTACTAACAGTCAGGACCCTTAGCTGCAGGTCTGTTGGAGTTTGCTGGAGGTCCACTTCCAGACCGTTTGCCTGGGTATCACCAGCGGAGGCTGCAGAACCGCAAATATTGCAGAATGGCAAATGTTGCTGCCTGATCATTCCTCTGGAAGCTTCATCTCAGAGGGGCACTGGCCGTATGAGGTGTCAGTCGGCCCCTACTGGGAGGTGCCTCCCAGTTAGGCTACTCGGGGGTCAGGGACCCATTTGAGGAGGCAGTCTGTCCGTTCTCAGATCTCAAACTCCATGCTGGGAGAACCACTACTCTCTTCAAAGCTGTCAGACAGGGACGTTTAAGTCTGCAGAAGTTTCTGCTGCCTTTTGTTCAGCTATGCCCTGCCCCCAGAGGTGGAGTCTACAGAGGCAGGCAGGCCTACTTGAGCTGCAGTGGGCTCCACTCAGTTTGAGCTTCTCTGCTGCTTTGTTTACCTACTCAAGCCTCAGCAATGGCAGATGCCCCTCCCCCAGCCTCGCTGCTGCCTTGCAGTTCAATCTCAGACTGGTGTGCTGGCAGTGAGCAAGGCTCTGTGGGTGTGGGACCCTCTGAGCCAGGCACGGGATATAATCTCCTGGTGTGCCAATTGCCTAGACCATTGGAAAAGCACAGTGTTAGGGTGGGAGTGACCCAATTTTCCAGGTGCCATCTGTCACGGCTTCCCTTGGCTAGGAAAGGGAATTCCCCGACCCCTTGCACCTCCCAGGTGACATGATGCCTCACCCTGCTTTAGCTCACAGTCCGTGGGCTGCACCCACTGTCCTGAACCCACTGTCTGACAAGCCCCAGTGAGATCAACCTGGTACCTCAGTTGGAAATGCAGAAATCACCCATCTTCTGCGTTGCTCACGCTGGGAGCTGTAGACTGGAGCTGTTCCTGTTCACCCATCTTGGAAGCTCCCACATTCCATAAGTTTTTAGCCTGTTGTGTCTTCGTTTTCTTTTATTTCAAAGTATTCTCTAGGTTCTCATGTGATTTCTCCTTTGGCCCATTAGTTATTTGGAGTATGTTGTTTAGTTCTCAAATATTTGTGAATTACTCAAATTTCTTTCTGACATTGATTTCTATTTCATTCTATTTTGGTTGGAGGACACACTTTGTATAATTTAAATCCTTTTAGAGTTACTGAGGATTGTTTAATGGTTTAGTGTATAATCTCTCCTGGAGAACATTCCATGTACACTTGAGAAGAATGTATTTTACTATTGATGGGTAGAAGAAAGGGACACCTCTTAAAATCTCCTTTCTCTCATATCTTACTCTCTCTTCCTTACAGTTATTTCACAGCATCTCACCCTCTAAGCTTGAACTCTCTTCCTGTCATGCCCAGTCCATAGGGTGTTCTTTGTTTTTCTCCTTCTTCATTCTCTCTCACCTCTTTATTATATAATCAACTTAGCCTCTCCTATGATGGCTTCTCCTCCTCTTCTTCCTTTTCCTCCTTCTCTTTGTTCCCCAGGTTTTCATTATTCAGATTCTCCTAGAACAAAATAGAACCTGAGAACTGACCCCAACATAAGAATTCTCCCCCTTTCCCCATGCCTCTTTAATTTAATCTCTCTTTACAAATTTTTCTGAACCTGCATTGCAAAAAGTACAAGAACCAGCCTGGCAAGGAGAGAACTCTCAATATGATCAGATCACTAGGGTTAAAATGAACTGGTGAAGACAAATTTTCCTTCTACATCCACCTTCCATGGATCACAGACCCCGTGGGAGATCCTTGTAAACAAAGTCTTAATCAACCATAGCAGGATTATCCTCCTGCCTCAAAGTCTCCCACTGTAAATTCCATCTCAGCCCTCTGTGTACCTAATGGAACCAAATGTGAAGCTTTGATAGTGGCAACCTCAAAGCTGGAATCAATTTAGCTTAATTCATTATTGATACTCTACTAAAAAGTCCCTTTGAAGTCACAGCATCAGCAGATGCCACAAACATTAAGATCCCTCACAGTTGTCTAAGCTCTTACAGCCTATGGAGGGGTGGAAAGGTAATTGCACTTTTGTTGAACAAAGACTTAGAAAAAATATCAGATATTTGTATTTTATTTTTCGCATATTAACCCAGATATTTGTACACATCTCTATGATTGCTCTCAGCACATTATATGGCTGTAATTATTTGTGGGCCTTACTGGCTGTATCTTATTCATCTTTTTATTCCCTTGCTAAGCACTATGCCTGGCACATAGTAGAAATTCAATAAACATTTGCAGAATGAATGGAGACAACACAATAATAAATAGACCCAGTAGGGCTTCACAGTGCTTTTCCAAAAGAATATTTATAGGTACTGAAAACCCACTATATTGGTATCATAACTCAAAATCTATCCCAAGCCCTGTGTTATTTTTTTTTCAGGTATAGTCCCAAAAGTTCAGTGGCATTTTCAATCCCTTCAATCCTACTTTCAGCCAGTGTAATTATTGGCAAAGCCTATTTCAAATGTGTGCTACAGATGCACATGTGTGCCCACACACACACACACGCACACATGCACAGCCGCATACACACACACACACACGGGCTACACATTTTGTAATCTGAGCATAGAGGATGGTGCACTCACCCTGCCTTCTACACCAGGAATGGACCTTTATTCTAAGAATTAGAGGGATAATGAAGGACAGAGATGCACATGTCTCCTAAACCTCTCAGACCTTCAAAGACACCTGGACCTCAAATGAGGGGATAAGATTTTTGAGGTACTTATATATTTTGTTGTCATAATTTCTTCTGCACCCTAGCCTTTTCTTTATTCTGACAACTGGCATTACTGGTCTTCCTTGCTTCCAGAAAAGAATGGCATTGCAGAATGCTGATAGCATTCTATCAGAATTGAATGCTTGGCTTTTGAGGTTCAGAACACTAGATCAGGACATAAATAAAAAATTGGTAAGAATACCTGAAGAGCAACAACAGAGGCTCCCTGTTCTGTGCAAGGGCCAGAGGTTCCCTGAGCAGAGTCTGTTGAGAGTGAGACTATGACATCGACAGTGTCTCATGTCACCCAGTGAGGGCTCATGTGGCCAGCCTTAGGGTGGTTACAATAAGAATTTTTGTCTTTAGTTCAGCAGAACAAGAGAATCATTGATGGCTGAAAAGATGGAAGAAATAACGAGAGAATTTCTCCTGGAGTGTCCTCAACATGAAACTGAAAGGCATACCACCTAAATTTTTTGGTAGTCATTCTTCCAGTACATTTGCCACTGGGAGCTGGCAGGAGCTTTCTGAAGTTTTGTTTCTAGGCTCAGGAAGATGTTGATTTGGGTCATGGCCGTTGTCCATATCTAGGTCATTCCAGAAGGCACTGTTAGGGGTGCTCTTGCCTCCCCATGCCCCTAGCAGGCTGGATCCACATGGGGTGAGCATAGTGTCATTACCTCCCTCCCAGTGTGACACTCACCTGGCATTAGTGAGCAGTCTACTGAGCAAAAGACGTAGTTTCCTGAAAAACTGTCCTTAGAAGAAAAAGTAGAATTGAGTGATTAGAATCAATCCTAGAATCCTGCTAGAGTCACTGGGATTGACTGGGTTTTTAGAACAGGTTGACTTTATAATGTCAGGTATGGCTTTGATTTACTCTTTAGCATATTATTCTAGGCATAATACAGAATATACTGAAGAATGTTTGACTTCTGTTAGGACTTTAAATCTAAGAGAGTACTAATTACATAATTACACACTTTACTGCACAGAATACAGATCCGAAAACTTGTCATAGTCCAGTTTATATAAAAAAAGGAGAAATAATCTTGCTGAATACCATAGGAAGTTATTTATTTCACCGAGTAACTTACTCCACCAGTATAAATAAAAAAGGAGATAAATTATTTATATTGGTTGATACCTGTGTCTTCGTTTGGGTTCCCCTGAAAGCAAACTCTGAGATAAAAGCTTGGATGTAGACGGTTTATTTAGAACAGAACCCAAGAAGTACAAGTATGGAGGGGGGGAAAGTAAGAAAGAGACAGTGAATAAAGGAAGCACGCATGAACAGGTTACCACTGTGGACAACTGGGTCCTCAGTCCTGCCAGGAACTCTAGAAATCCTAGAACTCTAAGAATTCTGGAGAATTATGTAAACTCTATCTCAGAATAGTCCCATCAAGCCTATTCACTATTACCCACTATTACCTACTGAAATATTTATCCACCAGTTTCCTTTTCTTAAGGATTGAAGTTGTTCCTGAAGTTAAATCCCTAGCACTTCTGGCCTGCTCTGCATGAACGGTGAGCCACTCCCTCATGCTGGGGAAGCCCTCAGGCAGAGAGATGCAGGCCCCGGAGGTGGGAAGCTATTTCTGCGCACAGTTACTGTCCATCTGCAGCTGCACATGAACTCAGAGCTGGGGCAGAGGGAATAGAGAGCAGTGCATCTGCCATGGCTGCTGCAATCTCTTTGGGAATTAGAACATTTCTAAATTCGCGTATGTCTTTTAAGTCCCCTATGCCGGGAGAGGAATTGTTGAAGAGAAAGCAAAAAGACTTTAGATTCTGGTGGGTCCCTGAAAAGTATCCTAAACTGCTCTGCTAAGCCAAATCCCAGGACAGAAATGATATAGGAAGGTAAATGACAGTAACCCCCAATAGTGTCCCCATCTTTTACAGCACAGGGAAATGACAAGATCCCAGAATCTCCTTCAAATAGCATGGTGTGGGAGCAGAAGAAACCTCTTGGGTGTTTAGGCTGGTGGGTGTAAGGCAGCCTCAAAGAGTCCCTCATTCCCCTGAGAAGAGGGATGTGGGCATGTCACAGAAGTTGTGACCCACAAAGGCCTTGGGTATGGAGAGCAGGTGGATGTAGCAAAACCTTTCCAGAGAAGTGTCTGGAGACCAGATGGGGACAGAGCCCTTTCAGAGACTCTGATGTAGATGACAAGGACAAGGACAGGTGCCTGGGCCCTGTGGGACCCCCACAAAGTAGACCTTGCCCTGCGGAGAAAGTGAATGGTGAAACCTTGAACCTCCTGAGGTTGGTTTTACTACCAAGGAGAAGGGGTTCATGAATTCACTTACAGTGAAAATAAAAACTTTCATCTTTCCTTGCACATCTGAGCCTATGGCCTCCATACACATGGAACAAAGCTCCTTTGTTTCCCTCTCATACCCAAGCAGAACATTTCCTGGGACCAGAGAGAAGCAACTTGAGTGTGGGCCCCTTTCTTGTCATGTAAGGGAGATGTGTTCTTTACACTAGTGCTCTAAGACCTTAGCATACATTAGAAGCATTCAGAGGGCTTGTTAAAACATAGAAGCCCAGGCCCACCCCCATAAATACTGGCTCAGTAAGTCTGAGAAAGGCCTAAGAAGGACCTTTGTTCTTGGTTACCTTTTGATATGGTTTGGCTGTGTCCCCACCCAAATCTCATCTTGAATTGTAACTCCCACAATTCCCATGTGTCCTGGGAGGAACCCAGTGGGAGGCGATTGAATTATGGGGGTGGGTCTTTCCTGTGCTGTTCTCACAATAGTGAATGAGTCTCATGAGATCTGATGGTTTTAAAAGTGGGAGTTTCCTGCACAAGCTCTCGCTCTCTGCCTGCTGCCATCCATGTAAGACATGACTTGCTTCTCCTTGTCTTCCACCATGATTATGAGGCCTCCCCAGCCATGTGGAACTGTAAGTCCATTAAACATCTTTTTCTTCCCAGTCTCAAGTATGTCTTTATCAGCAGCATGAAAATGGATTAATATGCCCTTGCATTCAGTGATGGCCCTGCTGGTCATAGCTGTGCACAGAGAAGGCACTTCAGGCACTGCGGACACCAGGCCTCTTCATGTTAGCCCTGTGTAAAAGCCATTCCCTGCCCATGCTTGCCTCTGTGCCATTTAGACACACAGTAAGATCCTACTCTGTAGTGCTGTTCCTTCACAATAAAATCCATAGCCAGATCATGAAAGAGGAAAGAGAGAGTGGGCTAGGCTACCTTGGGCAGACTGAGGGAAGGGAGGAGTTGGGGTTGGTCATTTGCATAAGTGGTTGCATGCCATCCATTTCCCTTCTTCCCTTTCTGAGGTCCTAGGGTGTTACCTTGTTGTTAAGAATTTATTTATTGCATAATGCATAGTGTATATCATATCACTCATCTCTGAGAGTCATTTATTGGACAACCATGTGTTGCCGGGCCAGGCACTGTGCTGAGTGTGAGAGAGACAAAGACGGAACAACCACTAATGGAGGAGACCAAAAAGCAAACAGCCATCACTGTGTGTTATAGCTGTCTCAGTCCATTTGTGTTGCTGTAAAGGAATACCTGAGGCTGGGTAATTTATAAAGAAGTTTATTTGGCTTGCACTTCTGCAGGCTGTACAAGAAGACTGTGCCAACATCTGCTTCTGATGAGGACCTCAAGCTGCTTCCATTCATGGTGGAAGGCAAAGGGGAACCTGCACCTGCAGGGATTACATGGCGAGAAAGGGATTAAGCAAGAAATGGGGGCGATGCCAGCCTCCTTTTAACAACCAGATGTCACAGGAACCAACAGAGTGAGAATTCATTCACCCGGTCTCCCTCTGCTCCAAGCAGGAAATTCACCTATTCATGAAGGATCCACCCTCATGACCCAGACACCTCCCATTAGGCCCCACCTCTAACACTGGGAATTAAATTTCGACATGAAGTTTGGAGGAACAAACATTCAAACCATAGCACCAAGTCAAACAAAAAAATGCCTGGGGTTAAGTTATTTGGGGAATTGCCTCTCTAGCTTCCCTTATTCTTGCTCTTTTCACCTCAGCTTGAGATGGGAAGAACAGCGACTGGGCCGTTGATGACATCTTCTTGAATTGCTTGGGCCAGGTCTGCTATTGCTTTGCAGAATTTTTTGTTTTTCACTAGCTGATGTCTACTGTTCCTTTCATGAATACTCTCAGTCTCTGATTTGTTCTGGCACTTTAACCTGCCATCCATCTGAACAGAAAAATTTCATTTTTTTCTAGGAAAACAGCAGAATTGTTAACACCAAAGCTGCCATGGCTTATGAGAAAACAGACAGATGAAAAGCTAAAGAGAGAAACATACAGAAACCCCAGTGGCGGTCTAATTGGGGTGTTGATCATCTCACCTCTCTGAGCAATGAGACAGCCTGGAGGTTAGATCAACAATGCTCTGAGTCCCAGGAGAGACCCACGGCCTGCATCTGGGACTTCACCAGATCTAGTTTATCTTGAACTGGAGCCAAGAATCCCAGGCCAGAGTCACCCAGCCCCAGTTCTTTTGGGAGCCTTTTTTCATGGGCTGTCTCTGTCATGGGAAGGCCATGGGCTGAGGAGGTTAGTGTGATGCCTAACCTCACTAGAGGTTGAGGAAGGAGATGGAATGGGAGAAGGAGAGATGGAAATGACAGAGCTAGAGCAAGAGTTGAGAGAAGGCAGAGGAGGGTGGGAGGGTGGGGAGGGCAAGAGGAACTGTATCCGTTTCCTGCGGCTGCCATAACAAAGTCCCACAAGTGGGTGGCTTAAATAACAGAAATGTATGATCTCACAGTTGTAGCAACAAGAAGTCCATGATCAAGGTGTTGGCAGTGCTGGTTCTTTCTTAGGACTGTGAAGGACAGTCTGTTTCATGTCTCTCCTAGCTATCAGTGATTTCCTGGCCATCTTTGATATTCCTTGGCTTTTAGATGTGTCACCCAGGTCTGCCCTCTTCTTCACATGATGTTCTCTGTGTATGCCTGTCTCTGCCCAATTGTCCCCTTTTTGTAACAATACCAGTCATATTAGATTAGGGCCCACCCTAACAACCTCCTTTTAACCTGATAATCTACAAAGATCCTATTTGCTGTCAAGGCCCCCTTCACAGGTTCCCCAGCAGAGGCAGGGCTTCAGTGTAATTTTGGAGGACACGATTCAACCCATGATAGGAGCAAGGGTGAGAAAGAGAGGAGAAGGGAGCAAGGTCTGGGCCTCATGTGCCAAGTGATGGTGGGGGATGGGAAGAACTGGCAGCAAAGCTGTCAGGGACAGCAGCAAAGGCCTGGGGAGTGGAAAAATGTGCTTTGTGTACTCTGGAAAAACAGCAGTGAACAAGCAAACAAAAGCCCTACCCTTGTGGAGCTTATGTTTTATGGGAGTGGGTGGAGAAACAGACAATAAACACCTTAGTATTTTAATTTTCCAGGTGTTGAGAAGAGCCACAGAGATTCTCAAAGAAAGCCCCATGTTGATGAGGGGTTTCAATGTAGAATGGGGGGTCCACGAAGCCTTCACTAAATAGGTGACATTGGAGTGAACACAAAAATGAAGAAATGAGCCACATGGATGACTTTCTGGGGAACACAAAAATGAAGAAATGAGCCATATGGATGACTTTCTGGGGAAAGAGTGCTCAAGCAGTGGGCTGGCCAGGGTGACAGCCCTGGGGTGGGCTGTTCTTGGTAAGTTCAAGCACAGCGTTGCTAGAGATGAGTGGAAGATGGTGACTCTGCACACTCAGTTTTCTGAAGGCCTCCTGGATTTGGAACCTTCTAATCCTTCATCCTCATTAACCTCAAAATGTCCCCAGATATTCTGAACTACATCTCCCAGGGTGTCTGCCTCTTGAATTTGGAAATGACACAGTATTCCCACCTGGCAATACACCGTGATTTGAGATTTGGAAGACACAATTCAATCCAGAAATTGCTAAGCACTGTCCACTGGGGCATTACAATGGGATTCCAGGAGAACAACCACACATAACCCACTATTTCACCTCTGACTTCATGAAAACACACGTGTATACATGCTTGTGCACGTGAGTGTGCACAGACACACCACACACACTGGAAGAAACAACTGAGTCAAAAGGTAAAACATTTTTTTCCACAAACATTTTAGCTGACATTCTAAGATCAAAATAAAGACAAAAACAATGAGCAAGTTCATTGCAGGACTTCCCCAATGGCAGTTTTCCCCCCTCCACTCTTGGTTGCAGACAGCATGGCTGCTTTACAGCCATCAGAAGAAACACTGCTCATGGTGATGGTCAGCTATCCTTCAACCTGTTCAAGCCAGAAGCCTGAAAACTGAGCATGCTGGATTCTCTTCTCCCTTCTACCTACCTCACTCCCTCAGTGATCTCAGGTCTCACGGCTTCAAACACTATCTGAGTGCTGCTGGAGTCCAGCTTTGTATATGCAGGCCAGACCTCCCCCTGACCTTCAGCTATCCTACAACTGCTGCCTTCACTTCATCTCCTCTTAGCTGTCTAGAGGACATCTCGAATGTCACATGTTCCAAATCAAGCCACTGGCATGCATTCATCTCCTTCCACCTTCTCTCCTTCCCCATCTTGGTTAATGGCAAGTCTATTCTTCCAACTACTCAGAACAAAAATTTGAACTCATCTTGACTCTTCTCTTCCTCTCACATTAGTCATTAATTCATCAGCAAATCCTATAGGTTCTTCCTTAAAGTATATCCACAAGCTGACCCCTGTCACCACCGATGCCACTTAGTGCAAGCCAAGAACCTCTTGGTTGGTCTCCCTGCTCCTGCTTTTTGCCCCCCACTGATTAGTCTCAACCCAGCAGCCAGAATGATCCAGTTAAAACCCAAGTCAGATTGTGTCTCTCCTCTAAGGGCTCCCCTCTCACTCAGAGGAAAAGCCAAAGTTCCTTCAATGCAACCAGGGGGTGTCCTGCATGGTCCTCCTGCCCCCCGCCCCCTTGCCTCTCTTATTCCACTTCCCATCAGGCTCCACCCTGCTCTCTTTGCTTCAGCCATGCCGGCTGTTCCTCAGACATGCCAGCATACTCTTGCCTTGGAACCTTCACATTTATCATTCTGTCTGCCCCGAACACTCAACCTCAAATAGCTGTGCAGCCCTCTCCTTTACACAAATGGTAACTCTTCCATGAAACCTTTCTCCACCACTCAATGTCCATTTCCAAGCCCAGCCCATGCTCCCCAGCCCCATCCCTGCTCTGCTTTTTTGCCTTCATCCTCATCACTATCTGACCCAGTGGATAGTTTTAATTGTATCTGTCACTAGAATGCAAGCTCCATGAGACACACATTTTTGTCTGTGTTATTCATTGCTCTACTTCCAGTTCCCAGAACAATTTTGGCACATAGCATGTGTTCATTAATTATGTGTTGGTTAAATGAAGGAAGCTTTATGAGGGAAAGAGCATGCCACTCCTCTTCCAGCGTCCCCCTTGGTGGCCAGGGCAGAGCAGGCATTCAGCTGCTCTTGTGGGAGAAGAAGGGACTTGCAAGATCATCTCCCTTAGCTCCCTCATTTTCAGGAGGCCAGGGACAGTGGTCCCCAGGAAGGGAAGGAGAGTCCAACCTAGTTTGCCTGATCCCCCATGGGAGGCTGAGGTTGCAAACAGACAGCTGCAGCTCCTTGCAGCTATGCCACACACACAGCCTTTCTGAATCAGAGGGTATTAGTCTTTCCTTCTGAACTCTTGGGATATTCCTGTTTTGATTTGGCTCTAGCAGTGACCACACCGAGTTGTGCAAAGCCTGGGAACAGTGAGGGCATTAGGACCAGGAGTGACGCGCACGCTTGGCTCTGGGTTGTGTCTGGCAGAGGGCTCTCGGCTGAGTGGAGCTATGTGTGAAAGGAAACCAGGCACTGCCTGCCGGCTTTACATCTGTTGATCTGACCTGACTGGAAGCGTCCAAAGAGGGACGGCTGTCAGCCCTGCTTGACTGAGAACCCACCAGCTCATCCCAGACACCTCATAGCAACCTATTTATACAAAGGGGGAAAGAAACACCTGAGCAGAATGGAATCATTATTTTTTTCCCAAGGAGAAAACCGGGGTAAAGGGAGGGAAGCAATTCAATTTGAAGTCCCTGTGAATGGGCTTTCAGAAGGCAATTAAAGAAATCCACTCAGAGAGGACTTGGGGTGAAACTTGGGTCCTGTGGTTTTCTGATTGTAAGTGGAAGCAGGTCTTGCACACGCTGTTGGCAAATGTCAGGACCAGGTTAAGTGACTGGCAGAAAAACTTCCAGGTGGAACAAGCAACCCAGGTTCTGCTGCAAGCTTGAAGGAGCCTGGAGCGGGAGAAAGCTAACTTGAACATGACCTGTTGCATTTGGCAAGTTCTAGCAACATGCTCCTAAGGAAGCGATACAGGCACAGACCATGCAGACTCCAGTTCCTCCTGCTGCTCCTGATGCTGGGATGCGTCCTGATGATGGTGGCGATGTTGCACCCTCCCCACCACACCCTGCACCAGACTGTCACAGCCCAAGCCAGCAAGCACAGCCCTGAAGCCAGGTACCGCCTGGACTTTGGGGAATCCCAGGATTGGGTACTGGAAGCTGAGGATGAGGGTGAAGAGTACAGCCCTCTGGAGGGCCTGCCACCCTTTATCTCACTGCGGGAGGATCAGCTGCTGGTGGCCGTGGCCTTACCCCAGGCCAGAAGGAACCAGAGCCAGGGCAGGAGAGGTGGGAGCTACCGCCTCATCAAGCAGCCAAGGAGGCAGGATAAGGAAGCCCCAAAGAGGGACTGGGGGGCTGATGAGGACGGGGAGGTGTCTGAAGAAGAGGAGTTGACCCCGTTCAGCCTGGACCCACGTGGCCTCCAGGAGGCACTCAGTGCCCGCATCCCCCTCCAGAGGGCTCTGCCCGAGGTGCGGCACCCACTGTAAGTAAGGCCCTTGTTTTCCCTTCCCTGATCCCAGGGCATGATCGGGTGGTAGCAAACTCGGGAATGCAAACTTTCCGTAGCCTGCCTCTCCTGACTTAGAGCAAGTGCTTTTCAAGATGCAGTACCTGGGCCAGCAGCGTCAGCAGCCCCTGGGCACTGGTGGGTTCTCAGAAATGCAGATTCTCAGACCCCATCCCAGACCTGCCAAACAAGAAACTCTGGGTGGGGTCCAGTGGTCTGTATGAACAAGCCCTTCAGGTGAGAATCATTGTCCTAGAAAGCAGAAAGTGAGGACTCTTGCTTGTTCATTCTCTTCTCCGTCCTGGGTTCTAGTTCTTCTGTCTTTAGGTCAAATGGCTTTATTTCTATAACACAGAAGGGAGGTTAGAGCAGACATTTGCCAGTTCTAACACTCTGACTCCACTACATTTTGATTTTAGGGTTATTGTTAGTGTTTGCTTTTAGTTTGGATCAAAATAACAATTGCAGTTTACATTTAGGGGGCTCTTCCCATGCGTCTGGATTTACTTTACAAGCTTTTAATGTATTAACTCATAAAGTCCTGGAAAGTCCTCACAGCTCTGCAAGATGGGTGCTAGTAGTATCATCATGCTTATTCTATAGGTATGAAAACAAGGTGAAGTTGCTTTCCCAGTCACGCTGCTAGTAGGTAACAAAGTCAGGATTTGAATGCAGGCATGTGAGCTCCAGTCTGCCTGACCCACCACTCCATGCCACCTGCCTTGGGCCACTAGACTAAGGAAACAGGTCCAGTGCCTGAGAGCCAGAATACTGTGCTGACTGCAATTTACCCTGCCAGGGCAGCCCCAGCCCCAGGAGGTAAGCTGAGAAGTGTAGGTGATGGGCAGAGCTGTGCCCAGGGAGATGCTGGCCCATCCTCCACACCCCCTGCTCCCTTACTGTCACCATGGCTGACCACTGAGGAGGGAGCCTTGGTTACCAGCATCCAGGGAGCAAGGCAGCTTGTTAGTTTTAGTTTGGTGATTTAGGTCCCTTTTCCTATAGGCCATTGCTCCTCCCAGAGCCTGGAGAGTTTCCTGGAAAGCAAACATTTGTGCAGGGCAGCAGTTGGAAGCAGGGCCACACACTCTTCGGATCCCTGATCTAGTTCCCCTCAGCCTGGCTGCTCAGCCACTCACACTCGAGGGTGTGCAATTGCAGGGTCAGCAGCCGGGAGTGAACATCTCCTTAAATTGTGTGCCCCGGGTGCCTCACTCACCGCACCCTACTTCCATTTCAAACCCGCTACACTGTTTTCAAGCCTTACCTTTAAAAGCTATTTTCAGGAAATTCCCACCCCATTCTAGTTTTGTGCCCTCCTTGCACCCTGGAGTTTTAACTCACAGCACTTACAAAACTAAAGCCAAATGATTATTGATGTATTTATCAGTCGAATGCCTGCTTTCCCTGCTATGCTGTGAGCCCCTTAGAAGGTCAGGACTGAGTTTGTATTGTACATCCCAAAGCCCAACATGCAGTAAAGAAGTGATTGCTGAATGAACAAACATAGTTTTCAAATTTTTTGACACTATTTTTCACTGGCCTGGAGCAAGAGTGAGCATCCTCTTTTTGCCGATAAGAAATAATATTGCCTGAAACGAGAGGGTCTGTGGCTACCAAAGTGGTCTGTGTGTGTGACTGTGTGTTTGCATAGTGCAAATGTGTGGTGAATATGCATATTTGTGGGTCATGGTATATGTATGTTCGTGCATGTGTGTTGTATATATTCTCTGTGTTGTGTGTGCATTGCATTATGTGTATTAAATGGATGTCGTGCATGTATGTGTAGTACATGCAGGTACTGCGTTATGTGGTGCCTATATGCTTGGTGCATGTTACTTTGTGTATGTGATATGATATGCACAGCTATGCATTGTGCAATGTGTCATCTTGTGTGCATGTGTGTTAATGTGCATGTATTATGTGCATGGTTCATATATGTATTGTGTATTGGGGTGATGCCACATGCATTGTTCATCTGGGTGTGTGTTGCAGTTTGCTATTTGTTTTGCATATGTTCACGTGGTGCATGTGTGCACAGGTATTGTGTTGTAACTGTGTTTCTTGTGTATGATGTGCTTCTGTGGTGCATTGTGCTATAAATGCATTGTGTGAATGGGATATGCATATATGTACAAGTGTGTTGTGTTTATTATGCATGTGGTATAAAGTGCATGGATATGTTGTATGTGGCACAAGTGCAGGTAAATTTTGTGGTGTGTGTGCTGTGCACGTATTTGTGTGTGCTGTGTGTGTAGTGTGCATGGGTGTAATACGTGTGTATTGCGTATCTTGTGCATGTGGTGTGATGTGCACATGTACTGTGCATGTACTGTGCCTGTGTGTGCTGTAGTGTTTGTTTTACATGTTTTGTGGTACATGTGTGCGTATGTATTCTTTGTGTGTTGCATGTATGTTATACATGTGAGGTGTGAGTGATACATGTGTATATGTGCAGGCATGTTGTGTATGTTATGCATGTAGTGTGATGTTCATGAGTGTGTGATGTGCACTGTGAGTTGCGTGGTGCAAGTGTGGGTACATTTTGTGCTGTGTGTGTTTGATGTGCACGTGTGCGTTTATGTGTGTGTGCAACACTTCAGTGGTTGCTTCTTCCAGCCAGAGTAACCAACTCGTCTTGACTTGCCTGAGACTTCCCAGATTTTAGCACTGAAGGTCCCAGGCAGTCGGGAGGAAACTCCTCAACCCCTGCGAAGGGAGACGATTGGATTCTCCAATCCCCAGCTTGCCAGGGTTCTCACGGAACGGCCGCCAGCTTTGTGCGGAGGTGCTCAGCGCCCTCTGCTGGCCCCGGCTGGTGCGTGCGGCCTGCGCAGCCCAGGCCTTGGCTGCAGACTCCCCTCTCCAGTCTGCGGTTCAAGCTCTGGCGCCTTCCCTTAACTGGATTCCTCGCCTGCATGCACAAGAGAGTCCCTGCAAAGCAAGGCAAACGATCTCCACCCTCCCCCCAGGGTGACAGGACTCTTCGGCTCCTACCCCTTTAAATCTGGGCCACAATACAACACAGAAGAGAAACAGGCATATATTAAGTGCCTGCAGTATGCGGGCCCTGCACCGCTGCTTTCCCACCAGGACCAGCAGAGCGCTAGGACATCAGGAGCCTGTGCCTCGGGCTGTAGCGCACCCCGTGCTATCGCCAGCCACACATCCCCTTGCAATTCCATCCTTGACTCCTAAGCCAGACAAGCCCCTCTGGCCCAGTTCCTACACCCAAATGCCCAAACTAGCTCTGCCTGTTGTCCTTTCCCCCCTGCCCAGGCCACAGGCCTTTTTCTGAGTACCTTTAGAGTCATTTCTGGAGGTCAGTTTGAATAGGTGGCATTTGAGGAAAATTACCAATGATGCAAGAGCAAAAAAGAAAAATATCAGTGGAAAAGAGGTCAAAAGACAGTCTCTGAAAAGAGAGGCAAAATTACAGTGAACATTTATTGAGCACTTACTATGTGCTAGAGGCTCTGCTAAGTGGTTTTTGTTTTCAACTCTTCATAGAAAACCTCTAAGGTAGGTTTCATTTCATGGATGAGGAAACTGAGGCACAGAAAGATGGAGGGACTGGTGCCAGGTTATCTGACCAGGTGAGTCTGACACCAAAGTCATACTCTTAACCACCACACTACACTTTGCCAGTCTGCCACTCTCCAGACCAGAGATTGGGCAAGTCACATGGGCTGGAAGTGTTTTCATCTTAAAATGGGGAGAACTCACACGGGTCCATGGGGAGACAGTTGCGGAAATGCTTATCACAGCATCCTTGATGGTGCTGAGGAGCTGGAAGCCACCAGGATGTCTTGTCACAGGGCAGGAGGAGCTGGGTGCACCCTATGAGATACTCAGCCTGAGTTAGAAGCAACAGACTCTGGGTACATTCAACAATGAAGGGAGACCCTAAAAATCCCCTGCTGAGTGAAAAAGTAAGGCACAGAAAGCGGCCTACAGCACTGTATCATTAGGGGAAATGTAAATCCATGCAAACTAACCAATCCATTCTTTACAGGAACAGAACAAACTCAATGAAATGGTTGTGCTGTGGGAAAGGGAGGGTCCTCGGGGCAGAGGTGGGGATAAAACTGAATGAATACTGAGGCAAAATAGAGAAGAGCCCATGATGGAACCGCAAACAGGAACGGGATTAACTCAGCCCTTCAAAGCTGCTGTCAAAGAAGGGGCGGGAGGAACAAGCCCGGCCCATTTAGCCTCCTGTAGCACGGATGGTTTTCAAAGTTCTTCCAGGCCCCAGCTCTCCTTTGATCATCCTGGTATCCAGTGCAGGGGCAATGGGTTCCTAGGATCAAAGAGGCTGCTGTGTGAGCCAGTGCTTTGTAATCTACATCTACGGCTGAACTTGAGCGTGCATCCGAACAACTAGATGGCTTGTTAAAAATACAGATTCCTGGCCTCCATTCCTCCAGTTTCTGATTCAGTGGGTGTGAAGTGGGGCTCAACATTTGCATTTCTGCAAACTCCTGGTACTGCTGCTGCTGCTGCTCCCAATCCAGAGACACTTTGAGAACCTCTGCTCTAAGGCACACTCTTTATGCCGAACAGACTGGCCAGAGCAGTGCTCCTCAAACTTTAAGGTGCATGCGAATCTTCTAGGCATCCTGTTAAAATGCAGTCAAATTCAGCAGGTCAGGAGGGCAGCCTCAGATGCTCCATTTCTATCAAAGGCACTCCAAGGTGGCACCAGCACTGTTGGCCCACAGAGCACATTTTTCAACAGTGAGGAGTTACACCACGACTTCCCAAAAGTATGTGCACACCCAACCCCCCTATATTGCTTGTTAAAAAGACGTAGATGTTCAGACCCCCTCACTGGCAATGCTCCAGAGTTCTGAGTTGGAGCCCAGTAATCAGAATTTTTTTAAGCTGATGCTAGATAGTCTGGGGAACTACTGGTAGAGAAAGCGAGTGGAGAGCTGGTAGAGTTTGGGAAGTTTCCACGTAGGAAGCAATACTAGAGTCAGAAAATAGAAAAGAGAGCAGAGAGGAACAGGCTCCCTCATGGCCCCGGCAGTTTGTCCCTAAACATAAATGTCAACTCAGCGGTAGCTGGCTGTGTGCTACCTGCTTTTAACTTGCCTTTATGGTTCAGCCTGTGTTTCCCTGGTTTATGTACCCATAGCTGTGATTAAACAGTTGTGGACCTGTGGTTGAATCCTGGTACCACCTGTTACTGTGTGACCTTGTACAAGTCACTCAACCTCTCTGAGCCTCAGTTCCTCAACTGTAAAATGGGATAATAATAACACCCTTGCATAAGGTTGTAGAGAAAATGAGACACAACGTGTGATGATTTTCCTTGTGTATTAAGTCCAAACAGAAGTTGCCCTTATCATATTCTTGAGTAAATGGCCTAGGAGTAAGTTGGAGTGATGGAGAAAAATGGAGCTGTGGATATCATATTGCTGTCCTTTTTCTGACTGAAAAGTTATTTTCTGGCCCTGGAGGCTGCTAAATCATCATAAATGTGCAGGTACATTGGAATTATCTGGAAAGTCTTAAAAACTATTCATACTCATGCTCCACTTCCAAGGATTTCTATTTAGTTGGTCTGGGGTGAGGCCTGGGCACCAAGAGCTTAAAACTCCCCAGGTGGTTCTATCGTGAAGCCAGGCTGCAAGGCCCCAGGTGGTCAATGGCTCTTCACAGCTGGTGGGGAGAGCTGGGAGGGATATCTTCTGCTTTGTTCCCCACTTCCTGCCCCAGAGGCCATAATGGGCAAGGGGTCAGAGGGAAGGGCAGGGGCGGGAGAGTCGCCTTGGCTGCAGCTTTGTTGTCAAGTAGAAGATGGTGTTGCAATCCACGCGGGGTCCACTCAGTTCCCTGTGAAGACTCTGTCCTGCCAGGCCGTGATTCACCCCAAGATGACTCCCCACACCCCTTGTTGGCTGTGATAGCCTGGCCTGCAAAAGAGGAAGGAGGCAGCTGACAGGGCATCAGTAAATCCAAGAGAGCAGACATGCCCTTCGGGATGAGGGACAAGAACAGGAACAAGCTGGGCTTGAGACCTGGGGCTGGAACTTAGCTCAATTCCCCCCACAAGAGAGGGAAGACAACCCAGTATGGGCAGTGTGAGTGGTGCTTATGGGGCCTGGCTGTCCAAGTCGTGAAGGGATGCCACAAACACCAACCTTCCAGCCCTCGAGTCCACAGTGGCCGCAGCAGAGGCAGTACCTCCTCTGGACCTCCACTCTGGATCCATCACCCCGCAGTGGGGTTGCAGCGTAGACAGAGCTGACTATATAGCGCCCTTTTTTGGGTCAAATGCATTCATGGTAACAAGTGTGGTAGGGTCTTACCCTGCACTTCAGGACAAACCCAGCTGGCCTTGGGGGTTAGATTAGATGTGGTTAATCTGCACCTTGTCCTGGGGTGGGAGGAATTGATGTTATTTACTCCAGTGCCACTCACAGTGTGGTCCTCAGACCTGCAGCCTCAGAAATGCAGACCCTTCAGACCCCACTTAAACCTACTAGATGAAATCTCTACTTTAACAGGATCCCTAGGTGATTTCCATTCATGTTAAAGTTTGAGAGCCATTATGAGGCCAGTGGTTCACAGCCCCCACTCACATTAGAACCAATGAGTCGTCATGTCAAGGCTCCAAAGCAGACCAAGTAAATGTGATTCACAGGAACTCACTCTCTAAGTGATTCTAATGTGTAACCAGGCTGAGGACCACTGCTTAGGCCACTTTAGGTGACTAAGAACAGAGATGCTCAAGTCACTTAAGGTGATGGAGTTACTGCAAGTTTACACAGGAAGTAAGTAAGGAACAGGGAACTGTCCAGACAAGGTTGAAGGAGGTGGACAGGAGGGAGACCCACGATCCACAGTTCCTTTGGGGACTTGGCCTTCCTGACATCCTGCAGCAGTAGGGGCCCTAGAACCTGGCCAAGTATTCTGTACATCTGTCAGCTCACCTCCTATTGTCTTGTCACTAACAACCACTGCCCTCTACTCTAACTGTGGTCCAGGAACCAACAGCATCAGCATTACCTGGGAGCTCACCAGAAATGCAGAATCTCAGGCCCCACCCCAGACCTACTTGACCTAAGTCTACATTTAATGAGGTCCCGGATGGTTCAAGGGCATATGGACACCGGAGAGGCACTGAGCTACGTCTTGGCTTCTACCACCCCGTCTTTGGGTTACTGTCTGCTCTATGACCTGCTATCAACTGCTCACTTTTTGCATGTCTAAAGCTCACACTTCTTGAGATGGAGGATCTGGCAGGTTTCTCTGGCCGCTAGCCTGGGGAGGCTGTCCCTGTTAGGTGGAACTATGGCTCCAAGATGCTTCATAGGCCTCCGGTCAGTGTTCAGACCAGTGACTCCCAGTGTGTGCCTGTCTCTGGTTCAGAGGTAGATGCCAGGATCAGAGCAAGCCAAGGATCCCCTGAACCCCTCCAGAAGTGAGCTGTGAGAGTTTGGAGAACCTGCACAAAGAGAAGGGGATGGCATGTACCTTGTGACGTCTGTCCACTGATGGAGAATGACAGGCTGGCAGAATCAGCCTCCACTGCAGACTCCAGCCCTTTCCTCCCATCTCTCTTGTCTGCAAGCTTCTTCATCCATTCTTCTAAGGCCTCAGCTCCAGGCTGTGTCCCAGCCCTAGCAGCCTCAGGCCTGGCCTAGAAGTTGGTATGGTGTTCCCAAGATAAGTGCCACCAATTACAGGCAAGCTAGGATTTTCTTGCAATGGAGGAACTTGGCTCTGTGGGATTACTCCCCTGTTAATCTTGACAACCAACTTACACACTTCCTGAGAACAAGTTCAGTGTCTTTCTTCCTTCAGTGAACAAATAGCTATTGAACAACTATCAGAAGTAAGAAGGTAAGCAATACCCAGCCCCAACCCCAAGAAGCTTGGGGTGCACTGGGGGATGCAGACAAGCAAACAGGCTGGTACATCAGTGGGATCAGGGCTGAGATAGAGAAGCCTATCCGAGTGGGGCGCCTCCACTGATTTGATAGGAACTGGGAGTCAGTATCCCCAAAACAGCTTTAGGAAACCTGGCAGAAACCTTTCTACTCTGGCCAGGCAAGGGGAGGGAGGGAAGAGCGTCAGTACTACAGCCAGGCCATCTGGTGCAATGCTGTGACTCATTCTCTTCAGAGCCATCATCCAAATGCATTTTTCCAAGTTCACAGGGGATCCTGGAGCTGCAGGAAAAGAGGGTGTGCATCTGTATGTAAACACAAGACACCAGACTCCTCTGATCTTGGAGTGTGAAGATATAAAGCTAGCCTGCAGAACAGCTCTCTTAGGCTAAGATTATCCCTTTCAATCCAGGACACACCCCTGGGCTGGAGAAAGGTATCAACATCCCTGTGTTGGCTAATTAGGGATTAAGCCCAGGTTGATTTGAGTCCAAAGCCCTTGGTTGTTCCTGTCCCGCTGCTCCCACTCAAAGGATGAACAAAGGAGGTCAGGGGTGGGGTTTTGGACACTTGAGTGACACATACAAACCGAGATAGTAAAATATTCACCGGATATTTCGTTGAAGCAGAGAAGTTAGCCTCATTATTTAACAATAAAAACATACATTTCTTCCTGGATCCTCTGCATAAGTCCCTAGTCACTTGGGGCCTTGCTTTATGATGTTCAAGAGCCTTTGCCATGCTCTGCCTCATTGGTTGGCTCAGCAATGCTATGAATGTCTTTCCTTCAGTTCCTGGTACATGCCAGCCCTTTCCCACCTCTGGGCCTTAGCAGAGGCTGTGACACCTGCCAGGCATGTCATTCATTCCCCACCTGCACTCTCTCTCTGGGCTGTGTCCTACCCACCCTTCAGGTCTTGGCTTTGATTTCACGTCCCTACATCCAGAACGTCTCACTACAGCTGCTGAATAATGATTTGGTTATGTTTAATAGGACATAAACTCCATGCTATTAGGGGCTATCTTAGTTTAGGTTTCCCCTAAAGAAGATCCTGAAAGAAGGCTTCATTTTGCCGGTTATCCCAAGAAGCACGGGTAGGGGCTCAGGAAAGCGGAGCAGAGATGCCTGAGAGAGGCATGTGTTCAAGGCAGCTACCTCTGTGGGCAGCTGGAGCTCAGCCCTTGGAGACAGTGTAGAACATGCATGCATCTCAGCGCTTCCTACCCTCTGCCCTTAGGGGTGAGGGTGCTGGGTGTTTAATAAACCAACTCTTTTCAATCACTGGCTGAGCACAGCTCACTGGGGTGGGGTAGGGGTTAATTTTCCAGCTCTTCAGGGATGCTCTGACTGGGGAAATCACACTGGTCAGCCAGAGAAAGCCCTAGGGCCATTAGAAGTTGGGCCGTCCTGTATCATAATGAGATGGCCCAAGAGGATATGGGCAGGGGCACCACAGATTGTGGTCAGGCATCATGTCTATTTCATTCATCTTTCAGTCCTAACACATAATAGGCTGTCAATAAATATCTGTTAAATGACTTGATAGAGAGATGGAAGGTGAAGATTAAAGAGAAAATCAGAATGAAGATAGGCAGTCCTGTCTAGAGCCTCCTCAATGAATAAATATCCTGTTTCCTTACTCTGAGCTTCCTGGCAGCCACACTGAAAAATAAAAAAAGACGATATTCTTATTTGTATTCTTCATGAGGAGGAAGCACACTGTTGCTCAGATGAAGGAAAGTATTTTGTGGCACTTATATCTGCAAGGACTTTTCTTCCAAAGCATCAAAGTGGAGATAACAAGTGACAGGGGGACAACATCCTCAATAAGTTCCCTCGGTAATGGAGAGCAGGTTTCCTAAAAGTGATTCTTGCATTGTTCCCTGATGAAAGCTGAGAGCACGATGACAAGCACGACTCCCTGTAAGCACATTTGTAAGGCAGCCAAGACTGAGGGGTCAAGTAAGTTGCCTTTTGAAGACCTTAAGGAATCAGCGTAGACAGTGCAGAATGTGTGGAGGAACTGATGGATCGCATGTTTTTCAAATAACCTTCCATCATTGTCCCTTTATGACTCTGAATCCAGAACATTCTGCTCGCACTGTAGTCCAAGATGGTGATAGACAGACAGATAGATAGATAGATAGATAGATAGATAGATAGATAGATAGATGATAGATTATAGCAATATACTATCAGCTATTTGCCGTGTAACTTTAAACAGGTCATTTAAGCTCTCTGGGCTCTAGTTTCCTCATCTTAAAAATGGGAAAGTGTGTCCATGATCTAGTGCTGTATAACGCACCTTATCAAAACTTAGTAGATTTTAAAAAATAGATATTTTTAAAACTTTGGTGCTTCAAAAGATGTCATCAAGAAAGTGAAAAGACAATCCAAGAGTAGAAGAAAATGTTTGTAAGTCCTATATTGCATAAGAGATTTGTATCCAAAATACAAAAAGAACCCTTACAACCCAACAATTAAACAACAAAACACTCCATTTTAAAATGGGCAAAGGATTTGAATAGACATTTCTTCAAAGAAGACATAAAAATGGTCAATAGCACACGAAAAGATGTTCAAATCATTAGTCAGTAGGAAAATACAAATCAAAACCACAATGAGATGACATTTTACCCCCACTAGGATGGCTGAAGTAAAAGACAGTGCAAGTGCTGACAAGGATGTGGAGAAATTGGAACCCTCACACATTGCTGGTGGGATTGTAAAATGGTGCAACTGCTTTGGAAAACAGTTTGGCAGTTCCCCAACATGTTAAACATGGAGCTATCATATGGCCAGTAATACCAGTCCTAGGTATATACTCAAGAAAATTAAAAACATGTTCACATGAAAACTTATACATGAATATTCATAGTGGCATTAGTCATAATATAAGTCAAAATAGGAGCAATCCAAATGTCCATCAGCTGATGAATGGACAAACAAAATGTGGTATATTCAAACAATGAAATATTAGGCAGTAAAAAGAAATGAAGTACTGATATAGACTACAACATGATTAAGCTTGAAAACATTATGATAAGTGAAAGAAATCAGTCACAAAAGGCCACGTTATGTCATTTCATTCATATGAAGTGTCCAAAGTAGGCAAGTCTGTAAAGACAGAAAGTAGGTTAGTGGTTGCCACGGGCTGTGGTAGTTGTGGGAGCAGTGGGAAGTGACTGCCAATGGGTAGTAGGTTTTTGGGGGTGGGGTGTTGAAAACGTTCTCAAATTAGACAGTGGTGATGGCTGCACACCTTTATACTTGAATCCATGGAATTGTACACTTTATAAAGGTGGACATTATGGTATGTGAATTATATCTCAATAAAAATATTATTAAAACATTAGTGATTTCAGGCCGGGCGTGGTGGCTCACTCCTGTAATCCCAGCACTTTGGGAGGCCGAGGCGGGTGGATCATGAGGTCAGGAGTTCAAGACCAGCCTGACCAACATGGTGAAACCCCGTCTCTACAAAAAATACAAAAATTAGCGAGGCATGGTGGTGCATGCCTGTAATCCCAGCTACTCAGGAGGCTGAGGTGGGAGAATCGCCTGAACCTGGGAGGTGGAGGTTGCAGTGAGCTAAGATAATGCCACTGCACTCCAGCCTGGGTGACAGAACAAGACTCCATCTCAAAAAAAAAATTAGTGATTTCAAACAATAACCATTTCTATGTTATGGTTCTATAATTTGGACCGGACTCAGCCAGGCAGTTCTTCTGCTGATCTCCCCTGGGTTCACCCCTGTGGCTGCCATCAGAGGGCGGCTGACTGCACTGAATATTAAGATGGCCTCACTCTCAGACCTGGCAGCTGATGCTGGTCCTCAGCTGGGGCACTTTAGTTTTTCTTCAAGCAGACTGTAATCCTCTATTAGGCTACGTTGGTTTCATTACATGGCATCTCATGACAGCAAGTGGAAGGCCTTGAGGCTTAATCTTGGGAATTCTCGAATGTCACTTCTAGTACATTCTATTGGTCTAAGGAAGGCACAAGGCCAGCCAGACTTAGGGGCTGAAGAAATAGATTCCATTTCTTGATGCAAGGAGTGGCTGACTCACATTATAAAGAAACACGATGAACAGATATGTTGTGACCATCTTTGCACACATGAAAATTCCTATTTCAAAGGGCATTTGGGAGGAATAAATGTAATAATTCTTGTAATAATTCATGCTGCTAAAGCACAGCACCTGGTACATAGGACTCCTCATGAAGTGGTGGCTATGATAAATATTAATAAGACACCTGCATCACAGGTGCTACCCTATTCCTCCATTCTCCCTCAGTGAAAACAAATCATAGACTCAAAGGTGGAAGGATCTTTAGATATTACACAGTGAATCCCTCAGTGTCAGATGTGGGAACAAGGGCCAGAGGAGAGAAGGGAGAGACTTGTCCAAGGCCCCTTATCTCCATTCCCTCAAGGGGGATTCAGAGGTCTGAGCCTGATGGAAGGTCGTCGTCCAGGGCATGTGGCACATCTAGCACATCTAGCCTCACGCTCTTCCCCCCAGACCATTATCCTGGCTCCGGCTGTATATACTTGTAAGGGGGCGTCTCAGAGGAAAAGAATCACAGAAGGCAAAGTGTTGCCTGTGGGTGAAGGAAGAGGAATCTTCCCCAGTGGTGGAAGTGAGAAGTTACAGGAACTCAGTTGGCACAAAATGGCAGCCATAGGTCGTGTCCCATCACAGACATGTTTGTTTGGCCATGCAGTTTTATTTAAAAATGTTGGATTAGTGGTCAACATTTAAAAATTAAGATATTTCCCAGAAACAGTTCAGGTTTCTGGCTTTTTCTGAAAATCAGGAAGATGTGGCAAAACTGGACTAAATTTCCTCCCAGTGACATCAGCTGTTCCTTTTAGGTGGGCCATGTGGTCTCGGGCTCACTGAAGCACCCACAGGGCAAGAGTCACATCTCCCTGGCTGGTGTTTGAGCTTATGCTCCCTTCAAACCTGAACAAAGGGGTTGGAGCACTAGGAGGGGATGGTGTAGATGCAGTTCAGGACCTTTCAAAGATCTTTGTTGGCTGGACCTTAGCCAGCTTCCTAGGTTTCCAGTGGCTTCTCTGAATTGCTGCTCAAACCCTCCTCCTAGTTCTGGTCTACCCACCCCTCATTCCTTAGTGCCTGAAGCTCTGTAAGGTTGGGTGGGAGCGGGGGAGGAAGAGTGGATAGATTGCAAAGCAGATGACAGGTCCTTAGCACCATTTCCCTCTCTGTCCTCACTTCCACCTCCCTCCTTGTGTCCTCTCTCTCCAAGGTCCTCATGATGACATGAGGAGCCCAGGGTTCCCAAACATGGGCGAGTAGGGCCATACCATCTGGACCATTTCTTATTGTCTCCTCAGCATCTCCCAAAACTTACACACTCACATCAGCTAAGGAGTTGGATGCTTTCTATTACAAGCTTTATCCTTCTGAAGGGAAGTCATCCTGCATTTTAACAACAACAACAAAAAAAGGAAGCCACCAAAGCCACTGGATGAGCAAGAAGATTGGAGAGCTTTGCTCCCGGTGGCAGCCTGAATCACAGGAAACATTTTGCTGTTAGGCCAGGGTTCTAGGGAGATTAGGTCCAACAGGGGATCTAGCTGAACTCCAATCACCCACCTGGCCTCCTTTGCCTGTAATCCATGAGGTGAACAGCACCACCATGTTGCATAACTCCAAGAGACACCAGTGCATGGTGATCTCTGAGCATGGCACCCACTGGTGTTGGGCAATGCACCAGCCCTAGTGGTTGAGATGAGGAGTAAATGAGATAATGCATGAGAATATCCTACAAATATCAGTGATTGTTATTCCCAGAATACCAGCCCAGTTCCTCTGCTATGTTGAAGGACATCCTCAGAGACATGTTCAGACAATACCAGAAGCCAGTCAGCACATTTTTACCTGAAAAATAGTAACAGCTTCCAGTTATTGAAAGCCTGCTGTGGACAAAGCACACAACATTTTACATAGCCCTTTAAAGTAACCCTACTTGTTATCCTCATTTTATAGATGAAGAAATTGAAGCTAGAAAGATATCCAGGCACATGAGAGGTTTGCAAGAATCAACAATAGCTAGCTAGCATTTTGGGGCTCTTACTATGCATAAGTACTTCAAATGTATTAGCTCATTTGGTCCTTCCAACAACCTCATTTTACTGATGAGCAACATGAGTTTAAGTAAATTGTATGTTCAAGATGGATTAATGGAGTCAAAAAGATTGTGAGAAATGAGAATTAGTGACTGAAGTATAACTGAGTCTGTTGGTCTGGAGACTGTTGAAAGCAAGGATAGTTCTCAGAGAGCTTATGGTACTTGCCCAGGTCACATAAGGACAGACTGGGATTTGAACCCAATGCCAAAACTTCGCCTTTTATCCACTTGATAAAACATCAGCTGAACTAACACATTTTTGAGCAAGTTTATCAAGGTGAATGGAATTGCAGTTTGGCCGCTTTCAGGGACTCTATTTGCTTGCCACACCCTCCTACTTGGTTCTGTGCTGCCACCTGGAACAATGAGAGAGGATTCATCCCATTTGCCCATACCTGCATGACTGTGCTGCCCATAGGCTGATGAAGCCCATCCTGGGATGATGACCATGGACTGCCATAAGCCTGTACATGTAGTTGGTATCCCTCCCTTCCACTGTTGTCTGGGAGCTAAACAGTCTGCACCATCCTCAGGCTCCCCCTCCAGCCCACTAGAAACAAAACAATCCCTGGCTAGGCCGGGCATGGTGGCTGACGCCTGTAATCCCAGCACTTTGGGAGGCCGAGATGGGAGGATCACGAGGTCAGGAGATCGAGACCATCCTGGCTAACACGGTGAAACCCCGTCTCTACTAAAAATACAAAAAATTAGCCGGGCGTGGTGGCGGGCGCCTGTAGTCCCAGCTACTCAGGAGGCTGAGGCAGGAGAATGGCGTGAGCCCGGGAGGCGGAGCTTGCAGTGAGCCAAGATCGCGCCACTGCACTCCAGCCTGGGGGACAGAGCGAGACTCCGTATCAAAAAAAAAAAAAAAAAAAAGAAACAAAAGAATCCCTGGCTTTTCTTAAAAGCATCTAACAGGCCCTGAGACACAAGACTTTGTCAAATTTGGGTTATAATATTTAGTTCCACACTCCAAGCCATGTTGTGGGTGCTGGGCCTTCTCACAAACCTCAGGCTGGGTCCGCTCAGCTGCTGCTGGTCCTCCACTGAAACACCAGATTATTTCCACGGTGATTTTCAGCTCTGGTCTCCAGGCAGTTCTGCAGTTGCAGAACAAACCACAGCTGTCGGTTTACGTCTTGAAGGCTGCGTGAACTTCTTTCCCTGAGAGAGGAGAAGGATTCTTTCTGAGCTGATGCCAGGAGACCTGCCTCCACAGCTTGGCGGGGCATCCCCCATAGCCTTGTAATGGCTTTCAAGAACCCATTTGGCCTTTCACATCTCTTAGCAGCCTGTTTAGTTTATCCCACTCACACTCCCTGCCCATCCATTGGTTCACCATCTTCTCTCTCACTATGAGGAGAGAAGTTACATCTGTTCATAAAACCCCAAAATTCCTGGAGCAAGGGGAGTCTATGAAATTCTCTTTGAAATGCTTGCTGTCCTTATTTTTCTGCCTCCTTCTTCCTCCTGCTGCGGGAAGGAGCCCCCAAAGAATCAAGAACACACACTTTCAAGGCTGGAAGAGCCTGAGAGGTACCTCTTGTAGTAATGGGACATCTGTTAATAATGGCAGCAAACGCATGGTGCTCACTCTGTGCCACCCACTGTTCTTGGTGCTTTATAAAGATCATTTCATCTCCACAACAGCAAATCCCAAAAAGTGGGCCCTACGGCTACCTTTCTGAGGAAACCAAGGCACCCAGAAGCTAAGCAACTTTCCCAGGGTCATCTCCGCAGCTAGGAAGTGGTGGAGCCTCAGTGTCCACAACCTGAGTTACCAGGTGAGACTGCCACCCGGCAGAGAATGTTCTGTGAAATCAAAGAAAGGAACTTGAGTGCCCTGGTCACCATTTAACTAGCAGAGATGGAAGCTCTCACATCTCCTTACTTTGAGTAATATGCAAGGAGTGTGATCTTAAAGAGCTAGAGTTTAAATACAAATTTCTTTCATTGAAGGAGGCCCTGCTCCATGCCAGGCACTGTGCCAAGCCCTTTATCAAACTTATTTCTCCCAAAAGCTCTGAAGTGGACACTGTTGGGAAACCCAAACTTGAAAGTAGTTCAGTGGATGTCTCATGCTATACTGTAGAATAGTTGTTTAAAGATAGCTATAATTTGCAAAGATGATCATAAATATAACATTCATACTAATTACATTGTGTCTTTTTGGAAAATGGCTATAAAACAGTCACTGTCTATTGGGTGCCTATTATTATTCTTTGATTCTCTCAATGGGCCTAAAGGGTAATTATGGTTACCCTTACCTTCCAAATGAGGAAACTGATACCTATAAATATTGAGTGAATTACCCAAGGAAACTTAGGAAGCAACGGAGTGAACATTCAAATCTAAATATGTCTGATTCTGAAGTCTAAGTTCTTTTGACCATCTTACTACAAGGATACATACACCACACGCACACACACGTGCACATGTGTGTGCATAACACACACTTGTGTTGTTTCCAATTCTCATAGTCTATGAATTGAGACAGAGAAAGGAGCCAGGCATGGCTGGCAGGCATAGCCGTGCTCTCTTCTTGGAGCAGACAGGACTGACTTTGGTAAACTATTAAACTGTCCCCACAGGAATTCCAAACCCAGGGCTCTCTGTCCCAAACTCCTTTCCTATCTCAGTTGGCAAATAGCCAGCCTCCCGGCAACAAGCCCAATTAATAGTTTAGGGTTTTTTTTTTCATACCCACTAAATTCACTGAGGCAAAATTTCTTTTCACAGCCACCAGTCCCTGTCTAGGACCCCTGGGTTTACCCAAATGCATGGCCACAAAAGAAGTGGAGAGGATATGAGGAAATTTTGCACCTGTTTGTGAGCAGTCTAGAGCAAGTCTGAGGGCAGAGCAGAAATTCTCAGCCCCACCAGGGGAGAAGGGGAGAGAATGAAGGGGGTGAAAGACCTCAGCAAAGACTATGCATGTGCTGGGGACGCAGTCATCTCCCTAAAACCTTACAGGGAAGCTGGTTCCATTTTGGACATGTTATTTGAGCAGCCCTGAACTCAGACTATAAAAGTTCATATAAAGTTCATTATTTTATTTGTTTTAAGAATGGTTCTCAGAATGCTGCCATGCATTTAGGGACTTCTTGCTAAAGTCCATAGGAATTTATCTTTCAAATAAGTGTTAGATGGGTGTTAAATTTTCTCTTTAAAACTAATATGATATTTGAGTTAACAGTATTGAACCATGTCGGATTCCTGGTTTTGCTCATTGTGGATGATTACGTGAGATATTTTCATGATGGGGAGCTAGGTAAAGGGAACATAGGAACTCTCAGTTTCTTGTCAGTCTTAAACGATTTCAAAATAAAAAGTGGTAAAGTGGGAATTGAAAGAAAAAATTACTAGAAAGAGTGTTGCTTTCCCCAAAAACCTTGCATGTAACTTCTCTAATGGTGATAATTCTGTTGCAGAATAAACATTTTACTTTGGCTACCAGGGATCTCAGAGTCAAATTTAAATTCATTCTAGAAATACCTAGGCCCTTATAACCTATATATTTATGTTCTTTCTCCAAATGCTGACTTTCTAAATTTACTTATATTCCTCAGCTCCTGACTTTTCTTCCTTATTTTTATTTTACCATCATTTTAAGTATTTGTATTGTGTGTATTTTTTTGTGAGTGGCTTCAAATCATTTATGGAAATAAATAGCTTGTAAATTTATAAACCAACAAAATAATTAGCTCCTTTATGAGATGTTTATGTGTTTTTAAAAATTATTTAGGAATTCTGCTTACCATTACCTAGACTCAATTCTCCCTCTCTACACAGGATTTTGCCCTGAGAGTCACACACAGGTTTCCTGTGCATTGAGAGTTTTCTGCCTTTCTTAGGACTGGTACCAAGCTAGGGAGCAGCAAGAGTTGGCACATCTTAGAAGGTGTTTCCCTCAGACAGGGCCAGCCTCAGCCTGGTTGTCACTCTGCCCGCAGTTCCACCTCACAGATTCCTTTAGGTGTCCGAAGTTTGGGGTCCTTGAGATGGCTCCTATTCAAATGTCCCTCTGAGGAGGAACATAGTTTGAGCAGCAGCTGCAACTCAGAAAGAGGCTCTTCAGAAACACACGTTAAGAAAGTGCCTTTTGTAAGCAAGTGTGAGCTATATACTGCTCCATGTATCAGGTTGTTATAATTCACTCCACCCTGGACCCACTGATTCTCAACAGACCCAAAGCAAGGCAAACACCAAGCACCCTGTTCACAGACAGCCCCTCAGCAGAGGGAAATGCAAACACCCCTGCTATCCAGCCATAAGCCAGCAAAGTGGAAAGGGTGTGAGAGTTTTGAAGGTAGAACATTCAGCGCTGCCACTTGCCAGCAATGTGAGCTTTGATGTCTTCCCTTCCCTCGAAGCCTCCGTTTCCTTATCTGTAAAATGGGAGTAAGATAGCCCAACCCACGGATTAATTATCAGATGAATGTGCAGTGATATATTAAAGGCCTTGCACGGTGTCTGGCATGTTGTTGGCACTCACAGACACTCCATCCTTGTTTTTTCTTCCATAAAAATAATAAGAGCTTAAATGTCTTCTCTTTTAGAAGTGTCTGTTCATGTCCTTTGCCCTCTTTTTAATGGGGCTGTTTGTCTTTTTTCTTGTAAATTTGCATAAGTTCCTTGTAGATTCTGGATATTAGACCTTTGTCAGATGGATAGATTGCAAAAATTTTCTCCAATTTTGTAGGTTGTCTGTTCACTCTGATATTTCTTTTGCTGTGCAGAAGTGCACATGTATGTTTGTTGCAGCACTATTCATAGTAGTGAAGTCACGGAATCAACCCAAATGCCCATCAATGATAGACTAGATAAAGAAAATGTGGTACATATGTACCATGGAGTACTACGCAGCCATAAAAAGGAATGAGATCCTGTCCTTTCCAGGGACATGGATGGAGCTGGAAAACATTATCCTCAGCAAATGAACACAGGAACAGAAAACCAAACACCGCATGTTCTCACTTATAAGTGGGAGCTGAACAGTGAGAACACATGGACACAGGGAGGGGAGCAACACACACTGGGGCCTGTTGTGGGGGCATGGGGAGGGAGAGCATCAGGATAAATAACTAATGCATGTGGGGCTGAATACCTAGGTGATGGGTTGATGGTGGCAGCAAACCACTATGGCACATGTTTACCTATGTAGCAAACCTGCACGTCCTGCACATGTATCCTGGAACTTAAAATAAAATTTTAAAAAATAGTAAGTGCTAACATTTAAAAATTGTGTGCCAGGTGCTATGCTAGGTTGTAGGAACATAAAAATAAAGAAAATAGTGTCCCTGACCTTGAATGGATGACAGAGATTACTGGACACTTAACTACACGCATCATCCTATCCAAGCCTCACCACAGCCTCGGGGAGTCCTGATCTTCCCAGAAGGCCAGGAGGGGTGTCCCTAGGTCATTTAGTTGTGCCAGAAATGTAGGCCTCAGGCCCAAGCCAAAGACTAGAGCAGAGGTTCTCAAAGTGTGGTCCACAGAAAACAGCAGCATCGGCATCACCTGGGAGCTTGTTAGAAATGCAAATTCTTCAGCCCCACTCCATCTCCAGAAACTCTGGGGGTGGGCCCTGCAGTCAGTATTTTAAAAATCCCACCAGGTGATTCTGATGCATGCTCAAGTGTGAGCGCTGTGAGGGTGATAATATTGTCATTCATTCTCATTTTACAGATGAGGACAGTCATTTGCTGAGGATGACGGCAACGCTTCTCAATTGCAATGAGAGGGACTTTGGATTAAATGATAAAGGAGCTCTTGAGATCTGAGAATTGGGAGATAGTAGACAGCACCACTATGAGGCGTAACAGGTTCTTTTTATATGGGAATTTTAAGAGATCCCATAGGACAGCCATATAATGGGGGCAGCTCCAGCCAGAGCAAAGGAAGCGAGTTAGAGGGTGTGGAGTGTTTCTTGTGGCCTTCTCTTCCCCATGGCTCTCTGGCTCTCTTCCCTGCAGGTGTCTGCAGCAGCACCCTCAGGACAGCCTGCCCACAGCCAGCGTCATCCTCTGTTTCCATGATGAGGCCTGGTCCACTCTCCTGCGGACTGTACACAGCATCCTCGACACAGTGCCCAGGGCCTTCCTGAAGGAGATCATCCTCGTGGACGACCTCAGCCAGCAAGGTAGCCACGGCTTTCCTCCAGGCTCGTCTGGGTGAGCCTTACCCCCTGGCGGGTGGAGTTCTCAAGCAAAAGATTGAAGTTTGGAACTATTTTAGGCAAGATTCCCCAACTACAGACCTCCAGATGAGGATTAATGGGCAAGTAACTTATGAATGAAGAGCCACTGGGGAAACCAGTAAGGCAGTGGGGGCTGCAAGACAGAGAAGGAGAAAGAGCCCTGCAGGGGAAACAGCCCTGGGGAGGGTCTTGAGGGGTGTCGCCTCAGCCTGATCCCGTGGGGATCTCTCTCCCAGGTGCCACCCAGTCCAACAATCCTCTCTCCAAGACACTGAAGAATCACATAGGGCGGCCCTGTTGTGAGTGCTCACTGCCTCCTAGACCCTGGTGCAGCACTTTACACATACGCACATATGTGTATCGGTCCTTCACTCATCATGGCTTAGACAGACCCACTCACTTTCCAGAGGAGGAAACTGGGGCCCAGAGAAGACAGCAGACTGGAGCGGAGTCAGCCAAAAGCAGCAGAGTCAGGCCCAGAGCCCAGACTTGCAGAACCTGCCTGTGTGCTTCCTCTCACAGGAACCTGGCTACTAGGGACAGCCCTAAAAGAAGATGGAGACAGAGAAGCCCCCACTTGACTCGTAGGTCAGTGGCTCTCACGCTTGAGCATGCATCGGAATCACCTGGTGCGATTTTTAAAATACTACTGCAGGGCCCACCCCCAGAGTTTCTGGTGATGGAGTGGGGCCGAAGAATTTGCATTTCTAACAAGCTCCCAGGTGATGCTGATGCTGCTGTTTTCTGTGGACCACACTCTGAGAACCTCTGCTCTAGTCTTTGGCTTGGGCGTGAGGCCTACATTTCTGGCACAACTAAATGACCTAGGGACACCCCTCCTGGCCTTCTGGGAAGATCAGAACGCTCTGAGGGAAGCCGAGCATTCACGTTTTTCTAAGGGGAATAATGGAGAAGGGCTAGGGTAGCCAGGTGCCTCTGTTAGTTCTTTCTACGGTCCTCACTCCAGGGATGGGCCTAGCCTGGCCATAGCAGTGAGTCAGATTAGCCAGAGGCTCTGGGAACACCTGGGGTTCCTGGGTGCAGCTGGCTGCATATTAGGCAGGACTAATGAACAGGTGCAGGACAGGGCTGGGTTGGCGGGTAAAGTGCCCAGAGACTCTCCAAACCCTCAAGTGGGGCGGGGTCCGCCCAAGAGCACACCTGTGGTGAGGCCCCCACCATCTGATGAGCTGTGTTACGTCTGTGCCCCTCGGGAGTACGGAAAGTGGAGGAGCTGGGCCCCAGAGAAATGGGCTACCCCAGAGCTGGCAGCCCCACCAGAGGGGATCTGGATCCCCTGCCAAGCAATTAAGCTGCCCCCTCCTGGCCAACTCCCCTTCTGCCCCTCACCACTGGGTTGGCTCTCCATCCAGTGGCCCCATATTTCCTGTTGACATTGGGGTGCAAGGCCTTTTCCACAACCAAGGGCAGCACTGGTTCTATTTCTGCAGGTCCCTCTCCTCTGTGTGCTTGCCAAGACCCAGATCCCAGACAAGCACCACCCTGCACACTGTTTTTATTTAATCCTCTTGGCCACCCAGAGAGGCAGGGCTTATCAACCCTACTCTACCTGTGAGGAAAACTGAGACAGAAAAAGATGCTGCGGGTTGCCCTGAGCCACCTTGATGGGCTTCCAAGCCGATGGTCATGACAGCATAGTGTAGTGTGATAGAATCAGCTAGATGGGTTTCAGGGTATTCGTCTGGGGTGGTGATGCCCACACCAAATCATTAAATCAGAAAATGCTTGCGATGACCAGCCCATGATGACCCTTTACAAGTGGAAGTCAGTATTACTGCTGTTTTCTGGAGGGAAGGAGTTGAGGATCATACCAGCTTTTTCCGAGCACTATACCACTCAGACATGGGTGCTCTTACCCACTTCAAAACCCTCTGAGAATGCCAAACAACCATCGCAGTCTGGAAGTTCTTCCTTATCTATTCCGAAGCTCTCTTGCTAGAAGTCTGTCCTAAATAATACTAACAAGGGTTAGAGGTATAGCTGAAGAGACCAGCAGTCAGCCCAAGGAGGGCTTCATAAATTAATGTTTGGTGGGAATATCAGTGAAGGACTATATTTGGCTGCACAGAACAGAAACCTGCTGCAGTGACTTAACCAATGAATAGAGATTTATTTTTCCTTATAGTATAGAAAGCTCACAGGGTGGCAATGCAGTATTGGTGTGACAGCTCCACAATGCCATTGGACACCCACCTTCATCTGCTTTCCACTTCAACATGCTTAGAGAGTAGTTTTGGCCTCATAATCACAACAGGGCTGCTCTACCTCTGGACATCACATACATATTTCAAATAGGGAAAAGGCGAAGAAGAGATAGGCAGAGGCCAGTCCGGTTTGTGCTCTTCGGAAAAAAAAAATTAGTAAAATAATAGTTTTCCCAGAATCCTTTCATTCATTTTATTTCTACCAGAGCTGCTGCCAGCAGTGACAGGAAGTCTCGAGAGATACGTGTTTTTAGCTGTCCCGAGAAACATCAAAGTTCTGTCAGTACAGTGGAAGGGGAGAATGAATGGTGAGGAAGATGTTACATTTAGCAATGTTAAAGCCAATGAAGTCACTGAGGGGCTGCTTCTCAGATATGCAAGTCCAGAAATGTTAATAGCTTGACTAACAGAGATTCCTCTCTAGGGAGTGGACCAGGGCTGACAGTCTTACCAGAAAAATAATTATAAAGTAACACATCAACGAAGCATTTTACCAGTGAGAATTGCAACAGCCCAGTGACTGGGACTCCTTTCCTCTACTGCTCAGGACATTGTTCACCCTGCAGAAAATCCATGGTGCTTAGAAGACAGATTCCCAGGGAAGGAGTGTATGAAGTCTGCTGGGGGCTCTCGGGTGGGGCTGCCTTAACCTTCTCCAGCCTCCCCAGAGATCCAGCTACCAAAGCAGCCAGGCTACTTGTATCCACAGTTAAGGCCACCTCTGGGCTGGGGAACTGGGGGGGAAATTCTTGCTTTTTGGCTCAGTTCTGTTCAATGCACATGTACTGAGTGCCTACTGTGGGCCAGGCCCTGCACTAAGGGTTAGAGCAGAAGAGATGCATTAGGTACAACCCCTGTCCTTGGGGAGATCTTAGTCCACTGGCCTGGGGGGACTCCCCATTTCCAAGACTTCATGGAGACCACTGCTTCTCTGTGAACACATTGTTCCTTCCATCTCCACTGGCTTGTTCCTCTTGGTGTGTGTGTACACAGACATGCACACACACACACACATGCACTCACACACACAATCAAGTTATTCTTATCTTAAACACAAAACCTAACAAGCTTCTCTCATCCTTTCCGTCATCTTCTTAGGCCTCTTTTTCTCCCTTCCCCTATAGAATCAACCTTCCTAACCGTCTGGACTCTTGGTCTCAGTTTTTCATCTTCCGTTTTCTCTCCCGGACCCACTGTGTTGCAGACTCCCCTATCAACTGCAATGAGATCTCTTTGACCAGCACCACCAATCTCCTACCAGCTGCCAAATTTAATGGAGCCTTTTGCCTTTGACTTCCTTGACCACTGTCTTAGGTCAGGTTTCCTGAAAGCAGGGCCTGAGATGGAGATTCACGTGCATTTGATTTTTTTGAGGGTGTACTCTCAGGGGAAATCTGTAGGGGAGTGAGTGATACAGAAGAGAGAGAGGGAAGAGCTGAACAAATATGTGGTTTCAGGTGAAGTCCAGCCATAGCCTGATCCCATGGGGGACTCTGGAGCACAGGCTGCACTGCGGGGTCTGTCTTGCTTTTTACCCTGCAATGGTCAGTCATTGACCATGACTGGGGCTGGGGGCAGCATCCTGCATGACTGTCTGGCACCTGCAGCAGAGACCGTTTTAATACCCCAAGGCAAGTCTCCAGGGAAGGGTTAAGATTTCAGTTAGCACCCACAGCAGCTGGGGACATGCAAACCAAACCAAAACAGTTAAGGGGAGCTCAGGGAATCTGAGTAGGACACTATATTAGTCTGTTCTCACACTGCTATAAAGAACTGCCTGAGACTAGGTAATTTATAAAGAAAGGAGGTTTAATTGACTCACAGTTTCGCATGGCTGGGGAGGCCTCAGGAAACTTACAATCATGGTGGAAGGGGAAGCATGTCTTACATGGCAGCAAGTGAGAGAAAGAGAGAGAGAGAGGAGGAAAAACTATCAAACACTTATATAATCATCAGATCTCATGAGAACTCACTATCACGAGAACAGCATGGGGGAAACTGCCCACATGATCCAATCACCTCCCACCAGGTCCCTCCCTCGCCACATAGGGATTATGGGGATTACCACTCAAGATGAGATCTGGGTGGGGACAAAGAGCCAAACCATATCAGACACCAACAGTATCTGCTACATTCTTGCTGCTGCATTTGGAGAATGTTAGCAAGTTCTCCCCTTTCCTGGTTTTCTGACACCATCCCTCTAATTTTTACTGGAGAGAATCATGGCCCACCCCAACCTAACCAAGCATCTTACATCTCAGCAACAACCACACTGTAGTAATGTTTTCGGTTCTTAGGACCCAGGTGCTCACCACAGCTTCCAAAAGAGAGTTGCTGACGATTGTCTTAGTCACAATCTCATCGGTTGTGGCATTTGTCATTCCACTGACCACAACCCTGTTGATTCCAGGACAACTCAAGTCTGCTCTCAGCGAATATGTGGCCAGGCTGGAGGGGGTGAAGTTACTCAGGAGCAACAAGAGGCTGGGTGCCATCAGGGCCCGGATGCTGGGGGCCACCAGAGCCACCGGGGATGTGCTCGTCTTCATGGATGCCCACTGCGAGTGCCACCCAGGCTGGCTGGAGCCCCTCCTCAGCAGAATAGCTGGTGACAGGTAACTTATTCCCTGGGCTTGCAAAGCAAGACATGGAACTGGGAGAAACAGTCTACAGCATCAGCCACTCACAGAGCAACCCACCTATTAATTCCTGAATCTCCATTAGAGAGTGATATATTCCCTTCGGGTTTTCAGATGTGTAAGTTTTTTAAGACTATAGAGTTAGAGTTGGAAAGGAGGTTAGAGGTCTTCATCTACCTTGCTTTATAGATAAAGAAACCGAGGCCTGGAGAACAGCTTCTATGAGGTTGCAAATACTTAAAATTGTATTAAATTGCATGACGAGGGTAACACCTTACCATAGCTATCATTGCCTTTGGTGAAAATTTGGCAATTTTTTTTTCTTTTTCTTTTTCTTTTTCTTTTTCTTTTTGTGATGGCGTCTCGCTCTGTCACCCAGGCTGGAGTGCAGCGGGGCGATCTCGGCTCACTGCAAGCTGCGCCTCCCGGGTTCACGCCATTCTCCTGCTTCAGCCTCCCGAGTAGCTGGGACTACAGGCGCCCGCCACCACACCCGGCTAATTTTTTGTATTTTTAGTAGAGAAGGGGTTTCACCGTGTTAGCCAGGATGGTCTCGATCTCCTGACTTCGTGATCCGCCCTCCTCAGCCTCCCAAAGTGCTGGGATTACAGGCGTGAGCCACCGCGCCTGGCCGAAAATTCGTCAATTTTAATCAAGCTTGTAACATAACCTGGGGAAAAAGTCTCTGAACTACACTAGGCCGTAGATTACTCACCCATAAAAAGAAAACATTATGTTCTCTGATCACTAAACAGCATTCTTTGTTTCCCCAGTTTATATAAGGGGTCCCTAATTTTCTACCTAAGGCCAGTCCTTGGAAATGTGAAGTTGGAGAGGACTGCATTACATTACCCTGTAGACAAGCATCTTAACATTTTTCTTGATCATTTCTCTGCTCTCCTTCCCCCATCTGACCGTCAATCTCTTTCTCACTTCCTTGCTCAAGACAAACAGTTCCTAAACATGTCTAGTCAAACATTACCCTCAATCTGAATATCCTACCCAGGAAAACTGAAACCTGGTGGCTGGCCCACCTTGGACCACCTCAGGCATACCACTTGGAGCTCATGTAGGCATGTAGCAGAGTAGAACCACAATCAATAATTGTTTGATGGTGCCCAGCAAGACAGGACCAATGCTAGAACCAAGCCTTATGACTTCTACCCATGATGAATGTTTATTATCTCACCTGAAGTTAGGGATGATCAATCAAATATAAGAAAAAATTCCTGGACCAGATCGGAATGAATCCTGGAGACATAGGAGTTACCATCAGCCAAATGGAGATGGTTTCAAACGTTCAAATGACAGAAAGTAAATTGTTAATAGTTCAGCATTCCATTTTAACAAAGAAGAACAATCGGAACTCAAGTGAGATCAAGACAGATTAATGTTTCCCAGTTTCATGAGACAGATTGTCTCTTGACTCACATCTCATAAGAAAAGAAGACACACATAAATTCAGCACTAGGACAAGAACTAGGACACAAAAATGCACAAGCTGGCCAGGCACGGTGGCTCATGCCTGTAATCCCAGCACTTTGGGAGGCCGAGGCAGACGGATCACCTGAGGTCAGGAGTTCGAGACCAGCCTGGCCAACATGGTGAAACCCCATCTCTACTAAAAATACAAAAATTAACTGGGTGTGGTAGCGTGCGCCTGTAATCCCAGCTACTCGGGAGGCTGAGGTGGGAGAATCACTTGAACCTGGGAGGCAGAGGTTAAAGTGAGCCAAGATCGTGCTACTGCACTCCAGCCTGGGCAACAGAGCAAGACTCCATCCCGAAAAGAAAAGAAAATGCACAAGCCCTCCAAAGCTGCCATTTTTGATTCTGTTTCATGCAAAGGGCCATCTTGAAATCAGAGCGATGTCTATCATTGGAGTCAGACTCTGAAGTTGATCTTGCCCATTTCCCATCTGATTCCCATTCTGGTATCACAGACAGGTGGCTCTCAGAGGGACCATGAAGATCATCTTGTCTTACCTCATGATTTCGCTATCGAGAACCCTGAGTTCCAGGAAAGTAAAAAAGACCCCTCAGGGTCACACAGCCATTTGACAACTGGGCTGTTTTCTATGCTGCTTTTATGCAGACATTTAGAAATGCAGTAATTAACATCATTAAACTTTATGTATGTGTAACCCTCGCAGACTTCTTTCATATGCCTTCTTTAATGACCCCCATGAGAGGCCTCAGGCAGGTATTTTAGCTTCTGTTTTATAGGGGGAGAAATTGAGGCTCAGAGAGGTGACATGATATGTAAGGGCAGATAATTCGTAGCTGAGTCAGATTTTCTGACTCTGGGTCCAGTGCTGTTTTTATTGTGTACATTTTCTTTTTAAGAGTTGGAGAAGCTGGTCAGGGAGGAACATTAGTCATCCCTAACCCCACAACTGGTTATGAGACATGTGTTACCTGCTGCTGTGAGTCCCTCGTATCTGCTTCTCACATCGGGGCCCCATTTCCCAGAGCTAGGTGAAGGTAGAAAGACGTGGCACTACCTCAGTGTCCTAGGCTAGAAAGAAAATGAGGCTCCCTGGGAAGCCCTTTGTGATTAAGAGACATTCTAGTTTCCTGTGCCCTTCCCCTCTCCTCTTTTCCTCTCCTGTCTGTCTCTGCCTCTCTACCTCTCTCACGGTCTTTGTCTCTCTCTGTCTCTTGGTCACTCATTCTCTCTCTCTCTCTCTCTCTCTCACACACACACACACACACACACACACACACACACACACACACACAGTGGGCCTCTGATCCTGGTGTGTTACTGGCTTGCCTTCCTCTTTGGGTTCCATCTCTTCTGCGTGATGTGACCACATTTTCATCATCTCTACACCTCATTCATGGCTTCTTGTCCACTGTGTTTTCTCTGGGCCCTAGTGTCCAGCTTTTAGGCACTGGCAGGTGAGGATCTGGAAGAAAAGCCACCTTTCTGGTATCTGAGTCCCACTCTCTCCACTCCACCTGGCAACGCTCTATGAGCTGTGGCAGGGAGAGCAGCCTCATTCAGTGTGTGCTTTACTCCCCCAGGGACGTCGCCCACGTGCCTCATACAAAGCCAAGCTGTGGAAGGCATTTGGTGCAGCTCCTCACATGGAGAGGAGAGGGGGCCCAGCTGTCTCCAAGGCTTGTGTCAGGAGACATTCTGTCACCAGATGAGGACACAGTGCCCAAAAGACAGAAAAGGGTCTTTAAGAGCTCTTATAAAAAAAAAAAAGTGGGGTGGGAGTGGTGAGTGAACAGTGCAGTAAGCCACAAATCAGCTCTTTCAAAGAGCCGTAGCCTCCTCCACACCCTGGCCAAGGAATTCAGAGCCTGCTGACCAGCCTTTGTTCCCTGTCCCTGCCTAGCAGGTTCCCACTAGCCATGTGGCAACTTTATTTGAATTGGTAGAAATCCCTTCCTCATGACCATTCCTCCTGACTCCCATTCCTCAGAAAATTGGTCATAATATACTGATTTTATTAGAATAAGACATCTTAATGCCAACTGTCAGCAAGTTGTTGAAATAAAAATGCAAATTTACAGTAATGATAATATTAGAGATGTTCTCTTGGGTTGCACAGTGCGCAACTCCTGTAACTGTTCATAGCAACCCTACATAGAGTCTCCCTATGGGCAACTGATTTTAGGGCAGCCCTGGGAGATGCTGATTGATGGCCAGTTTCTACACAAAGTAACAATGATGGGAATCAAGACTAGCTGTTGTATCCAGCTCTCAGCTGACTTGTGTTGACTGCCAGCTCTCATACCCAAGCCAAGCAGTGGAAGCCATACCCCTGGAAGGATGAAGGTTTCTAAGGGGAAAGGGACAGTCTTGAAAGGGGCTGAAAGATGATATCATCTCAAGAAGCTGAACAAGTTATCTCTTACTTGAAAATGGGTCTGGTCCCTATCTGCGAGACATCCGGTCCTTCAGGATCAGCCAGGGGTGCTATGGGGAGAAGCAATGTGGGGCAGGGAGAAGAACACCTCCCACTCTGCCCTTTGAAGGGTTAAATGATGGAAAGCAGTGTAAGAACCCCTTGTGCTTGTGCATGTGAGTCAGTGTGTGTGTGTAAGCATGTGAGAGTCTGAGTGTGGGGGGGAGCGAGCATGTGCGTGCGTGTGTGTGTGCGCGCGCATGTGCGCGTCAAGGAGCAGCAGGAGGTCAGGATGCCTCCTGCCCCCCCAGAGGGAGCAGCCTTCTTTGGCTCAGGTGCCCCAAGGAAACTCTCCAGCAACCATCGTACTTCATACCCTTCAGCATGACACGTCCTCGTATCTGCCCCTGGAAAAGCCGATGCCAGTCCTGCGGTCACAACTGAGCAGCAAGAGCACTGGGAAGGGAGAATTCAGAGCCTTCTGCTTCTAGTATAAGAGACTTTCCACAAACACCAAGAATACGCATGAACTTTCAAAATGGCTTGTGTATCATGGACCTTGAGGAACATCCAGGCTCACGAGAATTAACAAGGAATGAGATAAACGAGGGCTTATTCTTTATTGTGGTAAAAGGTTATGGGAAGCTTGAAACTACAGTTAGCTCTTGAATATCTGGACAGTAATGTATTCGTTGATCTCACGTATTTCAGTGAACCAGTCTTTGTTGGCAGCTTGACTCCTTCTGTTTGCCTTTTGAAACATAAGCACTTGATCTCCTGGAACTTAGGCTCAACATAGGATCAACCTTGTACCTGCCTGAGGGTTAAAACTCAATTCACAGGTGAGGGACTGACGAAGTAAGCAGACACTTCCAGCTCCTTCCAAGTCAAACGAGGTCAGCTCGCTATTTTGCTTGACGTGAATTCCAAGAACACCAGACACATCGGTAGGTACAAAACCACAAAGCTAAATAGAAGACTGTGGGTTTTTTATTTGAATTAATCACCGTTTTTGAGTCAGTAGACTACAGTTAGTAATTTAGTCCTGCTAGGCAGCCACTGTGGTCCATGGGAATAAAGACCAAAATAGAAAACACTCCTCACTTCATTCACTGACATTTTATTCTTTATCTCTATCCAAAATGTACTCAGGGAAGCTCATGATTAATCACTCTTGTATACAGTTAAAATAGAGGAAAAAGAAGATTTCAGAAAGGAAAAGAGGGTATTGGGAATCAGGGGTAATACAGTTATTAGAAGTGAGTTTTACATGTGACTCTGAGCTTCCAGAAAGACAAAACAAAAAGAGAAACATAATGAATTTTAGAATTCTCATTTTCTAATAAAAAGCAACGTACTCCTTTGTTAAGAAGTACACAGCACAGGCTGGGTGCAGTGGCTCATACCTGTAATCTCAGCACTTTGGGAGGCCAAGGCTGGCAGATCACTTTGAGCTCAGGAGTTCGAGACTAGCCTCAACAACATGGCGAAATCCCATTTCTACACGCACACACACCCCCACACTAGCCGGGCATGGTGGCTCATGCCTGTAGTCCCAGCTACTCGGGGAGCTGAGGCTGAAGAATCCTTGGGCCTGGGAAGTGGAGGTTGCAGTGAGCGCAGATTGTGCCACTGCACTCCAGTCTGGGCGACAGAGTGAGACCATTTAAAAAAAAAAAAAGGCCGGGCGCGATGGTTCACGCCTGTAATCCCCAGCACTTTGGGAGGCTGAGGTTGGGGGATCACTAGGTCAGGAGATCGAGACCATCCTGGCTAACACGGTGAAAACCCGTGTATACTAAAAATACAAAAATTAGCCGGGCGTTGTGGCGGGCACCTGTAGTCCCAGCTACTTGGGAGGCTGAGGCAGGAGAATGGCGTGAACCTGGGAGGCGGAGCTTGCAGTGAACCGAGATCACGCCACTGCCCTCCAGCCTGGATAACAAAGCGAGACTCTGTCTAAAAAAAAAAAAAAAAAAAAAAAAGAAAGAAAGAAATACACAGCATAGAGGTCTAGGATGAATTGATTGCAGGAATGCTTGAATACAAGTCCCTTTCTTGTCCTCTTATGATTGCTGAAGGTGGCACAAATTTCATGCATTTCTTCCTAATTCAGCCACACAGTTCCCTGGCTCTTGATTCCAAAATTCCACAAAATGCTTTGCCAATAGCCAAATTTATCCATCTGCCTGATTCATTACACAGTAAGTGGAGGCTCTGGAAGGGGCTCTGGGTGCCCTCATTTCCTCCCTGGTCTAGGTTCTCAGTTTTCTTAGGTCAATACAGGGTACCCCAAAATAGGGGAAACCCAGAGGGATTATGTTCCCTTTGCCTTCCAGCAGAAACAATGTGAAAGAGGCAGGAAAAGCATATTAAGATCCTTGCTCTAAATATAGACCCCACAACTCCTTACACTTATGTCAGTTACCTAAAGCCATAGATTAAAGCAGATAATGAAATCATGGGGCCACCCTGGCTCTATCCAAGACAATGGAACAGAGATGGAATTTGATGGTAGTGTAAACACAATGTGGCTAGTATCTCCCCTCCCAGGAATCTCACTTCTCTTAGAGTGATATCTTCTAGCCACCCTGAAGTTCAGGCCTGATTCATTCCATGGCACAGATTGAAGACATAATTACCATGACAGGCCAGGGGGAGAAAATGTGATTGAGATATTGGCTAGGTGGATAGCAGCTCCTGGGACACCTGAGTGATTACCTACTTAGTTAAAAAGTATATGACCCATGTCAATTTCTCACATCACTCTGCAGTCATATCTCCAGGCTGTAAAAAAAAAAAAAAAAAAAAAAAAAAAAAAAAAAAAAAAAAATTGGGCCTAAAATTCCCCACCATTACCGGGAAATGAGCAAATAACCCAAAATAGTCAGGACTTTGATTATAGATACCAGATGTTCATATATGCATGCATTGACAGTAGGGTTACTTCTAGGGCTTGGAAATCCTGATTTCTCAAGCCAATCCAGTTTTACACTACAAGGAGGAAGAAGAACTAGACCTGAGAGCAGGGGTCCATAAACTCTCTGACATCGTGCACAATATTTTTTATATGGACATGGAAGATTTCATTCAGGAGTGGCCCATAGTTTTCCCCTGAATCTCAAAGGGATCAAGCACCCCAAAAGAAGTTAAGAGCCACAGTCCTAGAGCATTGCAGCTGAGAAAGGCCTTTGTGGGAAGTAGTTCAACCTCCCATTCTACAAATGAGGAAACTGAGGCCCAGAGAGGTATAACAGGTATCTCAAGATTACATAGTTCATTAGTAGCAGAGCTGAGCCTAGGACCCGTCTCTGTATCTCTCAGTGCTGTCAAGAAAGGTTTTTGAAGAAAGAAAAGTACTGGCATGCTCTTTAAAGCAATACACCCTAATTCCTTATGGAAAAACATTTTCTAGAACTGTGCTATATAATATAAATATAACACAAGCCACATATGTAATTAAAATACTTCTAATAGTCACATTACAAAATAAAAATAAACAGATGAAGTTAATTTTAATAATATAGTTCAGTAAACCCAATATATCCAAAATATTACCATTTCAACATATAATCAATGTAAAAATTATTAAGATTTTTGCATCATTTTTTCCATACTAAGTATTCTTAATCCAGGGTGTATTTTACACTTACTCCACACCTGATTTGGATAAACCCATTTTAGGTACGGGTGTCTGGTAGCCACCATACTGGGCAGCCCATGTACAGACTGTTTCCAGCCCCAGCAAGTAAATGCTTTACGTCCCTTGTTTAATTCCACAATTCTTTCCAGGAGCCGAGTGGTATCTCCGGTGATAGATGTGATTGACTGGAAGACTTTCCAGTATTACCCCTCAAAGGACCTGCAGCGTGGGGTGTTGGACTGGAAGCTGGATTTCCACTGGGAACCTTTGCCAGAGCATGTGAGGAAGGCCCTCCAGTCCCCCATAAGCCCCATCAGGTGAGTCCCCATTTCACACCTGCTTTGCCATTGCCTCCTCAGGATGGACTCTGCAGCCTGCCTGCCTGGGGTCTAATCCTACCTCCACAGTTTCCTAGTAAATTACTTAATGTATGCCACAGTTTCCTTTTCAGTAAATTGAGAGCAATCATAGTATTTACCTATAAGGGTTACCCTATAAGGGTTGTTGTGAAGATTGAATGAACTAATATGTGAAAAGCACTTAGAGAGTGCCAGGCACCCAGATGTAGGTGCTACCACCATTATATTGTCATATTCATAAAGTTCCGACAGGGTCTTCCAGATAGCATCAGTTAATGCCCCAGTGTGTGGCAACCTGAGATGGAATCTTGGCCCAGCTCTCTCATCAGGTACAGTGTGAATTCCTCAGGTCTCGTCTTAGCAAATAGGAAGAATTCAACCAGGTGAATGCTAAGAACCATAGGTCTCAAATATATCCTATTGTATGGGTCGCTTCTCACATGTTTGGTTTTTGGATGACTCTTCTATTTAAGTAGAAGTACTAGATATCTTATGCATAACAAATCACCTCAAACTTGGTGTAAAACACAGCCATTTTATTAAGCTCATGAATTCTGTGGGATATGAATTCTGAAAGGACACAGTGGGGTTGGTTGTCTGCCCCCATGGTTTCTGGGGTACATAAGGATTTTTAAAGTTTCCCAACACTATAAAGCCAGTGAGAGGTGAATCCAGAATTTAAACCCAGACAGCCAGGCCCTTGAGACGACTGCTTCACTGCTATGCTATATTTTAAATACAAGGCCACAGTTCATTATTCACAATTGCAAAATCCAAAAAGCTCTAAAAACCAAACATTTGTTTAATAATTCATTAGGCAGCAGGCCAGATGCAGTGACTCATGCCTGTAATCCTAGCACTTTGGGAGGCAGAGGCGGGCTGATCACTCGAGGCCAGGAGTTCGAGACCAACCTGGCCATCATGGCGAAACCCCATCTCTACTAAAATTACAAAAAAAAATTAGCTGGGCATGGTAGCACACTCCTGTAGTCCCAGTTACTTGGGAGGCTGAGGCACAAGAATCACTGGAACCCAGGAGGCAGAGGTTGCAATGAGCTGAGACCACACTACTGCACTCTAGCCTGGGTGACAGAGCAAGATTCTGTCTCAAAAACAAAAAACAAAAACAAAATCATTAGGCAGCAAAAGCTGCCCTGAACTGACATGGGGTGTCTGCATTGGCCTTATTTATCCCACTTACTGCTTACTGTGAAAATATGTGTGTTTCATCAAAGAAATATTAGTATATTTGACTAAAGAGTGCCGGGCAGACCCCACTAGGACTGATGTGTGGTATACGATGTATGTCCCTCTTTAAAGTCCAAAAAATTCTGCATTAAAAAGCACACTGGTCCCACAGGTGTCAGAAAAGGAATGCTGAACTTGTAACATCAAAATCCAGTGAGCGTTTAAAATGTGGCATGCACAGAGCTACATATTTTACATGGCTTACCTTAGTCATCCCGCAAAACCCAATTATGAAACACTATTTTATCCCCAATTAGAGGTGAGGAAGCTGAGCTCAAAGACACATAGCCCACCTAAGATCTTACAAATTGGGAGTGGCAGAGTTGGAAATTATACTGAATAATCATTACAATATCAGTTTTTAGTATTTTGGTATAATGTAGAATTTTTATAACCTAAAGACCAGTAGCTTTGTTAATGCATTACTATTTCTTTGGTAATTAAGAAAAATCTGAACTCTTAGTCATTTACACTTTGAAAAATTCCCAGAGTTTGGCTGCATTCAAATTTGTTCCTCCTAGATGAAGGGACCCTTTTTCAAAAACCCTCTGACTACATCTTTCTCTGTTTAAAATCCCTCTGAGGGATATTATGATCTTAATTCCCTTATTAAAGGTTTCTAGCTTCTTGTGTTTATAAATCATGTATTTTTCCCCTAGGGCAGTGGGGACTTATCTGCTTCCAGGGTCCCTGGTGGATTCATCATAGAATTGGGAAGAGGGTGGATGGTCATTAGGAAAACAGAAGAGGGTGAGAAAAAGAAAGGAGGAAAGAGCCTGACCATGTCGCCGTGTCAGGCCTGGTGCTACCTCTCTTAGAGTACCTGATTTTAAGCAAGGCCTTCTTCCCAAACATCTTTCCAGAGGGACTCAAGCCAGAGGGCAGGGGAGTCTCAGGTGTGGTCCCTAGGCCCTCTCTAGGAGCAGTATCTGAGGACAGAGTATAGAAGGCCCAGGCAAGAATAGCTCTCTTTCCATCAAACACTGGGATTTCTGACATCGTGGCTCTGCTCCAGTCTTGCAATTAAAAAATTGCATTTTACCTGAGCCTAAAGCCTGTTCTCTCAGCCACTGGAGCTCCCACCTGGGAAGCCCCAGCCCCCAGCCTCGCCTGCTGTGCTCTGGGTTCTGAACTGCAGTGTCCTGCCTGTCTTCTGTGTCCAGGAGCCCTGTGGTGCCCGGAGAGGTGGTGGCCATGGACAGACATTACTTCCAAAACACTGGAGCGTATGACTCTCTTATGTCGCTGCGAGGTGGTGAAAACCTCGAACTGTCTTTCAAGGTATGTCCTGGACCAAGGGAGGACAGAGGTGGGATCTCTGGAGTGGTGTGTATGGTCACAGCTCAGAGGCAGGCATTAGAAATGTCACTGGGAAGGAATGAGGCTGTGGGAAAATTATAAAGTCATTCCTGTGTTGTGTGTCAAACCTCCCATTTCTCACAGTTTCCCATCTCTCCTGTGCTGTAGCTTGGTTTCACTCTCAGTGCCTTCAAAACCTGCTTCCAGGAATAGGCATACTCTCAGTTATTTTAACTGCTGTGCGGAGATTCCAGAGGCTCTCATACATTCTCTATTCACAGCGCTCTTAGCATCTTAGTAATTTTTTCACAGCACCCATAGTCCAAAACAAATACCTGAAGTTCTGTGTATTGAGTAGTTTGGTCCAAACAATGTAATACTTGTCATAAAAACTTAGCACCTGTTGGGCACCACACAACTTCTCAAACCTTGGAGTCACCCTCATTTCCTGTCCCACATTGCTTTTCTAGCATGATACTTGCTTTTTCATCACAGTATCCTCCGAAAACCCAACACCAAAAAAAATTCATCATCAAGAGTGCAGAGATCTAATGCTGAAAGTGTGAATTACCTGACGCTTGTATTCTGCATGAAGTCCAACAGATGTCACCGTGTTTCTCTCAAAAATTTAACCCCAGACCCTATGAGTTTGCTGTGGCACCCTGGGGCACCTTGGCACATAATTTGGGAACTCCAGTTTTGGTGTTTCCATTCATATGCTGCTTATCCTAGGACAGTACTTCTACTTTAACCTTTATCCTCAAATGTGGAATGAAAGTCTTCCTGCCGAATGAACTCCAGCCGTTTGGGAGTGGGAGAGCAGAGGGAAATTTCTTGAAATAGTAAAGACTGTGTCTCAGGAAAGCTTGCTTCTGTCTCTACCACAAACAGCTTCTGGTGTCTTTGTAGCACACTTCACAAGCTTTGAGATATTCCCGGACCACTGAGATCATCTTTTTCCCTGAGGAAGTGTCCTTTGGGGAATAGGGGTGCTAATTCACATGCTACATCTCTCTAAGTGCTGGACCTGCATGTGTTTGAAGGGCAGCATATTCAGGTAGTTGCCTGGGGATGGCCCTCTTGTCCCCATTTTGGGACAACTACCTCTATTCTCTCCACCCTGTCACTCCCCTGCCCAGAACCTCCAAATCTGGAAACTCTACGCCACCCTGAGGACCATAATCATCTTCACCATTGAGTGCTCACGATTTCCTGTGCATTTTGCCAGCCCCTCATAGATAGGGCTCCCTATTTCCCGCCGTTCTTAAAGGTGGAATGCTGAGGTGTTTATCTTTTCCCTTCGTGGCAGGCCTGGCTCTGTGGTGGCTCTGTTGAAATCCTTCCCTGCTCTCGGGTAGGACACATCTACCAAAATCAGGATTCCCATTCCCCCCTCGACCAGGAGGCCACCCTGAGGAACAGGGTTCGCATTGCTGAGACCTGGCTGGGGTCATTCAAAGAAACCTTCTACAAGCATAGCCCAGAGGCCTTCTCCTTGAGCAAGGTAAGGAGAGAGCCAAGTGGGGCTTCTGTGTCCAGCACAGGGCCACTAGCAGGAGGTGGGCCAGGGAGGGCTCCTTTCTCTTGCCTGGAGGGGAAAACAGAAGATTCTGGCTTGAGCTTCCCTCATGCTGCCCTATTTTAAGTGGCTCCTCCACCTGGTGAGGCTGTCCTTTGTCTCTCTGGCTTCTCCATGGGACAGCACAGCTGGCCTTGGCCTGAAGCTCCCTAACATCTATGGGATGACATCTATGGGATGGGATCCCTCACCTGGGGCCAGGGGAGGGGTTGGCACAGAGAAGCGATGAGATGGGTCTCCAAGGCCAGGTCTCCTTTCATCCTGAGCAAAGGGCTCAGGGCTATGAAATGATCCAAGACATGAAACAAATATTAAATATAAAAATAGAGTCCAAAGGCCAGGCGCGGTGGCTCATGCCTGTAATCCCAGCACTTTGGGAGGCCGAGGTGGGTGGATCACGAGGTCAGGAGATCGAGACCATCCTGGCTAACATGGTGAAACCCCGTCTCTACTAAAAATACAAAAAATTAGCCAGGTGTGGTGGTGGGCGCCTGTGGTCCCTGCTACTCGGGAGGCTGAGGCAGGAGAATGGCATGAAGCTGGGAGGTGGAGTTTGAGGTGAGCTGAGATCACGCCACTGCACTCCAGCCTGAGTGACAGAGCAACTCCATCTCAAAAAAAAAAAAAAAAAAAATAGAGTCCAAAAAAGCCACAGAAAAATAAAAATTTTAAACATTTAAATGTCCACAAACAGCACATTATCAATTGGTCAGTGGCTGCTCAGCCCAGTCCTTCCAGATTGACCCATAAATGCTGTTTAATGTGGGAAATGGGTTCACATTAATGCTTGCTGTGCTGAAAGTGGGGGCTCCAAAGACAAGATTCCCAGGACCCACAACAGTCCTGGAGCAGCTCCCACAAGCCCCTTAGCAGCCCACACTGCTGGGGTGTGAGTTAGATGTGAGTTTGCATGCCACAGATGAAGCCTAGGCCGCTTAAATGGAAGGACATGCCTGAGTGCAGGGCCAGCCTGACAGGGAAGCCCCATAGAGCAGCCCCAGAGCTTCCCCTTCTGCCCTGGTCCTCAGGGCGCTGCCTCCTCCCCATTCTAGATCCAATCCTTTCCCTAAGTGGGAATAGCCTCCAGGGCCTGGGATGTGTCAGGGCTCCATGAACTTCAAGGATCTTTGTTTCTTTAGCTGGGGAGAGTGTTAACAGTACACAGAGTCCTGGGACTCAACAGTAATTCCCAAGGTCTAGGCAGGCTACAGTCTCCTCTTGGACCCCGTCGGTTAGTCACACTATTAAACAGAGTGGCACTGGCTCCTTTCCTGGTGCAGGAGAAATGCTGCTAACAGCAGCCTCCTTCGTTCCTCCAGGAAGGCATTGGGATTGAAAGGAAAACTCTCACAAGGACCCAGCTCACTTACTAGCTAGCATCTTTGTTCTTCTTTAGTCTCCTTCTCCATCGCCATCTGTGGGAAGTGGAAGCATGTGTCCAACTCTAGACACCGATCTAGAAGCTGTATAGTCTGATGGTTAAGCCCATGGACTCCAAGAACAAGATGGTTTGGGTTTAAGTATTGGTTATATGATCCGAAAGTTACTTAAACACTCAGTGTTTCTGCTTCCTCGTTTGTTAAGCTTTCCATCTGTTGTTAGGAAGAATAAATACGTTAATAAATCCAAAGCACTTTAGATGAGTGCCTGGCACTGAGTAAGCCCTGCTTGTGTGTTTACTATTAATACCATCGTTATTGTCATGGCTACTAATGGTCAAAAAAGGTCAACCAAGCACCTGCTCTGTGCCAGGCCCTGGGTGGGTCCTGCAGGGGACAGAGAACCATACCCAATGCTTATCAGGTTCTTGGTGGGGCAGGAGCTCCTCTGGAAGAGATAATGTTCACAGAGGTGAGAGTGATTCATCCTAGACAGGGTCATGACAGACATCTTTTCAGGGGAGGTCACATCTGAAGAATGGCTGAATGGGTTCAACTCAGACATCCAGAGGAGGAGTTGGGGGAAGACTCTGGAGCCCCTGAGGGTCAGGCTAAACAGTTTAGACTTTATTCAATTAGCAACAGGGAGCAACTGGCCTTCTACAGAGTTCTGTAGAGGTCCACAGAGCTTCTCTGGTTTTTACTCTCTTGGGTTTCTTTTGGCCAAACCATCTATTTTTCTCTCTTGGGATTTAGTATTAGCTCTTTGCTTTCAGAGGACATTTTCTTAACATTGGCACAGACTGCATTTGTAAAGAACTCTTAAAGAAGTGTTAAATGTTGCATAGTTTTTGATGCGCCAGACTAACTTTCCACCAGACAGGGTCATTAGGACATGGCATGTTGGCTGTGGCCAGCCTAATGCAACAGCATGCAAATTATTTACAGAACTTCAACCTTCTTCCCACATTGGTTGGTGCAATTAGAAGTGCCTGTGAATATATACTTTGTTCTAGACAATTACAGAAATTGGGGACTGGCATGATTTTTTAGAGCATGACTGGTCTGCTTTTGGGAAAATCCAGTTTGCTTGTCCAGATGGTGATTGCAGGATTTTTTAAGTGCTTGTTTGTATTCACCCAAGTCCTTCATTCTATAAAACAGAAAACTGAGGTCCCATGAGAGGGTGAGTTGCTAAAGAGAAGTGGGGAAAGAACCAGAAGTAGAACTAGAACTAGTCCAACCTTTTAGTATTTTTTCTCTCTTAGCTCTCTAACATCGAAACAGTAATCCTCAAATGTAGACACCATACTTTTCCAGAAATAGTTGGACGTCCATAAATAAGCTATCCTCTACAGTTCTGTCTGAATTTGGGGGAAGGCAAGGATGTATTTGGTATATCGAAGGTGCTCGGCTGGGCACAGTGGCTCATGCCTGTAATCCCAGCACTTTGGGAGGCCGAGGTGGGTGGATCATGAGGTCAAGAAATCGAGACCATCCTGGCTAACATGGTGAAACCCCGTCTCCACTAAAAATACAGAAATTAGTTGGGCATGGTGACACGTGCCTATAGTCACAGGTGCTCAGGAGGCTGAGGCAGGAGAATTGCTTGAACCCAGAAGGCGGAGGTTGTAGTGAGCTGAGATCATGCCACTGCACTCCAGCCTGGCAACAGAGGGAGACTCCGCCAAAAAAAAAAAAAAAAAAAGAAGAGGAAGAAGAAGAAGAAGAAGGCGCTCAATAAATGTTCCACAGACTTACAAGCTCAAAAAGGGCAGGAAGAGTATTTATTCTGCTGACCTTTAAATCTCCAATGCCTGGTTGAATCCCATGCACATAGTACGTGTTCCATAAACATTTATTGGTGGAATGGAATGGATGGATGGCAAAAAAATTTTTAAACCTGAGATCAACCTTTGGCTCTTGTTATCAGTGGTGAATCTATATGGTTCTGCAGCAACCTCAATTATTGCCTTCTCAGAAGAAAGAATTCAACTGAGGGGCATAAGGCAGAGTGAGGGACCAAAGCAAGTTTTAAAGCAGGAGTGAAAGTTTATTAAAAAGTCTACCAGGAGCTCAAGACCAGCCTGGGCAACATGGTGAAACCTTGTGTCTACAAAAAACTACAAAAATTAGCTGGGCGTGGTGGTGTGCACCTGTAGTGCCAGCTACTCGGGAGGCTGAGGTGGAAGGATGGCTTGAGCTAGGGAGGTGGAGTTTGTAGTGAGCTGATATCGCCCCACTGCACTTTAGCCTGCGAGCCAGAGCAAGACTCTGTCTCGGGAAAAAAAAAAAAAGTTTAGGGCAGAAATGAAAGTAAGTAAAGTACATTTGGAACAGGGCCAAGTGGGGGACTTGAGCGATCAATTAAGTGCGCAGTTTGATTTTTCACTTGGGGTCTTATACATTGGCATGCTTCTGGGGGCTTGTGTCCCTTTTTCCCTGATTCTTCCCCTGGCGGGGGCTGTTCACACGTGCAGTGGCCTGTTAGCCCTTGGGAGGGGAGCATGCGCAGTGTGTTTACTGAAATTTTTCGCATGCTCACGTGAGGCGTTACCAGTTGCGCATTCCCGGAGGAAGGTCATGTACCAGTTAAACGCCACCATTTTGCCTCTTAGTGCACATGCTTGAGCCCACTTGCCCAACTCCTGAGATCATATCGGGAAGCTGATCACCAATTTCAGGTTTTTCTATCTGTTGGGAGACTGCCGTTCCCTGGTGCCAGCTGCAACTAATTATTATTTTAGAGAGACAGTTAACAGCTGCCTAACCAACACCTGATGGTGGCCTGACATCCCTGGAGGTTGGGGGGGTCGGGGAAAATCCTCTCCTGCCCTGCTTATGTCTGACTAGCTACCTAATAAAACACTCTGACCTCTTAGAAGCTATTGACCCTGTGAAAGTCATTTAACCTCTAAGAACTCAGTAACTGTTGTGAGTATACTATAAAATGAAATGTGAAAGAGTGCTATGGAGAATAAGTGCTCGGCTTACTTTCATAAAGTCTACAGGTGAGGTACCTTTTTCTTCTTATATCCATTTGGGTGTCCATTCTCTGATTCACAGATGTCCACTTTGTTCATTTGATGACTTTTGCAAGGAGAATGGCACCCTTATTGGTCAGTGAGAAGAGCTTTAGCAGAGGGCTCCTTTTATTTCTCTCTCTGTTGAGCATTTCCATTAATTCATGCTTTGGAAATGTCCTATCACTTACTTTGATTTCAAGGTTTCAGTGACATTCCTACTTCCCTGAAGGTATTTGATAGCATGAATTTACTTTAAATTTAAATAACCAAAAGTTAATTTTGCCCTAAAGATTTCTATTTCTCCATCCACCCCAAAACCCCCACAAGGATTCTGAGAGACAGAAATCCTGGGCACCCAAAAGACAAGGCCAGACTTTTGCTGCTTGGGGAGCTGAAATTTCCTTGTTTTCTCTTCTCTCAGACATAATTGTACAGAAGGGAAAGTTCATTGTCAGCCTGCCCCTCACTCAAGGTCAAACAAAGATTGGGTAGATTTATCAGTTTATCTCTTTATCAAGGAAAGTAAAGGTGATAAAACTCATATGAAGAAATGTTTCTGTTTTGGTAGCAAAGTCCAACTCTGGGAAAGGTCTACGGAGGTCTCAAATAAACACAAAGAATGCCAAGAAGCCATCAAGAAACTTATACTAATTTACTTAGAGGAAAAAGTAATAGATCCCCTTGGTTTCATGGTGGGTAAATACACTGAATAAACAAGAAATCCCTGACTTAGAGAAGTTTTTCTCAAACTTTGTGTGAAAAAGACTCACCAGGAGACATGGTTAAAATGCAGATTCCAGGGCCTCCAACCCAAACAACTGTATCATCTCTGGGGCAGGGCCCAGGAATCTACATTTTTAACTAGCTCCGTGGCATTTCTCAGGCAGATGCTCAGGGAATCACACTTTGAGAAGTGTCTAGAGAGAATTTCAGTACAACAGACTTACCACATTTCCAGCTGAGGTCTAAAAGAGAGAGGGAAAGCAGAACCAAACCAATCATACTTTACACAGCCTGGTGGACCCGTGTCTTACTGTCAGATTGGAGGCCACCAAGTGGGAACTCTGACATGGCCAGCTCGCTTCCTCTCCCCATGCCAGGAAAGGGTTCTCTCTTTTTTTGTCTGTGGTCATTCCAACCCATCCTTGTCACCTCTCTCTTCCCTAAAAGTATCCAAGATTTGGTACTAAACTTTTGGATACAGTTCTTTGTATCATCAATATGGCCAAAAACATTAATTTGTACTAGTGTTCAGGATTTGCCTTCATCTCCATCCTAGGACAATTGTATCATAAAGGAGAATCTCAAAAAAAGGAGATAGTGTAGCCCAAAAGAATGATTCATTAATGGTACCCAGAGGTGAAGAAAGATAAATTTGCCTTGCCCCAACCCCTAGCCCACGATTTCCCAACCAACTTCATCTCAATTGCCTATGGGTCAGTTCCTGACTCCATGAGGCCCCTCGTAGTTTCTCCTTACACCAAGCTAGGTGCAAAGCCCCACCATTTTGCCAGCTTCTGCAGAAAAATCATTAAAGCACAGATATCATAGACTCTCTCTCTCTCTCTTTTTTTTTTTTTTTTTTTTTTGCGAGGAAGTCTTGCTCTGTCGCCCAGGCTGGAGTACAGTAACACGATCTTGGCTCACTGTAGCCTCTGCCTCCTGGGTTCAAGTGATTCTCCTGTCTCAGCCTCCTGAGTAACTGGGATTACAGGCATGCGCCACCACACCTGGCTAATTTTTTGTATTTTTAGTAGAGATGGGGTTTCACCATGTTGGCCAGGCTGGTCTTGAACTCCTGACCTCAAGTGATCCACCAGCCTCGGCCTCCCAAAGTGCTGGAGGTGTGAGCCACCACTCCCGGCCTATTGTAGTCTTTATAGACTGGAGATTTGAGGGATTGTGGGAAGGGGCTGATATCACTTACAGTCTTGCTGGTTCCACAACTCTCTGTAGGGAAGATCTGTGCTATTCTATCCCTTCCAGACCTTCTTCTCCCAACACATGACCCTCCCCACTGCAGCCCTGGAGAACTGTGGTCTTGGCCCCTTCCTTCTGTCCTGATCCTTTAGCTTCTTCCCAGCCACTCCATCCCCAACCATGTGAATTCTGGGCAAGACAAGCTTTCATCATCCTGCTTGTGTCTTTCTCCTCCCCAGGCTGAGAAGCCAGACTGCATGGAACGCTTGCAGCTGCAAAGGAGACTGGGTTGTCGGACATTCCACTGGTTTCTGGCTAATGTCTACCCTGAGCTGTACCCATCTGAACCCAGGCCCAGTTTCTCTGGAAAGGCAAGGCATGACCCAGGGAAGATGGGGAGGGACAGGGAAGCTTCCCAAGACAAGAACTAGATGTTCAGCTCTTCCATGTCCCTGGTCAACCATTCACGGTTTAGCAGGGCCTCAGAGGCCTTGGGTCCATCCCGTGCCTCCATGCCAGTCTGAGGAAGGTGGCTGAGTTTTGCCCCATTACCCACCCCAAAGCACCTCCTTCAAGAGGCCTGTCCCTTAGGGTCAGTGGCTTCAGCTTTACCACACCTGTTGTTGTGGCCTGAACAATGTGCCTTGGGCTGCACTCCAGAGAATACAGCAAAGGAATGGTGTCTGACCGAGGGTGTCTTTACAGTGGAATCTGGAATTCACTCCTGTGTGTGTGTCCACTTTCAGCTCCACAACACTGGACTTGGGCTCTGTGCAGACTGCCAGGCAGAAGGGGACATCCTGGGCTGTCCCATGGTGTTGGCTCCTTGCAGTGACAGCCGGCAGCAACAGGTGGGTAGTCAGACTTCTCAGGATGGATGATAGCCCAAGAAGACTTGAAAGTGGGCGATATTTTTCTGGGATGCCCCATACTTCCCTTTGAGGTATCTTCTTTCTGTGGTCCCATGTCCCTTGACTGCCATGGTCCCCCACTGTAATGACTCATCACAGCTCTCCTCACCTCACCTCCATCTGTAAGCACAGACATGTGCCATTGTCAGAAAATAAAAGCATCTTAGTTAAAGGGAAATGGAGAAGCCGTTTGGCCAAACTTTTCATTTGACAGATGAGAAAACTGAGGCTTAGGGTCACTAGCCCAGGGATTGCAAACTCAGAAGCCTCCAGGATTCAGGCAGGGTTCAGTTGTCCCAGGACTGAAGAAGAAGGTAATCAAATCAGGATAAGGATCTAGAGAAAACAGGGTCATCCCAGCCTCCAGCACCATTTGGTCATTAGGAAGGTCTCCTCATATCTTAGGAGTAATTCTTCTCTTCAAAATTTTCATCATGGAGTAACTGCCCAAAGTGGTAGAAATCCTCCACCGATGCTAGCTGAGGGCTGGTAGGTCCACTTCTTTTCACAACTGGATCACAACCTAGAAAGCCTAGCTTGTCCCCAAGTCTCTCTCTTTTCAGGGTGTGATAGGGACTTTTAAGTTATCACATCCCAAAGGCCCCTAATAAAACAAACATCAAAGTATAATTTCCTGGAGATATTCACTGGATGAGAATCAAAGATCTGGGGGGCAAAAGACAGCATCTCTCTGAGGGTCTGTGGTCCAGCCCTGCATGGAAGGCTGGCTGAGGCTGGGCTTGGCAGTGCAGGCCCTGGGTTCCTGGGGGCAGGCTGTGGGCCTATAGGACATGTGGGAGGGAGATGCTCAGGATCCATCCGGCCTCCTTTGGCTCTGCCCTTTACCAATCTCCTAGGACATACTGATAGGCATTCACACCTGGCACAAGGGATGCAGACATAAACATCAAGTGCTAAGTGAAGAAGCCACATGGTAGGGTGAAAATTGTTCAAGCTTTGCAGTCAGACATAGCTCGGTTTGAATCTGAGCTCTCTCATTTTCTAGCTGTGTGATCTTGGCAGGCTTCTTTAAATCCTGGTTTCCTCTCCTGCAATTAAGAATAATGCAGCCTCTACAGAGATTATTCTGGGTTTGAAAAAGAAGAATAAAAAAAAAAATAAAGAAACAAAAGAACAATACAGCCTCCTTCATGCAAAAGGAATATTAGCTCTTTCTTGTTCTTTTTTTTTTTTTTTGAAATAGTAAGGACTTTAGGATCCTGCAATATTGTAAACTAGAAAAGTTGAAAGCCTTTCCCTATAAACACCTAGATAAGATATGCCAGATAAAAAAATATGAAACACCCTTTTTCATGAATAAACGAGTTTATAAGAAAGAAAGGGAAACCTCCAGGGGTCAAAAAACAAGAGGCAACTGAAAGTAGAGGAATTGGACATGGGCGAAGCTGCCCTACCAAGTGTGAGGGATGGTTACTATGAGCCCCGGGAATCTACAGCTGTTGGCTGCATGCAAGGGATAAGTGACGAGAGCCCACCTTCAGCCCATGAGAGATGAAAAGTCAGAAATGACACCCCCATAGCAAGCCAGCTTTGACCTTCAAAGGGTAACCTGTCCTTGAAAAGTTTGACTAGAAATACCCACCCCCTGCCACAGGAAAATGGTAAGAAGCTTGTCCCTACAGGGGCTTTGAGTAGGAAACAAATTATTCTTCCCTGAGAATTTTTAACCACAAGCTTGCATCTAATATGGGCTTAGGTTCACATGTGTACTAATTGTGTAGCTTGGGAATCCTCAAGCAGGACAGGTTATCTAATTGCAGGGCCCAGTGCAAGATGACAATGTAGTCTTTAATTTGACAATTATTAAGAATTTCAAGACAGTGACAGCAGAGCATTAAATCAAGTTTATTAAACCCATCTAAGCATGAGGCCCCATGTGACTGCACAGGTCACATACCCATGAAGTTGATCCTGTCTGTAAGCCACAAAATTAATGTAGAAATGGGTTCAGGCTGCATCTGACAGAAACAAACAGAAAATAGTCTTTCCAGGACATGACTTCTAATTAATCATCACAAGATCCTCACAGTTAAAGCCCCTCTCAAAGGTGTGCACAATCCAACACTACAAAACACTAGAGGAAACAATAACCATGAGTGAGAGCCAGCAGATACAACAAACGGCAGGAAAGTTAGTTTCAGGAGCAGGTTAGGGCTCTCCAGAAAGACATCAACCTGGGCTTCAGAGAGGTTCCTCATCTGTGCTTTCAACAGTATAGTAACAAAACACACAGCACTTTTTATGGCCTCACCTATGATACGGTAAATAACGTAACAGAGAAACATGCCAGAATGTATAAATATGAATGTAAGAGCAGGTGGAATGTGGGGACTTCAGAGGCTATGACTAGTCTAGCAGCATGTTTTTGGACTTGACCATGAGATATGGTCTTTCTGACCCCGATAGAATCTGAAGATTGCCCCTAGACCTCAGCTCTATAGTGGGTTCTTCTTACCTCCTCTACAGCTTTGAAGAGGATCTCTTTCTAGCTGCGCTAACAACTATTGCTTCTGTCACAGTACCTGCAGCACACCAGCAGGAAGGAGATTCACTTTGGCAGCCCACAGCACCTGTGCTTTGCTGTCAGGCAGGAGCAGGTGATTCTTCAGAACTGCACGGAGGAAGGCCTGGCCATCCACCAGCAGCACTGGGACTTCCAGGAGGTGAGTAATCTGTTCAGGAAGAGCCTGGTAGTGCTGCTGGTCAGAAGGAACTGCTGGTTGGCATTGGATCCTGGGCTCTTCCAAGAGGTCAGGTATTAGGGACCTCTGCCTCTGCTTTTGAACTTAGTGGCTGGGCAGTAAGGCCTCAGGGGGAGGAAAAGGCAACCCAGCAGCAAAGTTGGCCCACTGGCATCTTCATATGTAATGATTTGCCAGGTCTCTGTGTAGCTCTGATGCTTGTCATTGCAGAGAGAGGGATACACCTCTTTTTGAAGTTTATTGGCTCAGTTCACAAGTAGGATGGTGAGGCATGTTACAAGGAACGTTCAGCCACCTTGGTGGTGTGGTTTTAGGAGCAATTCAAAGTCCCTCCCCCCACCAAGAAACTTTAGATACAGATGTAGATGTAAATATATAGATATATAGATATCACTTTCTTCCTTTCAATGCAAATTGCACTGTAAGTATTTCATCATTTTAGTAAAATTTTGACCCCTATTACCCTGGGGGAAAGAAACTATAGATCCTTCCCAGAAGTTAGGGAGGGAATAGGAGGAATGTCCGTACTTAAGGAGAGTGGGCAGGTCCTATATACAGAATCGGGATCGGAAGATGACAGTATCAACACTGTGTCCATACACAGCTTTTTCTCTACTTCAAATTCTTCCTGAAATGAGTTGGGGTATTAACATACAAAGAAATAAATACACACCTTTTAAAAATTTCTTCAACTTCTGCTGGGGAATAAAAAGGATAAAATGACTAAGCAGAATCCTGTGCATTGGTACTCTTAAAGCAGGCTGTGAAAGAAGAAAATCGTATGATAGAAAACTTAAGCTAAGCTCACAATAAGCACTTGAGAACAGAGCATTTGGGGCTTTGGTGACCAACTGAAGGCAGGACTCAAGGGGCCCACACATGCTCAAAGAAGTCTTTTTTTTTTTTTTTTTTTGGGACAGTGTCTCACTCTGTTACCCAGGTTGGAGTGCAGTGGTGCGATCTTGGCTAACTGCAGCCTCTGCCTCCCAGGTTCAAGCGATTCTTGTGCCTCAGCCTGCTGAATAGCTAGGATTGCAGGTGTGAGCCACTGCGCCTGGCTACTTTTTGTATTTTTTAGTAGAGACAGGGTTTTGCCATGTTGGCCAAGTTGGTCTCAAACTCCTGACCTCGGGTGATCCACCCACTCGGCCTCACAAATTGCCGGGATTACAGTTGTCAGCCACCATGTCTGGCCTCAAAGAAGTCTTATGAGTCAAGTTAAGGTCCTTTATAAATGATCATAAAGTATTTTTCTAAGCAAGTCCTATGAATAAGATATACTTTAGAAACAGCATTTAAAAATAATAAGTAAAATAAGTAATAATGAGTAAAAGATTAGGGAGTAAGATACACCCAGCATATTTCAGGCATTAATAAATAACTTCTAAAAGTTATTATCATTCAGCCAGAAAAAGGAATGAGGTACTATTCATAGTGGCACTGTTGACAATAGCCAAGAAGTGAAAGCAACCCAGGTGTCCACCATGGATGAAGAGATAACAAAATGTGGCATACACATATTATTCAGCCTTAAAAAGGAAGAAAATCCCATCACCTGCTACAACATGGGCATATCTTGAGGACATTATGCTGGTGAAATAAACCCATCACAAAAGGACAAAAACTGTATGATTCCACTTTTATGAGATATCTAAAGTAGTCAAATTAATAGAAACAGAAAGTAAAATAGTGGTTACCAGAGGCAGGCAGAGGAGGAGAAAAAGGGAATTTGTTTATTAATGGTTATAGAGTTTCACTTTTACAAGATGAAAAAGTTCTGGATATCTGTTTCATAACAATGTGAATATATTTAACACTATTGTAGTAGGCTATTCTTTTTTTTTTTTTTTTTTTTAAAGAGGGAGTTTCGCTCTTGTTGCCCAGGCTAGAGTTCAATGGCAGGATCTCGGCTCACTGCAACCTCTGCCTCCCGGGTTCAAGCGATTCTCCTGCCTCAGCCTCTTTAGTGGCTGAGATTAGAGGTGCCTGCCACCATGCCCAGCTAATTTTGTATTTTTAGTAGAGACGGGGTTTCCTCCATGTTGGCCAGGCTGGTCTCGAACTCCTGACATCAGGTAATCTGCCTGCCTCGGCCTCCCAAAGTGCTGGGATTACAAGTGTGAGCCACCACACCAGGCCTATTAGGCCATTCTTGCATTGCTATAAAGAAATACTAGAGACTGGGTAATTTATAAGAAAAAAGGTGTAATTGGCTCATGGTTCTGCAGGCTGTATAGGAAGCATAGTGGCATCTGCTTCTGGGGAGGCCTCAGAGAGCTTTTACTTATGGCAGAAGATGAAGTGGGAGCAGGCATATCACATGGTGAAAGCAGGAACAAGAGAAAGAGAGTGGGGGAGGGGGTGCCACACACTCTTAAATGACCAGATCCTCAAGAACTCGCTATCAAGAAGACAGCACGAAGCCATGAGGGATCTGTCCCCATGATCCAAACATCCCCCACCAAACCCCACCTCCAGCACTGGGAATTACAATTCAACATGAGATTTAGGGAGGACCAACATCCAAACTATATCAACTACTAAACTTTACACTTAAAAATGCCTAAGATTGTAAAAGTTTTGCTATGTGTTTTTATCACAATTTTTTTAAAAAAGAGGCCAGGCTCAATGGCTCACGCCTGTAATCCCAGCACTTCGGGAGGCCGAGGCAGGTGGATCACGAGGTCAGGAGGCTGAGACCAGCCTGGCCAATATGGTGAAACCCCGTTTCTACTAAAAACACAAAAACTAGCCAGGTGTGGTGGTGCACACCTCTAGTCTCAGCTACTCAGGAGGTTGAGGCAGGAGAATCGCTTGAACCCAGGAGGCAGAGGTTGCACTGAGCTGAGATCGTGCCACTGTACTCCAGCCTGGGTGACAGAGAGAGACTGTCTCAAAATAAATAAATAAATAAAAGAAAAAGAAAAAAAGAAGAAAAAGATTTGTGGTACAACATGGATGTACCTTAAAAATATTACACACGGTGCCCAACACTTTGAGAGGCAGAGGTGGGTGGATCACTTGAGGTCAGGAGTTCGAGACCAGCCTGGCCAATATGGGTTTTTAGTAGAGAAAACCCATCTCTACTAAAAATACAAAAAATTAGCTGGGCATGGTGTCACATGCCTGTAATCCCAGCTACACGGGAGGCTGCAGTAGGAGAATCGCTTGAACCTGGGAGATGGAGGTTGCAATGAGCCGAGATCACACCACTGTACTCCCGCCTGGGTGACAGAGCAAGACTCCTTCTTGGAAAAAAAAAAAAAAATTACACAAAGTGAAAGAAGCCAGTTTCAAAAGGCCACATTTATATAGTTCCATTTATACAAAATGTCCAGAATAGGAAAATCCATAAATATAGAAAGTAGATTAATGATTAGTTTCTGGGAGGAGGGAGGAATGGGGAGTGACTGCTGATGGACAGTGGGTTTCTTTTTACGTAATGAAAATATTCTGGAAGTAGGTAGGAGTGAAGGTTGCACAACTTTGTGAATATACTAAAAACCACCAACTTGTGTACTTTAAAGGGGTAGTATTATGATCTCTATACTAGTCTGTTCTCACACTGCTATAAAGACATACCTGAGACTGGGTAGTTTATGAAAAAAAAAGAGGTTTAATTGACTCACAGTTCTGCAGGCTGCACAGGAAGCATGGCTGAGGAGGCCTCAGGAAACTTACAATCATGGCAGAAGGCGAAGAGGAAGCAAGCCCCGTCCTTACATGGCGGAGCAAGGGAGAGAGAGAGCGAAGGAGGAGGTGCTACACACTTCCAAACAACCAATCTTGTGAGAACTCTATCAAGAAAACAGCAAGGGGGAAGTCTGCCCCATGATTCAATCACCTCCCACCAGGCCCCTCTTCCAACACTGGGAATTACAATTCAACATGAGATTTCAGTGGGGACACAGAACCAAACCATATCAATCTCAAACATTAATAAATGAATGATGAATAAATAGGCATTTTCAGCATTGCTGGTTAAGGTTGTTCAACTTTTCATAAAGTAATTAAATTTTTCTTGAAAAGGAGAAGATTGGAGTCAATATTAAATCTGGTGGTTTTGAGCAGGGAATAGCCATGGTCTTCTGAACATGGCTGGTTTAGCCCTTCAGTATATCCTAGAGGTCTTGCTCACTACCACAGCCTGGTAACAACAGTGCCCAACTGCAGGATTAACAGAAGGTAAAGTGGATTAAATCGTTTTGAAAGCAGAAATTTACAACTACAGTGATAACAATGAATGTCACAAATACAGCATAAAGACTGAACATGCTCTGGGAATTATACTAACCATAACTTTCTAAGAAATGGTGCAATTACACAACTACAATAAAGATAATTGGATTAGTTACCCCTAAGGTTTTGAGTGACATCCAAATTTTAGGGCTACCTAATTTATATTTTATGTTGATCAAAATACCACAATTCCTTTCCAGGCCAGTTCACACCATCTGTTATTCTCTTAATGATTAGCACAAATCTTAAAAATATTTTCTTTTGCTGACTGATTGTGGGGGACTGGTTTTCTTTTCTTTTTTCCTTTCTCTTTTTAGAATGGGATGATTGTCCACATTCTTTCTGGGAAATGCATGGAAGCTGTGGTGCAAGAAAACAATAAAGATTTGTACCTGCGTCCGTGTGATGGAAAAGCCCGCCAGCAGTGGCGTTTTGACCAGATCAATGCTGTGGATGAACGATGAATGTCAATGTCAGAAGGAAAAGAGAATTTTGGCCATCAAAATCCAGCTCCAAGTGAACTTAAAGAGCTTATATATTTCATGAAGCTGATCCTTTTGTGTGTGTGCTCCTGGTGTTAGGAGAGAAAAAAGCTCTATGAAAGAATATAGGAAGTTTCTCCTTTTCACACCTTATTTCATTGACTGCTGGCTGCTTTAAAAAAAAAAAAAAAGGATCCATTGTACCGTTGTCTTCATCACTGGGAAATGATTATTACATAGTACAGAAGATTCTTTGTTTTTCTCCACTGAGCACTTAACAATTGCTTTCTCTCTGGCCTGGACATTCTCTGGCAGCACCTCCAGGATACATAAATTCAATGGATCAATTTATTTGTCTTCAAATGGCCTTAACTTGGATTGTCTGTTTGGCCAACCATGAAAATTAAAGAGTGAAGCAGATGTAATGGCCTGACATTCCAAAAACTCTGAATTGGGTTTATTAGCACAAATGTTGTGTTCATTTGTTGAGCCATATCTCAGAAGAAGGAAAGGGAGCTACAGAAAGGAGGTTTAGGATTGCAGAGAAGATGCAAGAGCACTTTGGCCCAATTCTCCAGCTCAACCCAGCAGCTGAAAAGCTTCAAGAGATCTAGGAAAAGACATTTTCATGTTAATGAGAATTTCCACCATTGTAGAGAATTTCCTTCCTACTGAGAATCTACCTCTATTCCCCCTGCCCTAGCTCTTCTCTAACTTGGTTAACCATAACCATAACCAGATTCCCTTGCAATCGATTTCTCTTTAGTCGTTGGTGTTAGAAGTACCAGCACAATTTGAGCATTCCCATTAACAAAGGTGTTCACAGTTGAGAAACTCTCCTGCCGGGCGCGGTGGCTCATGCCTGTAATTCCAGCACTTTGGGAGGCAGAGTTGGGAGGATCACCTGATGTCAGGGGTTTGAGACCAGCCTGGTCAACATTGCAAAACCTTGTCTCTACTAAAAATACAAAAATTAGCTGGGCATGGTGGCGCATACCTGTAATCCCAGCTACTTGGGAGGCTGAGGCAAGAGAATCGCTTGAACCCAGGAGGCAGAGGTTGCAGTGAGCTGAGATCATGCCATTGCACTCCAACCTGGGTGACAGAGTGAGACTCCATCTCAAAAAAAAAAAAAAAGAGAGAAACTCTCCTGATGCCCTGTTACAGGGTTTGCACTGACTGGAGCAGAAACAGCAACCTTTCTAAAAAAGCAAACCTTTTTCCTGGGAGGAAAATGCCAGAGCCTGAGCCAAAATTCTTATGACAGGTAACATTTGGGTGTTAATGTCCATGAGAGCTGACAGGGCCATCTCTGAGCCCATATAACTGTCTGGAACCCCCAAATGTGTCCACAGGTTGAATGTCCATGAGTGTGGGAAGAACACGGCTCATCTGGAGCACAGCTGAGGCTAGTAAGAGCTAAATGACTTTCCTTGCTATGACTTGGCTTACCTGAATTAGCTGTAAGAGTTGCCGAATGGGATGGGTTCTGCTATTTAATAAACAGCATTCATATTCATTTTTCCCCAGATGGAGTTACCTACCTTTCCACATGGTCAGCTTAGAAATCTTCCCCTAAAGATGCTAATCTCCTTTGGGCTGTCTCAGAACACAGTATCCTTCAAATAAGAAAAACTGAGTGGGAAGTGCAGTGTTTCCAAACAATACCTATCATAACTACGTATTCATTGTCTACCTGCTAAGTCAAGGGTTCACTGCATTTCTCCTTCCTCAGAATACACTCTGGACCTGTGCTGTCTAATATGGTAGCCACTAACAAAATGTGGCCATTTTGATGGAAATCCATTAAAATCAAAGAAAATTTAAAACTCAATTCCTCAATTGGGCTGGCCACATTTCAAATGCTCACTACCCACCTGTGGCTAGGGTCTACTTCTACTGTATTGGCGAGCATGGATATAGAACATTTCATCACAGTTCTGTTGGACCAATCTAGATAGATTCATTATCCCATCTAGAGAAGAGACTTTAGTCACTGTCTTCTTGCTTCAGACCCATCTATATTTAAAACAAATTTCCCTAAATCCTGAGACTGAGACGGAGCTACAAATTCTCAGATGGCGACCGTGTAAATGGTATTAGCGGCTGAAGAAAAAAAATTTTTCAAGACCTCTGTTTTTTAACTGAACTTTATCATTGGCATTGTGGGTCTTTGAAGTTGCTGGGATAAATTAATATAATTAAATAAAAGACTGAATTTAATTGCATAAATTGTATTAGGTGGCAATTAACAAAAGGACCCAGATGGCTTATTGCCTAATTGGGTGAACAAAGCAAGAATATGGTGTTTCTTGCTTCCTTAACCAGCTCCATGATTTATTACTTTATTGCAGAAGTGGCTGTCAACTCAGTCCCTGGCTGGTATTTACAGACCCTTAATTTAAGTAAAACAGATGCCTCCATTTAGTTCTAGAAGGACCTTCTCCTTTAGTGTAACCAAGTGTTCAAATTCCCTTCTTCTCTATGAACTCAGCATTCATTTTATCCATAATGATCAATTTAAAAGTAGAGAAACTTGTCAGTTGAGAGATCTGATTCCCAAGAGATTGGTTTCACTTGTCTACCTGAATTTTGTGATTGGATTTTGTTGTTCGTTTTTTAAGATTGAATTTTGTTACCACCCCCACCAAGTTCATCATCATTATTAACTATACCACTGGGGAGAACAGAGAGAAGTGTCCGGCCAGCAGTCTAGAGTCCCACACTCTTCATGCTGTATTACAACAGTAAGAGCAGATATCCTTCCTGGAGAGTGCCTGACCTGTTTCCTCTTTGGTTTTAATGCCATAGATCCCACTGGAAAATTCAGAATTCCAACTAACAAAGACATGGTGGTTGAAAAGTCCTCAGTGACAATAATGATGGCACCACTGCAGCAGAACTTGACATTTTAGAGGTCATGTTATTGTGCTTAATGTGAGGGGGTTCTATTCTCTACTGAAAGGCTATGAAAAAGCCAGTTGGACACCAAGTGATCTGTGACCAGTCACCAAATTTGGACAAACAAAATGCAAACAAGTTGCATTTTTAAAAAGCATTCAAAAAAAAAGAAAAGAAAAAAACAAGGATAGTGTACATAATATGTAGAGTTGTGCAAACATTGTGCAAAACATTGATACAGGCTGCCTTGCTGGGCACAACTCTACTTATTATGCACACTATTTATGTTGTTCTTTCGAAGTTCTTTTAAAAGTGCAAATTGTCTGTGATCACTTTTGGGCAAAGCCCAAAGCACCTACAAGTCCTGCCTCGATTATTCAAATACCTTGATTTGGGCATATTTCAAATGATATGTCAAGCACAATAACCAAGGAGGTGCTATTTCCAGAATTCTAGACCCCTCTACCATTCCTGTATTAATAATAGTCCCTCCATTGGATAAAGAAAATGTGGCACATATACACCATGGAATACTATGCAGCCATAAAAAAGAATGAGTTCATGTCCTTTGCAGGGACATGGATGAAGCTGGAAACCATCATTCTCAGCAAACTAACACAGGAACAGAAAACCAAACACCACATGTTCTCACTCATACATGGGAATTGGACAATGAGAACACATGGACATAGGGAGGGGAACATCACACCAGGGCCTGTTGAGGGGTGGGGGGTGGGGGGCAAGGGAAGGGAGAGCATCAGGACAAATACCTAATGCATGCAGGGCTTAAAACCTAGATGATGGGTTGACAGGTTGATAGGTGCAGCAAAGGACCATGGCACATGTATTCCTATGTAACAAACCTGCACGTTCTGCACATGTATTCTAGAACTTAAAGTAAAATAAATAATAATAGTCCCTCCAATCTCAAATCTTCTTTCCAGTTCCAACTCCTTCTTACATGAAATGTGCTCTTTGGACATGGCCATATGTCCTAAGCATTGTTTTAATATTATGAGGATCTTTGCTGGAGTAGTAGTTCTTTCCACGGGTATGGGATGTTTATATTTTTTCATCACTGAAGGCTCTACGTAATACCAATACACTAAGTTATCACGACATATAAACAGCTTGCCTGATGGTTTGGCTTAAAAAAAGAATCATCAGAATCACCATGATGACTTTACCCCTAGGGTGATAGTTTATAAGCTCAGTCCAAAGAGACCAGATTAATGTTTGAAAATTAAAGTTCCCTAACAATTCCCAAACTGTTCAGCTAGCTCATAGTCAATGGACATTCCAGTACCTATGACAAATGCTAAAATGATACAGTCCTTCCTCTCTCTCTCCCTCCCTCTCTCCTTCTCTCTCAGGATGAGAACAGGGCCAACTCTGCTGCTGCTGAAGCTTATCAAAGGCCTTTAACTTTTCAGCAGATTGTGAACAATGGGTAGGACATCATTTGCTTCATTCAGAGATCCTCAAGAAGGCACTGCCGATCACTCTCCTCTAGGCACAGATCAAGGGTGGCATTGTTTAATGTCTTATTTAAATAAAATCCAGAAAAACTGGAGCTGCTATCTTTAAAGTCATAACTTGCCCAGATGCACCAATGCAGAAACTGTTCAGAGAGGGTGAAAGGTGAGCACCTCATTAGATTATCCAAAATTCTCCAAAACTCTCCAAAATTCTCCAACCCAAACCATATGGCTATAGTGGGAGCTGCCTTGTTCCCACCATAAGATGGCCCCTCCTCCCAGCTGAACATCTGACCCATGTTGGGCCAATCAGCACATTCCTCAGTAATTTTGTTACTGAGACTAAGAAATCAGTCTCTCTACCAGTGACTTAAGAGATAATGTGAGGTTGGGCATGTTGGCTCACGCCTTTAATCCCAGCACTTTGGGAGGCCAAGACAGGAGGATCGCTTGAGCCCAGGAGTTTGAGATCAGGCTGAGCAACATAGTAAGACCCTATCTCTACAAAAAACAAAACCAAAACAAAAATTAGCCAGTCTCATAGCCTGGCCTCAAAATAAATAAATAAATAAATATATATATATATATATATATATATATATATATATATATATTTATTTAAAAGAGACATAATGTGAGAATGTTGAGCTCTCAGCAGCCTTGTTTTCTGTATATGGTCCTATGAGGTAGATAAATCCAGTCTGGAGAGTGAATCAGAGACAGCTGTGGGGGTGGAAACAAATATAAAAAGAGCAGAGGCAAAGGTGGGACAGAGCACCTTGATAGTATTTGATCCGCTGGCTCCAGTTTGTTCCCCAGGCCTTGATAGATCCCTGTCCCTGGAGTGTGTGAGACAACCGGAAATGATTTTGTTTAATTCAGTGCTCCTCAAATTTTCCTGTGCTCACAAATCACGTGGGGACCATGTTAAAGTGCAGATTCTGATTTGGTAGGTCTGTGTGGGGCGTGAGATTCTACATTCCTGCAAGCTCCTAGGCAATGCTGATGCTGCTGGCCAGAGACCACTGTCTGAGTAGCAACGATTCCAGTAGTTTTCTGGGTTTTTCCAAATTGTTACTTAGAGCTCAGAAAATCCTCACTGGATGAGTTCTTGGACTGTTTTTTGCTTCTAACGGATCTCTTTTTGAAGCCACATGGTAAGATGATTTGATCCTATGTCTTACAGGATAATGCATCTTTTTTTTTTTTTTTTTTTGAAACGGAGTCTGGCTGTGTCACCCAGGCTGGAGTGCAGTGGCACGATCTTGATTCACTGCAAACTCCACCTCCTGGGTTCAAGCGATTCTCTGCCTCAGCCTCCCAAGAAGCTGGGATCACAGGCGTGCATCACCACGCCTGGCTAATTTTTGTATTTTTAGTGGCGATGGGGTTTCACCATGTTGGCCAGTCTGGTCTTGAACTCCTGACCTCAGGTGATCCACCCACCTCAGCCTCCCAAAGTGTTAGGATTACAGGCGTGAGCCACCACGCCCAGCCAGGATAATGTATCCTGTTCAATGTAATAACAACCGTTGTTAATTCATTTTCTTCTTTTCCCTCAGCATTCTTCCTCTTTCCCATTCTGTCCACTAGTTCTGCTTTTTTGACCAGGGAAGTTTTTTAACCTTTTTTTGTTGTTCTTGCTATTTGTCTGTGGTCATGTCGTCCCTCCCTCACTTTCTTTATCTTTCCCCAACTTTCCTCTACTTCTCATCTTTGAGCAAACCTGCTTTTCCAGCACCAGGTTTTTGTGGTAATTTTTATTCCACTCTTACTTTTCCTCTATCTGGGCCTCCATGCCCTTCTGCCACCAGTTTCAACTGACTAATCTTGATGGAGTGAACAGCATCAATTTCTCCAAAGGATTTTTAGAACACTGAGCAAATAAATTAATAGCTCAGATTTTCAGCTCTTCTCAGTGGCAGCGCTTCTCCTGAGGGAATCCATAGTGTGGGGGTAAGGAAATGCCATTTAATATGGATTTGGAATAACAGGGATACTGAGAGTGCTGCCAATACTGATGGGAATATGGCCCTCATCTTGAGGAGGCAGCTGGGGTTCTGGCAGGCAGATTACCCTATACAGTGGATTTTCATAGAGGCAAGTATAGGGGACTCCCTGGAGATGGGCCAGGACTTGTAGCCTCTGAAAACAGCCACATCTAATAGCTAAACATGAAATTAGGTGATTGGAAAACAAATCCTGCCAAAGCCCAAGATTTGATTGTCTTAATCCTTAAGTCCTGCAGTAAAGTTAAAGCATGCATAACTAAGAAAGAGATACCAAATTTATCCTCTAACACCAGAGGCTATAGTAGTGACACTGAGTGTTCTGGCCCCACCCATATCCCTCTGGTCTTATAGCTTTAGCTTTCTCTGAAAAAAAGTTCCAACTGTCAGTTATCTGCATTTCTTCACCTGGGTTTCTTTTTTTTTTTCTTCCGCGAAAGCCAAAGAAGACTGCTTTATGATGTGGGGAAGGCCAGAAAAGCCTTGGAAGTCACATTCCCCAGAAGCAGTCCTCAATTGATGACTGACAGGAGTTGGTGTATAAATACCTCAGCTCCCTCACCTCTCCCATGGGATAGCTCTGAGGTGCATGTTCTACACCATTCCCCACAGTGTACCATGGGATTAAGCTCTAGTCACCCACAGTGGTAGCTGGCTTGATAATGCATCTTTAACTGGCTACATTCCCTTCTCCACTTCCTTACTAGTGTTTCCTGGGCTCATCTTCCAAGTAAACCACTTGCACACAAATCCTTATCTCTATGTCTCCTAATGGGGAAACCCACCCAAACACACATGGCTTGTCCCAACAAAAGCTTGCATCTCTAAGAGTTATCTTTCTTATCACAGTTTAAGCTTTGTTTCACCAGTAGTCTCAACCCATGCACAAGATAACCCCATTCCCCTGAGTTGAACTTATCCTACAAACTGCAAGGCCACAGTATGGGCTTCTAGGCAGCTGTGCCCAAAAGAAAAGAGTCTGGGGGAGGGGCAAGATAGTTGGTCCTTATCCCAATCTTTTTTTTTTTTTTTTTTTGTTGGAGTCTCACTCCGTTGCCCAGGCTGGAGTGCAGTGGTGCGATCCCAGCTCACTGCAAGCTCTGCCTCCTGGGTTCACACCATTATCCTGCCTCAGCCTCCCAAGTAGTTGGGACTACAGGCACCTGCCACCATGCCTGGCTAATTTTTTGGTATTTTTAGTAAAGACAGGGTTTCAACATTTTAGCCAGGATGGTCTCGATCTCCTGACCTCATGATCCACCTGCCTTGGCCTCCCAAAGTGCTGGGATTACAGGTGTGAGCCACCGTGCCTGGCCGGTCCTTACCCCAATCTTATTATAACATTAGACATCCTTCCTCCCTGGGGAAAAGTGAATATGGAGTGGAGAGAGGCCATGAGTGTTCCACTAATTGATGCCCCTTCTTGAAGAAACCTGAAGCCTGATGAAGCAAGGTTCCTCCGGCCTCACAAAAAATGTTCCCCCTCATATTTCAGTTATTTTCCTATAACTGATACATACCAGTGTTAGAGGATATAGAAGTATACCATAGAAGTTAGGAGTGAAGTGCATGATTGCTCTCCATGATAAAGCGAGGGAGATTCAGATATGAGTATTGAGGAAGCGATGGATTCAAACAATTTGATAAAGACATAAAGAGTGAGATGATCAAGAAGGTATCTCTAGTGAGGGCAGGAGTGACTTACCAGAGAAATTTTAGGATTAGGTGTCTAGTCCTCAATATAAAGTTATTTGCCTTATTTCCATCACCCCAGACTTTTAGTTAAGACTTCCATAATGACTTTCGTAGTATGTTGGGGATGGAAATCAAGGAACAGGGATAAGTCCCTGGACAGGACAAAGAGGAAAAGAGCAGCCTTGCCGGGTAGGATAGATACCAGTAAGACTAGGCATTCAGGTCAGGTGTGGTGGCTCATGCCTGTAATCCCAGCACTTTGGGAGGCCAAGGCAGGCAGATCACTTGAGGTCAGGAGTTCGAGACCAGACTGGACAAAATGGTGAAACCCTGCCCCTACTAAAAATACAAAAATTAGCTGGGCATGGTGGCGGGTGCCTGTAATCCCATCTACTCGGGAGGCTGAGGCAGGAGAATCACTTGAACCAGGGAGGCGGAGGTTGGAGTGAGCCGAGATCACACCACTGCACTCCAGCATGGGCAACAGAGCAAGACTATGTCTCAAAAAAAAAAAAAAAAAAAAAAAAAAAGGACTGGGCATCAGTGGAATTAGAACTCAAAGGCCAGAGTAACAGTGGTATGGAGAAGAATTAATACAGATTGTTGCCACATACCACCAAAGAGTGCCAATCAGGATATTTCAAAATTATGTTAGACTATGAACTAGAGTGGGGTTAGCAAACCTTTTCTGTAAAGGGCTAGATAGGAAAGTGCTATACACTGTTTCCCTCTTTTTTTGCAGACTCTGTTAACTCTGTTAACTACTTGACTCTGCCATTGTGGTACAAAAGGAGCCGAGCCATGGACAATAATCAACAAATGACCATGGCTGTATTCCAATAAAACTTTATTTACAAACACAGGTGGTTGGCCAGATTTGGCCAACAGCCATAGTTTGCCACCCCCTGGACTACAGTATTTGACTCAACTGTAGGAGACAAATTACAGATTACTTAAAAATAAACAGAGAAATATTACCAGCGAAATAGTGAATGAGCTTTAAAAATATAAAAATAAAGTGTTTCTCTGTTATACATAACAGAACAGCAAAAAATAACAAAAAAAGAGGGAAACAGTGTATAGCATATGTTCTCATTATGAGCACACTCCAGTCCTTTTTATAAAAAAGTAGGAATAAGCAAATTATTTTTAAAAATCAAATAATAAAACATTGACACTGTAGTCCACAGTCTTCTTTCTTTGGGGGACATAAAGATTCCAGGGGCCTTCACTGTTAACAGAGGTTGAGCAAACGAGCTTTCTTAATGAGACCACAGCTGCAATAAGAACATGAACATGGAAGGGAGGGCTCCTCAGAAGCACAGAGTAACTCTCAGTATCTTAGCCAAGCCAAAGTGATTAAACTGTGCCAAGAGATACAGTTTAACACTCTAGTTTTTATCTTACTGTGGTGAAGACATTCACAAAGGGCAAAGCACACGCTCCCGCTAACACACAAATCTTTTGTGTTTGGGATGTAAGGACAATCAGACACAAGCTCTGGTGTAGGACAAAAGCAATAACCTCTGGTTATTTATATAAACTCTGATCTCTGGCGTTCAATTTAGCCAGACTTCAAAACACAAATGGTAGAAGTCAAGCCAAGGAAAGGGACTTCCAAAAGCAAGCCTTGAGGCCAGGGCTATACCAGGCCAACAAACCTTACTCCTTGTGCTCTGAAGCCAATACAAGCTCATAAAACCTGTTTAACAGCCAAGCCTAGGGTGCCTCCTGCCTGTTATGATCCATGCTTAGGGCTGTCCAGCCCATCATGCCCCTTCACATGTCAGTATTGGCATATCCAAGGCTGGTTCCAGATAAAACAAATGGCCTGAGGCACCTCACCCTCCTCACACTCATGGACAGTTCCAAGCTCTCCAGCCCTACATCTACTTTGCATTCTGTTGCTCTACTGGCCGTGCTGCTGACCCCAGCTATTATCGTCTAGTGAGCCTTCACCATGCACAAGGGACAGGCAGCTGTGCAGATCTGAGTACCCAGGTGGAAGCCACAGTTGAGGCCTATTGACTTTTATCTTAGAGATAAAGTCCTGTTCCCCCACCACTCCCCAGTGTGGGTCATATGTAAAGGAATGTAACTCTTTGAGAGTCTCCAGTCAACTCTTTGAGCATATCCTTGACCACTCTCCTTGGGAGGCCCTGGCACCTGGGTCTAGGTAGTGGGTTGGTTTGTCTGATGGTGGAGCCACCACTGTCTCCTTGAGGTTCCCGCTCCCTGACCCTGGCTATAATATCCCCTCACAGACTGGTTTACGCAATGGCCTCACCCCTCAGCTTGTCAGGTATTCAGGATCCCCCACCTACCTATCTGCTACCTCCTCACCTAATCTCTCTATCCAGATGACGCTAGCCTTGCAGGTGGGATCCAGATGGACAAGTGATATGTGTTGCTTTAAGGTGGCTCTTTTCCCTACACTGTTATTCAGTACGGCTCTGCAGAATTATCTTCCAGAATAAGTTATAGGCTTCTTTTAGCAAAGAGCCATGGTCTACACTTCCTTATTTTCCTCTTAGCAGTTACCATGGAGTTGGTTGCTTGACTTCGTGGATTCCAGTATGGAGGAGAAAAAACCAGGAGTTAGGATATAGAAAAATGACATTTCAAGAGTTGGGAGAAAAATCAACTAGAGAAAAATGTGGACATCATTAGACAGTAATATCTCTGTGACCAAACATATGTATTCACTGCCAGAAATCATAGTAATAACAACAACCATAGTGCTAAGGCTGTACTAACTTACTAGCACATACTATTACTATGATAATAGTAATAACATTACCATTGTTAGTACTATGTACTATTACTATTGTAATGTTGTTACAATATTAACAACATTAATATTAATATTGTTGTTAATATTGTAACAACATTGCAATAGTTGTTGTACTCAAGTTATTTTTTCTTATAATCACAATAGGCCAATGATGTAAGGACTACTATTATCTCCGTTTTATATTATCTCATTTTATAGTTGAAGGGTGAGGTTTCCACAGGCAGAGTAATTTTCCTAAGGCTATGCAACTTCCAAAGTGATGGACCTAGATCACAAACCCAGTTTCATTTGGTTCCAAGGCCTTCACATTTAACTTCCACATTTGATTGCCTCCCAGTATTTGTGAGTAAAGAAAATAAAACAGGGACTGTCCAAATGGGAATGGGTAAAAATAAGGGCCAGGTTGTTTTAGGACCTGCCAAAATTAGGTGCATTGGTTTGGATGCATTCAGGTACAAGGAGCAGAATAACCAACTCCCAGGGGCTTAAGAAATAAAGAACTTTAGTCATCTCACATGCCTAGTTGAGGACAGGCAGTTCTGTGCCTGGTACAATGGCTTACAGACACCTATGATCCAGGCTCTTTTTAAACTTCCACTCACCATTCCTGTTGGCTTTTGATCCTGGTTTCTGTCTCTTTACCAGCACAAGATGGTCACCACAACACCAAACATGACATCCTGGCCCCAGAATCCCAAACAGGATGGAGAGGGCGGCAGAAGCAAGTTCTCCTCATTAATAATGTCTTTCTCTTCACTGAGAAAGCAAGATCTTTCCCAGAAGCCCCCCAGCAGACCTTCCCATCTGTCTCATTGGCCAGAGTCCTAGCAGCAAGGGTGGCTGGGACAGTGGCAAGGAAAGTACCTCAGCAAAGGCTGGGCACATTGCCACCCAGAACCTCACAAAGGTTCTGCAAACCAGGAAGTGGGAAGTTGGCAGATGGATGGCCAGTGACAGTACATGCATTTTGAGATGCCTCCTCTCTCAGGCAAGATTGGGCTCAGCTTCTTTTTTTAATGTCATGGGATGAAAACTGCAGGACACTGAGACAGAGACCTATAAAATCCTGTGCTCACAATTCCTGGGTATTATCCATTCAGCTCCTGCCCTCTGCCCAAGTAGGAACCTTCAATGCCCCAGAAGCAGCTCCGTGTACTCAGTTTGGGATATGAGGAAAGTGCCTGCCATCTGGAACTCAGCCACTGCTATCATAATCGGTCAAACACTCTGGGAAGCAATGGTGTTCTGATTTCTTTTACTGCACAGCTTCCAATAAAATTTGTGGCCCAGGTGTGACAACCAATAGAACTCTTTCACTTTATTCTTGTCTCTGAGATTCTGGTTTCTACTTGCTTTCTAAAAGAAACATAAAAGGCAAGTAAGCATGGCGTGTAAAAGTGAAGGGGGTGGGCTTCCCATGGGATATATGATGATTTTCTTCCTTTGTTGTAAACATATGATATAGGAAGTTGCGTGAGAATCTTGCTTAAAACAATAGTGACAACCTTTTAACCCCATCTGCTTCCCATTAATGGGAAAAGCCGTTACATGGTAGTGTCAAGGGGCCTCTGGATTTTCTCAAGGCTTTACCATAAGACAGATGCTTAAGACAAAATCCTCCAACCCTTTGGTTCTAATCCTCCCCTTCTTAGTCCATTCAGAAAGCACAGAAGGTAATGGCATCTGGCCGATACTCATGAGGGCTGGGTTGGTAAAGTGAAAACCTTTCTGTGCTGTGACAAATTTCACTGGCTGTGCTTTAGGTAGTTTGCAAAGCACAAAGTTAAGTTTCTGGATGATATGTTCATGATTAACAAACCAGATTATAATGCCCTTTCCAGAGTGAATTCTAGTTCTTAGGATTACTTTGCAGATTTAAAAACAATAAATATTTATTAAATATCTGTTATTTACCAAGGTCACACCTCTAGGGCCTTGTCCCGTGTGTTTTCTGAACCACTGGCGTGGATGACTTGATGAGTCACTCATGAATCAGAAAATTGCAAAATATCATCTTCACTGAATTTTATGTCAGCACAGACTCAGTCAGAGTTGAATATGGACTCCCTGGTTTCTGGGAAGGCAGAGATATTTCAAAAACATTTCCAGGAAGGCAATCAAGTGCTCCTTTTGATGCATTTGCCAAGTGGGACACAAAATAGACCTATATTTGTAAATAACAATCTTTTTCAAACACTGCCATGGGGATATGCCCAGCTTATAGTGATCCTTAAAATATGTATTGTGAAGTAATAATCCACCTATGTTTCAGTAATTTCCAAGTGTTTCTCCAGCCTTGACTCCAACCATGAACCTCAGATTCACACACTCAAGCACCTTCAATCTACACTAGAGCCCGAGTAATCAACCTAAAGCACTCTCCTTCCATAATCTCTTCTATGACTCCGCATCACCTTCAGAGTAATGACCCGCCTCCCCAGCACAGCCTGACTACAAGTTCCTCCCTGACCCTGCCTCCACCCTCTGGACTCACCTGCTACTATTTGCCCCATCTCTGAACACCAAAGTTTTTGTAGTTCCCAATACAACACCCTTTTCCTTGTCTCTGCTCTAACCATGCTCTGTTCCCTCTGCACAGAATGCCCTTCCCTCCGTTTGCCAGCTTCTTCTTACCTATCATGCATGACTCATATACATCATGTCTCTGGAGGGTCTTCCTCGAACCCCCGGGCTGAATTAATTACCCCTCTTCTGGAGCACTGCATATGTAGCCCTGTCTTAACATGGACCACTTTGTGTTAAAATTATCAAAAAGATGTTTCCTCCTCTGGACTTTAAACAAATTTTGCTTAGCTTTTTGCCCAGAGTCCCTAGCATAGTATCTGACTCTTGACAGGCACGTAATACATGCTTGTTGAACTTCAACTAAAGCGATCACAGCATCTTTCTTTTGTGCCTAGAAACAAGCAGAATGAAAGTGGAAAAGAAAAATTACAGAGCTAAAATTTAGACACTGAAGAGGTCTTATTTGAGGTCAAATTTAAGAGGACTTTGTCCTGATCACTTTTTGGATGGCTTTAGACTCTCCACATGTGGCTGTAGCAATTCCAGACTCCCACTGCACTGTTCCAGTTATCTTTTGCTGCATAACAAACTACCCCAAAACTTAGTGGCTTAAAACAGCAACTTTTTTTTCTTTTTTTTCTTTTTGAGATGGAGTCTCATTCTGTTGCCCAGGCTGGAGTGCAATGGCGCGATCTCGGCTCACTGCAACCTCTGCCTCCTGGGTTCAAGCGATTCTGCCGCCTCAGCCTCCCAAGTAGCTAGGATTACAGGCACCTGCCATCATGCCTAGCTAATGTTTGTATTTTTGTAGACATGGGGTTTCACCTTGTAGGCTAGGCTGGTCTTGAACTCCTGACCTCAGGTGATCCACTCACCTCGGCCTCCCAAAGTGCTGGGATTACAGCCGTGAGCCACCACACCCGGCCAAAACAGCAACTATTATGGCTCATGATCAACTAGGCAAGTCCTCTGCTTCATGGGGCTCTAACTGGTGTCACTTGGTGGTGTCAGCTCATGGCTGTTCTTTTCTGGAGGGTACAAAAGAGCTTCTCACATGGCAGGGGAGGCTGGCAGGCTGGACTCAGCTGGGCCCTCCCCTCTCCATATAATCTCAAGACTTGTCTCCGTCATCTCTGTGGCAGCTATCTTACACAGTGGTTGAACATCTCCAGAGACCAACAGGATTTCTGCCAGTCTTCTTAAAGGCCAGACCTGGGACTGACATAACATCTCCTCCAGCATACTCCTTTGCTCAAAGCAATCACAGGCCAGCCCAGGCTCAGGGAGGAGGGGAAGCAGACCCCACTTATCAAAGGGACAAGTAGCAAAAGTGTGCAGCTATCCTTAAGCCACCATGCCTGCAGGCCCAGTGGCTAAGACTGAGTCTATGTCCCAGAATCCCCAGCAAAGCTCTACTGTTTACTCTGACTGAACTGACTTGCAGAATGCGTCTGCCCCTGAACTAATCTCTGTGACCAGGAGCTTGGGAAATCTTGATTAGAGCTGGAGGTGGAAACAATTTTGGCCAATATTATGGTTAAGAAACTCTGTAGGGGCTGAGCGTGGTGGCTCATGCCTATAATCCCAGCACTTTAGGAGGCCGAGGCAGGCAAATCTCTTGCGCCCAGGAATTCGAGACCAGCTTGGGCAACATGGCAAAAACCAATCTCTACCAAAAAAAAATAAAATAAAATAAAAGTAAAATAAAATACCTAGGCATTGTAGCACATGCCTGTAGTCCCAGCTACTCAGGAGGCCGAGGCAAGAAGATCACTTGAGGCTGGGAGGTCAAGGCTGCCGTGAGCCGTGATTGTGCCACTGCCCTCCAGCTTGGGTGACAAAGAGAGACCCTGTCTCAAAAAAGAAAAGAAAAGAAAAGAAAATTCTGTAAGAAGGAGGTGGTGGTAGGGATTGCTGGGTAGGTGTCTTAGTTTAGGGTAATGTAAGTGCAGAACCTGAGCAAGGCCTTGGATGCAGGTGATTTATTTGGGAGGTGATCCCAGGAAGCAGGAGTGAGAGAGAGGGAAGAGTAAGATAGGCAGGGAAGAAAAGTCAATGTAAGGGTGCTTTGAGCAATGGGGTTCGATTCTTTCTACTCTGAGATGCCCACAGAACATGTTCCAGAACTATCTACCTAAAGAACACCAGACTGAGACATTTTCCCACCAGCTCTCCTCTCTTATTGGTTGAGGGTTACACCCGGGGCCATTCACTCCCTGGGATACACTTTGCAGGCTGCACTTGCAAGAGCAGACCAGGCTCCCAAGGCTTTAGAGAAGACCCCAAGGCAGAAATGTGGAGAGGGTGGGGCTTGACCTGGATGTCGTGCAAGATGAATCTAAGCCCCCATGGAAGTTCGGCCAGAGCTGGGGCTGATATCCAAGGAGGCCCAAGGATGCGACACTGGACACCGAAACATCTGCAATAAGAGCCAACCAACAAAGGTTCCCTCAGGTCAGAGCCCAGCTCGCCTTGCCAAATGGCTCCCAGAGATCACTTCTGCAGCTGATGCAGTGGGCGCCCAGGGAGCACCTCCTTCCTGTGCAGAGGTTGGCACTGGCCAGCTTCCCTTGGGGCTATGCCCACCCGCCAGCACCACCAGGAACATACCTCTGGGTGATCAAAGTTAGGTTTATTGGCAGGTGTAGCAAGGAAGACCACCCACATGAGGAACCATGGGTGTCTCAGTAGGACAGTGTCCAAAGGAGCTTCTCAGGAGGTCAGGGCTTGGGTTAGGTGATTTGGGAAAAGATTGGGAAGCATGGTCTTGCTAGGGAGCTGTCAGAAACTGGGACAATTTTATAAACGGGCATCCTAATAATTTGTATCTAGGTGATTGTGGGAAGAACAGAGCAGGGCTGGAGCTGTACTTGATAAACACCCCTCATATTTGCCAGGAGAAGGAGCTATTTGGTCATTTTCACAGTGTGCTGGGTGTTCTTATTTCAGTGTGGTCTTGTTGTCTCACTCCACCACAGCCACAGATTGACCTTGTCTGATGTCGTGTTCTGTGAAGTTGTGTATGTTAAGTAAGGAGCGGGCTCCAGTCAGACCTGGGGGTTGATGACTTTTTCTTTCTCAGGTCTCATAAGACACAGGCTCTGCACACTCAGAAGAGTGGCAGGCACCCATGGTAACACAGCTGCATGGCTCAAAGTAACAATCAAGACAGAAGAACAGGCACCGATCGATAGGACTCTTCTATCTCCTAAAGCTCTTTTGAAGTCTGGCAGAGACGTTTGAGTGGCTTCTGTCCACCTCCTCAGTGACTCACAGTGCGATGCTCATGGTTGAACCTGAGTGATGCCAGCAGCAAGGAAACTGACAGAGCTCGCCGATCCATTTCCTGTCATTCACTTGAGGGTGACAAAGCATGATGGTGACAGCTCAGATAACATTCCTGGCACAAAATCCTTAAACTAAATGGAGCCTGGCTGCCAGGAAGGAGAGGAACAGGCATTCCAGGGGCAGACTCTGCTGCTGGCTGCAGCCACACAGGAGAGCTTTAAACAGGATTCTGAACTTAGAGAGCAACAGGATTTGTGCACCACTGCTACACTGATCAATGCCAATAGTTGGCCCAGGCTGGAGGATGGGCCAGGCATCCTAACGCCATTGGGCAAATCCAAGGTTTAAGGAAGTCAGCACAGTTGGGGTACACACTAGAGAAAGCTACATGTTTTGAAGAATGTGCAGACTCCTTGAGCCCCCACAAAGCAGCCTCACCATCGGCATGTAGACAGTGCAAAGTTGAATGAGAATCTCATTAGAACTTCTGGAAGCTCATCTCTTTCTTACCAGACCCATGCTTAAGACTGGAGTCCTGGCAGAGGCTAATATTCCAGATATGAGCCAGAGACAACCTCGTCTGTGCCAGGGGCATGTCACCCAAACTGAGGTCATATAATTTAAAATATAACTCCAAAGTTCAGTAAGGTATGGCGGAGAAACCTCTGGTGCCTGTATCACATGTCCTCAGGCCTTCTCTGCTTTCCGCCACTGCTGCTGAACAGTTCTGTGCAGCCTCAGATCCCCTGAGCCCTGTGCTAAGTGTCTTCTGCATTATGCACCAGGGTTTTCTCTGAAGGCAGAGTTACTCAAACATCCAGGGAGCAAGCACCCTGGCTTGCTAGGACAGTTAACACTCCCAGGACAACTCTCAGTCACTGAGGGGATGGGAACCAGTGGATGGATGTCTGGCCTCTGTCTTTCAGGTGGATAATTATACAACGCATCCTGTATATTTTTTAAGAGGGTCAACAGAATCAAGTGGCAACTTTAACGTGTCCTTATATTGGCGCCTCCTTCTGCCCCATCTCACATCCTCACTCCCACACTCCTGCTTCCCAGGTTCACACCCCTCATGAACCACCTGCATCCAGTCCTTGTCTCATGCTCTGCTTTCAGGGAAACCCAAACTAAACCACACATGAGCACAGTCTTCCTTTATAACACAGGCTTTCTAGACTAACATGGCTGATGCACATTCAGTCTCCAACTTAGGCCCTAGAACGGAAACAGGGCCCAGCCATCCAGACACCTGTGGGAATCCTGCCACAGGGCCCTTGGCCCCACTCTAGGGCTGGTCCTACATCCTAAACATAATCAAGAAATTCTTTCCAGTTTTCTTGGCTGGGTCCTTTCTAGCAGGAACATTTTGATGGCATGTGACAGAAACTGAAATTGAACCGGTTTGGTCCTGTAGAAGCAGGGGAGATTACTGGAAAAATACTGAAGCATCACATGAAATTGAAGGAAGGGTTCCCCAATCCATGGGAAGGGCAGGGGTGCAGCTGGGCCTCAGGGGAAAAGCCATATTCCCGGCTTCTTCCACATGGAGGACTGTAGCCGCAAACAGCTCAGGAGGCCCATATGAAAGAAGACACATGCATATGCAAATATCATAATGAGAAAGTGTTTCTGCAAGCTCCAGGGAGGAAGAAGCTTTGTCACTATTTTTTCAGTGATTAACTGGAGTGTCTAAAACAGTATCTGCAATATGGTATATGGGTAATAGACATTTGTTGAATGAATGAACAGTAGAAGGAGGAAGAGGGAAAAAGAGGAGGTGGGATGGGAAGAAGGTTTGGGGTATGACTGTGAATGAAGCTATCTGGCCTTCAGCTTTGGATGGACCTTGCTTTTTCAAGAGATTATGGCTGGGGGCATTATCCCATCTTCCTCAGCTCAGAAGCTTGCTGTGGCTCACAGTTTCCTGTGGAAACAACCTGACCTCCTTAGTGTTACATGCAAATCCCTCGCAAGTTGGCCCCTACAACCTCCTCTTCACACACCCTCCACTCAGAGCACACTGGCCCACAGCCCAGGGCCATCCTGAGGGAACTGTCCTAAGGGTCACTGTGCCCTCCTCTGGGACAAACATACATGTTTTGAAAGTGGTTTTTTTTTTTTTTTTTTTTTTTGAGATGGAGTCTCGCTCTGTTGCCAGGCTGGAGTGCAGTGGTGCAATCTCGGCCCACTGCAACATCCGCCTCCCGGGTTCAAGTGATTCTCCTGCCTCAGCCTCCTGAGTAGCTGGGACTACAGGTGCATGCCACCACACCCAGCTAATTTTTGTATTTTTAGTAGAGACGGTTTCACCATGTTGGCCAGGATGGTCTCGATCTCTTGACCTCGTGATCTGCCCTCCTCGACCTCCCAAAGTGCTGGGATTACAGGCGTGAGCCACCGCGCCCAGCCTGAAAAGGATTTTAAATTGTTTTTATGAGGGAAACATGTTATCTTGTTCATGTAATACTCTATAGCAGAACCCAGTAGGGAATAATAGATTCTGCATATATAGGAATACTCTTCTAACTCTGGAAAGAAAAGCATAATATTATATAGATTAAAAAGAAAAGTATTTATAGCAATAAATAATTGAAATGAAAGTATTACAGGAATAAAATATTTTAAATAAAAATTAGGTGGGAAAATTGACATTGTACTTGATGAGTTGTGAGGCCTATGGCTTGTAATTTTTCTGAGAAAGTTAGAGAAGCATGAAATGAGTATATTCACAGTGTTTGCTGTTGTTGTTGTTGCTATATATTTACCATTGTGTTTCCTCTTCAGAATGTGGCTTTTCATACATAAATACATTTGCACAGAGTAAATTTTGGATGAATTTGAACCAGGGGGTAGAAGATATATCTTATATTCCAGCAAAGACTGTAGTGTGTGTGTGTGTGTGTGTGTGTGTGTGTGTGTGTGTCTGTTTGTAAGACCTTCTGCTAAAGGATGCTTGCAGACAAAGTCCTTATCAGCCATGACACAGAAATATGGATCAATAAGTGTGTATTGAATGGATGAACAAGAAAAGAGAAAAGCAGCAATTTAGACTGTGTGCCTAACACTGTGCAAGGTGCTTAGCACATGTCTTTTCATTTAATCCTCACAACCACCCTGCAAGGTGATTTTCATCATGTCTAATTTACAGAAGGAGAAACTGTGGCTTGCCCAAGGTCACAAAACTAACAAAGGATTCAAATCCAGGAACGTCAGATCATGATGCCTTTGCCGTCTGCATTGAGCGCCGCAGCCCTAATTGGTTAGCTTGCGCCACCTAGTGGCAGAACTAAAACAGGAACCAGGTCAGCCTGCAACAAATATTAAAGCAGCAGGCTGCACCCTTCAACGGGGCTTGTGAAACCTGGAGAAGCACAGGCACGCCTGTGACCCACACTCACTCCAACCCCACAACTGATAAAAGACAACGCAAGGCCCAGAATCAGATAACCTGGGAAAGTGTGTTGTAAATGAAGCATCATTTCCTCTTGAAATACATTTTTTGTCTTCCTGTACTGGGAACATAAAAGTCCCTCACCATCCCCTTGACCTCTCAGCATTTCCAGGGCTTCCCTCGACCTCAGTCTGCTGTCCCCCTCCCGGACCCAGCACCTTTTTAGCACTGAGGATCTAACCTTGTGCTCATGAGGCCTGGCTTGGTGGCGACACGTCACCCAGCACACACAGGGGCTGTCCCAGGAACGAAGTGGCATGCACATGTGGCACTCCAGGCTTCCAGCTCATCTGTGAACAGCTGCGGTCATTTGGTGGCGAAAACTCTACAGCCCACCTACCAGCCTCCTAGCCGCAGTCCCACCTGCTCCATTTTCACTACAGTCGTTTTTGAAGAGGGGCGGTGTTTCTCCTGCAGTTTACTGACAATGTTTACAGAGAAGCTATCGTTCAAGCTACTGTTCACTGCCTCCCTCCCCCGCTCAAAACACATGAAAAGTTATTCTGCCCTAGAAAATATAGGTGCCTTAGCCAGCAGGCAAATAAACATCCTCGTGGTCTATGCCCTGCTTTTGTGGTCTAATTCATTTTCTCCCTCATTCTCTCTCTCATTCTCTCTCTTATTCTCTCTCTCATGCTCTTTCTCTCTCATTCCTTCTCTCCCTTCCTCGTTCTCTGTATCTGTATCTCTGTCTTTCATAAGCCGAAACACACATACACACCGTGATATAAGAACATATAAAATCACGTGTAAGGATATTGGAATACAATTTAAGGTGAGTGCAAAAAAGGGCAGAGAATGGGCAGTGCAGAAAAGCTGGAGTTGTCGGGGGAGAAGACTGCTGGGCCCCGGATGATGAGCCCTTCTCTGAACAGCATCCAGTTTGGACACAGTAGAGAACACTGACAATCCCAGGTCATTGTGCCTTCAGTTCCTTAGAGGAAAAAAAGACAGCTTGAAGACAAAATCACTGTGAGAGTCACAGAAATGACAATGAGGCATCTGTTTTTACTTGAAATAGGTATGCATTTTTAAATGCCTCGCTTACCTCAGGTGGGTGGTGAATTCTAACGTACTTTCATGCCAGTTACTTCTGCACACCAGTGGGAGGCATCCCTGAGTGCTCTCTGACAGCTGAACGGATCTTCTCAGAGATGCCCTTATTCCAGCACTATTTCTGCAATGTATAGAAAGCACTATCCTTGGAATCAGTTTCCTGCACTTGGGAATGAGGCGATGGAGACTGAGGAGCCCCAGACGGGAGCCAAACAGAACCTTGGCTGGGGTGGGCTCCTCGTCAATGTGTGTGTGGATGGGGCATGGCCAGGCAGGGCAGAACTTCCTGACCAGCTAGGAGTCTGTGGAAAGCAGACTGGTTAATAACATGGACCATTCCAGCTCCTATCATTATGCATGGCACATAGCAAGAACTTAACAAATATTGATTAAATGAAGAGGAGTAGCAGACACTTACTTCACATTTTTCCACATGCCAGGCCTTGTTCTAAGTGCTTTTCTTATGCTAACTCATTTTGTCCTTTCAACACTCCAGTGAGGCCGGTGCTGTTACTCTCCCCATTTCACAGATGGGAAGACCGGACAGAGAGAGGCTAAAATGCCCAGAATCAAACTAGAAAAAGGCAAAGCAAGGATGTACATGAGTATGAAGCAGGTGCTGTGCTAACTGCTTACAATTGTTATTTCATTTGACCCTCATAGCACCCTGTGAAAGAATATCATTGTCCCCATTTTATAGAAGAAACTGATGCTCAGAGAGGTTAAAACAATTCCCACTAATAAGTGGCAGACTTAGGATTTGAACCAAGGACAATCTGACTTCAGACATAGCCATAGGGGATTAGCGCCCCCTATTGCCCACTCTAGTGAGTTCTTAGGCTGTTGGGGAGCAGCCTGGCAGTGTCCAGGGTTGTCCTATATGCCTGCTGGACCCTGGCTGACTGGGCCCTGACAACCAGCATCCTGGAACTGGCCAGAGGTGCAGGGACAGGCTGGGGAGGGGTGCAAAGGCCCTATCTGCTCCCTTCCAGTCGTCTGGGGCGTTCTCACATTGGCAAGGGCAGAGTGCTCCCTTCCTCTGAGTGGATCAGGGATGACATTGATAGGCCCCTGGAAACCAGAACTGCTGGCTTCTTCTGGCCTGTGTCTCAGATGCTGACCTCTGGGGAGTGAGAGTCGGTTGGAAATCCAGCCCTTTCCTCCTCTCTGAGCCCATCTCCTCTGGAGGGGTGCTTTCCTCTTGGCACCTTTGTGCCACATGGGAAATTCAAGTGTCCTTTGGTCCTGCTGGAGAAATAATCCTGCCAACAAAAAGACCCCTTCGTACCAACACAGGAGAGAGAGGGCCCAATTTGTCACTGGGTAAGCATTAACAGACTTGCGTGAAAGTGATGCCAAAGTCTGGACAGAATTTCACACAAATTTATAAAGTAGAAGAAAGAGCAATAAAAACTTCTCTTTTTATCTCCTTGAGTGACAAATGGATGGGTCTTGTGATTGTTTCCTGTGCACCTCCAGAGACTCCTGATTTAATTTCCAAGGTGTGTGTTAGTATTCTAAGGATTAGAACGTCCTAGACTTTGCATTATAAAATCTAAAAGTCAAGAAGGCTCCCTAAAGGGTGCCTCCCACCTTAAAGGAAGTAGCATCATTTTATCCTTACTGTGTCTTCTGAAAAACCACCAATATTATTCCCCAAAAACACCTCTTTTTAACAAAAATTTAATGACATGACCCTTCCCATTTCTCTGTGCATCACTTGGTGGAAATCTACAGTGAGTAGAGTTTACCAAAAACTTCATGTTTATTACCTATATTTTTCCACTACCCTGGGAACCTCCTTTTATTGATGCAGAAACAGGTGCTAAATAGTTCTCCTAAAATTGATGTGGGAGAGCTGAGGCTTGAACCCAGATATTTGACATCCACTGTCTCTTCTCTACTCTCAAAGAATGTATATATAGACATTCTATAGCAAGCAAAGAAAGGTAATAGAAAAAAAGATGAAGTTAGTAGATGCGTTATTTCTTCAGTGCGTGAGCACCATGCCACATTCTAGAATAGAACTGTTCAAGAGAACTTGCTGTGAAGATAGAAATGTTATTTGAGCCATCCAGTAGGGTTACCTCAAGCCACAGCACATGTGCGCATGTGTACCTGAAATGTGGTAGTGTGACTACTAAGGCACTGGCTTCTTAATTTAATTTTATACATTTTAATTTAAATTCAGGGCTGAGCACGGAGGCTCACACCTATAAGTGTGCCGGAGGCCCAGCACTTTGGGAGGCTGAGGCAGGAGGATTGCTTGAGGCCAGAGGTTTGAGACCAGCCTGGGCAACATGGCAAGACCCTGTCTCTATAAAATATAAAAAATTGGCTGGACATGGTAGCACGTGCCTATAGTTCCAGCTACTTGGGAGGCTGACCGCAGGAGCTGGAGGCTGCAGTGAGCTATGACTGCACCACTGCAGTCCGGCCTCGGTGACAGAGAAAGACCTTGTCTCAAAATAAGTAAATAAATAAATACATAAATAAATAAATTTACATTTAGAAAGCCACACATAGCTAGTGGCTACCATGCTGAACAGCACAAAAGCCCTGCTAGGCACATCTTGAGATGTCACTGAGGCCAGTAACTGACTGGCTGTTTGCTTCAGACCTTGGGGTGAAGATCCTGCAAATGTCAGCTGCCCGGCACTCACATGAAGTAGGCTGCCCCTTGGGAAGGGGAACACATGATCGCAGAGGGTTTCTGGCTGCACTGCCCTCCTGCAAGCTGGCGTGGGCTTGGGCCTGCCAGCACCAGAGTCCCATGACTCTAGCTCCCCCAGAGGCCCTGGCGCTGTCTATTCACCACCATCCTAGGACTGCTGCTGCTCGCTCTGCTCCTCCTCTTCCTCCTCCCCATCCCCCAGCCCAGAAGGGCAGCAGTCCTCTCGAGTTTGCCCCTTCAGACAAACCAGGACAGCTTCATCCAAGTATAGAAATAGTCACCTGCTTTCTCAAAGTCACATCAGAACAGAGCTGAGAGGAACCTTAGAAGTCATTCCTTCATTCCTCCTACCGCCACCCCATTTTACAGTTGAGAAGCCAAGACCTAGAGAGGTGATCAGTATCATCTTTGGCCTCTTTGCCCAGGGCAGTGACCCACTGAGTCCACAGATGGGGCAGGAACACGTGTGTGTGCAGGAAAAACAGGAACCATCTGGCTGGGGTCAGGCATTCCTTCTGCCTCTTTATGTCCACAGGATAGTTTTTTAAATTGATGATGAGGAAGGTGCATGTTTGGCAAAGAGGACAAAGCTTCCAATCGTTTAACTGCCAAAACATACATTGGGGTCACTTATTGGTGAGAAACATTTCTGTCCTGTCCTTACAGATTCTCTGTAACATAATTCTAGTTTTTAAACCCTCCCTTGCACAGAGATTAGGCCCCAGTTCTCATAAATAAAAAATGCTTGGAGCATATTTATTGATTGCACGACACCGTTTATCCATTTTGAAGTGAGTAGTACTAACCATCTTAACACTTTTCCAAGCAGAAAGTTCTCCTTCATGGCTAACTTCACTGACTTTTTCCCCCTCTAACTCAGCGTGGTATGGAGAGAGCTTAGCCAAGCCAGATGGACAAGTCACTGATAGGCCACATTCTGCTAGGAATATGTAAGCTATATATGGCAGACTTTGTTTAAGGTCCAAAGTTCAAGGTTTCAGCTATGGTCACGCGGATCATATCAGACTTGAAGTGAGAGCTGCTGTCCTGATTTGAAACAGTCTGCATAACAAACTGTTGGGCACCACTGAAATGTATCAGGGAACTCGCTGCAAAAAAAAAAAAACACTCAAAATGAATCATCCCAAAGTTCTAGCAACCAGGAAACAGACACAGTAAGGTGAGTAGTCTACGTTCCCGTGGGCATTCTAGCTCATTTTTAATGACATCTTATGAGTATATGGCTCCATTTCTCTCCATAATTAGAGTTAATAAATACCTTCAAGAGGATGTTTATGGCAGACTTTGGAATATTAACTCGTTATTATCAGAGTTATGTTGCTGAAGGTGAAGCCTGGTTTTGAATACAGAAACCACAGCCAATGCCTCACTCACCTCAAAATGCAAATGTAGCAAAAATTAATCCCATGGGACTGTTGTCTCATGTCTGGCCAGAAAGATGAGAATAACTAATTTGTTTGAAAGTTTCAACTGCTTCCATCTTATGCCTTGGAAAGTTTTTCAATTATTCAAACACTACCATAAAAGAAAGACAATGGCATTTGGAGTCAAAAGTATTTGTATTGAAATGCCAAGCCAGTCATTTAATGACTGTGATAGATTAAATTACTTTTCAAAATTCTTCACTCCTTCCCTCCACCACCTCCATGGAAGAATTGTATTTCCCTGCCCTTGACTTTAGCTCAGCCATGTGATCATTCTGGCCAATGAAACACTGGCAGATCGGATGCAAGCCATGACTTCAAATGTGCATGTGCAGTGGGACTTGGCACCTGCACCTGTTCCAGCTGGTTCACTGGCCCAAGAAGGAAGAGAAACGTAAGACTGGACCCAGACTTAATCTGCAGTTTAGAGCCACTCAGCCAAACCCAACCAAGATCAGCCAACCCCCAGCTGACCAACAGACACTTAAACAAGAATAAATGACTTTTGTTTTAAGTTTTGGGGTGGCTTGTAGTGTAACAACTCCTGATTGATACATTGGCAAAGACTTAGTTTCAGTTACTATGAGGATTATGATACCAACTTCATAGTGTGATCTAAACAATGCGATGCTATGATCCCTTTACTCATTGAAGACCAATAATGTCCCACTCCTGCCTTGACTTCCCCAGTGATGTATGTTACAATTTAGCTAAACTGGGCCTACATTTCCCAGTATTCCCTTCTCTGGTGGTCCTGGGTTAGCACTGACCACAAGAGAATTTTTCTGCAAGATATGGAAGCCAGAAGTAAAGCAGCAGACATGTTTTTTTAGGCTCTGAAGGCTGGAGCAGGATCCCAGGAACAGTGGGTGCTTATGCATGTTGCAATCTGCTAGCTTGCCTTGTTCTGGGCCAAGTGGTTATGCAACTCTGTGGAGACGGGTGCCAGCTTCCCCTAGAAGTCACCCACAGCATTAAGGTTGGAGGTAGTGAGACAGATGTAGGTTCCGGTTTGTATTTTCTCTTGTTCACACCAAGCTTCCTTTTACGACTACCAGTTTGGCCGACCAATTACTACTTTAGGATCAACATCAGATGCAGAAATAACCGCCTTCCCTTGATGCCTCCACTAGCTCCCACGCCGTGTAAAGTCTAATCCTTATAACACATCTCCATTCTCTCTCACTCATGGTTCTTCAGCTTCTTGGGATTGAACCCTGATACATTGTGGCTGAGTCCATTGTTGTCTAAACCTGTAAATTCAGGCAAGTACCTCACAACATAGTCTTAAGTAATTTATTATGGAGCAAGAAACACGTAAGATTAAACTATTATTTATTGAGCCCTTACTAGGTGCAAAATCTGTGCTAAGTGCTTTACATGCGTTATCTCATTTAATCTCATAAAATGGTCCCCAATCCCCTATCCAGTATGCTTTACTCTCATCACCATCATCAGTTGGTGGTTCGGAGATACCTGCTAGCTACAGTAATGCTCTAAGTCCTCACTGCCATTAGGAATTGTACACTGGGACCCAACATCCTCTGGGGTGGACCCGGTGGCCTGTGCTGTCCTAAAGTACACACAGGTAGTGCCCATTAAGGGTTTGCTTTCCCCTGTTCCTCATTCTCAACTTTGGCATTAATTTTTGTCCAAAGATACAATCTTTGACCCTATCAAACATTCAGTTCCCCTCTAAGTATGAAGTCTGGCCCCAAATATTTGCCTAGTGACTGGGTCCTGATACCAAGGTCAGATCTCACATGGAAATTGCCCCAAGTGTCGATCCTCCTGGACTGAAGCAATGCTGGTGGCCCTGTGCACTTATTGGGATCTCCTACTCCTTACTGGGCATGTACCCCCATTTGGGAGCTACTTCATATACCAAATCAAGTACCTCTCACTTGCCACAACTGGGACTGAGATGGCTATCTTCCTTGGAAACAGACTGCTGGGCCTACCTGTGCCTCTGCAATCTACATTGGTAGCTAGGTTAGTTTCCCGGCATTTGTCCTGTCTCAGCAGGTGCTGTGGCAAAGTTTTCCAGGTTGTACAAAGATGAAAATTAGTAGGGTTTCTAATTAAGATATTCAAGTGGATTTGAGTGGCTTTTCAGTATCAGTAACTGTGGTAGTTTTGTACTATATTAACTTGGCCAAGCTGGGACTATTTCCCAGTATTCTCTTCCCAATATGGTTCTGGGTTACAGATGAGTAAAAACAAGAAATTGGTGCAAGGTTTGAAAGGCAGAAAGGAGGCAGCAGCTGTGACTGGAGAGCGCTACAGTGTAAGGTGGTGAGAGACAGCTGCAGAGGCGCTGGTGGGTTGGCTTTCATCTTCCGTCTTTCCTGCTGCATGCCTGGTGCTTCTTCCTGCCAGCTTTACTGACCAACAGCAACTCCAACCCCATTACCGATGCTCGGCTGCAAGCTCAGAGGTAATCTCACCAGGGAAGCAAAGACCCTTCCAGACTTCTTCACTAGCCCCTTCCAGGGTTTCCACTCCTGCAGCTGGACATTCCTAACTTCCAAATTTCCCCAAAGTTCGAACTTGTCCACCTGTGCCAGGGCTTGAAGAGGACGTGCCTTTTTTCCCCCTAATTTGAGTGGTAAAGTCTGAAGACTGAAAAACAACTTTCCTTTTTAAAATGCTAACTTGTTTTCCTAGAATTTGAACAATATTCATTCATACATTACAAAGAATTGTGTTTCGTTCTGAGTTCTAGGGCTCTTCTGTAAGTGCATCTCTGCAAGTATGTAGAGAAAGGTGGAGATTCCCCCCACTCTACTTCCACTGTATTTTAAGCCTTTTGTGGAATTGTGATTTCTCTTTTGTGTGTCCTTTGTTTTAAACTCTTAGCAAGGAATAATTTGTAAACTGGTTTCCCAGTCAAATATGTAATCATGGCAATTTGCTAGGTAAAAAGCAGGGAATGGCAGGCATCCTCAAATGGAGTTAAAGAAATCCTAATTACTTACACCTGCAGAAGCTGTTGCTTTTGTAAGGTATGTAATTAGCAGCCAGCGTGTGCTGGAAAATGTGATTGTCTGTTTAAATACGGGATGCAGCCCGGAGGCCGCCCAGTTTAGAGCTCTCCCGCTGTGTACATTAGCCCAGCCTGGGCTCTCCTGGCACTTGTTAAGGCTGACTGCATGCCTAAATGCAGTGTGTGGCCAATTGAGCCCCCTTTCCTTGGTCCATGTGCAAAGCAGGTGTGATCATTTTAAAAAATTGGCTCCTTTTGGCTGGGTGCTGTGGCTCATGCCTGTAATCCCAGCACTTTGGGAGGCCGAAGCTGGCGAATCATGAGGTCAGGAGATCGAGACCATCCTGGCTCACACGGTGAAACCCTGTCTCTACTAAAAAATATAAAAAATTAGCCAGGCATGGTGGCGGGCGCCTGTAGTCCCAGCTACTCAGGAGGCTGAGGCAGGAGAATGGCATGAACCTGGCAGGCGGAGCTTGCAGTGGAGATCGCGCCACTGCACACCAGCCTGGGTGACACAGCGAGACTCCGTCTAAAAAAAAAAATGGTTCCTTTTAACTTAGTGATTATGAACTTTCTGCTTTTCTAGCCCAGTGGTTCTAGGCCTTGGCTACATGTTAGAATCGCTAGGGAGACTTTTTAAAAAATCCTGATGCCCAAGTTGCACCCAAATCAATTAAGTCAGACTCACTGGGGCATCAAATTTTTAAAGCGCCCGAAGCGATTACAAATGTGCTGTCAAGTTTGAAAACCAGTGGTTCCCAAACTTTTAACTGCATGCGAATCAGCAAGCAGGCTTGTTAAAACACAGGTTGCTGGGCCCTACCCCTAGATTCAATAAGAGGGAGGCAAGGGTGTCCAAAACTTTGCACTTCTCATATTTATGCCAAGAATACTGTCAATGTTTGCTGTGGCTTGGATATGGTTTGTCCACACCAAACTCATATTGAGGCTTGGTCCCCAACGTAATGGTGTTGAAAGATGGTGAGACTTTTAAGAGGTATTTGGATAACAAGGGATCTGCCCTTGAAGAAATTAATGACATCTGGTGGGAGTGAGTGTTCCCTCTCCCAAGACTGGATTAGTTACCAAGAGAGGCGGTTGCTATAAAATAAGGCTGACTCTCCAGTATGGTATCTTTGCACATGCCCGCTTCCCGTTCTGCTTCTCCATCATGTTAGGACACAGCACGAGACCCTCACCATGGTCATAACATGAACTCCCCAGGCGCCAGACTCATGAGCCAAATTAACCTTTATTCTTGATAAATTATCCAGTCTCAGGTATTGTTACAGCAGCAGAACATGGACTAGGAGAAAGCGCAAAACAATGTTTAATTCCTTTCGGAGTTAGAATAGTTAACCATTTTTTGCACATGACAGGCATTAGCTGTCATGTTTTATAGATACTAGCTCATTTAATCATTTTCACAAGGCTGTTTCCTTCTCATCCTTCAGGTCTTAGAAAAAGTGCCAGAGCTCAGACTCCCTTAAAAAGTCACCTGACCCAGTTACTCTCTCCCACATCACCTGGTTTGTTTCCTTGGGGGCTCTAACTCATCTGTAATCTTGCTTCTGTCTCTTCTAGTTCCACTAAGTTTCCAAATGTAGAAACCGAATCTTCTTCCCCTAGTGCCTAGCATGTGACAGGTACTTCTTTGCCTAGTGCATAGCACATGACAGCTATTTTTCTAATTGCAGAATGAATGGGTTCACACAGCAACCCTGTCAAAGAGGTACTATGATCCAGATTTCACAAACCAGAATATAATTATTAAGTAACTTCTCGGAGATCACAGTGGAGGAACTAAGATTCAAATTGTCTTCTGACCAGAGCTGGGCTCTGAAACCACTCCAAGAATTGATCATCAGCCTTAAACAATCAGTTTTCTTTCCTTGTAATAAACTGAGTTACTCATCTAAGAATGTCAACTTTGTCTTACTACCACTTGACTCAGTTATTTTTTTCCCAAACAATAGAAATCCAGAGCCCAAACTGTAGAAATTGGCAATTTCCTTATTTAAAAACTACTGTCCATAACAAAAAGTCTATTAACAATACCCCAAAGCAGTTAAGATTTCTACCTCATATAAAATCATAAACATTTTAATTCAAAATGTTGACATTTAGAAGAAAAACTACATAAAAGCAAATGGATTTGAATTATCTGACTTTATTTAGCATGCAATGCAATTTATTCTGGCAATAAATTAATATGTGCAGTTATAAAAAATGTTGGGTACTTTTTCCAAGAAAAATGTTTCTGAATGTGCACACTAGAATATATGCAGAATCCTTTAAACAGTCGACTTCATATTTTAAACTTGTAAGTGTGGTAACATCAAGTTTTGGAAGAATGGACTTTTTCTGTAATTCATGATTTAGTTTGAGTTTATAAAGGTTTTAATTGCAATTTCAGTTCCTACAAGCTACCAAGCCTGAAATTAGAGAACTGACAGCTGAGAAAGGCAATCACCTGATCGAGTCTCCTAATTGTACAGCTGAAGAATCCAATGGCCTTGCCAAAGATTACGAAGCTAAAAAGAGACATAGCCTGGATTACAAGTCAGTTTTTATAGGTGCTCCAGGAATGTCTTGAGCTAAATAAGGCACACGTATCACACAGAACTTTAGTCGTATCTCAGAGTCCAGTTTTACTCTGCTTTCTCTTTATTTTTTAGGCATGAGGTCTTGCCCTGTCACACAGGCTGGAACGCAGTGGTGTGATCACAGCTCACCACAGCCTCAAACTCCTGGGCCCAAGCAATTTGCTCAAGGCCCCACACCTTGCTAATTAAAAGAAGATTTTTTAGAGACAGGGTCTTTCTATGTTGCCCAGGCTAGTCTTGAACTCCTGGCCTCACATGATCCTCCTGCCTTAGCTTCCTGAGTAGCTGGGATTACAGGCACGAGCCACTGCGCCTGGCTCTGGTTTTACCTTCTGCTTAACACAGGATTCAATCTTGATGTGTTCTCCTACAGTTCACAAACTTAGTGACTCAATTGCTTTAGAAACAAAGCAATAAATGATTTGATTTAGAAATAATTTGGTTTAGAAACAAAACCATTCCCATTATTGCAGCATTATCATCAGTCACTGACTGCTAATGCTTTTTATGCTTCTTTTTTCCTGGGATGTGTGAACCTGGCAACTTTTCTTCCTGTTCTTCTATGTTCTTAGCAAACCCACATCAAGGGTGTCTGTTCGTGTTTGAAACTCATCAGCATCAGAAAGAGCTAACATGTTGGCAGTATCTAGAAAACCATCAACATGATCATGGGACAGTTCATTTTGCTTTGCAGCTGATGCCACCATAGTGAGTGAGTACTCTGCTCTGTTCATCTGAGCAGTCACTTTGCTTTTGCAAAGCAGTTGTGGATTACTTCTGGGATGTCAGTGTCCCAAATGGCAATGAGATTTCTCATCACATCCAGAATATGCCACATAATGTACTGAGCATTTTCAGCTCGGTACATTATAATTTTTGGTAATTTATTGTCTCAGCCTAGTGGCTGCACACAGCCATGCTGCTGGCAGGTAAAAAAGGCTACTCACTTGTTTTAACGTCCAATGAATGTGTGCAGTACATTTACCAGTAACAGAACATTTACATTCTAGCAAGCTATTTTTCTAATTGCAGAAGCCATTCCTAAAACAACCTGACGGACATCACTGCATTAATAAATATTTTTTATTTATACACAGTAAAGTTGTGTATATAAAGGGAATTTTCAAATTTCCAATGTAAATGATTCTAATTTCTTGCTATGCTTAGTACTGCAGCAAAAGAAGGGTGATAGCCTATCTTTATATATTTCTTTTTCTCCAGGGCAACATTTCTCTGCAGGAGTGAATGTCTGGTTTGGCTGCATGTTATAGAGGCTTATTAAATATGCTCTCATGGGCATATTTATTCACAATAGGTCTCTCATTTTCAAGCTCATTCTCCGCTGTAGATGCTTTACCTTGTAGTAGTGACACAACACTGTGATATGCCAAAAGCACAGCTACCAGCCATGGAAATTTGACGTTAACCCCTACCTGGAATGCAATTTCATTAGCCTTATCAAAACACAAACAAAAACTCAGATACAGAAATATTACTTGCTCTGACCTGGCAAAGTCATTCAAACATTCCACTTACTACACTGGTATGCTTTGCTCCTCTCATTCTG